>NC_000021.9:17965808-19215808 GCF_000001405.40 Homo sapiens
AAAAAGAAAAACTAGAGTTACATGACCAAGATATCTCAAATTTAAAATTACTTAATTGTTCTATTGAATGACAGCGTTATAAATACCTATCAAGAGAAGGTAATTTTTTTTTTTTTTTTAAACAGGGGACTTATTTTGGCAATAGAAAACTGAGCTGGATGGATTGTGGTTATGATACAACATGCAAATTCCTATGTTCTTGTATATATCACTATTGAAATATAATTTCTTAAATATTTTAATATTATATGTCTAACGGAATCCACCTCTGCATATGCAGAGGCATCTGTCAGGTTCAGATTTGATAAGAAATGATGGAGAGATGGCATTCATGTCATCAGCCAATATATTTAGGATTTGAGCTCAAGAGCCTAATCCTAAATTAAATCTAGGGAATCCCAATGAAGGTTTTGCTTAGTTCTGGCAGTTGTAAACACAGTTTAGAAAAATACAGTTTTTTCTTTCTAACAGATTGTGGATTATTTCCCAGATGAAGAATTCCTGGTTTAACGATCAGTTAAAACACAGTTCCACATTTGGGCGGCAGTAGGTATTACTAAGAAAACAGAAATTGAAGGGGCATGCAAGAAATGGGTTGTGAAAGATAGAAAGAAAAATTGTTTGCCTTGCAATCTTTCTTAGAGTTTAAACAGGCTTTTCAATTGGCCCACCTAGATGGAAATGGATTGAGTCCGCACTTGTCTAGTTCTTATTTCCCAGGTCAACTTAACTACAGGGAAACACACTAAAAGCATGGATTGTAATCAAGAAATACAAGGCAGGGTGTAAGCCTCTGCACTTGTTGCTTTGCTCAGTTGTTTTCATGTATCTGCAGCTACAGAATTGTCTTCCAGGATTTTCCCATCAAATTTTGTAGAGTTGGGGTCATTAACTTCATTGGGAGGAGAAAAGGGCTTAAAGTAGGGTGATTCCTTGGGTACTAGTCTCCCTTTTAGTAATTCCCTTGAATGACTTGCCTGGGCCTCTAGTTACTACTGATTTCCATTAGCTCCAGTGTTTGGTGATACAGAAAGCCTCAATGAAATCTTTGCTTTCAAGAGTGATATGATTATTTTCCTGAGCTTTTTTTTTTTTTGAGACGAGTCTTGCTCTGTTGCCCAGGTTGGAGTGCAGTGGCGCGATCTTGGCTCCCTGCAACCTCCGCATCCGGGTTCAAGTGATTCTTCTGCCTCAGCCTCCCAAGTAGCTGGGATTACAGGCACCCACCACCATGCCTGGCTAATTTTTGTATTTTTAGTAGAGATGGGGTTTCACCATGTTGACCATGCTAGTCTCGAACTCTTGACCTCTAGTGATGTGCCCACCTCGACCTCTCAAACTGCTGGGATTATAGGAATGAGTTATGCACCTGGCCCCTCTGAGCTTCTTTATGGCCATCAGATAATTGTATTTTATTTTAACAGTAGTTTTATTTCTCTGATTATTGAGGTATTTATGTCAAAAAATTGGACTTGGACACTACTAGTATGCTACACTTGTTGATGACACAAGTGAGTCTTTTTTCAGTGACTACAAATGTATCATCTAAAGGAGAATCATATCCTTTTACTTAAAAACACATTCTTTTTCTTTCTGGCATCCCTATGATATCCTCTTCTTTGTGAGAAGTCTTAATTCTAGCTTCAGAGTGTTTTTATTTTCAGTTTCTCCCTAAGAGCTTGGTTTTTCTTATGCAAATTGGGACTCTAGATTTACCTCAAGCTCTATGATTTCCTGAACTGAATGAGTCCAGTAGGTTCTACTGTGGTCTTCAAAATGCCTCCTATGTAGTAACATGTTACCTCAAAATGTCTTTACTGCTTTCTACTTGGCAATGTACATCTTCTTTCAACAGGAGATACATGGTTTGGATTTGAGGAAAGGAGGAGTGCAAAAAAGTGCAAGGAGAGTGTACATACTTTCCGTAACTAGGGTCTTTTTTCAAGCAGTCTCTGACATATTTCTATTGGTTCAGGGTCAATCGATTAATCAATCAACAGATTCATGAAATGTTTGTTGCATACCTACTATGTGCCCAACAATATCCCTTTCCTTAAAGGGCAGAATCATGTCAGGACCAATGCCTACCTTGTTGGTTGATACGTCGGATGGTCACTTAACTGTGTAGTTCAATCTTGGTCCCTTCAGAACCCATGAGTGGAACAATGGTCTCTATTAAAACAATGTTTATCTTGCATCATTGCGGAAGTTGTGCTGAAACACTCCAAATACTCCAGTGGTAAAGTTAAGCAGCATTCATGGCTAAATTCCTTCATCCTTAGGCCATCTGCCTTTTGCCTAGGTCTGTTGAGAACCTGCACATTTTCTCTCAAGCTTTGGCAACTGTGTGTCTTGGGTGGGAGAGAATGATAGGGCCTCCTCCTCCATAGTCATGCCAACTATCAGGAACCTCTCCATAGTTTTGTCCTGTCAGTTTCCTGTTACTAAAAGCCAGGGGCTTATCCATGTTTCAGGTCATGCTTGTTTGGTGTTACTAGCATGTCTTTTTCCGATTATTTACTGTTTTCCCTCTGTACCTTGAATGGCTTTGTGTAGAACTCAGAAATACAACACATAGTATTTTCTTGGCACCTGGTTTCCTCATCTTTTGCACGAAAGTGGCTGGAACTGATGTGCTTGTTTGGAGTTGGTCTCTGTTAAAATAAATTTCTCAGTCTCTGATAAATAAAAAATTATTTTACCTTATTTCCCCCTTTAATTAGATTCTGCCCTAATGGTTTCTTTTTTTTCAGAAACAATTTTACTTTTCTTTCACCAAAGAAAGTACAAACCTGATGAAGGAAAATTCATGCCTTGTTAGTCTTCCAATTCCCCTTCCCTCTCCCTAGTCTCTAGCACAGTGACAATCACATGGTGGACACCTGACAAACATTTACCAAATGCTAACCAATGGGATCAATGCAGAGTTCATCTGGAATTTCTCACCATGCAGGGTATTTCTCTTAGTTGGATGGAAGAATCTTTATTTTATTCTTACTGTTGATTCCCCTGTACTTGGAACATATGCCATTTCAGAACTCAGTGGTTGTATTACTGAATATCTTTTAACTGTAGAAATCAAAGGGCCCTTGGGAATAAGAATTTCTTTATGCAACAGAGTTAGGAGCTTGCTAGGAACCATCAATGGTTTTCTTGTAACTTTTAAGAAAATGATATATTTCAAGAATGTGGACACCTGGGGTAACTGCTTAAGTTCCTTTTAAGAATATCAATTTATTATTTTACTCAACATGACTAAATGAAGCTGTTGCTCACCTGAATTCTTCCAATTTATTAGTTGAGAGCATAAATAAGTTGCTTCAAATGCCAAAGTCCTGGGTAATTTTCTTCTCATATTCACTTTATATTAAATATTCATTGGTGAGTTTTTTAAGGGTCAAAAGCCAAAATAGTTCATTCTGTTGCACAAATTATAGCCATATGGCATTTTATGTTCATATAGAAATTAAATGGTAAAGATTCATATTGATATCTTGAATTTTGCAATTTGTTTTTGACACAAGGAGGGAATAAATATATAGAAGAAAAGAAAAGAGAAAGATGTAAGATATAGAGGAGAATAAATGCTAACATTGTATTATGAATGCCATTTTAAATAACAGGTATCCATATAAAAATGTTAAATGAAACAAATTTGTAAGCAGGTAACAGAACTAGTGGCTTTATAGCCTAAATGCTGAATTAAGTTTTCATTAGGAAATGAATATTGGGTTATATTACATTTTGAGAAAGTCATATTTTTCTGTTAGTGACAGTGTATACCATTTTTATGAGAAGGTAAAAGTTAGCTATTTAAAGAAAGCAATTATTTTGTGAGCAGTTTGGAATAAGTGTGAAAGTGGCTTGTCCTCTCTTCTTTCTGAATCCTGGAGATACAGTGTGGTATTTTAAACAACAGCATGTAGTATAATGCCTAAGAGAGTACTTTGAGGCATTACTATGATATTAAATATAGATTATAAGCTTCAATGTCCTAAAGGTGTATATGACTTTAAGGCTTCTTAATATTTTAATACATGAATAATTATTGGGCTCTTCTCTTTGGGCCTCAGATAATAATCTTACTGAATGGGGGAACCATCTTTCTATTTGCTTCATGTTTTAATGTAGAAGAATATCTGTTAGAGTAACACTCCTGGCCTCTTTCCCACCCATTACTCATTTCAAACCATGAGAAGAAGTATGTCCTGATTGACAGGTGACATCTGGGTGCAGCTTCTCTATTGGATCCTGGGTATTCACTCTCGTTTCTTTCTCACATTGCCCTGGACCGATATTAGTAACCAAAGTTGAATAAGTGCATCTATTCTGTGGTATCAAAATTTTCTTTGGTGGACTTCCTGAAGAATATAGTGTGTGTGTTTGGGGGTTGGGTGGTGGGAGTTTGGGAGCAGGGAAGGTAGTAAGCCCTTTGACCACAAAACTCTATTTACATTTCTTAATCAGCTTACAAAAATAAGGCCACTATTTTAATTTTTATCTTTCTGTCTTCGCCATCTTATTTCTCAATTTGTTCCAAAATTGACAGGCAAAGAAAGGAGTGTTATATCTCTAATTCTGCCAAACCTCAACACTTACTGTAATAAGGAAGGTGTTTGGGGTGTAACCATTCATTTCATGAATGATGTATGGAATAATGCCTTAACTAAAGAGAAGAAGGTTTTTTCTAGAATATTACTCCACCTAGACTGAGATGTATCTGCCCAATGGCATTATTGATACTTATTAGAAGCTTGAGACATCATTACTATGCATTTTTTGTTTTTTAATTTTTTTTTATTTTAATAGGTTTTTGGTGAACTAGTGGTATTTGGTTGCATGAATAAGTCCTTTAGTGGTGATTTCTGAGATTTTGCTACACCCATCACTTGAGCAGTGTACATTGTACCCAATGTGTAGTCTGTCTTTAATTTTTTTAAATTATACTTTAAGTTCTGGGATACATGTGCAGAACGTGTAGGTTTGTTACATAGGTATACACATGCCATGGTGGTTTGCTACATCCATCAACCGGTCATCTACATTAGGTTTTCTCCTAATGCTATCCCTCCCCTAGCCCCCACCCCCCAACAGGCCCTGGTGTGTGATGTTTCCCTCCATGTGTCCATGTGTTTTCATTGTTCAATTCCCACTTATGAGTGAGAAGATGTGCTGTTCGGTTTTCTGTTGGTGTGTTAGTTTGCTGAGAATGATGGTTTCCAGCTTCATCCATGTCCCTACAAAGGACATGAATGCATCATTTTTTATGGCTACATAGTATTCCATGATGTGTATGTGTCACATTTTCTTTATCCAGTCTATCACTGATGGGCATTTGGGTTGGTTCCAAGTCTTTGCTCTTATGAACAGTGCTGCAATAAACATACGTGTGCATATGTCTTTATAGTAGAATGATTTATAATCCTTTGCGTGTATACCCAGTAATGGGATTGCTGGGTCAAATGGTATTTCTAGTTATAGATGCTTGAGGAATCACCACACTGTCTTCCACAATAGTTGAACTAATTTACACTCCCACCAACAGTGTAAAAGTGTTTCTATTTCTCCACATCCTCTCCAGCATCTGTTGTTTCCTGACTTTTTAATGATCGCCATTCTAACTGGCATGAGACGTTATCTCATTGTGGTTTTGTATTGCATTTCTCTAATGACCAGTGATGATGACCTTTTTTTCATATGTTTGTTGGCCACATACATGTCTTCTTTTGAGAAGTGTCTGTTCATATCCTTTACCTACTTTTTGATGGGTTGTTTGTTTTTTTCTTGTAAATTTGTTTAAGATCTTTGTAGATTCTGGATATTAACAAGTTCTAAAATTGAGGCAGTAATTAATAGCCTACCAGCCAAAAAAAGCCCAGGACCAGACGGATTCACAGCCAAATTCTACCAGAGGTACAGAGAGGAGCTGGTACCATTCCTTCTGAAATGGTTCCAAACAATAGAAAAAGAGCAACTCCTCCCCAACACATTTTATGAGGCCAGCATCATCCTGATACCAAAACCTGGCAGAGACACAGCAACAACAACAAAAAAGAAAATTTCAGGCCAATATTTCTGATGAACATTGATGTGAAAATCCTCAATAAAATACTGGCAAACTGAATCCAGCAGCTCATCAAAAAGCTTATCTACCACGAACAAGTCGGCTTCATCCCTGGGATGCAAGGCTGGTTCAACACGTGCAAATCAAGAAACGTAATCCATCACATAAACTGAACCAGTGACAAAGACCACATGATTATCTCAATAGATGCAGAAAAATTCAACACCCCTTCATGCTAAAAACTCTCAATAAACTAGTTATTGATGGAATGTATCTCAAAATAATAAGAGCTATTTATGACAAACCCATATCATAATGAATGGGCAAAAGCTGGAAGCATTCCCTTTGAAAACTGGCACAAGACAAGAATGCCCTCTTTCACCACTTCTCTTCAATGTAGCATTGGAAATTCTGGCCAGGGCAATCAGGCAAGAGAAAGAAATAAAGGGTATTCAAATAGGAAAAGAGGAAGTCAAATTGTCTCTCTTTGCAGATGACATGATTGTATATTTAGAAAACCCCATTGTCTCAGCCCAAAATCTCCTTAAGCTGATAAGCAACTTCAGCAAAGTCTCAGGATACAAAATCAATGTGCAAAAATCACAAGCATTCCTATACACCAATAATAGACAAACTGAGAGCCAAATCATGAGTGAACTCCCATTCACAATTGCTACAAAGAGGATAAAACACCTAGGAATCCGACTTACAAGGGATGTGAAGGACCTCTTCAAGGAGAACTACAAACCACTGCTCAAGGAAATAACAGAGGTCACAAACAAATGGAAAAACATTTCATGCTCGTGGATAGGAAGAATCAATATCGTGAAAATGTCCATACTACCCAAAGTAATTTATAGATTCAATGCCATCCCCATCAAGCTACCATTGGCTGTTTTCACAGAATTAGAAAAAACTACTTCAAATTTCATATGGAACCAAAAAAGAGCCCATATAGCCAAGACAATTGTAAGCAAAAAGAACAAAGCTGGAGCCATCATACTACGTGACTTCAACTATACTACAATGTGACAGTAACCAAAACAACATGATACTGGTACCAAAACAGATATATAGATCAATGAAACAAAACAGAGGCCCCAGAAATAACACCACATATCTACCACCATCTGATCTTTGACAAACCTGACAAAAACAAGCAATGGGGAAAGAATTCCTTATTTAATAAATGGTGCTGGGAAAACTGGCTAGCCATATGTAGAAAACTGAAACTGGACCCCTTCCTTACCCCTTATACAAAAATTAACTCAAGATGGTTAAAGACTTAAATGTAAGACCTAAAACCATAAAAACCCTAGAAGAAAACCTAGGCAATACCATTCAGAACATAGGCATGGGGAAAGACTTCATGACTAAAACACCAAAAGCAATGGCAACAAAAGCCAAAATTGACAAATGGGATCTAATTAAACTAAAGAGCTCCTGCACAGCAAAAGAAACTATCATCAGAGTGAACAGGAAACCTACAGAGTGGGAGACAATTTTTGCAATCTACTATGCATTTTCTTTTCTTTTCTTTCTTTCTTTTTTTTTTTTTTTTTTGAGACAGTCTCACTCTTGTCACCCAGGCTGGAGTGCAATGGCTCAATCTCGGCTCACTGCGAGCTCTGCCTTCCGAGTTCACGCCATTCTCCTGCCTCAGCCTCCCAAGTAGCTGGGACTACAGGCGCCCACCACCATGCCCAGCTAATTTTTTGTATTTTTTTTTAGTAGAGACGGAGTTTCACCGTGTTAGCCGGGATGGTCTCGATCTCCTGACCTCGTGATCCGCCCACCTCAGCCTCCCAGCGTGCTGGGATCATAGGCGTGAGCCACCGCGCCCAGACTGCTATGCATTCTCTAAGGATTCTGTTCTAAGAAATCCACAGACTTCTTACTAAGTTGCCTTGTTAGGTTACTATCTTTCAGGAAAAAAAAAAAAAAAGGACCTCAGAAAAGGGACTACTTAGGAATTAGTAACACTATTCTTTTTATTTTTATGCTCTTCTCCTTCTCTTCCCCTTCCTCCTTGCTCAGCTTAAGCCATGGAGAGATCAAATAAATGTATGTACTGGGGAAATAGGTGTAGGGTAGATTAAGGTAAAATCCAGATTAAATTAATGTAGTGAAAAATGACAATGGCTTATCTACTTCTCTGTGCCAGAGTGAGATTCCTCCAGGAAGGGATGCCCCTTGTTTCTATTTTCACTTCTCATTCTGGTTGTCTTACAATGGGGATTTTGAATCCAACATGAAGTCTTTGGAAACTAAGCAACGTTTTGCAAAACCACACAGATATGATGAACCAAAATGACATTGATAATAAATAACCTGGTTAGTGGGGAATCAAGTTTGTTGGATATTAAATGCCTCTCCAATTTTTAGAATTTTTTGTTTGTTTATTTATTTATTTATTTTGAGATAGAGTCTCACTCTGTTGCCCGGGCTGGAGTGCAATGGTGCGGTCTTGGCTCACTGCAACCTCCGCCTCCTGGGTTCAAACAATTCTCCTGCCTCAGCCTCCCAAGTAGCTGGGATTACAGGCTCGTGCCACCACATGCTGCTGATTTTTGTATTTTTAGTGGAGATGGGTTTCACTATGTTGGCCAGGCTAGTCTTGAACTCCTGACCTCATGATCTGTCTGCCTTGGCCTCCTGAAGTGCTGCGAGTACAAGCGTGAACCACCATGCCCTGCCAGAATTTTTAGTTTAAATACAGTTTTATTCAAATAACCAATGTCTTTTAACTATTGAAAAACGAAGTAAAAGAAAAAATACTTTTTGATAAAGTTGTCTTTAAAATTGATTTTAAAGTCTTGAAATTTGGGTTATTTTATATTGTATAGTATAATTTGAAAATTATTTTAGTTAAACAGTACATCAAAGAGGATAATTCTTTGCAAAACAAAACATCTTTAATCACTAACAAAAGGCTCATTAATGAATCAATAAATATGGAAAATGAACTATGTCAGGAGAATAGAGATTGCCAAATGTCAAACAATTTTATAAAAAGACATTAATTCTGAGGCAGTCAAAATGTACTTTATATATATATATAAAATATATAAATTTAAAATAATATATATTATAGACATATATAAAATATATGTAAAACCTATTGTATTGTTCAAGATAGCTATTTGAAGTTGCGTTTAAAAAGACCAGTGACAGGCCTGGTGCAGTGGCTCATGCCTGTAATCCCAGCACTTTGGAAGGCCAAGCCAGGTGGAACACGAGGTCAGGAGTTCAAGACGAGCCTGGCCAAGATGGTGAAAGATTATGTCCTTTTCAGCAACATGGAGGAAGCTGGAGGCCATTGTCCTAAGCAAACTAACATAGGAACAGAAAACCTAATAATGCATGTTCTCACAAGTGGGAGCTAAACACTGAGTACATATGGACACGTGTACTTGAGAGTGAAGGGCGGGAGGAGGGAGAGGATTGAAAAACTACTTATCGAGTAGTATGTTTATTACCTGGGTGACAAAATAATCTACACACCAAATCCCTGTGACACAAATTTTCTATATAACAAACCTGCACATGTATCCCTGAGCCTAAAACAAAAATTTTTAAAAAAGAAGAAATCTAACTACTTTAAAATGTTTTATAAAGCCTTGCAATGGCTGATTCCTGCCTATTTTTCTACATCATACCATGTTATTTTCTTTCCTCACACACGCCACATTCCTGGTACACTAGCCACATTTCAGTTCCTCAAACCCACTCTTTTTCTTGACCTTGAGGCTTTTAATTCGATGTTTCTTAACAGTATTCTGCCAGAAGTATTCCTTCTGTACTATTTACTGGAAAACTCCCCTTCCTTCAAGGACTGCTGTCCTCTTAAATGTGGTTTCCTCAATAAGACCTTCCATGCCCATCCTCATGTCTCCCCACCCCTGCCCACTCTGCAACATCCCAGAATCTATGATACTTAAATTGCATTATTGTCAGTCATTAATAAATACAAGGACCACAAGGGCCCTCAAGATGTATGTTCCTTATTAGAACCCAAAACAACAAACCAACAGATATTTTAACTATGAAAGTCCAGTACAGATTTCAAAATAATTTTGAATAATCAAATTTAATATAAAGAGTTATAGTTTCACAAAGACTATATGCTATATTTTATCACCTTAAGTTTCTGTGAGAAATAGGCTTTGTTAATATGACGAAACTCTAAAATTAATGGATTAAAAGACACAATTTCTGTGAAACCCCATCTCTACCCAAAATCCTCAAATTAGCCAGGCATGGTGGCTCATGCATGTAGTCCTAGTTACTTGGGGGGCTAAGGCAGGAGGATTGCTTGAGCCCAGGAGGCGGATATTGCAGTGAGCCGAGATTGCACCATTGCACTCCAACCTGGGTGACACAGTGAGACCATCTCAGAAAAAAAAAAAAAAAAAAAAAAAAAAAAGACATTGTTTCTTATTGTTTTTCAAGTTTCTATTCTTTTAGTTGAATGTACAGACAAGGAGTGGGTAGATAATGGATTCTTTTCATTTGAATCATAATGTGTCATTCTAGGAATCTCAGAGCTAAATTTAAGGTCAAACATAATACTTATATTCACCATTCCTTCAAGAAATAGCTGTTGGGCATCTTTCATGTGACAATGAGAAGTTGGCTAAGTCTCTGAGAATCAATTAATCAATTCATTTAATAGTTCACCAAATTCAAAATCATTATTGGTAATTATTTTCTAACAGCCCTTTAACTATAAAATTGTCAGCGTACACTTGACACTGTAATCTTCTAAATTAGAATTGGGCAGATTATTGATATTTGTTCAGCTCTTACTACAGTGCCCTTTGTCCTTAATTATTTTTTGCTTTTTATATTTTGTTTTTTAAATATATTCTTTGTTTCTAATTTACTAAGATAATTTCAAATTTTATTTTTGTTATTCAGGCTGCAAGTAGGTCAGTATCAACCTGAAATAACAAGACACCCTCTTCTTTCATGTGAGTCATTGGTAAGCACAGTGGTGGTGTGACATCAGTCCTGATTTCTATGGGATGGTTCTTGGAAATGCTTTCCAGACAGATTTAAATAATTGTTGTCAGTTTCATCATATAAACCTTTATTGCTTTCTGCAGCCAACTAGCCACACTGTAGTAGAAACAGTGTTTCTCTGAACCTGGGGTTGCAAGCTCCATAACACTTTAAAGGAGGCCATGGCAGAAGGGATCAAGGTGGATTCAGCATTTCCTACGTGCTTTTATATTTATGGAACCATTCATGATTCATAACAATCTTGTCAGAAAGTTAATATTCTTCCCATTTATAGATGAGGAAATTAATGCCTGAAGAGATTAAGGAATTTCTCATGTTGTTTGCCCCTTTAGTTCTTTATACTCTGCCATCTTGCCACTGTCAGAAAAAGCAGGACATGTTTTTCAAGATTAGATGTCTGGTACTCTGTTCATTGCAGAAATAACATGCTTTGGGATTACATGTTAAGGTGTTGTTGGCTGTTTTACTTTTTTTTTTTTTTTTGAGATGGAGTCTCTCTCGCTCTGTCACCAGGCTGGAGTGCAGTGGCGTGATCTCGGCTCACTGCAACCTCCGCCTTCGGAGTTCAAGCGATTCTCCTGCCTCAGCCTCCCAAGTAGCTGGGAATATGCGCCACTGCGCCCAGCTAATTTTTTTGTATTTTTAGTAGAGAGGGGATTTCACCATGTTGGCCAGGATGGTCTCGATCTCTTGACCTCGTGATTCACCTGCCTCGGCCTCCCAAAGTGCTGGGATGACAGGTGTGAATCACCGTGCCAGGCCAGATTTCTTAAAAAGATAAATGGCTGAGGCAGGCGAATCCCGAGGTCAAGAGATCGAGACCATCCTGGCCAACATGGTGAAACTCTGTCTCTACTAAAAATACAAAAAAGTTAGCTGGGCATGGTGGCCGGCACCTGTATTCCCAGCTACTCAGGAGGCTGAGGCAGGAAAATCACTTGAACCTGGGAGGTGGAGGTTGCAGTGAGCCGAGATCGCGCCACTGCATTCCAGCTTGGCAACAGAGCAACACTCCCATCTCAAAAAAAAAAAAAAAAGAAAAAGATACATGGAAGGTAACAGGTGGAGGGAAAACAGGTTTTGGTAGGGGAATATATTTGTTTTCTATTGTTGGCATAATAAATTAGCCCAAACAGTGGCTTAAATCAAACCCATCTGTTATCCCACAGTTCTGTAGGTCAGAAATCCTAGTTGGTTTGTTTGGGGTCTCTTCACTGGGTATTACCAAGCCAAAAAAACACGTCGGCCAGGCGTGGTGGCTCACGCCTGTGATCCCAGCACTTTGGGAGGCTGAGGCAGGTGCATTACGAGGTCAGGAGTTTGAGACCAGCCTGGCCAGCATGGTGAAACCCTGTCTCTACTAAAAATACAAAAATTAGCTGGGTGTGGTGGCGCATGCCTGTAGTCCCAGCTACTTGGGAGGCTGAGGCAGGAGAATGGTGTGAACCTGGCAGGCGGAGCTTGCAATGAGCCAAGATGGCGCCACTGCACTCCAGCCTGGGGCACAGAGCGAGACTCCGTATCAAAAAAAAAAAAAAAGGCCGGGCGCGGTGGCGCACGCCTGTAATCCCAGCACTTTGGGAGGCCGAGGTGGGCGGATCATAAGGTCAGGAGATCGAGACGATCCTGGCTAACACGATGAAACCCCGTCTCTACTAAAAATACAAAAAATTAGCTGGGCGTGGTGGCGGGTGCCTGTAGTTCCAGCTACTCGGGAGGCGGAGGCAGGAGAATGGCGTGAACCCAGAAGGCGGAGCTTGCAGTGAGCCGAGATCATGCCACTGCCCTCCAGCCCGGGTGACTGATGAGACTCCATCTCAAAAAAGAAAAAAAAAGAAAAAAAAAAAAACAAACAAACAGAAAAAAGATGTCAACCTCTGGACTCTTAATGGGGGGCTCTGGGAAGATTCCACTTCCAGGCCCATTCATATTGTTGACAGAATTAAGTTCTTTGTGGTTGAAATGCTAAGGTTCTTTTTTTTCTTGTTGGCTGTCAGCGAAGGCCTGCCCTTAGTTGCAATAGGCCCCTCTCTGTCCATGCACATGAGTTCCTGCATCTCAGCAGCAGCAAGGGTGCATTGAATCCTTCTCATGCTTGAACTTTCCTTTGCTTTCCTCTTCTTTTTCCAGCTGGAGAACATTCTCTGCGTTTAAGGACTCATGAAATTGGATTGGGCCCATCTGGATAATTCAGAATATTCTTTCTTATTTAAGGTCCATAACCTTGATTACATCTGCAAAGTCCCTTTTGCCACGTAATGTAGCATATTCTTAAATTTCAGAGATTAGCCATGGACATCTTTGGGGGACCATTTTGCCTACCACAGACAGAAAAGAAGTGGAAGAAGGAAAAACTTTTCTCAATTTAGAAGTCTATTTGAGAGAGTTCTTGATAATTTTTGTTAGATCAAATTTGCTGTAAGTAAAAGATTCCCTCTTTAATAATTGTTTATCTGTTTTGTTGAAAATTGTGGGTAAATAAATATACAGAATCTTAGTTTAGGGTTTTTAAAAGCTTCCATTTGTGGTGTAGGCTGATTTTATTTTGAATTTTTGGTTCTAATTTATAACTTTTCAAGTATAATTAAATGTAAGTTTTGAAAAATTTTTTGCTTGTTCATTTGGAATGCATTTTCTTGATTACTGCTAATTTTTGGTTTATTGTAGCTTTATTTGGATTACTGTAGTGATTAACATTATGGCTGAGTAAAGAGCGTTGGAAATTCTAAGTATGATTTCTGAAGATCTCAAAATTGAAGGAGCAGACAGCAGTAATGAGTTACAAATGGAAACTTGTATTTTGTTTGGAAAATCGTTTCTTTCCTTGAGGAATTATGTTTTGTATTGGTTTCAGAGTGTTTGGTCTTTGGAGAGGTACTTGGGGTTTTAGGAAACACAGCAGTTGTATCTTCAAATTAAATGTCACTTAGGCCTTTATGCCATGTTTCCTAAGGTCTTTACATCTGGAATAACTTTATCTCTATTCCAAAGAATCCAAGTAGTTCAAGGTTAAACAGTGTGTCATCGTGATGTCAGGGGTGCCTCAGTTTCATTTCTTCAAAAATGTTCTATTCCATGAGGTTTCTTTTCCTACTTCAATAGAAAAATGTTGACATAAATTAAAAGTGAGCACTGAGTTGTTGTTTTGGGAATTGTCCCCTTCTTTTCTTCCTGTATTGACATTAAATTCATCCTTTTTTTTTTTTTTTTGGTCTGGAGACAAAAATCTGTTATATCAGTTTTCCATCTACATTTTGCCTGAGAAAAAATGTGGAAGACAGCTGTTTTAATGTTGAAATGGATCCAGTTTCTCCCTAAGCATGTCCTCAGAGCTTTTGGGCATTTATTTTTAACTCTGATAGAATTAATTTGGAATAAGACATAAATGACCATTATTTACCCTATCTAATTTCCTGAAACAAACAATGTGTGGTTACTTATGCCTTTGATTTAGCAGTAGAAATGTACGCTCTCCAGTAAATGAGAATAATAGGATCACTGGGTAAAATATTGCATTTCCTAAATTCCTGCTGTGGTCATTTGACTGGACTAATATTTTCATCAACTGATAAAGAATTTAAAATAAGTTATTCATCCATTTGAATCAGCAACCTGTGTAATTTTTCAGGCCTGTACTTGAAAACGTTGTAGTTTAAGTGCCAGGTTGTAGTTGGAGGAGAGAGAGTGAGATGTGAAGAGGAAAATGATGTTGCATTGAATTCCACTGAGGGACTGCCACCCTGGGAGACCAGCTTCTGTTCTTGGGTTTCACGGGTACCTGGACATTCTTTGTATGACTGGTCTGAGAAAGAACTTACAGTTAAATACTTCTGAGGAGTCTGCCTCCCTCACACCTCATCCACTCTATGAGTCTCTGAAATGCACCGTGTGTGCATGTGATCATGTGTGCACATGCCTGTGTTGGGATGAGGATAGGAGAAAATTGTTCTTTCTCTGTTCCACTCTTCACTTTGAAAAAGATGAGAGAAGAGTCTGGGCTCCAGTGTAGGCCAGAACTGGGTTTGAATCACAGCTCCATCCCTTGTTAATACCTGTGTGACCTTCAGTGAATCTCAGTTTCCATGAAATGCAGACAATAATGCCAAGGATTGGAGATAATTTATGTAAAGCTTACCCTGCACATTTTGGTCCCATTGTAACCAGTTAATAAATAGTGGTTACTGTCACTATACAAACCCTGATGTCACTATATTTAGCTAGTGTTATTCCATCTATGGAAAACATATGAATAGAAACAAAGTAGTTATTTTTTGTTATTGTTTAAAAAAACCTGTTTAGAGCCCCAGCTTCATGAGCACAGTAGGCTCTGACGTGTAGGTGCTGCTAGAAGGAACTTTCAGAGCTCAGCTCTATCTTTGTAGTTTATTAATCTGCTACCATGGAAACAGGTATTTAATCCTTATGAAACAGGAAAACAGCTTTAAACAAAGAACTGTTTCAAACAATGTGTTGTTCATGGGCAGCGTTTGTTTCTTTTTTTAAAAAAATATAATTTCTAAGTGACTAACCTCATTTTTGGCAATCTGATTTGAGTTTCCATGGAAACAGAAGTGACAGCTGAGGCCTCCAAACTCTTGTAACTGATGGGGCTCAGGTTAAGTCTTGCAAATGTCAGTTGTCCCAAGGTACCTAAAAGAGCCAACAGAAATAAGAGTCGGACAATGTCCAGGGAAAAAGAAGGAATAATACGTCAAACATTTACAAAATTCACAATGCTGTGGGTTTGTGAAAAAGCATGTGTAATGGATAGACAGAGAGAAACTCATGGATGTAATTCACAGTTAGGGGTTATGTGGCCTGGCCTCATATTAAACACCTTTTTCTGAGTGGCTAACTTACCTAGTTCCTATATATTTTTGTTACACTTAGTACAAGAATATAGGGAAAGGGTGAAAGCTTAGAGGATTAATAAAATATCACATAATGGGCCTATTAAATATTAGCATGAGAACTAAATGTAAAAGAAGACAAATGAAAATGTATGAAAGCCAAACTTTCAAAGATAGATGTGTTCAATTGGCATAGGCCCAAATATTTATTTGTAGGCCCCCACTATTGGTCTTTGTAGAGATTTTTCTAATTCCTAATATTTAACAATGATATTACTACATCCTAGGATTGTTGGTGTAAAAGTAGTTTTCACTGTTTTTAGAAAGACTTTCCAGTAATTCTACATCACATCAGAGGGAGAAAAATCAGAATATCACCTGAGTTTCTAACACGGATTTTAAAACAACAGGCCTCTCTTATCCCCAACTTAAGTATATTGTGAGTATGCACATGTTTCTTTGTCAGCTACATCCTTCTGAGAAGAGCTGTACCTTTCAATTGTTTTGTGATTGGTGAAATCATCCAGTCTAGGCCACTCTGACCAGCAGATCTTTGACTAAGTTTTACTTGGGTCCTGCAGGTGTTTACAAATTTTCTTTATAAATATCTAAAGGGGTTTTCATAAATGAAGATTTTATAAATAAAACAAAAAGGTTTAGTTGAGGACTGAGTTTGCTTTGGGCACGAACAATATACAGTTTCTCAACATAAGCATAATATTGAGAAGTGATACCCAGTTAAAAAAGTAACCTCATTTTTATCCCATGAAAAATTATTTTATTATAGGAACATTTCATTAATTATTTTCCTGATTATGAAAATATTGTGTACTCTTTTAAAAAAAATTTTATAAGCTAAGCAAATGAAAAATAAGTCACCCACAATTTCTCTATCTAGTTAGTATTTACAGATAAAGCATGCACTATAAAAATCCCCTTATATATATTCTTTTTTTTTTTTTTTTTTTTTTTTTGAGATGGAGTCTCCCTTACTCTGTCACCCAGGCTGGAGTGCAGTGGCAGGATCTTGGCTCACTGCAACCTCCGCCTCCCAGGTTCATGTGATTCTCCTGCCTCCTCAGCCTTCTGAGTACCTGGGATTACAGCCATGAACCACCCACTCCCTCCAACCCCCCCCAGCTAATTTTTGTATTTTTAGTAGAGATGGGGTTTCACCATGTTGGCCAGGCTGGCCTCGAACTCCTGACCTTAAGTGATCTGCCCACCTTGGCTTCCCAAACTTCTGGGATTATAGGTGTGAGCCACCGCATTCATCGCCTACATATGTAGTGTTACATAATTTTTGACTTAAATGTAATCATAATATCCTTTAACATACGCATTCCTAGGTGTAGACTTATGTAAATTTGTAACATTCATCACAATATGCATACTCTTTCTAATCTGCTTTATTTCTAACCTCAAATATGTCATAAATATCATTCCATGCCTATAGCCATAAAATCAATATTAAATTTAGTAATGGCTTTGCAATAATCCACTGTGTGGACATAGTATATGGCACTTAACAACGTCCCTATTTTTAGAGCATTTACATCATTTAAAAAATATTATTTGTAGATGTTTTGAAAAATATCCTCATACATACATCTTGTGACCTTGGTGATTTCTTCGGGATACAGTTCTAAAAATGGTATTTTTCTAATTAGGGGCTATGTATTTAAGTGTTAAGTAAAAATTGTATACTTTCCTCAAGAATTCTTGTAGCAGTTTTCATCACTTCCTCAGTACTTGAGACAGCTAAATTCCCCATATATTCACCCAAACTAAGTCTTGTCATTAGTTTTTCATCTTTGTTAATCAGGTAGTCAAAACATAGTATCTTAATTATTGCTTAATTTGTATTTCCTTTACTACAGATTGAATTTATTTCATATATTAAATGCAAATTTTTGTTTCATAATTTATGAAATACTAGCTTATTTTGTTTGCCTGTTTCTTTGGAATTCTTTGTTTTGTATATATTTGTGACATCTCTATTGAGGTATAATTGATATAATAACCGCACATATTTAATGGGTACAATTAGACGAGTTTGGACATAGGCATATGCCCATAATATCATCACCAAAATTAATAAAATAGACATGTGCAACACCTCCCAGTTTCCTTTATGTTCCTTTCCTGTGTGCAAGTGTGTGTGTGGGGGGGGTGGGGGCAAGAACACTTAACAGGAGTTTTACCGTCTTAACAAATTTTAAGTTGCACAAGTCTGGATTGTTAACTGTGGGTACTATGTTGTAGAGCAGATCTTTAGAATTTATTTATCTAGCATAAACTTAAGACTTTAATCCCACTGAACAATAATCCCCCATTTCTCCCTCTCCACAGCTCTTCTATGATTTTGACTATTTTAGATACCCGATGTAAGTGGAATCATGCAGTGGTTATCCTTCCGTGACTGGCTTATTTCATTTAGCATAGTGGTCTTCGGCGTCATCTATGTTGTCAGTTTTAAGGCTGAATAAAATTCCATTATATGGGTAGACCAAATTTCCTTTATCTATTTATCTGTCAATGGACACTATATCTTGGCTATTATAAATAATTGTACCGTGAACATGGGAGTGCAGAAATCTCTTTATGATTCTGATTTTAAATCCTTTGGATCCACACCCAGAATTGGGATTGCGGGATCATATGGCAGTTCTACTTCTAATTTTTTTGAGAACCTCCATTCCATTTTTTATAGCTGTTGCCTCATTCTCTTTATATAGGATAGATATTAACCCTTTATGAAAATATAATTAAAATACTTTCTAGTTTGGTGTTTGTCTTTTGTACATGACTTTTTTTAATTAAAATACTTTCTAGTTTGGTGTTTGTCTTTTGTACATGACTTTTTTTAATTTAAGACATTTATTTTTTAATATAGTCATACCAGTCTTTTTCTTTATGGATTTTGCCTTTCGTATCATGTGTGGAAAGGCTTTCCCCAGCATAAATTTGTATCAGTAGACTCAGATTTTCTTCTGGTCTTTTCATTTATACTTTAATTGATTTGTAATTTGTTTTGGCCTAAGATTGGAGGTTTGAATATAACTTTATTTTCAGGAAATTGAATTTATTTACTTTCACATTATTTTCTTCACTAATTTGAAGTACTTATATTGTCACTTATTGGATTTTTAAATTCTTATATATGGAATCTGTCCCTTCTATTGATAAATTGTGTAGTTTTGCAGGAATATCGCAATATTATAACTTCACAATACATCTTAATATCTCAATAAGGAAAGTTTCTGTTTATTAGTCTTCGTTGTCACAAATTTCCAGGTGAAATTGAGTCATTTAATGTAGTTCCAAAGAAAAATTCTTATTCAGATTTTGATTGGGATTGCATTAAGTTTATAGATTATTTTGGAGAAAACGGATGTATCTATAATATAGATACTTCCTGTCCAGAAACATGGATATTACTATATTTTTTCAACTCTTCTTTTATGTCCTTTAGTAAAACCTGTAGTTCTCGTCCCATAAACTTAGCTTTTTACTTTATTGCACTTTTATCAGACTTTCTTCATTGTATCAAGAGTATTAATTTATGGACAATTCCTGTAGCCAACATTGAGTTATCTGCTTCTCAACTCCACCTCTCGCATGTATCACTCTGGAATTTAGTATTTATTTACCTGTTTCAATTTCTGCAATTAGTAGTGAATCTGGTAATGTCTGCATTAATTGGAAGTTGTCATAGAGTCACAAGGTCATGGGATAATGACATTTATACAGCAAGAGAGGAAAAATTCTAGTTGGTTTTCCTTCTTTGTATGTCTACTTTTCAATTAGTTCCTGAGATAACTTGTTCTGGTTTGTGTATTTGCAATTTTATGGTGACTACAGAGTGTGAATTGAGGAACAAAAAGGAAGTCTCTTATGACCTAAAATATACTTTCCACTTGTCTCCCAGGAGAAGCTACATTCCACCATTACGGGTCAATTTTTTTGGGTTAAGGTGCTCTCTTCAACAAAATGAAAATAGCTCTTGGGGAAATAACCACTTAAACTAGCCACTTAGCTCTGGCTGCTATAACAAATGACCTTATTCTGGGTAGCTTAAATAGCAAATATTTATTTCTCATGGTTCTGGAGGCTGGGAGGTCCAAGATCAAGGTACCAGCAGATTCACTGTCTGATGAGGGCCTACTTTCTGGTTTGAAGATGGTGCTTTCTTGCTGTGTTTTCACATGACACAGCACAAGCCCTCCCACTCATGAGGGTTCTACCTTCATGACCTAATTATCTTCCAAAAGCCTCACCTTCTAATACCATCACATTGGAGGTTAGGATTTCAACATAGGAATTTTGGAAGGGCACAAGTATTTAGATCATAATGAGTATTGTACCCCAGTAGTACTTAATTTTTTTATTTTATTTTTTTCTCTGTTTTTATTTTATTTATTCATTTTTATTATACTTTAAGTTCTGGGTTACATGTGCAGAAACTGCAGTTTTGTTACATAGGTATACACATGCCATGGTGGTTTGCTGCACCCATCAACCCGTCACCTAAATTAGGTATTTCTCTTAATGCTATCCCTCCCCTAGCCCCCCACCCCTGACAGGCCCTGGTGTGTGATGTTCCCCTCCCTGTGTCCATGTGTTCTCATTGTTCAACTCCCACTTATGAGTGAGAACATGAGGTGTTTGGTTTTCGGATCTTGTGATGGTTTGCTGAGAATGATGGTTTGCAGCTTCATCCATGTCCCTGCAGAGGACATGAACTCATCCTTTTTTATGGGTGCATAGTATTCCACAGCATATACATGCCACCCTTTCTTAATCCAGTCTGTCATGGACGGACATTTGGGTTGGTTCCAAGTCTTTGCTATTGTGAATAGTGCCACAGTAAACATACGTGTGCATGTGTCTTTATCACAGAATGATTTATAATCGTTTGTGTATATACCCAGTAATGGGATTGCTGATCAAATGGTATTTCTAGTTCTAGGTCCTTGAGGAATCGCCACACTGTCTTCCACAATGGTTGAACTAATTTACACTTCCACCAACAGTGTAAAAGCGTTCCTATTTTTCCCAGCAGTACTTTAATTAATCAGATTATTTCCATCTAGATTGCTATGTAAGGGCAAGACCTTAGCATTATGATATAGATACATACGTTTTAATAGTGGGATGGTGCCGAAAATAGGTGCCTGGAAGAGTAGACCATGGTAGATGGCCATGGGTGGCGAGAGGACATCACAAAATGACAAAATTGGAGGAAAACATGTGTACTTTGAGAATAGAGAAGAAATTAACAAAAAGTTAGGAGAGCTCAGAAAAGAAAAGTTAATTTTTTCTGTGGTTTGTCCTGCCTGGTTCTATAGAAAAATTGCACAAGGAATAGAGAAATAGATGGGGAGGAGGTTATAGCTGCTTTCACAGTAAGATCTATTAATTTTTCTTCCCACTAGCCCAATCTCAGCCAACAGGAGGCAGGGTTATTATTCCTAAAAACTAAGCCAGGGACAGGGTTTCTACCACAGATAGAATTCTACTGACATCAGTATAATCATTTTTAGTGACATATAGAAACAAATATCCAGGCCAGAATTACTTCTTCAAAATATCTTTTTCTCAGCTGTAATCATCAGAATATTGAATACTTATTCAATACTGCATTTTCTAAAAAATATAGCCACTTATTCTACCTAGTAGTGTGTTTGGCATCATTAGTGATGTGGTAAATAAAAAGAATCACTTTCAAACTGCTACCTTTTATGTGCAGCACTCACAGCTGCCACTTGAAGCTCAGTTTGAAGCAATCAATTGGATAAGTCAATCAATTTTCATTTTGTCCTCATCTCCTAGGTAACCAGAGCATTTATACAGACCCTTGCCAAGGAAGAACATTTAAAAAGTAATATATATTCATGACCTGTTTTCTTTGAACACTGACTTAATAGAAAAGCAAAGAGCTACCCATGCAATATTTTAAATAACAGTAACACAAATTTTATTTGATTCTGGTGAGAAAGTATGAGGGGAAACATACTATAGAATATAACATCATTATATTTCAGTCTCTTATGATCTATCAGGAATGAAAACTGCACCACCTGCTATGTCTATTATGTATTTAATGTGAATAACAAGCATCCCACTGCTGGTTATTAAAACAAATCATAAGCCATCTGACATTATACTCATAACCCATTCCCTGCTTCATGGCTCTGAGAAAGGCACAAATTGAGGGTGGATGCATTGGAGCAGATTTTTTGATGTGAGTACAAGGCATTTGGCCTCAAAGTAAGTC
This sequence comes from Homo sapiens, assembly GCF_000001405.40. NCBI lineage: Eukaryota > Metazoa > Chordata > Mammalia > Primates > Hominidae > Homo > Homo sapiens. The sequence goes on from NC_000021.9 coordinate 17,988,028, forward strand.
ATTTATCTACTTCAAAAAAATCCCATAAAAAAGTCATTATGAAAATATAATCATAAAACAGTATTATTGGCACAACATAGAGGATGAAAAATTCCAGCAGTTGCAAAACGCATTAAGTTTTGCCTTACCTGAATCTTCTTGGCATGTGAAGCCATGAGAAAAATGAAACATTTGGTGTTTGTAGAAATGACTCACATTGAGGAAGTCATAGATCTTGCTTGCCTTGTTGATACAATGTGGCATTCAAATCCCACTGATTGCACAGGCTTCAAGTTTAGCTGGGCCAACCTCATCTACCTGGACACAGCTAACTGGTTTATTGGTTATTGTTTCCTGTGGGAAGTTTTTTTTTTTTTTCCCTTTTTTCCTTTTTTTTTATTATTATTATACTTTAAGTTTTAGGGTACATGTGCACAATGTGCAGGTTAGTTACATATGTATACATGTGCCATGCTGGTGTGCTGCACCCATTAACTCGTCATTTAGCATTAGGTATATCTCCTAAAGCTATCCCTCCCCCCTCCCCCCACCCCACAACAGTCCCCAGAGTGTGATGTTCCCCTTCCTGTGTCCATGTGTTCTCATTGTTCAATTCCCACCTATGAGTGAGAATATGCAGTGTTTGGTTTTTTGTTCTTGCGATAGTTTACTGAGAATGATGATTTCCAATTTCATCCATGTCCCTACAAAGGACATGAACTCAACATTTTTTGTGGCTGCATAGTATTCCATGGTGTATATGTGCCACATTTTCTTAATCCAGTCTGTCATTGTTGGACATTTGGGTTGGTTCAAAGTCTTTGCTATTGTGAATAATGCCGCAATAAACATACATGTGCATGTGTCTTTATAGCAGCATGATTTATAATCCTTTGGGTATATACCCAGTAATGGGATGGCTGGGTCAAATGGTATTTCTAGTTCTAGATCCCTGAGGAATCGCCACACTGACTTCCACAATGGTTGAACTACCCTGTAAAGGTTCAATGCCAAATGTGTCTACACATTGGAGAAAAGTAATGTTTGCCAAATGCTTACTAGAATTGAGATAAGGAATAATTTGGAAATAAAATAGTGTAAATGGGATTCTTAGTCCATGATGTACTATGTTATAAATATTCTTTTGCTGGAAACTATATCCTGGTTCTGGATCCCTGAACAAGATATAGGCAAAGACTGGATGCAGAATACTGTTTGGGGGAAGATCACTTACCTGCAAATCATCCTGGCTCTCTTTGAGTCCTTCAGTGGGAACTTGAAGAGATCACTGATTTCAGTTTGGGTCTCATTTGTAAAATAAAAAGTGTTGATAAAGAGGACATTAAGTTTCTTTTAAATCCAAAATTTCATAGTTTTATCTAATAGGATATGAGCATCTTAGGAGATTCTTCCTATCCTCACATATATCCACATAGACTATATTCATTTAAAATGCCCCCAAACTCCAGGGAGCACAAAATTAGATATTACTGAAGAAGATTTATATTAGAGTTCTAAAATGTGATTTGACTGGCTGTCTGTAGCCTTTTCTTAATATCAGAATAACCAAAATGTAACAAAACAAAAATGAAGTAACACCATGTGTTTGTATTTAAATCTGCTCAAGACAATTTTATTTTATACCAACCTGCAATTAGAATCCAACCCCAGAGATTCTGGGACCTTTTCAGCTAATGATGAGCCGACCATGTTTCAATTAATGCAAGGCTTGTGAGGTTATTTACAATCCACGTAAACACATTCCGGTTTTCAAAAATAAATTGGTACTACGGACTAAACAGTATTTGTCAAACTCGTTGATTGAATGTCCCATTTCCGAGGAGTTAAACAAGAACTTGGATGTAAACAGTTAAACATTTTTGGAAACTTCTTGATTCTTATTGGTAAACATAACAAGAGACAGAGCTTCTTTGCTTAACATAACAAGAGACAGAGTGCAGATTTAAATTTCACAAGACCTTTGTCTCCTACAGAGCTGTTTGAGGCTCTCCTGTGGTCCCTGCTGAGAAGAATAATAATCAGTATATAGGACTTTGAAAAGTCCTTTGTCACAAGGATTCAGGTCTCCTAAAACTGCTCATGAGATGTCATTGTTACCTATAGTTGATTTTAATTTTAAATATAGCCAAACCAAAGTGTGTGTATAATATATTAAAATATAAAAACATTATAATATAAAATAATGTTCTATCTGTATATATATCTCCTCTCTTTGCTTTTCTCTCCTCTGAGTCTCTGTTTCTGTCTTTGACTCTCTGACTCTGTCTTCACACTGTACACACACTTCCCAACATTAGCTACAATGTTTGGGAAAAGGCACAGTGAGAACCACAGTAAGTTTCATTTCTTAAAAGCTGAAGATATTTTCCTGTCAATTCTGCCATATAAATCTTTTTTATATCGTTCTTTCCTGTATAGAAAATGAGAGAGTTGCCTTTAGCCAAAATACTGGGATGTTAGAATATTTGGTTACATTGTTATACTATATATACTAACATTTCCACTACGGTTTCAAGTAGTTTAGGCAATTTTCAGTGCTGAATTTAAGCATGTTAGAAATATCAATTAAATACAAAGTTGAGCATTAAAACTAACAATGTTAAATGTTCGTGTTCTTGAAGGAATAACATTTTTTCCATGTGTAAAATATTTTTATGTTTTATTAATACAAAATAATTGTACATATTTATAGGATACATGTAATATTTTGATATATACATACAATGTATAATAATCAAATCAGTAATTAGGATATCTGTTACCTAAAACATTTATTATTTGTGTTGGTTACAATTTAAAATGACTCTTCCAGCTATTTTGAAATATACAACAAATTATTATTAATTAAAGTCACCCTACTGTGCTATTGAATACTAGAACTTATTCCTTCTATCTAATGATATGTTTGGACCTAATAAATAACCTCTCTTCACCTTCCACCTTTTTTCCGAGGCTCAAGTAACCATTGTCTAACTCTCTCCCTTTATGAGATCAACTGTTTAAGCTCCCATCTGTGAGTGAGAACGTTTGATATTTGTCTGTGTGTAGTTTATTTCATTTAACATAATGACCCCCAGTTCTATCCATGTTGCTACAGTTGACAGAATTTCTTTCTTTTCCATGGCTGAGTACTATTCCATTGTGTATATATATCACATTTTCTTTATCCATTCATCATTGATGGACACTGGGATTGATTTCTTGTCTTGGCTTTTGTGAATAATGCAGCAATAAATGCTGGGGTGCAGGTATATCTTTGATATACTGATTTCCTTTTCTTTTGATAAATACCCAGTAGTGTGATTTCTGTATTATACAGTGGTCTTATTTTTAGCTTTTTGAGAAACTTTCATACCGTTTTCTATAATGGATGTATTAATTTACATTCCCACCAACAATGTATAAGAGTTCCCTTTTCTCCATATTCTCACTAGCATCTATTATTTTTTGTCTTTTTGATAGTAGCCATGCCAACTATGGTGAGATGGTATTTCATTGTGGCTTTTATTTGTATTCCTCTAATGATTAGTGATTTTGAGCATTTTTTAATATACCTATTGGCCATTTGTATGCATCCTTTTGGGAAATGCCTATTCATGTCTTTTGCTCACTTTTAAATGAGATTATTTGATTTTTTTTTTTTTTTTTTGGTGTGGGGAGGTGTTGAGTTGTTTGCATTTCTTATATATTCTGAATATCAATCTCTTGTCCAATAAACAGTTTGTGAATATTTGCTCCCATTTAACAGGTTGTCTCTTTATGCTGTTGTATCCTTTGCTGTACAGAGGCTTTATAGTTTAATATAGTACCATTTGTTTATTTGAAGTCATAGCCATTTGCTTTTGAAGTCATAGCCATAAAACCTTTGCCTTAATCAATGTCATGATGCATTTCCCCTATGTTTTCTTTTAGTAGTTTTATAGTTTCAGATCTTACATTTAAGCATTTAATCCATTTTCAGTTGATGTTTGTATATGGTGAGAGCTAGGGGCCTAGTTTCATTCCTCTGCATATTGATATCCAGTTTTCCCAGCACCAGTTATTGAAGAGACTGTCCTTTCTTCAGTGTATGTTCTTGGTGCCTTTGTTGAAAATAAGTTGGCTATGAATATATGGATTTATTTCTGGGTTCTCTATTATTTTCCATTGGCCTATATGTCTGTTTTTTATACCAATACCATGCTGTTTTGGTTACTATAGCTTTGTAATATATTTCAAAGTCAGGTAGTGTGATGCCTCTAGTTCTTTTTGTTTAGTATTGCTTTGGCTATTTGGCATCTTTTTGTGGTTCCATACAAATTTTCTATTTCTATGAAGACTATCATTGATATTTTGATAGTGATTACATTGAATCTGTAGATTGCTTTGGGCAGTGGTGGTCATTTTAACAATGTTAATTCTTCCAATCCATGAGCATGGGGTGTCTTTCCATTTGTTTGTGCTTTCAATTTCTTTCATCAGTGTTTTGCAGTTTTCACTGTAGAGATATTTCACCTCCTTGTTGAAACTTACCCTAGGTAATTTATTTATTTATTTTTGTACCTACTGTAAATGGGATTGCTTTCTTGATGTCTTTTTTTAGATAGTTTGCTATTGGTGTATAGAAATGCTTCTGATTTTTGAACATTGATTTTGTGTCCTACAACTTTCTTGAATTTGTTTATCAGTTCTCAGAGTTTCTGGTGGAGTTGTTTTTTTTTTTTTTTTTTTTTTTTTCCAGACAGAGTTTCACTTCTGTTGCTTCAGCCTCCCGAGTAGCCGGGATTACAGGCATGCACCACCACTCCCAACTAATTTTGTATTTTTAGTAGAGACGGGGTTTCTCCATGTTGGTCAGACTGGTCTGAAACTCCCGACCTCAGGTGATCGCTTGCCTCAGCCTCCGAAAGTCCTGGGACCACAGGTGTGAGCCACGGCGCCCGGCCGAGGGTTTTTATTTGTATATAAAATCATGTCATCTGCAAAGAGGGACAATTTTACTTCCTCTTTTGCAATTTGAACACCTTTAATTTCCTTCCATTTCCTCGTCTGGTTAGGACTTCTAGTACCATGTTGAATAAAAGTGGTGAAAGTGGGCATCCTTGTCTTGTTCCAGTTCTTAGTATTTTCATTTTTTTCCCATTCAGTATGATATTAGCTGCAGGTATTTCATACATGGCTTTTATTATTTTGAGGTATGTTCTTTCTTTTTTAAAATTTAAATTTTAAGTTCAGGGATACATGTGCAGGTTTGTTATATGGGTTAACCTTTGTCATGGGGGTTTGTTGTACAGATTATTTCATCACCCAGGCATTAAGCCTAGTACCCATTTGTTATTTTTCTTGATCTTCTCCCTCCTCTCACCCATCACCCTCTGATAGGCCCCAGTGTCTGTTGTTCTCCTCTGTGTGTCCCTGTGTTCTCATCAATTAGCTCTCACTTGTAAGTGAGGACATGTAATATTTGTTTTCTGTTCCTGTGCTAGTTTGCTAAGGATAATGGCCTCCAGTGCCATCATGTTCCTGCAAAGGACATGATCTCATTCTTTTTTATGGTTACATAATATTCCATGGCAAATATGTACCACATTTTCTTTATCCAGTCTATCATTGATGGGCATTTAGGTTCATTCTATGTCTTTGCTATTGAGAATAGTGCCACAATGAACATACGTGTGCATATGTCTTCAGGAAAGAATGATTAATATTCCTTTGGGAATATATCCAGTAATGGGATGGATAGGTAGAATAGTATTTCTGTTTTTATGTCTTTGAATAATCTCCACACTGTTTTCAACAATGATTGAACTAGCTTACACTCCCACCAACAGTGTATGATCATTCCTCTTTCTCCAGAACCTTTTTCTAGACTTTCCAATTTGTTAGCATATAGCTTTTCATAATAGTTTCTAGTGATCCTTTGCTTTTCTGTGGTATCAGTTATAATGTCTCCTTTTTCATTTCTGATTTTATTTTTTTGAGTCTTCTTTCTTTTTTTCTTGGTTAGTTCAGCTATTGCCTTATTGATTTTGATTATTTTTTCAGAACACTAGCTTTTCATTTTGTTAATCCTTTATATTGTGTTTTAGGTCTCTATTGAGTTCTGCTCTGATCTTTACTATTTGTTTTCTTCCTCTAATTTTGGGTTTTGTTCTTCTTGTTTATCTAGTTCCTTGAGGTGCTTTGTTAAATTGTTTATTTGAAATCTTGGGCTCTGGCAGTGTTAGTTCTGTGTGAACCAGTCCTCAGGCCTGCAGCAGCATGCTTGGGTACAGGTGGTGACAGCGATGGGCTGGGGTGGGCTGCTACTTAGGCCTTCTGGTGGTGTGTATGTCTTCAGTAATGGCAGTAGAGGGAGCAGGCCAATCCTCAAGTCCTCCAGCAGCATGTGTGGTCACCAGTGCAATGTCATGCTAGGAGGACCAATTCCCAGGCACTTGGGTGGGTCATGTGAGAGGGCACTGGTGGCAGTAGAGGCAGGCTTGGTGGGTTAGTCCTTGGGGCTCTGGGAGGCATGCATGTGTGCCCACAGGCCTGTGGATGGCCCACACGTGTCCTGATGGTAGTGGACTGAGAGGTCTAATTTCCAGGCCCGTGGAGGTTGTGTGTGTATGCACTGGCAACGGTAGTCAGGGCAGCTTGATTTCTAGGCTTCTGGATGATGTGCGTCAGTGACAGCAGTGGCAGTGGCAGGTGGGACAGACCTGTCCTCAGGCTTCCAGATGGTGTGTGTGGGTGCCGATGGCAGAAGGCAGGGTTCAACCCCCCAGGTAATGTGTGTGGTATGTGGGTGCCAGCAGTGGCAGTTAGTAGATTGAGCCTGTTTGTAGGTCCTGGGACAGCACATGTAGGTATGCGAGGACCCTGCCACTGGAGGGGGATGGGGTTACTGGAGTAGGTGGGTTTGCTGTCAGTGTCAGTGGACCCAGGCTCTGGGGAGCAAATACTTTGGCTTCCTTTGTTTGTGGGGCAACCTCGCTGGTGCACTGTACTGCCCATTCTCCAGGATGTAGGGCACTGCATGGGCCAGAGTGCTAGGGACCTGATCGCACCCCTTGATCCAGACAGCGTCATGATGCTGCAGCCCTCTGGGTAGCCACAGAGGGATGTCACCAAAGCTCCCAAGATTTGGAAATTCAGGGCCTGTTGGGACGCAGGGCAGGATATGGTCTGGTGGGGACTGGGCTCTCAAAATGGTGCCGTGCTGTAGCTGCTTGGGTCATGGCACAAACTTCCTCTGGAAAAATGTCTTCTCATGGATTCCAGGCAACTGTCTATATTAGTCTCAGGATATGTGAGGGCCATGGGGCTCTCCTGTGGCTAGGATTACAGGAGTCTGCCATGGGAATGTAGACTGCTGGGGCCTTTTTGCTTACATTTTCCCCAAAATGGGGAGTGCTTTCTCACTCTGAGCTTATGCCAGCCAGGCTGGCTATTTCACTTTCCTCTCCTTCTGTGCTTCAAGCACTCCCTGTCACTTCCCTGCTGAATTCCAGTGTTCTCTCTCAGGTGCTCTATTCAGCATGTGGTTATCTACTTGCTGTTTTGGTCCTTCTTTGTGGTGGAGGCAAGTGCCAGATGTCTCTTATCAGCCATCTTGAAGCTGGTCTCCATATTCTTAAATGATACTAAACAACAATCCCATCTCTTGTGCAGTTAGGTTCCTGCCTTTGCTGTCACCACCACCTTAATTATCTCTAACTGTACCTACATCTTTAGGTCACTTCCTTCATATTTAGAGTCTTGCTGAAGAACACTGGATCAGTCAGAACTGGGTTTAATGCCTGTGGCCTAACTGCTGGAGTATTGAGAGAAGGAATCAGTTCTTTCAACCTCTGGAGTAAAAAGTGTAGCCCCAAATCTCATTTACTTTTGCAGACCTCCAGGTGAGATGAAAGTATCTCCTACATCTGTATTTGATCCATTTTGTATTCTGGCTAAACCTACTTTTTCAATATGATCACTCAATTATCTCACCCATGTATCCTGGGCTTCTGTTGAACTGAATGACTTGCTATTTCTTGTATATGTTATGTGGCATCTGATTGAGTGACTTTTGACTCATCATTTATTTTTTTTTTTGCAAAGGCTCATTTTACCTATGGTCACATGCTTCCCATCCTTGAGCGTCTAACTCAAATGCAGTCAGTTATATTAAGGTTATCATGTTCCCCAAGACAGAACATTATTCTTTTTGATAAGATCAAATACCTCCTGTTGGTAAATTGAAGTTTCAATGTAAATTATAGTCTAAAGAATAGGGAAAACATGAGGCTACAGTGAAGGTACTCAACCAAGAGAGGAAGAAAAACTAAATAATAATGTTTCTCCTTCAGAAATCTGCACCTTTCTTAGGTACTTGTGAACATGCTGTATCCTTGCCTCTGGACTTATACAGCTTGAGGGCATGAACTGTGTCTGATTATCTTGGACTCCTCTGCAGGTCTCAGTAGAGTGGGTTAACAACTGCTCAGTCTAGTGAAGAAGGCAGCCAAATATATGAAGATGGAAAACAGTCTGCTAAGTGGCATCACATAAGTAAGAAACTCAGTGGGGATGCCAAAAAGGGGAATCAAATGGACTCTCCGGAAAATCATCTCAGAGGGATTTGACCTGGAAATTAAAGGATAAATGTATTTTTGCCAAGCTGCCAAGGTAGTAGAGGGGCTAAGTGTTTGGATTTTATCTTGAATATGAAAAGGAACTTTTTAATAATAAACACTCTTCAACAAAGACTGAAGTACTTCATGAATTTATAGACCTGAAGGTGTTTAATCAGAGGCTGGTTGACTATTTTTGCAGAATTTATGGAAGAAATTCATAAACTCTTTGGATGAAACCTATGAGAAACCTGAAAATTTTAAATTTATATGATTCCTATCATAAAATTCTATGAGGGTAAAGATTAAACATGATTAGAGAATTTTTATTAGCTAAATACATATTACTTTAAAAATTAAAACCATTTATTTAACTAGTAGAGAAACATACATTTTATTCTGATTTTAAAAAAAACATGAAAAATCACTTTTGTCACCAGAACATTGAACAAATAAGACTACCAATGATAATTATAAAGCAACTTTAATTTTATTTCCCACCTTTCTTTTAAGTTCATAATATGCGATTAGTTACTCTGCTTCTCCTGGAGAAATTCTCATGTTGCATTTGTCTTCCAAATAATCTCTTGAATAACTGGTATGTCTAGATATGTGGAATAATCAAAACTTTAATCTTAATATAAAGTCAAAGCTGCAATCCAAAACCTGTATGGAGGGAGACAGGGCATGGCCAGCTTTCCTTCCTCCTCACTTTGGCTTCTGCCTTTTCTCTGTCTTCTTGCTGTGTGTGTTTCTGATTCCTCCAGGGACTTGCCAAAGATGGGAGCAAGAAAGGCCATACTAGGCTAGTACTGCTACGAGCCAACATCAACATTCCCTGGGCTTGGCAGATATTGGAAAATGACTCTTTTGTTGTATTATATGGAGATGGGTAGTAGATTCTATGTAGACCTTGTGTATTAGTTCATTTTCATGCTGCTGATAAAGACATACCTGAAACTGAGAAGAAAAAAAGGTTTAGTTGAACTTACAGCTCTACATGGCTGGGGATGCCATGCCTCAGAATCATAGCGGGAGATGAAAGGCACTTCTTACATGGTGGTGGCAAGAGAAAAATGAGGAAAAAGTGAAAACGGAAACCCCTGATATGCCCATCGGATCTCCTGAGACTTTTTCACTATCATGAGAATAGCACAGGAAAGACCAGCCTCCATGATTCAATTATCTCCCCCACCCCTCCAGCCCCTCCCACAACACGTGGGAATTCTGGGAGATACAATTCAAGTTGAGATTTGGATGGGGACACAGCCAAGCCGTATAATTCCACCCCTGGCCCCTCCAAATCTCATGTCCTCACATTTCAAAACTAATTATGCCTTCCCAACAGTCCCCCAAAGTCTTAACTCATTTCAGCATTAACTTAAAAGTCCACAGTCCAAAGTCTCATCTGAGACAAGGCAAGTCCCTTCCACCTATGAGCCTATCAAATGAAAAGCAAGCTAGTTACTTCCTAGATACAATGGGAGTACAGGTATTGGGTAAATAGAGCTGTTCCAAATGGGAGAAATTGGCCAAAGCAAAGTGGTTACAGGGCCATGCAAGTCTGAAATCCAGTGGGACAGTCAAATTTTAAAGCTCCAAAATGATCTCCTTTGACTTCAGGTCTCACACCCAGGTCATGCTGATGCAAGAGGTGAGTTCTGATGGTCTTGGGCAGCTCCACCCCTGTGGCTTTTCAGGGTACAGTCTCTCTCCTGGCTGCTTTCATGGGCTGGCATTTAGTGTCTGTGGCTTTTCCAGGTGTATGGTGCAAGCTGTTGGTGGATCTATCATTTTAGGGTCTGGAGGACTGTGGCCCTCTTCTCACAGCTCCATTAGGTGGTGCCCCAGTAGGGAACCTGTGTGGGAGCTCTGACCCCACATTTCTCTTCTGGACTGCCCTAGCAGATGTTCTTCATGAGGGCTCTGCCCCTGCAGCAAACTTTTGCCTGGGCATCCAGGCATTTCCATACATCTTCTAAAATCTAGCCGGAGGTTCCTAAACCTCAATCCTTTACTTCTGTGCACCCACAGGCTCAACACTACATGGAAGCTGCCAAGGCTTGGGGCTTCCACCCTCTGAAGCCACAGCCCAAGCTCTACGTTGGCCCCTTTCAGCCATGGCTGGAGCCTTGAACATAGAGCACCATGTCTCTAGGCTGCATACAGCTTGGGGACCCCGGGCCCAGCCCACAAAACCACTTTTTCCTCCTAGGCCTCCAGGCCTGTAATGTGAGGGGCTGCGGTGAAGGTCTCTGACATGGGCTGGAGATGTTTTCCCCATGGTATTGGTGATTAACATTAGGCTCCTTGCTACTTATGCAAATTTCTGCAGCCGGCTTGAATTTCTCCTCAAAAAATGGGTTTTTCATTCCTACTGCATTGTCAGGCTGCAAATTTTCTGAACCTTTATGCTGTTTCCCTTTTAAAACAGAATGCTTTTGACAGCACCCAAGTCACCTTTGAATGTTTTGCTGCTTAGAAATTTATTCTGCTAGATAGCCTAAATCATCTCTCTCAAGTTCAAAGTTCCACAAATCTTCAGGGCAGGGCAAAATGCCACCAGTCTCTTTGCTAAAACATAACAAGAATCACCTTTGCTGCAGTTCCCAGCAAGTTCCTCATCTCCATCTGAGACCACCTCAGCCTGGACCTTATTGTTCATATCACTTTCCGCATTTTTGTCAAAGCCATTCAGCAAGTCTCTAGGAGGTTCCTAACTTTTCCACATTTTTCTGTCTGCTTCTCAGCTCTCCAAACTGTTCCAACCTCTGCCTGTTACCCAGTTCCAAAGTCACTTCCACAGTTTTGGGTATCTTTTCAGCAACACCCCACTTTACTGTTACCAATTTACTGTATTAGTTTGTCTTCACACTGCTAATAAACACATACGTGAAACTGTGGAAAAAAAAAGGTTTAATTGCATTTTCAGTTCCCCATGGCTGGCGATGCCTCACAATCATGGTGGGAGATGAAAGGCACTTCTTACGTGATGGCAGCAAGAGAAAAATGAGGAAGAAGCAAAAACAGAAACCCCTGATAAAAGCCATCAGATCTCATGAGACTTATTCACTATCACGAGAATAGCATGGGAAAGACCAGCCCCCATATTCAATTACCTCCCACTGGGTCCCTCCCACAACACATGGGAATTCTAGGAGATACAATTCAAGCTGAGATTTGGGTGGGGACACAGCCAAACCACATCACCTTCCTTCAGCCAGAAAATCTCTCATCTGCAGTTTCTTGACATGGTTTGTCAGTCTCCAGCTTGGTCGTGTGTGAAGATGTACACCAACCTCTCTGAGCCTTTTAAAGTTAATTTTTTTTAAATCATGCTCAAGATGAGGAGAGAAATACTCTTCTTTCTCCATAGTAAAGAAGAAATAAACAGCTGCAGCACTCCAACAATATTTTTCCAAAGAAATTCTCTCTCAAATATCTAGTTTCAACTTCTTAAACACTTAAAGCGATTGCTAAAATAAGAGTTGCAAAATTGGGCTTTCGCTGTCTGTTTTTCAAATATTGTTATATTTTGATGGTCTGGCAATTCACTTCAGAACATGACTGTAATCAATATTTCTGACTTAGGGCCTCAGTCATAACTGAGGCTGAGTTCTAATTTAATAGCTGTTTATGTTAGGACCATCCTAACTTTGTAGTGAAAGGATGATCCTTTCACTACAAAGGTGAGATTCCCTAGATGCTTGCTAAATGCAAAGAATAATGTCACAGGCTTGTTCCTTGCCTTGCATAAAATATGTAACTATGATAACACTTTAATGGTGTTATAATTGTAAGATATTTTGGAGTTGGGAGTGCTCTTCTGCCCATCTTCCTAGTTTCCTGAAGTCCTGTATGAGCTTTGATGACGATAAGTTGCTTAACTGGGCCAGATATCTAATTAGCTATTAATTGCCACTCCTGTTTGTGTCTCTTGTTCTAGTAAGTCACTTTTCTTCCCCCACCTATACTTTTACCATGACATTGTTTAAATAATGGAAACACATTAGTTCTTCGTCTCTTGTGAACTTTAAAAACTTCCTTGGGTCATAAGAAAAAAGGCTTACCTGATTTTCCAAAAAGTGTTTCTCCTTGTTCCATGCAGGAAGGGCTTCTTTAGCATCCCCACACTGGTAATAAATTATTAAAGGGGTCTCATATGGACCTGCTGACAGCACTGTGATAAATACTCATATTAATTATAAAAAATAACAGTGGTCAAAAATTCAAAGTTCAACATGACTTTCAGAACAGCTTTTTCTTTTTCTTTTTTTTTCCTGAGATAGGTTTCAAATTTCAACACTGAACTTTCCGAAAAACAGACTGCAACTTGATCCTAAAGATTAGTTTAGCACACTCTACTTTTTACCTTTGTTTTTAAGGAGAAAAAAATGGAAGAAGCTCATCATAATCATGATCATCTAGTGTGAGATATACTCAGAGTCCAGGATAGGCCAGGTAGGAAACCAGGGACTATTTCAAACACTGGGCATGGGCCATCCTATGTAACATGGGATGTGGGTGTGGAACCACAGGACTTGAGGCCAGAGACCACAGAACAACTGCAGGGTTAAGATAGGGCAGGGTCAAAAAAGAAAGCAAGAAAAAGAGCCAAATGACTTCTAGACTATAGCTGAATTGAAAACCAGAAGACATTTTCAGTTAATGAGGGCGGAGTGTATGAGAACAAGGGTCACCCATTTCAGGGAATTTTGAAAACAAGTTGATAACATGCCAGACTTTGGTCTTATTGGTCTTGCTGCTTCCATGGGGATGTTTCCTGTGAGTGTGTTTAAAGGGCCCACAGGGCTCTAGACAAATGGTCCATAAGGATGCCTTTCTTTTTGTTATAAATACAGTGTAATGGCATGCCTCATTTGCCAGTTAAAAGTCATAATGGCTTATTCAGATCCATCATGCTAAGGATTACTCAGGGACTGTTGAATAGACACATGTTTCTGCTGCCAGAAAATACATTTAGTCCCCGTTTACACTATATTACATTGTTATATGTTGCTTCTTCGTGAGTTTTTTTAAAAAGCCTAGGTAAGGAAGAGAGAGAATTCATGCATATTACATTGTTACATGTTGCTTCTTCACAAGTTGTTAAAAAGGCCTAGGTAAGGAAGAGAGAGAATTCATGCCATACGTTGGCCTCATCCTCTTTTTTTTTTTTTTTTTTTTTTTAATTTCCCACAATCCTGTTACCATAGTCCATGTCGTCACAAAAGAAAAGCCTAGGCAAAGTTAGTAAATATAAAATAGGTTACTTTTGAAGAAAATATCTGGATATAGTCTATTTTCCATGTGTAGAATAATAAATCAATGGGTACCAATTTTCACAGTAAAGCTATCTGAATAATTAAAGTTTAGCTTTTCTAAACTGGGCCACATATCTAATCAGCTGTTTATTGCTGCCCGTGTTTGTGTCTGTTCCAGTAACTCACTTTTTATTCACCTGTACTTTTGTCATGGTATTGTTCAAATAAGGGAAAATAAAACTTTAAAAACTTCCTTTGGGCATAAGAAAAAGGCTGGAAAACAATACATCATAAACATAATGCATCAGTTTATGATTCTATCCACTTGTTTTATGGACATGTCAAGTTATGTGAATTAAATGATTAAAACTTAATACTGACCCTAGCTATTTATTCTTCTTTAAAAATTATATTTGCAAGCTGCTACTGAAGCCAGTGTAGAAATGATTCCTAACAGATAGAATCCCAGTCTTAAAAGATGTCACAAAGAACTGGGTTCTAATTTCCTTCCATTTTCTCTTAGTTCTAACCTCATTATAATTTTTATATTTCAAACATACTTCTCTCTTTAATTTTTTAAAAACATTTACTTTTAATTTTAAACCTTTTTGTCACATGCTGGCTTTGAATGGATTCCAGTGAGATAGCTGCTCTGAGACATACGAAGTATATGATTCATCCTGATTTTGAAGCAGGATATCTCCAGGTGGTGTTGAGCTAGTTCTCTATGAGCATATCATGAGTAGTTTAGCCCTCAGGAGTACATATCTCCACCTTAGCCCTAGCCCTAGCAGACCTCATCAAGCCCCATAGCCTCATGGAGTGGAAGACGCCTCCTCACTTCCACTCTGAGCTGTTTACAGGGATCATGGAAATATGGTTTGATGGACAGAGAGGCCTTCTGGGAATTAATGACACTGGTGCTTGTAGGATGGATACACTCTTCACCTGGGGACAGAGTCCAAGAGCCCGGCCGGGCGCTGTGGCTCACGCCTGTAATCCCAGCACTTTGGGAGGCCGAGGCGGGCGGATCATAAGGTCAGGAGATCGAGACCATCCGGGCTAACACGGTGAAACCCCGTCTCTACTAAAAATACAAAAAATTAGCCGGGCGAGGTGGCGGGCGCCTGTAGTCCCAGCTACTCGGGAGGCTGAGGCAGGAGAATGGCGTGAACCCCGGGGGGCGGAGTGTGCAGTGAGCCGAGATCGCGCCACTGCACTCCAGCCTGGGCGACAGCGAGACTCCGTCTCAAAAAAAAAAAAAACAAAAAAAAAACCCAAGAGCCCTGGAGGCGTTCAACTTCACTAGCTTTATCTAGTTTCTCGTGCATTTCTCTTTTCTCCCTTAATGTTGTCAGGAGAATTGCTGCTCAGTACATGTCAAACTTTCCCCAAGTGATGGATCATATATAGTGACACACCTCTTAGTAAAAAACCTTTTCACTTAAATTAAGCATTTTTGATATCTTCCACACTGGCAGATTATAAGACTTCAGAAAAATAATAATATATTACATTATTTTATTTTATTAATTATAAAAATTAATATATTAATCTAAAATATAATATTAAAAATGAAAACCAATACTGACTGATTGCTTTCTAAGTGATAGGCAGACTGTTAAGCACTTCACATGTATTGTTTCACTGAATAATGCGTGTTCATTTAACAGTATATTGAAGGGATGTTAATTATTCTATAAATAACTCAAAATGCAGATGCACAATTTCTTTAATTCTGCCTTGTGGAAGTGCACACACATTAGTGGCTAAGAGAAACATTTTATTTGTGTCCTTTTTTTTCCTGTTTCTTTCTGTCTGTCTCTCTCTCTTTTTTAAAGAATTGAAGTTAGTTTTATTCAAAAGTCCTACTGAGGACTGAGACCTAGAACCCAAGAGCAGTTCTGTCAGATCGTTCCAGCACAGGGCTTCAGCTCACTGCTTAGCGACCTGTGTTAGGGGTTCAGTATGTACAAAATCACATCACACTTGCTCAGAAGTTATATTAAAGCAGAATCACATCTAGGTTTGGGCATAAGAATAATTCTCATTATATATTACAGAGGTATAATCACTAACCCCATCAGACATTATTTTATGTGTAGGAAAAGGCAAAAACAAGGGTCATTCGTCTTTCAAGGAATATAGTGACTCAGGCAAAAGACATGGAAGGTCATGTGCTCAGGCCTATTTTGTCTTCAAAGTGTTTGCCTTTTTCTTAGAAACAATAATTAATAAAGTAAAAATTTTTAGTAGCTAAACCTAAGCAAAACATTACTGGCCTTAAAAGAGTCAAATGGGTAAAAATTTTGTTTTCATTAGTTTGAGGAGACCTGTAATTATATATGTTCTTAATTACTTATTGTATTTATTGGATAATGTAATAGACAACACTCTGTTGCGATCAAGAATAATATGTAAATTGGTTTTTAGCACAAAGAAGGTTTTAGCCTCTATAAGTGGTGTCAAAGGTCTAAATCAATATGTATTAGCATACTGTACTTATACTACATTAAATCTTTCTCAAGGATTAATAAAGAAAGCACGTACACATCAGTTACAACAGAAATACTCTTGGGAAAATAAAGTGATGTGAATATTTTGCTTGTTGACATACCTGAAATACGTACCCGTGGCTTTTAGGAAATCGAGCATACAATCATCTGAATTAAATGGGAAGAGGTCAAATGAGGACAATTCAATTTTTACAGCTTATCTTTTTGTTTGTTTGCTTCAGCTCACTCACTCACACACACAGATGCAGCTATGTCCCTGCCCCATGGCTTATATTTTTTTCTCACAAAGCTCATGCAAACTCTTACATACCCATACACTACTTTATAGATATGAGGTCTCACACTTATTACTTGACTTTGATGTCTTATGTATTTTAAATATGTAAAACAGAAATGATATCTTCCTTGCAACATTGTTGCAAAGATTAAATGAGGTAAAAAATTGCAAAAAAAAAAAAACAACAACAGTTAAAGGTCTTAAACATAGTAGCTATTGTTATTTTTATGTGTGTGATGATATCCTGTTACCACTATTGCCAATGATGTGATAAAACTAGCAACAGCCAGTGTGGTATGCTTATTAGTTGCCAAATACTATGCTGAATGTAGCTTTATATACCTCAGCCCATTTAATTTGAGTAGACGATATTATCCCCATTTTACAGATAGAGAATATGGACTTAAATACAGGTGTGTACGCCATTTGTTAAAAAAAGATTCACTTCTGAGAGCTCATAACAGAGTAGTTAAGAGCCTGAACGCTGTGGCCAGATCCTCTGGGTTCTAACCCTGGGCTCTGCCACTTCCTTGCACCATGACTTGGGCCAGCTGCCAATTTACTCTGTTGTCTCAATTTCTTTATTTGTGAAGTAGGAATAATATTCTTACCTATAATTCATAAGGCTGTTACAACTATTAAAGGAGGAATGTTTATGAGGCACTCTAGAATTGTGTCTGGCACATAGTAAGTGCTATAAAAGTGTTTGCTTAATAAAATAAAGAGACTTTAAATTACATTTGACTGGTAGGACAATTTCAAAAGCAATTTTTAATCATCTTGTTTAGGAAATTTTTTTCTTCTTTTTAAAATCAACTCCCAAGCACTTGGAAGGAATTTCTGTGAGTTTGTTATAACCCACAGATCTAAAAAGGTTTGTGTTAAAGTTATTTGGAAGCAATATTAGGTTCAGAAGAGGGCAAATGACGTGACATTCTCAGATCATAAACATCTTTTGTGTAAGTCATGTCCACATAATTTACTTGCAAGTTATGTTCCATCCCACTGAGGTTCCTCCAAGAGCTTGACTATCACTGGTTCCAGTTTGAGGAGCTAGGCCCCTTTTGTAGTTAACCAGAATCCATATCCACCTAGAAAACATGTAGCTCCCGAACAATGAGCACACATGGACACATGGGGGGAAACAGCACACACTGGGGCCTGTGGGATGGAGGAAGGGAGAGCATCAGGCAGAATAGCTAATGGATGCTGGGTGATATGGTTTGGCTATGTCCCCACCCAAATCTCATCTTGAATTGTAACTCCCACAATTTCCACGTTTCATGGGGGGAACCCACGGGGAAGTGACTGAATTATGGGGGCGGGTCTTTCCTGTGCTGTTCTCAAGATAGTGAATGAGTCTCACAGGATCTGATGGTTTGATAAGGGGAAACCCATTTTGCTTGGCCGTCATTCTCTCTGCCTGCCGCCATCCACGCAAGATGTGACTTGCTCCTCCTTGCCTTCCACCGTGATTGCTGAGGCTTCCCCAGCCACGTTGAACTGTGAGTTCTCCATTACACCTCTTTCCTTTGTAAATTGCCCAGCCTAGTGTATGTCTTTATCAGCAGCATGAAAATGGACTGATACACTGGGCTTAATACCAAGATGATGGGTTGATAGGTGCAGCAAACCACCATTGCACACGTACCTATGTAAGAAACCTGCACATGCCTGGAACTTAAAATAAAAGAAAAAAAAAAAAGAAAAAAAAATGTAGCTCCTTTCCTGATCCTATCTTCCACCCCAGATGGAAACTAACAAAGATCTTCTCACCTATCTACATTACTGCCACTTCTGTTGCTTGTGTGTGATACCTTTCCTCCCTCACAGGAGCATTGAGGGACAAATAAACCAAAAGAAGAAAACACAATTATCTTTACACTGATATTTAGATTCCTTACAGGGACTTAGTGTTTATAAGTGATGTAAGTATTATTCTAATGCAAAACATTCTTTTCATTCTGATCTTGGAGTCAGAGCAAGTGGTATTTTGGTTTAAAGTGATGAGATTACCCCTAGACCATCTCACTAAGGGTTATCTTTCTATTGAGAAATATCTTTTGAAGAGATTTCATGCACATCCTTTGTAACTCTTCCCAGTACTTAAAACTTCACTACCAGGAAACTAGTGGCAGAATTATAATGTTGCCTCCGGTCCACTCTGCCACCCTTTTGCAATTTGGCAGCTTCTTGAAGCACTTAAGCAGCTTGGTGCCTTCAGTCTGACACTTCAGATGTGGCCATCAGCTAATGATTCTTGGCTTGATGTTGCAGATGCAACTGTGAGCCTATAAATGAGTAACAAAGGACTTTTCTTTTTTCTAATTTGGGGTTCAGTTGCATCATTAAACGTAAGTATATTGTGTTGATGAAATGAGATTGAAAAATCAAAACATTCAGATTTCTATAGCAAATGTGTACTTAGGAGAGGTTCAAAGAATACGTGTGGAATTGAATTTTAAAAAAAACTACTTCAAGAAAAAAAGAAAAAAACTAACTTATTATGCAGTTGTCTGAAGGGCCAAATGAAGGCAACCTGGTCAGGCACTGCAAAACCCAGAAGTGTCCTAAATGTAGAGGTGGGCACAGGATTTGTTGTACTCTTTTCAATAACTATTTTCTAAGAGCTGACAATGCAAATATGTGCATCTGTTATGAAAAATTGGCACATTTCCCAGTGAACTGTTTTCTGTGTTTATCCAATATGTATTTACTATACATTACTTATGAGCAGACAGAGGAATAAGTACTTGGGATATAAAACTCTCGTCAAACTGATAGTCTGGTATTTGCACTGTTTTTTTCTAAACACTTTGGGTTCAAATCTGCATCTATTACATCTTGAGGTTTTGATTAGGTGCATGCATTATGAGTAATGTTTTATAAATATAGTTGTGAAGAAATACAGGCATTTAATGATTGGACACACAGTCTAAGTTACATAAGGCATTCTGTAATCTCCTCAAAGAACCCCAGGAACTCCCTAAATCGAACTGCTATTTGTTTTCTTCAGACTAAAATACAGCAAATAAATGAACTATGTAACAGAGGTTATATTGAAAAAGAAACTTCCTGGAAGGTTTTTCACTATATGGAAAATATGTTATAGTAGCAAACATAGGACTGAACTAGAATTTTTAAGTCTGCAAAGTTTTTATATTTTTCATATAGAAATTGTCAGTAAACATACTTTGGGTCAATTATTGATTCAGGTAGAATCTTAATATGGAGTTTGGAACAGTTGAAAACTGAGTGAGAAAACAGAGGGATATTTTCTTGAATTTTCAAGGTCAAAATCCATGCATAAATCTATGATTATACTATGTAGCTTTGAATAAGTGCATTTGTTTTGAACAAAACAAAACAATCATGGGAGTTATTGTTTTAGTGAAAGATGCTTTGCTAGAAGTAAAATGTGTTAAGTTGAAAAACATTTACTTTTTTTTTACTGTGGTGAATTTATTTAAATATTTTTCTTCTTTTTTTTAAAAAAAAGCTTTATTGAAGTATATACTTGATATACAGAAAAGTGCACACGTTGAGTGTATATACATCTTGATGTATTTGTATGTATGCGTATACCCATGATACCGTCATCACAACCAAGACACTAAACGTTTTTATAATCTCCAAAAATTTCTTTGTTTGTGTGTGTGTGTGTGTGTGTGTTGTAACAATAGTTAACATTAAATCTACCCTCTTAACATATCATAAAGTGCACAATATTGTTAATTGTGGGTACTATACAGTAGATCTCTAGAACTCGTTCATTTTGCATAAAGAAATTCTATAGCTGAAGAACAACTCTCCATTTCCCCCTCCCCTCACAACTCTCCATTTCCCCTTCCCCTCAGCTTCTGGCAACCACCATTTTATTCTCTGCTTCTATGAGTTTCACTGTTTTAGAGATCTCATGTAAGTGGAATCCTGCAGTATTTGTCCTTTGTGGCTGACTTATTTTACTTAGCATAATATCCTCTAGGTTTATCCATATCTTTGCAAATGGCAGAATTTCCTTCTTTTTCAAGGCTGAATAATAAGGAAACATTTACTATTTAAGTATTGTAATTTCCCTTGTGTAAATTGTTCCAATTTTTGTAATGATAGGGACAGACAAATCATATTTAATTTTATGTTACTCCGTTGGCATATTGGTTCCAGATAAATGGCTCAGAATTAGCCTCGTCTAGTTGTTCTTTGAAAAACTTCATTCAAATAGATAAAATGTCCCAGAAATACACTCTGATTACTGATGTTTTAAAGTGGGTTTGTTTATTTCAAAAACAATATTGAGTTTCAGACATATTTATTTTAAGACAATACTGGGTTTCAGATATATTCACCACAAAGAATTCTGTGACAAGTAAAAGAGAAAAATATTGGCAAACTATATGGTACATTGATTTTCTAATTTTTAGTATATTGAAGCATTGCATTCTCATCATTCTTCCGTCATAGACAATTGAGTCCAAACTGTACTTATGATTTTTTTCATGAATACAATTCCGTTCAGTTGAATAGCTTAGATTCAGTAGTCATTTTTATTCATTCATATACTTTAGCCTATATAGCTAAAAATGTAGAAGTTGTATTATATGTGTGGTGATTGTTACTCTAATCACCTTAATTTTGAATTAGTACTCAACACATATTTTTTCATTTTTAAAGGAAACGAAAAATAAAACAAAGAAATACACTTTCTTTTCTGAAAGTACAAACCCAGGAGTTGAAGAATGGTTAATATATGCCTAGTGAGCACAGTTAATTGGGCTATAAAATAGAAGTTACACAAAGCACATTTTATTTAGATAATGTTATATATAATTTAATTATATAGTAAAGCATAAAATGAGGATAATGTTAAAAAGAATCTATAATTTAAGACTCCACATTTTCTCTTAATGCTATACAACCTAATTGAAATTAACAATACATTGAAATTGTTGACTGACTTGCTTTTCAAAAGAATAACATTTGGTTGGCAGGCCAAGGCGGGAGGATCACAAGGTCAGGAAATCGAGAACACCCTGGCTAACATGGTGAAACCCCGTCTCTAATAAAAATACAAAAAATTAGCCGGGCGTGGTGGTAGGTGCCTGTAGTCCCAGCTACTCGGGAGGCTGAGACAGGAGAATGGCGTGAACCTGGGAAGCGGAGCTTGCAGTGAGCTGAGATCGAGCCACTGCACTCCAGCCTGGGCGACAGAGCCAGACTCCGTCTCAAAAAAAAAAAAATAACATTTGGGTATCAATCAGGAAGGCTGGAGATATGGACACAGGGCAAATAAAGCCAAACAGACACAGAGATATGATTTACACTGTTTTGAAATCACTGCCATGTTCAAATTTTCATATGGCCAACTTCTGCTCATAATTAGAATTATTAAAAAGAAAACTGGTTCAATCGAGACCATCCTGGCTAACAGGGTGAAACCCCGTCTCTACTAAAATACAAAAAAAAAAAAAAAAAAAAAAAAAAAAAATTAGCCGGGCGTGGTGGCGGGCCCTGTAGTCCCAGCTACCCAGGAGGCTGAGACAGGAGAATGGCGGGAACCCGGGAGGTGGAGCTTGCAGTGAGCCGAGATCGCGCCACTGGACTCCAGCCTGGGCGACAGAGCAAGACTCCCGTCTCAAAAAAAAAAAAAAAAAAAAAAAAAGAAGAAAAAGGAAAAAAAAAGAAAACTGGTTCAACTCAGGAAAGTCTCCTGGTGGGTCAAATGTTAGCAAATGACTGGAGAAGTTTCACCTGGCTGTGAAGATCTGTAGCCAGAACTCTTGACAAATTATCACAGCAACTTACTTGCGGCTTTATCTGTGTCCCATGTTTAAACACTTCATAATAGTCTCATTGATCTTTTCACAAAATCCCAGCCTTCTACATCCTCTTTTACAAATTTGTTTTATTTAATCAGGGACCCACTTTTCCACAAGTGTGGTTTGCTTGTGCTGTTCTTTGTCTTCCTCATGTAAGGTTTTATAAAATAATGCAACTTATTCATGGGTTATAACTAGAAAAAAAATGTGGCATTCAAATCCCAGCTTTTGTGAGAGACAAAAACAAACCACTTAAAAACAAACTTGAGTTTTTAGGAAAGTCTGAAATTTCTGCAATTTTCCAATGATTCCATTTAAGCTTTTTAGCATTGCATTATGAAAGATCCATCAAGTTTTGACACAGCTTTGTTTGTTTAAGCAAGGTAAAATGTAAAACATAACAATTTTGTTAAGCTTTCAGGAAGGAAGTTTCTCCCTTGACAGTATAAGAAAAGTATTAACAAGGACCACTTTCTAATACTCTTAGAAGACATTCTTACTTCTGAATATTTACTCAAATGTTTCAACAATGGGGTTTTTTGAAGTTGGTTGAATTTTTTGTGTGGCAAATATTTAAATGGTCCCGATTCCCTATGTATGCTGTATGTAATACTACCATTTTCCTATTTACTCTGTACTGGGGCAAGTGTATGGTAGTAAGGATATGTAGATGGGTAGAAACACACTATTATATGTCTTTGTCCAAATATTTAATGTTTGTATTAAATATTAATAAAGTGTTAAATATCAGAGTTTTTGGCTAATAACTTAGCTGAGAAAAAAGTCGAACATTACTTTCAGTTGCCCCCATTTTTTTAAAGGAATAAGTACACATAAATAGTTTGTTGTAATCAGTGCTATGGTCTGAGTAGACAGCAAGGCAAGAAAAGATCAGTGCATGGGAGATAAATGAGTATTTTAAAGCAAAATCTGAAGCTTGGGTTTTGAAGATGCAGTGATAAAAAGGGATATTTTCTTCCTTTGTTTTTTAGGGGAAAGAATATAAAGTATAACTTGGCATAAATATTATTTTCTCTTATTGAAAATGTCATCCTCTCTATAACAAAAAGAGAGGAAATGTTTGTCTCAAATAGTTGTAAGTTCACTACAGCTCTTGCTGAAGGGCAATATTTTTATTTTTAAGGGCCCCACTGTTTTCATTCTCTCAAGCTGAAGTTTAGTCCTTAGCACTACAGTTTTGCTATGAATAAATCATCTACTTTCTTAGTGTGTGTCAGAAAGTTTTAAAGCTCAGGTAATAATAAAAGGTTATTTTTCTTCTTTCTTTTGAACTGTTGATAGTGGCCAAAGACAATGACACTTTGGTGAAGCAGATTTGCCAAGAGAGACTTTGCAGACTCCACAGATGTTGTGTACTGCAGAGTATTCTGTTCTGCAAAATCATTCTACAGGGCTTCTTAGGGATTTCCTGTTTCTTTTTCAGAGAAGACTACAAATCAACTTAGTTCATTCAACAAATACTGAGTGCCTACTATGTGCAGGACATTGTTCTATGTGCATCTTTAATATTCTGTTTTTAAGTGAAAGTGATGTCTTTTAATCTGACAAGCCCATTTAACTATTTGAAGTTTATGCATGTTGCATCCCCTCTGTTTTGACATGTGAAGACTTAAAGGACACTGACATGAATGAGGATTGGTGGATGGGCATTTGAAGGCTGATGGTGTGAGTGTTTGGGCATTCAGCCAGTGGCATTATGATCTTCCCAGACAACAAAACTAAATGACATGGTGATTTCTGCTCCCTTGCTCTCATTTGTCATCACAATCATTCTTCCTTTAATACATAATTGTCCTCTGTCTTTACTTTTAAGTTCTACTGACAATCTCTATGTCAGGCCTTTCTTTTGTCCTTAGATTATTGCAAGAGCCTCTGACTTTGTCTGAATGGTAATCTAGATTAATATTTCCAATGCATTCCTATGAGTCTGCCCGTTGCCAGCTGAAAAATGGTAAAGAATAATCTTAAAGCACTCCAAATTGCTACTATTAATGTATATAGAAGTATAAAATAACTGGAATCTTCCAGCAGATAGTTGGACATGTGAGTAAATGGAGGCCCAAGAAGCTTAAGTGATTAAGTTCGGGTTTATTAATTATTAGGAAGAAATATTGGAACGAAAACAGAGTTCTATTAAGTTTCAGGTCTGTGTACTCTCTCTTCTTACAAAATATCTTGCATTAAATTTAGTGTTTTCTTCCACCATGTAAGACCTCCCAAGATCAGGGATTATGAAGAAGAAGGATTATGTTTCCCAGAAGAAACAGAAGAGAATTCGTGAACATGGTCACCATGCTGAAATATATGGTGAAAATACAAATGTAAAAGAAAATAGTTCAATTATGCTGGTGTATCTGTTGTTTAATCTTAATTACATATAAAATATGGCTGGAGTGGTATTGCTGTCGTTCAGTAAATGGATAAATAAATGCGTAAAAAAATAGTATGTAGAACATGATATTTAGCATAAAATTTTAGTGTAAAATCTTGTTGGAAGTTCTGGTAATTATCTCAAGGATTAGAAACTATCTGGATCATAAACATACCAGTAACTACGTGGGAATCTGATTGGCTTTTAAAATTTTTGTTTTAAAATTTTATTATTTGTTTAATTTTTCCAATTACTTGCCCAGATAGGTAACTTGATTAATAATGCACTCTCTATTGACTCATTTTCATTTTGTATCTCATGTTCTCACTCTCTTACCAGTGTTTATTGGGGTCACCTCTCAAATAAACTTTTCACTCAAATCTGTGTTTCAGTTTCTTCTCTGGGAGAACCCAAAATAAGACAATTTTTTTTTTCTAGGATACAACTTTATCTCTAGTTGTCTGCCCGTGGTCATTCAAAAGGAGGTCTAATGCTCATCTCTAGGAATTTCCCAATTGTACAGTGCTGCCATTTGGTCATATATCCCTGTAACTGCTTCAACTTCTCTCTGTCTCAGGGACTTGGTCCTTCCATCTTAGGTTCTTGCCAAAATTAGGGGTAATCTCTGCCTACTTTGATGAAATTTTTAAGACAATAAGTTTTAGAGGCTGAAGGAGTATTATTTTGTTTTCTTTATTGTGTACCCAAGACAATGATAAGTGATAGACAAATATTACAGATCATTGATTTTCTGCTGCTGCTGCTTTTTTTTTTTTTTTTTGAGACAGAGTCTTGCTCTGTTGCCCAGGCTGGAGTGCAGTGGTGTGATCTCGGTTCACTGCAACCTCTGCCGCCTGGGTTCAAGCAATTCTCCTCTCTCAGCCTCCTGAGTAGCTGGGACTACAGGCGTGTGCCACCACACCTGGCTAATTTTTGTATTTTTAGTAGAGATGGGGTTTCACCATATTGGTCAGGCTGGTCTCGAACTCCTGACCTCAGGTGATCCACCCACCTCAGCCTCCCAAAGTGCTGGGATTACCGGCGTGAGCCACCGCGCCTGGCTATTTTCTGCTTCTTCTGATAAGACTGTTAGGACCACTTACTAGCACTGGATCTTCATTTAGTTGGCTTTTGGGGATGGATATGAAGGGATTTGTAGAAAACACACATCCAGGCTTTGTGGGCACAAGCTGATAGGTTACTACTTCAAGCTGGTAGGTTACTCCCTTCAAAGAAGGGAGGTATCAGTGTTGAGGGTGACAGAGTCATGTGGAAGAGAGCAAAGGAAACCACATGTAGGGAATGCTAATGGTTGGTTCAACAGGAGATTGTATATCAAAGACATGGAATTAACTTAGGTGCCCATCAATGGTGGAATGGATAAAGAAAATGTGGTACATATATACCATGGAATACTACACAGCCATTAAAAAGGATGAAATCATGTCCTTCACAGCAACATGGATGAAGCTGGAGGCCACAGTCCTAAGTGAATTAATGCAGGAACAGAAAATGAAATACCACACATTCTCACTTATAAGTGGTAGCTAAATATTGAGCACACATGCACATAAACTGGAAACAATAGATACTATGGACTACTACACAGAAGGGAGATGATATAGTTTGGATATTTGTCCCTACCCAAATCTCATGTTGAATTGTAATCCCCAGTGCTGGAAGTGGGGCCTGGTGGAGGTCTTTGGGTCATCAGGGTGGATCCTTCATGGCTTGGTGCTGTCCTTGCAATAGTGAGTAAGCTCTCACAAGATCTGGTCATTTTGAAGCAGTGGCACCTTCACCTCTACTCTCTCTCGTTCCTGCTCTTGCCATATGATGTGCTTACTCCTGCTTTGTCTTCTGCCATGAATAAAAGCTTCCTGAGGTCTCTTCAGAAGGCGAGCAGAGGCTAATTTCATGCCTCCTGTAAGTCCTGTAGAACTATGTGCCAATTAAACCACTTTTCTTTATAAATTGCCAAGGCTGAGGTATTTCTTTATAACAGTGCAAAAATGGCCTAATACAGAAAATTGGTACACAGAGTGGGATGTTGCTATAAAGATACCTGAAAATATGGAAACAACTTTGGAACTGGGTAATGGGCAGATGTTGGAAGAGTTCGGAAGGCTTAGAAGACAGGCATATGAGGAGAAGTTTGAAACTTCTTAGAGACTGGTTAAATCGTTGTATACAAAATGCTGATAGTGACATGGACAATGAAGTCCAGTCTGATGAGATCTCAGATGGTGATATGGTTTGGCTCTGTGTCCCCACCCAAATCTCCCATTGATTTATGATCTTTAGTGTTGGAGGAGGGGTCTGATGGGAGGTGATTGGATCATGGGGGTGGATTTCCCCCTTGCTGTTCCCATGATAGTGAGTGAGTTCTCAGGAGATCTGGTTGTTTAAAAGTGTGTAGCACTTCCCCCTTTGCCTTCTCTCTCTCCTGTCACTGTGTGAAGATGTGCTTGCTTCCTCTTTGCCTTCCACCATGATCGTAGGTTTTCTGAGGCCTCCCCAGCCATGCTTCCTATATAGCTTGTGGGACTGTGAGTCAATTAGACCTCTTGTCTTCATAAATTAGCCAGTCTCAGGTAGTTCTTTATAGCAGTGCAAGAATGGACTAATACCGAGAATTGGTACCAGAGAAGTGGGGCATTGCTATAAAGATCCCTGAAAATGGGGAAGTGACCTTGGAATTGGATAATGGGCAGAGGGTTGAACAACTTGAGGGCTCAGAAGAAGACAGGAAAATGAGGGAAAGTTTGGAATGTCCTGGAGACTCATTGAATGGTTGTGACCAAAATGATGATAGTGATATGGACAGTGAAGTTCCAGCTGAAAAGGACTCAGATGGAGATAAGGAAGTTACTGGGAACTGGAGCAAAGATCATGTTGCTATGCTTTAGCAAGGAGACTGGCAGCATTGTGCCCCTGGTCTAAGTATCTGTGGAGCTTTGAACTTGAGAGAGATGATTTAGGGTATCTTGTGGAAGAAATTTCTAAGCAGCAAAGCTTAGAAATGATGTGGCCCAGCTGCTTCTAAAACATATGCTCGTTTGCATAAACAAAGGAATGACCTGAAACTAGAACTCATATTTAAAAGGGAAGCAGAGCGTAGAAGTTTGGAAAATTTGCAGCCTGACTATGGTAGGAAAGAAAAACCCATCTTTCTGGGGAGGAATCAAGGCTGCAGAAATTTGCATAAGTAAAGAACAGCCGAATATTATTGGCCAAGACAATGGGGAAAATCCCTCCAGGGCATTTAAGAGACCTTCATGGCAGCCCATCCTGTAACAGGCCTGGAGGCCTAGGAGGGAAAAATAGTTTTGTGGGCCAGATCCAGGGCCTTGCTGCTCTGTGCAGCCCTGGGACATGGCACCCTGCATCCTAGCTGCTTCAGCTATGGCCATGGCTAAAAGGGGCCAAGGTGGAGCTCAGGCTGTTACTTTAGAGGATGCAAGCCGCAAGCCTTGGTGGCTTCCATGTGGTATTGGTCCTGTGGGTGCGAAGAAGGCAAGAGTTGAAGCTTGGAAGCCTCCACCTAGATTTCAGAGGATATATGAAAATGCCTTGATGTCCAGGCAGAAGAAAAAAAGAATGGTTTCATGGGCCAGGACCAGGCCCAAGCCCAGGCGCATGACCTTGCTACCCTACAAAGCCTCAGGACACTGCTACCTGCAGGGGTAGAGCCCTCATGGAGGACCTGTACTTGGGCAGTGCAGAGGGGAAATGTGAGGTTGTAGTCCCCACATAGAGTTTTCACTGGGACACTGCCTAGTGGACCTATGAAAAGAGGGCCACCATTCTTCAGAACCCAGGATGGTAGATCCACTGACAGCTTGCACTGTGCACTTCAAAAAGCTGCAGGTACTCTATGCCAGCCCATGAAAGCAGCCAAGGGATCTGTACCCTGCAGAGCCACAGAGGCAGAGCTGCCCAAGACCTTGGAAACCCACCACTTGCATCAGTGTGGCTTGGATGTGAGTCATGGAGGTCAAAGGAGATTATTTTGGAGCTTTAAGATTTAATGAGTGCCCTGGCAGATTTTGGACTTGCATGGGGCCTGCGGCCCCATTGTTTTGGCCAATTTATCCCATTTGGAAGAGGAGCATTTACTTAATGTCTGTATCCCCATTGTATCTTGGAAGTAACTAACTTGCTTTTGATTTTACAGGCTCGTAGTTGGAAGGGACTTGTCTTGTCTCAGATGAGACTTTGCAATTGGACTTTTGAGTTAATGCTGAAATGAGTTAAGACTTTGCGGGATTGTTGGAAAGGCATGATTGTGTTTTGAAATGTGAGAAGGCCATGAGATTTGGAAGGGGGCAGGGGTGGAGTGATATGGTTTGGCTCTGTGTCCCTACTCAAATCTCATGTTGAATTATGATCTTCTGTGTTGGAGGTGGGGCCTCGTGGGAGGTAAGTTGATCATGGGGGTGGATTTTCTCCTTGCTGTTCTTGTGATAGTGAGGGAGTTTTCACATTGGTTGTTTAAAAGTGTGTAGCACTTCCTTTGCTCTTTCTCCTTTCACCATGTGAAGATGTGCTTGCTTCCCCTTTGCCTTCCAGCCACTCTGGCTTCAGCCTTGGCTCAAAGAACCCCAGAGACATCTCAGGCTGACGCTTCAGAGGGCATGAGCCATAAGCCTTGGTGGCTTCTGTGTGGTGTTAAGCCTGTAAGCATGCAGATTGCAAGAGTGAGTGAGGCTTGGCAGTCTCATAGATTTCAGAGGACGTATGAAAAGCCTAGGTTTTCAGGCGGAAGCTTGTTGCAGAGGCAGAGCCCTCACAGAGAATCTTTACTAGGACAATGCAGAGGGGAAATGTGGGGTTGGAGGCCCCACACAGTGTGCCCACTGGGCCACTCCCTAGTGGAGCTGTGGGAAGGGGGCTGCCACCTTCCAGAACCCAGAATGATAGATCTACTCACAGCTTGCACCCTGCACCTAGAAAATTCACAGGCACTCAACAACCTATGGGAGAAGCTGTGGAGCCTGAACACTGCAACGCCAGAGCGGTATTGCTGCTCAAGGCCTTGGGAGCCTACCCCTTGCACCACTGTGCCCTGGATGTGGGACATGGAGTCAAAGGAGATTACCTTGGAGCTTTGTGATTTAATGGCTGCCCTGCTGGGTTTCAAGCTTGCACATAGGCCCCTTTCTGTTGGCTGATTTCTCCCTTTTGGAACAGCAATGTTTATGCAGTGCCTGTACCCACACTGTATCTTGGAAGTAACTAACTTGTTTTTTATTTTACAGGCTTATGGGTGGAAAGTACTTGCCTTGTCTCAGATGAGACTTGAGACTTTGGACTTTGAACTTTTGGGTTAATACTTGAATGAGTTAAGACTTTGGGGGACTATTGGGAAGGTATGATTATATTTTGCAGTGTGAGAAGGATATGATTTTTGGGAGAGGTCAAGGGTGGAATTATATAGTATGGATATTTGTCTCTGCTCAAATCTCATGTTGAATTGTAATCCCCAATGCTGGAGGTGGGGCCTAGTGGGAGGTATTTGGGTCATGGGGGTGAATCCCTCATGGCTTGGTGCTGTCTTTGCAACAGTGAGTGAGTTCTCACAAAATCTGGTCATTTAGAAGTGTGTGGCACCTTCACCCCCACTCTCTCTTGCTCCTGCTTTTGCCATATGACATGCTTACTCTTGCTTTGTCTTCTGCCGTGAGTAAAAGCTTCCTGAGGTCTCCCCATAAGCTGAGCAAATGCTGGAACTGAGTTTCCTGCACAGCCTGCAGAACTGTGAGCCAATTAAACCTATTTTCTTTATAAATTACCCAGTTTCAGGTGTTTCTTTATGGTAACAGGAGAATGGCCTAATACGGGAGTGTGGGAGAGGGTGTGGATTGAAAAACTGCCATTAAAAGTAATGGGAAAAGCCCCAATTATTTTTGCACCAGCCTACAGTCCTACACGTGTGCTCCTTGTATCTAAAATAAAAACTGAAGTTTATAAAGCGGGGAATTGCAGTTATGCCAAATACTCTCAGATTTCCTGGAAGAGTCAACGAATAGGCACACACCTTGCTTGGTTGATCTATTATTGCAACCTTCTAATACCCTCCATGACTTGATTATTATCTGCCTGTCCAGTCCTAATTACACCACTTGTTAAGTTCATGACTTAGAAAAATCTACTGAGCTATTTCACATGTTAGTAATCTTATGTAAACAATAAAGATAAAAATGATTATTTGTAGAGTTTTTGTGAGAATGATATAATCTGTGCTCAAGTTCTTAACCATGCTTGCTACATATTAAGATATCAAAAATGCTAGTTATTATCACTATTATTTTAAGCTATTTCTTTCTAGCTAATGTTCAAAACAAGAATAAAAGCAGGTATTCTTGGATGTTACTTGAAATTAGTATTGTGTGCTATGGAAAGACCTATATAGAGAATGCAAAGTTAATATTACAAAAATTTTAAATCTGTCTTTTAAGGATAGTGGGGAGGAAGTGAGGATGGTTAATGGATTTGAAAACATAGATAGAATGAATAAGATCTAATATTTGATAGCACAATAGAGAGATAATATTAAAAATAATTTATTTGTACATTTTAAAATAATTAAGAGTATAATTCAGTTGTTTGTAATACAAAGAAAGGATAAATGCTTAAGATGATGAGTACCTCCATTTACCCTGATGTGATTATTATACATTGTATGCCTGTATCAAAATATCTCATGTACCTCATAATTATATATAACTACTATATATCCACAAATTTAAAAAAAACTTTAAAATTTCCTTTTACATCTTTAAAATATCTTTGTTTTTTAAAAAATAATTTTAGTGATGTATTAACTAATTTTTCTCTAGTAACAAACAATCTCTGACTTACAAACAAGAGTTCATCTCTTACGCACATTACATGTATGGGGCAGCTGTAGCCTGTCCTCCATATGTCTCCTGCCATATCACACTGAGGAATCAGCCCGTATGTGGACCTACCCATTCTTGATCAGAAGAAAAGCAATAGAGCAGGGAGAAGCTCATAAGACTCTAAAAGCTTCTGCTTGGATACGGTGTGTGTCACATTTACCCACATTCTATTGACCAAAACATGTCACATGGCTAAGCCCAAACTCCGTGAGTCCAGGGACTCTTCTCTTTCTCTACTGGAAGGACTGGCAGGTCATATGGAAATAGATGGCATTGAATGATCCTTTTAAGGGAAGGATGATAGTGAATAATTACAAAGAATTACATGATATGAAGCAAATGGACTTCAAAGGTACTTTTTGGTTTTGCCCAAATTTTCTATTTTCCCCGAAGAACCAGTTTTGAAATTGTTTAGTTGGCTCAGACAATTACTCATTTGAAGTTTCACAGAGAATTTAAGAGAAAACTGTGGGTTGCTGGCCATCTAGGGCATCAATCTGCATCAGTTTAATTAAATTAATATGAAAAATTGTAGTCTAAGTCAAGGAAATTGAGGAGGTAAAAAGATACCTGTAAAATGACTGAAAGCTGCAAGCACATGTCAAATTATTTGTTTTGAAGTCATTTCAAATTGCAGTGGTACCTTCATATATTAAGCATAGTCTATTTGAACCACTATATTTAATTGCTATCCATCATTTACACCAAGTAATATGTGGTAAGGCTGAATTCCTCCTTTTTCTTTTGGCCTAATTTTGAGAGATGAAAACAATTTAATCTCTCAAAATAAATTTACACCTTTTATTCTTTAAACCCTTCAGTTCTTCTTCGCATAGAAAACACTGGTTTCCTCTTCAGTTTCAGTTGCCTCATTTTACTGCATTTGTTATAGACTGAATGTTTGGGTCTCTACAAAATATAGATGTTGAGGTCCTAACCCCTAGCTATATTTGGAGATGGGGCCTCTAAGGAAATAATTAATGTTTAAATAAGGTCATAAGGGTAAGGCCCTGATCTGAAAGAATCATGTCTTTATAAGATAAGATGGCTGGGCATGGTGGCACATACCTGTAATCCCAGCATTTTGGGAGGCTGAGATGGGAGGATCACTTGAGTCCAAGAGTTCAAGACCAGCCTGGCAAGATAGCAAGACCCCCTTCTCTCTATATTTATATGATGAGACACCAGAGAGCTTGCTTTCTCTTTCTTTTTGCATTAGGATGGAGAATTATAGAGAACTGTTTGGATCTGTCCGTTTTGAAATACTGACTTCTCCACTATAGACCCCTAGTTGAATATTAAGTGATTGGCTAGAGATATATATTTGGAAGTTGTCAGCATAAAAGAGCCTGTTAATACCATGGCCTTGGATGACATTGGTTAGGTCTGACTACTTAGGGAAGAGTTCTGAACCCAGAGATACTCTGAAATGTAGAAGTCAGCCACAGGAGGAAGTTCCAGTAAATGAGACCAAGAAGCAGCAGCCAGGGTAGTAAAGGGAAAATAAGCGTGTGTAATTCTTGAGGCTAAGTGACAATCAAGAGAGCTCTCATCCTGGTTTCAGTAACCCAGACATATGCATCGTAATTTGAGCTTTACTGCCCCCATACTCCTGATTATGTATTTTCTGATTCCAACTCTAGTCTACCTTGTCCAGCAAACAGTTTCCTTCCAGACTGAGAAAAGGTAACATGGGGCTTGTTCTTCTTTCCCCACTGGAGTGAAGTAGACTAGTTCACCTTAGCTCAAAGGACTTCAGATTCTGGATTGTATGTTAATAAATCATCTACATATTTCTTCACTTTGATCATCAGCGATATCAACTAAAAGTATCTTAATATATATTTTATATAGCTTAGCTGAGTGAGTAAATATGTAGATTTCAGAGTGACAGTATTAATAACCACAGTGATAATTAAAAATGTTTAGATGTTGTATAGTAAGTCTGTGTTTTTCCTACCACCTCATAGTGGAGAACATAAAAACAGCCCTTCATGAGTGGAAAAAGGGTAGGAGAATGTATGATATTGGAGGAAAAGAGAACCCAAGTCATTCCCCACAAAGGAATTTGTGTTCCTAAAACATCACTGCAAGAGTGTTATTATCTGAATATTTGTGTCCTCTCCACCTTAAATTCATATGTTGAAAAGGTAACTCCTAACATGATGTTACTTAGAGGTGAGGCCTTTGGGAGGCAATTAGGTTTAGGGGAGGTCATGAGGGTGAAGCCCCCGCCACCAATGCCCCAGGAAATTAGTGCTATTATAAGAAGTGATACCAGAGAGCTTGCTTCTCTCAGGATCACTGTATTATTTTCCTGGGACTGCTGTAACAAATCATCACAAACTTGAGGGTGTTAAACAGCAGACACTTATTCACTCACATTTTTACAGGCTAGAATCTAAAATCATGGTGTCAGCTGGGTTGTGCTTTCTTCAAAGGGTCCGGGAAAGATTTCCTCCCTTGAATCTTTCGGCTTCTGCTAGCTACAGGCTTTCCTTGGCCTGTGGTTGCATCACTCCAGTATCTGCCTCCATGGCCACATTGCCTCCTCTTCTGTCTCATATTTTCTTGTCTTTCTCATATAAGAATATTTTTCTTTGGATATAGGACACACTTGGATAATCCAGAATGATTTCATCTTGAGATTCTTGATTTAATTACATCTGCAAATGGGACAAGTTTTCAAATAAGATAACATTCACAGGCTCCAGGCATTTGATGTAAATATCTTTGAGGGGCTATTTTTTTGGTCTGCTACATTTCCTCTTTGAGATTTGGGTATCTCGAAATTAATCAATAGGAAGGTTTTAAGGAGAAAAATAGGCATTAGGGAGTCTAATTTTCCATTCCCCCAGCCACAAGTGTCTAGTTACTTTTGAGTAGTTAGATTGGTTGACTTTTCCAAGAAATCCTTCATGCCCATTATTTCACTCTTATTCCTTTATTCTTTTGTCATGGGAATGCTTTTCTAAACTCAATTCAACATGCAGTTAACTCATACAGAGAAACTCCTAGATGTTGTGTATTGTTCTAAACTCCAATGAGCATTATCTTGTTTAGTCTTCACAATAAACAGAGACACTTAGAGGTTACTTGCTCAAGTTCCTTTGGAACCCAATCTCTTGATTCCAACTTTAATGCTTTCTCCACTCCTCTTAAGAGATAAGCATGAAAGGGCAAGTTTTGGGAAGGAGAAAGGCAGGCACATGTTAAGCTGGTAACGGCTGTTGCCTAAATGCCTAATGAAAGATTTCATAGGAATGATCTCATAGTTATATGAGAGCAAGAATGGGTCATGGCCAGCACTGGAGTGTCTGTCTAAGAACACTTAAAGGAGAGATAACCCACCTACTTCACTAGTGTCCTTGGGTTTGGCCTATGTCAGGATACAGGTGGGTCTGATTGCTTAGCTGTAGCAACTGGCTGACACTAGCTGGGGATAAGGGGGTGGGGACTGGCTCACTACAAAGAGATTCCCCAGCTGGAGCTGCTCTCAAGGGGAGGTGGTGTGGGGGCTTAGCTGCTGTGAAAAACTGGGTGGCCAGTTGGTTGTGGTATGAGCCAGACTGAGAGGGATGTTATTTACGGGAGCCAGTTCCAGCTGGTAGTCATACAGGATGAGGCCACCCTGCAGAGATGGTAGCAGGCAGGGGTGGGAAAAGCGTGGGCCAGGGACCAGTGCTGAGCTTGGGTAACAAAAAGGATGTCGCGAACCCAATCAGGAATGAAGGGCAACTGAGTGTCAAATGTGTGGAGTTGTTGGCTGTGCATCTGGGTCCACTCTTGTTGGTAAAGAGGAGCCTGGCTGGGGCAGGCACGGTGCCTCATACTGTTCTGAGTTTGTCCCCTGGATTATCTTTGGCACAAATGCTTTAATTTGTTTTCTCCCCTTAACCAATTACATTGGTAGGAAAGTCATAGGCAGGTTTTATAGCAGTATTTACCCTTTACCCTGTATATGACCTTAATATTTTTGATCTACAAAATGTAAATATTTTTACATTCCACCTCTCTTTCTCATACAGAAAATGTGAGGATCAATAAAACAGTATACATATGGCTTTCCTGGAAAGAATTGCTATGGAATATAAACGCTTCTTGGAAAGGAGATGAAACGGCACAGAGTATCTGATTCTCAAAGCATGCAAAACTAGTGATTAGTTATGGTAAAAGAGAAGGCAAGAGACAGTCCCCCTATGAGAATAACTTTGGTTGACTTACACTGTTTTTACAATGTATTTGTTTACTGTGTTGAAATTATTGGCCAGAGATTCTGACATGAGTGTTTTTTATTTCCTGCATCTCCAACTAAAACTCCTCATTTCTTTTTCTTTTTTAAAAATTTTTTGCTGCAAGGACAAAAAAATGCTCCCCATTTCTTTTTTAATTAACTTAGTTGCTAACGAGGAGATTCAAAACCTAAATGTTTAGAATATATTTTGGAAATCCTTCTAACCATGATAATAAAGACGAGGTCTCACTTGTTTGCCTATACACTACTGGTATCCTATTCTTTCTTTGATTTTGAATGTTATATCCTGGTATAGATAGACCCGTGGGCATAACAGTGATGGAGAAAAGGTAGGGCAGGGCGCAAGTCCTGAACTTTGACCTAGAAATTCAGATGAAATAAAAATTCTAAACTGGTTTATTTAGGATCATATACATATGAAAACATAAAAAATGGGTATAATGAAATTTCTGCCTGATTCGTGAGCAAATCCAAGGATGTTCTCAAGTGGGAGCATTTTGCTTCTTTGCTTTCCTGCCTGACTGAAAAGAGGAAGTTCTGAAGATGGGAAGTCTATGGATGGCACTTTTCTGGAACTGGCAGGGTGTACCTGACATAGTGGGAAGGAGGGTAAAGAGTAGTGGCCAAATCCACTGAATCAATCCTTACCTCATTCTTTGATGATATCATGAAGCATTTCGCCAGTCTTTAGAAGTCCTGTTGTATTGAGTATCATCCTCCTAGAAAAGTCCACGCAGAACTGTAATGCCATGGGAGTTTATTTGGCTAATCCATAGAGGATGGTGGAGTTGCATTCTCTTATCAGAAATATACCTTCTGCACTCCCACCACTCATCGACCCAGAGAATTTTATATTATTAAATAGAATACAAGCCAGAACTATTTGCATTTACATTACTTAATTAATGTCGAGCAATCACAAGAACTGTGACTATATCTTGGGACTTATACCTGCTTGACCTAGCCTGCACACCAAAGTGATACCTTCCAGAACCAAAAGAACAAAATAATTTATGTTTCAATAGTTACAGAAAAAAGTGATTCTCAGTTTTTAAGGAGCTGTGTTGTTCTTGATTCTGCTAATCAGGTTCAGAAGTACTGAGTTTTAGATTCAAAACACCTAGCAATAAATTTAAAAAAACCAAAGATTTAAAAGTAGACATTTATGTTTCTTCTAAAAAATTATCAAATAAAATGCTAAAATATCAGACAGTCTGTGTCACTACTGGTCACTTGGCTAGCTTAACCTTATATATTAAACACATTAAACAATGTTAGTGGTATAAAACATATGCATACATTGTCATATTTTGCTCTATGATTATTAAGAAAAATAGAATGATAGAGGAAAATAATTGATGTGGTAGAGTCTTTATGAAAATATTTCTTTTTCTTCCAAAGCCCCTCTGGCTATCATCTTATTTTTATAGAAATGGCAGGTATCCATATTTTACAATAATTTTCTCAGAGATGGAAGTAAATCTATGTCCCTCTACTTCTTCGTTCGGTTTCAATACATATTTCATAGCATTCTTAATTTTCAAGATATGACATAATTTATTTTTTTATTTTTAGTTATTTTTGTTGCGTTAATTGGCATATTAGATTGCTAGGGCTGCCGTAACAAAATACCCCCAGACTGGATGTCTTTAACAACAGAAATTTAGTTTCTCACAGATCGGGGAGCTAGAAGGCTGCGATCAAAGTGTAGGCACGTTGATTTGATTCTGAGGCTTTAACTCTTTGACTCGAATATGGCTGCCTTCTCCCTTCATCTTCCACGGTCTTTCCTCAGTCTCAGTGTGTGTGTGTCTGTGTCCAAATTTCCTGTTCTTATAAGGACCCGAGTCATATTGGACTAGGGCCTACCCTACAGACCTCATTGTAACTTAAATACCTCTTTAAATACCTTATCTTCAAATGCTGTTACATTCTGACATACTGGGGATTGGGACTTCAACATATAAATTTTGGGTGACACGATTCAGCCCCTAACAATTGGTTTATTTCCAGCCACTGTAATATAGGTTTGGTGAGGTAAAGGATTTTTGTCTATTTTGATATACTAAGCACCTATATCAGTTCCTGGGACATAATAGACATGAAATTAGTATTTGCTGAATGAATAGATAAATGAATCGGTCAATGGATAAAACCAGTAAGTTGAGTGACAAATACGTCAACCTCAGAGCTCTCTACATCTAACAGATGCCACATTTGCTACTAAAGATCATTTGAACTTGAATTAGTAAGATTTGAACAGCCTTAGTTCTGCTTAGGCATATCAGTAACATTTGTGGGTAAAGCCTGTAATTAGAAATAAGTACCAAATAAAATGCATTAATAATTTCAAAATGAAGAATAAAAAGCACAT
This sequence comes from Homo sapiens, assembly GCF_000001405.40. Classification (NCBI taxonomy): domain Eukaryota; kingdom Metazoa; phylum Chordata; class Mammalia; order Primates; family Hominidae; genus Homo; species Homo sapiens. The sequence continues at coordinate 18,026,406 of NC_000021.9, forward strand.
CAACTGTGGAGGAGAAACAGAACAGTAGGGGTTCGACAAGCTTGGATCACTTTAAGGACAAAGATTTGTAATTAAAAATGAAGTGAATTTAATCTTTGCTGCTAATCACTCCTGCACTGTTAGCCTGTTTTCATCAAACTAATTGATGGCATATGGAACAGATGCATGGTGAGATTACAGCTCCACTTTATGGGAGAGTTATAACAAATGTGACTTTCCCTCTATTACATGCATTAACATTCAGAAAATGCACTCCTTTGCTTTCTTCACATGCCAAAATTGGTTCTTTTGTGCAAAGCTGATTAAAAGGAATCAAAAGATGTTTAATACACATGCAATCCATTTGATTATCCTAAGTCGTTTCTGGAATGCTATGTGCACTGTAATGTGGAGGGCGCACATTCTTAACTTCAACTCCACATGAAAGTTTGTAGACAAAGGTTAAACACAATCTTTACTTTTTTTTGACATATTTCAAAATTCATTTTTGAAGGATGTGATAGTTAAAGTTTTATAAAATTTGCGTCTTCTGTTTTTAGAAAGATAATTTAAGAAAGAAGCAAGTAATACCTTTAAATTTATCTGTCCAGGCTGGGCGCAGTGGCTCATGTCTGTGATCCTAGTGCTTTGGGAGGCAGAAGTGGGTCGATTGCTGAAAGCCAGGAGTTTGAAACCAGCCTGGACAACATAGTGAGACCCCTATTACTATGAAAAAAAAATTAGCTGAGTGTGGTGGCACATGCCTCTCATTCTAGCTACTTGGGAGGCTGAGGTGGAAGGATCACTTAAGGCCAGGAATTTGAGGCTGCAGTGAGCCATGATGGTGCCACTGTACGCCAGCCTCTGTGACAGAGTAAGACCCTGTCTCTAAAAAGCAATCGTAACAATAAATAAAAAAAACTCTCCAGAAATAACATGTCCTTTCATTAGTTTTTTAATAGCAATTATTAAACTAAATAGGTATGGATCTAAATAATTCTCTTCTAATTATAGATTTTGAAGTCATTGAAGGAAAGCAAAATACAAATTATTAATGATGATAATATTGCTCTGTAGTTACACAGAAGAATCACATGTGAATGACTTAAACTTTGGCATGATTCATGTATGTTAGATTTAACGTAGGTAATGAGCATTTCACCTTGAAATGAGTGCTAGGAAACAGGAACTTAGGTAAAGTGCGATGCCTTTTAATATTAAGCACTTCTCTGTTCTTTTTAGCTTGCTTCTCAATTTTGTACCTTGCTGTGACCCCCAGAGTGATTTCAGTTTGCTATAGACTGAATGCTTGTATCCCTTCTCAAATTCATATGTTGAAATTCTAACGCATAACGTGGTGGTACTAAGAGGTGGGGCTTTTGGGAGGTAATTAGATCATGAGAGGAGAGCCCTCATGAATGGGCTTAGTGCCCTGATAAAGCAATACAAGAGAGCTTGCTTCCTCTCTCTGTTCTCTACCAAAGGAGAATACAACAAGAAGATGCCCATCTGTAGACCAGGAGGTGGTCCCTCCCCAGAAACTGGATGGGCCAGCACGTTGATTCTGAACTTCTAGCCTCCAGAACTGTAAGAAATAAATTTCTATTGTTTAAGCCACCTGGTCATGACATACTGTTATAGGAGCTCAAACTGACTAAGACACAGTTCCTTTAAACAGTATCAATACAAATACAACAATGAAAGAAACCTCATATTTCAGTGTGAATTTAAATGTCATCTCTTTGTTGGGAATTTTTTTGAACAAGTAAATTAGCTATCTCTGTTATTCCTTATCACAGCACCTTATTATTTCCTTTAGCTCTTCCTCCCCTCCCCTCCCCTCCCCTCCCCTTCCCCTTCCCCTTTTCCTTTTCTTTTTCTTTTTCCTTTTCCCCTTCCTTCCTTCCTTCCTTCCTTCCTTCCTTCCTTCCTTCCTTCCTTCCTTCCTCTCTGTTTCTTTCTTCTATCTGTGTAACTTATTATCTATTTTTACAGGTAAGTTTCATAAGATCAAGAACTAGACTTGTTTTGGTTGGGCACGGTGGCTCACGCCTGTAATCCCAGCACTTTGGGAGGCCAAGGTGGGTAGATCACCTGAGGTCAGGAGTTCAAGACCAGCCTGACCAAACATGGTGAAACCCCATCTCTACTAAAAATACAAAAAATTAGCTGGGCGTGGTGGCAGGTGCTTGTAATCCCAGCTATTTGGGAGGCTGAGGCAGAAGAATCTGTTGAACCTGGGAGGCGGAGGTTGCAATGAACCAAGATCCTGTCACTGCACTCCAGCCTGGGCAACAAGAGCAAAACTCCATCTAAAAAAAAAAAAAAAAAAAAAAAAGAACTAGTCTTGTTAACTACTTTATCTCCAGTGGCTGGACAGTTACTACTGCATAATATACATCCAGCAAATATTTGTTGAATATTGTTGAATAAGTGATTTCAAAGTCACTTATTTAGCCCAGCCTGGTTCATAGACAGATATATGTTTTGTCAGTTAAGGTAAATAATAGCTGGCATACCTATTTTCAATGATAAAAATGAAAGTAGATTTTATAAATTCATTGTCTCTTTTTATTCCCTGAACATGGTCTGGTTTAGAATTGCACATGAAAAATTATGAAGTGAGCTTAGCATCTCATGTTACCCATTATGCTTTCTCTTTCTCACCTTCTTTAATTTCTTAGAGTTCTTATGGCCTCTTTAATTTTTTTCTAATCAAAGAAAATGAGGTGAGAAGTCACTTTCACTTGGGTGCGGATGAACCAATATCATCTCTCCTAAAGCAATAGATCTATTTATAGGAATCTCAGCTTTAAATAGCATGAGTGATAATAATTCATAAATCAGTCAGACTCTAGGCAATGTGTTAAACATATATATTGATGTGGGGGATGTACAAATTCCTACTTTAATTTATGGCATTAGAATCACACCTTGCTTGCAGGCAGACATTTTGGCCACATGTCTGACATTGTTTGAATATATTATGAAGCCAGATTAAACAATCCTTGTGTATATTTTAAATTTTTTAGAAACAGAAGAATGAAATGAGTTTCACTGAAGATAGATGTGTTATGAAAACATAAACATTTTGAAACTTTGATCAAAATAGTAATCTTTACTTGTTTTTATGTGCAAAAAGGCAACAATTTAGGAAACTTTGTATATATTTAACATGTATCAGGGATATTTTATCTATCTATAAATTTAGCTAAGTCTCTATCTGATTGTTTATTTCTAGTCATCTAGAATCTGGAACCTTCCTGTTTTGGGGGGAATCTCAGGGAGGCTCCACTTCCCACAAAGAGACAAAGGAGGTAGGCATTCCTGTCTCAATGCCCTAGCAGCTAGGGCTCAGGTAAGTGAGCCTCAAGCAAATGGATGTTCAAGCCCAGGACACTGAATCTTATAATTAATTAAAAGATTTTCAAGTTAGTGGGAACTATGGAGTAAAGTCCAGGCGTGCAGTAGTGCTAGTGAGAACAACAGGAAGTGTCCTGTGATAGCATTGCAGCCACATCATCTCTGGGACATGACCTGGCTGTGTTATTAGCTTTTATCCTCTCTTGGATCCTGGGGCTTTCTGAGAGGCTTCTCTAGCCCCCTTGTCAATTATGTAAGGTACTGGAGATCTGTGGCAGGCAGGCTCTAACATAGCCCCCAGTGATCCCTCCCCACTGATTCTTGTGCCCTCGAGTAATCTTCTCTCTTTGAGAGTGGGCTGGACCTAATGGCTAACTTCTAACTAATAGGATATGGCAAAAGTGATGGGATGTTACTCTTGAGATTAGGCTACAAAGAGACTGTGACTTCTGTCATCGGTGTACGCATTCTCTTGCCTACTCTAAGGAAAGCCAAATGACAATTTGGAAACGACCTTACAAAGAGACCTGCATGGCAAGGAACTACCTGGTTGCCAGTCCATGTCTGGACAACGAGCAGCATGGACCTGAGGTTTGTTAACTCATGTGAGTGAGCTTGGAAACAGATCCTCCTTCAGTTGAGCCAGTAGGCTGGCTAGACCTGCTAGGAGTCTTGTGAGAGACCTTTTGTCAGAAACACCCAGCTGAGCCATTACCCACAGAAACTGATGTCATTAACCACAGAAACTGTGACATACTATAACTGCTCGTCGTTTTCCATTGTTAAGCATTGGATAATCTGTTACATAGAAATACATAAGTAATTAAATGTCCTTCCAGAAAATCTCTCTTCTGTTTAAGTAAACTAGATTAGGTTTCTGTTGGTTGCAATGAAGAATGCAGAAATTGTTACTAGGAATAGAAATGGATGGGATCGGACTGAAGACAGTGGAAATCTCTTTAGGATTCTGGAAAAAAATCCTGAAATTTATTGTATTCAATAAGAAAACACTTATTTAAAATTTTAATCTGTGGTCAATTTATAATAAAGTACCCTTTGAAGGCAAAATTTGGGTAAATCCAGTGTTTGCTACCTTAGAAAAATAGTAGAGGTATGTGGAATTTAAAGTCATGTAGCAGGGTGGCTTTTTCTAATAATATTGGGCAGATCAGAGGAGAATAACCAAGGGTAAGTTTCTAGATTTTCAGCAAGGCATAGATGTTTTATGACTTTGCCAAAGATTCAACAACTGTTTGAAGCCATAGGGCTGAGTCAGTCAAGAACCAAATGAATAGTTTGATCTAATTAGTTACTAAATTAGAATGCAGTCAAAATTTTGGTTCATAATGGCTCTTATATGAAAACGGAAACTCAGAATTGGTCTGGCAATATCTAGGAAGATGTGAAGCCCCTGGTGAAGCTGAAACTGCCAACTCCACTGAACTTCTCATGGCAACCAATGCAGACCCACTTCCCCTATCTGGAAAAGTTGTTCTCTCTTTGCCTAAAGATGTCATAAGTCTTTAACCTGTGGGAGATTCCTTACTAGGGCAACTTGCCTCATTTTCACTCTGAAAATACTTTTAATTGTTTACTTAGTTAGCTGATTGGAACCTATATTTAACAGTGGCCCATATTTAATAAAAGAGATGTCAGAAATTCCTTGGTAATAATAGAGAAGAAGAAGCTAAAGAATTTCAGAAGGCTTAAGAAATTGGGGTAATTTTATCTAATATGACCCAGCTGGGGCAGGACAGACTTTATTTGCCAAAATTATGAAAAATAGATTTTTTTGGGGGGGAGAAAAATGCCATTACATTTGCCATTGGAAAGGGGCTTTGGAGATTGTTCTCTGTAGATCAGCATACTATTAAATGCTACAGGTATAACTGGTTCCTTGGTTGCAGTGGGGATGGTTGAATCCTGGAGAGGCAGAGGCCAGGCTTACTTGCATTTTGTATTAGGTAGAGGGGGATAAAATAGCTGTTGAGTCCACTAAGATTCTACTTGAGGCCCAATAAATTACACTATTAGAGAATCCATAGCCTTTTTCCTAATTACCAAAGGGATCGATCCAATGACTCAGCATCTATGAATGAAGAGAGTTCAAATTACCTTTGAGAAAAAACAAGTATATGCTGTGAACCTTCATCCTAGGATTCTCCAAATTATTCTATTTCTACTTGCCATCACAGTTGTATCATTTATATGATTTTTTGGCACTGCCTGTGAATAGACACTAATTTACAATGCTACTGCAGATTACCAGTCATAGTATGGGCTTATGGAGAGTCAGCTGATAAACAGAACTCAAACCAGGTAGGGGGAACTTGGGAAGATGTTAGCAAAGGATAAAACATTTAGTTAGAGAGGAGAAATAAGGTCAAGATATATATTGTACAACATGGCAACTGTGGTTAATAACAATGAATTGAATACTTGAAAATTGCTAGGAGAGTAGATCTTAGGTGTTCACACCAGAAAAATGATAAGTGTATGAAATAATGCATATTTTAATTAGCTGTATTTATCCGTTATTCAATATATACATGTTTCAAAATATGTATATCATAAATGTATACAATTTTTATGTATCATTTAAAAACATTTTTAAAAATAACATTAAGAAGTTAGGAAAATACAGAATGCATACAATAAAGTTCTGAAGGGGAGAAAATAGATTTTTGACCCAAACAATGCTGAATCACTAGGGAGTCATTGGAGATTAGTGCCACAATACAATATTTGAAAGATTCGGGGGAATTGATTCCTACCCCTTTCTCATTTATCTCTCCAATATGACTGGTGCTGAAGATAGATGACTTCAGGAAAATGACAGGTGGTTACCTGAAATGAAACTTCTGTTTCAAATGTGATCCCCTTACTGGAGCAAATCAATGTACCCTAACATCTGGTGTGCAATTACTTACTTGAAAATATTTTTCTCTTATTTCCTTTTTTTTCCCCACTGAACAGAAGATACCAGAACTTTTAAAAGCTAGCACTGTCTCTCCAAACTGTGGCCCAGAATTCCATCGACATGTAGTTTCACTCTATTGTTCACCTGGTGCTGATAGAACCTGGAAAGCAGTTCTCTTAAAGGTGACGGCATGACATTTGCATGGCATTCATTCACTTGAAAATAGCTATTGAGTGCTTATTTTGTGTTAGTTTCCTTTTTAGTATTTAAAACGTAGCAGTGAACAAAAGGGAACAAATTCTTGTTCTCATAAGCTTACATCATGGAAGGGAGAGAGTAAGTATAAACAAGCATGTGTATGCATCACATATTAAATTCTGATGAATGCTATGCAAAGAACAAAAACGGGAGTAAACGAGGTCAGAGGATGATACTTAATATTGGGGGTTAGGGAAGGCTGAACTGATAGGATGATATACCAATGGAGACCTGATGGAACAGAGAAAATGCAACACAAAATATTTTGGACAAGAAAGTTCAAAATTTAAGGAATAGGTAATGCAAAGACAATAAAAGCGGTGACCTGCATTTCACTGTGAACATAGCAGCTGGTACACTGAGTGAGGTAGGGATAAGGACAGAGGCAGGAGATCATATAGGTCATTGTAGTCTGTCTCTGAGTGAATTGGGAAATGGCTGGTTTTGTGCAGAAGTATGACATTATCTGACATATATTTAAAAAGAACCATTTATTTATTATTCTCTTCAGGTGGTATCAGAAACTGATTCCTCCCATAGCATCCTGCCACAAAATAATATTGCAACTTTAATTAATATCAATGTTTGGATTTATTTATGGTAAGATACCACTGGGTGACAGTCCTGTGACCTCTGACTGCAGGGACCAAATCATTATCACTTAGAGAATGAGTGGAACTTAATAGTTTACACCCAGCAGCAGAAATGTGGGAGTAACAGCCCATTGGCCTTTTTCAGTTGTCAAAGTTATGTTATGGGTATAGTAGGGTATAGCCTTGGATCTGTATAACTCTATGTTTCTGAAGAACTAGTGAGACAGAACCATTGAGAACATATTTACATGAGGGATCATTAAAATACCTGGGAAAGAACTCAACATAAGGGAAGAGAATCAAGACGCTCACACACAATGTGACTTCAGAGACCTCTCATTTAAAATAACATAGCTTAAGTTTGGCTGATATAGTCTGTACTATATTCTCACAAAAATACTTTAAAAATAGAAAAAAGAAAAAACCTTATAACATCTTAAGATAAGTTTGAGTATCAGCGTGATTTCAGAATCTGAAAGGAATTTCCACTGACTCTAAGGTATATGAAATTGAATTGAGAACCCTATGAGTGGCCCATCCAAACAATGACTTGGCAAGCTTGCCCACTGTTTCTCTTGTTCATATTATGACTGTGCTTTATTCTGGGAATGGCTATGCTTCTCAGTCATGTGTAGGAAATCATCTTATAAGATGATTTCTATAATATGTAATAATGGAAATGTTAGGAAACAAAATTTGTTGCATTATGTCATGCAAACTTTGCCTCCTTGGCACTTTGAAATCTGTTAGAAAACATAAGAGTTTCTCTTCTCTGTGCACCAGGTGACCTGAAATACATAGTAATTGATGTCGTCATCTTGAATATAAAAGACAAAGTGTGGTGCAAGTGTAGCCCTTCCAGGTCACCACCACCTGTCAGGCAGCAGGGCTTGGGAAGTCTTCCACAATCCACAGAATATGGACTAAGATTTATGGAATAGGATTTACTGGGGAAAGTCTACAAATTAAGAGCCAATAGGAAGGAAAGAAGCATACAGTACCTGCATTTTCTTCATGTCATGGAGTTAATGCCATGGCCTGGGTGGTCTAATAGAAGTGGAATATATTTGTATTAGCGTGGAGGGTCTCCATTCTCCTGTGATTCTTTCTTCTATTGGGTAAATGTGAGAACAACAATTGTCAGCGGGCATGCAATAGACTACTGGGTCAGCAGGCAATCTGAATTTAGAAGACAGCTTTCTATATAAATTGTCTGGGTAATCTTGAACCCCAGTACTTAGATAGTATGTGAGGTCTGTAGGAGACTGAAGTTCTTTCTCCAGGGAGGAAAAAGCCACCAGTAACATGAAAATTTGACTTTAGGTATATTCTCTTTGACTAGAGAAGGAGAGAAAGCCTCAGGCTCGCCACTTGTTAAGGGAGTTCAGAGAGACCTGGTTGCTGTACCACAGTAGGTCATCTCAGATGAGAGAAACAGTTATCAGACTCCCAGTGCATGACTCCAGACAGACCTCTTTTTGTCCACTCCCATTAAGATGGATTGCAGAGAACCTTAAGTTCTGTTTGGTCCTTTGCAACATTTCAGGGAGAGAGGTCTTACTAGCAGAAGATTGAAAAATCTGTTTTTAGATGAGCCTTTATATATGTCTGTATGTTTACTATTTTCTGTGTTCTTCGTTTCCTTGTGTAGACCCATTTCTCCATTTAGTATCGCTTTTCCTTCATTCTGAAGGACTTGCTTCATTTTGAAAGATAATTTGGCTGGGTATAGAACACCAGGTTGTGAGTTTTCTTTCTTTCAGTATTTTAAATACGTTTTATCACTTGCATTGTTTTTGATAAGAAAACTGTTTTCATTCTTACCTTTGTTTCCCTGCACATAGTGTTTTTTTCTCTGCTTTTAAGACTTCCTCTTTATAACTGGTTTTAAGCAATTCGAATATCATCTGCCTTGGTGTCTTGATATTTCTTGTGCTTGAAGTTTGTTGAACGTTTTGGATCAATAATTTGCAGTGTTCCTCGAATTTGGAATATTTTAGGCCACTATTTCTTCAAACAGTTTTTTCTTTTCCCTCACTTCTCCTTTGGATACTTCAATTTCATATATACTAGTCTACTTGAAGTTGTCCCACAGTTTGTTAATGTTGTATTACTTCTTCTTTTTCAGTCTTTGTTTACGTTGCAGATAGTCTCTAGTGCTATGTTTTCATATTCACTAATCTTTATTCTTCAAAACCTAATCTGCTATTAATTTTGTTCAGTGCATTTTTAATCTCAGATGTTAAAGTTTTATCTTGAAAATTCAATTTGGATCTTCTTCTTTCATGTCTCTGCCTAAAATGCTCAATCTTTTCTTTATTTTCTTGAATATATGAATTATGGTGTGTATTAATGTCCTTATGTACAAATCATAGCATCTGTGTCATTTTTGATCTGTTTCTATTGATTGATTTCTTTCTCTTCATCCCACATCATATTTTCCTCCTTTGCATATTTGGTAATTCTTACTTGGCTGACAGACATTATACATTTTATCTTGATTATTTTTATATTCCTATAAGTATTCTTGAACTTTATTCTGGGATGCAGTTAAGTTACTTGGAAACTGTTTTATCTATTAGAGTCTTGCTTTTGAGCTTTGTTAGGTGAGATCATAGAAGCCTGTAGTCTAGGGCCAATTATCCTTTATTACTAAGGCAATACCTTTCTGAGTACTCTACCTAATGACCTGTGAATTCTGAGATTTTTTTCAGTCTAGCTAGTAGGAACACAAACTATTCCTGGTTATGTGTCAGTTCTGGGGAATATTACCTGTAATCCTTTTGGCATTTTATCCTTGGCTTTGTGTAGTTTCCTCACACACATGCAAAGATTAACACTCTGCTGAAGGCTCAAGAGGTATCCTCTGCATATTTCAGGGGCTTGCTTTGTGTATAGGACTGTACGCTCTGGCACTCTGCCCTGTGAACTCTAGCTACCTTGGCCTCCTTGGAATCCTAACTCAGTTCAACTCAGGAAGACCACTGGGTTCTGCCTGAGCTTCCTTTCCCTGCACTGTGGCCTGGAAACTCTGCCTAGGCACTAGAGTGGGACAGCGATAGGTCTTCTTTTGTTTATTTTCTCTTTATCAGAAATCAGTCTTCTTTCCATCTTGATTGAAAACAGTTCTATTATATATATTATCATGAAGAAAAATTTAAGGCAGTATTGGAAAGCTTTTCTAATTTTTTTCTGTTACTTGATGTTATAATTGTTTCTTTTCCTTGTAAAATTAAACTTTTTTTTGATTTGGGCAGATATGAGTGACTTCAGTAAAATTCCCATAAAATAATTAGAACTCTAATATTAGCCAGGAAACTGGGTGGAGTTCTTTCTATTGTAAAGATTTTACTATTTATGGCAGCTTGAATAGCATTGCCCTGCCATATTCAATCATTAACCAATAATATTTTATCCATGCAGATTTTGTACCTATTTTAATATCTAAAACCACACCTGAAAACCAAAACAATTTTGAGGAGACTGATATCTAGAAGGTTAGTATGCCCAATAAAGGTATGAAGAATTCTGGTAGCATTACCTTCTGGAGATTTTAGATTTCCATATATAACATATTTTCACAATATCAGACAATGGGGATGAGTAAGAATTATATTTTAACTCCAACAGACCTACATTGAATTAAATCCTGCTAGTTCTGATACTAATAATTAGAAAACTTATACAGCAAGCGATCCTATGTCTTGGAAGGAGATTTAATTGGCATCCAAGTAAACAGAAAGTTGGGCTAAGTGAAATGTATATATTCTGACTTTTAAAAAATTTTAGGTGTGGAAAATTCTTATTTTGTTAGTAGGAGTAGACAATGTAAATGGAGGAACTCTCAAAAGTCTTCTAAAATGAAGATGGGATAGATCCTAAAATGGTAGAGTAAGAACAATCTTTTAAAATTATCCATAGCAGGAAACAGGAAAAATTATTAGACTCCTACCATCTTTTATAGCACTATGAAGTTCTGGCCTCTATGAAATAGAAGCAGAAAGTCATTAGGAAGACAGAGGTTGAGATGGAAAGGTAACATAATGATAGAAGTAGTAATGAGAAGTGTTAAGTGTGTAGTGAAGGGTAGAGCTGATACCATCAAAGAATTAAATCAGTGATGGAGGATCACTTGCAGAAGCTCTCCAAGATCAGAGAGAATAAAGAGAGACCAATAAAAAGAATAAGTGGGTAAATAATACATATAGAGGAAAAGAACTTGTAGAATGTTTGATGGTTTTAGGGTATCTGACATAAACATTAGAACACTTAGCAGCAATAACCAGTGTTAAGAGAGGGGAATATACAAACTTTAAAAAAAATCAGCATACAGATTTAACATTTTCCTCTCATTTATGCAGAATCAATTCTACAAGTCTTGCATTGTTTTTGATAAGAAAACTGTTTGCATTCTTACCTTTGTTTCCCTGCACATAATGTTTTTTTCCGTGCTTTTAAGACTTCCTCTTTATAACTGGTTTTAAGCAATTTGATTATCATCTGCCTTACAAATACAGCTTTACAATTTTTTTTAATCAGAAAAACATCTGGTACTTTCTCTTTTGGTGAAAAGTTTACTAAGTTGCTTCCAAAAGAATGATTTTTTTAGAAAAGACTAGCCTCAGACTTCTCTTTAGTACTAAATGTCATAATGAAATGACATTAAAATGGAGAATTTTGAGGGAAGAAATTTGAAATGCTAAATTGTGCATTTCCCCAAGGTGTCTTTTACGTTTCTGAGCAATAGAAAGACATTCCCAATGTATAAGGGCTCAGAAGATATATTCCACATGTAAATCAAACAAAAGTAGACAATAAATTAACCTCAGGCATTTGAATGATCATCAAAAATTATAAATTCAAGAGAAGTGGTAATTATGAAAGACATTGATTATGAATGATTTTTTACACAATTTGACACGAATTCAGGAATCCAGTTAAATATAGTTTTAGCTGGACTCTATGTCATGATAGTTAAAGTCGTTTCTGAGATAGTTTGCTGAATTTTTATTTTTTTGCTTTCACTGTATTTCCATTGACAGTGACAAGTGTTTCTTATGCTTTATTATTGAAACTAAGTTTAGATAGAAGCTCTTCCCATATTTGATGACCACTTAAAGTAAGTGGGAAAAATACTTGCCAACAATCACTAAATTACTTGCACTTGGAAAATTACTAAACACATACTTCAGAGTAGAGGTGCATAGAAAACTTAATGACCATGAGATATGAGTGGATAGTTTCTGTATCATTAAAAATCAAGTAAAATGACTTGATGTAAGATTTGGGGTATTTTAGATATTGGGAATGCCTGACAAATAATCTAGTGGCAAACATTAATTGTAAGTCCCTTTTCAATGTCATCTTACATGTAGAATTTTTGAATATTTCATCCATGGTACTTAAAAATAAGAATCTAAAATATGATCCCAGATATGTAAACAAAATATGCTTGGATAAAAAGAAGATAAAGACTTACCTAGATAAGTCCATGGGGATCGCAAGATGTCTTTCTTCTTATGAATTGATGGTCCAAACTGAAATTTTCATTCCATCCCATTTTGGGATGGAAGCTATTTAGTTTAGTGATAATTCTGAATCGAGGGATTCTTAATGGTCAGGATTTATGCTGCCTCAATGTCAAGTCTGTACTAACTCCTCTGTGTTAACACATTACAAATAAATCTGAGAGATATATATCTGTTATTTATCAACTCTTAGATATTCATTAAGTTTGCTATTCTAATATTTTAAGAAGAAATCTATTTTGATTGTTCATGATAATGTAATAGAAAGTGTTAAGTTTGTAGCTTTAGTAGTTAGGGGTAGGGATTGTGGTAGGGAGTAAAGGCCTTAAGGTCAAAGAGTCATATCCCATGCTGTTCTCTAAATCTTGTATGAAATCTTGGACATCATGGATAAAAACCTTAGACATCATGTGTGAAATGTGTTCCTTGCCTATTCCTACCTCTCTTCAATGGATCTTAGAATATTTGACCTGAATTTCTTATTTGGGAACACTTTTATATTGTTTTCTATATTCTAAATCTAGAAATATTGGCCAACTTTTCATTCGACATCTAAGGAACTCTAGAGCCTTGAACTTGCTTTGACAATATGGCTTCTGGTTCTAATTTGGGGCTCCTTAGAGATCCTGAATATAAATTACTCCCTATCCTCTATTACTTATTGGAAAAACCTAACCCCTAATCCTTATGTAACTCATCTTGATGCTACCAAAACCTCAACTCTGGCACCATGCCTTTTTTAAAAAAATTAAATAAAAGTTAAAATAACAATTAAAGCCTTTGCAAATTACCCTTTAAGAGATTTATGGATTGCTATTTTTTCTGCTTAACTCCAGTAAAAGGAATTTGACATTTATATAGATATTAGTTTTCATTTAACACATGTTGAGACTTTAATCCTTATTGGGTCTTGCTGAGCCTCCAAACATGGACTAAGTTCACAGGATAGTTTTTCACAGATGGATCACATCACATAAATAAGAATGTAACTTCACTCAGAACATTCTTTCAAAAGAAATATGTTATTTAACTATTCAAACCTCTTATCATAATTGAGTCTTATAATTTATTTGTTAAAGGCCCTATTTATCTTTGCTCATGAAATAAAATATTCAAAAACAGATTACAAAGTAGCATGGTCATGCAAACTTTGGTAAAAGACTCAGAACACTTTATGTCCACTACATGTGGACAATTCTTTCTGCATATGAACTGCCCTTTCCTGCATCCACAGCTCTTATCCCTTCACTCTGTATTATCTTTACAAAAGAGAAGGAGACGACATACAAAATTAATTTAAGTAAAGGTCTGCATTACAACTGAAAGCCATTAACTGGCAGTGGCTCACCAAAGTACAGGCAAAAATCAATTTTAATTAGTATTTTTGGCTTTAATGAAAAGTGATTACAAAATTGGCATTTTAGCTAATACTGTTGAGATTTATGGTGAGCTGATGCTAATTAATTTTCTGTTGAATTGCTGTAGGCCTTAGTGTCTTCAATAAAATGGTATATTTGCTGATACTAGGGCTGCATCAGCAGTTCAGTTTTGTAACAAAAAGCTTCTTAATGGTTTACAGGTGTATTTTACACTATTGCTCTAAGCTACAGTGCATTATTATTTTTTCCATAAAAAGACTGTTATAGGTAATCAAATTTCATACCATTTTATTAATTGGGACCATTTTATTTTAGTGTATCTTGAGTGTTATCCACAGAACTCTTTACTTCAAATATAGCTTTCTTTTGTCTACTCGCAGGTGGTAAAAAAATCAGATGATATACTTTAATTAGAGAACATTTCATGACTGATTTCTCTTTATTTCTTCATTTTTCCTCTTCCCTTGATTGTATTGGTAATAAATTGGCTTCTGAACCTAGTTACATGCTTTAGATCCATTTTAAGTCAGGAAATAAAAAAAGAATTAAGCTTTACAATTTACTCTTGTCATATGATTTGAGTTTTAAATGCTCTTTAGCTTGCTTTTATTGTGATTATTTCCTCCCTTTTTTAGAAAAGTGAAACAGTCCTTACTGAAGACTAAAAATTATATGATGATTTCTGTAAGCTGAAAATTTGTATCCTGGCATTGATTTGGTTGGACCTATGAAAGTCATTTTGTTCATTTGTTATCGGTGTTATTGGCCTGTCATAGACAGACACAAGGTGGCGTTATCCACACTCAAAAGGATGGCCTATGGAGAAAGAGAGATAGTGTTGGAGTCTTAACTGACCGTGATTGGCTTTGGGGACTTGGGTAAGTTACTTAACCTCTCTAAGCTTCTGTTTACTCAACTGTGTGATGAAAATAACTATGCCCATGTCAAAATATATTTTGAGCATTAAAATTAAAAATGACTTAAAGCAAAACATTCAACAAACAATAGCTATTTTTTTTTAAATGAAAGCCATTTTATTTTGAAACAATGTTTTGTTAAACATCATTTTATTACCTACTGAAATATATATAAAATTGGGTTACAGATTTTTATAATATTTAGGATTCACGTCATGCAGATGCATTTTGTGATCGAAAAAGTCTAAGCACAATATATGATTAAATCATTAATTAGTAAAACCAAAATGATAGAAAATTTAACTGAGAACTATAAGTCTTAGAATTTTGTAGTAGACTGAATGGAATAGGCTCAATTTAAAATAACTGAGATGTCTAGTTCAGTTCTTTTTCTTTTAAAATGAGTACATAGAGGCTCATATTACAAGTTAAATGACTTGATTAATAAATTACAGGTGAGTCTTAGGAAGGGCTTGATCAATTCTACTCTAGTGGCAAATTTTATGGCTTTTATATGTGCTAAAGGGAGCCAAATTCAAATTGATCCACTAGAGATTAGCAATAACTATATGAGAAAGCGTTTGTAGTCCAGATTTAGGATGATATGGGAAGCTGAATATATTTTTTTTAATTTTTAGGTAGAATTTGGAGAGGTGAAAAAATCTTGCTTCTTCTCATTGTTGCCTAAAACATTAAACAGCTTATCACATGAGCTGATGAACGGTGTCCTGTAGGCTTTTAGAAAGTATACTCTTCAATATCCCACTTAAAATTTGAAAAAAAATGTAAATGTTCCACTGAAAAGACTCTGGGAATATTTTCTGTTTAAAAATTTTTAATTTTAATATTTTAGAAGGGGAGACAATTTGTTTTCCAGGAGCACAGCACAGATTTAAATACACATTTGCTAGTCAGGTCTTGGATGAATGGACCCCCTTCTCCCCACCCCCTTCTGCAAACCTTCTTACAGCCTGATTGAGATGGCCCCATTTTGGGGCCCACAAATTGTATAAAATATATCCTCATACCTCAGAGCTATGGCAATAAGAGACATGCTTGGTTTTCATTTTCCAGGTACAATAGAATTATAGAATTATAAATCAGAAAGAAGCCTTAGGGAATATTTATTCTAAAATTCTCATTTTGTAGATAAGGAACTTAAAGCACAGAGGAGTTATAAAACTTGCTCTTGTCACCCAGCCAGTGTGAAGCAGATCTGGGAACTACAGTTCAGGTGCTCTAAACCATAGCTTAGTGACCTCTCCTTTATTCTATATATCCAGTGGTTTAGAAATAAGTTAACCATTTTGTTCAAAATGTGCTTCATTTTATGTTTCTCACATCACTTGATGTGCATAAACTTTCAGGTAAAATATTTTAAGAGAGAAATTCTCTTGCGCAGAAGGTGAAATAATAGAGATACATATCTGGGATAGTTGCTGGGACACGAATATGCAAAATTGTTGAATTTTCAATGTGTCAGCTTTGGTCATTACTTAGTCTTCACCTTTGTATGTCCAGAAAACTTGATTTTGGGGCTGTATTTAAGAATGGTCATGTTCTGGCCATTTTTTTTTTGTTAACTAATTCAAAATACCTTTATGCAAAATGACAATATTGAACTACAGTGAGAAATTTAACTTCTGAGTGAATGAATGAATTATTATTTGCTGTTCTGGAGAAAAGTCTACATTAGGAAGACAAATTATAACTGCAAGATTGCTAATGAATCATAGACACAGAGAAGGGAAATTGGTTGTATGCTCTTAATGATCCTGGTCAGCAAGATGATTGCTAAATGAGTCTATCTCTACTATAGGGGTGTATTGGCCTAGAATACCAGAAAACTCATTGCAGGGCTAGCCTCAAGGGTGTGCAACCTGTGCAGTCGCACTGGGCCAACACACAGAAGGAACCCACTCTTGGTTTAATGCTCTGCTGTTGTTGTCCTGATGTTTTTAATAACATTATCTTTGGACTTGTGGTTTGTAAGTGAAGTCTGTTGGGACAAAGGAGCATGCCTGTGAATGAATAGAGGATATATATGCAGTATGTGAATCTGTCATTTCTTGCTGCCTTATTTTCATTGAGCATCTCGAACACAATAAGATGTTCCATGAACACAGAATTCCAGTAGACCCAGGATGTGTGGGAGTTCAGAGAGACTCAAAGTGTGTTACTTGTACTAAGTAAGCACAGAGCTGACAGCCCAAGTGGCCATTCTTTCCATTCTCACTAGAACGTGCTTAGGTTCCAGAAGGATGACATGATGCTATGAGAAACACTTCTATTCTTTCATACTCATGCTACTTTCCTGTATTAGTTACCCACCTAGGCTGAAAATGATGACATGGGAGGAAAAAGAGAGCAACCTTGTATTAGTCCATTTTCACACTGCTGATAAAGGCATACCAGAGACTGTAATTTATAAAGAAAAAGAGGTTTAATGGACCCACAGTTCCACAGGGCTGGAGAGGCCTTACAATCTTGGCGGAAGGCGAAAGGCATGTCTTCCATGGATGGTGGCAGACAAGAGAACGAGGGCCAAGCAAAAGGGGAAACCCCTTATTAAACCATCAGATCTTGTGAGACTTATTCACTATCACAGAACAGTATGTGGAAACCATCTCCATGATTCAGTTATCTCCCCGCCACAACACATGGGGATTATGGGAGCTACAATTCAAGATGAGATTTGGGTAGGGACACAGCCAAACCATATCAGACCTATAGTTTCTTTTCCTTTCAGTCCTTTTGAATTCTTCAGTAAACTGAAGGTAGAAAGTATTGGTAAAATGTGCACGTAATCAAGAAGTGAAATAAAAACAGTTGATTTAGTTTTGTGCTGTGTTTCTCCTTTGCTGGTAAGAATGAAATATATATGCATGTATGAGCTACAAAATGTGAATTGTGTGATTTCAATAATTTCACATACAAATGCTCTTGTATTTACATTTAAAACTAACATTGAACAATATAAATAGTGAAGTTCATGCTAATAATTTAAAATATTAATTTTTCTTCAGTTAGGAAGAGATTAAATAGTGAATAAAAAACACCACATCGTTGAGACTGCAGAAAAAAGAAAAATCTTTATTTTTTTAACACTTTTACTGGCACATTTTCCTGCTGTTTTAACTAACAACATTGAATTTTCACTTTGCGCTGTAACCTACAAATTTTGGAGTCAGTACTGACTCATTGTGGTCCATAAGAGAGCATTCTATATCATTCTCCAGACACACTGCCATTTTCTGAATTTCAAGCAGATAATCTTCTCTCTTTTGGTAGAAGGAAAAAGAAATACCTTTTTTTTCCTTTAGATCGATTACAATATAGTTGATTATATACTCTTTTATGATATCAATAATAATTCAGTCATGCCTTCTTGAGATTGTATCCTGGTCCTCTTGATTAAATTTTGATTTGATTTGCAAGCTAGCCTAAATTTACTCCAAGTTTACTCTTCAGATGGCTAATTTCATCCTACTTCACAGAGTTGTAAGGGCTTAATTTATGTATTCAATAAATATGTACTGAGCAGCTATTTCCAGCAGGGCACTGTGCGAGGTGCTGGGACTCAGCAGTGAGTAAGATAGACAGGGTCTATGTCGTTATGCAGATGCATGTGGGTGAGGGAGACAGACAATAACAAGTACATAAAAAGGGCAAACTTCCCAGATTTAGATGAATCGGTGATAAGAAAAAAGCAGTGTGATGGAAAAAACAGTAACAAGGAAAGGCCATTTTAAATAGTGTAATCAAGGAAGGACTAAGAACAATGTATAATATCTGATCTGGGACCTGAATAATGAGTCAAAGTTCTAGAAAGAGAACGTTTCAAACAGAGGGAGCTAGAATTATCAAAGCCTAAAGATAAAATACCCTGAGTGTGGTGAGTTGAATGATGGCCTCCAAAAAGATATAAACATGCCCCAGACCTTGTGAATGTGAGCTTATTTGGAAAAAATTACATTTGCAGATGTAATTAAGGATCTCAAAATGAGATAATCCTTGATTAACCAGGTGAGCCCTAAATCCGGTGAAAACTGTCTTTACAACAGATAGAAGAGAACAAGACAGACACAAAGGAGGAGGCCATATGAAGGCAGAGGTACAGATTGGAGTTCAGTTGCCATAAGCCAAGGAATACCTGGAACTCCCAGAAGCTAGGAAGAGGCAAGGAAGAATTTTGCCTTAGAGTCTTTGGAGAAAGCATGGCCCTGTGACACCTTATTTCAAGTTTATGTCCTCTAAAACTGTGAGAGAATACATTTTTGATGTTTTAATTCACCTGCTATGGTTTTAATATTTGTGTACACTCCAAAGTTCATGTTGAAACTGAATCCCCAATGCATCAGTATTAAGAGGTGTGACCTTTGGGAGGTAATTAGGTCAAGAGCACTTATGAATGAACTAGTAATCTTACAATTGACTAGAAGGAACTAGCTAGGCCCCCATTTTTTGCCTTTCCCTCCCTTCTGCCATGTGAGGACACAGCATTTGTCTCCTCCAGCGGATGCAGTAACAAGGTGCCATCTGAGAAGCAGAGAGAAGGCCATCACCAGACACTGAACCTGCCAGTGCTTTCATCTTGAACTTCCCAATCTCCAGAACTATGAAAAATAAATTTCTGTTCTTTATAAATTATTCCATCTTAGGTATCTTGTTATAGAAGCACAAATGAACTAAGCCACCACCCAACTGGTGGTAATTTGTTGTGGCATCCTCAGAACACTAATACACCTGATATTTTTTAAAGAAATAAAAGGGGGTCAGTGTGAGTAAGATAAAGTGAGAAGGTGGAGGAGACCGAGAGGATATCAGAAAAGCAGGCCAACGCCAGATTCCAAAAGGCCACGTAGACATGGGAAAGAGCTGGGATTTTTATTATGAGTCATGGGAAGCGGTTAATGGATATTAAGCTAGAGAATTCTTTGGTGTACATTTAAGCTGCAGTGCAAAGAGTGGGCTGTCAGAAAGTCAGAGTGCAGCAATACTGTAGCAAAAAGTAGGAAAAATACTATGGTAGTTGACCAACTGAGAGATGATGGTGGCACACACCCGCCTTGTTGTCTCAGAAATACATTACGGGGACCAGATTGAGATATATTTTGAGATTAGAATGACAGGACCTGGCGAGATTGGATGTAAGGAATCAAAGATAACTTCTGACATTTGTAGAGCAAACAAGTAGGTAATGGTAATGTCATTTATTCAAATGGCAATGACTAGTAGAGGAACAGGTACCCACTGTTGATAGTGGAAATCAGAAGATTCTGTAGAACATAATTAAGGTTTAGAAATCCAAATGGAAATTTTAGATAGCATTACTTGAGATAATGTATGCTAAAAGCCTAATTAGTTACACATATGTAATTGCTCAAAAAATGAATATATCCTTTAACATTTTATGATGACTTGGTTTTCTTACTTTAGTTGTCACAAAATAGCTATTTTACTGTTTGGGGATATCACTCCATCAATTTATCACTGCGGTCGTTAGTTCTTGCCTTCATTTATTGTTAGACCAGACTAATGGCCTTTGTGGGCAAAGTTCCATAAGCCAAGCTAATTTTCACGTCTCCATATTTGCTATTTCTACACCAATCCACAGGTCATAGAGTGTAATGTCAGTTTAGGGCTAAAATTGCATCACAAATTAGCAAGTGATTCCTCCAAAGTAAGCAGTTCCCTGACACTGGTGATTTGCAAATATTAAATCCACCAAGTAGAAGAAATGCAAGAATCAACTTTTTGTCCAAACTCTACTTTAATCTTGGCTCAAAAAGCCTGAAAATCTGGACTTATGGATGCTCTTTCTAACCCTTCTCCATTTAATTATTATGACTCTGGCAGAAAGAGAAAGTATATATTTTTTCCCTAACAAAGGTAATTGAATATTGCCTAATTAGATTAACTGCACTGCTTTGAAGCCACAGTGATAGATGATATATAGGAGGCCTGGCATTGATAATTGTGAGAGAGAAATTATTTAATGTGAAATGAAGACTACAGAGTGCAGAGGCCACAGCTTTGACCTGGGTGTCCCCTTCCCCTCTCAAACTTTGGATATATATTTTTATATTAAAAATGGAATCTTTTCAACTATTAAAATACATTCAATTCCTTTTTATGGCTTGTAACTGTATATGCTAATTTAATAAGTTTAGATTGCCTGAATTATTTCTGGCTGAGCAGAGCACAGCAGTTTAGCCGTTTTCTGATTAGAGAAGGGAGGAACACACCATTGGCGCTCCCCACATTCACCGTTGCAATAAATATAAAAACAACAGTACTGGGAAACCCCAGAGTGCCACATACAGTGGTCCTTCTGATCTCATTTTCATTGGATTCAGCCTCAATGTAGTAAGAGTATAGATAGCTGTCTGCCTTTCAGGGTAAACAGATATGCATGTTATAGAGAATGACTTGGGAAAAAGCTACCATCTTAGATGTCATACCACCTGCTCTGACCTAAAGCACTTTGGCAGATATTGACTATGAGAAAAACTTGTGACGCTTCACAGTGTGGGTGGTGAGGACAAGAGGCCATTTTTTAATGTTCCATAACCAAAACTTTAACTAACCATCTTGGGAAAATGGCCACCAACTTTTTCTTTGTATTGCTTGTGCTGTATCTCTTCAGTCTACAGAACGTTATACATTTTCCACTTACCCATTCAGGACTTGTCGAGCACCTACTATGTCCTGTGCTTGTGAGAAGTATGTTGCTTTATTTGATGATATGGAAACTGTTAATGAAGGAAGGAGTTAACATTGGTAACTGACAAATAGTGAAAGAGGCCAAACTAAAAATCTCTTTCTTCCTGAGAAAAAGAGGAGGAATTGATTTGCTTTTCTCAAAAATGATGGCGTTCTCATTTGTTTCCCTAAAACTTAAAGTAGAAGAAGTTATGAAGGAATTTCAATGTTTCTTGGTGTCTCTTCAACTCTGAGACTTTTGTGAAAATAATATGGAGTCCCAGAAGTTTTAAAATATTTATTTCTTTGTGAAATGAGATAATTCCTGACTAAGCAATTTGGGTGGAATTAAAAAACAATGAGACATGGTTGGAGGAACTAGGTGTGGGTATATAAGACTTTTTATATTTGCATCTTGTTCGGTGCATAGTTTTTACATCCATGAATTTAGAAAATCATTGCATTTAATACTGGGAAATAATAAAGCTGAAAATATGTAGCAGCAAAAGAAAGAAAGAAAGAAAAATTCTGAAACCCATTAAACCCTATCAGCAAAAAAACTTGGCAAGATTTTGAAAATTTGTTTATGATCTTTGAACTTCAAAATGAATGGCATGCGAGGTAACTGAATAATGCTTTCAATTGAGGAATAATTATAAGCACTGGAACTGCCCAAACATATTGATAATACTATATGCTGAAAATTTTTTTTGGATCTATTTTGCATTTACAGTTGTTAGTACAACAAAACCATATGCAAGCCTCTGTCTGACATCCATCCTTCTGGGGGGCAGAAATGCAACCTACTCTCCAGCCACTTTAGACCTATCGAATATTATTGGTTATAGATTTGTTTTAATGTTCAGAACTTCACATTTTTTTAAAAAAAATAGAATTTTGGTTTACAATGATTTTCAGATGACACTAAAGAACACTTTAGTATTGATTAATCATTTTAAATTTGTAAATTGAGATGAACACAATTACAAAACAATACAAAATTAGTATTTTCTGTTTGGGAAATTATTTTTATCTCCTACATTGTTCTTGTACAGTGTATTCAATATAAACAGACACAGTGTTTAAGCTTCAGCTTCAATAATGGCTGATGGTGATACATTTGAGTAATTCTATTACCAGTTGAATGAGGGAAGCTGCTGTGAATGCGTTACTGAAGTAGGATATTAGCCAAAATTGTGACTTATGGTGATCAAAATAGATAGATGTTTGACAAATAATTGATAAACTTTTTAGAAGTTTGCCAAACTCATGGGAAAATTTTAGAATGTATCTGTCTTTACCAGATTAACTATATAATGAACAGATCTGGAATTTGCTCTACACTGTTTCATAATTATGAATTCAAGATCAAACATGACTCAGATGTATAACAATACTACTTAGGAAAGTAGTGGGATCTGTTTTTCTATTACATTTTAATTTCAATTATATTAGTTTGCTAGGGTTACCATAACAAAATACCAGAGACTGTGTAGTTTAAACAACAGAAATTTATCTTCTCACAGTTCTGGAGGCTGGTAAGTCTGAGGTCAAGTGAGATTTGGTTTCTGCTGAGGCCTCTCTCCTTGGCTGGCAGATGGCTGCCTCCTTACTGTGTCCTCACATGGCCTTTGCTCTGTGTGCTCTCATCCCTGGTGTCTAAATTTCCTCCTCTTATAAGAACATCAGTCGGATTGGATTAGGACCAACACTAACAGCCTCATTTTAACATAATCATCTCATTAAAGACCTTTTCTTCAAATACGGCTGCATTATGGGGTCCTGGGGGTTAGGACTTCAACACATGAATTTTTTGGGAAACGTAATTCAGCACATAACACCAATGTAATTTGTCCATCTGCCCGTGTTTGTTGAGCTTCTCTTAGTCATCAGCACTGAGCTAAGCACAGGTGATACCATGGAGGCAGGGTTTCTGCTTTCCTGGAGCTAACAGCCTAATGGAGTAGAAAGTCAGTTAAGAGTTATGCAGACAAAAAATGAGGTAATTGCAGATGGTGATAATTGCTGTGAAGGCAGTGAAAAGAGTATGTGGTGGAGATCAAAGGAGTGAGGGTGGGAGAAAAAGGGTGTGAAACCTGCTTCGTGTGATCCTTAGGAAACACTCCACAGAGGGACATTTTCCTCAAGGTGTGACAGGTGGCTGTGTTTAAAAAACTGGAAGAAAGGGAGGCTGAGGCACAACAGATAAGAAGTCAAATGAGATCCTTGAAGGGGGCATCAGGTGTTTGGATTTATATGGCCTTTTAGGCTTAGGGAAGAGTTG
The DNA here is from genome assembly GCF_000001405.40 of Homo sapiens. Lineage (NCBI taxonomy): Eukaryota > Metazoa > Chordata > Mammalia > Primates > Hominidae > Homo > Homo sapiens. The sequence goes on from NC_000021.9 coordinate 18,050,332, forward strand.
GGTATTATTTGAATTGCATTATAAAGTCCTTGAACACGTTTAAGCAAGAAAGGCATTTCTGTTTGACAACTCTTACTCTTACTGCTGTGCTGTAGCTTGGAAGGGACAGAGTAGATACAGGGATCCCATTTAAAGGGCTGTGGCTGTAGTGCAGGGCAGTAGCAACAGCAGATTGGACGAAGGTGGTAGCAGTACAGATGAGTGACATAGATAAACGTAAGATACATTTGAAGGGTAGGAATGACAAGACTTGAAGTTAGATGTGCAGAGCAAGGAGAGAATAGAACCAACGATGACTCCCAGGTTTGAACACCTGAGATGTTAGTGCTAGTGTGAAGGAGAAAACTGGGAGGGGACACACTTACGTAAGGATCATGATTAAGAAGGGGTGTTGAGATCCAAGAGTGTAGGTTGGGTCATGTTGACTTTGTGGTGCCTATTAGGTTATCCTAGAAGAATTGTAGACTTGTTGGTGTAGGAACATGTTATGAAGGTTAGAAAAGAAAAACTGAAGTTGGAGTAAAAATATATTCATTTACTAATGATTACTAGTGGTCCCCAGTTAAAACAGTATCTGTGAGCTTAAGTAACTTGCTTTTTTTTTTTTATTATTATACTTTAAGTTCTGGGGTACATGTGCAGAACGTGTAGGTTTGTTACATAGGTATACACGTGCCATGGTGGTTTGCTGCACTCATCAACCCGTCATTTACATTAGATATTTCTCCTAATGCTATCCCTTCCCTAGTCCCCCAGCCCCTGACAGGACCTGGTGTGTGATGTTCCCCTCCCTGTGTCCATGTGTTCTCATTGTTCAACTCCCACTTATGAGTGAGAACATGGCGGTGTTGGGTTTTCTGTTCCTGTGTTAGTTTGCTGAGCATGATGGTTTCCAGCTTCATCCATGTCCCTGCAAAGGACGTGAACTCATCCTTTTTTATGGATGCATATTATTCCATGGTGTATATGTGCCACATTTTCTTTATCCAGTCTGTCATTGATGGGCATTTGGGTTGGTTCCAAGTCTTGCTTTTAAATTAAGGTTTGACTAAAGGTTAGGTACAGCTTTGTCTTTTTTTTTTTTTTATTTTTTCCGTAGATGTTGGACATTTATATGTGACACATTCTGGGCTTATAGGGTTTCATATTTGTGTTCCTATCTCATTTGCTGATGCTACTAGTAAAGGCAGGTTAAGGGGGCAATGTGAAGTTATTTGAAACTGAAGACTGTCATGCTAGATTTTTAGAGTGTAATAAAAGAGCAGTTTAGAACTTAAATGAAAGTGCCAAACAAAATGCTTTTAGTGTGGCTTTGCAAATTGTAAATTTGGCAGGAATTTTAAGAAATGTTTGGTTCCTCTGGCTTTAGTAATTTAGTGAGTTTAGTGATTTAGTAAAGACTTCCCGTTAACTACTTCTTAAATATTTAATGATCTAGGCAGAATGGTAGGATGATAAAAAGTTTGCTGTTGATGAAGAAAATAAATCATTTGGCCCCAAACTATTGGAACCTGAAAAAGAATCTTGTTTTTATATAAGTTTTTCTTATTTTTAATGAAAGTAATTGTTAATGGAAAAGAGAGGTCAGGAAAATAAATTGTGCACATGAAAAGGCAAAACATATGACAGAGCATCTTATGTAAATTTGATAAAGAATTGAGTATGATTTTAAAGGTAGGAAAAAAATCAGATTAGCTGTTTTGTCATTATCCGCCTCTTTAGAAGTTTGTTTTGCGGGAAGGATTCTATTTTCAGTGTTTAAATTGCTCCCAAGAATAAAGAAAGATTTACCAGGAGAAGTTTATTACTAAATAGATCCGGAGAAATCTTGGTATTTACGTATACTAAAGGCTAATCTTCATTTACTCACATTAGGACAGTGATAAACAGCAGGGCATACATCTGAATTTTTTTTAAGTAGTGATTAATTTTATAGGGTGCTATGAACAAATCTTAGGCATTAATTTTTTCCAATGTCTTTATTTTACTGATGAGGAAGCTATGACCTATACAGGTGAAATGTGACTGGCCACAGCTTGTTATTGGAAAGCCTGGTTCTAACCCAGAGATTCTGACTTCTAGGCTAGTACCTTTCAACTCCATAAAGCTTCATTTTATAGCCTGGCATCTTCTTTTGTTAAATAACAAAACATTTTGATAGTTCCTTTGTTAAAAGTATAAGTCTGTACTTTGTTAGAAGAAAAGTATTAATTGGGTAGGAAATCAGTTACTTTTTGTTGGGTATTTTTACCATAGCTAGAAAAAGGTTTCCTAGCAAGGATATACTAGGTTTAAAGCAGATTGGGTTTCCATGTGCCTCTACTCAAACATATTGGCATCTTTTGAGTAGTACTGACACGTCTTTCCTGTTTAGCAAAGGCTTAGTTGTCCCTTATATCACACAGTTTTGCTACCACTCTCCAGAATGAGGGAAACATCTCTGACCAATATTTGGAAAGACACTTCCTGAAATATGTGAATTGAGTTTGTCACTTTTGATTTTGTTAACATGAGTTTCAGGCTAACTATTCTGGCTGACATGTTTAAGCGAAGGGGTAAATGTTTTAGATCCCCACAAATATATTTATTTTTCTCTAACCTGTGTCTAGATAGGTTTTCAAACATTGAGGAAATAGAAACATACTGTGGAGTATATTTAATTTCTCATTAGGTACACTGTGTGCATTTCAATAAGTTTAATATTTATTTTCATGTTTGATAGAGCAGTTTTCAAGCCCAAGCTCTTTATGGATTGTCTATGTGACATAGAAACTATACAGTATTATCAGCTGTGAATGCAGGAAGAGACCAATTCTGAAGGAGTTAAAGCAATTATGCCCAAAAATTTAAGAAAGAGAATAAAGACTATTATGGACAGCTAAAAATGTAAGAGGAAAGATGTAATACTGTAAAGCAAAATTTGGCAAATAAATATTTTTTCTCTTGCCAAAGAACCATAGGATCTTTACATCATTGTAATTGGCATTGCTAGCTTAAAGCACTATTTATTGAAATGCTGATGTAGCATTCTGCATTGACCTCAGAAGACATTTTGTTGCCTGCAGAATTGCCAATACCAGAGGTAGCCAAAACAGTTTTTGGTTTCCATTAAAATATGGAATTGGTCTAGCATGATTAATTTGTCATGGCTGAAAAGACTAAAATTTTACAGCGACTTCATTGCAAATGACATTAATATTTTAGAAATGGAACCTCCATTTGATCATTGATTCTATCAAACTTTCAAGTAGTCTTACAAAGGTAGATCAACAGGAGCATATTTTGGGAGAAAAACGGAAAATCTAGTTGTCTATATTTATTTCTTAATATTTATTTTGAAAAGTTTTTTCTGCTTCATTTGAAATCAGAGTTAGTGAGAAGTACAAAGAGTTGGTAATAAATTGTACAGGAGGCAATAGATTGCTTTTCAGTTATTGCAGTTCTGAGGACTGAAAAGAAGGCAGCCTCATGTAAGACTGTACCAGGATAACTGTACTAACCACTACACATTTTCAGCACTGATTATATCTATATTTATCTCTATTTATATAACATATATAGTATGTGTGATATGACATATGATATATGACATAAATGTGTATAATTTATATATATCACATATAAAATCACATATATCACACCTTATATGACATATATGACATGTATATATATCACATGTGAGAGTAAGATATATATCTGTGATGCAAATGTGTAGCTGTGAGTATGGTTTTCCTGGTACAGGCTAATATTAAGCTGTTTTCTTCTTTGTGATTTTCAGTTTTTCAGAATTGCAGTAATTCTGCTATGTTTATACATCCATATATCTTTATCCATATATCCATGTATATATCCATATATCCATATACATATACAGAGAGAGAGGGAGGAAGAGATCACAGAGGCAGAAAACTTAACTAACTGATGTGTGATAGAGAACCTGTTCTAATAAAATATCAAATTCAAGACCACATGCAAATTCTACAAACATTTTTTTCTCCAATTTTTTATATGGCTTATGACTGTCATACCAACTTGGCCTTAGTACATTATCCATGTTTAAAGCTGGATGATGTAGTAAGTTAGATATAACAAAATACTATACAGCCTTAAGAAAGAAGGAAATCTTGTCATGGATGAACCTGGAGGACATTTGCTAAGTAAAATAAGACAGGCACAGAAGGATAAATACTGTATGATTTCACCTATATGTGGAATCTACAAATGTTAAATTCATAGAAGTAGAGAGTAGAATGGTAGTTACCAGGGCATAGGGTGTAAGGATGGATAAAAAGATGTTGGTCAAAGGGTATGAAGTTTCAGTGAGACAGGAGGAATATGTTTTTGAGATCTGGAGAGTGGAATTTTAAATGTTCCCATCACAATGCTGAGTGTGTGAGATGCTGGATATATTAATTCATTTGATCTAATCATTCCACTATGTATATCAAGACATCACATTGTGCCCCACAAATATATATATAATTTTTGTATGTCAATTAAAAAGAGAAAAGAAAACCAGCCACTAATATCAAAACAATACTTGCTATGTCCCCGATTTCTTAACGAATTAGGCAACAAGCCTCTGTTTTTCCAGCTCATTTGTCCAGGGCTGTCACCATGACCATACTCCCAAGTAGGTGAGACTGGTCGTCCATTGATCACTCTTCTTTCACAGTTCATTGACCCTGTTTTAAATTTACTTTCTTCTCTATCCAGTTTAGATCCTAAAATCTATCCTTTTTATAACACTCAACAATAATAGACTGATTGTGGCATCTCTCCTCACTTTCCCTCCTTCCCATCCTTCCATTTTACTCACGGTGTTCCCTCCATTTCTTAATTTTGTTCTTGTTAGTTGGCAAATATGTAACTGGAACTGAAGAGCTTATATAGAGAATTTAAATAGTAACGAAGAATGAAGAATTATGACAAAATGAACCCACCCTTATGTCCCCCTACTGAGGTTAAGAAACACCAGTTCTCTTCCTCAATTGTGTTTCCACTCTACCCTCTCCTGAGATTATCAATATCCTGACTTCGTATAAGTTATTTCCTTGCCTTTTAGTTTTGAAAACTGAGTAGCAAATGTGAACCTGTATAAAGAAGGAGCAATCTTCCACTACTACAAAAAGCTTCCAAGTAAAAGATAGGTTGAACAGGGTTTGAGGTTCATAGTCTCATGCCTTTAGCTTCCTTGAGAACTACAGCAACCTCTCTTTGGAAAGTTAGCGACAGATCACGAGTAAAGTATGAGAAAAACAGGGCTCACCACAGTTAGCATATCCGGCAGGGCTAAAGTGTGGACTAGGTTCTATGTCTATGAAAAAAATGTGGTCAGAGAGAGTGGGGCATTGTGTTTTCTGCTTTTGAATTTCTGGTGTCATACCTGAAGCTCTCAGGGCTAAGTCAATACCAAGGTGGGGAAGAATGAACATCTTTATCTGGTCCACAGTGACAGAACATAGGGGGAGAGTAGAAATTTTATAGAATATGTTCATAAGAATTCAAGTACCAAAAGATTCTTGGTCATCGTTACCTGAACATTCTATCCTTAGGTTAAAAAGACAGTTTAATGGTGACATGATGATATCTCTCTCTTTCTGTCTCTTTTTGTCATAATGTTTCAATTAGAATGATTGCTTTTTCTGCTGGATGTAGGGCTGGCATCTTAGGACCTTCCTTCCCATCTTCCCCAGAACTCTGATTTCTTTCCTGTCTTGAAGCACTATCTTAGATTTTTTTGGTTGTTTCTTGATAAAGGATTCATGGGAAGTAAAATATTTGAGACTCCTCATGTCTGAAGTTGTTTTTATTCAATCTCATACTTTAATGATCATTTGGAGGGATGTAGAAATATCACTGGCAGACCATTAACCTTCAAGATTTTGAAGGCATTTCTCCAGTGTTTATTGTTTCTTGTGTTGCTGTTTATCAAGTCATTTCAAATCTTGTTTATGTAGGTCACTTGATTTATTTATCTTTTAATAAAAGAGAAATAATTTTTTATCTTAAAATAAATTTTTATCTTAAAAATAAAGAATTATTTATCTTTTAATATCTTTTTGAAATTTGTAGAATCTTTTCTTTGTCCTCTGTGTTCTGAAAATTTACAATGATGTGCATTGGCATGGGCCTATTTTCCTTCTTTTTTTTTTTTTGTGGTGAGTGGGGCATTCCCTAAGGTGTTATAATTCAAAAACTTCTGTTCTTCAATTCTGGAAATATTGCTTCAGCTATATCATTAATAAGTTTCTGTTCTTTCCTTGGAGATCGTTTTGTTCCAAATGTGAGACATCCTGCACTGTACTCTTTTTTAAATTCCTCCTATTTTTCATCTCTTTAACTTCTTGGTCTACTTCTGAGAGATTTCTTCAACTTTTATCTCACATATCTGTTGTTGTGTTTTTCCTTTCTGTTATTATGCTTTTAATCATGCTCCATGAATGTAATATCTTCTCTAATTTTTCTGAGGAGATTAATGGTAGGTATTTTATAGTTTGTTTTCTTTTCTCCTCCCCATGGTTTTTTCCTTCAAGTTGCAGGGAGTTGTTTTCCTGTTTGTTAGTTTTGTTTCTAGCTTTCATTTCAGAAGTCTTCCCCAATATCTGGTATTTCTGCTCATGATTTAGAAGAATGAAAAATCAGGTTTAGTGTTCTAAATGTATAGGTAGGGACTGCAATGTAGAGTTTTACTGTAGGATGATATGGGAGAGTCTTACACTGAGGAACTTCCATGTCATTATCTTCAGATATTTCCGCTTAAGCTAATTACAGTCTCCAGCAAATTGTGTTCCAATTTCATCCTTGAGGGTAAGATCCTGATTCCAGCATTCTGGGAGTGGAGTGGGGAAAGACGCTGAGATTTTCTGCCTTCAGCATCTAGCATTCATGTGGCTATTTATTTTCTTTTTTATAAAATACCATACCCACTTTCTCAGGTATATTTAATCTCTCTCTCCCTCCTCTCTGTCTCTATCTGAAGTGAATAGTTTTCATCTTTTTTTCTATATTTTATTTTTTAGAGCAGTTTTAGGTTCATAGCAAAATTGAGCAAAAATGTACATACAGAGAGTTCCCGTATACCTCTCGACCCCACACATTCACAGCCTCATTCCATATCAACATTCTGCCTTAGAGTGGTTTTTGTTACAATCAATGAACCTGACACATCATTATCACCCAGAGTTCATAGTTTACATAGGGTTCACTTTTGATGATGTACATTTTATGGGTTTTGTCAAATGTATAATGACAGGTATCCACTGTTATTATATCATGCACAATGGTTTTGCTGCCCTAAAAAACCCCCTGTGCCCTGCCTATTCCATAATCTTCAACACATATTTAAGCTTCCTCCATTAAAAAAAATCTTATATAACCCTGAAAGTCTGCCGCTGTATCTCTTGTCTCTTTCACAGGCAAACTTCTTCTTTTCCTTGCTTTCTTATCAACCTGCTTTAGTCTACCATTCAGCACTAGTTTTAATTTTTTTCTTTAAAAAAAACTTAAAAATTGACATATAATAATTGTACATATTCATGGAGTACAAAATGATATTTTGATATATGTATATAGTTAGCAATGATTAAATCAGGGTAATTATTACATTATCACCTCAAATATTTATTATTTCAATGTATTGAGAACTTCAAAATCCTCTTGTCTAGCTATTTGGAAAGATTCTATACATTATTGTTAACTATAGTCATCCTACAGTTCTGTAGAACACTAGAACTTATTCCTCCTATCCATCTGTAACTTTGTATTCATTACCCAACTTCTCATTTTCCTCCCCTATCCACTATCCTTCTCACAATGAGAGATCATCTCACCAGAGTTAGAATGGCTATTAAAAAAAGACAAAAAATAACAAATACTGGTGATGATAGGGAGAAAAGGGAACTCTTATACACTGTTGATGAGAATATACATTAGTACAGCCATATGGAAATCAGTATGGAGGTTCCTCAAAAAACCAGAAATAGAACTACCCTATGATCCAGCAATCCAACTATTAGGTGTTTAACCAAAGGAAAGAAAATCAGTGTATCAAAGAGATAGCTGCATCCCCATGCTTATTGCAGCACTATTCACATAGCCAAGATCTGGAATCAACCTGAGTTCATCAGCAGATGAATGGATAAAGAAAATGTGGCATATATACACAATGGCCATAAAAAATAATGAAATCCTGTCATTCATGGCAACACGGATGAGCTTGGAGGACATTATGTCAAGTGAAATAAGCCAGGCAGAGAAAGACAAATAAATACCACAAGTTCTCACTCATATGTGGGAGAAAAAAGTTGAACTATTTGTGAAATATCTCTAGCTAAGGCCATTTCTGTGTCACAAAATACAAAATGGACTTTTTTTGGTTATAATCTTTCTTGGCCTTTCATGAGCTCATGAGCATCTAACATTCTCTTTCTTTGATTTCAGCCTTATGGTTTTCATTATACCTGCTATACAACTCCCTTTTTGCCTCCTTTACAGGATAATTCTCCCATAATCATTCATTAACTCAGAATGGGCAAGATTCAGTGCCTGATTGTCTTTTTCCCCTTGTTTTGTACTCTCCCAAGGCAGTCTTATCAGTGCTCCTTGCTTTAATTAGCGCCTATATGAAGACAATTTATGAAGTTACATCCCTGACCTGGTGTTATGGACTAAATTTTGTGTCTCCCCCAAATTCATAGGTTAAAGCCCTTATACCCTAGTGTGGCTATATTTCCAGATAGAGCCTTTAGGAAATTAATTAAGGTTAAATGAGGTTTTAAGAGTGAGATCATGATCTGATAGGATTGGTGTTGTTATAAGAAGTGACACCGGAAAGCTGTCCCTCTCTCTCTCTGTACACACACAGAGAAAGGTCATGTGAGGACACATGAAAGCGGCCATCTACAGGCCAGAAAGGGAGACTTTATCAGAAACCAAATTTGCCATCAAACCTTGATTATGAACTCCTGGGCTCCAGAGGTTTGGGGAAAAATAATGTCTGTTTTTTTAAACTGTCCAGTCTGTGGTATTTTGTTATGGCAGCCTGAGCAGACCAGCAAACCTGGTCATCAAATGGGGCGAAGAGCCTTTATTCAGATGTCAGCTTTTTCATTTGTATCCTTAAAAGGTCCATCTAACTGCCTAAAACTCAAACTCATGATCTTTTTTTTTTTTTTTTCCAACTTTTATTAAGTTCTGGGGTTACATATGCAGGATGTGCAGGTTTGTTACATGGGTAAACGTGCTGCACAGATCAACCCATCACCTTGGTATTAAGCCCAGCATCCATTAGCTATTCTTCCTGATGCTCTCCCTCCCCAGCACCCCCAATAGGGCCCAGTGTGAGTTGTTCCCCCTGACGTGTCTGTGTATTCTCATCATTCAGCTCTGTTAGCCTCACCAAACTGACATAGGAACAGAAAACCAAACACGGCATGTTCTCACTTATAAGCGGGGAGTGAACAATGAGAACAAACTCAGATTTTACACTTTGCTGTTCATTCTCAATTTGCAGAACCTGGTTTCTTTCCAATATTCTTTTTCTCTGTTAATGACACTCCCTTCTGTAATCTGAGTCAGAGCCCTAGGAGTCATTCTTGACACCTCCCTCTTTTCTTCACCCCACATTCCGTTCATTATTCCACTGACCCATTATCTTTTACTTTCTTAAGATTTTTAAAATCTGTCCACATTTCTCCTTCCCCATTTCAAACACTTTCTTCCAAGGTGCCATCATTTATTTGATGTGGAAGTCCCCCCACTGATCGCTTCGTATCAATTTTTGCCTCCTTCTAACCAGTTCTCTCCTGAAGCCACGGGGACACCTTTAAAATGTCAAACTAGCCAGGCATGGTGGCTCATGCCTGTAATCCCAGAACTTTGGGAGACCAAAGCAGGCAGATCGCTTGAGTTCAGGAGTTTGAGACCAGCCTGGGCAACATGGCAAAACCTTGTCTCTACAAAAAATACAAAAATTGGCCTAGCATGGTGGTGCACGTCTGTGGTCCCAGCTACTTGGGAGGCTGATGCGGGAGGATCACTTGAAAAGGTCGAGGCTGCAGCGAGCCGTGTTTGCACCACTGCACTCCAGCCTGGGCCACAGAGTGAGACTCTGTCTCAAATAAATAAATAAATAAATAAATAAAATTATCAAACTCCTCAAATACCTTAATCTAGAGGTAGTGATGCTCCAGGAAACTGGAAGCCTGGATATAGTACCCATCAGGGCAGTCCACAGACCAAGGCATGGCAGCTGAATTCATGCTGAATCATCATAAATAGGAATATACATTAATCAAAAGCAGAAAAACTGGGAATTTGAAGACCTAGGTACCTCTGAAGCTCAGGCCATACAGTAGTAAATCTTACTCCTCGGACCAAAAAAAAAAAAAAGAAAGCAAGCAGAAAAGGGAGTTTGTTGTTACCAAGGTTGATTAAACTGTTTGTTGATGAAGAAACCTCTGAAATGGAGTCAACTTGTTTCTGTGTCTGTGCTTCAGAGACTCACCTGAGGGGTAAGTCTGTGAAAAGAGATAATAGCTTATTCACTACAGGGTCAAGCGACTAGGAAAGATAGTAAACAACTACCATAAATGAGTGTCATAGGGAAGAAATCTCCGAAGCTCGGTGTCAGGTTTCAGGTGTTCCAGCGTTGTATTTCCCACAGTAAGAACTATAATGACCAAAAGAAGTGAGGCCGAAGTTCTTTCAGGTACAAAATGAGACGCAAATAACATTTCTGTGGCTAAGTCAGTCATTTCTTCATTTTGGGTACTATAACTAGGAGAACAACTAAATTGGCAAAGGAAGCTGCAGGAATGGACTGAGAAGGTAGATACTAACACTATGCCAGAAAGCGAAAAGCAAATTCCTTTTCAGCAGCAACCATCTCAAAATGTGTATTTGTGGAAATCCATGGTTCAGACGCTTAGCAAATTTCTGAACTTCGGAAGTTCAGGATGACTTTGATGATAAGTCCTTCAATGGAAACTGACAGGAAATACTAGCTGTACAAATATATATAAGCAGTAATGTAAGGGAAAAAAACTAAATATTATGTCTCATAGGAAAATAACAAAGCACTTGAGTTTAGATGAAGAGGCTGAATAACTGATAGATGACAGAGATGAAATGAATGAAAATATTTCTCAAGGAACAGTCATTCTCAAGGGAAAGTCATTGTCAATTTCAGTACTGTATCCTTTACAAATAATGTCTCAAAGACAATCAAACTCAAAATAGCAAAATTATGGTAGAGCCCTTAAATATGGGTCTAGAGACTATAATGATATCTTTAGCCCAAACAATTGCACTTGTCAACATGGATGGGAGGAAAACAGAGGGAACACCAACAAAAGACTCTCCACAATTTCGTGGTGGTGGTGGCAATGATGATGATGAAGATGAATGCAAAAGTAGGCATCAGCAAAGATATTGCCATCTGAGAGATCGAGATTTTGAATGTGATACTCAACTATGCAAGTTTAAACTTGACACAACTTGGGATAAAGGTGATTCTGTTTTATTGGTTCTCAGCAGCTGTGTAAGTGAGTTATCTGAAACAATGAAAATGACAAAGATACAGTGTTTTGCAGAAAATAGTCATCAAAAAGTCCTTGAATATAGACTCATCGGATAAGATGCCATGTGACATTGTATTGTTTGCAATTGATGTAAGGCCTGGATTAAATCTGGTTAGGAGACATAGAAGACAAGGCAAGTGAAGTTGCCATAGAGCAACAGATAGGAGAATAGGAGGAAGAATATAAAAAGTAAAGAACCACCAGACAGTAAAAAGGGATAAAGTACGTGAGTTCAGTGACAAGACTAACCAAGAAGCACAAAGTTTAAACTTTTGAGAATGACAGGCAACAGCCCAGACCTTAATTTGAGTATTGCTGAGCTTTGAGGTTGGAATATTAATTTTTTTATACAGGCGCCATCTCAGCTCACTGCAACCTCTGCTTCCTGTGTTGAAGTGATTCTCCATGCCTCAGCTTCCTGAGTACCCGAGATTACAGGTACACACCACCACAGCCAGCTAATTTTTTTATTTTTTGTAGAGATGGGGTGTCACAAGGTTGGCCACGCTGGTCTCGAATTCCTGGGCTCAAGTGATCCTCCCACCCTGGCCTCTCTCAAAGTGTAGACATTGAGGGGCGTGGTGGCTCACGACTGTAATCCCAGCACTTTGGGAAGCCGAGGTGGGCTGATCACTTGAGGTCAGGAGTTTGAGACCAGCCTGGCCAACATGGTGAAACCCCATCTCTACTAAAAATATAAAAATTAGCCCGATGTGGTGGTGCCCACCTGTAGTCCCAGCTACTCGGGAGGCTGAGGCAGGAGAATTGCTTGAACCCAGGAGACGGAGGTTGCAGTGAGCCGAGATAGCACCACTTCTCTCCAGCCTGGGAAACAGAGCAAGACTTTGTCTCAAACAAAACAAAGTGTGGAGATTACAGACATGAGCCACCACACCTGGCCCTGGAATATTAATTCTGATGCGGGAAAACTACACTGTAAAAGAAAAATTTGTGTCTAGGTCAGAGAAAGAGAGAAAAGGAGAAAGAGAGGGAAAGGACAAAAATGAGCCTTTTTTAAAAAACCATCAATTCTTCTGATTTTAAAAAAGAATGCTATCCTATGATATATGAAAACTTCAGAAAAACTCAAAGAAACGTGAGAAAAAAGCAGAATATGGCTGGTTTGATGAGTGTTCCAAAAATGATGGCTGAGCTAAAACATCGTTTCAAATAACTGAAGATCAGAATTAGCATATATCCAACAAAGTTTACAAGAAAAGTGATAGAGATTGTTTTCATAATAGACTTTTGCTGATAATATCACTGTGTTTATCATTCATGAATCCCTGAGGAACAAAGGAACAGAACCAATGTAGAAGAACTGCTGGTTGACTTTAAGTTCAGAGAAAAGAATACAGAAAAAATGGCAGAAAATGCTGGAAGGTTGTGTCAATGAACACATTATAAAGAATGAACTTTGAACTTTGTAATTAAGATTCAGTAAGCATACTGCCACACTTTAGTGACTTCCTTTCATTTATTACTGAGGACATATTGAAGACGAACAGCATGACATTAATTAATTTAAAGTGGAATGTTCTCATTTGTGTACAGATTTTTCTCTAGGAAAAAAATTGATTGAAGAGAAAATCGGTCATGTGCCCTTGGGGTACAAATAGGTGTGTTTGCAAGAAACCCACCCAGGCTCATACTGTTTGAGAAAAAAGAAAAATAACTGCAACCATTTTCAAATAAATTAAAATTTTATGAAGATTTTAGTTCTTCATTGGTTAAAGAATGATGAATTAACAAATATTCAGGAGATTTACAATTTGTAAACATTCAAAGAATTCTTTTTTGTATGATTGAATAATTATGTAAAGAATACTATTTAAAAATACTTTAAGGAATTTTCATTGCTTTTAAGATAAAACCAAAAATGTTTAACATGGCCTCTAATGCCAAACTTAGCTGGTATCTACCTTCTTTCTCTGCATCCTTTCTCTCACTCACTCTCTCTTTTTCTCACATTTCTCACTCCTACTTTCTGCCTGCTTTCTACTCTGTTCCTCAGTGTGACTAGCTGCTTGTCACTAAAGTTCATTCTGTCTTCCTAGATGATGTCCCTGTTTCCTAACCAAACTTGCTTTCACCTCATACATCTATTCTTCCTTGATATTGTAGATAAATCTTCACTTCTAAGAATCCTTTATTCGCCTCCTCACTTGGGTCAGAGGTTCTTTTAAGAGCCTTTCTTTGTTAGCACTCATCACAATTACAATATATTTTAAATTGTGTCATATCCATAAGTCATACCCTTAAGTTATACCCATCTCTCCCATGTCATAGCCATTTCAATTGTGTCATACCCATTTCAATTGTGTCATACCCATGAGTCATACTCTTAAGTCATACCCATCTCTTCCATGTCAGCTCCAAGAAGACTGGGACTTTGTCAGTGTTTTTACTGAGCAATTTATTTTCAGTGCCTTATACTGTGCCCTACACAAACCTATGTACTTAATATTTTTTGCTAAATTAATAAAAATGAATCCAAATTAAACAGGTATACTAAGTGTCTGCCCCATTAATATTTCAGTAGTTGTTTATAGTTGTGTTGGTTAAAGGCTGTGTAAAAGGAATTCCTGCTGTCTGATTGCTTTGAACTGGGACATTGGTCTTTTCCTGCCTTTGTACTTGAACTGAAATATTGGCTTATGAGCCTGCCAGCTTTCAGACTGGAACTTGCACCATTGGTTCTCCAGTTTCTCAGGCCCTTGGACTTGGCCTGGAACCATACCATCCATGTGCTTGAGTTTCCATCTTGCCAACTACAGATTTTGTGAGTTCTCAGCTTCTATAATTGCATCAGCCAATTCCTTATACTCTCTCTCTCCGCACACACACATGCGCGCACACACACGTATGTAAATATATGTATGTATGCACCTCAGTTATATGTTTGTATCTCCTATAGGTTCTGTTTCTCTGGATAACTCTAATACAATAATTAGTTAAATTAAGTTAAAACAGAATAAACAAGAATATTGCTGTTAGCACAAATGGAATCATGGCTTCAAATGATTTGTGTCAGTGGGACTAGTAATTATTCTATCTTTGTGTGTAGTTTAAACGAAGGAAGGCTATTTGTGAATCAGACTCCAATCATGCTTCTGATAATGGTGGTTGCACTACCATCTGAAGGATAGCATTCATGGGTAGGCTCTGTGGAAAGGACTGGTGCTTGTACACACTAATAGTTATTTTGCCAGCACTTGCTCTTGAAACACAAATGGCACATACATACACAAATGTACTCACACACACAGAGATTCTCTTTTTGTAGCCAGTAATGCCTGCTTTTAAATTCAAGCAACAATTAGCAGTCCTGCATTGGAATAGGCATTATAAGGTACTATATGCCTTCTGTGGATGTAAACCATCTTTTTCATCTTTGTATCTCTAAACCCTAACAGACTGCTTGGACCATAACATGCACCAAAAAATATTGTATGATGAATGGATTTAATGCATAAATGAGTGCATAAAATACATGCTCGTCTGTGATTAACGGAATGCACATAGTTCACGCAAGGAGTTTTGAGCATTGAGAATACTACATGTGTTTGAATACTTGAAACTTGTGCCATTAGTGATATTTCTTCCCTGAAAAGTACAGTATTATTTAATAAGAAGGGAAGGATTTTACCCAAAACATTACAATCCTGGAGATTGCAATCAAGTTGCTGATGAAGCCTCAGAAAAGAACCAGACAGAGCATCATCATATTAAAATTTTGAAGAAGCTCCGGAGAAGAACATCAGTGTTTTAGCAAAGCAAGTGATCATTCATCATTCAGAGGCACTCATTAAGTGCAGTATTGGAAACAAATTTGATAGAATATGAAAGACTATGGCACTTTTGGTTTCCTTGGCAGGAAAAGCTCAAATGAAGTTTTGGTAAATTGTTCGAGGGTATTAGGAAATGCATCTAAAAAAATGCTTTTAACAGGAATGCTGTGATGGCACATTTGAGAAGGAGGAAGCCCACAGCTGATAGTGATGCATGGCTATTTAACATAAACAACCAAATCCAATTTAGCTGCTTCATCAGAAAATTTGAAAGGCAAGTATTTGTTAAGTTTCAATGACCTCCCAATATATAAATCTATAGCAAATTCTACCAGAGAGATTATGGAGGATTTTGGTACTGGTTGCTGATCTAAGATTGAGTTAAATTTACTGGAATTTCTTTTTCATGGCCCCAAATTATAATTTATGCTACTAAATTATGTTTTCTGTCAAATATAAGGCTATATATTTTACTATATGTTATTGAAAGCTAGGAAATTATGTACCTGATTTGCAATCTTGTTCCATAAATAAGGAACATTTCTTTTCCTGTAAACTGAGATTCTCAGGCTGGAAATTGCTCAATTTTAATGGATACTCTAGCAATTTATTTTCTCCTAATTACATAGTTTTATATCTGGTTTTTAAACCTCAATATGGGAATGTCTCATGATTGTTTAATTCATATTTGAATATTTTATTTCAGTGATGCTGCAGGTTTGAATGACCGTCTCTAGGAATAAATGGCTAGTGAGAGATCCCACTCCGTTTTCTGCATGAATAAGAGATCTTATCACAACTTTGTGGAACAAACCTTGGGACAGGGATAGAGAAAATCATGTAGGGAGAAAAGGAAACAAATCACTGCCATTACCCAAACAGAAATATGCTGGCTTCCTGCTACCACATTTTCTGGAAAGTATAACTTAGGGGGGTGTTATGGCCTGAATTCTCTTCCCCTCCCTCCAAATTCATATATTGGAAATCCTAATCCTTAGTACCTCCGAATGTGACTTTATTTAGAGATAGGGTCTTTAAAGGGGCAATTAAATTGAAATGAGGCTTTTATGGTGGGACCTAATCCAATCTAACTGGTATCCTTATAAGAAGACGAAATTTGGACACACAAATAGGTACCAGGAAAGAATGTGCACAGAGAAATGATTATGGGAAGTGACACAATAGGTTGGCCACCTACAAGCAAGGAGAGAGGCCTCAGAAGAAACCAGACCTGATGACACCTTGATCTTGACCCTCCTAAGCCTCCAGAACTATGAGAAAATAAACTTCTGTTATTTAAGTTACCCAGTCTGCGGTATTTTGTTCTGGCAGCTCTAGTGAACTAATACAGGGAGGTAGAAGAATCTTCATGGGTTATGTTTTATGCCAGATGGTGTGAGAGGCTCCTTGCAGGCATTCGCCTCAGCACATTTTCACAACACTTTTAAGCAGTATAGAAAGATGTCTGAGCTAGTGGGAAAGAGCTTATCTTTGGGAGATGAGTATAAACTTACAGGTTGAATTGTGTTCCTCCAAAAAGGTATGTTGAAATCCAAAAACCCAATGCCTCAGAATGTGATCTTATTTGACAATAGGATCATTGCAGATGTAGTCAAGTTAAGATGAAGTCATTAGTGTGAGTGTTCATCCAATATGACTGGTTTCCTCAAAAAACAAGTAGAAATTTGAATGTAGACATGTACAAAAGAATGTCATGTGAAGATAAAGGGAGAAACCGGGGTGATGTTTCCACCAGCCCAGGGATGTCAGAGATTGGCAGCAAACCACTGAAGCTTGGAGAGAGACATGGAACAGATTCTTCCTCGCAGCCCTTTGAAAGAACCAATCCTGAAACAGCCCTTTGAAAGAACACCTTGATTTTTGACTTCTAGTCGTTAGACTATGAAACAATCAGTTTCTTCTGTTTAAGCCACTCAGTTTGTGGTACTTAGTTACAGCAGTTCTAGGGAACCAATACTTGCCTTAGTTCCTTTTTCCTTCATATTTGAGAAATAAGGATGCCTGAATCCTAACTGGCAATCATAGAGTGTTTATAAGGTTCTCTGAGCATTACTTACCATTGCTATTCCAAACAATTTTTCTCCTCTCTTTTGTTCTACTTGTGATATTATCACGCAACAGTCTAGCCAGAAAGGTCATTTGTGATGGATTCCCCAGCTTGTATTTCTCCATGCCCAAAGAGTTGCTGGGCAGATTAAAAAATATATGTGCTCATTTCAGCATTTACTTAATTTTAATTGTTGCTCTGTTTTATTTTTCCTTCCTCCAAGTCTTCCATCTTTCTCTTTTCATCTAAATACTTTTTTTCTCTTATTGGTTTTTATTATTTTTCTCACTTATTTTTATAAATAAAATAAATGCACAACAATTTTTATTAATTTTGTTCTTCCTTCAAACTATGGCCCCAAATAATTTACTTCTCTTCAAACATAAACTTCTATTCAAGAGCAAACTTCTTTATTCATTTTTCTTTTTTTCTTTTTTTTTTGAGATGGAGTCTTGCTTTTGTAGCCCAGGCTGGAGTGCAGTGGTGCGGTCTCAGCTCACTGCAACCTCCACCTCCCAGGTTCAAGTGATTCTCCTGCCTCAGCCTACCAAGTAGCTGGGTTTACAGGCACCCGCCACTACGCCCTGCTAATTTTTGTATTTTTAGTAGGAACAGGGTTTCACCCTGTTGGCCAGGCAGGTCTCAAACTCCTGATCTCAGGTGATCCACCCGCCTTGGCCTCTCAAAGTGCTGGGATTACAGGTGTGAGCCACTGTGCCCCGCCAAGAGTAAACTTCTTTAAATCTCTAAAATTCTTCTCACCAAGTCCTTCCCTAAACTTTACCCCTTAATCCAACTGGGCCTCATTCTTGCACCCTATTCTCACCTGGAAAGTGCTCTCGTAGATGTTCCCAAGTTGAATCGACCTTTTGAAGTCCTCATCTTACTTGCATCTGTGCATTGTTGAAAATTTCCTTCTTACATATTCTGTCCGCTCTTGGTTATGTATGAAGCAACATTTCATTTTGCTTAATTGGCTAGCTCTACTCAATATTATAAGGAAATTTCTTTTTTTTTTTTTTAACCCTAAACCCTGAGGTTTTCCAGGTGTCAATCAATAACTGAAGGATCTGAGGTTTTACTTTATTCGCAAGTTAATCTGCTACAGTTTCTTATGACTCCTGGGTAAGAGACAAAGAATCATTTTACTCACAACAGTGGCAGCCAGAGAATTTAGCATTTGCATCATTTTCCAAGCTCCAGTTCCCAGAAGGTTACCTGAAGAGAGCCAGATGAGGCCAACACATTCAGTAAGTTGTGTTATTGAAGAGGAACCTTGAGGTTAGAGTAAGCAAATTTTTTTATCTCAATTTTATTAGTAAAAACATGCAGAGAAAAATTTCTAGAATAATTATAAGAAAATGTTAATATTAATTATCTTTCGGGGGAAACATAATGAAATTTCAGAATAATAATAAAAGGTTTCTAAGACCTACAGATGACAATTCCTTCTGAGCAATGTTGAATACAACACACTACCAGAAAGGAATTGGACAAACCACAGGAGTGTGCTGCCTAAAAGAGGACCTTTGCATTCAACTTGGTCATTCCTTTACTCGAAAATCCCATTTCGTATTCTATCATTTTATTGCTGTTTTTGCCTATAAATACCACCAAATACACTAGTGGATATCAGCTTTTAAAAATAATTTTCCAACAATGTCATTGGTAATTGTTATACTTTTATAGTCCATTGATTGAGAATATACATATATAAAGTCTGTATAGTGTCCAGGGATATAAGGGGATTATATATATATATGTGGAATATATATATATATATATGGATTATTTGATCCCTGGACACTGTACCTGCTCTATGACCCATGCGTCCAAGAGTGGTTTGGGAACTGCTATTCTATATCTTTTAGTGTTTGATACATAAAGTTGACTTAGTACATTGTGCAATGACAAAGATGGTGGTAAAATTACTTTTTCCTAAAACAGTGACTACTAAAATTTACAACTACAAAATATGTTCTACGGCTTAGAACATACTTTTTATTTTTAAATTTTTTGTAAAGACAGAGTCTTGCTGTGTTGCCCAGGCTGGTCTCAAACTCCTGGGCTCAAGTGATCGTCCCTCCTCAGCCTCCCAAAGTGCTGAGATTACAGACATGAGCCTCTGCACCAGCCCAAACTTTTCTTTTCCTCCCTCTCTCCCTCCCTCACTTCTTCCTCCCTTCCCTTCCTTTTCTTTCCCTCCTTTTCTTTCCCTTCCCTTCCCTTCCCTTCCCTTCCCTTCCCTTCCCTCCCCCCCCCCACCCATTTCCTTTGCTTTCCTGTTTGTTCTTTTTGTTCTTTTCTTTTCTTTCGTTCTCTGGCTAGTCTGGAACTCCTGGGCTACAAATTGGGTATACTGCTCAGGTGATGGGTGCACCAAAATCTCACACATCACCACTAAAGAACTTACTCATGTAACCAAACACCACCTGTTCCCCAGAAACCTATGGAAAAAAAACTTTTTTTAAAAAAGTTCTCCTTGTGTTAATTTTAAGTAGAAAAATAACATTAATGTATTGAGTCTACTTTGAGCTGCAACTTTGAAGACAAAAGAGCAAGTTCTAAAGCTAATTTCTTTTCTTCTGTATTCTCTAGATCCATGTTTCAAAAAGAGGGATTTCACAAAATTCACCAGCAGTCCTTAGGATTACATTGGTACTGAAGTATAGCTAGGGAAAAAAAAAAGTAAAATTGGAGATGAGATAAAACTGTACTAAGTTCGAGAGTAAGCAAATATTTCATAATGGGCATTAAGCCTGCCTGCCTTTTGCTCAGCAGGAAGGCATTATTTTAATTACACTGGGCAATAAACAAATCTTCTTATCTTCTCTAATCTCCAAGCTTGTTCACTATAAAAACATCATTGAAAAGATCAGAATAAACGCTGTTAGTGCTTCTATAGATATGCAGAAACCAAGACACCCATGTAGAACTGACTCCCAATCAAAGAAGTGCGTTACATACCCCGTCCTCCACATGTCCTTCCTGGATGACCTCAACTCCCCATAACTTCAACTACTGCTTGTACCCTAGTGACTTCTAAATCTGTCTCTCTCAACTCTAAGTAACTATGGAAACTTGGGTGCTATAACCAAAATAGTATTATAGTATCCTTTTTTTTTTTGTTTACTCCAATTATGTTCTCTTCCTGCATTACTCAGTTCAGTAAGTCTTGTCAATATTTATTTGTTATTCTAAACTAGTAAATCGCAGATATTATTTGAATATTTGTTTCTTATACTAAGTCATTAAAGCCCTGTTGATTTTCTTGAATATATATATTTTTTCAATTTTTACTCCTCTTGCCCATTTCTGTCTCAGTCCAGACCCTCAAAATCCTACTCTTCCTACTTTGGACTATAACTACAGCATTTTTTTTTTTTTTTTTTTGAGAGGTAGTCTCACCCTGTCCCCCAGGCTGGAGTACAATGGTGCAGTGCAGCTCACTGCAACCTCTGCTTTCCGGGTTCAAATGATTCTCCCGCCACAGCCTCCGGAGTAGCTAGGACTACAGGTGCATGCCACCACACCTGGCTAATTTTTGTATTTTTAGTAGAGATGGGTTTTCACTATGGTGGCCAGGCTGGTCTCGAACCCCTGACCTCATGATCCGCCCACCTCAGCCTCCCAAAGTGCTAGGATTACAGGCATGAGTCACCGCACCCGGCCAGCTACAGCTCTTTCAGTTGGTCTCCCTGTTTCTATGATCACCCCTTCAGTTCTACCCTCTACATGATTCCCTATGTGATTTTTCTAAGAGACAATTATTTCATTTCTACCCTCTACACAGCTCCCCACGTGATTTTTCTAAGAGACAATTATTTCATTTCAGGCTCAGAAAACTTAATTCTCCTATCAATAGTACTTAGAATTTCCCCTGAACTCCAAGGTGCAGATGGATTCCTAGCCAAGTAGAAAGTGATTATACATTTCTATTTCATTTCTATTTCTATTACATTTCTATTTCTATTACATTTCTATTTCATTCTATTTCCATAAATCATACATGCCTATATTTTATGTAATATTTAATATTCGAATTAAGTTTTACACTTACCAATACATACTACAAATATCACAACCGTCTTCAAATATCAGGCTTACTTTTGTCTTAATCTTTCCACTCTGCTGGTCTGTGCATTGTAAAAATTTTGTTATGGGCTTTATAAATAAAGTTCTTTCAGTTCTTTTATAGAATAGTGTAGTAACCTATTTAAATAAATCTTTTTTAAATAGTTTGCATTACAGAAGTATATGGCTGAGCTGCTAGCAGATCTTAACATTCTTAATTCTAAAACTATTAATAGTAAATGTAAAAAATATATAATTCTGATTAAAAACAACGTTCTTAATTCTAAAACTATTAATAGTAAACATAAAAATATATAATTCTGATTAAAAACAACGTTAATTCTAAAACTATTAATAGTAATCATAAAAATATATAATTCTGATTGAAAAACAATTTTAAACATCTCTCTTTAGTTGAAAGCTCTCCCTCCTTATGGCTTCAATGTGAATTCTGTCACAATGCACTTAGTGATGAGCATTAAAAAGCCCACTTATAATTTGTCATTAGAAATTATAGTGAGAAATATTTTTTAAGACACAATGCTAGTTACATGGATGAAGCCCTCTCCCATCCCTCCCCTTTGTTATAAAGGAGTTGACATTATCAAGTGCAAGGGCTTCAGATTTAAGACGGGAATTTAGGAGAAGACTCTAGTTAAAATAAGTATTTGAAGTTATATTGAATATAGGAATTTCAATAAAGAGAAATTTTGATGTTATTGCAATGAGAGTAAAATTAAACTGTAGGGTACAGTCCTAATTTTGTGTATGTGTAGTAACAATTCTGCAAGTATTAAGAGAAATAACTTGTTATTTAAGATAAAAAAAAAACCCATGGATGAGGTAATACAATCTTTACTGACCATCTAGACACAAGCTTGTTACAAGAACATAACCTTGGCAGATGGATCTCCAATTGCTGCATGTCAAAAAGTCAGTCTGCCACCTCACCTGAGGGTGGAGAACCTCTTATACCAAATATACCTATAAAAAAGTTTTCTTTTTTCTATATTCAATGGACTTTTAATTTCAAACTATTTTATATTAGAGTTCATTACAATGACATTTGAAAAATGTTAATATCTCCATGTATTTTGATGTCTCATTTATTATTAAAGTTTATATTTTGATACATAAAAGCTAAGCCTTTGGAAGGCTTCTTATCAATGTGTAACTTCTTCAGTAACAATAACATTTAGATAAGGAATATTTTGGAGATGGGAAATATTACAAACCATCTCAGTGAATCCTTGTGACATTTATCTCATTTATAATGACTTTAGTGGGTGTTGATAATGAAGTGTCTATTATTAATACTCCTACATAGGAAAACTTTTTGAAATAGACAAAACGTTAGCAACTTTAATCTGGAATACAAGGTTAGTACTAGCTTAAAAGTTTTTAAATTAAGGTGAAAATCTGAAAGTAATGCCAGGCAACAAGTTTTAAAAATGACATCCATAAGGTGAATAAAAAATTCAGCAGCAAGTGAAATTGGTTGCATTTTGAGTAGATTTCAGACTGTAGTTTTACCTTAATAAATACATCAATTGCAGTCTTTCTGAGTGATTAGCTTTAATCATCATCCATCTTTTGCATCAGTAATGTATGGCATGGCATGAAGCCTTTTTATACTTCTAATGATTACATTAAATTGACTTAAACTTTCAGGAAGATTCTATGAGTTTTTCTATTTTAAATTATTAACCTGAAAAAAATTTCCACCTTATCTTTTTACTGCATGAATTCTAATGATTATTCAACCGGCATTATTTATCTGAATTAAAAAGTGCAATATTCACATTGAGATTTCAGTTCATTTTTTTTCTAAATCTATCTTTCAGGAAGGAAAAAATAGCTAAGAATAAAAAGATTAGCTTTATATTTTACCTGGCTTACCTCCCAATCTCAGACACCTCAAAATATATAATGTGTTTATTAGTGATTAATTATTTTTATTAGGTATTCACAATCATTTATGTAACTTATTACATACTATGTTATTTTCAGACTATATGTAGATTATATTTATCTTGATGTAATTTAATAAAATAAACTTTATTTTTAAAAAACAGTTAAAAATAAATTTCATAACATTTAGCTTGGGATAGAAGGTCATTTTTTTTCTTATAATTCTGATTTTGCATCACTTAGACATGGAATTAAACAGATGTGTGAGCTGAAATGTCGAAAGAATACTTTGATTATTTTAGTGGCTGAGACATGAATCTAATGGATTACTGCTGAATAAATTGCTGAGCTATTGACATCATAATGGCTGATGGAATTGATTATATAGAAAATAGCCACTGTTTTTCTAGTGATTGAGTGATGGAAAAGATCTCATTTTGCCTGTCAGCCTTTATGAAATTATCCCTGGAAAGAACAGGCTATGTGCATGTCTGTTAGAACAATGAGAATTGCTAAATAACTTCTGACTTAGACACAAGTCACTTGTCACATGAGCAAAATTTAATAACAGACTTTAAGCAATAGTCTTGGATATGGGGCACTCTAAGAATTTCTAAATTAGACTGTTATTACTTGCTGGTGTTTGCTGTTCTGAAGAACATTACACAGGCTTTATGTAAGTTTCTTTTGAAGACAAAGTAGTAATGTATATGAGGTAATAACATACATATCGAGACATTGCTATAAAGAATAGATGATATAGAGAGGGATGGATGCATTGTATTTTCCCCTGTGCTTTTAAAAGTTTTCGCTTGACTAATTGATTCAAATACTTGAAGAGGAACTTGTGGTGGGCTGTCCTTTTTGATATGTTTAAAATTTCCCCTAAAATTTTTTCTTACTTTTTTCTTCCACATTCTGTTATTAGGTTTTCTAAGTTTATTTTCTATGGAAAAAGAATTAAGAGAAAAATTAATCCACTCCTGGGAAAGACTAGAATATGGAAGTCTTCAGGCTGAGTCAGAGAAAATTTCTTTTCAAAGTTTAGATTAAAAATGTTGCTGATTGTGGAGACTGAGAAGAAAAGGAGAGAGATTTGAGGAGCCCGTAGAAAGAATGGGGAGTTGATACATTTGCAGGGACAATGACTAAGGACCAGATGTAACGAAGGATGTCTGGGCAGGGGCCACAGTAGTTTGATAAAGAGATAGTTACTAATGGCCTATTTCCAAGCCAGCTTCTCAAACTTAAATGTAATCACAAAGAAAAGGGGGTAGTAAATTGATTGAGTTTGAAAAATTAAGATGTCTTTTTTGATATTTGAATTTTTGAATGTATATTCAGAGTCACTTCTATTTCAGAATGACAACTTCTATTATCCACTCAGAAAATGCAGGAAATTCATTCTTTAATTATAACTACATGGACTAAAGAATGCTCTCAGCCTCATGCCACCTTCTTTGGGTTGATGGAACTTCTGAGAAAATGGGTTATGAGTTATAGAGCGTCACGCTTTGCCAACCTCTGAAAATGCCAATATTCATGTCTGTGGTTTCAGGCAAAAATATTCTAGTACTGTAATTCTAGAAAGAGAACAAATTAGAAAGATTGCTCTGCAAATGTCAAAATAAATTCCAAGACATCTCTTTCCCCATGTTTACCATACAATTCCCTGTGACCGTAATTGAAACTATAAAGTCAGACACTCTTGGATTGACCCTTCATCACCACTCCTTACTACCTATGGGAACTTGGGCAAGATACTTAACCTCTCTTGGTCTCAGTTTCATTATATTTAAAATTAGGATTATTATTTGTATCTCACAGGTTGTAGTAAGAATATACGGAAAACTGGTACATGGTATTTAATCAATGGTAGCTATTTTTATAATGATAACTTCCACATTGCTCATTTCCATCATCTGCCTGCTAATAGGCACTGTTCTATTTTGTGTCCATCTGTACATGATCTCTATGTCTGCCTTTGCTATGGTCTAAATGTTATTGTACCCCCAAAATGCATACAACAAAATCCTGACCTATAAGATAATGGCGTTAGGAGGTGGATATTTGAAAGGTGATTAGGTAACAGGAGCAGGACTGTCGTGAGTAGGATTAGTGCCTTTATAAAAGAGTCTCTAGAGAGATCTCTCCTCTTTTCTACCACCCGAGGACACAGCAAAAAGACAGCTGTTTACAAGTCAGGACGTGAGCCCTTCCCAGACACTGAATCTGGAAGCATCTCGATCTTGGACTTCTCAGCTTCCAGAACTGAGAAAGATAAATTTCTGTTGTTTATATGCCACCTAGTTTATGGCATTTTGTTATAGTAGCCTGCATGGACTAAGACAGAGAACTGGTACCAAGAAGTGGGGGCACTGCCATAACAAATACCTAAAAATGTGGAAGTGGCTTTGGAATAGGATAATGGATAGAGATTGGAAGAGTTGTGAAGTGCATGCTAGAACAAACTTCTTAGAGAATACCTGAACAGATGTTGGTAGAAATATGGAAGGTAAAGGCCATGCTGATGAGATCTCAAATGGAAATGAGGAACATGTTATTGGAGGAAAGACCATCTTGTTGTGAAGTGGCAAAAAACTTTGTTCAAATTGTGTTCATGTCCAAGTATTTTGTAGAAGATAGAACTTGTGTAAGATGAAATTGGATATTTGAGAAAATATCTAAGCAAAATGTTGAAGGTATGGCTTGGCTTCTCTTGATGGCTTTTAGTAAAAGGCAAGAAGAGAAAAATGATTTAAAGATGAAGTTGTTTATTAAAAAAGAAGCAGAACTTGAAGATTTGGAATATTCTGAGCCTATTCATTCTGAAAAGAATGAGAGAGCCTATCTGGGAGAGAACACAAAGGATGTGGTCAAGATTAACTGATAGGGAGATTAGTTAGTTATTTAAACAGAAGCCAGGAACTATTGTCTAAGACAATAGAAGAATGATCCAGAGTCAATTTGCATTACAGGTCTAGGGTGCAAGAGCCCCAGCAAGGGTGGAGCCACTGGAGAGAGCCCTCATTAGGGCAATGCCTAGTGGATTCATGGGGCCAGGGCCACTTTTGTGATCTCAGACAGGTAGAGCCACCAAAGTGAAATTCCATCCCCAGGGAGCTGTGGTCTCCAGACAGAGGAACAGAGCTGCCACACAGATTGGGCCACTTCAGAGAACTGCTACAAGAATGGGACCACCTAAAGTTGTGGGATTAGGGTTGTTTGGAACCTTGGCGGCCTATTTACTGACCTGAAAAGCTGTTGGGGAGCCACCCCAGTGGGGCCAGAATGTGAGACTCCTGGCTCAGTGAGTCTGGAAGGCAGGATTCCCACCTCAGTGTGCATGGAGGGTAGAGCATTAAGTCAAAGAATACCTTCAAACCCTAAGGCTTTGGAGCTACTTGGGATCTGTCACTCATTTCTTCTTTCCTATTTTCCCTTTTGGAATGGGATTGTCTGTCCTGTGCCTGTCACACCATTGTTTCTTGGAAATGTATAACTTCTTTGATTTCATAAGTTTGCAGGTGAATGGGAATTTGCCTCCTGAGGCAAATCATACCTTAAGTCTCACCCATATCTGATTTAAGTAATATTTATATGAGACTTTGGACTTTAGACTTTTGAGTTAATGCTGGAGCAAGTTAAGATTTTGGAGCTATTGGGATGGGATGAATATATTTTGCAGGATTGAAGGATATAAATTTTGGGGGCCAAGGGACAGAGGGCTATGGTCCAAATGTTTGTGTCCCTCTAAAATTTATATGTAGAAATCCTTACCTCTAAGGTGATTGTATTAGGAGGTGGAATCTTTGGGAAGTAATTAGGTCATGGGGATGAAGCTTTCACGGATGAGATTAGTGCCCTTACAATAGAGACTCCAGAGAGCTCCTTTGCCCATTTTGCAATGTGAGGACACATTGAAAGAGTGTGAAAGAGTGCTGTTTAGGACGCAAACCCTCACCAAACGCTGAATCTGCCAACACCTTGATCTTGGACTTCCAAGCCTCCCGAATTGTGAGAAATAAATTTCTGTGTTTCTAAGCCACTAAGTCTATGATATTTTTGTAGCAGTCTGAATGGACTATTGGAATAAGACAACCTTATTACCATCATCAGTAATCAACTTTCTCCTTCTTTTCCCAACCCCTGCTAGGGATGGACTCTGCCATATGTTATGTACAATGGCCTTGAAGAAGAAGGGGAGATTTAAGAGTAATTTCAGTATAACGTGTGGTTAGAAGTATGGACTTGAGTCAAACTATTGGGTTTATAATTCAGGGTCTGCCATTTACACGATATCTCTTTCTCTGGATAAGTGGATTATTCTTTCTGTGCCTAGCCTTCTTCATTTGTAAAACGGTGTATTAGTCTGTTCTCATGCTGCTAATAAAGACATACCCAAGACTGGGTAATGAGACTGGGTAATTTATAAAGGAAAGAGGGTTGAGGGACTCACAGTTCCACATGGCTGGGGAGGGCTCACAATCATGGCAAAAGGCAAAGGAGAAGGAAAGGCACCTCCTATATGGCAGCAGGCAAGAAAGTGTGTGCAGGGGAACTCCCCTTTATAAAACCATCAGATCTTGTGAGACGTATTCACTATCACAAGAACATCATGGGAAAACCTGTCCCCATGATTAAATTATCTCTCACCAGGTCCCTCCCACGACATGTGGGGATTATGGGAGCTACAATTCAAGATGAAATTTGAGTGGGGACACAGCTAAACCATGTCAAATGGTTTAGAATATTAAATGTACTAAAAAGCAGTTAACAGATATTATTGCAGATACATCGACTTTTGAATTAATCTTTCTTTTCTCATACTTAGAACTTATTTCATTTCTGTTTATATTTTTATCAGTTAATATTCCCTATATGGCTATGAGTTTCTCAAAGATAAGAATGCCTTATTCATGTAACACAAATGACCATAGATTTCCACTCTTCTTTACTACATATTACTTGCTTAGTGGTGTTTTGTTGTCATTTATATTCTTTTTTACATATTAGGGAGTTTATGGATGTTGTCTCATTTAGTTCTCAAAGAGCTTTATGAGCTAGGTAATATTTTCCACAACTCAAGAAGAAATGGAGGCTCAGAAATGTAGGTAACTTGTCTAAGGTCCTACAGCTAACATGAATCAGACACAAGATTTGCACCCAGTTTGAATCACAGCCCATGTTCATATCCACTATGCTACATGGCTTCTTTTTATTTGTTTATTTGCATATATTTAGGAGGTATAAGTGCAGATTTCTTACTTGCATATATTGTATAGTGGTAAAGCCTGGGCTTTTAGTATACCCATCACCTAAATAGTGAATATTGTACCCAATAGGTATTTATTTTAACCCTCATTTCCCTCCAAACCTTTTGTGGACTCCAGTGTCTATTATTCTTCTCTGTATGTCCATGTGTACTGATTGTTTAGCTCCCATTTATAAGTGAGAACATGTGGTCTTTAACTTTCTGTCTGAGTTATTTCACTTAAGAGAATGACTTCTAGTTCCAACTTTGTTGCTGCAAAAACACATGATTTTATTTTTCTTATGCCATAAAACACATGATTTTACGGTATATATATACCATAGAATATTATATATATATCACAGATATATACCATAGAATATTATATATATATCACATATATATACCATAGAATATTATATATCACACATATACCATAGAATATTATATATATATCACATATATATACCATATTACCATAGAATATATGTATCACACATATATACCATAGAATATTATATATATACCATATGTATGTGATAAATATAAAACTTGTATATATACACACATATACCATAGAATATTATATATAATCACATATATATACCATATGTATATCACATTTTCTTTATACAATCATCTGTTAATGGACACTTTAGTTGATTCTGTGACTTTACTATTATGAATAGTGCTGTGACAAACCATACAAGGGCAGGTATCTTTCTGATGTAATAATACCTACTCGTGTATGCTTATCACAGTACTATTCACAATAGCAAAATAATAGAATTTGCTATAATCACAATAGCAAAATAATAGAATTTGCTATAATCCTACACAGTAGTGGGATTGCTAGATTGAATGGCAGTCCTATATTCAGTTCTTTAAGACATAGTCATACTGTTTTTCATAAATTTGCTACTAATTTACATTCTTACCAACAGTGTATAAGCATTCTCTTTTTCTCTGCATCCCTGCCAACATCTATTGTTTTCTGACTTTTTAATGACAGCCATTCTGACCGGTCTAAGATGGTATCTCTTGTGGTTTTGACTTGCATTTCTCTGTTGATTAGTTATGTTGAGCCCTTTTTCATGTTTGTTAGCTGCTTATATGTCTTCTTTTGAAAATTATTAGTTCATGTTCTTTGCTCCCTTTTTAATTGGGTTATTTGTTTATTTCTTGTTGAACTATTTGAGTTCTTTGTAGATTCTGAATATTAGCCCTTTGTTGGACGCATAGTTTGTAAATATCTTCTTCCATTCTGTAGCTTTTCTGTTTGTTCTGTTGATTGTTTTGCTTGTCAGAAGCTTTTAGGTTTAATTAAGTCTCATTTGTTTATCTTCATTTTTGTAGCATTTGTTTTTGAAGACTTGGTTATAAATATTTTGCCAAGGCCAATGTCCAGAAGAGTTCTTCCCAGATTTTCTTCAAGGATATTGATAGTTTCAAGTTCTATATTTAGGTCTTTAATTAATCTTGAGTTGATTTTTGTATATGGTGAGAGGTATGGGTTCAAGTTTATTCTTCTGCAGATGGTTATCCAACTTTCCCGGCATCATTTATTGAATAGAATGTTCTTTCCTGAGCATATATTTTTGTTGACTTCATCAAAGATCAGTTGGTTGTAGGTATGTGGCTCTATTTCTGGGTTCTCCATTGTGTTCCATTGATCTATGTGACTATTTTTATTTTTATACTAGTACCTTCTGTTTTAGTCACTATAGCTTAGTAGTATAATTTGAAGTCAGGTAATATAATGCCTCCAGCATTGTTCTTTTTGCTTAGGATTGCTTTGACTATTTAAGCTCTTTTTTGGTTCCATATTAATTTTATGATTTATTCCCCTAATTCTGTGAAAAATGACATTGGTAACTCGATAGGGATTGCCTTGAATCTATGAATTGCTTTGGGCAGTATGGTCATTTTAACTACATTTATCCTTGCAATCTATGAGCATGGGATGTTTTCCCATTTGTTTATGTCATCTGCAATTTATTTTACTAGTGTTTTATAGTTCTCCTTATAGAGATACTTTACCTCCTTTGTTAAATATATTCCTAGCTATTTTATTTGTTTTATAACTAGTGTAAATGGAATTGCCTTCGGATTTTGTCGTTGGCTGGATCATTATTAGTGTATAGAAATGCCACTGATTTCTGTACATAGTTTCATGTCCTGAAACTACTCAATTCATTTATCAAATCTAAGAGTTTTTTGGTGGAGTCTCCAGATGTTACTAGATATAAGATCATATATCATCAGTGAACAAGGATCATTTGACTTACTCTTTTCCAATTTGGATGCTTTTTACTTTTATTTTTTTCTTGCCTGATTACTCCAGTGAGAACTTACAGTACTATGTTGAATAAGAGTGGTGAAAGTGGGGCTGGGTGCGGTGGCTCACATCTGTAATCCCAGCAATTTGGGAGGCTGAGATGGGTGGATCACCTGAGGTCAGGAGTTCAAGACCAGCCTGGCCAACATGGTAAAACCCTGTCTCAACTAAAAGTACAAAAATTAGCCAGGCATGGTGATGCGTGCCTGTAATCCCAGCTGCTTGGGAGGCTGAGGCAAGAGAATCGCTTGAACCCAGGAGGCGGAGGTTGCAGTGAGCTGAGATTGTACCATTGCACTCCAGCCTGGGCAAGAAGAGAGAAACTCCATCTCAAAAAGAAAAAAAAAAAAAAGAGGGTGAAAGTGGGCATCTTCTCTTGTTCCAGTTCTTAGAGGGAATGCTTTTAACTTTTCTCGTTAAGTATGATGTTGGCTGTGGGTTTGTCATATATTGCCTTTTTTACATTGAGATATGTTTCTTCTGTGGCTAGTTTGTTGAGGAATTTTATCACAAAGCAATGCTGAATTTTATTTACTACTTTTTCTGCATCTATTGAGATGATCATTTGGTTTTTGTCCTCAACCCTGTTTATATAATGTATCACATTTATTGATTTGCATATGTTTAACCATCCGTACATCTCTGGAATAAATCCCACCTGATCCTGGTGATATGTTTTGACTCTGTGTCCCCACCCAAATCTCATCTGAATTTGTAATTCCCATGTGTCAGGGAAGGGCCCTGGTGGGAGATGATTGAATCGTGGGAGCAGACTTCTCCTTTGCTGTTCTTGTATTAGTGAGTTCTCACAAGATCTGGTTGTTTCAAAGTGTGTGGCACTTCCCCCTTCACTCCCTCTTTCTCTCCTGCTATGCCATGGTAAGACATGCTTACTTCCCCTTCACCTTCTCCCTTGATTGTAAATTTCCTGAGGCTTCCCAGTCATGCTTCCCATTAAGCCTGTGGAACTGTGAGTCAATTAAACCTCCTTTCTTCACAAATTACCCAGTCTCAGGTAGTTCTTTATAGAAGTGTGAAAATTGACTAATACAGAAAATTGGTGCCCAAGTGACCTATTGCTATAAAGATACTGAAAATGTGGAAGTGACTTTGGAAGTGGGTAATGGGTAGAGGTTGCAAGAGTTTAGAGGGTTAAGATAGGAAGATGGGGGAAAGTTTGGAAGTTCCTAAAGACTTGTTGAGTGGTTATGACCAAAATGCTGATAGTGATATGAACAGTGAAGTCCAGGCTGAAGTGGTCTCAAATGGAGATAAGAAACCTATTGAGAACTGTAGTAAAGGTCACTCTTGCTATGCTTTAGCAAAGAGACTGGTGGCATTTTGCTCCTGCTGTAGAAATCTATGGAACTTTGAACTTGAGAGAGAGAATTTAAGGTATCTGGCAGAAGAAATTTCGAAGTGGCAAAGCATTCAAGATGTGGCCTGGCTGCTCCTAACAGTGTACAGTCATATGTATTCACAAAGAGATGGTCTGAAATTGAAACTTACATTTCAAAAGGAAGCAGAGTATAAAAGTTTGAAAAATTTGCAGCCTGACCATGTAGGAGGAAAAAAAAAAAAAAACTTTTCTGAAGAGAAATTCAAGCCACTGGCTGCAAAAATTTGCGTTAGTAAAAATGAACCAAATGTTAATTGCCAAGACAATGGAGAAAATGTCTCCAGGGCATATCAGAGATCTTGACAGCAGTCCATCTTATCACAGGTCCAGAGGCCTAGGAGGAAAAAATTGTTTCATGGGCTGGGCCCAGGGCCTTGCTGCTCTTTGCAGTCTTGGGACATGGCACCCTGTATCCAAGCCACTCCAGCTCCAGCCATGGCTGTTGCTTCAGAGGGTGCAAGCCCCAAGCCTTGGCAGCTTCCATGTGGTGTTGGGCCTGTGGGTGCACAGAAGGCAAGAATTTGGGAACCTCTGCCTAGATTTTAGAGGATGTACGGAAAAGCCTGTATGTCCAGGCAGAAGTCTACTGCAGGGGTAGAACCTTCATGGAGAGCCTCTGCTAGGGCAGTCTGGAATGAAAATGTGGGGTTAAAGCCCCCACAGATTCCCCACTGGCACACTGCCTAGTGGAGCTGTGAGAAGAGGGCCACTGTCCTCCAGAACCCAGAATGGTAGATCCACCAACAGCTTGCACCATGGGCCTGGAAAAGCCTCAGTCACTCAACACCAACCCATGAAAGCAGCCAGGAGGGGGGCTGTACACTGAAAAGCCACATGCGCAGAGCTTCCCAAGACCATGAGAACCCATCTGTTACATCAGTGTGCCCTGGATGTGAGACATGGAGTCCAAGGAGATTATTCTGGAGCTTTAATATTTAATGACTGCCCTGCTGGGCTTTGGACTTGCATGGGGCATGTGGCCCTTTGTTTTGACCAGTTCCTCCTATTTGAAATGCAAGCATTTATCCAATGCCTGTATTCCCATTGTATCATGGAATTAACTAACTAGCTTTTGATTTTATAGGCTCATGGACAGAAGGGACTTGCCTTGCCTCAGGTTAGACTTTGGACTTGGACATTTAGGTTAATGCTGGAATGAGTTAAGACTTTGGGAGACTGCTGGAAAGACATGACTGCATTTTGAAATGTGAGAAGAACATGAGATTTGGGAGAGGCAATGTGGTTTCGCTCTGTGTCCCCACTCAAATCTCATCTTGAATTGTAATCCACATGTGTCAGGAAAGGGGCTTGGTGCTAGGTGATTAAATCATGGGGGTGGACTTTCCCCTTACTGTTCTTGTGATAATGAGTGAGTTGTCATGAGATATGGTTATTTGAAAGTGTGTGGCACAGCTCCTTTCTCTAACTTTCTCTTGCTCTCTCATGGTAAAATATGCTTCTTTCCCTTTCATCTTCTACCATGATTGTAAGTTACCTGAGGCTTCCCAGTCATGCTTCCTGTTAAACCTGTGAGTTATTTGTTATTTTTTTCCCTTCAAACTATAGGTTTAGTTCTTGTTTTTTGTAGTTCCTTGAAATGTGATGTTAGGTTTTTAATTACTGATCTTTCTACTTTTTTGACGTAGGTATTTAATGCTAAAAACGTCCCTTTTAGCACTGCTTTTGCTGTATCCCACAGGTGTTGGTATATTGTGTTGTCAATTTAACTCACAGAGAAAAATTTTAAAATTTGCAGCCTAATTTCTTCATTGACCCAGTGATCATTCAGGAAAATAATGCTTAATTTCTATGTATTTGTATAGTTTGTGAAGGTCTTCATTGTATTGATTTCTGGCTTTATTCCACTGTGGTCTGAGAAGATATTTGATACAATTTTGATTTTAAAAAAAAACTTTAAGACTTGTTTTATGGCCTAATACATGGTCTATCTTGGAGAATGTTCCATGTGCTGATGAGAAGAATGTGTATTCTGTAGTTGTTGGATATAATTTTCTGTAAATGTCTGTTAAGTTTATTTAGTCTAAAATCCAATCTAAGCCTAATGCTTACTTGCTTATTTTTTGTCTCGATGATCTGTCTAGTGCTATGAGAGAGGTGTTAAAGTCCCCCACTATTATTGTATTGCTATCTCTTTTGTTAGGTCTAGTAATAGTGTGTGTGTGTGTGTGTGTGTGTGTGTGTGTGTGTGTGTGAATCTGAGTGCTCCAATGTTGGGTGCATGTACACTTAGAATTATTAGAATCTGTTTTTGGATTGATCACTTTGTCATTATATAATGATCTTCTTTTTTATTTTTTTAATTTAAAATGTTCTATTTATTTAAATATAGGTAGTCCTGTTTGCTTTTGGTTTCCATTTGTGTGGAATATCTTTTTCCACCCCTTTACTTTTAGTTTATATGTGTCTTTACAGGTAAGGTAAATTTCTTGTAGGCAGCATATAGTTAGATCATGTTTTTTTGATTCATCTTCCAATCTGTATCTTTTAAGTGGAGAATTTAATCCATTTACATTCAAGGTTAATATTAACAGGTGAGGCTTTGTTTCTGTCATATTGCTAATTATTTTAAAGTTGTTTTATAAATTCATTTCTTTTTTCTGTCTTTTTGTCTTTGTGGTTTGATGAAATTCTATCTTATTGACATTTGATTCTTTTCCTTCTTTGTGTGATTGTATTATGAATATTGTGAGTTTTATATTTTCATGTGTTTTTATGATGGTGAATAGCAACCTTTCATTTCCATGTTTAAGACGCCTCTGAGCATTTCTTCTAGGTCTGGTCTAGTGCTGACAAATTCCTTCAGCATTTGTTGGTATGGGAAAGACTTTATTTCATTTATGAAGCTTTATTTGGCAAGATACGCAATTCTTGGTGGACAGTTTTTACTTCCAACAATTTGAAAATGTCATTCCATTCTCTTCTAGCCTGGAGGTTTTCTGCTAAAAAGTCCACTGTTAGTCTGATGGGATTTCCTTTATAGGTGACTATATGCTTTTCTCTTTTTAATTTTAAAAATCTTTTATTCACTTTGACTTTAGACATTTCAAATATAGTATGCTGTGGTGAATTCCTTTTAGAATATATTTGACTGGGGATTGGTGGGCCTTCTATGTCTGGATTTCTGACTCTCTTGCAAGACATGGGAAGTTTTCATTGATTATTTTCTTAAATAGATTTTCTGAGCTTTTTATTCTCTCTTTCCCCTAGGGAATATCAATAATTTGTAACTCTGATTGTTTTATGTGATTCCAGATGTCTTGAAGACTTTGTTCTTTTTTTTTTTTTTTTTTTTTTTTTTGCCTGCTTGGATTAGTTTTAAAAAAACTGTCTTTAAGTTCTGAGATTATTTCTTCTTCTTGCTCTGGTCTATAATTAAAGCTTTTGAATGTCTTTTGTATTTCTTTCAATGAATTTATTTCCAGAATTTCTGCTTTTGTTTTCCTAAAGTTATCTATCTTCTTGGTAAATTTCTTACTTATATTCTGAATTGATTTTCTGATTTCTTTGTATTGGTTTTCAGATTTCTCTTGCATCTGATTGAGCTCCTTTTAAATCAATATTTTAAATTTTTATCTGGCATTTCAAGGAATTCTTTTTAAACGGAATATGTTGCTAAATAATCATTGTAGTCCTTTGGTAGTGTCATATTTCTCTTTTTTTCATGTTTTCTGTATTCTTCCATTGATATCTGTGCATCTGGTATAGCAGTTACAAGTTTTAATTGTAGGGCAGAATTTTTTCCTGAAAATGTACATATGTTGTTGATTCAGTAGTATACTTTGGCTTTAATTTTGTGTGACTTATGATAGTATAATCTTTGTATGACTACTTTGGTTGTACACAGGGTCAGTGGTATCTGTAATTTCTTCAGTGGTTTAGGGTACAGTTATTAGATGAGGTTGTGGTGAAGTTTTTCTGGGAACTTTATCACCAACTGACCCAGTCTTTTGGCCCCAGTGGTGGAAGCAGTTGGGCAAATGTGTCTGTTTTTCGGCCCCAGAGCAGCAACCACTAACACACTGGCTCTGGTGTTAGTGGCTTCTGAAGGGCTGATTCTTGGGCCTCCAGATAGCTTGCTTATAAGCCAGTAGTGAAAGTGGTGAGCCAAGTGTGTGGGTGGGTTCTCAGACCCTTGGGCAGCTGGTGTCATGCAGGTGATTGCAGTGGCAGTGGTTAGAGCAATCCAGTGGGACCCAAGCAGTCCATGTGGGTGTTCCTGGTAGCTGTGATAGGTTGGGTGAGCTAGTCCCCAATCCTACAGTGGCCTATGGCAGAGCACTGGGTATTGTTCTAAGTGTGCTTATGAGAGCTTGGTCTTCCCTGTCGATCCCCCAGCTGGGTGGTGGCCTCAGCTGCATCACCTTGAACTTGGCCCATGTTAAAATGGTGCCAGTCATGGACTTGTGACCAGAGAGGGCCCCACACTCAGGTGAGCAGCCTGGGTAAGAAGCTGTATAAGCAGTGTGGTCTGCTCAAATATCAGTTTCACAGGAGCCCATAGCAGGGAAATGGATATTGTCTGAGGTACTCATAGGAGAGTCCACTTTCCTTGCCCCTCTTTGGCTGGGTGGTGGCTGCTGCTGCATCACCCTGAACTCAGTCTGAGGGTGAGGTGCAGCCCAGTGTTAAACTCTGAAAATGGCACCTTGGGCATGTGACAAGAGATGGAAAGGCCCCTCAAGCAAGCAGGGGGGCACGAAGCTGTGGGGAATGTAGTCCATTTGCATCTCAGTCTCACGGCAGCCCATTGCAGGGCAGTGAATATTGTCCTAGATATATGCATAGGAGAGCTGGGCCCCCTGTCCTTCCTTGGCTAAGTGGGAGCTGCAGACATGTCAGCTTAAACTCAGCCTGAGGGTAGAGGGCAGCCTGGAATTAAACTCTCAAAATGACACCTCGAGGGGCAGGGATCCTCCCAGGTAAGCAGTGTGGGAAGAAGTTTTGTGGAATGTGGCCTGCTCACAACTCAGTCTCACAGCAGCCTATTGCAGGGTATTATCCTAGATGTGTTTAGGAGGGCCTGTGTGTTAATCCATTCTCCTACTACTACAAAGACATACCTGAGACTGGGTAGTTTATGGAGAAAAGAGGTTTAATTGACTCATAGTTTTGCAGGCTGTACAGGAGGCTTGGCTGCAGAGGCCTCAGGAAACTTAGAATCATGGCAGAAGGGGAAGAGGAAGGAGGCACGATCTTCACATGATGGAGCAGGAGAGAGAGGACAAGCGAAGGGGGAAGTGCTATACACTTTAAACCAGATCTTATGAGAACTCACTCACTATCATGAGAACAGTAAGGGGTATGTTCACCCCCAGGATCCAGTCACCTACCAGGCCCCTCCTCCAACAGTGATGATTACAATTTATCATGAGATTTGGGCAGTGACACGAGCCAAACCATATCAGCCTGGTTTCCCTGAGGACCGGAGAGGGTGAGGTCTCTCCTAGGCATGTAGTATGGGCAAGAAGATGTGGGAAGTGCAGTCTTCTCATGTCTCAGTCTCAACAGCAGCTCATATCAGGGCAGCAGGGTCACTTCCAGGGGTGTGTGAGAGTCTCACTCTCCCTCGTTGGAGCAGTGCAGTGGTCACAGCCATGTCTGTAGATCCTGATATCTAGCCTTTCAAAATTGCACCCTGCTGAGGCTGCTCTAGGTCTGGGTGCCCATGGGATTCTCTGTGGGCTCCCTTTCTGGAGCAACATCTGTGTGCAATCTTTAGGCAACACCATGTGTCAGACCCAGTGGGTCAAGGGTTTTTCTTGTACCCAAGATCATAAAAGCCAAGCCCTGTGGTTTTCTCTCTTACTGTTTCCCTGCATCTAGGAATCTCTCCTGGCTATCTGTCAATTTCCAGATGGGCAAGCTGCCTCAAACCCTTCCCTTACTTCTGTTGATTTCCATCTCTTCTCTGGTGAATGTTAGCATTCTCTCATAGACAATCTGTTTGAAATGTGAGTATCTACTTACTATTCTGATTCTTCTCCATGGAGGAGGCACATACTACCTGCATCCAGTAAGCCACCTTGATCCAAAATCTGGCTTCTTTTTGCTATTGTACAGGAGCAGCAATGGATTTGTCAAAGTGACTAGATTGCCAGTGAGTTAAATACGCATGACTGAAAATCAGCACTCCTTACCTAGCCTGTTCTCAGTAAGGTCTCGGTTCTCAGTAAAGTCTGCCAAATGGGTTAATTTATATTAGAGGAGGCTGCACCTGCTCATCCCATCTCATGTGCATTCACCTCCTCCTGATGGGTACTCTCTTTTCCAACTTTCCATGGCCACCTTTGCCTGAAGATTCAGCTATAAATCCTTTTTCAAACTTGACAAGCACAGCCTTTCAAAACATAACCCTAACTTATTTTACCAATCTTGTTGCTCACATAACTCTGTATTATGTGCTTTAGCTAGTAAATAATTTGATGCTTCCTTTTCAAATCTTTTGTTTATCCTGTTCTTACAGTTAGCAGTTTCCTCTCTCTAGCTATCCTGCCTCTTCTCTCTTATCTTTCTTTTATTTTCTCGTTATTTTTGAATATATAGATATTATTTATTAATTTATCTGTTTTCTTCAGCTTCATAACATTTATGTGTCATTTATAAACTTTAGAACTTTGTTAGAAGTTTAATTTCTCTTCTGTTTTTATAGTGAGTAGAGAGAATTATTTTCACATTTATATTGCTCTAAATCATGCTAGCCAAGGAATAATTTATCTCATTAATTTATAACAAAATCTGTTTGTCACAGCATGTGAAATATGAAAACACCATATAGAATTACACAGTATATTCTGTTTTCTAAATAAACATATGGATGCATTTTATTTTACAACTTGAATTATATTATCTCTATTACTTATTCAAGGATATGGAATAATTTTTACTTTCTGCTTCAAGACTACAGATTGAGCTCATGAGGTGCATATCTTTTCTTTCTGAGACACCATTAAAATGACAATAAAGAAATAAAAAGCTTTTAAACTTACAACAAAGAAGAGGATAGGAGAATTCTACAGGAAACAGGATATTTCAACACACTTATTGCAAATAGAAATGAGATAGATGAGTTTATCTTGATAAGCCAAAGCACAGGAAGCTTCCACTGTAAATATTTATGAAAAGTTTTATAGCGGAAGAGGGTTACAGACTAAGAGATTGCAAGATAAATGAATAGCAAGAGTGAAAAATGAGTCCTAAAATAGTGGCATTAATTGGTGGTTTTCTGGGGTCATGATGAAAGTACTCAACAACTGATACAATAAACAATATTAATTAGTCAGCTGGATATTCACAAGAAACATCAAACAATAACCCTATCAGTGCATACTGACTAATTACAACTCTTGTATGCTTAGACATGTAACAGTTTACTTGAGCATAGAATGGCTAGAAGCTTAGTATTTTACCCTGGCCAAACAAACAGAAAGACAAAAACATAAAACATGGGCAAAACCCAAAACCAGTAGATATTTCTTCTTTACAGTAATGTTAGGAGCTGAATAGGGGTACCTAGAGTGGATAATATGTCTTTTGTCTATTTAGGAGACCCTGGTTCTGTGCCAAGGATGCCTATTTATAGTGGATCCAAGAGCCTGCTGGTCAAGAAGCCCTGCCAGGGTGCTAAAAACATTAGGCATTTGAGAAAGGCTTGAAACATAAAAGAGAAAGATGAAGATGATTGAACAGGATAACCATGTCCTAGGGGAAATAGAGATATTTCAGGTAATAGAAGATAACTTAAAAAATATTTCAGTTGAGAAGTTCAAAATAATTGAAATATATTACATCCCTAAAATAACAACAGTGTGCAAAGAAATTCAGAAAAGAATCTAAACTAAAGTGGAGGAAGTCTGCCACAGAGAGAATGAAAGAGGAATATAGAAAATATGAAAAGGAAAATAAAAAAATGTAGAGTATAACTTTAAGAGTTTCAGAAACTTGCTATTATAATTTCCAGAAAAAAAAAAAAAAAAAAAACTAAGGCAGGTTACAGTATATTAAAGCTATAGGGGCACAGCAAGATGGCAGAGTAGAAGCCTACATTGTATGTCTCCACTGATGGAACACCAAATTTTAACAACTATCTGCACACAGTAAAGCACCACCACAAGAACCCCAAATCAGGTGAGCAGTCACAGGACCTGGTTTTAACTTCATATCATTAAAAAAGACATTGAGGACAAAACAGGCATCTTGAATCACAGAAACCACCACTTCTCCATTTCCTGGCAGTGACCGTCTGGCCTGCAGAGAGACTCTGCTCACTTTGGGGAGGGAAAGCACAGCACCTGGGGGACTTTGCATTGATCTCAATGTTTCCCTGTCACAGCAGAGAATAAAGCCATGCTTGGCTTAGCCAGTCCCCACATACAGAGGGAACATTTGGACCAGCCCTAGCTAGAGGTAATTGCCCATCCCAGCAATTGGAACTTCAGTTTCTCAGCAAGCCTTGGCACCATGAGCTGAAGTGCTCTGGGATCCCAGGTAAACCTGAAAAGCAGTCGAGGACACGTAGGACACAAGGACTGCAATGACTAGGCAACTCAGTGCTAGGCTGGGCTTAGAGCCAGTGAACTAAGGTGGCACGTGACCTAGGGAGACTCCAGTAGGTATGGTTAAGGAAGGGC
Source organism: Homo sapiens (assembly GCF_000001405.40). Lineage (NCBI taxonomy): Eukaryota > Metazoa > Chordata > Mammalia > Primates > Hominidae > Homo > Homo sapiens. The sequence continues at coordinate 18,091,397 of NC_000021.9, forward strand.
TTGCACCGTCTTTCCCTCAACCCCAGGCAGTACAGCTTATAGCAATGAAAGTGACTCCCTTGCTTCTGCTTAAGGAGAGGAGAGCAAAGTGTATGGAGGACTTTGTCTTGTCTCTTTAGGTACCAGTGCAGCCACAGTAGGATAGGGCACTGAGCAGACTCATGAGCCCCCCTCTCCAAACCCTAGCTCCCAGACAACGTGCATCTTAGATACCACCTCAACCACAGTGAGGTAGAGAAACAAGCTGGGCATTTGGGTCCTCAAATTCAGGCCTAGACTCGTGGACAACATTTCTGATCCTGTCCTGGGCAAGAAAGGAGCCCACTGCCCTGAAGAGTGAGTCCCAGGCAGCATTCACCACAAGCTGATGAAAGAGCCCTTGGGCTTTAAGCAAACATTGCCAGTAGCCTGGCAGAATGCCCCGTGGACCAGTAGTGGTGGTGATGGCCACAGGGAGAGGCTCCTCTGCCTGTGGAAAGGGGAAGGAAAAGTGGGAAGGACTTTGTATTGTGGTTTGAGTGCCAGCTTAGCTACAGTAGAATAGAGCAACTGGTAAATTGCGGATATTTTTGACTTCAATCTCTGGCTCCCAGGCAGCATCTCTGGACACATTCAGGCCCTGGGGGAAATTGCCATCCTGAAGAGAAGGGCCTTGGGCAAGGTCCAGTGCTGTGCTGGTTTCAGGTCTAAGCCAGAGCAGTTCCAATGTTGGTGGCCACGGAAATGCTTACATCATCACACCCCCAGTTCCAAGTGGCTCAGTAGATGGAGAATCTATATGTTTGTGAGAAAGTAAGGGGAAAAAAAAATCCCAAAGTCTCTGCCTGGTAATCCAGAGAATTCCTTTGAGTCTTATGCAAGACCACCAAGGTGGTACCTCTGTGAATGTGCAAAAACCACAGCATTATTAGGCTTGGGGCCTAAGTCCCCTTAAATACTTGGAAAGCCTTCCCAAGAAAGACAGGCACAAACAAGCCCCGACTGTGAAGACTACCATAAATAGCTAACTCTTCAATACCCAGACAATGAAGAATATATACAAGTATCAAAACCATCCAGGAAAACAAGACCTCACCAAATGATCTAAATAAGGCACCAGGGACTAATTCTGGTAAAACAGAGATATCTGGCCTTTCAGACAGAGAATTCAAAATAGCTGTGTTGAGGAAACTTGAAGATAACACAGAAAATGAATTCAGGATTCTATCAGATACAGTTAAAAAGATTGAAATAATTAAAAAGAATCAAGAAGGAATTCTAGAGTTAAAAAATGCAATTGACATTCCCAAGAAGGCATGCCTTTTAGTAGCAGAATAGATTATGCAGAAGAAAGAGAGTGAACTTGAAGACAGGCTATTTGAAAATACAAAGTCAGAGGAGACAAAGAAAAAAGAATACAAAACAGTAAAGCTCACCTGTAAGATCTAGAAAATAGCCTCAAAAGGTCAAACCATAGAGTTCTTGGCCTTAAGGCCTCTTCTTCTTTAAAGAAGAGGTAAAGAAAGAGATGGGGTGGGAAATTTATTCAAAGGGATAATAACAGAAAACTCCCCAAACCTAGAGAAAGATATCAACATTCAAGTACGAGAAGGTTATAGAACACCAAGCAGATTGATCCCAAAGAAGACTACATATAGGAATTTAATCAAACCCCAAAGGTCAAGTATCAAAAAGGGATCCTAAAAGCAGCAAGAGAAAAGAAACAAATAACATACAATGGTGCTTCAACGCATCTGGTAGCAGACTTTTCAATAGAAACCTTACAGGCCAGGAGAGAGTGGCATGACATATTTAAAGTTATGAAAGAAAAAACACTCTTACCCTAGAATAATGTATTAAGTGAAATATCCTTTAAGCATGAATGAGGTGTAAAGACCTTCCCAGGCAAACAAAAGCTGAAGGATTTTATCAACACCAGACCTGTCCTACAAGAAATCTAAAGGGAGTTCTTTAATCTGAAAGAAAAGAATGATAATGAGTAAGAAGAAATCATTTAAAGATACAAAAGTCCTGGTAATAATAAACACACAGAAAACCACAGAATAGTATAATACTGTAGTTGTGGTATGTAAATTTCTCTTAAGTAGAAAGAATAAATTATGAACCAATCAAAAAGAATAACTACAACACATTTTCAATAAGTAGACAGTACAATGAGATATAAAGATAAGCAATAACAAAATTAAAATGCAAGAAAATAAAGTTAGAGTTTTATTAGTTTTCTTTTTGCATGTTTGTTTATGCAATCAGTGTTAAGTTGTCATCAGTTTAAAATAATAGATTATATGACAGTATTTGGAAGTCTTGTAGTAACATCAAATTGAAAATCATACAATGGATACACAAAAAATAAAAAGCAAGAAATTAAAGCATACCACCAGAGAAAATCACCTTCACTAAAAGACAGGAAGGAAGGAAAGAAGAAAGAGACGACTGGGAAACAACCTGAAAACACATAACAAATGGCAGGAGTAATTCCCTACTTATCAATAATAACATTGCATGTAAATGGACTAAACTCTCCAATAAAAAGACATACACTTGCTGAATGGAAGATCCAATGATCTATGCTTACAGGAAACACACTTCACCTATAAAGATACACATAGACTGAAAATAAAGACATGGAAAAAAGATATTCTATTCCAATGGAAACAAAAAAAGCAATAGTGTTATACTTATTCAGACAAAACAGATTTCAAGACAAAAACTGTAAGAAGAGACAAAAAAGGTCACTATATAATGATAAAAGGATCAATTCAGCAACAGAATATAACAACTTTAAATATATATGCACCAAACACTGGAGCACCCAGATATATAAAACAAATATTATAGCTAAAGAGAGAGATATATCTCAATACAATAATAGCTAGAGACTTCAACACCTACATTCCACATTGGACAGATCTAGACAGAAAATAACAAAGAAGCTTTGGACTTAATCTGCACTATAGAACAAATTGGCCTAAGAGATATTTACAGAACATTTTATCCAATGGCTACAGAATACACATTCTTCTCCTCAGCACGTAGATTATTCTCAAGGATAAACCATATGTTAGGTCACAAAACAAGTGTCAAAACATTCAAAAATTGAAATAAGCATCTTCTCTAACGATAATGGAATAAAACTAGACACCAATAAAGAGGAATTTTGGAAATGATGAAAACACATGAAAATTAAACAATATGCTTCTGAATAACCAGGGGGTCAATGAATAAATTAAGAAGGAAATCGAAAACTTTCTGGTAACAAATTATAATGGAAACACAACATACCAAAACCTATGGGATACAGCAAAAGCAGTACTAAGAGAAATTTATAGCTATAAATGTCTACATCAAAAAAAAAAAAAAAGCTTAAATAACCTAATAGCACATCTTAATAAACTGGAAAAACAAGAGGGAACCAAACACAAAATTAGTAACAGAAAAAAATAATAACCAGGGGTGGTGTCTCACTCCTCTAATCCCAGCACTTTGAGAGGCTGAAGCAGGCAGATCTCCTGAGGTTAGGAGTTCAAGACCAGGCTGGCCAAAATGGTGAAACCCCATCTCTACTAAAAATAAAAAAATTAGCTGGGTGTGGTGATGCATGCCTGTAGCCCCAGCTACTCAGGAGGCTGAGGCAGGAGAATCACTTGAACCTGGGAAGCAGAGGTTGCAGTGAGTCAAGATCACACCACTGCACTCTAGCCTGGATGACAGATTGAGACTTTGTCTCAAAAAAAAAAAAGAAGGAAAGAAAAATAATAAAAGAGCATAAATAAATAAATTTGAAATGAAGAAAACAATACAAAAGATCAATGGACCAAAAATTTGGCTTTTTGAAAGTTAAACAAAATTGACAAACCTTTAGACAGACAAACTGAGAGAAAAGGAGAGAAGATCCAAATATATAAAATCAGAGATGAGAAAGGAGACATTACAGCTGATACCACAGAAATTCAAAGAATCATTAATGGCTACATTGAGCAACTATATGCCAGTATATTTAAAAAAACTAAAAGAAATGGGTAAATTCCCTGACAGCTATAACCTATTAAGATTGAACCATTAAGAAATCCAAAACCTGAACATACCAATAACAAGTAATGAGATTGAACCCATATTAAAATGTCTTTCAGTAAAGTAAGCCTAGGACCCAATGGCTTCACTGTGAATCCTATCAAACATTTAAAGAAAAGCTAATACCAGTCCTACTCAAACATTCTGAAAAATAGAGAAAGAGGGAGTATTTCCAAACTCATTCTACAAGGCCAGTATTATCCTAATACCAAAAGCAGACAAGACAGATTCAAAAAAGAAAACTGTAGGCCAATATCTCTGATGAATATTAATGCAATGATTCTCAAGAAAATACTAGCAAACTGAATCCAACAATACTTTGTAAAGATTATTTATCATGACCCAGTGGGATTTATCCCAGGGATGCAAGGATGGTTCAACATATGCGAAACAATGAATGTAATATATCATCTCAAGAGAATGAGGAACAAAAACCATATGATCGTTTCAGTTGATACTAAAACAGAATCTGATAAAGTTTAATACCCTTTCATGATAAATGTTTCGGGAAGTCAGGGACCCTGAATGGAGGGACTGGCTGAAGCTGCAGCAGAAGAACATAAATTGTGAAGATTTCATGGACATTAATTAGTTCCCCAAATTAATACTTTTATAATTTCTTACGACTGTCTTTACTGCAATCTCTGAACATAAATTGTGAAGATTTCATGGACATTGATCACTTCCCCAATCAATACTCTTGTAATTTCCTATCCCTGTCTTTAATCTCTTAATCCTGTCATCTTAAGCTAAGGATGTATGTCACCTCAGGACCCTGTGATGATTGTGTTATCTGTACAAATTGTTTGTAAAACGTGTGTTTGAACAATATGAAATCTGGGCATTCTAAAAAAGAACAGGATAATACGATTTTCAGGGAACAAGGGAGATAACCATGAGGTCTGACTGCCTGCGGGGCCGGGCAGAACAGAGTCATATTTCTCTTCTTGCAGAAAGCGAATAGGAGAAATATTGCTGAATTATTTTCCCAGCAAGGAATAACCCTGGGAAAGGAATGTATTCCCAGGGGAGGTCTATAAATGGCCACTCTGGGAGTGTCTGTCTTATGTGGTTGAAGATAAGGGATGAAATATGCCCTGGTCTCCTGCAGTGCCCTCAGGCTTGCTAGGATTAGGAAATTCCAGACTGGTGAATTCTAGTCAGACCGGTTGTCTGCTCTCAAACCCTGTTTCCTGTTAAGATGTTTATCAGTGACAATGCTTGCCCAGTGGGACATGAAACCTCATCAGTAATTCTAATTTTGCTCTGGCCTTGTGATCTTGCTCTGCCATTTGCCTTGTGATCTTTTATTGCCTTTTGAAGCATGTGATCTCTGTGACCCACTCTCTATTCGTTCACTCCCTCCCCTTCTAAAATCCCTAATAAAAACTCACTGGTTTTGCAGCTCCAGGTGGTCCTACCAATATGTGATGGCACCCTCGGAGGCCCAGCTATAAAATTTCTCTGTTTGTGCTCTTTCTCTTTATTTCTCAGACCTGCCGACACTTAGCGAAAATAGAAAAGAACCCACGTTGAAATATTGGGGGCTGGTTCCCCTGATAGATTAAAAACCCTAAAAAATTGGGTATAGAAGGAATATATCTCAACATAATCAAAGCTGTATATGACAGACCCAAAGCTAGTATCATATTGCAAGAGGAAAAATAAAAAGCCATTTCTTTCAAATCTAGAACATGACAAGGATGCCTTCTTTCATAACTGTTATTTAAGACAGTACTGGAAGTCTTAGCTAGAACAATCAGACAAGAGAAAGGAATACAGGGCACTCAAATTGAAAAGGAAAAAGTCAAATCATCCTTGTTTGCAGATGATATAATCTTATATTTGGAAAAACCTAAAGAATCCACAAGAAAACTATTAAAACTGGTAAAACAAATTGAGTAAAGTTGCAGGATATAAAATCAATACACAAAAATCATTAGCATTTCTACATGCCAACAGTGAACAAACTGAAAAACAGAAATAAAAAGGTAATCCCATTTACAATAGCCACAAATAAAATTAAATACCTAGGAATTAGCCATGAAAGTGAAAGATCTTTACAAATGAAACGTATAAAACACTGATGAAAGAAATTGAAGAGATACCAAAAATGAAAAGACATTTCATGTTCATGGATTGGAAGAATTAATATTATTAAAATATCCATACTACTCAAAGCAGTCTACAGAGTCAATGCAATCTCCATCAAAATACCAATGACATTCTTCACAGAAATAGGAAAAACCATCATAAAATTTATATGGAATCACAAAAGACCATAACAGCAAAAGATACCTTGAGCAAAAAGAACAAAACTAGTGGAATCACATTACTTGACTTAAAATTATGCTATAGAGCTATAAAGAGTAAAACAGCATGGTACTGACATAAAAACAGACACATAGACCAAAGGACCAGAATAGAGAACCCAGATACAAATTCACACACCTGCAGTAAATTAATTTTTGACAAACATGCCAAGAAAATTAACTGGGGAAAAGACAGTCACTTCAATAAGTGGTACTTGGAAAACTGGCTATGCAAAAAATTGAAACTAGACCCCTATGTCTCACCACATACAAAAATAAAATCTAAATGGATTAAAAACATAGAAATCTAAGACCTCAGACTATAAAAATACTACAAAAAATTGAGGACACTCTTAGGACTTTGGTCTGGGCAAAAAATTATTGAGTAATACCCCACAAGCACAGGCAACCAGAGCAAAAAGGAACAAATGGGATCATATCAAGTTAAAAAGCTTTTTTAGAGCAAATTAAATAATTAAGAAAGTGAAGAGACAACCCACAGAATGGGAGAAATATTTGCAGACTACCCATATGATAAGGAATTAATAACCAGAATATATAGGGGCCTCAATAACTCTATAGGAAAAAAAAATAATAATTCAATTAAAAATGGGCAAAAGAGTTAAATAGAAATTTTTCAAAAAAAGACATACAAATGGCAAACAGGCATGTAAAAAAGTGCTCAATTTCTTTTTAGAGAAAAGTGCTCACTTCTCATCAGAGAAATGTAAATCAAAACTACAATGAGACATCTTACTCGGCTAAAATAGCTTTTATTCAAAATTTAGGCAATAACAAATGCTGGTGAGAATGTGGAGAGAAGAGAACCCTCATATACTGTTGGTGGCAATGTAAATTATTACAACCATTATGGAAAACAGTTTGGAGGTCCCTCAAAAAACTAAAACTAGAAATAACATATAATCCAGCAATCCCACTGCTGGGTATATACCAAAAAGAAAGCAAATCAGTATATCAAAGAGATATTTGTATTCCCATGTTTGTTACAGCACTGCTCACAGTAGCCAAGACTTGGAACCAACCTTATTGTCCATCAAGAGATGAATGGAAAAGGAACACGTGGTACATACACCCAATGGAGTCCTATTCAGCCATAAAAATGAATGATATTCTGTTATTTGCAACAACATGGATGGAACTGGAGGTCATTATGTTATGTAAAACAAGTCAGGCATGGAAAGACAAACATCGTATATTCTCACATATTTGTGGGTTCTAAAAACTAAAACAATTGAACCCATGAAGATAGAGGGTACAAAGATGGTTACAGCTGCTTGGAAGGGTAGTGGGGTGGAAGGACTGTAGGGGTTGGGGTTGGTTAGTGGATAAAAAAAGATGGTTAGAAAGAATGAATAAGAACTAGTATGTGACAGCACAACCGGGAGACTATAGTCAATAATAATTTAATTGTACATTTTAAAATAACTAAGAGTATAATTGGATTGTTTGTAACACAAAGGATAAATGCTTGATGAGATGGATACTTAATTTTCCATGATGTGGTTATTCTGCATTGCATGCCTTTACCAAAACACCTCATGTACCCTGTAAATATGTATACCTACTGAGTACCCACAAAAATTAAAAGTAAAAAAATTTAAAAATAATAATATATATTACAATATAAATCTTGTAACTAAAAAGGAATATAGTTTATATTTTCCAAAGTCCAGCAAATACCTAATATGATTTAAAAAATAAAAAGAACTACCTCTGACTTATTCTTGTGAAGTTTCAGAAAATAAAGATAAAAAGATAGTCCTAAATCTTTCAAAAAGCCATCCAATAAAGAGATCAAAATCAGTTGGAATCAGAACTTTACCCATAATGCTGAATGCTGGAAGCCAAGCAACAATTTTTAAATTCTAACGGAAAACAGTTTCAAGCCAAAACCTCAATACCAATCAAATTATTCAATAAACATATGTATATTTTTATGCAACTCAGAAAACTACTTCTCCACACCATTTTTTGAAGTAGTTACTTTGGATGCGCTTAAATAAAGTGGGTGGGTTAACTAAGAAACGACACATGTATTCCAGGACACTAATTGAGATCCAACTCTGAAGAACAATGACATGAAGCCCCCAGACAATTTCATCGAAGCAGGATTAGAAAGCATTTTTACTTACTGGCACAGGTAGATGGAGGGGTCCAGATGTTATCCACATATAAAGGTGCATTGCACAATTGGAGTACTGTGCTAGACTGGATAAATCTAAGGATATGACAAAGCAAAGAAGGAAAGGAAAAATAAAGACAATTAAACAATCCACGACAAATAAAAATAAAAATAAATAAGTTACATAAGAGAAGAAAACAATAACACCCTAAGTAGACAAGTGAAAAATATTTACATAGTTTAAATAAAGTGAAGGTTGTTTTTAAAAAAATATCTAACATGTTGAATCAACCTACTGACAAACTGTGGAAAGATACATTGTCAATCTTAAAACTTAAAAATAGTAAAGGTCCTGATAATAGATGTTGAAGGTGGAAGGCAAACAGAAGTGAGCAGGTAGACAGGATGATAATGTCTTTATAAGGATAGAGCTAAGATTGACTACATGTGGTTGGTGGAGTAAATAACAGAGGAACTAAAAGTAGGAATATAACTAGACTGGGTGGTTAGCATGGGGAAGGGAAGAAAGGGGATGGTGACTGTTTGGTTTGTGAATGAGCTAAAACATTTTCTTGTGTAGTAAGAATTCCATATGCAATTCCTAATGTTCATAGATAAGTATTGGTTTAAGGATATTATTTAGAGACTCAAGGACACCTGAAGAACTACAAAAAGAAACAGTTTGAATTTGCTGCCTTTAGAGGAACAGAGGTGGATGGGTAGAAGTAGGGTAGAAATTATTTAACATTTTAATTTTGTGCATGTATTGATTTGATAGGCACAAAAAGGTAAAGTGGAAACAACTGAAAAGAGTCATTCAGGAATGATTTTATTAAGATTTTTGCTTAAGCTTGTTGAGTGTGTGTACATTCAAATGATCTGTGAGAGTATTTATATACTGTATGTGAAAAAATACTTTTGTGAATTCCATCTCATACAGAGATGCTGGTCTTAAGATTTTTTTCCCCCAGTTTGGTAACTTCAGGCAAGTCAATGAGTATTTCAAAATCTCTGTCTACTCAGCAGTAAATTGGGGGTATCAGATCAGAGATGGTTCTGTAAGTTTTGTGTGTGTTTGAAATAGTGATATGGTTTGGCTCTGTGTCCCCACCCAAATCTCATCTTGTAGCTCAATGATTCCCACGTGTTGTGGGAGGGACCCAGTGGGAGATGATTGAATAATGGGGGTGGGTCTTTCCTTTGCTGTTCTCATGATAGTGAATGGGTCTCACAAGATCTGATGGTTTTTAAAAACGGGAGTTTCTCTGCACTAGCTCTCTTTTTGCCTGCTGTCTTCCGTGTAAGACGTGACTTGCTCCTCTTTGTCTTCTGCCATGATTGTGAGACCTCCCTAGCCATGTGGAACTGTAAGTCCAATAAACGTCTTTCTTTTGTAAATTTCCTGGTCTCGAGTTTGTCTTTATCAGCAACGTGAAAATGGACCAATACAAATAGTAAATCTTTATTGCAGTTTTAAAGGTGTGCTTTATTTCTTAATTAGAATCCCTGTGGTGTCTTAATTTCTACCTTGTTTCTATTTTCTTATTCCTATCCTTAAGTCAGTTGTAGAAACTTTTTAATACAAAATGTGTAGAGATATTCATTTAATACTCAAAAAGGTATAAGATAAATTCTTGAATTTTTTTGAGACAGTCAAAAAAGATGTCTAACCTACATTTTAAATGTGTCATTATAACATAATTGAAAATATGACAATACTAGAAAAAAGAAAGGTAAGTGTTGAAGCCAGTAGCTGCATTTTCAGTATGACAATCTATTTCCATTTACAACATTTTTTTTTTTTTTTGCTGATGTCTGTACTTGTGAGTGTATAAGAAAGTTTCTCATCCATGGTAAAGAGCATTAATGAAATTACTGTGTGACACTCCTTGAAAAATGAGAGAAATATATATTTAGTTTCCATAATGAAATCCATATTTGCTTGGTCATGGCCCAAATTGGTTTTGAAAAGTATATATTTCACTGAGGCAGATGAAGTGTCCAAAATTAATAAGGATAAAAAATAAGAAAAATTTAAGGAGAAAATTTTCAATTAAAGATGAGTAACTGTTGATTACTCAGGTCCAAGAATCAATACTGATTAATGTTATGTAATGTAGCAGATCTTGCCAGGATGAAGATATTTGAGTGTAAGCTCAGAATCATAAGAAACAGCTTCTTTGTAACTTGCATTTTATAGCTGCCCACATCATCCTATTCTATATCCATAGGCTAGAACTTCAGTCAAACTGAGTTTGCCATTCTTGGGAGATCTCAGGAGATTATTCCTTACAACATCTTGGTTATCATTTTGTCAATCATCCAGGGAACGCCCAACACTTCCTTTTGTCATTTCAGGATTCCTACTTATGTCCTTTAACCTGAATACTTTCCAGATCTGCTGTTCCCAGTAAGTTACTACAGTCCACTGCTGACTGAATGTTAGTAAGTTTTGATTGGATTTTAATTGTACAAGGTGACTGAGCAAATTTGTTAGCTACATCAACATCATGAGGCAGGACTTAAGAGGGTAGTGAGCAAGGTCAATTCAATTATCTGTATAAAAATATGTCAGTGAAAGCCTGCTTTTATTCTGCTTAATTTAGAATTTATTCTTTCACTTATTTTTGAGGAAGTTTTAAAGCAATTAATGATAACTATAAAAGTGCTGTTTAACAAAAAATCACTGGTGAGTACAGTGTATATAATGCATAGCTCTAAAGAAATACCTATTGCTCTTTATAATTGTCTAACCCTTTAATTGATTTCATAAATCAAAGTTTTTAGGCAAGTATGGCCTATATTAAAAATGAACACTTGAGCCTAATGAATATTTTGTTGATAGAAATAATTTCTGAATTTCTCTGCTGAGTAGCAAGATAGCACTCTTTAGTACAGGAAGGGAAACTTTAGAAAAATGGGATGCTATAAAACTTAAAGTAAGAATTGGAACTGAAAGTAACACATTAATTTCCTTGGCATAAATTTCTGCTTTATCATCCTGAAGCTTTATTTTGGCACAAAGGTAGCAATAACACTAATCTCTCTTCTGGAATCCAAACCAAAGATAGATTATTTTGTCTCTAAAAATTTCATTATGAATGACTAAGTAGAGAATAGATGAAAAAGTATTTTAATTTAATGTTAAGAATATGCATTTTAGAGCAGGGAACCTAAAGTTGAGATACCATTTCATTTGTTTGTAGCCTCTTCTCTTATAAAATAGAAATAATAAGATTTAATTCAATGGATGGTTGTAAGAATGAAAGAAATGAGAAAATGTGAAATCTTTTTAAACTATGTTTTTCTACAAAAATGAGATGTTAAGATAATAAAGAAACTGACCCTTTGTCATTTAAAAAATAGTTTTAAATATAAACATCCTAGTCTCTCAGTAGAGGTACTAAGAAATAAGGAGAAGATTATAGGCCTTGATATTAAAACAATCAGAGTTTGACTCCTGATTTGAACACACATTACCTAAAGGAGCCAATCAATGTATTTCACATATTTTTGATTATATACTGCCAAATAAAGAATTGCCCTAAAACTCAGTGTCTTAAAACAACCATGATTTCGTTACATTTCATGATTTTTTGGGTCAGGAATTCAAATGGCATAGCTGGTGTTTCCTCAGCTGTATGTGGCATTGCCTGTCTCTCAGTGTATTCAGGCGATGGATGGGCTGCTATGGGCTGGCTAGGATGACTTCTCTCATGTGTCTGGAGCCATGGTGGAGATGGCTGGAAGGCTGGGCTCAGCTAGAGCTGTGGAATGACATGCCAATTCCTGACATCTCCAGCATGACTATCTCCTCTTCCATAGAAGCTGGCTTTTTTCAGAGTGAACATCCCACTGGACCCAGGCAGGAGTAGCAATGCTTTGTGTGACTTAGCCTTAGAAGTTCCAAACATCCTTTCTGTCACATTCTTTTTATCAAGAGAGATATACAGTCTAACCACTATTCCAGAGGAAGGGGATTAGACCTCACCTCTTAATCTATCACAATACCTCTGAGCTTCAGTTTTGCCCTTTTATAAAACCTACTCCAGTACAGTTGTTGTGAAGACACAATGAGACAATGTCTGTTAGGTTCCTCACATAGAGCCTCGCACAAAATATTTCTCTCCTCTTTTATTTTTCATGTATAAGGAAATCATATTTCCCAATGTCACTAAGACACTGGACAGGTGGGAAACACTGAAGTAAGCACAACTTCTCAGTCTCTGAGCATTCAAAATAGCAGTGAAGTGGGTTTATGCATGGTATGGTTAGGCTTTGTGTCCCTACCCAAATCTCATCTTGAATTGTAATCACCATACACGTGTCAAGGTAATTGAATCATGGGGGCAGTTTCCCCCATGTTGCTCTCATGATAGTGAGTTCTCATGAAAATCTGATGGTTTTATAAGGGGCCCTTCCCCCTTCGCTTGGCATTTCTCCTTCCTGCTGTCTTGTGAGGAAGATGCCTTGCTTCCCCTTCGCCTTCCGCCATGATTCTGAGTTTCCTGAGGCCTCCCCAGCCATGCTGAAGTGTGAGTCAATTAAACCTCACTTTCCTTTATAAATTTCCCAGTCTCAGGCACTTCTTTACAGTAGTATGAAAACAAACTAATAAAATATACCATAGTCATAGAAAATACCCAAGGCTCAAACCATATGGGATCTTCAACTTACTGTAGGCCAATATAGGACTGGACTACTAAAAAGTGACATACTTGAAGAACCTAGACACAAGATGCTAGTACTCTACCACTCTGAGCTTTTAAATGTGATAATAGGAGTGTATCAGCATCTCAGCAACTATTGTTTTACAGCCTATTTACCAATTGCTCTTCCTAATGATTCCAGCAACACATGTTTAAATTCTGTTTTGTGTGTCCTTTAAGTATAGAGGATGTAAAATCTATTTTAAAAGATTTCTAACCATAATGGTTACCATTAAGTGTGGTCTCATGTGAAGTAGTAAGTTTCAAGATTTTCTCCTTCCCTAATGGTGCTAATTGATGTGTTCTCTAGAATGCTATGACATGATTTGGAAAATATGTCATTGTTTGGCTGCCCAGCAGCTGACCTCTTGTTTTATGTTTGTGGAATTATTTATCTTGAATCCTGGTAAGACTAAGGGAATATCTTTCAATAGGAAGCTGGAAAGGGTAGATATTTTTTCTCCTTTTTGGCAACTAGAGTACACCCATGAGATAGGCTTAAATAGTCATGGCTATTTCATATGAGGAATCATGAAGTAGTGATATAAAGAATCAGAGCCTTGAAAAATACAGTCTGGAGACGGGAGGTCACAGCTGCATGCCAGTGTGCAAGAGTAGGGGGTGAGGCAGAGACTGGGACAGCAGTAGTCTGTAGCATTCAGGACCAGCTGTAGCAGAGCAAGCTGTGGTATTCATACTAGACTTGCTTTGTTGCAGGATTTTATCCCAATTGTGGCTGACACCTGACTTATGTGCCTTTTCAAAGCCAGGTCCTTCAGTCTTCCCTGCAACTCTGTGACTCATTTCATTTCATATCTTTGTCTGCTTAAGTCAGTCAAAGTTGGATTTTGTTGCTTGAAATTAAGGATCCTGATCATTATGGAGCTTACTATCAAGAGTGCTTATAGGCCATGGACCCACAGGGAAGTGGTAGCAGTGGTTCTCAATTTTGGCTGCACATTCGAGTACCCTAGAAGGTTTGAAAACTGCCAATGCCTCAAGCCAACCCATATCAATCACATTGAATGGCCATAGCTAGGAAACCAGGTACAGATACCTAAAAAGTTATTTAGGTGATTCTAATGTGAGAATTAATACAGAGAAAGAAATACAATGCTTTCTGAAGATGGGGATGTTGACGTGGATTAATAATATGTAACCTGCTCACCCATTCCCAAGTTATGTTCCCTGAGAGGGTCCAGAATGTACTTTTTTCACCAAGGTTTGGGTGATTCCAATAATCCTGGAAAATCACTTCTGTGTCTGTTCTCTTTAAGCCAGAGACAGTGAAACATTGCCCTTAAAACTGGCTTCTCAGATGCCAATGGAGACAACAGGATCTCAGGTAGCAGTGGCCAACCAGCCACACCTAAATTCTAGGAGCAAAGGAGGGCACACTTATTGCAATAGTGTTCAGGGCTTACCTGATAATCATGATGATTGGTCCAGTTGGGGTCTTTGGCATTCTGCAATTAACAATGGGTTGGTAGGACTAAAATGGATGAGAAACCCACAAAGTTCTTCCTTGATTTGTTTAACTGGAACATTTCCAAGTCTGGCAAATGGAAGTCTGACTTGGTTTAACTTTGGAGAGTCATAAATCCATATAAAATTTTCAGACCTAAGTCATTTCCAACACCCCAGAGCCCTTGAATAAAAAACAGACAGTACCCTTGAGGATGGAACCTGTGAAAACCTAAAATGTACTGACCGAGGCTGTGAGTCCTACCCTTCCTTGAAGGCCCTTGGTCGGTCACCAAATAGCTCAGTGGTCCTTCCTTCACTGGCACAGCATAAAGAGCAATATACATACTTTTGAAATATTTTTTGTTACTAGATCTTTCTTTTTTCTTTTTTCTTTTTCTTTTTCTTTTTTTTTTTTGAGATGGAGTCTTGCTCTGTCGCCCAGGCTGGAGTGCAGTGGCTTGATCTTGGCTCACTGCAAGCTCCGCCTCCTGGGTTCCCACCATTCTCCTGCCTCAGCCTCCAAATAGCTGGGACTACAGTTGCCCACCACCACACCTGGCCAATTTTTTCTATTTTTATGTAGAGACGCGGTTTCACCATGTTAGCCAGGATGGTCTCAATCTCCTGACCTTGTGATCCACCTGCCTTGGCCTCCCAAAGTGCTGGGATTACAGGCGTGAGCCACCACACCCAGCCTAGATCTTTCTTAATTCTAATTCCTGGGAACTCAGAACACCACTAGGAGTTAGAACACCAAAGGAGTCTTGGTTTATCTGCCATATACCAGGCCTTATGGGACCCTGACACCACCCTGTGGTTGTTGTCCCTGCACCCAAGTGTACAGAAGGAAAGAGTATGCTTGAAAACTGACAGAATCTGTCCTTTTATTTCCTGCCCTAGAGAGCCATAACTATTATGATAAGAAGGACTAAGTGGAGACCTCTGGAGAACCCTCTCCCTAATAAATAGTCCATCTAAGGGAAGTACGAATAGCAATGCCATTTTCAGACTTGAAAGAAATAGGGGTAATGAGTTCTTTATATTTCCTTTTAATCTGCCAGTTTGCCTATTGTTTACAGGGATCAGATATGAAGTTTGAGAATGATAATGAATTGCTGGAAGCTTAATCAGATGGTTGCTCTTATAGCAGCTGTAGTTTCCAGATGTGGTCTCTTCATGGGAGCAAATAAACAGAGCACCTAGTTCCTGGTACACAGATAGCAGTCTGGCTGAACTTTTTGTCTCTACTCAAACAGCAGAGAACATCAGAAGCATTCTGCTTTTCCCTTGGAAAGACAAATGCACAGCAGGGGGGAAAGGCAAATCTCACAAAAATACAGGGGCCTATCAACTCAGTGGCAACTATACCAGGCCATAGCAGGCCTTGAAAGCACTAGTTGTGCAAGAACTTAGTCGCATCTGTCCATTTTGCTATAGTGTCGTCCTACCTATGACTTACATCTTTAGCCTTGTGAAGAGTTTCCTGGAAGAAATGGGCCTAGTATGATCAGGAACATAACTGCTGCAGCATAATAACTAGCATCAGGGTTTGCTGTGTGGGAAATGAAGTTTCCTCCCACTGGGTAGAACCTTGAGCATGATACCCTATTGTCTATAAGACCTGGACAGAGAAATGGCCTGAGCTCAGTAGCTACATTGCTTCCTGAGCATGTAATAATGTGGTGGTGAAGTTAAAGAAATTAAAGGAAGAATTTTTTTAAAAAGTGAGAAGTACAATGACTATGTGTGTGGATGTAAGACTGTTTGATTCCCACATGACATCTCATCAGAAGGTTCCTAGTGGAGAAAACTTTCAATAAGCATGTGGAAAAGATGACCTTTGCATAGAAAGATAATTACAGGTTATGTTCGTACCATCTACAGTGTAGAATAGTTAATTATTCCAGGCTGGGATTTGCTTGCCCTGTCTTTCATGCATTTGGCAATCTGTGAACTTCCTGATTTCCATTTACACCATTGTGGGATTGTACACAATCTTGTTCTTGACCAAGAAACTCACTTTACAAGGCAGTTGCTCATCAGATTCACTTTTTTTTTTTTTTATCATTTACTGTATGATCTATTAGCTCTTGGCCTTTGGGAATACTAGTTATGTCTGCTGGAAGGTCACGGTTGCATATTTAGGATATGGTCCTTTAAATGCATAATATGCTCTGAACCAGCAACCAATTTAGGGTATTGGATCTCCCATGAATAGATGGAATTGGGAGTGACATGCCCTCAATGACGTCTTACTATATGCTAGAAATATTTTCTTTCTTATCCCTAAAACACTAGGCTCTACTAGAGAGAAATGTTTCCATCAGGGAATACAGCAAGTTCTATGTTGAATTAGAAGGTAAGATTTATTCTTAGCCATTTTGGGCTTCACAAACCACTGAATGATCAGCCCCAGATGAGGGTTAGTGTTGACTCTAATGACTGATCTGACAATACAGGTGCAACACATTACAGGATGGGAAGTATATGAAGGGAACACACCTGATACCTTGGCTGCCCCCCAGTACTGCCTTGTCAAGTGGTATACATAAATCCTATACAGATAGGATCCTTTATGAATTAAAATTTGGTCATTCCACTGGAAAAACCCTAGCCAGCTAGATAATAGAAAAAGAATTATGAGAATGGAGTGAGAGTAAGGGAGTCACACAAAGACGCCTTTATGAATAGCTATGGAGACGATTATAGTTTTTTCTCAGATTCTCTTCTTTGCAATGTTGTGTGTGTGTGTGTGTGTGTGTGTGTGTGTGTGTTTCTTCTAACTTTTTCTTTCTCGCACTATTTTGTATCATGTAGTGTGGTGGTGGTTAAATTTATAATGTAATTCACATATCACAGAATATTGAAATAGGATTATGACAGACTGACAGCTATAAGAGATCCAGAACTTATAGCAGAATGTTGACTAAAATTTGGGTCACCTTTTTGTAAGGAAGGATAAACGTATTTTCAGCATACAGCTTTTGCATTAATTATGTAGCAGCAGTTTTTTAAGCCTTAACAATTTAAATAAAGTTATATGTGAATCTTGTGCAGTTGTAGGGATGACTTATATTATTTATTTTTCTTTTTCATGAAAATCATCTCAATCTCCTTAATATTTGGGAATTGCCCACCTCAAAAGTTATGGTAGAGGGTAGAGCATCCCTTCATCTCGCCACAGAATCTGAAAATCAGATGCTTAGTAGCTTAGCTTTTCTCCCAGTGAGAATGAGAATATATGATGTAGGTTTGGACTATGGGATCTAATCACCATGGGGCTGCATGAATAATAAATGACTTGAACAAGCAGAGAGAATGGAGACTCTATTTTGAAGGTGATGAGCCATAGAAACAGTAGGACTACCAAGTTTCCAGAGGGCAGCTGTGGCAATGGCTCAGGAGTGGCCTCAGGTGTCCAAGGTTGGCATTATGTTTTGGGGGTACTTAATTTTGGTCAAGACTTCAGCTGTAGTCCTGTCTGCTGTTTTACCTCTTTCATTCTTGTCTTTTTTACATGCTTGTTTTTTTTCCCCTCATCTTTCTGGAGATTCAGCAAATCTTTATATATGTTCAGGGCTGCATTGTAAGTGTTAAATAAATAATTTTTTTAAGTCAGCAAGAGATTATTTCTCTTGCATGCAACAAAAATGGACAGAGAATGGATGAAAAGCAGGGAGGAGGAAGATAAAATAAGTATTCTTTTCCTAAGTAACCCAAGACAGAGTACCTGGAAAGAGCTCAAAATCTAAGCATAAAAAGGTTAGAGGAATAGAACACATTCAGTGTCTCAAGGTAGTGTTTTCTAGCAGTCAAGAAGACATGTGCTCTCTTACAGGTACAATATAAAAGGAGAAAGGAAAAAACTATAGTTATACCTACAAAGCCAACAAGGGGAAAAAATAATGTGCTTTGCTGACAAGTCCTGGGCTGGGAGTGTTGTGCTGAGGATGGGGACTGAGATGGGCACCGGGGATGCTGTGCAACTTTATGGCATGTTGGAAATAGCTTTGCTATTATTTGAATTTTCCTAGACTTTACTAGCTACAAACATATTTACAACAACAAGAGTATTACAGTTCCACTAACTTTTGCTTCCTCTTTCTAATGTATGGCATTGGCCTCATATCATGTGTTTTTATGAATTTCCAGGAGTCTCTTGGGTTTGTTCACATCATGGTGATGTAAAGAGGAATATGTGAATTTTTTGCCACACTTTTCATTGAGAGGTGATTCACTTTTCCTTCTCCTTGATTCTGAGTTGGCCCTGGGACTTATTGTCACCAACAGAATGCAGCAAAAGTGGTGTTGTCTAGCATATGAGGCTGGGCCTTAAGAGACTGCAATTTCTGCCTTTGCCTCTTGGAATGCTCCTTTTTGGGACCCAGTGGCTATGCTTAAAGGAAGCCATTTGGAGAGAGAAGAACCCAGCCATTCCACCCATACCTGCCAACACCTACAGCTGATACCTGCCAACACCTACAGCTGATGTCTGCCAGGCACCATCACAGAAGACTGGGGTCTTCATGACAAAAACCACAAAATAGGTTGTTATTTCATAACATACTTTAGAATGAGAGTGGGAAAAGCACTGCATTTGCTCAAAAGCATTTGGAAAAACTTAAAATTTCCCACTTTGTAAGTATAAATCACAAGTCACAATGCACTGGAACATGGGACAGTTCTAAGTAACAGACATGCAGTGTGCTCAAGATTCTCCCTGTCCAATCCACCAAGGATTTTCATTTTCATATTTTTCTTTATTGTGGTAAGCTCATTGTGCTTGACTTTTTTTTTCTTTGTTAGGGTTTATTCTTCCAAATAAGCCTCCTCAGTTACTCTGTAAATAGGGATCTCTTGTCTTGCCCTATATGTTCTCCAGACATGTGAAAGAAAGTGCTGTATCTTATGTAGATTCAAACTGGGACAGCTTCCACACTAGGGGAATATTAGAGTGTAATATTCTAGAATTAGAATGACAGACTTCTATTGAGTTTTCACTCACACTCTCCATGTATGAGAGAGATACCAGAAAGTGAATTTCTGCAACAGGACATACATGAGCTCCTGGAGATTCTTCAGAGTGACTAATAATATATTCCCGTTTGTGTAAGGAGACCATCACAACTCAGACAGATCTTTTCATGATAAAATCAAAACACCTGAAGATGGAGGCAGGCGAACTGATACACATTCAATTCACATTTCTTTTTTAATTTAGTGACTTCAACTAACCTCATATCATCATAGAGAAGTTACATATATTATTCAGGGGTTACCATTTGTTACTTACATGCCAAATCTCAATGATGAGATTGTCGGCTACGCCAGCATGGGGATGGGACTCTACTAGTATTTGATGGTACAGATTTTCCTTAGCGAAGAGCTAACTTCTCTTATTTTATGTCACCTGGACTCAGTCCAATTATTGCATCAGTTTTCTTAACCTTTACACAATGACAGGTTGGCTGTCATTTCCTTAAGCCATATAGTCTGGCTCAGACACTTTAATCACAAAGTGGGTATGCCATTTTCTCCCACTTTTGCTTTTAGGTAGTATGTTATAGTTCATAATACACTTTCTGTCCACTGGCAAATGTTTCTTTATCAATTACTTACTTATACTACAACTTCAGTCGATTTCAAACAACTTGATTTATATTCACAATTATAAAGAAATTTTACCATTGCTACCAATATATCTTAGCTTAGCCTATTCAGTATTTTTCAGATTCTTTGGCTGCAACCAAGGGATGTGATCTGTTCAACACTGTAGGGGAACTCAGGTGGAAATTCATGTTTACTCTAGGAGCAAAACTCACTCAGCAAAGGTCTCTCCTATCAGTGCTTCCGAAACCTAGAAAATGTGAAAGCCAACTATATAATCATATATTCCTTTATGCAAAAACATTTATTGAACATCACTATGATGCAAGCAAGTACTGTAATAGATAAATGCAATGTGAAAAATATGTCAGTGCCCTCAACAGATTGGTGAGGACATGTGGACTATAATAGTAATGATAATACATTGAAATAATTGCTAGTCGAGGTATGTGTAATGGATTGTGAAAGTGCAGAGGATTGGCATGAATAACAGTTGTGAAGAGTCAGTTAAGGCTTTATAAAAAAGTGATGTCTAACACTGATGAAGGAAATTGAAGGGGAAACCAAAAAATTAAAAAATATTCCATGTTCATGGGTTGGAAGAATCAATATTGTTAAAATATCTATACTACTCAAAGCAATATATATTTTTTAATGCAATCTCTATCAAAATACCAATGACATTCTTGACAAAAATTGAAAAAAAAATCCAAAAATTTATATGGAACCACAAAAGACCCAGAATAGCCAAAGCTATCCTGAGCAAGAAGAACAAAATTGGAGGAATCACATTATCTGACTTCAAATTATATTACAGAGCTATAGTAACCAAAACAGCATGCTGCTGGCATAAAAACAGACACATAGACCAATGGAACAGAATAGAGAACTCAGAAACAAATTCTCACATCTACAGTGAACTCATTTGCAACAAAAATGCCAAGAACATACATTGGGGAAAAAACACTGTCTTTGATAAATGGTGCTGGGAAAACTGGATATCCATAGGCAAAAGAATTAAACTAGACCCCTATCTCTCACCATATACAAAAATCAAATCTAAATGCACCAAAGACTTAAGTCTAAGACCTCAAAGTATGAAACTACTACAAGAAAACATTGGGGAAACTTTCTAGGACATTGGTCTGGGCAAAGGTTTCTTGAACAATACCCTAAGAGCACAGGCAACCAAAGCAAAAATGGACAAATGAGATCACATCAAGTCAAAAAGCCTCTATACAGCAAAGGAAGCAATCAACAAAGTGAAGAGACAACCCACAGAATGAGAGAAAATATTTGCAAACTATCCCCTCTGACAGGGTATAAATAACCAGAGTATATAAGGAGCTCAAACAACTCTATAGGAAAAAAATCTAATAATCTGATCAACCAATGGGCAAAAAATTTGAATGGACATTTCTCAAAAGAAGACATACAGATGGCAAATAGGCATATGAAAAGATGCTCAATAACATTCACCATCAGAGAAATGCAAATTAAAACTACAGTGAGATATCATCTCACCTCAGTTATAAAAGACAGGCAATAACAAATGCTGGCGAGGATGCGGAGAAAAGTGAATTCTTGCACACTGTTGGTGGGAATGTAAATTAGTACAACCACTATGGAGGACAGTCTGGGGGACCTCAAAAAACTAAAAATTGAGCTACTATATGTGTATTAGTTTGTTCTCACATTGCTAAAAATAACTACCTGAGATTGGGTGATTGATAAAATAAGTTTAATTGGCTCACAGTTCTGCAAGCTGTACAGGAAGCATGGCTGGAGAGGCTTCAAGAAACTTACAATCATGGCAAAAGGTGAAGGGGAAGCAGGCACATCCCGCATGGCTGGAGCAGGAGGAAGAGAGAGAGTGGGGAAGTGCTACTGCTATACACACTTTTAAACAACGAGATCTTGTGAGAACTTACTATCACCAGAATAGCAAGGGGGGAATCCACCCATGATCCAGTCACCTCTCACCAGGTCTCTCCTCCAACATTGGGAATTATAATTAAACACGAGATTTGGGTGGGGACACAAATCCAAGCTATATCCACATGATTCAGCAATTCCACTGCAGAGTATATACTCATAAGAAAGGAAAGCAGTATATTGAAGAGATATCTGTACTCCTGTGTTTGTTGCAGCACTGTTTACAATAGCTAAGACTTGGAAGCAACCTAAGTGTCCATCAACAGATGACTAGATAAACAAAATGTGGTCCATATACACAATAGAATACTGTTCAGCCATGAAAAGAATGAGATCCAGTTATTTACAACAACGTGGATGGAACTGGAGATCATTATGTTAAGTGAAATAAGCCAGGCAGAGAAATACAAACATCACATGTTCTCATTTATTTGTGGGATCTAAAAATCAAAGGAATTTAATGGACACAGAAAGTAGAAGGATGGTTACCAGATGCTGGGAAGAATAGTGGGGAGTTGGGGAGGAGGTAGGGATGGTTAACAGATACAAAAATAAAGAAAGAATGAATAAGACCTACTATTTGATAGCACAGTAGGGTGATTATCATCAATGATAACTTACTTGCATATTTTAAAATAAAGAATGTAATTGGATTGTTTGTAACTCAAAGAATAAATGCTTGAGGGGATGGATACCCCATTCTCCATAATGTGCTGATTTCATATTGCATATCTGTATCAAAATATCTCATGTACCCCAAAAATATATATACTATGTACCCACAACAGTTTAAAAAATAATTTAAAAAACTTATTTATTATTTTTTTTTGAGATGGAATTTCGCTCTTGTTGCCCAGGCTGGAGTGCAATGGTGCGATCTTGGCTCACTGCAACCTCTGTCTCCTCGGTTTAAGCAATTCTCCTGCCTCAGCCTCCCGAGTAGCTTAGCTGCCTGGCTAATTTTTTTGTATTTTTACTAGAGACACGGTTTCACCATGTTGGCCAAGCTGGTCTCGACCTCCTGACCTCAGGTGATCCACCTGCCTTGGCCTCCCAGAGTGCTGGGATTACAGGCATGGGCCACCACGGCCGGCATAAAAAACTTTTTAAACAAGTGATTTCTTACCTTGGTATTGAAGGTACGGCAGGATTTCATGAATTAAACCTGGAAGAAGAGGAACCCCAGTTGTTCCAGTCATACAGGCAAGGCCAACACAAAGCAGCCAGCTGCAGGCAATAGCCAGACAATTGCAGATGTGTGAGTGAGGCCACCAGTGTTCAGCAGACAGCAAATATCTGAGTGAGTTCAGCTGACACTAGCAGAAGAATTGCCAGACTTAACCCAGCCTAAACTGCTTCTTATGTATTCATGAGCTAAATAAATGCTGTTGCTTCAGGCACTAGGTTTCAGGGTTGTATGTTACATGGCAACATATTACTGATGTAATCATATTTACTTTTTAGAAAGATTAATAGAAAAGTTGTAGAGAACAGATTACAGGAGATGAGAGTGACTCAGTGAATTTAGGAAACAATTGCAAGATTGTGGGAAACGCCAGTTGCTGTAAATCAGGAGCCTATGTGCCGGAATCCTGGAACTCAGCTTCTTCCTGAGGACTTGTGAAAATAATCAGGATCCTGTCTGACTGATTCCAAAGTACAGCATCTCCTCTGCCATCAAAGGCTGCTTATTTTTGCAATGTTAAGTGACTGTGCAAAATAATCCTACTGCTAGCTTGCTTACCAGGACTTGCATCCTCTTAGAAGAACTTCCCACAAAGCTATGGCAGACTTATTCTGTAACTCCAGGGAATCTCTCTGCCCTCCCTTCTTTTTTCCACACCTCCATCCATTTGAATTTCCCTGTGAATTACTCCTTTGGAAAACTTGTAGACAGCCAAACACACAAAGTCTTTCTTATATGTCATTATTTTCTATTGCTCCAAATTTTAATCCCTGATTCACCTTCTCCCATAGTGCTGTTCTTCTGCCTTCCTCTCTAATGACTTACCTCTGCCCAAACGTTTTCACTGTGCACTTAATTATCCCGATCCATGGTAAAGGTAAGTCCTCTGTCTCTTTATTGAGTGTTTCTTCTGTTGTCCCAAACTTAAAGCTGATTTTATCATGTGGACACTCCTTATCCTGCGGATTTCTCAAATGTATCCTGCTTCATCTTCTACACCTGAGAAATCCTAGAATTTGGAGATGATCCCTGTGTCTTTTTTCCCACTCTGCTACAACTGCTCTTCAAAGGATCAATGACTTGCTAAATGATCAAATCCAGTGGACACGTTCAGTGGCATTGGATTTTTTTTTTTAATTACTGCCTTTTTTGTTGTTGTTGAACTGCTTTTTTACTTTAGATTTCTTAATACATTTCCTACTTTTCTCCTTGAGAATATTTTGTTTTTTCATCTTCTTCAATTTATTTCTTGAATTTTAGTGTTATTTAGGGGTACATGCAAAGTCCTCTTTTCTTTTTACATAATATACAAAACTTCCTTGAATGATCTAATCTTCTCATGGCTTCAGTGACCAACTCTATGTCAATACCTTAAGTTTTAAAGCAAAGTTTTCTCCTGAGATCTGACCCATATGGCCCCTTCTGTTGGAAATTCCAAATTTAAGTCAAGTCAATATGCCCTTTAAACTTATTTCTCTCTCTCTCTCTTTCTCTTTTCTCTTTTATCTCATTTAGAGGTTCCAATACCTAACAGTAACCTAAATGAAGACTTGGCTCCCATACCTCTACCTCCACCAGTCACCAGGTCTTACTGTTTCTAAATGTCTCTGTGATCTGTTCACTTATATTTGTCTGTTTGCATTGCTATTATTCTAGTTCAAATCAACGCCATCTCATTTCTATGTTAATTGAAGATTGGGTCCTTTCCTTTTATTTTCTTTTTTGTTTGAGCTTGAAAGGTAGAGAAATGCAGCTGATAGACTAAAGGATCCCTAACCAAGGCCAGATTTTCAGTAAAGGGAAATCGCAGAGAGGAGTCTGAGACTGAAGAGCAGGCCTGAGGCCACTAGAGGAAGTGATGATCCCAGCACCATCTAAGTGCCACCACGCAGTTGACATGGGTGCTTCTTATAGAGAAGGGTGTGGGTGAATCAGAAGACGTCACCTGCTAGGGAGTTGAAGCCTTTGGGGCTCAGACAGTTTTGCTCTGGGACATCTCTGAGTGAGTCACATTGAGAGAAAGATCATCCTTCTCTGCATGTTGGAATCACTGTGGCCCAGATGAATGAGCAAGGATGCTAACAAGTTGGAGCACCAAGGGAAGCCAGGCCAGGTTACTCCATTGCGCCCACATTTTTGTAGATAGCCAGAGCTTCAGCAAGTAGTGACACTGATAGAGCTTTCCAGAAGGGGTCAGCCAGCAAGGCATTAGCTGCCATTGGGAATGGAAACCTGATCAGGTTATAGCGGTGTTCCACTATCAATAGCAAAGCAGGATGTTAAACGGCAGAGTACAGTAGCTGATGCTATCTGGGTTACCTCATGAGCTGTCATAATAGTAGAAGCTTTAAGTCCAAACTTCCCAACCTGTGGCAAGCATTTATTGATGGGCTATTAATCCCCTCAGCCCTTGGGATGGCTGGGCAGAAACTTGGACAGCTGGAGCCCCCAGGCCTGTTGTGTTAGATCATTTATCCTAACAGGGTAAACAGTATAATTTTCCACAGTGGTATGACGAGATAAATATTGGGAAGTACTGTGGTTTAAGGATCTGCTAACCATCTGCTAGATGAAGTGACAGTTCTATTCCCTCTGTGTTGCAAACTGACTGAAAGTTCACAGTTCAGAGGCTTCTCCTGCCTCCTTGGTAGTTAGCTTAATGTGTACAATATACAGCTGTGTCTGCTTCAATTCTGTCCTAAGCCAGTATTTTACTCATTCATAAAAAAATTACTCCCTTCACCCCTAGGAAATAGATTAATGAACAAGACTGATTAATTTTGTGCCTTCGTGTAGCTTATATTTTAGTGGGGGAGAAATACAATAAAAAATGAGTTATTGTCATTGTGACTTTAATTAAATAAGAATAAATAAATAAGATAAAATAAATAAATAAATAAGAAGAAATAAATAAATAAAACAATGAAATAGACATTTTAAAAGGGAGGTAGTTGTTATTTTAAAATTGAATTGAATTTGGAAAGCTTGATAAAGGTGAATTGTTTAAACATTGCTATTAAATTAGCTTTAAGCAAGCATCCTTAAAAAGTTAAAGAAAAATTCTCATTCTATTTCCACATTTGGCTTGCTGTGCAGGGCTCTTTAAGTTTTCAGGTAACTCTAAAGAAACAGAAACCTGAAATCATAAACCATTTTTGTTATGGTGGTGTATACATAAAAGACAACAGGGAAAAATCCTGAGCAGATCTGTGATCAAGTAGACCTCAAGTTGAATTGGGAAATTAATGTACCTTTACATGTTTTCAATTAAAACACAATGTTTAAAGTACATTTTAATATTTTTCAGATTTAACTGGTTTTTTAAAATTAACAAACTGCATAAATTGCTTTGAATAGGAGAGCTTCTGTCTTAATTCGCTCAGTAAATGTTTATTGAGCCTCAATCATGCCATCAAAACTCTGTTTAGGTACTCTGAGAGATGCAAAAATGAGACAAGAATCTCATTCTTGACAGGCTAGCAGTTTGAATGAGATGAATGCAAAACACTCAAAGACAGTAGGTAATGAGACAGACAATGCATTCCAACCACTAGTCTCTCCTCAAAAATACTAATTAACATCCTCAAACACTTCTCAAAAGTCTTACTTTTAAGAACCTAAAAATTATGAACCTCTGTATATTGTCTGAATTAGCTTTATCCATCATTATCATCTAATCATAAATCACTCTTCCAATAAAAGTATAAAGCAGTAGCCAATACTGTAATGTTTCTAAGATGTTAACAAATGCATCTTAAATGGGTCCTATATTTCATGTAATTATCTTGACACTATGTCTGTATGGGACTGACAATTCTATTCTAAATAATTAACTAAGGAAGGAATGGGCCAGCTTCTAAGGCCACTCAACATCAAAACAACTCATTTTGAATTCCCCTAGCCCTTGTCTCTAATGACACTTCACTCTCCTTAATTATGTGCTTCCTTTCATAGCTCTTCTGTCTTGAAAGGGCAGTTACCATACTTTAAATACAAAAACTCATGACTACTATAGATTTCTTTTTTTGTTTGTTTTTTACAGTTTTCAAAATGCTTTCACATACATTTTTCACTTCAAACTTCTGTCTTCCTTCCATCTCCTAGTTCTCCAAGCCAGATGGAAGAGTCAGCCGGCCTTGCTCCACTCCCAGCAGTCAGTTTTAACTCATAAATCTCTTTCCCCTCTTTCCTTTTATATGATATATCCTTTTATTTTTTAAAAACCACGACTCTTTAAAAAGAAGCTTTAGTGAGGTGTAATTTGCATATGATAAACTGAGCATGTTTAATGAGTACAATTTGATAAGCTTCAGCTGAGGTATATGCTGGTGACAGCATCATCACTCTCAACATAAGGAACATACCCATCATTCTCAAAGTGTCTTTGTGCCCTTTCAACCCCTTCCTCACACTTCACATCCCCAGTCATCCGCTGATCTAGTATCTGTTCCAGATCCCAAAGTCAGGCTGAGAGGTAGTAGACAAAGAACTGTGGAATGTTCCATTAACTCCCCGTTTGCTTACCCTATGAGGTTATCTAACTAGTTGGGGGCTAAATCAGGGATCAGCTTCCTATTTTCTGTGCAAACCTCACAAGCTGCATGTACTGTAGTGTTCACAGTGCTAACCGTGGGAGAAAGAAACTCCAATAAAGGGGTTGCTTATCAAATGGTCCAGGAATGTGCCACAAAGGAAGAGGGTACAATTGGCTTAAGATCTACATGAAGGGACAATGAGGAGCATTTCTGAATGGGTAGGTCAAGCCAGAGGAACATATGTCTAAGCTTTGGGACTTGAAATAGAGTTCTTTTTCAATTAAGAAGTTGCCCTGTGAAAGCTGCCAATAACTCAGGGTAGGGGGTTTATGGAGATTATATAATAGCAGTGGAGGAAAGAGAACATAAAGTAGGGATGGAAATAAATAGAAATTTATTAGCTTGTAAAATTATATATGAGCATTGGAAGGAACCTCAAGAATCATCTAGTCAATGCTCTGATTTTTGTGTCATAAAAACAAAGTATGCAGGTCATCCAGTTCACTTGTGGCAGATCTAGAGCTAGGATCCAAGCCTCCGATTTTGATTTTGTAGGATTATTTTTCCTTGCAGAATTAATATTACTATAGATAATGCCTAAGAATATTAGGCTCTGCTAAAATTAGCTGCTCTGTTTGGTGGTGAGATGCAGAAATTTGTATCTTGGGATGGTGGTTGCAAGTCCTTGTGACTAGGCGAAAAATATTCCCCAGTAGCTCTTGATTAGTCCCCATATCACTGGAGCAAGGGGCTAAAGATATATATTTGTAGATCTTTGAGATAAGAATTGTTTCACATTGTGCTGATGATATTATTAGAAGTATAAATTATTGAGCTATGTCCAACATAAAGTTATTTTCTGACTTGTGCAGACACAGAGTTAAATCATAAACCATGTATGTTATAATGGTGTATGCATAAAAGACAACAGGGAAAACTGAACATACCTGGGACCAAGCAGACCTCGAGTTGAACTGGGAAATTAATGTGCATACCCTGTGTATGGGGTAGAAAATGGAGAAATAATATTGTCTAAGTTTATTTGTTTCCTATGGCTGTTTTTCTGTCCACATCCCTGTCATTTCTAATCTGACCTCAGGCCTGTGAGCTGAAATTCACAGTTTTATCGTGTTTTACCTTTCCCTTTTCAGCTTAATTTGTCTCCTTTCCTGACAATAGGTCACACTGATTCACACAAAACATTTATTGGAAACCAAGAGGAACCTGTTTATTGTTTATATCTTTTTGTTTTAAAAATGTGTGTGTACATATATACAAAATATGTGTCTCTATGTCTATCTATACATATACACATATTTAAATGTTTTCCTATGCTGTCCATAGCTAATTTTGTTGTTTACTTTGGTATGATACTTATTTGCAAAATACCTCTGTGAATATCCTGATAATGGACTTCTCTTGTAACCATTCATTTTAATCCTATCATATGTAGAAAACCAAAAATCCTGTGTTCAAATTGCCTGTGCCTTTCCATGTGTACTCACATCCCAATATAGTCACCACCAAGAATAATGAAATACAAATCCTACATTTTTTCAAGCTTAGGGAAGATGGCATGACAAATAGCTACTTTTCTTTCAGTTACCTCTAGTTATAAGGCTCGGATTGCATTTGTAAAGCATTAAAACATTTCCAAGTTTTCCAGATGCTCTCATTTTGTACCCTGGCTGTCTGTTTTCTGTGTTCTCTGGTGATTTTTCATCTCAAACTCATACTTTTCAAGTTCCTCAGGGCTTCTCTTCTTTCTACACATTCTCTTGTGATTTCATCTATTTCTGTGGTTCTAAATAAGATCTTTTAGACTCAGCAGGGGTGTCCAATCTTTTGACTTCCCTGGGCCACAGTGGAAGAAGAACTGTCTTGGGCCATACATAAAATACATTAACACTAATGATAGCTGATGAGCTAAAAAGAAAATCACGAAACAACCTCATAATGTTTCAAGAAAGTTTACAAATTTATGTTGGGCTGCATTCAAAGTCATTCTGGGCCGCAGGTTGGACAAGCATGTTTTAGAGGATAACTCCAGTACTGACTATGCCTACAATTCCAGACTTATAGAGCCAACTGGTCACTTGACATTTCTATTTAGATATCAAAGAGGCATCTCAAACTTAACATGGCCCAAACGCTTACTTTCTTGTTCTTCAAATCTCCTCACTCATCTTCATTTCAGTAAATACTATAGTGCATTACTTCCCCAAATAACTTAAACTAAAAATCAAGTTATTGTTTGTGTCTCTACTTTTATCATAATCACTTATCAGGTCCTTTGGACACAACCTCCTGAGTGAGGGGTGTTCGTTCTTTGATGCTTAAAGTTGTACAATCCTTTTTTCTTGTAGAGCCAGTATGATCATATCACACCTGTTTTTAACTCTCTAACCACTGCTAATCACAATTAGAATAAAATTCACTCCTTGCCCTGGTTTATCAAGCGCCTTTAGATCCAGGCTATCTTTACGTCATCAACTAATCTCATAGTGCTGGTCACTAGTTAATATTTTTCTTATTTATTGTCCCCTTTTCCCATTTTTCGAAGTGTAAATTCCATGAATGCAGATTTTTATTATCAGTGCCAGGCACTTTGTAAATGCTCTATTTATCTATCTATCCATATTAAATAAATGAATGGTGTGTTAAGCTAAGTGAATTATAGCCCCTAAAGAGCAACTATACTCTTAAATTTTCTAAAAATGATTACCTTGCTTTAATCTCTATTCATGAAGAATTTAGTTTTATGATGATAAAACAACTATAGGGTTCTAAAGGCCTAAGTGATTCCAGTTGAAATGATTATGCTTTTTCATTTTTTTATTGATTTATTAAACAACTCTGATCAAAATAATATACGTCAGATGGGATAAATTCAAAACTACCAATGGATGACATACATTCTTTTTAAAACCTTTTAATATCTTTTAATATTATATACTTTCTTACGGTCACTGGATGAGGTCCATAGACTGCATTAAATTCTTATAAAATATGGCTTTTCTACTGAAGGAGGATAATTAATTTGAGCAGTGTAAGGGGAAAGTTAGCATATTGTTGCGCCATTTTCTGGAAGAAATTATCTGTGTGCTCAAATGGCTGATTAAAAGCTGTGACAATGTCTGGCACCTAAAAAACAAGGAAAAATCCCTACCAACATATTTCTGCTCAATTTTTTTTTTTACTATTTTAATGGGCTCTTCCAATGCCAGAGAGCCCTACCACATCAATGTGGATACAGAAGTAACATCACCAAAGAATAGAACACATTTGAAAATAGACTTGCCTAGGAATGAAGGTGGTTTAGAAAAAAAGATAATACATGTAGATTACAAATAAAGCACTACTAAAGCTAATGGCTGGATATTTAAAAAATGCGTTCATCAAATAAATCCTGTAATCTTGAACAGTGATGTTTCCATTAGACGCTTATTTATCTACCTAGTTTGTCCGTCAGTTTAAAGTGATTTCATTAATCATTTTATGTTTATCGTTTGATGTAAAGCAACATATTCTCTCCCATCGTTATATGTTAATTTAATCATCAGTTTATGTTTGTGTACGTTTACACAATTCTATTTGGATGGTTATTTTACTTCCTATTTGAGATTATTGAGATAAACAAGCAGCTTTCGATGCTAAAGATTTAGGGCTTAACATCAAAACGTCTGACTGAGCAATACAGTAAGTAGCCGAAACTCTTTCATGCACAAGACTGCTTATGGGAGTATATCACAGGCAGCATGGACTTATGCAAAAGAGTGAATGAGAGGTCTCCCCGAGGAGCTTCTTCAGATGTTCCTATCCTCAGGCACATACCCTCACTGGATGCTGTGGTATAAGACCTAAAAGTAAAGCCCAATATTATGTGCTGCTTTGACGTTTGGTGAAATCAGGAATGATCATTTGGCTTAACCCCAAGTTCCACTTCCCACTCTGCTCCTGTAGATACGGTTCCCCAGACAAACAAACCTTCTTATTAAGGAGACTAGGTGCAATTTCTGCTTATTCCTAAGTAGTAGGTTTCAATTCTATACCAGTTGTCTTAGTCCATTTGCTGCTATAACAGAATAGTATAAATAGGCTAATTTATAAAGAAAATAAACATATTCCTCATTGTTTTGGAGGCTGGAAGTCTAAGAGCATGGCCCTAGAATCTAGTGAGGGTCATTCTGTGGCAGAAGGGCAGGCAGCAGAAATGAGCATGCATGGCAGAGAGAGGAAATGAGGGCTGAATTTCATTATTTTATCAGGAACTCATTCCCACAATAACTAACCTGCTCCGTAAATAATGGCATTAATTTATTTATAATGGAGGAGCCCTATGACCTAATAACTTCTTAAGGCCTCACCTCCCAATACTGTTACATAGGCAATTAAATTTTGGCATGAAATTTTTTTTGTGCGGGGCGGGTGGCATTCAAACCACAGCCCCAGCCCATGGAATTATTATTCAAGCAAGCCATTTCTGTCTTCCCAGCAAGAACGCAGGGTACCTCACCCTTTTGATACTATAAAGCCTGCAACCCGGCGCGGTGGCTCACGCCTGTAATCCCAGCATTTTGGGAGGCCGAGGCGGGCGGATCATCTGAGGTCAGGAGTTTGAGACCAGCCTGGCCAACGTGGTGAAATCCCGTCTCTACTAAAAAATACAAAAATTAGCTGGACTTGGTGGCAGGCGCCTTAATTCCAGCTACTTGGAAGGCAGAAAAAAAAATACTACAAAGTCTGCTTTCCATAGCCCTAGGCTGTTCACTCTATTCATGAATGACCTTGCGTGGCATGTGACGTTCTGTTCCTCTGGACTGTAAGTATTTGTGACTAATAAATGATTGTCAATATCGTAAGTCCAGTTTCAGTTATTGTATGTCTGGTCATCCCATTACCCTAAAGTGGGAATCGCTCCCTCATCAGTGGGTGAATAGGAGGTGATTAAAACAGACCCTCCCCTGCCACTCCCACCCACCATGTGCTTGGCCCTACACCAGTATATTGCTACTCAATGTCTTCGGACATTCTGATATGTCACTGCTGACCTTGTGCTTAGAAATATGTCTTCTTGTATCTGTGCTCTGAGGGTAAGACATGGCATTCAGAAAATAGCATAAATCATCTGGTTCCATATGCTCAAATATATTTTAACTGTGACAATCTATTTGACTATCTATAGAAAAGATAACTACCTTAGTTCTAAGACAATAGTAGGTTAAAATTTTAAGATTTAAAAAATTTTCGTGGTGAGAATGTTATACTATCAAACAAGTCATTGACAGAAGTCTGGATCATGTGAAACACATAAATGGCCTGCTTTGCACATAAATAAACCTCTGAAGAAGTTTAGGACGTTTGAACTGGTAGAAGAAAGGTAGAAAAAAGAAAGTGAATAGTGTTCTGAATAAATAACAATAGCTGGTATTTACTAAGCACTTACTATATCCGGTGATTTCCATGCATTTTCTCACTTAGTTCTCACAATAAACTTATGAAACTATTATCATAGATTACAAACAAAGCGAAAATAAAACTCCAAGATGTAGCAAGTTAAATAAGTTAGCCAGGGCTAGAAAGTGGGGAATATAAGGTAGGAGTCTACCAATCTGTCTAAATCCAGGTCTAGGATCTCAAAAAAACTTCCTACCTTTCAGTAAATATACATGCATCAGTAGTGAGTCACATAAATCAAGAATGGTACACTAATTTGCAGCTCCAACACTCGCTAGCTGTTTAGTCTTAAGCCAGGTGTGTCTGATCTCCTTAAAATTGTTTTCTCTTTTATGATAAACAAAAAGCTAGCAAACAAAAAGTACTTTAGAGCACTGCTATAAGGATTTACTGAAATAATGTAACTTAAAACACATGGAATGTTTGTTGTGCTTATTTCTAATCACTGTTTTATTCAGTCACCCATTCAGTAAATATTTTCTGATCTGCTAACATGTGCTAGCTACTGTTATGGATACTTGGATTATGTCAACAAAAAAAGCAAATAGTCCTACCTTCATTCACATCTTACTCCATTCATCAGATAAATTCCAAATGAATCAGAGTCAAATATAGAATATAAAATCATACAACAACTAGAAGAAAATATAAGTAAGTAGCTCTAAAACCTAAAAGTGAGGAAAACGTTTCTCACTGTGACTTAATATTCACAAGCAATATAGAAAATTGATTACATTATTTTTAAATTTAATTAATTGTATTAATTACATTTAATTAATTAATTAATTAATTTTTGAGATGGAGTCTCCCTCTGTCACCCAGGCTGGAGTGCAGTGGTACGATCTCAGCTCACTGCAACCTCCGCCTCACGGGTTCATGCGATTCTTCTGCCTCAGCCTCCCAAGTAGCTGGGATTACAGTCATGTGCTAATTTAAAGATTAAAAAAACCTGAAAACTTTTGTATGGAAAAAGGCACCAAAAACAGCATAAAAAGAAAAACAGCTCACAAAAATATTGGTGAGGAGAATATTATGTATTAAAATTGATAAAGCAGCAGCAGGTTTAGAGAGGATTCACTCCAATTTTGAAAGAATTTCCAATACAGGTAAAATGCTATCAAACAGTATCACATGCTACAGGGAAATCTTTCATGAAATGAAGAGTAAATTGATGCAACAAACTTCATTGTTGTCTTATTTTTAAAAAAATGCAACAGTCTATAGTCCCAGCTATGCAGGAGGCTAAGGCAGAAAGATCCCTTGAGCCCAAAAGCTTGAAGCTGCAGTGAGCTATAATTATGCCACTGCACAAGACATAGCAGGATTCTATCTCTTAAAAAAATTGCCACAGCTATTCCAACCTTCAGCAACCACCACTCTGATTAGTCACTAGCCATCTACATCGAGGAAAGATGCTTCACCAGCAAAAGGATTATGACTCTATGAAGGCTTAGATGATTATTAATGGGTTTTAGCAATAAAGTATTTTAAATTATGGCATGTACATTTTTTAAGAAACAATGCTGTTGCATACTTAATAGACTATAGTGTACTGTAAATATAACTTTTATATACACTGGGAAAACAAAAAAATTGTGCAACTTGCTTTATTGCTATATTCACTTTATTACGGTTGTCTACAACCAAACCCACAATATTTTTGAGATGTGCTTTCATTCTGATAGGGATTGCATTGACTCTATAGATTGCTTTGAATAGTAATGGTCATCTTGACAATATTTATTCTTCTAATCCATGAACACGGGATATCTTTTCATTTTTTTTTTTTTGCATCTTCTTCAGGGGCACTTCATTTTATCACACACAATGATATATTACTAGGGCTTAATATCCTCGTATGACAGCAGAAAACTCCAATTAGTTATCTCTTAAAGAGTTGAAAATGGCATTTAAAAAATCTTTCATAAATTAAGAGGATTATTAAATTTACAGATATTAATGCAAATCATTCTTCAACTCAATGCTAGTAAAAAATCCATGATGCTCCGGTGGGAAAATATCAGGTAAGAAAGAAGACTGACTCCTAACAGAAATGACAATAGATTAAGGAACTCTCACCAGACTCTACAGAAATCCTGGAATACTCAGCTCTTACACAACAATGCCCTGTGCAGATAAATTGATGGCCAAATGAACTCTCACAATGCCACTTCTACTCCAATAGACTTCTATACCATAAACATGTTATCCTTCGCGTCAGTCATCAAGTGACTGAGTCACATTTGCCAGGATTTAAATCAAAGATATGTACAGGATATTGAAGAGATACCAAGGGAACAGTTAATTTAAACACAAGTTAACTGGGGAAAGAGAGAATGAGGAATAATGATGATGGATATATGTTTTTTTTTAAGGAATAATGAAAATGTTCTAAAAATACAGTGTAATGATGATTGAACAACTCTGGATATACTAAACGCCACTGAATTGTGTGGCTTTTAATCACTTTAAAAGGATGATTCATATGGTATTTGTGGTGTCTATATACATATGAATAAATCTGTTATCAAAAAAGTAAAGCAGAGATCTATAGGAAAATGGTTGATTTTCTGTCTGGGGCAGAAAATGTGTGAGATGAGCCTGGATCCATTGGTCATGTCAGAAAGTGAGAAATCTATTAAAAATCTGTATGTTGTACCATCAATATTTAGAAACCAGCTTGAATATGCTCACAGTGATCAAAGATGGGGCAACTTACACATCAATAAGAAAGTAATTGACATAAAGTAAAACACATAAAACATGTCCAAGAATTGGCAAGGCAACTAAAAAAATTCCTCATCAATCATCGAATAAATCTTTTGTGGTTACATAACCAGTTGCGTTGCCATTGTTTTTTTTTTTTTTTTTTTTTTTTTTTTTAGCTTAAAACAGCAGTATTTACTACTGCACAGTCTCCATGAGTCAGAAGTTTGGGCACAGCTTATCTTTATCTTCTGCTCAGAGTCTCACAAAACTGCAGTTGAGGTGCCAGTCAGGCCTGGCTCTCATCTATCTTGGTCAGTGCTACTGTCATTTGAGACCTGTGGGACACCGTCAAACAGACCAACATAAACCTGATGGGAGTTCCTGAAGGAGAGGAGACAGAGAAAGTGGTGGAAAGGGTAACTGAAGAAATAATGGCTGAAAACTTTCCAAATTTTGTGAGAGATAAATCTACACATTCAAGAATCTAAACAGGCAGGGCGTATTGGCTCATGCTTGTAATCCCAGCATTTTGGGAGGCGGAGGTGGGCGGATCACGAGGTCAGGATATCGAGACCATCCTGGCTAACACGGTGAAACCCCGTCTCTACTAAAAATACAAAAAAATTAGCTGGGCGTGGTGGCGGGCGCCTGTAGTCCCGGCTACTAGGGAGGCCGAGGCAGGAGAATGGTGTGAACCTGGGAGGTGGAGCTTGCAGTGAGCCCAGATCGCGCCACTGCACTCCAGCCTGGGTGACAGAGCAAGAGTCTCAAAAAAAAAAAAAAAAAAAAAAAAAAAAAAAAAAAAAAAAAAAAAGAAGAAGAAGAAGAAGAACCTAAACAAACTACAAATAGAATAAACTTAAAGATTTCCACAGCTCAACACTATATGATCAAATTGTTGGAAGTCAAAGCAAAGGTAACCTCAAAAGCACAAGACAAAAATGACTCATTCCATTAAGGAAACTTCAATAAAATTAACAGTCTATGGTATATTTGTTATGAAAATCCAAAGAAAGTACAATTGTATACTTACAATTTTAGAAAGGATTAAATGTTATTGGAAAGTGGATGGTGTATGGTGAGGATGTGCAGTATTCAGTAAAATGATCAATAAAATGTGTAATTTACATATCAGAATACATTCTGGAGCAAGGAGCAAGGAGAAGGAATAGAGAGTAAGTTGATATCTATGTCTTAATCTGTTTTTTTTCTCCGTTTTGGTTTCTGTTCATGATGGTATATCATAATCTCTTATACGTGTGTCTACTTACATGCATATATTACATATTCATAAAACATTTATTTGTAAAATTAATAGTTTCATGTTTAGTAATGGCAATGCTATAGAATTTATTGTAGACGTATGAAACTGTATATAGTTCTTTTATCTCTCTAAAATCAAAGTGAAACCTTTTCTTTATCTAAATAATTATACCCCACTTTGTAGTTTTATGCCGTTTACTTTTTCTATGTGGAGCCAAATATAGCCATATAAGATGTATGTACTAAGATTTTTGAAATATATTTAATTTTTTAAAAACCTATTTTATATTTTATTGGATTTTTTTGTCACTTGCTGTATATTCTGTAGCAATAATTTCTATTAAAAAGAGTTTAATGATAAAAATGATGATGGGTTATTTTAATGAAGTTCTACCATATAAAACATACTCAGAATAATTTTTATTTTAATAAGACTAGATATCTTATTGAAATTCACCACAAACTTGACAAAGAAGAGATTTTTTTTTTTTAACCATTTACCATTACTTTGTGGGATTGCTTTTGGTTTATTGTCCTGTTATTCTAATACTGAATTGATATTTTGCATGACAAGCCTTATTAATTTGCCAGAATTATTCCTCCTGGCAACATCTATTCAGAATGCATTGTAGAAGCAGGTAGAGGGTTAGTGGGGAAGGATGGAAGTAAATAATTTAATGTATTAGAGAGGAAAATGTGATGCAAGAGCCGCAGAGGAAATTCTATCAATTTGAATAATAGACAGTGAGAGTTCTTGAGTTCTTCAAAACATTAGTATCTTTGTAGTAGGGCTTTGAGAATTAGGGTTGAGTGATCCTAACATCATCTGGCATTGGTTTACCTTCAACAGATCCTCAACTAAAGCAGTTTAGACAGAAGTAGAAATCCATTAA
This sequence comes from Homo sapiens, assembly GCF_000001405.40. Classification (NCBI taxonomy): domain Eukaryota; kingdom Metazoa; phylum Chordata; class Mammalia; order Primates; family Hominidae; genus Homo; species Homo sapiens. The sequence goes on from NC_000021.9 coordinate 18,129,684, forward strand.
AAATTATTTGCAGGAGGATATTTATCAAATTCTCCCTGTGGACCACTTATCCGGGGGAAATCATATTTGGACAAGTTCTGATAATACAAAAATGGTGTGATGTTCCTGGAATGAGGCTGATAAATTGCTTGGCAGTTGCAGTGCAAAAAATATATGCATGGTGTTGGGTAATAAATACATCTTTAGTATTCTCTCTCTCTGTCTTTCTCTGTGTGTGTGTGTGTGTGTGTGTGTGTGTGTGTGTGTCTGTGTGTGTGTATGAGCAATTCTAAAAGAAACTATATCTGTATGACAGATAATTTTTTAAGCCAAACATATTTTGGAAGGCCAAGAAGCTTGTTTCTTTCCAGATTTTCACCGGAGCAAGGAGAAGGAATAGGGGGCAAGTTGATATCTATGTCTTAATCTGTTTTTTTCCCCCCAGTTTTGGTTTCTGGTTCATGTGGTCATGGCTATGATGATTAGTCAATAATGCAGATATTTACTTAATCTCTGTATATTACAGTTTCCTTACTTGTAAAGTGGTAATAATCGTATCTTTGTTATGGGGTTATTTTGAAGACAAAATTAGATAATTATTACAAAATGCTTAACGCCAGCCTGGCAAATAAGAAGTGCTCAATGAATGTTAGGTATTATTATTATTCCTAGTGCTCATTGTCATCCACATAGGTGGCTGGTAGAACTGACTCTATCTTCTCTCAGCCTTTGTGCATAGTTAAAACAATTCTTGGCCAGTGAAATGGATATTAAAATAGCTTGAGGTGTTTTAATACTTTAAATAGAGTATAGAGTGGGTCTGTGTCAATACAAATAGTTTTAGAAAGTCAGAGGGATAACAGGGCTGATTCCTGGGAATGAACAGTGCACCCTTAAATGACAACAAAGTCAAACATTCAGCACTCAGTGGAAATAGCATGAGTAGTCATAATAAATTGGCCATAGTAACAGGCATTAACCAATCTGCTTGAAAAAAATCTGTTCTTTAAATCAGCTGATGGAAGTGCAAAGTCAATAGGTAAAAAGATGTAGGATATTACCCCCAAATTTTAGTTTGGCAAATGCTTTTTTCCATTATTCGAAATCGATAGATATGTCATGGTTTCCACTAAAGAATGTTATTTATTCAATTACTTACATTCATATTGAATCCTTTCAAATACTGAAACATGTTGAAGTGGTCTTTTTGATATGCTACATCTGTACCCTTATTTATTTTGTTAAAGAATCTGAGTCAGCTTGGGCAACCATAAATATACTATAGACTGGGTGGCTTAAACAACAGAAATTTATTTATTGTCTTACAATTCTGGAGGCTGGAAGTCTGAGATCAAGGTGCCAGAATGGTCAGTTTCTGGTGAGGTCCCTTTTCTTGGCTTGCAAATGGCCGCCTGGCTTGCAAATGGCAGGGGAAAAGAGAGGAAGACAGAGAGAGAAAGAGAGAGCAGAGAGAGAGAGACAGAGAGAGCAGAGAGAGAGAGAGAGATTGAAAACAATCTCTCTGGTGTCTCATCTTATAAGTGCCTTTATAAGGGAATAGTAAAGGGCCCTGCCTTCATGACCTAATTCCTCTCAATGGCCCCAGCTTCCTACATACTGGGGGTTAGGGTCTCAACATATAAATCTGGGGGGGACACAAATATTCAGTCCATTCAATATCTTAATGAGGTAGAAAACGTTTCATAAATAAGCAATATCACAAATTATTTGAAACATTTCAATGTAAATCTATTCTCATCACTTTGGTATACATTTCAATTTACGAACATTTTGTTTAATGTAACAATAAATTAGAATGTTGAAAGTTGACTTTGGGTAAATATTTAATTTTTCTCACAAGGAAAATTTACTCCTGGCCCCATTTTCCCCAGTTATTTTCATCCTGTAATTTAAGTATGCAATATTTGATCTTCCCATTATCTTTGCTTTAAAACTTATTTTGGACACTGGTTTTTTAATAATGATGAAAGTCATAGCACCACAGTCCCTATATCATTCCTGGGTATGCCTCCTTGCAGTCACTCATTGCTTGTTGTATAGATGACAGAAAGAGCCTTGTAGCTGGTCTTTCTGTTTTCAGTCTGATCCATGTTAAAATTATTACCAACACAACAGTTAAATTCTCCTTCCCTTTTTCCTGCTCTTCTTTTTTTAAACCTTTTTTCTGCCCTTATTTCATTCTTCCATTATTTTTTAAAAGAATTATCTTTTTTAAAAAGTTACATGGGGTACAACTTATTTTTCCTAATTCTTTACCTTCCTATTCTGAAAATAAGTTATGTAACTGATTTTACTTGTGATCATAAGACTTGCTTTACATCAATACAGAAAGAGCATTTTTCATTTAAAAGGTTGATTAAAAATATAGCCATTGTTTAATATTTCTCTTTGTCAAAGTTCTTTTTTTATTATTATACTTTAAGTTTTAGGGTATATGTGCACAATATGCAGGTTTGTTACATATATATACATGTGCCGTGTGGGGTTTTGACCATTAATTTTAAATTTATGAGTTCATTTTATTATCTCTTTAGTTAACAAGAAAATAGAAAAAAAATGGCATGGGGAAAATTGTGAGGAAAATGTTTCTAAAAAGCTATTGTCAAAGTTCTCCTTACTAGAAAAAAGGATTGTGAATTCTTCCCACTTCTCACTTATCATCTGATTAAGCATTTTGCAGATATGACATCTAGATATGGGAAAACATAAGAAAAATATTCCAATTACTTAGGTGTCCTCCAATCCTTGGAAGGCACTCAGCCTGATAAAAGTGAGTTCTTTGACATAATATTTTGCATAACTAAAGTTCAAACTTTATTGTTTTAACATCTATACATCTATATGTAAGCAATACCGTATGCCAGGAACAAGTTTCTATTATAGATCTGAATTTGTCCTCCCTTAGCTAGAAAGATCATTTTATCTAGGCCAGAAGAGAATTGCTGTTACATTCTCAGCATAGGAGCACCTTACCTGATTCATGAATTATAAGTTGAATTCCATATCCAACTGTATTTGCGTTCTTATCTATTCAGATCTTTGTTGTTTTTGTATATTAACATGTTTTCTCTCACTGTACTAGAAATCTTTTTGTTCCCTTTTTTATTAAAGGCATTTGTTGCACTCTCCTTGGCTGGCCCTCCTCCCACCTCCATCCCGTCCAATTATGTTTGTAACTTCCTGACATATAAATGTTGATAGTAGTATGAAAAGAGATTATCTAGTATAATACACTGTCAAATATGAGTTTTTTTGCTACTGCTTTCTTACAACCTATGACTCTCGAGTCTTTGAAAGCCTAATGAAACTATTGGCAATTCTGTAATTCATTACTTTGTACTCTACAGTGCTTGTTTAACTCTTATGGGGTTTGTTCTATTAAATTACACTCCATAATAATAAAAAAAAAGACTTGCTTTGGCTATTGAAATGTTAGAAAAAGCGGTGTATGTCTATGCAGAAACTTTAAGGGCTTTCTGGCAGTTTTCTGATTGTCAAAACAAAATATAAAAGCCCTTTGTGTGCAATCCCTTCTGGATTCCTCTGTATTGGTAACCACTGCCAATTGTTCGATGTTCATTATTTCTTGTCTCTTTTCTATGCCTGCATGTACACCTAGATATATAATTATGTAACTTAAGTGGTCCAATTCTCTGTTTCATTTAGGATGCTTTTGCTATACCTAATAGAAAATTTCTTCTGAGACCTTACATATAAATAAAGTCCTTATGGATTAAAGAACTAACATGAAAAATTGTGAAATAATTAGAAGAAAATTCACATACCCATGCACACACACATACTATTTGCATGGGTTTCATGCATTTCTGCATATCTTGTATCCACTTTTATTCTGGACAATCTTTACAGGAAGTTTGTACAGCAAACAGAGTTCCCTTGTGGCAGAAAGCAAGTAAATTTACTGTCCAGGATAATAAAGATAATATCTGCTTACAGGAGAAAGGTTAGGCAGATTTGCGTATAGCCCCCTTTAGAAGGTTGCCATTTCTTAAGCTCAGGGCTCATCAACTCAAACATAAGCCAACTATATGTATAACATATATGTGTAAGCATCACTCTGTAGGGCACGGGGGTGATAGGAATCTTTATGAACATGAAGCTCACACTCATACTGCCTATTGTGTGGCTAATAAATTCTTTTGTCACTGAACTGGGAGTCCCATCTCTTCTGCCAGCATCTATAAAACTGTGTCAGAATAACTTAGTTTGCAAGTAGTTCAAAATCTCAGATATTTCTTAGTTCCTGAATATATCTGTGTCTACTATTATATCATCTGTATCAATTACCTATCTATCTCTCTATCATCTATCTATCTAGAGATATATCTGAGCAATTTGCTTTGGCAATAGTAATAATTTTTCTAAGCACGATATACACATTTACACAATGATGAACAAAAGTCTAGGCAGGGAGGCGGGTATAACTCTCTCATGCCCCTTTTTATATATTCACATCTATGTTCTACTTAAATCTTTCAGTGATTCTTCAGCACCTTCATGATGAGGTTACCACTCTTTTGTTATCTAGGTGTGCATATGCCTCTGCCTGATCTTGCCATTTTTATACTTGGATGATCTCTTTTGCCACTGTTAACTTGTGGATCTCTCTGATGCTATTGATAAACAGTGGTGACTTCACTTTTTAGTCCACTGAGTGAAAGGTGGAGGTGTTTTAAGTCAAGCTGGCATCTCACTCTTGTAGGTGGATCTCTAAGTTTGCTATCATTTCTGTGGCTCATCTTTCTTTGCTCCTTTCCTTCAGACTGAATACATTGAACTGTATACAATATAGGTAATATAGACCTGCAACCGAAGGGCCACAAGCTCTCAGAATGTTAGTACGTGGGCTGAGGAACAATGAAAGATGGTATGGGCTTAACGTATTATGCAAATGAAAGTCTTTTCAAACTGAGTTTAATAAATACTCCTTCTACCATTTCTTCCCTTTTCAGCTATCCATTTAAATCCATCATGCTGAGGCACTTCCTCCCTTCCTGAAGGTACTTTCACCTCTCTCACAAGAGGAGGAGATTGCAACTTAAGTTTTGCACATTTGGGTGACACTTTAAGATTCAGCCAAATACTAATAGATCTTTCCTTTGATCAAGCCATAAAGGATTTAGAATGAGAAGTGGCATTAATTCCAATCTATCTGTTACTAGAGAGAGCTATGTTAGTCTTTATTGGCTTACCTATGATGTAAATAAACCACACCAAGGTGAAAGTTCATATAAAAAATTAAGTTAACAAAGATGTGCTTTTTCTTATTAGCCTGACTTTGATCTTGCTCATTGGGAATAGTAAATTTTACCACTGATATGACTATGAAAAGTTTTGCTTTTTCTTGACTCACTTGAGCCATGTTTGCATTATAAGAAAAACTACACTTACCGTAAGTAAATGGCACTCTCTATCTCTCTTTCTCCTATTGAAGTGTAATGGTGCCAATCCTGATTACAGTCTTTTATTATTATATACGAGGAAAATTCTATTTCATCCTGTTACACTTGAGTTTTCATTTAATCAGTTTACAGGTTGCCCTTTGCCAATTCTGTTAATTTAATTTCCTAACATTTTCATTTATGCGCTCTCAGTTCCAACTGTTTCAAACTCTTCAGGTTCCCTACTATGAGTTATTGATTTTTTTTTTCATTTTCATGAAGCTTCATTCAAGCAAAATCTTACATGAAACTCAAAAATACAGAATACATAAGAACACAGTTGCTTCGATGGAAGCAATTGAGTAGCCTCAGCGTTCCATCCAATTATCTTTTTCCAGCTCCAATCCACAGACTGCCATATTTCTCACAACTTCTGTCCACTGTCTCCCACTCCTTCATCTGGTCAATCCCTTCTCCTATATCAATTTTTAATTCTTGGAAGTCTTTTCTACCCTGCCATTATCTCTGAGATGTCACAGCAGTCAAATCTACCTCTATCATAGTACATCACATCTATCTGTTAGAGTGGGGTATCTCTCACTGACAAAGGGTCAGATACTGTTTGAAACCAAATATGACTCTTGCATTTTGTGTTCCTAATGCCAATAATAGTACCCAAGCCATGGTAGTTGTTCAATATAAGTGTTTTCTGAGTGAATGTATGGATAAATAAGAATTTCTGGCCAGGCGCAGTGGCTCATGCCTGTAATTTCAGCACTTTGGGAGGCCAAGGCGGATGGATCATGAGGTCAGGAGATCAAGACAATCCCGGCCGACATGGTGAAACCCCGTCTCTACTAAAAACACAAAAATTACCTGGGCATGGTGGCACGTGCCTGTAGTCCCAGCTGCTTGGGAGGCTGAGACAGAAGAATCACTTGAACCTGGGAGACGGAGGTTGCAGCGAGCTGAGCTTGCGCCACTGAACTCCAGCCTAGCGACAGAGCAAGATTATGTCTCAAAAAAAAAAAAAGAAAAAGAAAAAAAAGAAAAAATGAATTTCTACAGTGACATCTCTGCCTTAAAGCATTTGTTTTTTGTATGTTCATTTTACTCAACAAATATAACCAACTGTTAGTTCTCCATCATCAAGGAAAAAGAGGAATGAAATGCACAATATTAAAATACTTCAGTTTGGGATTAGGATTACTTCTATTTTTAATGGATACTATTTCCTTTGATTTTCTGGGCAGTCTCATGTTTTTCTCAAAATCATTGAGCACCACGATAAAGTTGACTTAGACAGAAATTGAACAGTGCCTAAGTTTGACTGTTTCTATTCCCTTTTAAAATGCTTCCCATGTACCACACAGCCCAGGAATGGGGATCATCATCTCTCAGGTGAATGCAAATTGACATCCTAAAATGAGGCACCACTGAGTGTTTTATATACCTTGCCACTTCCCTAGGAGAAGTAATTATTTGGTACAAATTACATTTTTACTTAGTAGCTTATCCTGTGGGAGTGTGTGTGTGCGTGCGCACACACATATACACGTTGGGGCCAAAAGAATCTTAAGTGTAGACTATTTACAGAGTAGCAGATACTCTCAATGAAGAAGGTAAATCAAAGCATATATATATATATATATATATATATATATATATGTATACACATACATACACACACATATGCTCACATATATGATATACATCATATATCCATATATATATAAATATATAAATAGTTTTTGTTAGGAGCCATATTATATAATCTGCTTTGGTGTGATAATCCCATAAGATGTGCTTAATTTAAAGTCCAATGCCCTATACCATGACATACAGAAAAAAGATTACTTTCTGCTCATCTCATTTCACATTTGCAACACACTAAATTATCAGTTTTTACAATGCAGCAGTGGTTTGGGCTTGCCATCCCTAACTATTACTAAAGGTGAATGACAACAGATATTTTGGGCATCCTGAGTAGCCTGAAGTCTTCCTCTTCTATCCACTTAAAATGACTTAAATCCTTGGCCTGTGTGCAATGTAAAACCAACACCCTCTTCCTTATTTCTGAGGGTTTTAAAGGAATTGATGTTGTCCAGATACCTCCCATTCTGCATTCCTTCTCCTCCTGATTTCTGATTTACTCACCTTCCTATCATTGCTCCTGGGATTGTTTGCCCTCCTCCAATTTCTTTAAGTGTTAACAACTTTTTTTTATGATCCTTCTTCAAAGAAATCAACTAAACATAACTATCATAATTAGCATTTTTAATGGAAAGATTCAGGATAATGGACAAGAATTACAACACAGTCAACAACTTCAACTTGAATATGTTAAATATCAGGTATTTCCTCATTTACCTACTTAGAGCGTTTTTCAACAGGTGCCTTTCTCCCAGTTGCCAAGATCTTCCTAACTTCTCTTAAGTTACATCTTCCAAACCCCAGATTCTTTAGTCTGCAGAGCAATATCACTCTCAACCTTTATGCTATACCAGGCCATGGAACTAACTTTGAGAAGCTAAAATATTCATTAACAACTTTCTTAAACAAAATTGTCATTTACCTCTGAAGCAGATGCTGCCTTTGCCTGGAAAGTGAAAACACATTTTATTTTTTAAAAATAACAACGATGGTATATAGATGCATGCGTATGTGTATATATGCTTTCTTTTATACCTAGAGGTGCTGCCCTTACTGTGAGAAATTGTTCATTCAGGTAGCTGTGTCTTTACCATTATGATAGCTTATATGGATGTACATCTAACTGTATTATATACACATGTATAACACATGTATATACAGTGTATGTTTTGATGTTTACCCACAATAAGAACACTTTCTTGCTGAATACAATTTTAAAAACTCAATTTGTCTCTGGAAATTTAGGGACCAAAAAAAACCTCCAAAAATCAGTACTTTTGTCTGAAAATTACCCAGGAATTAAAATATGTATTGTCAGGTTCATTTTGCCCTTCCTATGAAACAGCATTTTGTTACACAACTTCATTATTAAAACATTATTTTTTATGTGTCCAACAACTTATATCCTGACTTATCTTTTTTTTTTTTATGTATAGTAGGTCCAGAGCCCCTTACTCTATTTTCCACTGTAAAATCTTTGTTGATTCCATTTATTTCATATCATTATATATTTTGGAATTTGATCATATTTAAGCCAAAATTGGGGAAAATTTCAATGCATCTTTAACTTAAAAATATGGAATCTTAAAAATATTTAAATGAACTTTAATGTAACACTCCAGTTTATTATTTTCATAGTGTTTACAACATTTTCCTAAAGTAAAAGTGGATGACCATGATAGAATTCCTACTCACCTCCTGTTTTCTGGTTTAAATAACTATCAATTAAAATGTGACAGCTTTTTCTGTTATCATATTTATAGTCATATTGATGGAGATTCCTTTTATTTACAGAATTTTATTGATTTTGCAAGTTCCTAAAAGGTACTTGGAAGGAACAGTAATGGAATGGATGGATGCATTGCCTTGTAGATCAATCAAAGAGAATTTCACGGATTGTAAAGTGAGAACACATTTACTGAGGTCAGCATTTTTGTTCCTGCTGCTCTTTCTGGAACTGCAGCCAGCGACTTATTAGTACTGGTTGCATACTTTCTGGAATAGCAAGCGAATAAGAGCACAATACAGCAGAGTTTCTTGGCAGGGAGTTGCATTTTCTTAACTGCTTTAATTCTCATGATTGCATTAGGTGCAGTTCATCTCTGATGAAATGCTCTCAGCCAAGACTTAGGAATATATCAAATAGGAGCTGATGTTTCATTTCTTGGAGCAGGGCACTCAGTTGTAGATACAGGCATGGATGAACTCAAGTGCAGTTGCAGTAGAAATGAAAAAGCTAACAAATAGTTTGGGTAATATTATATTTTATTTTCTTCTATGTCATTTCATAAAAGATAATGCTGCAATCAGGTTGGTGTGTGAATGTGCGCATGAGTATGTGTAAAAGCCTATGAGTATGTTTGTGAATTTGTGTATATATGTATGTTTATACTCCAATAAAAACCGTGTCTATTTGAGTCATGAATAGACTTTACATAAGCACAGTTGAATCTCACGTTCAGCAGTGTAGGTAGAAATTTTTACATTGTCTGGAAATTGCAAGCGGAAGACTGTGATTTAGGGATGGGATATAAAGAGGTTCAGCAATGAAGGACTACGTAGAGAGAAGGGCCACTGGAGAACCCATTGGAGGTAAAATTGACCTCATGTTTTGAAAAAGTGATAAAAATAAGTGAACAAATGGCAACCATCAACAAAAATGACACAATTCCTTCCTTTGGAGTGTCATTAGGGAGTTATGTGTTATAAAATTCATTATTGAAATTCGAGGCATGAAAGCTCATGGCCCAAGTAAAGTGGGGGCAGAGACTGAGTTAATGGAAGGGCTATGTAACCATTAATGGCTCATCCCAAGCATAGCTGACCATGACCTCCTAGCTGACCACGACCTCCACTGTGTGCAGTGGAATCCTGGGAAATTTAAGAGCTACTCTCTGATATGCTGAGACTTTGCAGGCCCATTCAGAGAGCTAAATAAAACAACATGGTTGCAGGTAATGGCAACAAGCTAAATAGCTAAAATCACCCACGACATTTAGATGTGTATTCCAGGCTGTTAGTTTAATGTTTGCTGTATGTACTATGTAGTCTTTTCTGTTAATTATATTTCTTAACTAATTTTTAGAAAGAGTACTCTACTTGAAGTTCATAACTGATAGGGAGAAAGGTGGGAATGGGAATGGGAAACTGTACAAATATTTAATGACTCTAAATATTTGAGAGAACTGAGGAAATATCACATGGATTATGGTGCTAAAAAGGACTGTTATCTAACTGAGTTTTTGTCCTGATCCACTTCCTGTTCCTTATCTTATTGTACTATTCCATCTTCTGCCACTTAAATTCACAGAAACAAAATGCAAGTAAATGCATCTCTTTTTCTTGCCTTCCCAGACTGATTTAATAAAAATGGCTAGATTTCTAGGAAGAGAACATCTTTTTGGAGTCCACTCCCTGAGCTGCGAATAAATGGAAAGCTTACACAGGAATTGAAGAATTTGAAAACGTGGATAATTTGCTCCTTGACCTTTGGACAATTTACTTAACCTCTTTAAATGTCAACAGCTTTCTTACAAAATGGGAGGCAAACTTGATAATCCCTAAAATTTAAAAATGTATAACATTATACAGAGAGGACAGTGGTAAACTTAGGACTGCTGCCCTTTCTATATGATGTAATTTTATATAAGACAAACCTATAACAGGTCTAATGGACCACTGTTTACAGTTTGAGTCACCAGTGCCTTACCCATATTTCCTTTTAACTATATCTCATAAATTCATATGAAAAACCCTTATAGACCTATTCCACATAAGGGGAAGGAAAACTAGGAAGCATGAAAAATGAATATTAATTTAATTAAACTTTTCTATAATGGCTCACTGTCTGTTCCAGAATCTGAAAAGTCCCAGGTACCAGAAAGCTGGAAAAAAATAGAGCCAGAAAATGGGACTAAGAAGGACTCTGCTTTCATAGTAAAATACTCAACATCCTTGCTGTTTTTAATAATGTGGAAAGTTGATAATGGTGGTGGTATGGCTGGTGGGTTTGTGTGTACGTGCATGTGGTGTATATAATTATATACATATAATTACTTTTAGAGCTCTTGCATCTTGAAAAACACCCATCTGTTTGGTAACATTTTATGTTGTGGCACTTTCCTCACATTTGAAAATGCGAATTTTGATACAAAGACGTGTATTGTTTTTTTTTCCACACTAAGATTCAGAATGTTCTGGCACAGATATTTCTCATTCATGTTAGATATCTACATTCAGTATAACATTAGCTATTTAGATATCAATAAGTAGAATTCTTTTTATATGGGAGTTACTGGGTGAGTCCAACTTGAAGTTGAGGATATTTTAGACAAAGACAAAAGCATAATGTAGATAAATGCATCAAGCATAAAAAGGAAAAGATCAAAGTGAAGAAAAGAAAAGTAATGGAGATAAACCCAGAAAGGTGGACTTGGAGTAATCATGGGGACCCTTGAGCTTTATTTGGCAAGTAAAGGCTAAACTTACTGAAGGTTTATATGCAGGAAGTTTGCATGATCATTGCTGAGCTTTATAAATAATTTAGTAGAAGTATATAAAATTAAATAAAATATATAAATACTAACAATGGGGAGTAAAATTAGGAAGACCATTTTCATAACCTTCTCAAACATGTGAAAAAAGAAAAAATGTGCCACTCCACACACTGGAGTGAAATGAATGGAATGAACAGCAGTAGAGAAAAGACATTCTGAGTGTCCAAATCTTAGTGTCTGAGACATAGTATTATCATTAGAAATGGGCAACACAGAAGATGATTGGATTTGCTTAGGTTTTTAAAGGAGGATGATGAAATTTTGCTGGAAACTGAGAATTGGAGTTGACAGCATGCTATACACATGACACTTCCCTAGCGGCATTTGGAAATGCCTAGAGAAGTTAAAGCTTGAAATAGAGATTTGTGTGGTGGCTTCGCAGGTGTGGTGGCTGTAACCCTGGAGGAGATCCCCTTGAGAAAGAACAGGAAAAAAAAAAAAAAAAGAAAATGATAATGTGTTGTTGGGAGAAACTCCTACATTTGTAGATCAGCAGGAGAAATAAGCCAGAGAAGCAAACAAGCTGAAGGTAAGAATCAGGAAGCGTGTCAAGAAACTACATTGACTCTGACTAGGCAATGTGAAAGTTTTGATGGTAGTCGCCCAGGTATTATTGATTACTGTGAACTGACCGGTGCTTCACTTAAAACTTGAATTCCTGTCCAAATTTAAATGTTGAACAGATCATACAATGGAGACTGTTTAATGAGTGTTATAAGGAGGTGCCCCCAAAGAATTCGGAAATTACAGAAATATGTTTGCTTTTTGTCAATAAAACAAAACAAAAATCAAACCTATTGAAAATCGAGATCATATTCTTTGACCTAGCTAGAAAATTGTAATTAAAGGGGAAATGGATTGGTTTGTACAGAAAAGGTCCTTTTAGAGAAGCAAGCTTTGGAATTTTAGTTCCAGCATTGTCCCGGGAGAGAGATGCAACACTTGAGGGACTCAGCTCATTCATGAGAAAAATGTTCTCTTCTGTGGGCGGAAATACTTCTTTAGGCTTCATCAGAACAAAATAACCCCCATTTAAATCCTTGAGCTTTGCTTTAATTCTGTGCCATCGATCAACCTACTTATCCAATTATTGGCTATGAATATTAAAGAAAGCATGGGAATTAGAAGTGGTATTTTCTACAGTGTTAGTTTTCTACAATGTTGGTATTCTTAATTATACAACTATTTTATGAGAATTAGTTAGAGTCATTTTATCACCTATTTCTGGGTGCAGTGTTAAGTCCCAGTTTCTGGTTTCAAGTTGAAGAGAAGACTGCAGATTACGGTAGACCAGCTTGGGTCACGTTACCCTGAGAGACCACTTCAGATCCATTTCCACTGGACTTACCTTTCTTCTCAACTTTTTACCATTCATTTTCTATTCCAAGAATTTTCAAATCTGCAGTTCCCTGGTGATCAAATGGTCTTTTCTTACAAAACTTGTATTCAGATCTGCCAGGAGAACCATCAGGTGTTATACTGTTTTCTGACAAATATATGCAGACAATAGCTGGCTGCATGCCTAGATTAGTGTGTGGTAAACACAGTTGACTGATTGACTGGGATCTACTTTGCATTTGATGGTTGCAGAGTACTTAAGTGCTTTGTGTATTTCTATCTTTGGGTTGCTTAGAGATAGAAAGCCCTAAGGTTTTAGAATCCCAGGATAATTATATTTCAGAATGAGAAGACATAATGAGCTATAGTTTAGATTCCACTAAAACCAGAGTATTCAGTAATTTTTATAGACCAGTTAATTTACTCATCTTCCTTACTATATTTGTTTTCTCTTTCAGTGACTGGAACTATTGTTTTCCAGTAAATCCTAGAGGGAAACACTCTGTAAATGAATTGATAGTTACATAAATATAATATTTGTCAAGGCACGAAGTGCTAGGAGCATATTTTCCAGGTTAAGCACCATAAATTAATCCATACATACTGAGAAATTAAGAAGTAGGAACACTATAACCATGTATATACACATATTCTGCTTAAACATTTGTGTCGATTGATTTGACTTTTCTTTAAATCCAATATTTCTCCAATATCTATTTTTCTAACATCTTTAACACCATAAATAATAAAATGTTTCATGATTTTAATTATTATGACAAGTATGCTTTTTATACAGAGAGATTAATTTCCTTGTCTATTTCTGTCAATGGGTACCGTTGAAAATAAATTGTGTTTAAAAAGTTTTTGTATGATTATAGGCATGAATTCTGTGGCAAGATGGTCTGAATTTGAACCCTAGCTTCCTCAAATATTAACTGTGTTACTTTCGGCAATTTACTTAAACTCTATGAGTCTCACTTTTCTCATCTATAAGACGGGAGAGTAATAGCTCCTAGTCCCTAGTGTTGTTTTGTGAATGATTTAAAATATATAAATCACTTAGCATAGTGTCCAGAACATATTAATGCTAGGTGATAGTTGGCCATTATTATAACTCAATGTGCATTTATTTAGGTATTCAGATATCTTACAGAGATTTTTCAGAATAATAACATCCTAATTTATGAAAAATTACTTCCTGCTACTGAAAATTAATTAGGCTATCCTTTTATAAAATTATATATTCGACATTTATTCAATATAATTGAATATTTCTTTCCCCAACCTTCTACATTGGGGTACTATAATTTCATTAACTTTTCTAACAAAACCAAGTGATTATATTGAGACAGTAACATAACCAACATTTTCAGAACTTGCAACATTGGTCTAGTAATTTACAGCTACCCAGATTAATTTGAAAGCTATTTACATGTAATTAGTAGGATTTCTTGTATTCGGTCAATAATATTATCTTTGATTGGATAATAGTAACCAAGGCTTGATATACATGTTTATACATAAAGCTTATTTTACTTTAAATTTCTGGGGTCATTTATTGTAAAGGGAATCATATCAGTTATTTGATACCTGAGAGGATAATTCTTTATATTTGAAAATTATTATATTTTATTGTGGCACTTATAGAACATTTTTTCTGTTAGCCTCTTAGCCTAAAGCACTGAAATATTATGTAGAATATTGTGTTAGGGTACAACAATAAGGGAATTTGATTTTACAATTAGGAGAATTTGTACAGCTTGTTCCAATTATCACTCTTCATTTTATATATACAACTAACCTTAAGGCCTCATTTACATGAAAGTTGGTTCACTTTCAACCGGTGTGCATGTCACTTGTGATGATTTCTAGTCTACTTCATGCAAAGCAATTTCAGTAAGTGCTTACCTTGAAGTGATTTATGTTCACACAAAGACCACGGGGATCCCACTTACTGATTCCATCATACGACAAGCTCTCATAACTCTCTATTTCTCTAGAAATAATATTTTATATAATTGCATCAGGTTATATTGTTTAAAATGTTGAATCTGTTTCTTACCTCTTCCCTGGAGGTTATAAAAAAAATCACTTTTTTTCCTCCATTGTAAGAAGATTTTAAAATTTTTCTTTCTATGGTATCATTGAATTCAGGAGGGCGGGGCAAGTGAGTTTAGGAAGAAGTAAATACTGATAAATTCTATAAGGTAAACATGAAAAGCCTTAAAGAAAGCAGGTTATATTCAGAATCACATTAACAAAGTAAAGGTTCAAAACAGTATTATTTTTATATAAGAATTACAACTTTGATGCTTTGAAAATAAATTATTTGTATGTCAATTATACATGACTAATTTCAATTTTAAGTTGTTATTCTTTGTAGTAACAAATCTAGAATATTAATCTTTACCTTGTTAAAAGCCTGCTTTTATTTACTACAAATACATTGTGTAGTAAACAAGATGTTCAAGTCAGTAAAGCAGAACACTTCAACATCTCTGCTCATTAGAAAGTGGCATTTGGGCCGGGCGCGGTGGCTCAGGCCTGTAATCCCAGCACTTTGGGAGGCCGAGACTGGCGGATCATGAGGTCAGGAGATCGAGACCATCCTGGCTAACAAGGTGAAACCCCCGTCTCTACTAAAAATACAAAAAATTAGCCGGGCGCGGTGGCGGGCGCCTGTAGTCCCAGCTACTCGGGAGGCTGAGGCAGGAGAATGGCGTGAACCCGGGAGGCGGAGCTGGCAGTGAGCCAAGATCGCGCCACTGCACTCCAGCCTAGGGGACGAGTGAGACTACCTTTCAAAAAAAAAAAAAAAAAAAAAAGCGGCATTCAATATGATATTGAATTCATCTTTAACCTATATGTGAAAAGATGACCTGATAGGCATTAAAAAGTTGTTTTTTCTGAATGCTTGCTTATATAGCATAGAATGGAGGGTGGGCTGTTAAAATGAGGCAATAACCTGTTTCATTCGGGGTCAATGTGTTCAAGAAAGAAAGCTTGATATCCTGTCAAGTGTTTATGAAATATATTACTGTGTTTCTAAGACTTCATAAAGAATCTCAGAAGCTTCCAGTTTGAAGCCTGAGAATATGGCTTGAGTTTGTTTAAGGGACAAAGAAACCAGATTATGGTTATTTTTCCTTTCACTTTGTGATGATTTCACTGATGACTGGGAAAGATTCAGATCTTTTACATAGATGCATGTATATACTCACACATGTGGAACAACTTTCTCATGCCTGTAGCTCAATACGGAGTTAAATTGTGCACATCAAGAAAGAATCCTCTGCACATCAGGAAAAGTTTATTTTTTGGTTTTGTTTTTTGTTGTTGTTGTTGTTGTTTTTTGAGACGGAGTCTCACTCTGTCACCCAGGCTGGAGTGCAGTGGAGCAATCTCGGATCATTGCAACCTCTGCCTCCCAGGTTCAAGCAATTCTCCTGCCCCAGCCTCCCGAGTAGCTGAGACTACATTGCCCGCCACCACGCCCGGTTAATTTTTTTTTTTTTTTTGTATTTTTAGTAGAGACGGGCTTTCACCGTGTTAGCCAGGATGGTCTCAATCTCCTGACATCGTTATCCGCCCACCTCGGCCTCCCAAAGTGCTGGGATTACAGGCGTGAGCCACACCTTGGCCTGGAAAAGTTTTAAAAATGAGTCTGAAATTTCATTACTGCACCGTACCTGATATGGTTTAGCTTGTGTTTCCACCCAAATCTCATCTTGAATTGTAATCTGAATTGTAATACCCACATAGTGGGGGCGGGACATTTTGGGAGGTGATTGGGTCATGGAGGTGGTTCCCCCATGCTGTTCTCATGAGAATGAGTGAGTTCTCATGAGACCTGATGGCTTCATAATGGCCTCTGACCCCTTTGCTCAGCACTTCTCTCTCCTGCTGCCTTGTGAAGAGGGACGTTGTTTGCTTCCCCTTCCATCATAATTGTAAGTTTCCTGAGGCCTCCCCAGCCATGTGGAACTGTGGGTCAATTAAACTTCTTCCCTTTATAAATTACCCAGTCTCAGCTATTTCTTTATAGCAGTGTGAAAACAAACTAATACAGTACTTACACATTTTTTACCGATATCTCTCATCTCTTTTATTTCAAGAGAAGTGGCTAATCTGAGCTCTTAGTATCCCCTTGTAACCAGTATTGTAAAGAAGAATATTTTGGCATCCACTCTTTTTTATTTAGCCCCATAAAAACTATTTCCAGCTTATTGGCTTTTCTAGTGTTTCTGACTAATGTTATTTTGATCAAACCTGAAATGTCTACCTTCTTCTCTCATTGCTACTGTGTTGAGATCTTGGAAGAGGGTGAAAAGTGACTCATTACTTTTTCCAATTCTCTTTTAATCCTTTTAGCTTTACCTTCTTGGCCTTATGTACTCTGCTTGGCAAAGAGAAAGGAGCTTCATGTTCTGACCATTGGAAAAGAGTCTTAATATTTTTTAAATGTGCTACTATTCTCTAGGGCTATTTTGCTAGAAAGGTTTTGACAGTTGTTTGAGTTGCTCCTCTTCCTCCTGTGTTTGGGCTTAAAAATCACATGGAAGAGTACACTTGGTTAGTAATGTTCTGGTTTGGTTATGTGTGTACAGAGAAGAGGAATGGCCTGCTCCGCAGACTCAGCAAACTATTCTCTGGAAGATTCCTGGTCATTGTGGAAGTAGCTAGAATCTACCACATTCGAAGTAGCACCCTTCCCCTCTCCAAGCGCTGGTGGTCCCCCTGCTGCTTCCTGTTCTTTGGTTCTTCCCTATTCTAGTTGTGTTCCCAAGCCTTGTCTCTGTCAAACAGCTGCCTAAAATGTGGCTAAATCTGCTAAATAAAAAGACAAGATCTTAGAGAAAGCAATTCTTTTCATGTGTGGCTTATAGACATAATTTCTATTATTTTCTTATAATCACAGGGAGTTCTCAACTTTGTCATATAAATTGTGGAAGATAATGTTGATTGTTTTATTTCAGGGATTGGCAGTCTTTTTCTGCAAAGGGCCAGGTAGCAAATATTTTAGGCTTTGTAGGCATCTGGTCTCTGTCACTTCTACTCAACTCTGCTGTTACAGTGTGGAAGGAGCCATAGACAGTATGTAAACAAATTAACAAGTGTGGCTGGAGTGTGTGCTAACACAGAACTTATCTAATAGTTTCTCCCTTCATTGTTTTGAAATCCAGTTTTGCTCAGCTAGTAAGTTGATGAACACATCGTCAGGGAAGTAGGTTCCTCCCTAAGCTCAAGGTGATGAATCATGACTGATTTAAACCAGTCACGCCAAGGGTCACCAGTTGCCAGTGATTGGTTTAGGGGTAATTGTACATCTTATTTCAGGCTGTTAAAACATAAAAGGAAATCCGATGGGTCCTTCTGGTTTATGTTATGTGGGAGAAGTCCACATAAGGAAAGCAGGTCTTTAGGCAGCTACATCAAGAGGATGTGACTATATCACATCTATTATCACAGGATGATAATAGCAATGATTTGTGTGAACTTCAAGTAACTCGTCATGACATCTCCCAAACTGCAGCACACATTAGTACCACCTTTATTTTTGGTAGAGATTTTTATATTGAAGAATGAATATTTTTTATTTTTTAAGCAATCACAACTCACAGCAAAGATAAACCTTATGTCTTTGGAAACTTAATTAAAAATGCCATAAAACCATAAATATTTTAAAATGCTATCTTTTGAAAAGATATCATTGCAAAATAACTAAACACTTCTTTCAAAATCTCTTGGGAGTACAGCACTTCCATTTAATGTAGTTTATATGTATGATTTTTTTAAGATTGAAGAGAAATGATAGAATACAATTTAATTAAAAAGTTGGGGACTTGGGGGAGAATTTGTAGGTTTTATAGAAGTTTAATGTACTTATGCACACACACACAATATTCTTTTTTTAGAAATGGATACAGTACAACCCATATTGAGTCATTTATGAGGTGTGAGGTCACATAAGCCAGCCTTCAAATATTCATATTTATGAAAATTATTTCCTTCTCCATGATTCCTTCCTTATATGAAAAGTGTTACTATACATTTTACACTGTATACATTTACACTGTACACATTTCATTGTGTCTTGAAACTCCATACAAGTAGGCAGTTTAGTTGCTGATATAAGAAATCTTTCTATTAACCCAGAAGTATATTTGTCTTTCCACTTATTATCAACATTCAAATGGAAATTTATTTCAAATATACCCCACATTTGAATCTTAATTCAAAATATTGGCTGTCAAAAAAAAAAAAAAAGGTCTGATGGAGCCCTTTTTTTAAACTTGTTTGCTAACCATGGGATAAAGATACCAGTTTGGCTGTTTTGCCTGGAGTAGCTTTGCCCTTAAGAACTGGCCTTCCTGCTTTCTAATTAGAGAACTTATTTTTTCCCTTGCTGAACATTCTGTTTGAATTTGTTTTCCTGTCCTGTTTAAATTCTTTCTGATTTGTAAAAGTAAAACATAACCATCAGAGGTAGGTTTTGGATTAGGCTTTAATGACATTTGAAGGGAAAAACAAAAGGAAAACTGTGCTTTTCAGATGAATCACTCTCTTGCCTTCTTTTAATACTATTCCATCTGACAATAATTGGCAGGCGTGAGCAGTCTCAGGAAAAGGGGGCTCACACTGAATGGACCATCCTCACACACACACTCCTGA
The DNA here is from genome assembly GCF_000001405.40 of Homo sapiens. Taxonomy (NCBI): domain Eukaryota; kingdom Metazoa; phylum Chordata; class Mammalia; order Primates; family Hominidae; genus Homo; species Homo sapiens. The sequence continues at coordinate 18,149,305 of NC_000021.9, forward strand.
TGCCTAATCGCTGTTTCTCCATGAGATGAAAGCGACTGACTGTCCTTGAGAAATACACACAATTGCTCTTGTAGCACTGGTAGTCAGGGCAATGGATGTCATAGAGTCCTCATAACCGTATCTATCAAATATTTACAAGAAATTTGGGGGGGTTCTTTTTTAAAGGAAGGAACCTCATGGGTCTGTCTATGTGAACATCCTTCTTTTGCATGTAGAGAACACCCAAGGCATAGTCTTTCAACTTTCCAGAGCTGTTTTAACTCTCTGCAGTCTAAATAGGCAAGAGGAGTCTCAAACTTCTATATGTCAAGCTACATCTCAATGATAATATCAAATTAATTTCACATATCAAAACATTTAAAGTTCCTTGAGGAGAATTGCACCTGTCTTGTAAAAGTTAATTTGACTAAGTGGCCTATGTGGCTGTCCAATAAGTTAAGTTGTCCTTTGATAGGACACTGGCTAACTGGGATGAGTCAATGCCTTAGTCAGTTCAGGCTACTATAGCAAACTACCGTAGACTGGACGGCGCATAAACAATAGAAAGGTATTTTGTACTGTCAACAAAAAGAGTCAAACTCTGTAAAATATTTGAAGAGATTTATTCTGAGCCAAATATGAGTGACCATGGCCCATGACACAACCCTCAGGAGGTCGTGAGAACATGTGCCCAAGGTGGTTGAGATGCAGCTTGATTTTATACATTTTAGGGAGATATGAGATTTCAATCAAATACATTAAAGAAATATATTGGTTTGGTCCAGAAAGGTGGGACAACTTGAAGCAGGGGCTTCCAGGTTATAGGTAGATTTAAAAATTTTCTGGCTGACAATTGGTTGAGTTTATCTAATGACCTGGGATCAATAGAAAGGAAACGTCTGGGTTAAGATAAAAGATTGTGGAGACCAAAGTTCTTATTGTACATAGGAAGCCTTCAGGTAGCAGGCCTCAGAGAGGATGGATTGTAAATGCTTCTTAACAGGCTAAGGTCTGTGTTGCTGTTAATGCTGGAGAGGTATAGTGAGGCATGTCTGACCCCACTCCCCACTATGGCCTGAACCAGTCTCTCAGGTTAAATTGTAAGAGTGCCCTGGCCAAGGAGAAAGTCCATTCAGATAGTTGGGAAGCCTTAGAATTTCATTTTTGGTTTGCAGTACAGTTCCGGAGGCCGGTATCCCAAGATCACAATGCCATCACGATTGGGTTCTGCTGATGGGCCTTTTCCGGGTTGCAGATTGATGACAACTCATTGCACTTTCATGCGGGAAAAAGGGGGCCAGGGAGCTCTCTGATGTCCCTTGTATAAGGGCACTGCTCCCATTCAGGGGAACTCCACCTGCGTGACCTAATTACCTCCTATGATACGCATACACTGTTCCTGGCTCATAACTGCCACACCCTTATTATTTCTCCCCAAGACAGGCCATAGAAACTAAAAATGTATTCTAATCATTTTCACCTTTCTGTCTTGGGACTGGCCATAAAGAAATTCTCTGACCTGGCCGGCATGGTGGCTCACTTCTGTAATCCCAGCACTTTGGGAGGCCGAGGCGGGTGGATCATGAGGTCAGGAGTTCAAGACCAGCCTGGCCAAGATGGTGAAACCCCGTCTCTACCAAAAATTCAAAAATTAGCTGGGCATGATGGCAGGCACCTGTAATCCTAGCTACTCAGGAGGCTGAGGCAGCAAATTGCTTGAACCTGGGAGATGGAGCTTGCAGTGAGCCGAGATCGCACCACTGCACTCCAGACTGGGCGACAGAGCGAGACTCTGTGTCAAAAAAAAAAAAAAAAAAAAAAAGAAAGAAATTCTCTGACCTACCTTGTCTTATGGTAGGTCATAAGATTCCCCATTTCAGAAATTCTTCCTCATATCCAGGAGGAAGACATGCTGCACAGAGAGGCCAAGAAGAATCTGAACAGACAGGCCTTGCCGGGTTTCCCGCTTAGCCTAGTATTAGATCATACTCTTTTTATCCAGTCACGTTTGTACACAGTTGTCCATGCTGCAGTCATGCCTATCCAGCAAAGTTTCCCTAAAAGGCCCAAAAGATAGTGTTCAGAGGGCTTCTATATAGCTGGACACACAGAGGTTCCTAGAGCATGTCATGCCCAGGGAAGGCATGAAAGCTCTCCACCCCTTCCTCCATAACTCACCCTTACATCTCCTCATCTGTATCCTTTGTAATATTCTTTACAGTAAACTGGTAAATGTGTTTCCCTGAGTTATGTGAGACACTTTAGCAATTTAATCAAATCCAAAAAACGGGTCATGAGAACTCCAGTTTTAAAATGGTCGATCAGAAGTTCTGGAGGTCCCGAATTACAACTGATATCGGCAGACGGGGAATAGTCATGTGGGACTGAGCCCTCAGTCTGTGGGATTTGATGCTATTTCTAGGTAGATAGTATCAAAACTGAATTGGAGGACACCCAGCTGGGGTCCACTACAGAAGTGATTGCTTGCTTGGTATGTGGAGAAAATGCTCCATACATTTGGTCACTGAAGTCTTCTGTGTTGACTGTTGTGGTTGAGAGCAGAGGAAAAACAGTTTGAGGTTTTTTCTTCAGCTCACACCTCCAAATGCCTTACCTTCTAATACCATCACATTGAGGGTTAGGATTTTAACATGTGGTTTTGAGGGGATACATTCAGTCCATGTTAGGCAATATGTATATAACTCTGTGTGTGTGTGTGTGTGTGTGTGTGTGTGTGTGTGTTTGTGTGTGTGTGAATTTGTGTATAACCTATCAGTATTAGAGTATAGGAATTATTTCAGTCGAGTTTAGTAAAAGAGGTTGTGGAATAGTTTGGGAAATGTTAACAATTCATTGAACAGAGAAATGTTATATAATATGCAGAAGCACAAAGCCAAACCAGGGTTTTAGTCTGAACACCACAATTCACTGGTGGTTATGCATCTGAAGGGTGACTACTTTCTATAGTGTCATCTACAAAATAATAGACTTGGAAGAATTGAATAAATCGATATTTGTTTTATATTGTTGCATATCAAATTAACTATCACAAACTTCATGGTTTAAAACACATCTATTCATTTCCACATGGTTCTGAGGTAAGAAATCTGAGTACTGCTTAGCTGGGTCCTCAGGACCTCACGAGGCTCAACTCAAGGAGTTAGCCAGGGCTGGGTTCTCATCTGAAGCTCAGGGTCCTCTTTCAAGCTCATTGAAGTTGTTGGAATAATTTTTTCTTTGCATTTGTAAAACAGAAGTCTTTAGTCTTCCTGGCTACAGGCCAGGAGTTGTTCTCAGCTCTTAGAGGCCTTTTTCAGATCCTGGCCACATGGCTCTCTCAAAACATGGCAGTTACTTCTTCAAAGCCAACAGGAAAATCCAACTCCAGTTTGCTAAGATGAATCTTACATGATATAACATAACCAAGAGAGCAGCTATCCCACCATGTTCAGATCCCTCAAGAAGAAGGATCGTTCATGGTATATGCACCAGGGAGTGGGGATCTTCTGGACCATCTTAGAATTCTGCCCACTATATGAACATAGCTAGATTTGTGTTGCCAGCCTGTAACTATTAGACTCCAAATAAATCTTCTGACAGAAGTTAAGAGAAGGAATAGCCACCATCATCAGCAAAGATGTAAAGCCTTGATTTGGGACTATCTCATGGTCTTGACATGTCTTAGAGATTTCTATTATTTGTCTTGTTAAGTGTCCTCTTGAATGCAGCAGCCTAGACATAACTGGTTAATTATCATTATGATCAATACACTCTATATTAGTTTCTATCGCTGCCATAATAAATTATAACAAACTCCAACAGCTTGAAAAACCCCACCTGTTTATTGTCTAAGAGTTTAGTAGGCCAGAAATCCAGGCACAGCTTAGCTCAGCTGATTTTCTGCTCTGAGTTTCATGCAGCCAAAATCAAGGTGTCAGCAGAGCTGATTTCCTGTCTGGAGGCTCTGGGGATAAGTCCACCTCAGAGCTCATTCAGAATGTTGGCAGGATTCCGTTCCATGTGACTGTAGGACTGAGGGCCCCTTCTCCTTGTTGGCTATAGGCTGAGGGTTTATTTTTAGATCCCAGAAGCTGTCAAATTTCCTGGCTCATGGTCACTTTTCTCCATCTTCAAAACCTGAAATGACAGGATGAGTCATTCTTATGCTTCAAATATCTTTGACCTCCCTTTTTGCCTCGTAACTTCTCTGTCTCCCTCTCCTGCTGTATCTCTTTTAATGGCTCTTCTGCCTTTTTCCCTGCTTTTAAGGACTTACATGATTATATCGAGTTCATCTGGGTAAATCTATAATAATTTCTCTATTTTAAGGGCATCAAACTAAGCCACCCCCAAAATATGCCACTTTGGCATAAGGATTATTTTGAGCTGAAAGCAGTTGAAAATCAACTGATAGAGAAAGAGTTCTTTCTCACCCTCTTATCTGCCTAAAAGCAGGACTATGTTTTATATATATATACATATATATTTACCCTTTTCTATGAATAATATTAAGATACCATAACTACTAAAACAGATTTCCTCTAAAATATCAGTGGCTTAACATGATAGAATCTTATTTCTCTCTCAGGAGGGGATTGCCAGTGGTGGGATGGGGTTCAGGTGGGGCAGTGCAGTGACATTCTGCTTCACGTAGTCATTCAGTGCAGTGCCACTAACACCTCTTACTGGAGTTTCTTGGCCATCGACCTCCAGCCAGAAGGAAGAGAGAGAGGGATGGCAAGTGAGATGTTTATGTGTCTCAGACCACAAGATAGTGAATATAATTTCCCTTTATACTAGAAAATGTAATTTAGCTATGTGCCCAGCCTGGAGAGGAAACAGGTTTAATTGCACATAATTTTATTCGGTATAGGAAATATGTATGTAAAAAGGCTTATGTATTATACATATTTTGTAATATTGTTTATTTACTCAGCAATATATCTCAAAGTTTTACTTCTTATTTATATCGTTGTTATTTGACTACATCTTTTTTTTAGGAAGATGTCCCCACTCCTCACACCTGTAACAGGGACACAAGAACTCTTATCATCAAAGATGGGAGCTGACACCAGGATTAGTTTGCATGAACAGATCTTATCTTCCTCTAGTTCAAATTTAGTCCTTAGCTTTCATTAGTTTCCCCGTATGTTTCCTAGTTGCTTCTCCGCAATTTATCATTCATGTAAATATTAATAAAATGGTGTGCCTTTTCTTCTGTTAATCCATCTAATTTTAGTTTAATTCAAAAGCCCCCAGATACAGAATTCAGAGGATAGAGGAAAAATTTTTCTGTCTCAAAAAAAGGTTACCTGTTTAATTATCATAATTCCATCTGCCGTCCTAAATTCTAGAACTTCCCTTCATAGAAATACTCAGATTAACATTTGATTGAATAACTAAAGGAAGGAAATCTTGGGGAAGCAGCATCTTTAGAATTCTTCCTACCACAGCTTCCTAAAATTAATGAACAAATGTTTATGGTGTGTTCTGTAAGTGTATTTAATGTTATGCATTAAATATGGGTGACAACAAAATGAGAATGATGGGTTCACTGCTCTCTAACAGCTTAAAGTTGGTAGGAGAAAATTTCAAGTCTGTATAAGATGATGGAGATATGTAGAGATCGTATCTGGGAAGGCTGAGAGAAGCAGATGGAATAATAATAGTGGACAGGCACAAGGTCATCACCATGTAGGGCATAGCTTGGTTGTGACCTGAAAGACAAACTTGAATTAATGCCACAGGGAATTAGGGAATTGAGCGGGGCTTCTAGCAAATCTGTACTGTAAATTAGCTTATAATATAGGGTTAGACAGACATATTTATTCATCCTGTTAGTACTAGAGGTGACTATTTTTTCATATCTTTGTTTCCCATCATAATTGGGAAACAAATGAGAGATGTGTAAAAGTCAGGTTGAAGAAAGCAAAGTGTCACTGATATTCCTGATAAATCTGATATAAGAAAACAGGCTAACAGGTCAGCCTTACCCAATCCCAGTCCCCAACGTTGCCAAGCCCTCAGTTCTCCCTTGAAAGAACCTGTCCTTGCAAACTCAATGGCATGGAGGAACCCAGAATTCATGTGCCTTGTGGATTCATTGTTTCCCTCCAAAGTTTCTTACAAATTACCCTCTGGAGAGAAGGAAATGAATAGATGGTGCAACAGGCCTACAGTGAAATATGAGCTAGGAAAGAAGAGGTTCTTCCCTCTAATTCTGCAAACTTGTGGCTTCAAGTAGAGAGAACAGTATTCACTCTCAACACATCTTCCAAGAAGAATGTGAATTCAAATATGACAAAACAGAGGGCAGAATTTCGAGGTTGTTAGAGAAACCTTGTGGTAGAAATACAAGGCCATTGAGTTTAGCTAAATCATGTTATTTATATAACACTTTAGTCAGGAAGTGGTTTCTCTCACTGAGGTTATCAGCATTAGAAAGGCAGTCACGGAAACAATAACCCTGAATGGAATGTTGTTTTGAAAGGGAGGCTTTAGACAGCAGGTCCTTCAGTCTAGTGAGGAGGCTACTGATTTAATTCTAGTCTTTTGCAGTCTAGCATAAATTGCTAAGCAATGCTAGATAAAGGCCACTTACAGTAAATAGCTTTAAAGTCTCAGGGTCATCATTTTGCTAAAAGGAAATCCTGGAACCAAGCAATTTAAAGGCCCTGTGGACATGGAATACTTATACTCAAGTCAGAAGCCAAGTGCTACTGCTGTTTAACTGTCTGTAGTGTGAGATACTCAACAGCAATGGGAAATTCTCTGCTGAAGTATGACCTGACGTATTTCTTTTGACCTTGGACGTGGGTAGAAAGGAAAATCAAAGTGACTTGCCCTACCTGGGATAATTTTTTGATGAAAATTTTTCTGAAGAAATTTTGCACGGGTAAAAAGATACTCTTAAAGGCAACTTACGTTCAATCAATTGATCTTGGAAAGAAGAAAAGTAGCTACAGTTGAAAATTAGCATTGGCCTACAGATTCAGGATTTAAAAGTTTTATTTTATTTTTTCAGTGTGATTCAATCTCACTTGTTCATTTTCGTTTTTGTTGGCTGTTGACTTTTGGAGTCACATTCAAGGAATCTTTGCCCAGCCCAATGTCGTGAAGTATACATGAATACAAACATATATACACACATATATAGTTATCATTTGTCAATTAAAAATAAAATTTAAAAATTAACGTTTTAAAAAATAATTTTAAAAAATAAAAATGATCGTTCATATAACTGTCAATGCAAAATTTGGAGGAACCTGATTTTAAAGTCTACTTTCTGGGTCAATACGGTATCAATGAAGCTCAATATTGCTTATGGGTTTGTTGCTGTTATTCCTGTTAAATTTAATATGAACATCAAATTAAAATATGTTTGCTTATGGTGAGCCTGTTTCTTCCACGACGATTGCCATGAAACAAACCAACCCAAACTTGGGGGCATAAAAAGAGCTTTAATTGTGCTCATTGCTTCTGTGGGTCAGGAGTTTCTGAAACGGACAGTGGGCATGGCTCTTCTCTGCTCTACATGTCTGGGCCTTCAGTTAGAAGATTCGATAGCTAGGAGGGAAGTCTGGGTCCTAGTGTCAGCTGATACTTGTTCACTCTCATGTTGATCCTTGGCTGGCAAGACCCAGAGTCTAGGAGTGACAGCAAGTATGCCTATCCTTGCCCTCTCTGAGTGGCTTAAGTTCCTCACAACATGGCAGCTTACATGCAAGTTCAAAGTTCCAAGTTTAAGTGTTGCGGCGAAGAAGGCAGAAGTTACCTTAGAAGCTATGTGGTACCACTCCCTTCATTGTCACCCCTTCTGTTGATTACAGGCGAGTCACACACCTGCTTACATGCACAGGGACTGTGTTCATATACACCTCTCAGTTGGAGGAGTGCCAAGTTTAGCTTGCAGAAGCAAGGATCTGTGAGATGGAAGATACGTTGTGGGTATCTCTGGAAACACAATCTGTCATGATGTTTATGGTGTATTTATTTATTATCCAATTGAGAGTATCTTCCTAACTACCATCAATATTGCCATTATTACCGTTATGCACTTGGTAACTATACAGAAAAACATTTTTATTTGTGGTCAAAAAAGAAATGAGATTACATATTCTGATAACAGTGATGAGAAGAACAAATGTTAAATTGAAAAGTGCAATGACACTGTTGTTATTTAGTTCACTCGTAACATTATAGATATATTCCATTTGTACATATTCTCCATGAAGGCTTTATTTCTCTTCATTAAGGCAGGTTGTGTCAGCCAAACAGCAGATGGCCTAACCATAATGCCTTTAGGCAGATGTTCTCATTTGGGTCATAACATGTGAGCAAAAAATGCCATATTCCAAACTGTCTCATCATCTCTAGTAATTACTGGATAACATCCAATGTTTACACAAGTCTTTTATAGCTGTGTATTATATTGGCTAGACCTAAGTACTGAAGGCTTGGTTTATAGTAACACTATTTTGCTAAATTTTGGGATAGATTATACAACTCTATTCAATTTGACATATACCAAATGGTCATAATCTATATAATATAATCTAGGCATAGGATTAATACAATAATTATTAATTCTAACTTTCTGGGTTTACCATTTTTAAAGACGATATTGCCAAAATAGATAAAAAACTGAAAATAAATCTATTCCAGAAAAGAAGTAAAAAAAAAAGAGACAGAAAAGGAAAGGCAATAATAAATTGGGCAATAAGAAACATTAAGATGGTTTTATAGCGTGCTTTGAGGATTCATTTCAATCTTGCAAGATTCCAAAAGGTTTTTTTTTTTTTTTTAATTCAGGTGCTTGCCATTAGTGGAACTTCTAGGACACTAGAAGCAAGCTGTTTTGAGTAGTTGTAGTGAAAATGGAAGACAATTACTGCATTTCATGAACAAGAAAAATATTCAGAGCCTGGTATACAATAGGTTTTGTGCAGATCATTTTTTCTCTTTCAATCTTGAGTACTATTAAATCATTCATCCTTTCTTTAGTCAAACTTCAGTTTTATGAAGATGGCCCCTTTTAGCATCTGCCTGAAACTTTAAAAGTGGTAACAGAAGGTGCTTCACATAAAAAGTCATTATTGATGTTGCTTTGCGAGGTGTAACACAGAAGCATAGATTATTCAAAAGACTTAATTAGAAGACAGACCTTCATGTTAATTAGCACCTGCATCTTCCATTTACATTTTCTATTCATTTTACCTATATTCTTAAGAAATATTATTGCTGAGAAAAATGACATTTCAAGAAAAGCATGCGGCCTGGCACGGTGGCTCATGCCTGTAATCCCAGCACTTTGGGAGGCCGAGGCGGGTGGATCACCTGAGGTCAGGAGTTCAAGACCAGACTGGCCAACATGGCGAGATCTTGTCTCTACTAAAAATACAAAAATCAGCTGGGTGTGGTGGCAGGTGCCTGTAATCCCAGCTACTCGGGAGGCTGAGGCAGGAAAATCGCTTGAACCCGGGAGGCGGAAGTTGCGGTGAGCCGAGGTGCTGCCATTGTACTCCAGCCTGGGCAACGAGAGTGAAACTCCGTCTTAAAAAAAAAAAAAAAAAGAAGAAGAAAAGAAAGGCATGCATCAGAATGTATATTTACTCTTCAATTTTCTTAGTGTATTGTGCATGTAGGCAAATAAAAATGTGCCATATATCACAAGTAGATTCGGTTTTTACCAACATTTGACAGCACTTTCTGGTTTTTGTTTTCAGTGGAATTCCTTAAATGTGACTCCATTAACCAGACAGTTAATACATTTTAGTTTGGAGCAGTGGTTCTTAAATGCAGACACTTTTTACCCCGGGGATATTTGGCACTATCTGGAGACATTTTTGTCACCAGCTTGTGGGTAGAGGCCAGGGAGGCTGCCACACAATGCAATGCACAGGACAAGAAAGGCCTCCCGCCAACAAAGAATTATCCAGCACAAAATGTCAATATCATCAAGGTTGACAAACCCTGGCATAAGGTAAGAAAACTTTCAAAGTATGTTTAAACACAAACGTTTGGCAGAGATTTAACTGGTATATAAAGTTGCAAATAGTGATGATTTAATATGGGAACTATTTTGTTCCCCTCCACCACTATTAATTGAAAAGTTTTCTGCTGTTTGAGATTTTTTTTTCTAAAGATGCGGTATTAAATATTGAAACCCTCAGTTTTATAGGAGAACTTGAAATATTATTGGAGTGAATTTGTTATACGAACTCATGACTTAATTGTCAAAAAAGGAAAGAATTTAAAAACAAGCTGATGATTTTCGAGAACTTTCTACATTTGCGGATTGTGTTTAGTATTTTGGGAAGCAGAATCATTCCCCAACCTTGCCCATGCCCTAATCCTCAGAACCTGTGAATACTACTTTAAATGGCCAAAGGGGCTTTGCAGGTGTGATTGGTTTTAAGGACTTTGGGATACAAATGATCTATAAGTGGGCCAAATCTAACCATGTGAGTCCTTAAAAATGGAGCACTTTTCCCAGCTGTGGTCAGAGAATCAGATAGATGGCAGCATGAGAAGGATTCGACCTGCTGGTGCTGTTGGCTTTGAAGACAGAGGAAGAGGACCATGAGCCAAGGACTGTGGGCAGCCTCTAGAACACAGAAAAGGCAAGGAACTGGATTCTAAGAGTCTTCGGAAAGGAACACATTTTTGCTAACACTTTGCTTTTAACCTGAAAAGATCCTCATCAGAATGTAGATCTAGATAGCTGTAAGATATAAAAATGTTTGTGTTCTTTTAAACTATTAAATTTGTGATAATCTGTTATAGTAGCAACAGTAAACTCATACAAGTATTTATTGCATATCTCATTTAATCCTTTCAACAATCTTAGAAGAAAGGAACTATCATTTTCTTTAAATCACAGATGGGAAATTAATGTCTGGAGAGATAAAGTGATCTACACAGGGTTACATAACTGGTAAGTTAAGGGACAAGGTCTCAAAGGAAGAAGAATTTAAAAACCAGTGCTCTTAGAACTGATCCCTAAATTATTTTGGGGGTAAAAGAGTATTATTCCTTTTCTTTTTTCTCTTCTTTTTTTTAACTTTTATTTTAAGTTCAGGGGTACAAGTGCAGGTTTGTTACATAGGTAAACTTGTGTCATGGGGGTTTGTTGTACAGATTATTTCATCACCCAGGTATTAAACCTAGTACCCATTAGTTATTTTTCCTTCTCCTCCTCCTCCTCCCACCCTCCCCCTTCCAAAAGGCCCCAGGGTACAACCCTCTATGTGTCCAAGTGTTCTCAACATTTAGCGTCCACGTATAAGTAAGAACATTCAGTGTTTGGTTTTCTGTTCTTGTGTTAGTTTGCTAAGGATAATGGCTTCCAGCTCCATCCATGTCCCTGCAAGGACATAATCTTCTGTTTTTATGGATTCATAATATTCCATTGTGTATATATACTACATTTTCTTTATCCAGTCTATCATTGATGGACATTTATGTTGATTCCATGTCTTTCCTATTGTGGATAGTGCTGTAATGAACATACACATGCATGTGTCTTTATAACAGATGATTTATATTCATATGGGTAGATACTCAGTAATGGGATTGCTGGGTTGGATGGTATTTCTGTCTTTAGGTCTTTGAGAAATCGCCAAACTGTCTTCCACAATGACTGAACTAATTTACATTCCCACCAACTGTGTATAAGTGTTCCTTTTTCTCCACAACCTTGCCAGTATCTGCTATTTTTTGACTTTTTAATAATAGCCATTCTGATTGGTGTGAGATGGTATCTCATTGTGGTTTTGATTTACGTTTCTTAAGTGATGTTGAGCTTTTTTTCATATGCTTGTTGGCTGCATGTATGTTTTCTTTTGGAAAGTGTCTGTTCATGTCCTTTGCCCACTTTTTAATGGGGTAGTTTGTGGGATTTTTTTGGTAAATTTGTTTAAGTTCCTTATAGATGTAAAGGCATAAAACACATACCCTGTCTTTGGTACTGGTTTTTTGTAAAACGTGAACACTATGATTAGCTTGAACGAAGAATCTTTTCCTGATATTTGCAGAGTTTAATTCCATCTTGTAAAGGGAAAGACATGTTTTCATACATTTATACATGTTCTTTCATAAACACCTTAAGATATAATATTTGATTTCCAATTAAGTTGTAATCATGCCTACAATGCTTTCCAGCTTCTTTCTTTCAAAGCTCCCCATTTACTAGCTGTTGTCCATTTCTCCCGCTTTCTCTTTTCACACTTCACACCTTCCACTCTGAGAGTCAGCCAAATGGAACAACTTTTTGTTCCTTAAATGGGTCATGCTTTCTCTTACTTTTTACTTTTTATTTTTTTCCTTAGTCTTGTGCATGCTGTTTGCTCTGATAGAACACATTGTTCACTTCTCTGTTTCTACTCATTTTTCAAGTCTTAGATTTTTGTCATTAACTTTTTCGGGGAATTTTATTCTTCTAATCCTCCCTACACCCCAGCACAGGCTGCGAGTATTTCTATTGCATTTGTACTGAAACTTTCATCAGAATTTATTTCACTCTTGCCTTGTCTACATCTCTCTCTGGGCTGAAAGCTCCTAAGGGTAGGACTGTGTTCGTTCACTGGTAAATATTTCCTTTTTAAACAAATGCATGTATTCAAGTATAACCTACAAACTGAAAAGTATGTGAATCCTAAGTGTACAGCTGGTTGAGCTTTCACAAAATGACATACACATGTTATTACCACCCACAAGATATTGTCAGTTCCCTAGAAGCGCACTACCACCCTCCACCTGTAATTTATGCTCTCTGCAAGTCACTAACCACTAACCCCTCTTTCTCCTCCTGTATGTACCCAAAGATAGTCACTATCCTGACCTCTAATGCCATGAAATGATTTTGCCTGTTGTATTAGTTTGTTAAGGCTGTCATAACAAAGCACCACAAAATGGGTGGCATAAACAACAGAAATTTATTGTCTCATGGTTACGGAGGCTAAAAGCCCAACATCAAGGTGTTAGCAGAGACAGTTCCTTCTGAGGGCCGTGAGGAAGAATTTGTTTCATCCCTCTTCCCTAATTCTTGGTGGTTTGCTGACAATTTTGGTATTTGTTGGCTTGTAGAAGTATCAGCCTGATCTGTGCCTTCATATTCACGTGGTGTTTTCTCTCTCTCTCTCTCTCTCTCTCTTTCTCTTTCTCTCTCTCTCTCTGTGTATGTAAGTGTGTGTGTCTGTGTCTGTGTCCAAATTTACCCATTTAATAAGGACACTTGTCACGTTGGATTAGGGTCACACACTATTCCACTATAACTTCATATTACTTAATTACATCTGCAATGACCCTATTTCCAACAAAGGTCACATTTTGAGGTGCTGAAAGTGCGGTCTTCAACATTTGAATGTGAAGTAGAAGAGATAATTCCACCCATAATAACTATTTTTAAACTTCAATTAAATAGAATTATATACCATATATTCTTCTGTGTCATCTTCTTTGATTTGCTATTACATTAATGCAACTTGTACATATTGTGTTATTAGTCTTCCATTTCTTTCTTTATTTTTGTTTTTCTTTTCAAGATAGAGTCTCACTATGTTGCTTAGGCTAGACTGAAACTCCTGGGCTCAAGAGACCCTTCTGCCTCAGCCTCCTGAGCAGCTGGGACTGCAGGTGTACACCAACATGCTCAGTTCCATTCATTCATTTTGATTGCTATACTGTGTTCCACTGAATGTTTATGCCATATATATCTATGTGTCTATGTCTACATTTGTAGCTATCTATACCTATGTCTATATCATCTATATCTATATAGCCATTCTACTGGAAAGGATACTAGAGTGTTTACAGTTTGGGGCTATTAACATATAGTGCTACTATAAAAATTTTTGTACATGGATTTTGGTACATATATGTAAGTGAATATTTATTGAACAATTGAATTATGATAAGGCAGGAAAGTGATTTATTTATACTTTAATAGCATTCCTAAATGAACAAGTGTCAAAGTTTGGGTGGAGGAATCAAGTGTTTCTCTAAACTTGCTTCTTAGAATATTAGTTTTGTAGCATCTTAATGGGTGTCACTTTCTAAAAAAGTTACATGACTGAAAACATTTGGAAATATTGGACTGAACAAATTAAACCATTTTGTTTGTTCTTCTTATACTGCAGGATTTTTTCAATTGCCTTTTTTTTCCCCTAGAGAGTAAATGTGAAAGACAGTTCTCATATTTGACAGGGAAGCTCTTTTTGTTTTGAGGAAGATATAGCTAGGACCAAAATTCTAGTAGGTTCTATACTTTGTTACTAAATGGGTACTGGGTTATTATCTTTTTAAATTTTATATTACAAAATATTTGGTAAATTACTTAAACCTAAGAGTGTCAGGAGGATGAAAAGATGGTTTGCATTATAGTACATTTGCTAACTTAAGTTTTCACGTTTTTGCTTGTTTGGGGGCTATTTTAAGTTTCTTGAGGTATTGTTTATATTTCATTGATAATCTGCATTTTTAGAGGGGAATCTCTCATGTACAGGTTTTCTGTGTTAAAAAAAAGGCTTTCACTATAAAGAGAAGCCTCAAAACTTAGCAAGAGTACTGATCAATCAACCACAGCTAAACACATGTTATCATTTTACTGATCCCCAGTGTGATTAATGCTTAAAAAAAGAACAACCCCATTTAAATTCCCTTTGCAACTTCATTTGTTGTAGCACAATAGATTAAAGGCTTACAAAAGGAGTTGTTTCTATTGTCTATCTTAAAAGAATTTTAATTACCAAATGCATTAAACTTTTATATTAATTAAGTGGTTTTGGGTTGTAGTCATCCAGGCATCAGCACTATTCCTGATGTCTCATTTTGCTGACTGCAGGCTGAAGGAAAGCTTGCCCCAGACACAGCAACAGGACCCAGGCTGCCAAGCAGCACAGGGCCAAACAAAAGGGCTTGCACCTCAATTAAATTGAAAGTCTCTGAGCTGCTCTTGCAATCCAGATGGCAAGTAAATTCATATCTTCAGGAGGGATTTAATTAAGATATATTCATTGCAAGCATGAAGCCAGGAATTCAATCTCAAGAAAGCTTAAAAAATTGCAGTGGCACTTTAAAAATAACTACAATATAAGTAGGATCTAGACCACTCAAAAGTCAAGGGTTCTGTTCTAGACAACTTAGGAGTCTGGTGCTTTAGGCTAGTGTAGTCAACTTCAGTTTTTTTTATTGGTGGTTAAAAGCAAAGGCTTTGGAATTAGACAAATTTAGTTTCAAAGGTTAGCCTTGGCAATCACTAATTCTATGACTTAACTTTTCCTGTAGCTTCTGTTTCTTCAACTGTTGGATGAGTATAACACCTACATCATAAGATTTTTGTGAGGATTAAACGAGAAATATCCTAATGATTCTCAAGTTTGTGTCATTAGCCCTGGTCATTTCCTCATCTAGTCATTTCCTCATCTCCAAAACTGTCTAACCACTTATTTGACATCTCTACTTGGATTTATGATAGACATCTCAGACTTAAATTAGCTAAAACAAAACTGTCGATTACCCCAAACCCAGAACATGTGTGTCCCAGTTCTTCTCACTTGGAATGCTTCCGCTATCCAGCCAGCTGCTCAAGCCAAAAAGCCAGGAGTTACTGTTCTCTTTCCATGTTCTCCCTCAAACAATTCTGTTAACTCCACCTCTGATATATATCTTGAATATCTGGAACATGTCCTCTTTTTTTCTATCTCTATTGCCATCACATTGGTACAGTGTTTTCCAAGCTTAGTGGTACTGATATTTTGGAACGGATAGTTCTTTATCATGGGGCTTGTCTTGTGCATTGTGCGATGTTTAGCAGCATCTCTGACCTCTATTCACTAGATGTCAGTAGTGTTCCCCAAGTTGTGAAACAAAAACGCCTCCAGACATTGACAATCGTCATTTGGGAGAAACAAGTCTACTCTAGTTGAGAACTGCTGTACTCATACAAGCCATCATCCCCTCTTGACAGAAAAAATCACCATCACAAAACTCACTTGTGGTATTTTATATTTGTTTTTATTTCGTCGATCCACTTAAGTTTTTCTGTTTTATAATCATGTGATTCATCATTTTAAATAAAGATAATTTTGCCTCCTTTTAATCTTTAAAATGTTTTTCCTTTGACATTTATTATACATTCTGGTATCTATTGCTGCATATAGAAACTCAGACATATGGTTTGAAACAGCAATAATATTTATTTGGCTCACAAATCTGCAATTTGAGCAGCAGTTGGTAAGGACAGATCATCTCTGCTCTGCTCAGGGCAGCAGGGATGGCTAAAACTCTGGACAATGGGCTGCTTTGCAACATGGTAGCTAGCTTCCAAGACACAGTCCCTCAAAAAGGAGGGAGCCACGTGGAGCCAAATTGCTCCTCAGAACCTAACTTCAGAATTCAAACGGTGTCACTTCTGTTGTAGTTTTATTTATCAAGAGAGTCACAAAAATATTCTATCTTTCAGTGGCAGGGTAAATAATCTCCACCTTTTAATGAGAGAATGACAAAGTCCTAGACAAGTGTATTGAATCTAAATGACTCCTGTGGCCATTTTTAGAAAATACTACCTGCTACACTATTATTTTAAGATGAATTTTAAGTTGGAAGTTTTTGTTTTGTTCTTAACTTAGAATGTATACTGGCTTTCTGTTCTATATTACAAGTTATTACAGACTTGAGGCTTAAAACAGTAAAAATTTATTCTGTGGTTTCTGTAGATCAGAAATCTGGGCTCACCTTAGCTGAATTCTCTACTCAGGGTTTCGTAAAGCTGGAATTAAGCTGTCAGCCAGGCCGCACCCTTTCTGGAGATAGGAGTCCTTATTTAAGCTCTCATGATTAGTGGTAAAAATCAGTTCTGTGTGGCTCGGGGCTGAGGACCCTGTTCTCTTGCTGTTTGTCAGCTGGTGGATCTCCTAGTTCCTAGGATCTGCCTATAGCTCCTTGCCACATGTGCCCCACAAGCTCTCCATTAGACCCTCTTACGCTTCAAATGTATCTTCCAGGGAAGTTCCAGGTGCTCTTATGATTAGGACAGCCTCATTTGGAGGATCTTCCTTTTGATTAACTTAAAATCAACTGACTAGTAACCTTAATTATACATACAAAATCCCTTTTGCCATGTAACATGGTACAATCAAGGGAGTGATACCCCTTATCATTACAGGTTTTGACTACACTCAAAGGGAGGCAGTTGTATGAGGTATGAACATTAGGAAGTAGAAATCTTGGGGTCCGTCTTAAAATTCTGCCTTCCAGAGAATGTTTATAACATTTCTCCATTAAACAATGCTAATTCGGGGTTTGAGATGTATGTGAGTACGTCTGTCTGATATAAAGGGTATCTATTTCTATTTCACAATACATCTTTGTCTTGTGAATTATTATGTTAAATTATATTAATATATTTTCAAATTTTATCAACTTGATATTCTTGAAATTACCTTACTTGATATTACTGAATTCTTTTGTACTATAATTTTATTTAGGAGTTTAAATCATAATTTGTGGATATCCTTGATCCCATAGATTCCTTTTATTGTCCTGTCTTTTAGTTTGGGGACCAATGTCATGTGGAACTGTGAAGAATTTCCCATCTTATACTTTGAGTGTTTTAAACAGCAATGGAGTTTTCTGTTCCATGAATGCTTGCTAATATGTACCTATGAAAATATTTAAGCCTAGTAATTCTGTGGAATTTTTTGTAGGAATGGAAGTAGATTTCTTAATTTTTTTTAGATTCTCCTCTGGTAAAACAACTTGTTTTGTTTTTCTATTTCAGAGTCAGTTTGGTAATTCATGTTTTAAAAATATGTTTATTTAATCAGATTTTTAAATATAGTTGTATACAGGTGAGACAAATATCCAATTTTAGAATTGTTTAATCTTTTAAAATAAAAAGTTATTTCACCATTCCCATTTCTCTCTCTCTGTGTGTGTGTGTGTGTGTGTGTGTGTGTGTGTGTGTGTGTGTGTATTTTGGAAGAAGGGGCAGGAAAGAGTTTTTACTGAAGTGTTTTCTATTAAGATTTTTTTTTTTTTTTTTTGAGACGGAGTCTTGCTCTGTCACCCAGGCTGGAGTGCAGTGGTGTGATCTCAGCTCACTGCAAGCTCCGCCTCCCAGGTTCACCCCATTCTCCTGCCTCAGCCTCCAGAGTAGCTGGGACTACAGGCGACCACCACCACGCCCGGCTAATTTTTTGTATTTGTAGTACAGATGGGGTTTCACCGTGTTAGCCAAGATGGTCTCAATCTCCTGACCTCATGATCCACCCATCTTGGCCTCCCAAAATGCTGGGTTTACAGGCGTGAGCCACCGTGCCCGGCCTTTATTAAGATTTTTGAAGGATCAGCTCTTTGATTTATTTCTACCATTTTAAAATTCACCACTTTATCTTTGTATCTGTTTATTTTTTTCTTTTATTTTTGTTATTTAAACTAACATTAAAACAAGCCTATGATGTAAGTAGGCTATTTGTACCCTTTTGCAAATGAGAAACCTGAGACCTGGTGTGATGGTTGATATTGAGTGTCAACTTGATCAGATTGAAAAATGCAAAGTATTGTTCCTGGGTTTGTCTGTGTGGGTGTTTCCAAAAAAGATTAATATTTGAGTCAGTGGACTGGGAGAGGCAGACTCACCCTCAATCTGGGCAGGCACCATCTAATCAGCTGCCAGTGTGGCTAGGATAAAAGCAGGCAGAGGAACATGAAAAGACCAGACTGGCTGAGTCTTCTGGCCTCCATCTTTCTCCTGTGATGAATTCTTCCTGCCCTCAAATATCGGACTCCAAGTTCTTCAACTTTTGGACTCCTGGACCTATACCAGTGGTTTGCCAGGGTCTCTCAGACCTTCCCACCGCAAACTGAAGGCTGCCCTGTTGGCTTCACTACTTTTGAGGTTTTGGGACTCAGATTGGCTTCCTTGCTCCTCAGCTTGCAGATGGTGGGACTTCACCTTGTGATCGTGTGAGTCAATATGCCTTAATAAAGTCTCTTTTATGTGTACAACTATCCTATTAGGTCTGTCCCTCTAGAAAACCCTGACTAATACATCTGGGGAGGCTGACTAACGTGCCTATGGTCATAGTCAGTGGGTGGCAGAGCTTAAATTTAAATCCAAGCATTTTTGCTCCAGAACTTGAGTTGTCAACACTAATGTCTGTCTTTTTTGTTTTAGCCATTCTAGTGCATGTGAAGTGGAATCTCATTGTGGTTTTGATATGCATTTCCCTAATGATTAATGATATTAGACATCTTATCTTGTGCCTATTGGCCATTTGTATGTCTTCTATGGAGAAATATCTATATTCAAATAGTTTGCATATTTTAAAATGTGGTTGTCTTTTTATTGTTGAATTGTAAGAGTTCTTTATATATTCTGGATACCAGTTCCTTATCAAATGTATGCTTTGCAAATATTTTTTTCCATTACATGGGTTGTCTTTTGACTTTCTTGATGTCTTTTGAATCTATGCTTTAATATTGATGAAGTAAATGTCTTGCTTTTTTCTTTTGTTATTTGCACTTTTATGTAATGTCTAAGAAACATTGACTAATATAAGACCACAAATATTTATGTATGTATATTTTTCTAAGAATTCTATAGGTTTAGCTCTTACATGTAAATCTATGGTTTATTTTGAACCACTTCTTTTATATGATGTAAGATTGGGGTTCAACTTCTTTCTTTTACTTGTGGATATCTAGTTGTTCTAGTCTTTGGTGTTGGAATTCTGGTAATACAGGCCTTAGAGAGTAAGTTGGGAAGTGTTTCCTCTTCATCTTTTTTTGCAAGAGTTTGTGAAGAATTGGTCTTACTTCTTTAAATGTTTGACAGAATTCACCAGTAGAACCATCAAAGGCTGTGCTTTTCTTTGTAAAAAATTTTTTGATTACTAATTTAATCCTTACTTGTTGGAGGTTGATTCAGATGTTTTATTTTTTCTTGAGTCAGTTTTGGTACATTTTTGTGTCTTTCTAGAATATTGTCCATTTCATTTAATTCATTAATATATAATTGTGAATTATATTCTTTAATTCTCCTTATTTTTGTAAGGTAACTAGTAATGTTCCGTCTTTCATTACTGGTTTAGTAATTTGAGTCTTCTCTTTCTTGATTAATCTAGCTAAAGTTTTGCCATTTTCTTGATCTTTTTTTTTTATCTTGATCTATTTATCTATCTTTATGCCAAGACCACAGTATCTTGAGCACTGTAACTTTGTAGTAAGTTTTGAAGTCAGGAAATGTCAGTCTTTGGAACCACATGATTCAAAATACAACTTCTTTTTAAAAATTGTTTCTATTGTTTTTCTATTCTTCATTTATTTCTGCTGTAATCTTTACTTTCTTTTGCTTATTTTTGTTTATTTCCACTGATTTATCTAATTTTTTAAACGGATAAGTTTAGGTTTTTGATTTTAGGTTTTCTTTTAAAATACGATTAAAATATGATCATTTTTTAGATATCAGTTTCTCTCTAAGCACCACATTAGCTGTATTCCATAAATTTTGCTAGATTAGTTTTTATTTTCACCCATCTCAAAGTTTTTCTGAATTTTCTTGTGATTGATTCTTTGGCTGGTTTGTTATTTGGGAGTGTGTTAATTTTCACATAAATGTAAATTTTCCAAATTTCCTTCTGTTATTGATCTCTAGCTATTAAATCCAGTTATTTTATGGTGTTGTTCGATTCTCGCATTTCAGTTTTGAATTTTGTACTAGTTGTGCCCATTATTGAAAATGAGGCATTGGATTTTGCATTTTCTTTAATTGTCTATGTCTCTCTTCAATCCTATCAGTTTTAATTTCTTGCATTTTGGGGCTTTTTTGGTGCATGTATATTTTCATTTTTTTATGTCTTTCTGATGGAACGACTCCTTTACTGTCATAAAATATCTTTTTTTCTAGAAATAAGTTTTTGTTTTAAAGCCTATTTCGATATAAGTATACCCACTGCTGTTCTCCTTTGGTTGCTCTTTGTATAGTATATATTTTTTCATCTTTTATTTTCAATTAGTTTGTGTCTTTCAAACTAAACTTGTGGACAGAATATAGTTAGATGTCACTTTTTTCCTTCTGCTAGTCTGTGTGTTGATTGGCATATTTCAAGCATTTACATTTAATATAATTGCTGATTAAACAGAATCTACATCTGCCACTTTAATTTTTATTTTCTATAAGTTTTATGTCTCTTTTGTACTTCTCTATTACTGGCTTATTTGGGGTTAAACAGGTATTTTCTGTGTACTGTCTTAATTCCTTGTAATTTCCGTATTATTTTATCTTTTTATTGGTTGTCCTGGGGATTACAATTAACGTCTTAATTTATAACACTCTATTTCAGTTAATACCAACTTAATTTCAATTGTATATCAAAATTTCACTCTTACATAACCTCATTTTCTCTCTATCCTCTGAACTATTGTCATTCATGTGAGACTTTATACATTATAAATCCACCAAAATAGTTATCTATGATGTTTTATGCAGTTGTCTTTTAAATTAGTTAGAAGAAAATAATTACAAACAACAAATACATTTATATTGTCTTTAACTGAGACAGTTAACTTTACTAGTACACTTTATTTTCTTCATTTGGATTTGAGTTATTGTTTAGCATCCTTTTATTTTAGCTTGACACTCTTTCTTTAGTGTTTGTCGTAGGGCAGTTGTACTAGTGTTAATTCTGTTAATTTATGTTTACCTGGAGATATATAAATTTCTCCTTTGTTTTTGAAGGATAATTTTGCTGAGTGTGGTATTTTTCTTTGGCAGTCTTATTTTAGGATTATTATTTCAATTATTTTGGTAATTTATAACTCCAGAATTTGTTTTTTTTTTTAATTGATAGTCTGTTTTATGAGACATTGTTCTCATACTTTTTTTTTTTGTTCTTCAGACATGGTTTTCTTTAGTTTTTTTTTTTTTTTTTTTGAGACGGAGTCTCGCTCTGTCGCCCAGGCCAGACTGCGGACTGCAGCGGCGCAATCTCGGCTCACTGCAAGCTCCGCCTCCCGGGTTCACGCCATTCTCCTGCCTCAGCCTCCCGAGTAGCTGGGACTACAGGCGCCCGCCACCGCGCCCGGCTAATTTTTTGTATTTTTAGTAGAGACGGGGGTTTCACCTTGTTAGCCAGGATGGTCTCGATCTCCTGACCTCATGATCCACCCGCCTCGGCCTCCCAAAGTGCTGGGATTACAGGCGTGAGCCACCGCGCCCGGCCTTCTTTAGTTCTTTCAACATGTTTATAAGAGCCAATTTAAAATCTTTGTTTAGCAACTTCAGTGTTTGGATATCATTAGGGACAGTTTCTACTGATTCATTCTTTTTCCTGGTATTGGGCCATTCGTCCTATTTCTTTGCATGTCTTACAATTCTTTGGTGGAAAATTGGACATATTAGATAATATGGCATCTCTGAAAATTAGATACTTCTCCCCCATATTCTCTTCAGTTTTTTTTTTTTTCTTTTTTTTGCTCTTGTAGTTGCTGCTGCTGTTGCTGGTCTGTATTCTTTGTCATATGTGTCCACTAGGTCTCTTCTCAGTTAGCTTACTGGCCAGCTAATGATTGAATTGGACAGAGTTTTCCTTAAAAGCCTTGAAAGTATGTCTCCTTCCTTATTCCAAGGGACTCTTTAAGAGTGTTGGTGCATACCTTCAATGCTCCAGCAATTTACAACTGTGCCTTAATCTTCACTTTCTACCTGTACAGATCCTCAAGATTAGCCACATGTGAGAAGATAGGGACTTTCCATGTCTTTCCTAGGCAGGGGCACAGCCTTACATATTTTCATGACCATTTAAATTCCTAAGAATATGTCAGAGTTTTTCAAATTCCCCTATGAGCATCTCATCCCACAGCTTTTCCTTTTATTTTTTTTTCTTTTGAGCCTCTTATTTGCTCCAGTTATTATCCCTGCTTTAAGCAGGTGTTGTGTTAGACAGTTGCCACTGTTTTACTTTTCTGACAAACCTTAGGAAAATGTTATTCACAGTGAGTGAGCTCTGAACCAGGTTAAATAAAGACAAGTCCTGTGAGTGGAGGTTTCCGGAGAGCAGCCAGACAGGTCCAATAATGATATTTCTCTGGGAATAAGACTTTTGGGTTTAAAACAGTTCTAAACCTCTTTTGCCCCAATCAGTGGCTGCTAGGCTAGAGTTCTTATATCTAACTTTATTGTACACCTATTTATTTTTTCAGGGTCACTTCAGAGGTAGAGAGATAGCTATGGGATTAATTCACATTGAAATACAACAAAGACAGCTTTCCTTACCCAGATTCAGCCATTTTTTTTTTAATGGAATAAACATTCTTCAAATTGGTACTATTTTGGTTACTTACAGAGTTTTGAAAAAGTTGATTCTGACAATTTTTACTAGTGTTCTTATCATTTTTACAGAAGAGTGGATCTTCAGAAGTCCTTGTTCCCTCATTGCAGAAGTCCCATCTTCTATTTGGTTTTCTATGCTGTGTAACAACCAAAAATTTTGACTTAAAACAACACCCATTTATTGCCTCTCAGTTAATAAAGGTCAGAAATGTGAGTACTGCTCAGGAGGGTTCTTTGCTCAGAGTTTCTGAAAAGCTGAAATCAGGGTGTCATCTTGGGGTAGGTTCTCATCTGGAGCTGTGGTCCTCTCCCAAGCCCATTCAGTTTACTGGCAGAATTTAGTTTACTGGTGGAATTCAGTTCCTTGCAGTTTTAGATCTGAGGCTCTCAGCTCCTAGAGGCCACTCCACGCTATAGGCAGTTAAGAACATGGCTGCTTGCTTTTTTAAAACCAGAAATATAATATCCCTCTCACTTCTTACGTCTCTGACCTCTATACCCTTTGTTAAAAAGCTTATCTGCTTATGCAGCTTCATCCAGGATAATATCTCCATTAGTTAACCTAAATTCAATTGATTAGAGACTTTAATTACACCTTCTGAATCTCTTCATCTTTGTCACTTAACACGATATGATCACAGGAGGAATATTTCATCACCTTTGTCATATTCATTTTTCAGGAGCAAGTTATAGGTCCCATACATACTCATGAAGAAGGCATTATCCAAGGTCACGGGCCATTGAGATTGTCATAGCATCCTGTCTACCTCCTATAGTAAATTATAAGAAGTTTTTATTTTGTTAATCGGTTCAGTCATTTTAATTTATATTTTTGTATCTTCATAATGTAATAATCACATCAAGCATTACTATAGAGTAATAGCATACTGACTATATTCCAAATGACAAATGTAGTCAAAATCTAATGCTCAGTGTGACAAGAGCAAGTTCTTGTAAAGTATGGTCTTTTCAGGGCTTGCTTAGGTTGGGGATTTGCTATTGATTACACAAATATATTTTGCTGCTTTAATTCTGCTCTCAAGGCCTTAGTCAATAATCAAAAGTCTATGCTATCTACATTGGTCTTCTTCCAATGTAAATATATTTTCTTGCTACGGGATGAGAAAATATTTATATTGTTAATACCAAGTTTCCCATGAATGGGTTATTTTCTCAGAGTGTTTTATATGAGGAGCAATGTTGAGCTTCACAGGATAAAGGTATCCCTTTTAGATGTAAGTAAAGGCTAAATTAAAAAAAAATTATGCAACCAAATGAAAATTATAATGTACATGTTTGACCCAATCTTGACTTGTTTGTAAGGTACTTATAACACTACTATTTATCCCTGATAAAAATTTTAAAAACGAGTTTCTAAAATGAAATGCCAAAATACCTTCAAACAGAAAAAAATCTAAATAACCATCCGTACTGTTCATAAATAGTTTTTTGGCAGGGAGGTAGAAGGGGAAACAAATACAGGATATATATATATATATATCTTGGTGTATATATATATATATATATATATATATATATATATATAAAATCAAGTCTCTCAGAGTAGTGGTGTTTCAGTTATTTTCATTTACATTATCAAAGGAAATCCTGTGTTCAAAAACAAACTTAAAAAATAATGTAACGCTAGATATGGAGATTGTATTTGAAAATCATATATACATAGCACACAAAATAATTTTTTCTTGCAATTTTTTTATACTAGGTAAAGTGCTATTCCAAGAATTGGATTCGATATCTACTAGTTTTCTTTGAAATTTAATGCTAAAGTTTGAATTAAATGAAATTTTTATGACATCAATAATTCTAAAATTCTTTAAGGACTACATTGGATTATAAAACACAGTCACTCTTAGCCATTAACTTTCATACTTAAGGCCAAGTTTATAAGCTTTTCTTAATTTGTCATTTTTTGAAGATACAATTATTGCTGACAGGGCTTTTGGAGATAACTAATGGATGAATGTATGAGTGTGCAAAAAATATGTTAAAATGATTAAATTGATTTTTTTTAATCAGAAAGAACTGGACCAGAAAGTTCCACTTGAATCAATTAGGGAAACATACACTCACTTTCTAACCTGGCAGAGCTTGTTTGTCAGGCCTGGACAAGGATAAAATTGTACCTTATTTTGTGCCACAGATGTAGTTCTGAGGGTTTACTTGTGCTTTGTGGTTTTGCAGATCAAACCAAATTTAAAATAGTAAGATAGATGCCTAGATATAAAGGCATTTTAGCAAATTCTTAGAGTAAATCATTGTGGTTTAGCATGCAGACTCTGAAAAAGTATCTGTGCTCAAATCCTTGATTTTCCACTTTCAGCTATGTTTCTTTTAGCAAGACAAACTTCCCCCTTGTTTCTTTATTTGTGAAATGCATATAATACTAGTTGATATCCCATACATTTGTAGACAGGATTGAGTTAATTCTGTGAAGCACTTAGACTAATGTGAATATTGTATGAACTGGTTATTATCTTCTGTTAAAACATTTACTTTATAGTGTGATTTTTCTGCTTTTATGTATTGAGGCTCTCTAAATTGCAGTACAGATGCATTAATGATACCCAGTAAAGGAATCCTCATTTACCATGGTATCTTACATACCCATCCAGTGTCTTTTTGTCTTTTTCATCTATTCATTCATTTGGCAAATATTTTCAGAGATGCCACTGTGTACCAGGTAGTGGTGGCTCATGCCTGTAATCTCAGCACTTTGGGAGACCAAGGTGGATGGATCACGAGGTCAGGAGTTTGAGACCAGCCTGGCCAACATAGTGAAATCCCATATCTACTAAAAATACAAAAAATTAGCTGGGCGTGGTGGTGTGTGCCTATAATCCCAGCTACTCGGGAGGCTGAGGCAGGAGAATTGCGTGAACCTGGGAGGCGGAGGTTGCAGTGAGCCGAGATGGCGCCATTGCACTCCAGCCCGGGCGACAGTGCGAGACTGTCTGGAGAAAAAAAAAAAAAGAAAGATATTGTTCCTTCCCTCCTGGAATTTATAATCAGATAAAGGAGACAGATGAAAAAGTAACCAATAAATGGAATACAGCTTGTAACAAATTATATGGAACAAGCAAACGGTACTGAGATAGAGAGTATCAAAAGAGAGGCTGTTACTGGATAATCTGGAAAGTCCTCTTTGAGGAGATGACATTCAAACTAACCTTGAATTTTTAAGAGCCAGAGAGTGGCTGGCAAAGGATTCTAGACATGTGAAAGAAAGGCATGAAAGAAAGACCCTGGCTTGTGAAAAGAGCTAAAGACAACATCATTGTGGCAATGGAGAAAACAAACCTTTTCTTTTGGTGAAGGGATTAGAA
Organism: Homo sapiens; assembly: GCF_000001405.40. NCBI lineage: Eukaryota > Metazoa > Chordata > Mammalia > Primates > Hominidae > Homo > Homo sapiens. The sequence continues at coordinate 18,175,960 of NC_000021.9, forward strand.
GTTCAGTTTTACAAATACTAATTTTGTTAAGTGTTTTAGACATCCAAAGAGATTTATAGTAGTAATTAAATATATAGATCTAAAACTCAAAAGAGTCTGAGGATGGAGAAATAATTGGAAAATAAAGACATGCCGGTTATATTTAAATCCATATGACTGAATAAGATCACCTAAGGAACAAGTTTATAAAAAGAAGATCAAGGACTGAAAAAACAGGAACAAAAACATTTAGAGATAAGTTAGAAGAATTGGCAAAGAAATATGTGAAAAAGAAGCTTAATGAGATTAAGAAAATCTGGAGAGTGTGAGGTCAGCTACTCTAGGTCCATTATTAGGGATACAGTTAAGACCTTCATGTAGTCTGTTAGTTATATCTGTTTCATAAAATCAAAGGCTAGAGCCTCTTAAAACAGTATGGTAAGATTTCATGTTCATTGTGCATATCTATATACTATAGCTAAAGACATCAATAGTTACTATAAACAACAGATAAAAATGAACACATATAAATGAACTTCATGATTTACTCTTGTTCTAAGATATGCATAACAAAATGTACCATTGCCTCCCTTGTGTTGGCAAATACAATTAATTCCTTCAGAGTAGCGAAGTTTTGTTTGAGTTTTTTGAAGCTTGTTTATCTAATGCTATCTATTGTCCTTGAGTTCAAGCAAAATTAGTATTTTTTCCAAAGATTAAAAACTATTGCAGAAAAGTATGCTTGAACTAAATGTATTTTCAGCCCAAGGATAAGTAGATTCAACTTTAGTGGCAATTTGAAACCAAAAAGGGTTTATTGAAATGGAGGAATGTTATGATCAAAGATGTAATTTAGGAAAATTATTTTATAGATAGGATGAAGGAGGGGTAGGAGAAGAGAAATTGGAGGCAAGAGTACAAGGATGATCAAGAGGGGATGAACATGTGACCCATGAGACAGGCAACATAAGGAAGACAAAAAGGAAAATAAACACAACATTCATTGCAGAAAGAAGATAAAACTTAATTATAGGTTGTTGGGGTAAGGGATTAGAAGGAATCCATTATTTGCAGAGAGTCTTGAGCTATGAGGTTAATAACAAAATGTTATTAAAATTATATTAAAAAATAAAGAATTTAAATCAAGAATACACCACAATTTCTGACTTCTTCATCAAAAAAGTCCAAAGTGTGATAATAATTATACAAATAATAACACTAACAAGGGCAGAAATTGCTATAGTATTCAGTATATACTAAGTACCACATTAAGAGAATTAAATATATTATGGTAAATCCTACAAATGCAAGGCAGGCATTAGTAAACCTATTTTGTGGTTTAGTAAACAGGTTGAAAAAGTTTATGTAAATTGTTTAACATTCTTAAACAGCAAATAAACTGAATAACTGAGATTTAAATAATCCAGTTTCTTCTTACTCTAGAGTCTAGCTCTTTCCTTTATATAGATATTTATTGTTTGCTTCTTTTATATTTTTCTGTGTATGTAGCTTCAGCATAATTCATGGCACACAAAATTTACAAAATTATATTTTGACTTTATCTCAATGGAATCCATGATGATCTGACACATTGGGCAATTTAGTATCAATCTACTTCACAAACAAATTATCTTTTGACCCAAAATTGAAATGCACAGATACTTCATAGACAGAGGGATAATGCCAGAAAATGTGCCAACATTTGTGAACAAAATCGTACCAGTCTAGTCAATGAGTTAGGTTTCTTTAGGTTAAACTAATTATCAAAATTTTGTTCACTTTAAGATTTACTTAATGTTATATTATCTACTTGACAACATTAATGAATTATTTAAGATACACTTTGAAGAAAAATTAACTGAGTTTATTCCATTGGTTTAGAGTGGCACATCACTGGTAAATTATTTATAATACATTTTCAGGAATAAACTTGAGTTTATTCAACTGGTTTAGAATAAACAAATTTGTTAATCTTTGAGAAAGCTATTTACTTGGTCCAAATAAAAATATCTATTTTCATTGAGAGCACTGCTGTGATGTTTCTCAATATTTTCATTTCCTCTCCAATTTCCACAGTAGATCTAACCTTGAGAAATTCGCTTGGGATAAGTATTAGGCATCAGTCTCATGGTTGCTAATAATTAGCTTAGAGGTCTCCTAGTTGATTAAGTGTAAAGCCACCACTTTTACAATATAATTTTCTAATATAGTTCAAATTATACTTTGTGATATAAATTTCCTAACTATATACCAGACACAAGTTAATTATTTTCATGAGGCTGTTTGAAAAGTCCGTATTCTACAGTATTTCCTTAGATTTTATGAGTTTTAGTGACATGAGGTGACAGTGGTAACTACAGGTACTATTTTCTGCTTTGCAGTAGTTTGCTTTATCTTTTTCCTTTCCATGTCCAAAAGTAAGTTTTTATTTCAGATTATCACAATTCATATCACACTCATAACTACAGTTGACCACTGAACAATGTGGTATTCATTGCTGGCCCCCCTTCCAGTTAAAATTTATGTATAACTTTTGACTCCCCAAAAACTTAACTAATGAAAGTCTACTGTTGACTGGAAACCTTAGTGATAACATAAACTATTGATTAACACATATTTTATCTGTTACATGTATTATATACTGTATTCTTGCAATAAAGTACACTAGAGAAAAGAAAATGTTAAGAAAATCATAAGGAAGAGGAAATACATTAACTATTCATTAAGTGGAAGTGAGTCATCCTACAGGTCTTCATCCCCACCCTCTTCATGCTGAGTAGGCTGAGGAGGAAGAAGAGGAGAAGGGGTTGGTCTTGCTCTCTCAGGGGTGGCAGAGGTGGAAGAAAATCTGTATATAAATGGCCTGTGCAGTTCAAATCTGTGTTGTTTAAGCATCAACCATAGAGTTTAGTCATGTATGTTAGAAAGTGTTGTGGTTATCAATTGTTTTTGTTACTGTTGAGTTTCAGCTTTGATACACATACCCTATTTGTTTACTATGGGATTGCATCAGAGGATGGAGCCAATAGAGTAATGTCTTCTGGAAGTTTATCTTGTTTCTTGCCAGTTTTCCAAAACCCTTTCTTCTGTTGATAAGAATTAAATATTGTTAAAAAGAAAGCTAACCACCCCCAAGCACATAAACTTATCCTTGATATTGCTTTCAAACCTTTGAAACCTCAAGAAACTTGAGGCCTCAAGTTGAAAACCGCCATTTGTGGAGTTTTGAGGTGGTGCAGGACTTACCCATTTGCTTTGGAAAAAATCTCGGTCAGGTTTCTCCTTTGGTCTCTATTTGTTCCACTTGCCCTTTGACCCACTTGACCCATTTCTGTCTTTAGTCCAAACACTTGGGAGTCAGCCTCTGTTCGTCGATTCCTGTCTTAATTACTTTGTTTTTCAGAATACCACCTTGAAATCATTTCTGTCATTCTACTCACCATTTTGAATTGATTCTATGTGGTTTCTGGTTTCAGATTTGCTAGCACCAACCTAAGCCAGTTACGGCTCTTGCTTTAGTATTTCTCATCAGCCTACTCTCAATTGGTAGAAACTTTTGCAAGTCCTCTTATTTCTACCACTCTAGAGTTGTGGCAGTTTTACCCTTTAGTCAAAGAACAGCTTTTGGGGATAAGTAAATCAAGAGGCCTTCACTTTATCTTGATTCTCCTGTTCTTGTTGGTATGTAGGGACCAATTATGTCTGATAATGACCTTTCTTTTTCCTCCACTCTCCTTTTCCTTGTACTTCACAGAGGACTCATGAGATTTCTAAATGTAAACTCTTTACACAAGCAACATCAGGAATGTTTAGATATATATTTATGAATAAATTAAAATGTCTAAAATATTTCCATTTTTTGTCAACGTACCTGTCTTAACACTGTAATTTTTAATTTTTGTTGACAACATATGACCTTCTTATTTATGTATTTTAATTGTGACATTGTTTAATAATTTTTATTAACTGAAACAAATTTGAAGCATTTGGAGTGACTATAGGGTAGATATTAAGGGTATGGGCTCTAGTGATACCATAGCTCTGCTACTTTATTCTGCTTCATATTTCACATCTATAAGAAGATAATAATAGTACCTAGTTTATAGTATTGTTGTAGGGATTAAATGAGCTGACTCATGTAAAGCACCAATGCCTAGGTTATAGTTAGCATTTTGATGAATGTTAACTTCTATTATTAGTATTGGTAACATCCTTTTTGTTTGTTTGTTTTTGAGATGGGCTTTTGCTGTGTCACCAAGGCTGGAGTACAGTGGCATAATTACGGATCACTGCAGCCTTGACCTCCCAAGCTCAAGTGACCCTCTCACCTCAGCCTCCCAAGTAGCTGGGACCACAGGCACGCACCACCACATCCAACTAATTTTTATGTAGAGATGGGGTCCACTATGTTGCCCAGGATGGACTCAAACACGTGGGCTCAAGCAATCCTCCTGCTGGGCCTCCCAAAGTGCTGGGATTATAGGCATGAGCTACTGCTCCTGGTCAATTATTGGTAACATCTTAAGACAAAGCTGTACTTTGAGAAACTGCATGTTTCCTGTTACAGAAATTTTTTAAAATCCACAGCTCAAAGTAGAAGTAACCTTGTATCTTCTTACGGTACATTATTACGTAGTTATTAATTTGCCTACACAATATTATCTCAGAAGGACTCCTGCCAATGTGGATGAGGCATTGTGTGTTGCTCAAGATCCCAGTGTTCACCCAGTTGGTGCAAATAAATACTGGAGCAAATTCTAAACGTGTGATCAAACAGGGTGTTTTAAAACTAGTTACACATATTTATCAGGCTACTGCAGGGGAGGCCAAATATTGTTTAGGAGTTTCGCATATGGAATCAGCTAGAATTACCTTCATCTTTTCTGCTCTTTACTAGGCTTATAAATTGGGGCAATTAATCAAAACTTTTTGAACTTCAATTTCTCCATGTGTAAACATATTAATAACACTTATTTGTCAGAGGATTGTTAGGAGTATTAAATTAATTTGAATACAAAATGCTAAGCCTAGAACATAGTAAATGCTAAATAAATTATAATCAATAGCAACAGATTTTTATTAGTAGTGTCATTACTAGTCAATGTTACTAATATTATTTAGGCATTTAAATAGTACTTAGAGTACTTGTTATTATTTCTTTTATTCCTATTCCTATTTATTCTCAGGTAGGGTGAAGTGTTATGAATAGGAATGTGAAGGGAAGGGTGATATGTAATTTAACCTGGCACAAATGAATTGTGAACTGTTATGTATATGTTCATACATTATCACATTGTGAAAGTGTTGCACTGGAATATAACTCACATATAAAAATCACCCATTTGAAGTATATAATTTAATGGTTTTTAGTAGAGTTGTGCAACCATCACCACAATGTAGTTTTAGAGCATTACAGTGCATACAAAAGAAGCCCTGTAACTATTAATCACTTTTTTGTTTGTTTTTGTTTTTGTTTCTGTTTGAGACGGAGTCTCGCTCTGTCGCCTAGGCTGGAGTGCACTGGCGGGATCTCGGCTCACTGCAAGCTCCGCCTCCTGGGTTCCCGCCATTCTCCTGCCTCAGCCTCCCGAGTAGCTGGAACTACAGGCGCCCGCCACCACGCCCGGCTAATTTTTTGTATTTTTAGTAGAGACGGGGTTTCACCGTGGTCTGGATATCCTGACCTCGTGATCCGACTGCCTTGGCTTCCCAAAGTGCTAGGATTACAGGCGTGAGCCACCGCGCCCAGCCAAGAATCACATCTTATTCTCCCTCCTCCTAGGCAACCACTAATCTTCATTCTGCCTCTACACATTGACCATTCTGGACATTTTATATGAATGGAATCATATAGTAGATGGTCTCTTGTGACTGACTTCTTTCACTTAGGCTAATTCATTCCAAGGCTCCTCCATGTTGTAACATATATCAATACTTTATTTCAACACTTCATTTGTTTTTATTGCTAAATAATATTCCATTAATATTCCATCATGTGCATATATCACATTTTTTAATCCATTCTTCAGCTGATGGGAATATGAGTTATTTTCACTTTTTGAATATTATTAATAATGCTGCTATGAACATTTGTGTGTACATTTTTGTGTGGAAATATGTTTTCAATCCTTTTGAGCCTATACCCTAGGAACAGAATTGCTGGGTAATATGTTCATGCTGTTTATTTAACCTTTTGAGGAAGTGCTGATGGGAGAGTACTACTTTACCCTCCCATCAGCAACATACGGTATCAATTTGAATTGATATCAGCATTACTTTGAAGACTACTCTTGAAATTTAATATGAGTAAAAAATTTGAGGTTCAGACAATTTAAGATGATCATCCATGGCTGTATCAAAAGAATAAAGTGAAGGCAGAAGTCAGGGTTTGAGCCTGGCTCTAGCTGGCTCTAAGGCCTGTGCTCTTTCTCCACTGGCATAAAAAGTCTTCAAGAAACATTAGCCGGTAACTATGTCTGGTGATGAATGTGTTAACTGACTTGATTGTGGTAATCATTTCAGAATGCATGAGTGTGTAAAATCATCACACTATACATCTTAAATATGTACAATTTTGTCAGTTCTATCTCAATAAAGCTGGAAAAAAAGGATCTGTTGGTCCTTAATTTTCTGTTTAAAACACACTTTGCTTTTTATGATTTTATGTCCCATAGTTTAATAAAGCCTAATAAAAATACACTTATGGAAAGATGTAAAAATTCTATTTTAATAAATCCCATATCTCAGTGGGAAAAAAATTTATGCCCAATCAGTTTTATGTAAACTGACTCCAAAGTAAAAGTAAGTGCATTAGTCCTTCCTAGAACTACTTTATTCTTATTTTTTAAAAAAATACAAGGTGCAAAAAAAATCCCTGTTTATTCTGTCATTCTGTGGAACTTAGTCACAATGAAGTATTCTGGGTGCTGCTGCCTGCCACCCACTCTCTCCACATTTGTGCTACAAGAGTTAGTACAACCCAAAGTATATGGAGGTAGGCCAAGAGGGTAGCTTCCTGCCACTGTAATTCTGAGGTCATAAAGCCTATATCATACAAGGCTTATCATGCAGAAAAGAAGGAAATTCTCCCTTATTGATTAAATACAAAAGCCACTTTGAAAAGAGGACAACCACTAAAAACCTCATTCCTTTTAAAATACACTTTAAAAATGTATTTAGAATAGGTGCATTTGGGGATCCCTTTCTCCAAGAACACACTTCACTCTCCCCCACATCTGTCATCAGGTTTTTTGGGGGGTGGCCCCTAAAATACTTGTTTATATTATATGCCTATGTTTATATGATGCTATTATCTTCTAATAGGAGATTGAACCAGGGCTTGGCTCAACCTATGCCAAACTGTCCTGCTTTCCGGAAATTTAAAATCAGGTTTAAGGGATTCTAGCTGCCATTTGGGATAAATTGTGCAAATTAAGAATTGTGGCAAACTGTCTTCTACCATGTCATCTAAGTGCCTCTGCACCTTGTACATGAAGATGTACAAAGTAGAGGATTTGAAGAGATTCCAGTCCTCCTTGAGAAGCTGAATCTCAAAGCTGCCTTTGATGTTTGTGAGATGTCCTTGATTTTTCTTAATAATTTTCTCTTTTTTTCCCTGGGATACCTTGAATTTCTGTTACTTATAAGCAAAAAACATTGATTCAAGTTGCCTAGATCCAGAAAAAGAAGGAAGTAAGGCTTTTCCCCATTTTGTTGTGGATTTGCAGATAGATTTGTGCCACAAAATGTCATAATTTTATACACACTAATGTAACAAAGAGAAATCTTAACGAGATCGAGTGTTTTTCATGGTTCACTTAAGTAACTGGGGGAAGAGGCCACAGAGTAAGGTTGGAACTCTGTGTTCAATATTCGAATCTGAAGAAAAAGAAACGATCAGTTGAATGTTGTGGTGATCTGTATCATTTGAATGTGAACTTTCTTTTGCAACAGCGAAGTTCTAGCTTTTTGAAAGTCTGATTGTTTTTTAGCCTGAAAACACATTCCCCATGACTTTTTTCTTTTTTTAAAAAAACCTCATTAAAAGTGTAGTATTAAAGGTTTACTTTTCAAATGCTTATTTTTACTTTGGACTCAAAATGAGATTTAATTACATGAATTGTGATTTGAAATTAGTTTACTCTTTCTAATAATAGACTTACAGTTTCACGTACTTTTCTAATTTTGTATTGCTAAAAATAGCATACAAAGCATCCTAAGAAAATCAGTAATTTGATGATTTGGGGAAGAAAAGCGATTTTGAGTAAAGTAGGTAACTGGAAATGATATTTCTGCAGAGGTGACTAATTTCAGTGTTTGAAAGTTTCTTTTATATAAATACATATCTGTAATTTTGAAAATGTTTGAAAAATATTGACCTTATGTTTTGAAACACAGAATGTATGTAAATTCTTTCAGTATAATACTAAGTGAAATTTAGACTGATGAGGAATTTGAGAAAAATCAAGTTAAAATGCTTATATTATTAATATCATATTTTTGAAGAATTAAATGATGATAGGAATAAGCACATTTGGTTTCAGTTTTAGAGAGTCTGAAATAGGCATTGGTTTAAAAATATGTGTTTGATATAAAATTTCTACATAATCCCCAAGTATATAAAACAATAAAACAATGTGGTATTCTAAGTTGAAAGAAGTCTGACTCTTAAGTTCTAAGTCATCAGGGCTGGACAATGCCCAGTATTGAACACCATGGAGGGAGAAACTTCTGTAAAGTTTGCAAGTCCCCAGATTTGAAGGAATTTTTGGTTTTTAGTACATCAGGGGCAGAGGTGGGCCAACCTTCTTCTATGTCAACTGGAGACAGGGATTTTCACCAAGATTTCTAAAGCCCAGTAACTGGTATACAGATTCCCTAGGCACAGCTTGAAAACCATTCCTATCTGGAGAGCTGCAAACAAATGGGACCTAGTTCTTCGTTATTTATGGAAACTTTCAAACCTTTTTTATCACCCCAAGTTGCAAATACTACTCACAGCCTCTTTTCTTGGTTGAGTCACTTTTCTATTGTTCAGGGAACTGCCAGCAACAACTTGTCTCTCTCTTTTTTTGTTTTATTTTTATTTTTATTTTCTTTTTATACTTTAGGTTCTGGGATACATGTGCAGAACGTGCAGGTTTGTTACATAGGTATACACGTGCCATGGTGGTTTGCTGCACCCATCAACCTGTCATCTACATTAGGTATTTCTCCTAATGCTATCCCTCCCCTAGCCCCCTACCCCTGGCAGGCACTAGTGTGTGATGTTCCCCTCCCTGTGTCTATGTGTTCTCATTGTTCAACTCCCACTTATGAGTGACAACATGCAGTGTTTGCTTTTCTGTTCCTGTGTTAGTTTGCTGAGAATGATGGTTTCCAGCTTCGTTCATGTCCCTGAAAAGGACATGAACTCATTCTTTTTTATGGCTGCATAGTATCCCATGGTGTATATGTGCCACATTTTCTTTATCCAGCCTATCATTGATGAGCATCTGGGTTGGGTCCAAGTCTTTTCTACCTGTGAACACTGCTGCAATAAACATACGGGTGCTTGTGTCTTTATAGTAGAATGACTTACAATCCTTTGGGATCCCTCTTTTGTCAGTAGATCTCCACCTTCCAAATAATCCTGGTGGTGGCTTGTGTGAGTCAGGCTCCTTCAGTTGCACAGTACAAGATCAAAACTCAAACTTGTTTAGGCACATAAAGGGAGTTTAGGTGTTTCATCTGTTTGGGATCCTGTAATAAAATATCACAGACTGGATACCTTGTAAATAGCAATTTATTTCTCACAGTTTTGAAGGCTGGAAAGTCCAAGATCAAGGCACCAACAGATTTGGTGTCTGGTGAGGGCTTGCTTCCTGGTTTGTAGATGGCTGTCTTTTCACTAACCTTATATGGTAGAAAAAGACTAGCTAGCTGTCTAGGGTCTCTCATAAAATTACTAATCCCATTCATGAGTGTGTAACCCTAATGACTTAATCATCTCCCAAAGGTCCCACCTTCTAATACCATCGCCTTAGTGATTAGGTTTTAACATATGAATTTTGAGGGTGAGGAGGACAAGCACATTCAGACCATAGCAATTGCCTTAATAAAGTAGGAGCTCCCTAAGTACCCCTGGCTTTAGGCATGTTTGTAACTAAAGGTTGACACAACATCCATTTCTTTCTGCTCTTTGACCTCATTTTCTCTATGTGGGCTTTCTTCTCCAGCAGAACGACCCTACCGACTGCAGAGGTGGCTCTAGCAGCACTTAGCTCACTTTACTTTTAGTTTTTGCAAAAGTCTCAGAAAATGTTCTGATTGGTCTAGAATATAAGCTCATTCCTGAAGTGACCGCTGAGACCAGGGAGAAAAACGTTTGGATTGGCCAGGCCAGGAGACACGGCATAGGACAAATTCCATCAGAATGATCTGAATAAGGAAAGAAGTTGCTCCTTAGGGAAGAAAAGTTAAAAAAAAAAATTAAAAAAAAAAAGTCATGTTCACTGCTGCAGGGCTTTCTTTAGCAGGGTCCCAGAAATATAAATCATCTGCTTATGTCCCTTTGCTTAGACCAAAGGCTTTAAATTTAGAGCACAAGTGTTTTTGGCTGCTTGCATAGGATATGGAGGGGCAAAATACCACTGATTCTTTGTCTCTTTTAGTAGTAAAATCAAAACACATATTTACATTTCACTTGGTTACCTTGTAGTTTTAAAGTGAAGTGCATACTTTAGGAGTCTCAATAATACCAAACATTGAAAGCATTCGATTTGTTATCATTTTGCTTAGAGTCATATTAAATCCACACAATAATATTTCTAGGTTAGGTTAGAATCTTAATCTCCCCAAGACTTATGAAATCACCTTCTACCTGGTGGATATTTTTCTAGTGACTCATTTTTCAAATTGTGTTTGAATGGTTGCTGCTATTTTAGATAAGTCCTAATAATGTCCAGCTTTAATTGTGAATAAAATAAAATTTATCTTGCATTTATTATATTCCAAAAACATTCAATGCTCTAGGGCTATTGGTAGATGGTACCATGCTTTTGAAAAGTTTTCAATCTGTTGAAAACAATAGATTTATGATCATATAACTAACAGTAAAAGTTACTGTACTATAATACAGCAAAAGTCAGCAAGTACTGTAAGCAAGGTAAAAATGCAAAGTTTGGGCAGAATAGAGTGGAGGATTATCTGAGGGTTCTCATTTTCAATTAAATAGTATTCAGAATTTTTAAATGACATTTCTAGGCTTCATTCAAATCTTCATTTTGAGTTTGCCACTCCTTTGTATACACCCAGTGTTCTAGCCAGATAAGATAGCTGGCATTGAACTACCATCCTAAACTGTACTCCTCCTTGTTCATTCTTCTCTTCATTCTGTTCCTTCATCCTGGACTGTATGTCCCATGTCAAGCCCACTCTGATACCTTCCTTTAATATTCAGCTCAAGCACTTTCTCCTCCTTTAAGGTTTCCATTTTACATTTTGGATTTGATTTCTCTCTCTCATGACACCGTCACATTTTCTGCTATTTCCCATGGCATTTATCCTGTCATTTTTGCGTTATAATTATTGTGATATTATAGTTTACTGTTTCCTTCTTCTTCCATCCACTTAGACCTCTTACATGGTTCCTTCTTTAATAATAGCTCTCAAGGCTGCCTCTTTTTATTGAGAAAATAGAAGTTGATGGATGTTTTCTTATATTCCCAGAAGAAAATGGCCATCTATACTCCACCTTTCTTTCTATTACCTGAGATGAAATTATCTCTGTTCTATTGCAAATCTCATTCCTCTATGACTTAAGTGCTCTGAATATGAAATCATCTCTGCTGCCCTTTTATCATTGGTTCCTTCCTCTCTGTATTGTTTTATTTCCATTAGCATATAAACATTTTTGTTATTCTTATCTTGAATAAAAGATGCCTCCTTGACTTGAAGTCTCATTTAAGCTATCATCTTTTTTCTTTGTTTACCTTCAGGCAAAACTTCTTGAAAGGGTTCACCATAATCTTTTTCTGTACTTCCTCATTACCAAACTCAGATTAGTGAGTTTGGAATGACCCCAGCACTACACGAAGATTATGCTTGTCTAGGTTGCCTATGGTTCTAAATCCAACATACTTTTCCCTTTCCTTTTCTTGATATTTTAGCAGCCTTTATTAAAATTGATCATTTTTTTTTTCCTTTTGGAAGCATACTTTTCTCTTGGATTTCATCACAATACCCTAAACTTTCTTATTGGCTACCCCATGTAAGTCTACTTTGTTTCTTGCCCTCATTTCATCCCAAAAGTTACTGTAATCCCTTGATCTTAATTCTTGAACATTTTTTACCCTGTTTTATTTAATTCATTTTTATACTCATCTATATTCATCTCTGACTTACACTAGAACTCTAGGCTTGCAAATGCATATACCTATTTGATATTTCTACATGGATGTTCAATAGGCATTTCAAACTTAACAAGACCAAAATAAAACATTTAATTTCCCCCAGAATTACCACAAGTGACCAAATTATATTTGAGAGGAAAATAGATGGTTTATAATCTATATGATTCAAACAAAATAGAAATCTTTATTGATGATTAACGAAAGATAAAAGAAGGAAGTAGTGCTACATGCCACATTGCTGTCTGGGATGTTTCCCACCATCAGAAGCAACTTCCTGAATAGTGTTTTCAAATTGGGATATGTTGACGTTTTGGTCTTGGATCCCCAAAGAACACAATCTGAATGATTTACAAGTCACTGGGAAAAGCCATTGTGTTATGGACACCCAACTTTCATATTTGTTATTGTGTGTCAACCTAAATAATAGACAGAGAGAGGCTCTCTAAGAAAATGACATTTGTTTAGGAATGGGGCATTGCAAGGAATGGGGAATAGGCATGCCGTAGTAAACGATGTGCGTGTTCAGAGAGATAAAGAAAAGTAATGAGGATTACATAATTGTTTTGAGATAATTATGCTTGGCTACCAAGACCAATAACGAGGGTGATGCCAGTTCAAGATTGGACAGACATTGCTGGGCAGATGTCCTTGCAGTACTATTTTTTTGTATAAGGTTGCAATAGCCCTTGTGCGCAATAATGGTTTTTGCAAAGTCATATTTTATAGTTTGTTGTCAGGCATACAAGTGTGAGGACTTTCTCTTTATGGCTTTTCCTGGCTCTATTTATCAGAATTCTCTCTCTCTTTTTTGTTTAATTTAACACAAGTGACTCCATTTTGAGTTGCACAATTTTCACACATGACTAACTTTCATTTCTCAGTGTAGCGGAATCCCTTAAATCCAGAAATTTTACATTTATAAAGTTTTGTTCAAAATGATAGTCAATTTATATTTTAGCTTCTTAACCAGGGTCTCCAAGAAACTTAGAATTGTACAAGCAAGTGAGATTTAAAAAATCATTTTTTTGAATTGTGTATGCCATATGTTGTTTGTGCTCAAATTGCTGGACATGACAATTTCACTGGTGGCCTTTCAGTCCTATATCACAGCATGAAGACCATTTTCATTTAACTTAGTCTAGTCTCAACCTTTGATATAAGATTGGGGAGGACATTGATAATTGTTAAGAGCTGAATTGCATGGGAGGGAGTTTTATGAGATAATGTCAGCCTGTCACTCATTAATTACTTTGCACAACCTACCCTATGCACTTCAGATCAACTAATAGAAGTGGGCAATTTTTTTTTTTTTTTTTTTTTTTGAGATAGAGTCTCGCTCTGTCACCTCGGCTGGAGTGCAGTGGTGCGATCTCAGCTCACTGCAACCTCCGCCTCCCTGGTTCAAGCGATTCTCCTGTCTCAGCCTCCTGAATAGCTGGGATTACAGGTGCATGCCACCATGCCCGGCTAATTTTTGTATTTTTAGTAGAGACGGGGTTTCACTATGTTGGCCAGGCTGGTCTTGAACTTGTGACCTCAGAAGATCTGCCCACCTTGGCCTCCCAAAGTGCTGGGATTACAGGCATGAGCCACCACTCCTGGCTGAAGTGGACAAATTTTAAAGTGCAATAGAAAATAAGAAGGATATTTTCATTCCAATAATAATTTTTTTCTTCATGGCTGAGCTGCTCCCATACCACTGTTGTCAAAAACATTGCAAAATATGAATAAGTTAGAAATTATTTATGTCATGAAATTTTCATATAATTGGCATTTTTCTCATTTATGTATTTATTATGCCCTTCTATCTTACATTTTGTTAACTTCTGTATTTTATGTGTCTGGTAGTCCAAGGCAATGATTTTTAAAAATATGTGAGATGAGAGAGGAAGATTCTAGGCCTAGGTGTACACACAATCTTAGGAATAATTTTGCTGCACCAGTGCAACAAGGGAAACAACACAAATCCTTTTGAATGAAAGCTACTTATAGGTAGATTTTTTGTTGTCTAGAAATCCAGTTCCATTGAATTCCATTCCTATTCCATCATGCTCTGTTTGTGGGAAAAAAATTGATGAACGTAGCAATGGCTTCTGCACAATTAAAAAAGACACTTCACGGCAAATCCTAATCATCTGAAAAGTAAAAGTGCTGATTATTTTAAGTCATTGGGTTCTCAAGAGAGAGTAAAGATTTTGCTGAAAATGTCTTACTCAGTAAAAAGGCTCAGGAAGCACATTATTTAGTAGCAGAAGCAGAATTTATTTCTTAGAAAACTTTATGTTGGTGAGAACCCACTAATGGTAGTGTGTACAATTATGGGGAGTGAAATTCTAGGGAAAGTTGAGACATTTCCTCTCTGCAGTGGTTTGATATGTCATCATATCACGTAAGGCTGAAGAGATTTTGTATAGCAATCTGATAAAAACAATAAGAAGTTTTCTATTTAGGTTGTTGTGTCAACAGATTTCACCAATAATTGTCATATTGTAGTATTTGTAAGATTTGTAATATGATGGTGAAATCCAAGAAAAATATTTTGCTGGGAAGAGTTACTTGATATTCGTGAAGTCCAAGATAGATTTAATTTTCTTTCGTGTCTGGAAATAAAAGGCCTGTTTTGGAGGTTCCTTGCTTACATCAGTACAAATGGTAGGTCATCAATACTGGCTCCATGAGATATTTGTGTCAACCCAGTAATAACCCCCTGATTTCTTCAGAGAAGAGTTTGTATAAAAACTCTTAGAGATAAAAGTTTTTAAAAATTTTAGATGAATGTACAAAATTATCAACTTCATCAACCATCAAATGGTTGGCTTTATTAATTTGTATTAATTAATTTTATTATCATTCAAGGGTGATTTAAAAACTCTAGAAACCTGAACTCAGAGCACATAAATGTCCTCCTGGTGCTGTAGCAATTTGTTATCTTAGCAGAGGCAGAGGTCTGAAAAGTAAGTGTAGGAGTGCTTTCAAGAAAAGCATAGGCCAAATTTTGCTGAGTCAGTTGAAGATAAAAAAAATGGTTATAGAACATAACCTACTCAGCTAACACACTTTTCCTCATATGAAACAGTTGCCAGGGCTCTGCAAGGTTCTGGGGAAAATGTTTTGACCTCAAGTAGCAAGAATCTTGCACTTAAAGCTGATAATAGCCATCCTCATAGATGTGAGGTAATATGTCATTGTGATTTTAACTTGTCTTTCTCTGATGATTAATGTTGCTGCGTATCTTTTTGTAGAACCTATTGGTCATTTGTATGTCATCTTTGGAAAAATGTTTACTACAGTGTTTAGCCCAGGTTTTCATCACGTTGTTAGATTTTTGTGATTGAGGTGTAGAAGTACTTAAGTCAAAGAAGTCAGAGTCACAGAAGTATGAATGCTGCAAGATTTCGCTTATATATGAGGTATCTAAAATAGTCACACTCACAAAATCAGGGAGTAGCATTGTGATTTCCAGGAGGTTGGGGGCAGGGAGAAATAGGGAGTTGTTTTTCAAAAGGTATGAAGTTTCATTTGTGCTACGTTAGTAAGTTCTAGAGATCTGCTGTGTAACACTCTCCCTATAGTTAACAGTATTGTATTGTATACTTAAAATTTTGTTGAGTGTTTAAAAAAGGAAACTTGTGAAAATCATGTTGCAAATGAAAGTCTTTAGATGTTTCCTTGGCTGCTTGGGTTTGAGAAAGAGGAAGGCAAGTATTGAGAGAAGGCATGTGTTATGTGTAAGGTGTCATTGAAACCCTCTGGAAGAACTACATAACATTGAATACCCCTGTCCCTCCTTCTCAACACAAGCTTATGGCAAGGGAGGATCCTTTCTCTGCTTCTCCCACTCAGCCTTGGAACTTGACTTTAAGAGAAGGATGGTAATCTGATCATACAGTCAGTATGAGATATACTGATCTGACTCCAGACAAGTTCTGGATTTTTATGAAGGGTATCCAGACATTCACAGGACAGTAATGAACTTTTTTTTGCTGCAGTTTCCAACTTGTTAGATGCATGAGCAAGAGTTTTCTTCTTTTATAAGCATCATGAACAAGGAAGAAAATCACTTCATTTCTGTTGAAAAAGAAATGTGTATGCATCTCAAGTTTGGTTTCAAATGAGTATTTTTGCAGCAAAATAAACATAAGTTTCGCATGAAAGGCAAAAGTCCTATCTTTAGTTTAAAACACAATACTTGTTACGGTTATATAGCTTAATTCAAAAAGTCACAACATCAACACATTTACATAGGTTTACTAGTGCTATATTTTAACTTGGACATATCATTTTGAAAATGTATTTCCAAAGTCTTGTATAAAAAGAGACATTAGGCTATATTTTTGTTTGTATTGCTTTGGCTAAAGGTTTTAGTAGCTTTATTATTCAACATGGTCAATAAAATTTTATTTATGTAAATAAAATTATTTAAAACCCATTTTATATCTTTATTAAAATTAAATCTACTCACTTCATCTTTAGAACAAAGTAATCCCATTTTGGCTCAAGCTAGTTGTTATGTTGTCCTCATGAGCCTTTAAAATTTATGAAAAGAAAAGAAAGAGATTAATTTCAAGAATCATAAAATAAGCTCTACTACTTTTTTAAAAAGAGTAGGCATTAACTTTAAAGCTATTTAAGTTGGAAGAAAAATTACTTTTATACCACATAGCATTGCTCTTTAGCATCTTGTATAGTAGCAAATTGTGGTGAGACATTTAGGTCTACGTAGATACACTAAAAATATAGTCAAATGTGAACTAAATAAAGGAAAATATGAAGTTTTCTTTGGCTAAATACTGACTAGCATTAGAATTAATAGTATCTGTGAGAAGGGATAACCACAGAAAAACAGAAGGACAAGTTGGCTAAAGTCAATAAATGAAATTATTATTGAATTATTATACTCATTATGTAATTATACAAGATATTGAAATGACTATATTTATGTAGGGGTTCCCTGAGATCCACAATGTTTTTTAAGGGTTCTTCCAGTGTACAAATTTGAGAAAGGCTGATCTAGGCATATCAGGATTATTTTACTCAAAGCATTTCGTAGAAATCACTACACAGCAACCTTAACAAATCCTTTGGCTAGGTGCGGTGGCTCACACCTGTAATCCCAGCATTTTGGGAGGCTGAGGCGGGCGGATCACGAGGTCAGGAGTTTGAGACCATCCTGCCCAACATGGTGAAACCCAGTCTCTACTAAAAAAATACAAAAATTAGCCACACATGGTGGCCCATGCCTGTAATCCCAGCTACTTGAGAGGCTGAGGCAGGAGATTTGTTTGAACCCAGGAGGCAGAGGTTGCAGTGAGCTGAGATTATGCCACTGCACTCCAGCCTGGGCAACAGAGCAAGACTCTGTCTCAGAAAAAAAAAAAAATAAAATAAATAAATAAATAAATAAATAAATAAATAAAAAATAAACTTAAAAAAAAGTCCTTTGTTTATCCTCCAGCTAGTAAACTCATCATTCAAGATTTACAATGGTTCCAAACTTTCTCAGTTTTCTGAGAAGGGAATTCAGTATTCAGACCTACCGATAGTGATTTTCTTTCTCGCCCTAGAAACCTGCCCCCCCTTGGTAAATGACACCATTATCCATCGTCATTCAATTTTCAGTTTGAAATGTCTCCTTTCCTCACTCTCTCCTGCCATTTAGTAGAGCAAGTCCAATCCAATCTACCTTTGTAGCATATCCTGAATCCTCACACACCTCTTTCCATTGCCACTGCTACCCCCCTGTGAAAAACACAACGATCTTTTGCCCTGATTATCAAAATAGCTACCTAACTAGCCTCCCTCCGTTCACTGTTTCCTTCTGCCTGTCCAATCTTCTCTGTAAAGAAACTGTGAAAAATTATCAAAATCTCAAATCATCATATCCTTTCAGTTTCCCCATCCTTCTCCCCAAATTGAGATTCTTCAATGGTTTCCAATCGTGTTTAAAATAAAATAGATTTCCTATCCCCAAGGCCTGTAATCAGCCCCCTGCCCACATCTGTGGCTTCATCCTGTTTGATTCCCCTGACTCTAGGTCTCCATGCTTCAGCCCCCTTGCCCTTTCTGTTCTCTGAAGGAGCCAAGCTCATCCCCAGCTTTCTCCTTTGCACTAGCTGGTTCATTTTCCTCGAGATGTCTCGCTCCTGATTTTCTCACGGCTATTTATTTTATTTACGTAAATAAAACTTCTTGTGTTTCAAGTCATCTCTTAAAGTCATTTATCAGAGAGCCCTTCCCTGAGCCTCAATTTAAATTAGTCACTGAGTTACTCTTAAAAAAAAAAAAAAAACTAATGCGTATTTGACAAATAAAAATTGTATGCATGTATTTACAGTGTATAAGGTGACATTTTCACATAGGTATACATTGAAATAGTTAAATCAAGCTAATTGACATATCTATCACCTTACATACTTATCATTTTTCGTTGTGGGAAATTTAAGATCTATTCCTTAGGAATTTTCGAGTATTCAATACATTATTTTTTCTCTCTTTTTTTAAAATGACAAAAAATTGCACTTATTTGTTGTGTACAGCATGTTGTTTTGAAGTATGTATATATTGTGGAATGACTACACTGAGCTTAAGTTAACATATGCATTACTTCACATGCTTATCATTTTCTGTGGGGAGAAAACCTAAAATCTACTCATTTTGCAATTTTCAAGAATACAATACATTGTTATTAATACAATACATTATTTATTTATTTATTTATTTATTTATTTATTTATTTATTTTTGACATGGAGTCTCTCTCTGTCGCCCAGGCTGGAGTGCAGTGGTGTGATCTCCACTCACTGCAGGCTCTGCCTCCCAGGTTCACACCATTCTCCTGCCTCAGCCTCCTGAGTAGCTGGGACTACAGGTGCCTGCCACCACACCTGGCTAATTTTTTGTATTTTTAGTAGAGATGGGGATTCAATGTGTTAGCCAGGATGGTCTCGATCTCCTGACCTCGTGATCTGCCTGCCTCGGCCTCCCAAAGTGCTGGGATTACAGGCGTGAGCCACCGCACCCAGCCCAATGCATTATTATTAACTATAGTCACCATGCTATATAGTAGATCTCCTGAACTCATTTCTCCTTTCTAACTGAAACTTTGTACCCTTTGAACAACATCTCCTCATTTCCTCACCATCACCCGCAGTCCTCAGCAACCGCCATTCTACTCCCTGCTTCTATGAGTTCAGCTTTTTCTGATTTCACATGTAATTGGGATCATGTGGTATTTGTCTTTCTGTGCCTGGCTTATTCCACTTAGCATAATGTCCTCCACGTTTATCCATGTTTCATATGACAGAATTTCTGTATTATATCTGTTTCAATTATCTGCAGGGCACTTGGCATTTTTGCAGGTTTCTGATTTATGTATAATTTATTTACTTGTTTTGGGTTTCTTCCCAATAGAAAGCAAACTTAATGAAAGCAGGGAGGTTATATATTACCTGTATTGTTCACCACTGTATCCCCAGCCAGTAATACTACCTGGCACAGAAAAGTATTTAAATAATAAATAAATCAGTCTTTTTTTATGGCCACACTAATGAAAATACAGATTGTTAGTGACTGGCATATTATCTCCCTTCCAAGTGGGTTATGAGGAGAAGGTCAGAGGCATGTGACAACCCTTCTGACCATGGTGAACATCATGTGACATACACAAGTTATATGGATATCCTCATCACCTTAGTTTCCTCGTGTGTAATATAAGAGTGTTGGATCAGAATTATGTCCAAGGTGCTTTCCAGCTCTACATATGTACATTTCATAAATAAATGTGAACTGTACCTTAAGATTCCAGTAGCTGTAATTACTAAGTATCTGTATCAATCTCTATTTTGAACTGTAACAGCAAGAATATCATGCATATCAACACAGAGATCCTTCATGTGCCTGAGATATTCTAATAAGCTCTTATAACATGGTATGTTATACACTATATCTCAAACAACTCTTACTATTGCTATAAAATTTTCAACATGGAACTTTGATTAAGATAAAGTGAAGAGATAATAATGTTTCTAAATCTTAGGAAATTTTTTCCTGTTACTGAGGTGGGGGACTTTTCAAAAATGTATTTCTGTCTTTTGCTGGAAATATTTATTTCAGTTTCCTACAGCATTGCTATAGCATTGCTGTAGGAAATTAACAGTAATTGGTGACTGGCAGTTCAACTGACAGAAACACATTATTTTGCGGGGAGGCGGAGGAAAAGCATTCGCAAACTCAATATGAATCCATTTCGGAAAGTAGAGTTGTTTAGAGAAATACAAATATCTTCACTCAGTTTTTGCCCACTTACTGAAAACACAGTGTGAAACTAAAATTGAAAAAGCAATGTTCTTCTGAACATCTTTCCATTAAATATTGCATCATATAAAAATAGGATTTTATGGTTATTATTACACATATTTTCTTCCCTTTCATATGCAGAATCTAAAAAAGTCAAAGTTAATAGAAGCAGAGACTAGAATGGTGGTTGCTGGGGGTGGGAGCAATGGGGTGATGTTAGTGAAAGGTTACAAAGTTTCAGTTATGCCAATGAATTGTTCTGGAGACCTAATGTACAGCATAGTGATTGCAGTTAATAATAATGTATACTTGACATTTGCTAAGAAAATAGATCCTATATGTTCTCACGACACACACCCGTGCGTACACACAAGCACACACACAAATAGTAACAATGTGAGGTAATTAATATGTTAGGTAGCTTGATCATAGTAATAATTTCACAATGTATATGTACATCAAAATATTACATTTGACCCATGAATTATGTATAGTTTTATTTGTCAATTGCACCTCAATAAAGGTGAAAATATAAATGTGTGCTTTTATAAATATAACTAATATACTGAAGTAAATATAAATTTAAGTATATACTTTAATAAAATTTGAGAATGATGTGTTAAATAGCTGTAATATGAAGGATAATGTATGAAACCATTATTCTCAATTTAACATAGTGCCAATTAGCTTAAAAAATTTATCGTGGCTGAGCGCAGTGGCTCATGCCTCTAATCCCAGCTCTTTGGGAGGCCAAGGTGGACAAATCACTTGAGGTCAGGAGTTCGAGACCAACCTGGCCAACATGGTGAAACCCTGTCTCTACCAAAAAATACAAAAGATTAGCCGGGCGTGGTGGTGGTGCATGCCTGTAATCCCAACTAATCTGGAGGCTGCAGTGGGAGAATTGCTTGAACCCGGGATGCGGAGGTTGCGGTGAGCCAGGATTGCACCACTGCACTCAACCTGGGTGATAGAGCTAGACTCCATCTCAAAAAACCAAACAAAACAAAAATTTATTGTAACTCTTCAAGAAACTGTGAAGAGATGAAACAGACAGATGAGGTTTGAAGAGTAAAACCGAGGGAGAAAATAGCCAACTTGATAGCACACTGGGTGCCATTTTGAATTCCAAAACTGGGGTCCCAAGAAAGCCCAGGAAATGATATACAGGCAAAAGTCACCTGGGCAAAGGACCATCAAATGGGAGGAAGAAGAAGAAACTGTAAAAGCCAAAAGGAAAGCTTTGTCAACCTTACGATTACTCACATGAGCATATAATTTGCAAATGCAACCAAATAAATATTTCACGATAGTTTAAACTTACCTAAGCATTTCAAGTCATCATTAAAGAGAGAGACATACAGTTGAGTTGGCCATCACAAAGCATTTAGTTAATGAAAAGCCATTGTTATTAGTAGCTTTATTATTTATTTGAAAATAGCAAGCTGAAAATTATCTACAGGTCAGCAAATAGCACAGACAATTGAAAGCACATAGATTCCTTTAGCATCTACAGTTTTACCTAATTAGATTTTTCAATTAGATGCTATACAGTGCATTATACAAAGAACTTCCATATTCCCTAGGTAGATACAATAGTTTATGGATGCCTTACATTCTGTTAATCTTGATAAAATGGGAAATCAACAGCAAGATTATACTCTTTGTTCCCAAAGATCATGTAAATATTTTCAACCATATTAAAACAGACTGTATTTCCATCAACTATTTGTACTTTTTCCTCCTTTGTGTCTCAAATGGTAACATATAATTTATAAAGTTTTATTGTAAAACAGTGATTTTTTAACTAAAAATAGAAGGCAGCATTATAGTTATTCAAAATAAAGAATAATATAACATCCTATGATACCATAATAAATTTAACCCATATGATTCGACATTGTTATTTGGGATAATTTGTCTCTATACAAAACAAAATATAATCTCCAAACTCCCAAAGAGCAGAATTTCTCAATGTTTTGCAACTTTTAGATTTCTGGTGGTGTTTTGTGGTAGAATAGTAGAAGGGTAAAAGACATTCCTGAGATAGAATTAATTTTTCTCTGTGACTCCAGGATGTGCCCATTATATTAATATGTCATATTTTTACTACATAAACATGGAAAACTTCGAATAAAGGAAGTAATTACATCATTAAAAGGAAAAGTTACATTCTGTGGCTCTGGACAGCCATGTTGTATGACCACCCAAAGTAAGAGAGTGGAAATCAAAAATTAAGCATATATTAGAATTTCGATATTGTCATTTAACACAAACAATTGTTCTTAAATATACAATATTATAAAATTACTAGGAAACAGCATTTTGGTTTAAAAGTAAACTTTTCAGTCCCTGTCTACTACCATTTTAAATATATTGAAAGAGATACTACAGGCCAAGGAATTAAAATAAGTTGATTAAGTAATTTCCTGCTGGATAGAAAACTTAAAATGCTAATAAGTTTACATTCAGAGATTTAGTTCTCAAATAACAGATTTGATTTATTTGTCAGCTTTTAGATATCATAGTAACAGAACTCCAGAAAATATGCAAAAGAGGAAAATAAAGTGACTGCTCATAAACCAGGCAGCATGGTCTCAGGAGGATAATCCACAGTAACTTTTAAGGGCGGTATCGTTTCAATCAAACTTGATTTAGGATAAAAGAAACAAAACTTATTACTTTTTAATAGACTTATTTTTTAGAACAGTTTTAGATTTATGGAAAATTGAGCAGATAGCACAGAGAGAGTTTCCTTCCCATATACTCCCTCTGCCCAGACAGTTTCCTCTATTATTAACATCTTGATTAATGTGATAATTTTTTACAATTGACATATCAATACTGATACATTACTATGAACTAAAATCCATAGCTGATGTCAGGATTCACTCTGTATTGTGTAGTGTGTAGTTTTTGATGAATGTATAGTGTCATATATATCATATATCCACCATTACCTAAAAAATCCCCTTTGTTCCACCTATTTATCCATCCTCTCCTATCCTAAATCTCTGCCAATCACTGAACTTTTTCCTATAACTATGGTTTTGTCTATTACATAATGTCATATAGTTGGAATCCTACAATATATAGTCTTTTCAGGCTGGCTTCTTTATCCGTTTAAGTTTCTCCTACATCTCTTCATGGCTTAAGAGCTTGTTTCTTTTTATTACTGAATAATATTCCATCCTATGGATATACCAGTTTGTTTGTCCATTCACTGTTTGAAAGACATCTTGGTTGTTTCCAGATTGGGGCAGTCATGAACAAAGCCGCTGTAATCAATCATTCATACACAGATTTCTATGCAGATGTAAACCTTCAACTCATTTAGGTAAGTATACAGGAAGGAGATCTCTTGATCTTCTGGAAAGACTATGTTTAGCTTTGTAAGAAACTTTCAAACTCTTGAAAAGTGGCTGTACCATTTTTCATCCCCATCAGCAATGAATGATAGTTCTATTTGTTCTGCATTCTTGCAGCATTTGATATTGTAATTTTTTTTTTATTTCAGCCATTAGAGATTTGGGCTTAGTGTTGATTTGGGTATTTTTAAAAATCTGTTTTAATTTGCATAGTTATAATATCATGAAGGCAGTGAAATCTATTGACTCAAATACAAAAAGTAAAAATTGTAGACATAGTTATATCTAAAGAATTATACTGACAAAATGTATAAAATTTGCAATATAAATTCAATAATCTATTAAATTGAGCTTTCAAGTAAGTTGTTTACCTCAAGATAATAACCTTAAAGCTGAATATTTCCACCAGTTTTTTTGTTTCTTTCACAAGGAAAGTACTTTTATCTGTGGAAGTCTTTCTCTTTTTATCCCGTTAGAAATATAATTTATTTCAGAGGAAGTTATGTGAACATGAGAAGTAATTATAAACAAAGATAACTGGTTTTCCTCTTAATATCTCCTATCTCATTTCTCACAGATTGCATACATTTGATACATTTCACAAAACCTTAACAATTCTTAGAATGGAAAAAAAGATTGAAGCAGCTCAATTTTTTATTCCAATTACTTAATTGGAACCGGTAGTGAGTTGAATTGTGCATTCAAGTCCTAACCCCTGGAAACTATGAATGTGATCTTCGTTGGAAATAGTGTCTTTGAAATTTAATTAGTTAAGCATCTTGAGATGGCCTTAAATCCGATGACTTGTATACTTATAAGAGGAGGACAGGACAATCAAAAAGAGAGAGAAGGTCGTGTGAAGACAGAGGGAGAGATTGGAGTGATGCAGATACAAGTTAGGGAACTGGAAGGATTGCTGGGAGTCACCAAAAGCTAGGAAGAAACAGGAAGGAATTATTCCCCAGAACCGTCAGAAGGAACAGAGCCCTGCCAACTCCTTGATTGCAGACTTCTGGCCTTCAGAATCGTGAATAAATAAATTTCTGTTGTCTTAAGCCACCCAGTTTGTGGCAATATGTTATGCAGTCGTACTAAAAAAAATAGGTAATATTTAATATCTGAATAATATCTGGTTAACATCTTATTCTCAGGAACACAAAGATATGAACCAGGCTATCGGATTAATGAAGCTGAGTTTATTCCTTAACTATAAATGTTACTTATTTTTTGTTATTGGCAATTATTTTTTATTTCACTACTGTAAGCATGTTATTGCCTAAAAATTTTAGGGCTTAGATTTTATAAATGGGGAATTGTTAAAATGTTCATATAAATTTTTATTTTAATAAACTCTTATATGGTACAAAATCATTTACTTGCTTCAGAATAGGTAATCAAAATGTAGCCTCATTATATTTAAACTCAGTTCCCATAGGGTACTTTGCTTATTAATTTGGTGTTAATTTAATAACAAAAAAAAAAGACTTCTAGTTTGAAGGCCAGAAGATAAGTGAATTTCCTTGGCTAGGGAAAAGTACAACCAAACATTTCATAGAGACTTATTTTGAAGGTTTTTTTCTTTCCTTGGTATATTAAACTAGGACAGGAAACATTTCTAATAAAACAGTGAACAACTGACATAATGAATTGTTTGACTTAATCTGTAATCTAAAAGTAGACTTCTTTAAATGCAGAAAATATTTTGGATTTTAGAGGTTGTGTCCTGAAAGAATTTGAGTTACGTGTTGTGACTTATAGACCAGCAAAAGACAGAAGCACATTTGAATAAAGTTCATATTTTTAAAAACTTTTTTTTTTTTTTTTTTTTTTGAGAGGGAGTCTCACTCTGTCGCCCAGGCTGGAGTGCAGTGGCGCGATCTCGGCTCACTGGAAGCTCCGCCTCCCGGGTTCCCGCCATTCTCCTGCCTCAGCCTCCTGAGTAGTTGGGACTACAGGCGACCGCCACCACACTCGACTAATTTTTTGTATTTTTTAGTAGAGACGGGGCTTCACCATGTTAGCCAGGATGATCTCAATCTCCTGACCTCGTGATCTGCCTGCCTCGGTCTCCCAAAGTGCTGGGATTACAGGCATCAGCCACGGCGCCCGGCCTACAGACATTTTTTATTAAAGTCCACAAGGTTACCATGTAAGCTTCTTTCAATTGTTATAAAAAGAAAATTGTATTCAAATAATTTCTGAGAAAATGAAATGGATAGTTTCTGAAATTAATCATTTAATACATTTTAAGTTAGAATGTTTTATTGATAATGTGGATGAAAAAAGGAGAGCATATATTATGGACTGAATGCATGTGTTCCCCAAAATTGACTTCTAGTGTGCTGTATTTGGAGTAAGGAAATCACTAACATTAAATAAGTTCACAGGGTAGAACCCTAACTCAATAGAATTAGTTTCCTTATGAAAAGAGGCACCAGGAAGCTCTCACCCCTTCTCCACCCTTGGCACATGCATCAAGGAAAGGTCATGCCTTTCTTCATACATACGTCTTCAGACATAGAAAGAAGGTGGCTGTCTACAAGCAAGGAAGAGAGCCCTCACCAAAAATCAAATTAGTCTGCCCTTTTGTCGTGGGCTCCTAGCCTCTAGAACTGTGAGAAAATAAATTTCTGTTGTTTAAGCCATCCAGTCTGTGGTGTCTTGTTACAGCAGCCCAAACAGACTAAAACAGCATGTAACCACAAAATTAGTCCTTAACTGATCATGTTTCTTAGTGATTTTATATAAATTTCACTTTTAACCAAATGAACTGAAGACAATGGAAAAACCATTTGGTTTTTAATACAGTGACATCAAATTTTCATATTGGTGCATCTTTGACCTTAAAAGTGTAATATTCTGCACAGTTTAACATAGACAGTAAATATGCTGGCTACGTCTACATCTACCAAAGCCAGCTTATCGTTCAATGTCAGTTCTTAGCGTGAATAATTTAAAAGGAAGATCCATCTCGAAAAATCTTTGTTAGAGAATGCTGTCTGATATACATAAAAAATAGTAGTTTAGATGGTAAAGAATGATCCAATTATTAAATGAAACTCTGTTTAAAATTCAGTGTTTTTTTGTATTTGCAAACCAAACTAATTTTAAAATTGTCAAAATTATTCACTTACATTATTTAGTGTTTCTGGGTTTACAAGAACTTTGTTTTGCTTAAATCTGAGACGATTCTGGCTCAGATAAAGTTTTCATGATAAGGGAAATAGCTAAGAGACAAGCAAAGATCTGTAGGAACCATTTGAGTATTCACTAGCTTTTGACATATGAGGAAGATGTCAGCTTAGAGGGCTAATATATAACTTTTAAAATCAAGTTTTGAAAGAATTTCTGCAGTATTCATAAGTGATTAATAAAAAGCTTACATGTAAAAATGTGTGCATAAATAGGCATGCAGTTCGTTCTAAAACTTCAAACACTGTTTCTTCTAAGTTGCATTTAAATCTCCATCAAAACATTATTAATTTATAATTTTAAGTTTTGTTTCTAGCTACACATTCCATTTTCTTGTTACAATTGAAAGTATAAAGAAGCTTTCAGTTATATTAATTTGGGTCTGTAATTATACTTACAACACTGTCTGTCATTCCCAAGTTTTTCACCACAAGAGTATTTTTTTACTACTTTCTCTCATTTACCTCACACTTGGTAAGATTTTGTTCACCGAATATATAGTATTTAGAAAATAAAGCCTAACTAATTTGACATTAATCAAAGGAACATATTAATGTGCTTCTGATCAACATAAGATATTCAGTCTGGCCACTGGGCTGATATAATTTCAGTTAAAAGAAAAGCAGTCTGGTGTTTTAGATAACCTGGGAAGTTTGAACCAAAGCAAAGGTAAGCAAATACATGGCTGTGATTGATCATTATGAAATATTAATCTGTGGACTCCATTCTTATCTTAAGTGATTCCCTCAAGGAAAAATGCCACCTTGAAAACAACTGATACAAATCTTCAAATTCTATTTCTGTTCTTTATATGCTAAAATAACCTAACATAGTGTCTTTTATTACCTAACATCTCATTTTTACTCAAAAGCTGTTATAACATTTGGTATCTTGGAAATGAAGTAAAACACATTTCTATTAAAAGTAACAAATTAATTAAAGTCTATTGTTATACATTTTTAATACTGCTTAACGTGATAGCTAAGAGAACATATTTTGAAATGAAAGAACTCATAGCAATACTTTGAGCAAGGCATAATTATTTAGCGAGTCTGTGACTAAAAAAACCTTAAATACATCAGCTTATTGAAAATATCTTTTAAAAACCCTGCATCTTCTTTTTTGTGTTTTATTGACAAATTAATTTTTAAAACTTTAGGATAATATCTCGAAGCATCTCTGCAGCTTACCAATTAAGATGTTGTATATTTTAAGAAACTAGTATAACTATTGAAATGGAACAGAAACCCTTACCGGCAACTATTTAAGATGCCATGATGGATGCTTATCTCTAGGTCATACCATAGGTCATACCATAGACCTATAACCTTGTTTTCAAATGAGTACTGCAGTTATCCGGGAAATAGGTAAATAAATGTCAGTAATGATACTAATACTTCCACAAATGGATTGCAACTACATTAAATGTCAGATTCTGTCATTCTATGATACTTGGCATATTTTTGATATGAAACATAGCTCATGTTACCCACTGTAGTTTCTTACTTCCATCTGAGTTTCTGTATCTGGAAAATCACTTAACACCCCTGAGTATAACCCTGGAGTGAATTTCAAATGATGAAACACTAGAGTTTGGCCTACTTAATGTAATAACATAGATATTCAATTTTTCAAAATATATACCATATTAAATATTTTTCTTCTTCATTCATTTATGGGTACAAACAAAGGAACCCCTGAAAACTATTTTTCTGGGATCATAACGAGCCTGTAATTTTTAGAAAGAAAACTCTAGTGTCACGTATATTTTATACCTTCACAAAAGAATCCTGGCTATAAGTCCATTGAGAAAACCACATTGCTTAATTCTAGTGAGACTGAAACTTTGTAGAAAGGGTGTAGTTTACCTAACAGGTGCCACTAGGATGCCCTTTCTTTCTCTTGTGTGATTGCTCTAGCTAGGACTTCCAGTACTATGTTGAATAATAGCAATGAAAGTGGGCCTCCTTGTGGTGTTCCAGATATTGGGGAAAAGGCTTTCAGCTTTTCCCCATTCAGTATGATACTAGCTGTGGATCTGTTGTACATGGTTTGTATTATGATGAGGTATGTTCTTTCTATACCCAGTTTTTCAGTTTTTATCATGAAGGGATGTTGAATTTTATCAAATGCTTTTTCAGCATGAATTGAAATGATCATATGGTTTTTTGACCTTCATTCTGTTGATATGATGTATGACATTGACTGATTTGTATATGTTGAACCATCCTTGTATCCCTGGGATAATTCTCACTAGATCGTGATAATGATTTATTTATTTCTGCCTGATCTTTATTATTTCTTTTCTTCTACTAAGTTTGCATTTGGCTTGCTCTTCTTTTCCTAATTCTTTAAGATGCATTGTTAGGTTGTTTATTTGAAGTTTTTCTAGTCTTTTGATGTAGATGCTTATAGCAAAAACTTTCCTCTAAGTACTGATTTTACTATATCCCATCATTTTTGGTCCATTGTTTCCTTCATCATTTGTTTTAAGAATTTTTAAAATTTCTCTCTTAATTTCTTCATTGACCTACTAATCATTAAGGAGTATACTTTTTTTTTTTTTTTTTGAGATAGAGTCTCACTCTGTTGCCCAGGCTGGAGTGCAGTGGTGCGATCTCAGCTCACTGCAACCTCAGCCTCCCACGTTCAAGTGATTCTTCTGCCTCAACGTCCCATGTAGCTTGGATTACAGGAATGTGCCACCATGCCTGGCTAATTTAGGAGCATACTTTTAATTTCCATGTATTTGTATAGTTTTCAAAATTCCTCTTGTTACTGATTTTTAGTTTTATTCCACTCTGGTCAGATAAGATACTTGATATAATTTCAATTTTTAAAAGTTTAACACTAGTTTTGTGGCCTAACATGTAGTCTATCCTTGATAATAATACATGCGCTGAAGAGAAAAATGTGTAACCTGGAATCACTGGATAAAATGTTCCGTAAATATCTGATTGGTCTATTTTGGTCTGTAGTGCAGATTAAGTCCAATGTTTCTTTGTTGACTTTCTGTCTGGATGACTTGTTCAATGCTAAAAGTAGGGTGTTGAAATCTCTAACTATTATTGTATTGAAGTTGATCTCTCTCATTAGCTTTAATAATATTTGCTTTGTATATCAGAATACTGCAGTAGTAGGTACATATATATTTACAATTCTTGTGTCCTCTTGCTGAATTGACCCCTTTATCATTTTATAGTAACCTTTCTTGTCTCTTTTTATAGTTTTTATCTTGAAATCTATTTTGTCTGATTTAAGTATATCTACTTCTGCTCTTTTTTGGTTTCCACTTGTGTGAAATACCTTTTTCCATTTCTTTATTTTTAGTCTCTGTGTGTCTTCATAGGTGTTGTGTGTTTCTTTTAGGGAACAGATTGTTGGCTCTTGTGTTTTTTTCTTTGTATTTTTTTTTAATTCAGTCACTCTCTGTGTTTTGCTTGAGGAATCTAGTCCATTTACATTCATTGTTATTATTGATAAGTGAGAACTTACTCCTGCCATTTTGTTGTTTGTTTTCTGGTTGTTTTGTGGTCTCCTCTTCCTTCTTTACTTCTTTTTAGTAAAGGTGTTTTTCTCTGGTGGTGTTCTACTTTCTTACTTTTAATTTTTTGTCTATACATTGTATGTTTTTTGATTTGAGGTTGTCATAAGGCTTGCAAATAATATCTTATAACCCATTATTATTATTATTATTATTATTATTATTATTTTATTATACTTTGAGTTCTAGGGTACATGTGCACAAGGTGCAGGTTTGTTACATAGGTATACATGTGCCATGTTGGTTTGCTGCACCCATCAACTCGTCATTTACATTAGGTATTTCTCCTAACACTATCCCTCCTCCAGCCCCCAACCCCTGACAGGCCCTGGTGTGTGATGTTCCCCGCCCTGTGTCCAAGTGTTCTCATTGTTCAATTCCCACCTATGTGTGAGAACATGCCGTGTTTGGTTTTCTGTCCTTGTGATACTTTGCTGAGAATGATGGTTTCCAGCTTCATCTATGTCCCTGCAAAGGACATGAACTCATCCTTTTTTATGGCTGCATAGTATTTCATGGTGTATGTGTGCCACATTTTCTTAATCCAGTCTATCATATAACCCATTATTTTAAATTGATGACAACACTGATTGCATAAACAAAGATAAAACGAATAAAAACTCAACATTTTAATTTTATCTACCCACTTTTTAACCTTTTGCTGTTTGTGTCTTATTATACTGTGTTTCAAAAAGTGGTCATACTTCTTATTTTTGATTGGTTCAACTTTTAGTGTTTCTACTTAAGATATGATTAGTTTACATATAACAATTACAGTGCTATAATATTCTGTGTTTTCCTGTGTACTTACTGGTGAGTTTGATACCTTCAGATAATTTTTTATTGCTCATTAATGTCATTTTCTCTTGGACTGAAGAACTCCCTTCAGTATTGTAGGACAGGTCTGGTGGTGGTGATGAAATCTCTCAGCTTTTTTTTTTTTTTTTTTTTTGCGGGGAAAGTCTTTATTTATCTTTCATGTTTAAAGGATATTACCATGGGATATAGTATTATAGGATAAAATTTTTTTCCTCTAATACTTTAAATATCTCATGCCACTCTCTCCTGGCCTGTAAGGAAAAGTCTACTGCCAGATGTATTGCAGATATATTTTATTTTATTTGTTTCTTTTATCTTGCTGCTTTTAGGATTCTTTCTTGATCTTTAACTTTTAGAAGTTTGACTATTAAAACTTTGTTTATTGAGGGAGTCTTCTTCGGGTTATATCTGCTTAGTGTTCTATAACCTTCTTGTACTTGAACATTATCTTTCTCTAGGTTTGGGAAGTTCTGTGTTATTATCCTTTTGAATAAACTTTCTATCCCTATCTGTTTCTCTATCTCCTCTTTAAGGTGTATAACTTGAATTAGATTAAGATTTACTGTTTTGAGTTTATTTCTAGATTTTGCAGGTGTGTTTCATTCTTTTTAATTCTTCTTCTTCTTTTTTTTTTTTGGTCTGCTCTGACTGTGCAATTTCAAATAGCCTGTCTTCAAGCTTACCAATTCTTTCTTCTGCTTGATCAATTCTATTAAGACTCTGAAACATTCTTCAGTATGTCAATTGTATTTTTCGACTCCAGAATTTAGGCTTGAATCTTTTTGATTATTTTAATCTCTTTGTTAAAGTAATGTGATAGGATTCTGAATTCCTTCTCTGTGTTATCTTTAATTTCATTGAGTTTCCTTAAAAACAGCTACTTTGAATTCTGTATCTGAAAGATCACATATCTCTGTCTTTTCAGAATTGGTCCCTTATGTCTTATTTAGTTTGTTTGGTGAGGTCATGTTTTCATGGATGATCTTGATGCTTGTGAATGTTTGTCGGTGTCTTTCTGGGCATTGAATAGCTAAGCATTTATTGCAGTCTTCATACTCTGGGCTTGTGTGTATCCATTCATCTTGTGAAGGCTTTCCAGGCATTCAAAGGGACTTGGGTATTATAATCTATCTTTTTGGTCACTGCAGCCATATCTGCATTAGGAGACACCCCAAGCCCAGTAATGACATGGCTCTTGCAGACTCAGAGGTACAAATTTGGTTGTCTTTGGTAAGATACAGAAGAATTCTCTGAGACTCTTGTTCTCTTCCCTTACTTTCTCCCAAACAGAGTCATTCTCTCTCTTTCTCTCTCTCTGTCCCCCCCACCCCCGCCCCTCTGTGCTGAGCTGCCTGGAGCTGTGAAGGGGTTACACTAGCAGCTCTGTGGCCTCCACCACCGGAACTGTGCTGGATCATACCTGAAGCCAGTACAGTACTGGCTGTCACCTGAGGCCCATGGTAACCATTGCCTGTCTACTGCCTATGTTTGCTCAAGGCCCTAGGGCTCTACAATCAGCAGGTGTCAAAGTCAGCCAGGCTTGTATTCTTTTCTTCAGGATGGCAAGATCTCCCTGGCCCTGGGCAGATCCAGAGATGCTGTCCAGGAGCCAGGGCCAAGAGTTGGAAACCTTAGAAATCTCTGTGGTGCTCTATTCTACTGTGGCTCAGCTGGCACTCAAGCCACAAGACAAAAAGTTCTTCCTGCTCATTCTTCCCTTTTCTACAAGGAGGGGAGTCTCTTCTCGTGGCCACTACTGACCCAGGCCCACAGTGAGTACTTCCTGGCTACAGCTGATGTTCACTCAAGGTTCAAGGGCTCTTCAGCCAGCTTATGGTAAATTTTACCAGGCTTCTGACTCTCTCTTTGGGACAGTGGGCTCCCCTCTGGCCTAGGAGAGGTCCAGAAATGCTATCCCAGAGCCAAGGCCTAGAACTGGCAACCTCAAGAGGCTACTTTGTGCTTTACCCCACGTGGCTGAGCTTGTACCTAAGTTGTAAGACAAAGTTTCCTTTACTCTTTCCACTCCTTTTCTCAAGCTGAAGGACACTCTCCACATAACCATGACAGCTGGGACTGTGCTGGGTCACATCTGAAGCCAGCACAGCTCTGAGTCTCACTCAAGGCTGACAAGTACAACCTGGGTATTGCTGCTCATTATTCAGGGACCAGGGGCTCTTTAGTCAGCAGATGAGGAATCTTTCCAGGACTGGGTTCTTCCCTTCAAGGCAGTAGGTTCCCTTCTGGCCCAGTGTGTGTCTAGAAATGTTGTCCAGGAGCTAGGACCTGGAATGGGAGGACTTAGGACTCTGCCTGGTGCCCTATTCTACTGTGGCTGAGATAGTATCCAAGTTCCAAGTCCTCTTTATTCTTCTCTCTCCTTTTCTCAAGTGGAAGATAGAATTTTCTCCTGGAGCTGCAAGCTGCAAGCTGAACTGCCTTGGGTTGGGGTATAAGTGGTGCAAGGACTCCTAAGTCCACTGGCTCTGAGCCCCGCACAACACCAGGACTTGCCAGGAATTACAGTCCTTGTGAACTATACTGCCTTTCAAGTTTATTTAGCATCCCAGAGTACTTCATCCCAGGATGGTGAAGCTTGCCAGAACTCAGGTTCTGATTGCTGGAATGGGTCATTCTCCTCTGGCTAGGGCTGGTCTAAACACTCCCTTTGTGGTCTCTAGCTGAGTTATCCTCCATGTTGCTTTCTGCTGTGACAGAGCAGCACTGAGTTCCAGTGCAATGTCCCACAATCACGGCACTTCCCCTCCCCGATGTGCACAGATTCTCTCTCTGTGCGACATGGCCACTGCCTGGGGGATGGGATGCAGGTGGTGTTGGCAATTTAAGACTCTTTCCTACTCTCTTCAGTGACTCCTTCAGCGATATGAGGTCAAAACCAGGTATGTGATTGCTCACCTAGCTTGGTTCTTATGAAGGTGCTTTTTTGTGTGTATAGTTGTTCAGTGTGATGTTCTTGTGGGGAGGACAACTGGTGAAGTCTTGTATTCAATTATCTTGCTCTGCCTGCTCAGGTTAAAAACTCTGACTCCTCTTTTCGCATCTCCAGTAGACCCATCCAGTCCAATCCATTTATTGTACATAAAAACATCTAGAAATTTATTCCTCCTTATCACTTCCATAGCTACTACCTTGGTTAGGCTGCTATCATTTCTTACATGGTCTACTGCAAAGTCTCCTAATCATGAACTACTAAACAGAAGCAAAAGCAACTTTTGCTCTTGACCCCTCACAGTCTTATTTCAACACAGTAGCCAGAATGTCAGAGTAACTCTATCAAAACTCACATTACTTCTCCAAAGTTGTTCCATCACATTCAGAATAAAAGTTAAAGTCATTAAAATGGCCTTCAAAGTTTACACTGTTTGGCACTTGTTACCTCTCTGAACCACCTCCTACTATCATCCCTGATTGAATTTTGTTCCAGCTACACATTACTTTTGACTTGCCTCAAAATAACCAGGCATGCCTCTGCCTCAAAGACTCCCACCCAAGCCTCACCACTCCTGTTCATACACCTGCCTCTTTTCCTTTAAATATTTATATATTTTATTCCCTTGCATCCTACACATGGATACACACACACACACACACACACACACACTCACACTCACACCCTGGCCGCATTCCTGCTGTATTTTGTTCCATAGCACTTGTCATTCAGTAGCATAAAATGTGTTTTAATTACATAGTCTCTTCATTTACTGTATATTCCCCCTCTCTGGTTTTGAGCTCTAGAAGGCAGGGATTTTCTGTTTTGTTCAGATCTGTACCTGTATTTAGGACACTGAACAGCATATAGGTGATACTCAATAACTATTGAATGAATGAGTTACTTAAGCTAGAGGAAAGCATGTCAAATTAAAAACAATCAATGGCCCAGCAATGAGTCCAAAAGGAAAAAGTTAGCATCAGAATCTCAACAGGTCAGGAAGAGGTTTGGTGGTCTTGGGACATTGTGAGTTAGACTAGGACATTCTGGAAATTCTATGCCTGAGACCCACAGGTTTCAAGATGGATTGATAAGTCACTGCTTTTCAGTTGCCAACCATATTGGCCATTACTATCTTTCACATTTACTTTACTTTTTTTCCCCCACTTCTGGGGCTTACTAATTAATCATGATGGCAAAAGTCATCAATTTTGAAGAATTCATATATCAAGTGTGCAATAGTCACATATGGTTAGTGGTTCCTGTATTAGACAGAACCGACCTGGAACTTTTCAATCATTGCACAAAGTTTTATTGATCGTGCCTCTCTAGGCTTGTTTTTGCTAGTTGCATTTTTTTATTTGTTTGTCCACCATAAATTTATTCATTTGAAAACAGTTATTCCATGATGAATATATGAGAGTCTATCTATTAAGAGTGGTAGTGAAATTTAAAGAACTTAGAATCCATGCAGAAAAATAAATCATAATTGTTACACAATAAATGTTCCATTAGAAGCATATGCAGAGTACTAAATGGACAAAAATAAAGCAGTAATTAATTTTGCTTTGGGGATGGGAATGGTCATTTAATACATGCTTTGAGTCTTTCTTTTTGCTATGGTTATAACTGTCAGAAAGAAATAGCTGAACACTGATGTCTAATATGTTTATTGTTGAAAAAAATCCAATCGATATCAGTCTGAATGTTAACGAATAGCATGACTTTTCCACTGCCCAAACAATATCATAGTTAATAGCAATTTTGATGTCTGAAGCCACCATAATTGCTCTCAGAAATCAATAGATCAATAAGAGACTCTTTTTGGTTTTAGATACAAGTATTGAACCACACATCATAGTTTGAAAAGGTTACTTTTGATCATGACAACCCAGACAAATTTAGAATTAGTTTGAAAAACAAATAGAAACAAGTGAATTCTTATTTTTAAAGCCTATACCTTTAGACTTAAAGCAGTACAAACATGCATTTACAATTTTATTATATATTATTTAAATTTCATGAGGCTTTGGGTGTTTTCATTGGATGTACAAATTTATTAAACTACAATAATTAATAAAGCCACAGCTAAACAATTTTCTAAACACACTCAGAATTTATCTACATTATAGTTTAAAAAGTAAATTATAAAAAATTAACTGGGACAATATTTAATACCTGAAATTTAATCAGGAAAAGTTTTATAGAAAGCTTTCTGTAAATATTCACTTGAATTGAGAATTTCTAAATTCATCTCTTTCTTTGATTCTTTCTTCATCTATATAAAAATTGTGTGTTGATATTCTTCTATGACAATGTCATGTTTGAAACATTTCTCTCCAAGGGAAATAATCCCGCAATGAGATGTGTAAATACCATGCTTATCTTAGCTGGAACTACAAACAAAGATGAAAGCAAAAAGCCTATGTCCATCATGTTATTTGGAGGAAGTGATGGCATTATCATTTAAAGAGCAATTGCTTGTATTGATTGCATTCAGCATTTAGGAAACACTAATAGAGATGGAGATGTGATGGTTTGTTTGTTTTCGAAGAAGTTAGGTAATGTCAAACAAATGATCTGGGTCCAAATCTGACATATGAACAATTCTTCTTTCAGCATATGTTACTGGAATTGCAAGTAATGATTTGATCGAAGATACATCTTTTGAGACACTCTTATAATTTAGTCAGCTTTACTGGTTTAGATTGTTATTTGGACATTTTCAACCTTTAATAACTGTAAGGCTTGTACCAGTACAGATTACTTATTGCTTATAAAATGATTATTAGCAAGTTAAAATGCCTACATTTTCTAAGGAGGTAGAAAGAAATCTTTCCTGACCTAGAATCCAAACAAAATGTCCCAAAGGTACTGAACATTTTCTCTTATTTAGTATACACCAACTAAACAACCGAATGCTATTATTGCCCAGTTCTGTTTTGCCTGTGTTGGGACACAAAAAACACTTTTCAGTTATTGCAACTAACATTGTTTGAGTACAGTAGCATGCTTCTAGTCATTCACTGGGAATGAAATTGGGGTGGATGAAATTAATGGAAAGATAGAAGAAAAGAAAATACTCTGAGGTAGACTTGGGTGTAAAGGATGCCCAGCTGAGATTGGAGTATAAACTTGAACAAGGATGGAGAAAATAAGACTAGATACTAAGAACTTGGGGTCATCTGATTGAATTATGGCTGGGTATCTTCAAAGCCACCTAGCATAGTCAATGGAGATTTCAATTAGGACTGTATACAAGTATAGGGGTTTTTATCTATAAAATTGAGGCAGCAGGAAAAAGAGCTGAGACCAGCAAATAGGAAATGAGTCAAGTCAAAATGAGTTTATTTATCAAATGTTAGAGTTCAGGCAGTCACTATCCCCACCAGTTTTTTCCAGTGATCTGGATTGACAAGTGGGAAGGAGGGAAAGACCCTTAATAACTTTTTCATCTTAATAACTATTTCTTCTATACTGGGAAGGTGCAAGCCAGAAATTCTAAAATATGTGGGGAACAATGCCAAGTCTTTTCTCAAGAAGTTCAATGAGTCTAAAGTCACTTTTTTTCTATCCGTAGACTCTAATAAATTTGCAATGCCAACTTTGTCATCCACCTATTTCTTCCCTGTATCCAATTTCCTTATTACTGGTTTAAATTTTGACTTGTATTATTACATTAGCCTGATATTCTCCCCTCTTGACCTTCATAAGTCTTATTTATCCATTAAGAAATGTTGAAAGTCACCTCAGTTCTAAAGCTTTATCATGTCTGTTCATTATATTGGATCACACCTTCCTCTGACCTTTCTCGTTACTTTAAGTAGTAATTATTTTATAATATGGTTCAGTTTGTTCCATATTTTTCCTACTAGACTGCATGCTTAGAATGGATAAGACTAGTGTTTTAATTATCTTTCAATCGCTCTAGCACCTAGCGAAATTCTTCCCATACAGTACACGCCAATAAATGTCTATTCAATCAGATTATAACCTATCTACACATATTATAAGCCTGGTTCAATCACTTATTGTCTTCAGAGAGATTTTTTGCCTGTCTTGCCATTAGCTCTTCATTTGCAAATTGAGGAAGCAATCTACTTTCACTGAATATGTAAAATAATTTTAGACTTAAGGAATGCATATATGGAAGAACCAGGAACAGCAGTTATAGACTCATCACGTACGTCTCGAACATCTAAAATTTGACAAGCACTCTTCTAGGTACTGTTAATTACTAGAAGAGTCTTATCAGGGCCAACTTAGTACAGAGAACATTTGAACTGAGCCAGAATCACTTAGGCGATAGTCACCTTATGTCCCTAACTTACAGCGTAGACCAATCTCACACACAGCTGCATTGTTTGAAAGATTCTTTAAAAAATAGTATAGAAATAATAAGAGTGTAAAATTAACAACATACATACATACAGTTAGAGGAAAACATAGCATCCAAAAGGATAAAAATGGTAAACCAAAATGATATTTAACAAGAAAATATAAGCAAAGATATTCATGATAAAACAACTGTAATAAATCTAAGAAAAATTAAATAAATAATTTTCACAAAGAAGGTACTTTGTTCTGTGACTGTCCATGATTGGCAGCCGTCTTGCCTCATAATTGTCTCCCAGTTTGAACTCACTTTAGGTAATCCATAAAAGGAAGAGAGAACTCAGGCTTATTTGCTTTCTCAAACATGAAAAAAAAAAAAAGGTTTTATCAGAATCTCCTGCTTTGGGAACTCCTCTTCTTTCATTCTATGATAATCTTGTGCAGTCCAGGTAGGGCTAGTCCTCCTACCTACAAACTTCCACCTCAGGAGATAGGCAATTGATCTTCTCCAGCATGAAAGCAGGAGCAATCAGGTTTGCAGGAATTTATTTTATGTGGAAGGAATACGTCTAATAATAAGATCAAACATAGCAGAGAGATATATAAAGAGGCATGGTCTTGACGATATCTTTTGAATCCCTTCATTCAGCCTTCTTCAAATTTAGTTCAATTCCTTGACTCCCAGGTATGTTGGGCTACTGTATTGTCTTTGGCCTTAAGTTAGTTTGAGTTGAAATATATACTTACATCTGAACAGCAATCCAGATTAATGCTTTTTCTTTCAGTCTTATATTTAGCATATTTAGCTTGTCCTTAAGTCATCGATGATTCAGGGACCAAGTTAATTCTTGAATTTGCCATTTGATTTGGGTTTCCTCCTAATGGTTATTCTGAAGGATTTGGTTGGTTCTGGAATTTGGAGCCCTAACTATTATGAAACACTGGTTAATCCTGAAGAGGCATACATCTGGAGAACTCGCTACTTCTATCTATGAGTTTACTCTCAAACTTCTTGGGAAATCTTAACTAAATTGGTCTCTCTGCATGGGGAGGATACAGTGACATTTTTATCTGGGTGAAATTACCATTAAACTCCATTTAAGCAATTAACAAAGA
This sequence comes from Homo sapiens, assembly GCF_000001405.40. NCBI lineage: Eukaryota > Metazoa > Chordata > Mammalia > Primates > Hominidae > Homo > Homo sapiens. The sequence goes on from NC_000021.9 coordinate 18,215,949, forward strand.
GGTTTTTAATATTGTTTAGCTTTGGAGTCAAATAATTTTTTTCCTTTGGTATTATTTATCTTTTTCCTTTTTTTGCAATGCTAAGATATGCAAAATATACATTTACATTATTTCTTCTCTTATATGTTAATTTCTTACTTTATGTTCCCTTTTCTTATTTCCTTCCTTTCTTTCTTGTTTTTTTATGGTTTGTTGGATTGATTGATACATAACAATTGTACATATTTATGGGGTACGTGTAATATTTTGATATATGCATATGAAGTATAATGATTAAATCAGGGTGATTGGAATATCCATTACTTCAAATATTTATCATTTCTTTGTGATGAGAACATACCAAATCTTTTCTTCTAGCTATTTTAAAATAGACGATAAATTTTTGATAACTATAGTCCTCGCATTATGCTATAAACCACTACAACACATTTCTTCTATCTAACTGTGTTTTTGTACCCATTAACAAGCCTCTCTTCATTTATTCTTCCCCATTACACTTCCCACTCATAGGTAACAACAATTCTACTCTCTACTTCTAGGAGATTCATTTTTTTAGCTTCCAAATGTGAGTGAGAACATGCTGTATTTGTGTTTTTGTGCCTGGCTTGTTTCATTCACATAATGTCCTCCAAGCTCATTCATGTTGTTGCAAATGACAAGCGTATTAGTCAGTTTTCGCACTGCTATAAAAAATACCTGAGACTGGGTAATTTATAAAGGAAAGAGGTTTAATTGACTCACAGTTCCACATGGCTGGGGAGGAATCAGGAAACTTACAATTATGGTGGAAGGCAAAAAGGAAGCAAGCACCTTCTTCATGAGGTGGCAGGTGAGAGAAAAAGAGAAGCGGGGAAGTCCCAGACACTTATCACACAACCAGATCTCGTGAGAACTCCCTTAATATCATAAGAACAGCATGGGGGAAACCGCCCCCATGATCCCATCACCTCCCAACAGGTTCCTCCCATGACACGTGGAGATTACAATTCAAGATGAGATTTGGGTGGGGACACAGATCCAAACCATATCAGCAGGATTTCATCCTTTTTTATTGCTGAAAAATATTACAATATATACCACATTTTCTTTATTCGTTAGTCTGTTTATAGACAAGTAATTTAGTTCCATATCTTGGCTTTTGTTAACAGTGCTGGCATAAATGTGGAAGTGCATATATCTTTTTGATATACTGATTTTCTTTCTTTTGCATATATACTCAGCAATGGGGGTGCTGGATCACATGGTAGTTTTATTTTTAGTTTTCTAAGGAATCTTTGTGTTAGTCCATTCTCATGCTGCTATAAAGAACTGGCTGAGACTGAGTAATTCATATGGGAAAGAGGTTTAATTGGCTTACAGTTTTGCAGGGCTGGGGAGGCCTCAGGAAACTTACAATCATGTCAGAAGGGGAACCAAACAGATCCTTACCCACATGATGGCAGGAAGGAGAAGTGCCAAGCAAAAGGGGGAAAAGCCCCTTACAAAACCATCAGATCTCAGGAGAACTCACTTATTATGAGAACAGCAGCATGAGGGTAACTGCCCCCCCGACTCAATAACCTCCCATTGCGTCCTTCCCAGCAGAGGTGGGGATTATAGGAACTACGATTCAAGATGAGATTTGGGTGGGGACACAGCCAAACCATATCATGTCACCCTGGCCCCTCTCAAATATCATATCCTTACATTTCAAAACCAATTATGCCTTCCCAACAGTCCCCCAAAGTCTTAACTTATTCCAGCATTAACCCAAAAGTCCAAGTCCAAAGTCTCATCTGAGACAAGTCAAGTCCCTTTCACCTATGAGCCTGCAAGTTAGTTACTTCCTAGATACAATGGGGTACAGGCATTGGGTAAATACACCCATTTAAAATGGGGAAATATTGGCCAAAACAAAGGGGCTACAGACCCCATATAAGTACAAAATTCAGTGGGGCAGTCACATCATAAAGCTCCAAAATTATCTCCTTTGACTCCATGTCCCACATCCAAGTCACACTGATGCAAGAGGTGGGCTCCCAGGGCCTTGGGCAGCTTCACACATGTAGCTTTACTGTGTACAGTCCCACTCTGGGCTGCTTTCACAGGCTGGCATTGAGTGTGGCTTTTCCAGGTACACTGTGCAAGCTGTCAGTGGATCTACCATTTGAGGTCTGGAGGATGGTGGCCCTCTTCTCACAGCTCCACCAGGCAGCGCCCCAGTGGGGACTCTGTATGGGGGCTGTGATCCTACATTTCCCTTCCACACTGACCTAGCAGAGGTTCTCCATGAGGGTTCTGCCCTGCAGCAGACTTCTGTCTGGACATCCTCTGAAATCTAGGCAGAAGTTCCCAAACCTCAGTTCTTAACTTCTGTGTACCTGCAGGCTCAACAGCATGTGGAAGCTGCTAAGGCTTGGGGCTTGCACCCTCTGAAGCCATGGCCTGAACTGTACCTTGTCCACTTTCAGCCACAGCTTGAGTGGCTGGGATGTAGGACACCAAGTCCCTAGGCTGCACACAGTAGGGGGGATTTGGGCCTGGCCCACAAAACCATTTTTTCATCCTAGACCTCTAGGTTCATGATGAGAGAGGCTGCCACAAAGGTCCCTGACATACCCTGGAGACATCCCCATTGTCTTGGTGATTAACATTGGGCTCCTCATTACTTATGCAAATTTCTGCAGTCAGCTTGAATTTCTCCCCAGAGAATGGGTTTTTCTTTCCTATTTCGTTGCCAGGCTGCAAAAATTCCAAACTTTTGTGCTCTGTTTCCTCTTGAACACTTCACTGCTTAGAAATTTCTTCCACCGGTCAAGTTCAAAATTCCACAGATCTCTGGGGCAGGGACAAAATGCCACCAGTCTCTTTGCATAGCAAGAGCAACCTTTACTTCAGTTCCCGGCAAGTTTCTCATCTCCATCTGAGACCACCTCAGCCTGGACTTCATTGTCCATATTAGTATCAGCATTTTGGTCAAAGCTATTTAACAAGTCTCTAGGAAGTTTCAAACTTTCTCACATCTTCCTGTCTTCCTAGCCCTCAAAGTCTCTTAGAAGTTCCAAACTTTCCCACATTTTTGTCTTTTGAGCCCTCTAAACTGTTCCAACCTCTGCCTGTTACCCAGTTCCAAAGTCGCTTCCACATTTTTGGGTATCTTTATAGCAACACCCCACTCTGCAGTATCAATTTACTGTATTAGTCCAATCTCATGCTACTGTAAAGAACTGCCTGAGACTTGGTAATTTATAAGGGAAAGAAGTTTTATTGACTCACAGTTCCACAGGGCTGGGGAGTCCTCAGGAAACTTACAGTCATGGCAGAACTGAAAGCAAACATGTCTTTCACATGATGACAGGAAGGAGAAGTGCCAAATAAAAGGGAAAATGCCCCTTGTAAAACCATCAGATCTCAAGAGAGCTCACTCACTATCAGGAGAACAGCAACATGGGGGTAATTGCCCCCATGATTTAATTACCTCCCACAGGGTCCCTCCCAAGACACATGGATATTATGGGAACTACAATTAAAGGTGAGATTTGGGTGGGGACACAGCCAAACCATATCAACCTTCATACTGTTTTATATAGTGGCTATACAAATTTACATTCTCACCAACAGAGTATGAGAGTTCCCCTTTCTCCACATCCTCCCAAACTCTGTTATTTTTTGTCTTTTTGATAATAGACATTTTAATTGGGATAAGTTTATGTCTTATTGTGGTGTTGATTTGTATTTCCATGATTATTAGGGATATCCAGCATTTTTTATATACCTGTTGGCCATTTGTATGTCTTCTTTTGAGATATTTCTATTCAGTTCATTTGCCCATTTTTAATTGGTTAGTTGTATTTTTTTTTTTGCTGATGCATTATTTGAGTTCCTTATATATTAAAATTATTAGTCCCCTGTCAAATAGATAGTTTGCAAATATTTTCTCCCATTCTGTAAGTTGTCTCTTCACTCTGTTGATTGTTGCTGTACTGTGCTGAAGCATTTTAGCTTGATGTAATCCCATTTGTCTATTTTTACTTTTGTATCCTGTGTTTTTGACATCTTAGCCCCCAAAATATTTGTCCAGACTAATGTCCTGAAGTGCTGTCCCAATATTTTCATTTAGTAGTTACAGAGCTTCAGGTCTTACATTTAAGTTATTAATCATTTAAATTTGATTTTTGTATATGATAGTCCATTTCCTCTTATGTAAGCATAACTACTCTTGCATGCTTTTGGTTTCCACTTGCATGGAATATCTTTTTTTCATCCCTTCACTTGCAGTCTATGTGTGTCTTTACAAGTGAAGTCAGATTTTCGTAGGTAGCATATAGTTCAGTCACTTTTAAGTCCATTCAGCCAGTGTACATCTTCTAATTGAGGAATTTAAACTATTTACATTCAAACTTATTATTGATAGGTAAGGACTTACTCTTGTCATTTAAAAATTGTTTTCTTCTTGTTTTATATATTTTTGTTTGTTTCTTTCTTTCTCTCTTATTTCTTATCTTAATGATTTGGTGGCTTTCTGTACTAACAATGTTTGATTTCTTTTTCATTTATTTATCTGATCTTCCAATGATGTTTATACTTACATGTATTTTACAATGGTAGATATTGTTCTTTCATTTCCAGATATAGGACTCCCTTAAGCATTTCTTGTAGGCCTGATCTAGTCATGAATTCTCATAATTTTTGTTTGTTCATGGAAAACTTTATTTCTCTTTCATTTTTGAATAATAGCTTTGATGGATATAGTATTCTTGGCTCACAGTTTTTTTTTTTCTTTCAGCACTTTGACTATATCATCCCATTCTCTTTCTGCTGAGATATCTGTGATTAGTCTGATGATAATCCTTTTGTATGTGATTTGATGCTTTTCTTTTGCTGTTTTTAGAATTATCTTTGTCTTTGGTTTTTGACAGTTTGACTATAATGTGCCTTGGAGAGGATCTTTTTGGGTTCAATTCATTTGTGGTTCTTTGAGCTTCCTGTATCTGGATGTCAATATCTCTTGCAAGACTTATGAAGTTTTCAGCCATTATTTTGTTAAATAGGTTTTCTTTGCTTTTTTCCATCATTTCTCCTTCTGGAACTACCAAAATTGAAATATTTGTTCACTTGAGGGTGTCCCATGTGTCACATAGGTTTTCTTCATGCTTTTTAATTCTTTTTTTTAGTCTAATTGGATTATTCCAAAACGCTTGTCTTCAAGTTTAGAAATTCTTTCTTCTGCTTAATCTAGTCTTTTGTTGAAGCTCTCAATTGTATTTTTAAATTTTGTTTGTTGAATTCTACAGTTCTGTGATTTATGTTTGGTCCCTTTTTATATCTCTTTATTGAATTTCTCATTGAGATCATTGTTTTCCTGATTTTTAAATATTGTTTATCTGCATTCTCTTATATCTTGCTGAGTTTCTTTAACATCATGATTTTGAATTCCTTCTCAGGCATTTTATGGATTTCCTTTTCTTTAGGATTTCTTACTGAAAAACTATTGTGTTCTCTTGGAGATACCATGTTTCCTTAATTTTTAATGTTTCTTACTTCCTTATGTTGATATGTGCACATCTTGTGTAATTGTCACTTCTTTTAGTTTTATGGAGTGGGTTCTGTAGAGACTTCTCTCTTTCAATCATCTCAATTAGATAGAATGCTTTCATTTTCTTCCTGGTTAGGTACCATAGTATAGTCTTAGTATGATTTATTTGGCTATAAGCAACACACGTTATGTCTGTGAATTCTTTAGTGTCTCAGGCTGCGGTTGTTTGGATACTCTGGTAAGGCTTTGCTGTCAATGGGTGTGCCAAATGAGCTGGTCCTCAGGACCCTAGATGGCACTTACAGGTATCAGCATTAGTGGTGGCAGGCCCCTGTTGGTCTCATATTTGAGCCTCTGAGCAGGGTGCACAGACACCATTAGGGGCAGCAGGACAGTTGTGCCAGTCCTCAGGATCCAGAGTGATGTGCATGGGCACTGGTAGTGTCAATGAATGGTGGGTCTATCCTTGGGTTTATGAGAGGTACCCATAAGCACTGGTAGTATTGGCAGTGGGGGAGTGGGGTTGCTCTGTCAGCCTCTGTGTAGGGTGCATCAGCACCAATGGGATGGGTGGCAAGGTGGACAGACTGCTCCTCAAGACCCCAAGTGGGATGCATAAGCCTGCAGTGACTCCAGTGCTGGAGGGAGGTAGGTTTGCTTTTGGTGGTAGTGGCCTCAGGTTGGTGGCTTTCAGGCTTTGAGGAGCTCATGCTTCAGTTTAGTTATCTATGTTCTCAGGAGAGCCTCCCTGATGTGCTGGACTGTCTCTATCCTGGGTTATAGGGTACTGCGTGGGCTCAGGTGCTGGTGGTGTGGTTGCAATCCTGAGGCTCTCTGCACTAATGTGGGGGGATCTTTGTGGGTCCCTGAGGATTTGGAAATGCAAGAGCTATTTGGCTTCAGGGCAGGATGTAGTCTAGTATGGGCTTTACTCAGAAAATAGTGGTGTGCTACAGCAACTTGGACACTGAAAGGTGGGAACCTGCACTAATTCCTTCTCTGAAACAATGCAGTTGTGTGATGTCCTGGCAGCTCCTTATACTATCCTCAGGGCCTGTGAGAGCTGAGGGGCTTTTTTTGTGGCTTGGGCTGCAGCTGTCTGTGGTGGGAATGTGGACTGCTGAAGACCTCTTACTGACCTAATTCCTGCAAGGGGGAGTCTCTCCTGGCTTCGAGTTGATTTGGCCAGCTGCCTTGCTTCCCTCACTGTGCTGCAATCTTAAGCTTCTGAACTTCAGAGGGTCTCTGTTGCTACCCTGCTGGATTCTAGAATTTTCCCATAGAGGCTCTGTTTGACATTTAGTTATGTACTTGATGTTTAGGTCTTTTTTTGTGGAGGAGGCAAGTCTGCTGTGTGTCTCAAGTCAGTCATCTTGAGGATATCTCTCCCCAAATAATGAATTTTGAATGCAATAAGTCAAGATAAAATTTCTAAGACTACTATAAACACAAGGATGCAAGGAGATTCTCCGCCAGTACAGTCCCATATTAGAGATATGAAACTATTATAAATTTCACTTGAGGAATTAAGTAGAAAAAATATGAAAAAGTAAAAAGAGCCAATGACTGAAAGGTATATAATCACCTAAGTGGGAAAAACTGATCAGAAAATATTAAAAAGTAAAATGATCCAGTGACTAGGAGGTATGTAATAACATAAGTGGGAAAAACTGATCAGAAATTATGGAGTGGTAATCAGTAAAAGTCATGGAAATTTAGAACCAAAGCATTTTGTTGGAAGAATTCAATCAGTGTATTTTCCAGGCTACTGTATCTCCAACAGCTATAATATTTTATCACTGGCATCAGAAGAAAATGATGGAAAAGATGTTCCCAGCTCTCTGAATTATAAAATTAAATTAATTTAAATTACATTAAAGTGTAGCTTTTTTGCAGAAGGTCATGTCCATAGCATTCCCTACGAGAAATACAACTTGTATAAGAGCTCAGAGGCCTCCTAGGAGAAATGGTCCATGAAATTCGAGACTTACGATTTACCAACCAGAATGCTAAGATCAATACTCCAGAATAAGTAAGGGTAACAGGAATTTCCTTATCTTTTGAAGGGTCAGACTGCATGTGGTAGGCAGATACGATTTACTAAATATATGCCTCTATATTTCTCAGCTTAAACTGCAGTTAGGACTTAGAGCACAAGGTGATTTGCAGTAGGTGTGTTTCTCCCGTCGTTCTCTCATTCTTTCATGGTGACCTCAAACCCACCAGCACCAAATGGCATAATTAAAAAAAGGAGAAAGGCTACTTTACCCACATCTGATTCTATGATAATAAAATAAACTTCTGTTGTCTAAAGCCACTGAAATATAAGGGTTTGTTACTCGAACCAACGTTGACTAATACAAGAAGGCAGGGAATGATCTCCTCCAATAGGAAAGGGTATATTCATTAGTCAATTTAGAATAATACTTCAGTAGCAAGAATCATGAAAATAAATGGAGCCGATTATTACCAAGAGCCCAGTGTTAGCGATAGAGTAAGAGAATACTAGTTGCTGGAGGGAAATAGCTTCAATCAGGGAGACTCTCTGTATCTAAAACTACTTTAAAGGGAAATCACAATGGAATAAATGAGGAAGAGCCCAATACGGCTCTTGCTGAATCTTCTTGGGACTCTGAATACTGATTTGTACTCCAGTTCCCTGAACCCTTCAGTCTGGAGCTCTGTCATAAGCTGTTACCAAATTGACTGAGGTCTCTCATATATTCCACCACTTTTTGTAAGGCTGATTCTTGGAATTTTTAGACCCCCTTGACAGACACTTTCTGAGCCACTGATCGGCTAGAATAAGACTGATTGGTTTTGAATCCTGGCTTTTCCAAGCTGGATGACACACTTTTAATTGTTTTATATAACTAGCTCCTCTCTGCCTTACTTTCTTGTCTTTAAAATTTGAATAATAATTATTCTTACCTCAAAGAGTTGACACAAAGATTAAATAAGATTATCATGTAAAGTGCTTAAAACAGTTTGCATAAAACTACAATATTCAGTGTGGTTAAGTTCCCTCATTATTATTGTTATTTTTGCACAGGTGTCCAAAAGATGCTGAGGGATGGTACCCACCAGAAGCCTTGACACTATTCCTGGATCTCTATTTAGGGTATAGTCTCTGGGATTTAAATTCTGAGCACAAATTAGTATAGAGCTTATTCCTCTTGGGAATGGGAATATGGATTTATGTGTTCTTCCCATATATATTCCATTGTTGAAAATTGCAATTTCCTTGGTTTTAAACATAAATTGTTTTTATAGCATTTAGTATGAAAGCTGAGAAGGTAGTAGGGTATAGCCAGAGAATGAAGTATTAGAGTTAATATTTCAGGATTATAGTAGTTTTTTTTTTCCTTCAACTTCTTATAAGAAATATTTGTTCTGTTTTCAGTCAGTATAATACCACTGCTTGTTCTTTTCATCAGGGCGGCCTTAGGGAGGCTGGTATTATTCATTCATTTCTTTATTAGAATGCTGGTTATACAGATGTGTTCACTTTGTGACGGTAAATTTATAGACTAGACATTTATAGAGAAGGTGATTTTTCAATAGGTGTGTTTCCTGTGTGTACAGTATGTTATAATTCATAAGAAAGTTTGAATGGAATTGCAGGCTGGTGTTCCTTACATTGTAGTGCTGACTTTTCTTCTAGATTGGAAAGTTTAAGCACATCTACACATTATTTTATAACTTGTGTTATTACATAAAATAGCCGTTATCATGAATGTAGTAACCATAAGGATGCAATTGTTAAGAGGTGATATATTTAACTTGAATAAAACTTAGATTATCTTAGCTGAAAATGTAACCATTCTCAAAAAATAGCCATTATCTTTTGTTTACTTCTGAGTGTGTAACAAAAGTGTTTGGTCTTGCATTTAAGGACGATTGCTTTTCACTTATAGTTGTCACCTTATAGACTCAAATTTGCTCACCATTAGAAAAAAATCTGATAAAACTGTGTAACTTAATTATGTATTATTATTCTATTTGACATTTAAACTAATTTGGAGACATATCCACCTTTTATATTGTTAACATAAATAAAGTAAATATGTAGCAATTTAAAAGAAAAATCTATTATGTAGTTCATTGTAAAATATCCAAAGCATGTTGTGAACTTTTAAGAAAGACAACATAAAAAACTTTATATATGGTACTCTATTATTTTAGTAAAAAATAATGGGTAAGGAGAGAGAATACATATTTATTTTTTCTTACATATGCTTATAATATATCTAAAAGAAAACATAAGAGAGTAATAAAAATGAGCTTTTTTTGGTGGGATGGATGGGAACAGGAGAAATTGGGAACAAGGTAGAAACCAGACACATAACAGTAAATATCTTTATGATTCCCAGTTATTGAAAAATATAAATAGACTGCCTACTCCAAATTAAATAAAAAACATACAAGTCTATAATAAACCTCTTAAAATATGAATTCTCTAGGTCTGGGGGGCCTTTATGCTCAAGACTCATATCAAATCATAGACATACAGAGATAATATACACCTCCTGGAGGAATGACCCTGTAAGCAAAGGAATCTAGCCCGTTGGGGAGAAAAATTGAGGGGAGGAAGGAGGAATCTAAAAAAGATGTCAGACAGGAGCCAAAAGAGAATCTTGTTGCCTTGTAAGGTAGCTCTTGTTACAATAGCTGTGATGGCTACCAACTTTGAGAAAAAACTGAAGTGTATAATTTTCACAGACTTTTCCTTCACACTTGGGAGGATATATTATGTATTTCTCCCAGAGTTCCAAGGAATAGATTTATGATTTTAAGTTATAGATAAAATGAGTCATGATTGAAAAGGAAATGTTTTATTAGTATTTTTTCTTTTGAGACAGAGTCTTGCTTGCTCTCTCAGGCTGGAGTGTAGTGGCGTGATCTCAGCTCACTGCAACCTTCACCTCCCAGGTTCAAGGGATTCTCCTGCCTCAGCCTCCCAAGTAGCTGGCATTATAGGTGCATGCCACCATGCCCAGCCAATTTTTCTGTTCAGTAGAGACAGGGTTTCTTCATGTTGGCCAGGCTGGTCTTGAACTTGTGACCTCAATTGGTCTGCCCGCCTCGGCTTCCCAAAGTACTGGGATTACAGGTGTGAGCCACCACGTTTGGCCATGTTTTACATTTTATATACTAAGTAGAAAATACTCTTCCTGTCTCTTAGCAATACTCATTGAAGTATTATTATATTATCTTTTATTTTTATATAAATTGATCTTTTATAATCACAGCCCTCTAGAACATCATGTTTTCTGTCATTTTGAATAAAGTAAATATATGGATTAATATATTTAAACCAGTTGATTAAAGTAGTAGTAATTTTTTTCTCCAGAAGAGAGAGAGAGAAATGATGGTTACACAGAAAAAGCTTACATTTTCTGAAACATTGCTAAGCTATTCTGTTTTATTTATCTGCATCTTTCTGCCAAACAAATTTTAAGTGAAATAGCTGTCTTAGTCCATTCCGGCTGCGATAACAAAATATCATAAACTGAGTAGAAATAGACATTTCTCACAGTTTTGGAGGCTAGAAAGTCCATGACCAAGGCTCCTGCAGATTTGGTGTCTGGTTAGGGCCCATATTCTCACAGATGGCACCTTCTTACTGTGTCCTCACATAGTGGAAGGGGCAAGGCAACTTTTTGGGGCTTGTTTTGTAAGGACATTGATTCTATTCATGAGGGCTTTGGCCTCATGACCTAATCACCTCCAAAAAGGCCTCACCTCCTAATACCAAGATCTTGGGGGTTAGGATTTCAACATATGAATTTTGGGGAGACACAGACATTCAGACTGTAGCAATAATTGTCTTAAATACTATAGAATTTTCTAATTGCAATAAGTTTTAACATAAATAGCTCTGCTATGAAACCAAGATTCTAAACATAAAAACTGTCAAGATTTCCTTTGTCTGATATGTACATTTTAAAACATTGTTTAAACACCTCGTTTAAAACTTTACAACATATATGTTGTGTGTAGTGGGTATTTAATTTTGCCTTGTCTATGTAATACTCATATGAAGAAGACAAACATGATCATTAAACTAGTAAATAAAATCTTCTCTTCACATAGTGGAAAGTCAATTTGATTAGAAAATACATATATTCAAGTTTAGCCTCTTCCAGTTACCATCTATGCAATGACATGGGAGGACAGGGAAATTGATATGTCCAGGTCTTGGGTGCCTCATGGTTAAGTGCAGATGACATTATCTAATACACACAGGATAGTTAATGGAATTAAATAATAAAATTGTATAAAACATTTAATAAATTGTAATAATTTATAAAACATTCACTTGCTTATGGTATAGATAAAATAAATCTCTGCAATACTTTGTTGGGAATATTTTTCTGCAGGGAAAAATTATAGCAACAATATCTAAATGAAAATATTGCTTTGCAATAAATACAAATAAAATTCTAACTTTCTAGAAGAACAAGACTTTTGTTTTGAAATCACTATTATATAACTGACAACTAACAATAATAAGTTGGCTATGGTTGGACCACACTAATTTTTCAGTTTTTTATCTTTTGACTGGATGGGAACCAACCTAGCCATTTGTGTGATACTGCCATTTGTCCACTGTTTTTAAAAACTATTGACATTAATCTAAGATTGACTTCCCTGAAGTCCTCTTATGTACTGCATCAATATTTCACACTAAAAATTAATTAATTTGATAGCTTACTCATTGCTGCCAATGGTTTAATTTTTTAAGCTACTGGGGTCACACACACAAGAGTGTGGATGTTGCAACATGAGACAGCAGAGTGATAGAGAGTTTCAAATTTCTGGACAAGTAGTCATTAGGCCATGTCTACGTACTAATAAACTTCTCATGTAAATCGCTTTCTCTGTCATGTTTTTTTTCTTAATGTACATCTATAAGTGACAAAATGGTGAATAAATAAACCCACAGATGGTTTTATCTTAATGGCTGCATCATGGGATGCATCGTTAGTTTCATGTCTGTGCTACGCAAGGAACACTGGCTTTACTGCAGGCATCTGGCTGGCAGTTCCTCGGGGGTTTGTCACACACATAATCCAAGCATCCCAGCTGTGTTTTCAGTTCTCTGCTGTATAATTTGGCATGGAAAGATGCTCTTGGGCCAGCCTGATCCTTTAGGCAATTCTGTGAGCAGCTAGAAGAGAACTTGTACATCCCAAAACTCTATTATCTGCCCTGACTCCCTTCTTTCATTTAGATTGATTGATTTATCAACAATTTTCTCTTCTTAGTTTTGATTAGTGATATTTAGAATTATTGTAAAACAGAAGATGCTTCATCTTAACTAAAAGTGTTGACATAATGAGATAAAATATATAGTGGAATAATAATTAAATAACGAGAGCCCTACTAAATTCAATTACAAGTATTGTTGTTTTGTATTTTAGCTCACCAACTTAAAATAGCAGCTAGTGTGCAGTTTTTACCAATGCCTTCCTAATTTACCATACAAAGACAAATCCTCTCAGATTAAATGTCTATAAAGTATGTCTGGGAGAATTTCTAGGTTGAACTCATGAGGTCAATAATTTATTTATGAATCTTCTGTAGCTTCTTGGATGTTGTAGGGACATATAGTAAAAACAACAGACAATAGCAAAAGTATGCCTTTGCAATATATGATGGAGCATATAAAATATATAAAAATGGAAGAAAGTATAAAGAGGGCAGTATCAGATGAAATCAGGTGAAATATGACTTTTGCCTTCTTATATGTGCAGATTGCTGATTTGATGCTCATGAACTTGTGTATTCGTAAGATTTTCTGTGATAATTTTGAATAGCAAACAACCCACAATACTTCAATGGCTTACATCACAAAGTTTTTATTGCTTATTCACAGGTCTGTGGGATGGCAGAGGCATCTCTTCTCCAGGCCCTGAGTGCATTAGGTGTGTTCGATATATCTGGCATTCTGAGATCCAGGCTGAAGAAACACTGGTTAACAGGGTCATATTTTTCTCATGGTAGCAGGGAATAAATAAGAGACCAAACCAAAATGTGTAAGCATGTTTAAAGCTGCTGTGTGAAAAAAGTGTATGCCATGTCCTATCTCATTTCCTTGGTCAAAACAAATCACATAATCAAGCCAGTATCAATGGGATGGACGCTCATAATTCTTCAGTGTTAGGGTGGGGGAGAATGGATATTTGTGGAATAATAATACAAACTACCCACAATTTGTTTTCTGGGCAACAAATATTAACTTCTTTTTCTTCTGCCCACAGAATGTATTCACCCCTACTCCAAACAACACGTCCATCCCCTCAAAGTTGTACACTTTTACAGCATCAGACTTAAGTCTTAAATCTTGTGATAATCGCTACATCATGTTTTCTCTTCAGTCCCAGAATTCAATCATGGAACACGAAAGGATAATCTTCGCAAAGAAGAAGTTTCCTGGTCACCTACATTTGGCCCCAAAGCCAATACCATGAATTTTAGATTTTCTTTCAAGCAGCGACTTGACTGTCAAATCAATTAATTGGGGAATTATACTCCTCCCAAAGAAGGTGTGAGGAAAAAGTAAATTTTTTTGCGCAGTCATACAGTGTACCTCAAATGATTAAGTAGGTTGTAGTTGTGGAACTCAGGGGAAAAAAGTTTCTGTACTTACCCTGAGAAAACTGTTACCGTTAAAATGGTCTCGTTTCCTTTGATAATTTTCTCAGTGCCATTCAGGGTCCTCTTAGTCCTGGCTCCACATGAAGTTTGCTTTGCTAAAAAATTTCTTGCTGAAAAGAGCTGGGAAGACCTGAAACCACATGATATAAATCATTCAAATTTTAGGCCACAGACAGTTATTCTTTTATTACATGGAAGACATAGAAGAGATGATTTTCAATGAAGCAATCATGCAAGATTCAGGATTACATTCAGAATCACAAAATTAGCATTATTAGTTACTTGTTGTGAAATTGTGATTTTTAAATTAAATATTCTTACATTCCTGTGATTATTAAGAAGGGGAAAGAGGAATAAAAACTAAAAAGAATGTCAGCTATTGAGAGTTGTGATTACTTGGATTTTGTTATTTGAGATGCTTGTTGATACCATATAATATGGTTTCATAATTTTTTATGGAATATTAGAAACAAAGTGAAGGAAATACGAATGCAAAGAAGAACTTAACAGAAAATTTATGTCTAGTGGCATTTCATAAATATAAAGCTTGTTTAAAGAGGATTGTATGGAGTCAAAAGGTGGGCTAATATGTCTCTTAATAGCATCATTATGTGTTAAAATACCAATCAAAAGGTAAAATGTATGACTAAGAATCACTAAGCAATCATAGTTATAATGCTTTTGGCGTAATTTTTGTCATTATAGACTAAAATTATTTTTATGCTAATGACTTTCTCAAAAGATGATTATAAAAGAAGTAAATATAAACTGCTAGAAATACAAATGCTTTTCTATTTTATGATTTTTTTTCTTTCATTCGTACTTAGATGATTTTCATTTATCCCTGCACAGGTGTTTCAACCCTTATAATGAATTTGATTCAATTCAACCAATGTTTATGTAGCCCCGACCATGGGCGGAACACCTTAAGGACAAAAGTGGCCTTTTAATTTAGTGATACTATAGTCCATTGGGGAGAATATGGGCATTGTAGCTTGCTTTTGAAGAAACCATCTTACTCAGCTTTTAAGTTGAAGAAAGAACTAGTCAATGTTATAACAAAGTAGCGGTATTCCAATAAACATTTTGACAAGGTAAATTTCAGCTCCTTTCCCTGCCAGCCCACTAAAATGCTCAGGGTTTTGGATCCGACGTCATGAAATGACACTGCTCAGAGAGTGTCCTGCAGTCGCCTATTTATTTTATAACCTATTCAGCAGAAATTATTTCCATGATTGCCAGCCACTGTGCGTGTGCTATATCTGTGACTTGGCACAGCAGTGCTTCCATCTGACTTAATTTAAACATGCCTCTTTTCCAACTATAACTTCCATTAAAGCCTGAAGCCTTTCCAAAAATGGGGCTAGACAGAGCATTGAACTGGCCATTCAAATATCCAGGTTGTAGTTCAGGGTTCATGACTATGTGGCTTGCCTTGCATTGTTTTTTAACCTATTGAAAAGAGTATCTGATACATACCTTTTCAAGGTTCTTGCACCCTTTTTTCATCCACGCTGTATCACTTCCCTTCTTCAGTATCTACAGTAAAGTGCAAAAGTCATCCAGCTTCAGAGTCTTTTCATCTGTCCTTTCTTTTCCGTCTGTTTGCTCCTCAGGCCTTAACCAAAGGGCCTGGTTAGGTGTTCTGAGGATGGCAGAGACTAGTCCTACTGTGCTTTGTATGGGGTTATGGATAATGGCTTCCCAAGCCACGGCACAGTAATGGGGATAACTGTCTTGGTGGTCCTGGGTAGTTACCGCTGGAGAAACTTGTATATAGTTTTATATAATAAAATGATGGGGAGGGCCAGCCATACTATAACACAGATCTAGTGATCCTGCCCCAGTTTCACTGGAACACTCCAGGCCTGGTCTATGCGGAAATTTAGCTCAGAGAGAAGAGCACTGTTGAACTTGATGTTTGGCAAGCTTCCATCAGACACATGCTGTCTTCAACATTTCTACCATTAATTCTTAACTTAGCATTTGTTCAATTTGTTTACCATTAGTTCTATTATTTACTTAATAGTTTTTCTTTAAAATGATATAAATTATTCACTATTTTATTGTCTTATTCAAGCAGTAATATTTATAAAATCATCATTTTCGATGTGCTAATTATACTGATTTCTTAATACATATAAAATAAATATATAACTATTTGTCTTATTCCATTTGGCTGTTATAACAAAAATATCATAACCTGGGTCACTGAATGACAGAAATTTATTTCTCACAGTTCTGGAGGCAGGGAAGTCCAAGATCAAGAGGCTGAAAGATTTAGTGTCTAGTGAGGGCCTCTTCCTCATACATGGCACCTTCTGACTGTGTCTCCACATGGTGGAAGGAATGAACAAATGCCTCTTTAACGAGGGCACTAATCCCATTCATGAGAGGGGAGCTCCCTGACCTAATCATCTTCCAAAGTCCCCACCTCTTAGGTACCCACAATATTGTGGATTTGGTTTCAACATGTAAGTTTTGTGGGGAGCAAACATTCAGACGATAGCAGTATTAAATTTTTAAAAATCTATATCTAACCTTAAACCATCTCAGTCACCTTTGGGAAACATTGGTTTAGTCTTGGTGATATTTGGCTGTGTGATGGCTGAAGAATTAGGTGTCTGAAGGAGGAAATAAATAATGGTTAGTGGAGTCTCCAGTCTTACTAGTTCTGTAGCACAGCAGGATATATTATGTTTTTATGCTTTACATTGTTTTAAAAATGTTTTTGACAAATTATATAGTCAAAATAATTATGGGGTCCATATAATTATAATGGTCCATATAATTATGGGGTCCACATGATGTTATGATATATATATATATATATATATATATATATGTATATATATGACCTATCTATCCATCTATATATACACACACAGTGTGGAATGATTGAATCAAGCTAATTAACATATCAATAACCTTAAATACTTATAATTTATTCCTCCTGTCTAAGTGCAACTTTGTACCCTTTGACCAACATCTTCCCATTGTTCCCACTCTCCAGCCTCTGATAACCACTGTTCTACTTTCTGCTTCTATGAGATGGATTGCTTTAGATTCCACATAGAAGTGAGAACATATGGTTTTTGTCTTTCCGTGCCTGGCTTATTTCATTCATCATAAAGAAAGGCACATTCTTAAGAGGTGGTTTGACATTGTGTTTAAGAACACAGATGCTAGAGCCAGACTGCCTGGGTTGAAATACCAGCTGTCCACCCTTTTGCTGTGTGTATGACCTTGGGCAAGGTACTTAACATCCTTTTGCTGCAATTTCCTTATCTTTAAAACTGGGGATGGCTATAGTATCATAAGACATTCATGAGGATGAAACAAGTTAATATATTAAATGTTTCAAAACAGTGCCAGATACATGGTAACTATTAATTGTTGTTATTATTGTTATAGTTACTCTCCTAAGAGCAGGAAGGCCAAATTAAGTCCCAGAGTTTTCGATAACATTATCCAGTGTGAAGATCTAAGTTTAGCTTTAACAGTTCAGCTTTCATTTTGCTAAAACACCGGAGCCAATATTTGGGGCCTTTTTTTAAAAAAAATAAGATAATTTGGCCTTATTTCATAATGGTTAGGCTGCTTCTGGTAAGACTTTATGCATTCCCTTTTCTTCTCCTCTAAAGAGCCAATTAAAAGATTTCATATCTGAAATTTTATCATTTATTACTTTACAGTGTGACTTACAACAATAAATATAATCAAGGTTTAAAAGTTTAAGCCAATAAAATACTGTCTATATTCCAACCGTAACTTCTTAAAACATATAATGCAGAATGCATAATATTTTAATTTTTTGATGACATACTGAAGAATGATATTCCAGATTATATTATTCACACAATGAATCAATAGAGCATTAACTTCTTAAAATGCTGGAATAAAGAAAGAAATTTACCATGTCCAAGGCTTTTTGGTTAATTGTGCACATTAATATAAGTGCAATAAAACAAATCATACCTTATTATTTTAACCTTAAAGACAATAAATACTACTTGGCGTGAAAACAAATATGTTCTCTCGTTCGAATGCGCTACTTTTACTCTGTGACCGCCATCAGAGTCCCCTCTGTGAGCGGAAGTGATGTTTGCCGGATGAATGTAGCCTATTCCCTACAGAGCGTTACTTGCTGAGGTAGGCCCTCTCTTGGAAGGTTATCAGGTGACTTCCTTAGGTGTGCAGGAAATGGAAGCAGAGTGTGGACTATTTTCTTGCCCTCTACTGGCCGTGAAGCCTCAAAATGGCACAGCTGGCGTTTAAGCCAGAAAGAAACACCTGTTTCTCTCTGGTACATGTTTTTTTCCTACCTTTTCAGTCCTCTTCAAAGCTTTCATTATGCATATTTTGAGTGTATGTTAAGGTCTCTTATGGGTAACTCATGAAAGAAATGGTTCTTTGTAACATTTACGCAATATCTGGGGTAAAAGAGGATAATGCAACTAAAAGGGGAGGCAGGGAACAATCCACCCCTTTACCTTTGATTACCAGAAGTGGTCCCATGAGGCTGCTGATGTATGGGCACAAAGTGGGTTATCCACACATGTCACTGGAACATAAGAAGGGGGTAGAACAAAACTTCTGCACTGAAGGCTCTGCGAAGAAACTTTATTAAATAAAATAGACATCTTTGGCGTTGAGTCGGAAAATGATGTACCAGACATGGTTCTGGTTCTGGGTTAACTTACCTTCTTGTTGAGAAGGTAAAATAAGTACATGTAAGCAGCTAAGTAATTTGAAAAATTAAATAGTATGAAAAGTTCCAGAAGGTAGATTTTCTTCAAGTACTAAATGAATTAGTTTTATCCATCTGGAAAAGGAAAGAAATAAAGTGGCCTGATGTGGCTTATTTGAGAAAAGAAGAGACAATTTTAGGAGAATAATAACATAAGAGCCAGGCATTGCAAAGGCAGAGAAAATTATGGAGGTGCCCAGTGTGGTAAGATAACATAAGACAGTCACTTGGTGTTGCTGGCTGATTTGTGAAAGCAGAATGTGGACATGAAGTACAAAAGATAAAGAGGGTCAGAATTTGAAGGGCCACAAATGAGGGACAAAGAAGCCCAAAATTTGTTCTGTAGTCTAGAGTGTAATTAAAAGCTTTAGAGCAGATGAATATGTAAAAGCCTGTGCATGTTTTTTTAATAGGACCTTCTGATGGTAGCATTATGCATTTTTTTCTAATTTTGTACTAGATTTTCTGCAAGTATATTCATATTAACATTGGAAGAAAATTTAAAAAATTAAAATACTGAATATATGATTAATCTATATTTTAGACAAAACAATGTGTTGATTATTAAGATTGTCTGTACTGGGCTGGAGGAGACTAAACCTAAACCCCAGTTAACTCTTTGGATTGGCTACAGGCATATCTTCAGTGAAGTAATTCCTGTTATTGTCTATAAAATTTAAGGGTTATTTTTGTTATAAAAGAGTTAAGAAGTAGTAGTCACCAAGGATAATATGATCAAATAATTTCTTATAAAATAGAAGAATCTGTCACACATGCAGCCAACTGAATGCATTCCACTTATAATAAATTACGTGTTCCAAACAGGTTTTCTACTAAAACTTATTGAAAATAGCATTTGGTTGCTATGACAACCTGGAACAGCAATTGGAAACTAGAACATTAAAGGTGAGACAGAAAAGACAGACAAATAGTTCATATTTAGCTAAATTGTATTCCTTTTTAATTCTTATAAATCCAGGGAGGAAAGGAAATTCTTATCATGTTCAGAAATGAATAGTTTTCTACCTTAGCATCATATAGATTTAGAATGTCCAGTGTATTTACATCATCTGTTGGTTATTAAGTAAGATGAATCAATTGTCCTCCTTTTTGTTCTGAATCTCAGAAGTCTTCTCATCTATGAGTTTTGTATTAGTACATTATCACGCTGCTGTAAAGAACTGCCCAGGACTGGGTAATTTACAAGCGAAAGAGGTTTAATTGATTCACAGTTCCACGTGGCTGGGAAGGCCTCAGGAAACTTACTATCATGGCAAAAGGAGAAGCAAACACGTCCTTTTTCACAGGGCAGCAGAAAGAGAAGAATGAAAGCCAAGTGAAGTGGGAAGCCCCTTATAAAACCATTAGAGCTTGTGAGAACTTACTTACATCATGAGACTAGCATAAGGGAAAACCGCCTCCATGATTCAATTACGTCCTATAGGGTCCTTTCCATAGCACATGGGGATTATGGGAACTACAATTCAAGATGAGACTTCGGTGGGGACACAGCCAAACCATATCAAGCTTTGATTACTTTTTGTAGCTTTTGAGCATTTAGACCCTTATCTCAGGATATTATAGCTATTTATTGATTGAAACTCTGACTTTCAAAGTGTGTTCTATGAATCCTAAGAATTTCACAAATTATCTCTAAGGTTTCTTTGGAAGGAAGTACGGTCATATGGCCACTTGACTCCAGTATTTTCCATGTCTTTTAGGTTTTACCTCAACACCACACTAGAAATTATAATGATGCAGCTCAGAAAGTGAGCAGGCAGTTTCATAATTCAAAAAATTTTGCAAAATTTGATTAAAAATCTGTAAAATATTTTAAATCTCAATAATTTTGACATGAATTTCAGATAACCACTTGAACAATACATGACAAGTTTTCTACTTATATTTATAAGATATCCTCAATGAAAATGTGCTTTTATTAACAGATAGATAAAATTTTATTTTGTGTTGTAATTTGTAGTCTTTTTAAAAATCTTAAAAATCAAAAAGTCACTTATTGACTTCCTAGTGTGCAAGACACTGTTAGGCATGGAGGATACAGAATATGTTATAGTATAGTATTTTTCCTATAGGAGACTGGTGTGTCCACATAAAGAGGCATAATTTATACAGCTAACTATTGGAGAAGAAATATGCTGTGGTTTTAAAAAATCAGAGCAAGAAAATTATTTTTGTGGAAATTAAAAAGTAAGCTTCATGTAGGATGTGAAAATCAACCACATGTTAAATATCAGGGTATGAACTGCACTGTTCTGGGCAAATTAGTACTTTGTCAGGCAACACAAGATGTGTGGTTACCATATTCTTGGAAGATGTTACTGGTGGGAGCATATAGCAGTGTGGAAGTAGAAAAGCAAAATTTAGACTATCTATCTAGGAATATACATCTGAATTTTGCATTTATCTCCACTCTCAGAAGAAATTACGTATAGCGAAAGTAAGGGCTACTCAGTGACTTCTGCAGAATAGGAAGCAAACATTAACCTAAGATTCTAGAATGCAGGTTACATGGATTACTCTTGAAAACCTCCCCCTTTGCAAGCCTGACATCCTTGAGTGTTAGCAAAGGAAAGGAAGGTACTGGGGAGCTTTTCAGAATTGCCAAAGCCTTCTTTCATCTCCTTTACAGGAGTAAGGAAGTGTGGAAGAAAGGAGAATATCCTTCCTGTGTTGGTTGCAGTTCTTATTATACATCCCTCTTCTCTCCGACCCTTGTCACTCTAGAGAGTAGACAGGGGAAAAATCTTTAAAACCTGGATGCAGGTGAAGATTAAAAAACATTAATTCAGAGATTCAGTTTTGGATAAATATTTACCAAATACATAGCAAGTATTCTCCACCTACTGTTTGTTAATTAAAATTAACCCAAATTTCCCACCTACTGTTTATTTATTGAATAAACATAAAAATTTCCCATCTACTGTTTATTTACAGTAGGTGAAGAATAAAACCACCTACTGGTGGAGAATAAACTAGCTCAGAGCTTACAACCTAGTAGAGATGGACAAACATTAAATAAATACGCCCACAATTTTAACAGAATAAGTGCAATATGTGCTCAATAAATGTTTGTTAAATTATAGATGCAGTCATAGAAAAAACTGGGGGAGGATAAGCAGAGGTGGACTTAGATCATTAGTCAGGGAAAGCCTTTCTGTAGATGGAGGCAAGGACAGAAAGACAGTATCTTCACTTCCTTTATGATTGTCCTAAAGCTTCTCAGCACTCTGAACTATTAACTTGGGTTAGAGAAAACCAGTATAGAGTCTGGGAAGAGACACCAGAGTTCTAGTGGTCCTTAACATGTTAGAATAAGCCATGTAAACTGATGCGCATATTAGTCCATTTTCATGCTGCTGATAAAGACATACCCGAGACTGGGAAGAGAAAGAGGTTTCATTGGACTTACAGTTTCACAAGGCTGGGGATGCCTCAGAATCATGGTGGGAGGCAAAAGGCACTTCTTACATGGTGGTGGCAAGAGAAAATGAGAAAGATGCAAAACAGGAAACCCCAGATAAAACCATCAGATCTTGTGAGACTCATTCACTACCTTGAGGACAATATGGGGAAAGTGCTCCCATGATTCAAGTTATCTCCCAGTGGGTCCCTCCCACAACATGCGGGAATTATGGGAGTACAATTCAAGATGAGATTTGGGTGGGGACACAGAGCCAAACCATACCAATGTGGTTATGTGAAAGTTCAGGGAGGGGTTGCTGTGGATGGGTGGTGGAATTGATTAGAGTATTAAGATTGTGAGGTCTAGCTTTATGCTCCATTTTATTCCCAGTAAGTAATATTTTTTCCAGAAGTCTTTACAGTCACAAGTAAATGAGTCTCAGCACAGACGGGCCTGAGTCCACTATGATTATCCTAGTCTTGTATGAAGAACTTTATATACATATTTTTGTAATTGTTGTATTATTCAACATCATAAATATTTAAACATCAAAAACATTACTTCTGATTTTTTAGTGCCAGATTAAATGACTCTTACCTATTAGAGAAGACAGGAAGTACATGACTAAGACATTCATGATAATTTTGTAGCTCTCTGATGTTCTTTAACACTCTAGAAAATTAAGACTACCTTATGAATTTTTGTGTCCATTCTTTGGAGAGAAATATTATAGCACAAATTTCTTACTGTAACATGCTCCGTTAAATTTTTCTGCTGTAAAGGATCAAGCAATAGAAATACACTTACTTTTGTTGTTTTTCCCTTTCTGTTCATGTTTATTTTATAGGAGTTTCTTTGGAATGTAGAATATGTATACCTTATTGCAGATAAATAATAACTTTTCCTTTTTAAAAGGTAACCTAGAGGATAAAGAAAGGTTTACGGGTGCTGATATCTATGGCTTATCTGACAGAGTATTCCTTATTATTTCCAAAATTTCTATATTGCTGTCCTGCATTATACACATGTATTTGGCATGTGAGCTACTTACGCTTAGAAACGATGTATGAAAGAGCAGCAGAGTGACAGATGTACCTCCAGAAGGATATTTAAATTGATTTTTTTCTTAATACCTTTGGTTTTTTTCCGTTAAATTCCCTCTAACTTTATATGTCAGCTCACATAATACAGTTTATTGCTATTATGGCTGGCTTTGGCACTATTGTTTCCTAGTCATTTGATATATTTGGAGAAACATTTAATATTTATGAATGCCACAAAGGAATATTTTACATTTTTTTAGGTCTTTAGCTATTCCTTTTCTTTACACCCTTTCCCTTTTAGTAAAATAAAACACTTTTATAGAAAATATCTTGCTTTATCAAAAATTCATTTACAGTTTTATGGCCTCTTAGTTGGATTATCTTTTACTCAACTTGGCCCTCAATTTTATTTTGCTTTATTTGGATTTTTCATTTTTTGTGGCATCTGTGATATGTTGATTTATTAGTCAAAGGACCATAGAAAATTTTCAGAACTCCCATTTTCTGAACAATTTTGAAATTAAATGAGGATATAGCCATTTATTATAAATCAAACCATTGTCATTTTTATAGGAAAAAATAGAAGAGAAAGAAAGAGGGAGGGAGGAAGGGAAGAAAATAAAAAGAGATGGAAGATGTTAAGCTTTTTTTTCTTTAGTGAAATAAATTGTAAAGCTGAAAAGGACTCTAGAAATATCTAGCATAGCGATTTCCAACTTCTTTGAGTATGAAGCCCTATTTTTAACATACGTATTGTTTTTCAGACCCCGCATAATAGCAATTGTTATTTTGGTAAATATTGATCAGAATATATGGGAAAAGATTTATAAATTAAGTGACATTTTACAATTAAATTTACATTTCATTAGAAGCATAGCATCTATATATATTTGGAAAATTAGTGCATATATGCAAATAACATATGACATTCTGGCTGGGTAGAATAAAGATGAACATTAGGAAAGTTTATGAAATAACAGTATTTCTGCAGTAGAATCTCATTCAGTCAGGAAACACAGAACTTCTCCAATTCATTCTTTTTATATTTATAAAGTGAAAACCAAACAGAAGAGGAAAGTTGACCAAGATCAGATTAATGAAAAATTTAGATTAATGTTTCTGCTAGCCAAATAATCTTACCGTAGTACAATATCACCCCCAATAAGGAGTTAGTCAATTATGTATCTAATAACTCAGATCAGACCCTTGAGGCAAAGATGACTTTAGCTTACACATTTTTTGTTTGATTATCTCAATTTTGTTTGGTTGTATTAACATATATTAAGGCAAGATTTAGTAATTAAGCTGTGATTAGAATAAAAAGTATTGGTTTATACCAGATTACCAGCAATAGAAACAGATTTCATTACTTTAAATTAATAAAGAAGCATTAAAAAGAAATTTTAATTGAGTTGATAGTTAAACATGCACATATATTTATATGATTCTTTAGATCTGATAGGATATATTACTAGTAATGGAGTTCTATAAATATTTTTAACTGATCACCTGAATGATCAGAGCATGCAACAGACTGAACAGTTATGAAATTTTAACTTCAAGTTATAGAAAATCATGTGTATTAATGTGTATAATTCTTCATTATATTTCTGATATCGTTATGAACAATGAAATTCCCCTAGACAGCCCTGCAAAAACTGACTTCTGGGATTATGAGGAAGGTGGAACTGGCTCCTGAATGAGGTAGGTCATGTATTCTACAGCATAGACATGTTTTGAAAAGAGCAAGTAAATCTCAGGTGAATTTGGCCAACTGCTTATCCTTACATTTAAGCCAGTTACACACCCACACAGATGCCAAGGTGTCATCTCTAAAATATTGGGAGGGAAAACCTTGGATTCAATGCTGTCTTACTGGAAGTGATAACCAAGCATTACTCAGATAAAAAAAAAAAAACTTTTTGCCTATTGCTGAAGTGGTTATATAGTAATGATTTTACTTTTAAACTTTCAAATATTTATTTTTCTATATCCTGGCAATACTATTGATAGTGCTCAGGAGAATCATTAACTGTTATTAGATAAAGTATAATAGAATAAATAATATTGGTTAGTTAATGTTGGATTCTGAAAACATCTCAAATGTATTAATGTAAAGTTGTAATAATTTTAAACATTGTAACAAATCTCCTTTGAAGATCCTATTTGTCACTGTTCGATCTGGAGCGCAAATGAATGAAGCCTGCTGTGACTTAGGCTGAAGCCACTGTATGGAGTTGCCCATGTGAAGAGCCACTGAGTGCAGATCAGTGGCTGGAATTTAGGCTGTCCTTCCTTGAGACGTATTGATGGGCGCATGAAGCAGATGCTCACTGGGAATTGCAGACATTTGAAAGTGAATGGTGAGAGTGAAGGAGTTCGTGATATATTTGGGATATTATATAGATTCCATAGTATACCCTTAAGAGTCCTGATATCACTTTTGAAAACGTTGGATTCCAAATAGTGTTTCTCTATTGATGTTTCAGAGCCTCTGGAGATTCAGCGATCGACTTATTCCTGAAATTCCTTTGTGGCCACTTTTACTGAGATCATCCTTCTATTTGGGGGCTTGAAGAAAGTGATGCATTTTAGGTGTTGAATAGATGCTGAGCTCCTTAGCCTAATCAGTTTGAAGTTCTCATTTGAGTCTTTTTTTTTTTTAATGGACAAAGACCCTTAACTTGTGGGGGACCTCTCTCCTGACTGCCAGTCATATGGTCTTGTTTGGTATGAGCTGACCTGGAGCCCAGCTCCAGACATACACAATTCCTCACATAACCCTAAAGTCTCTTCTCGCTTGCCCTAGAAAGAGCCCTTAATTTCTGGATCAATTTGCAAACAATTCTTAAACTTCTAATTTTGTTTAGTTAATTTGGAACTAAAATGTGTCATCAGAAAACCATGTGTCTTCTATGACACCTTATGCATATCCACAAGAGGGAAAAATTAAAATCCTTTGTTAATAAAATTATTGAATATTTGTTGCTTTCCCCCAACTCCCAATAACCTTGTAACATTTTTCCAAAATACAATTTTGTTGAAAAATTTTAATTCATAGCCCCTACTTTTTTCCATATTGTATGGGAAAAAAAAGGAAGCCAAGAGAAGCTTCCATCAGGGCTCTCCAAAGAGCATGCCTAGTAACACTCAGATTTTATATTTAAGACAACTCAAACTGTGATCTCTGAACTCAGTGATGACCCATCCAGATGTTTTGAAGTGACGGAGACACAAACAAAAAAAGCTGTTCTTGTCAGCCAGTCACCTTAAAAAACATCATATCTAAAAAGAACCTGTAAGAATTTATTTTCCTGATAAGTCAAACAACATCCAGAATAACTGCTGAACAGCCTTAGTTAATGAATGTGGCCAACTTAAACTGATATAATTCTAGCCTAAAGATAAGAAACTGTATGTTAGGAAGTCTGTGCAAACATATTGAGGATACAGTTATTATTATAGTTTGGGCTTCCTGAATTACTAATACCATGAAGATCCTTCCTGACAAAAAATGCCTTCATTCTTGCTAGCTTTGTAGGCATGAGAGACATTTGGGCCTACTGATATATAGGAATATCTATCTAGTGCTTATGTTGTAATTTACTGGTATTCTTTCCCAAAGAAGGACCTGTTTACAGTAGCTCTGGGCATGAGTAACTGAGAGTAGGGTGGCATGAAAGGGGAAAGGAGATCCCCTTCAGAACCCTAGTTCTACAGGTATTTGGAGAAGCCATGGGTATCACCACCATCAACCTTGACTGCTGCTAAAGAATTCCTGCAAATATGCCTCCAAATGAATTTCTTATCTATGCTAGCCATGACACTTGATTCATCCTTCCATTACAGCATTTATACACAGAGTTATTATTTTATTTCTTTCTCTACACTGGACTCTGAGCCCCTGGAGGACAGCTCTCCTACCATGGCTATGCCCAGTGATGCTCTTTGACATGGTTTCCGGGGCTGAGCTATAGCTCTGTTGCCTGGAGGCGTATCAGTTTTCCATTTTTCATTCAGAATCCCAGCAGTGTCTGTTTCTCGTGAATAATTAGCTAGTGTGAAAGTCACAGAATCCATAGCCTCTACAAGGTGCAAATTTATTAACTGCCCATGATTCTGCAATGAATTAGTGTTTTTAAAGGGAATATAAGAAAAAGGAAGTGATAGAATAGACATTATTGTAGTTATTTTAGAATTCTATTTTTTTTTTTTTTGAGACAGGATTTTGCATGTCCCCAAAACTGGAATGCAGTGGCTGGATTGTAGCTCACTGCAGCGTCAAACTCCTACCTCAGCCTCTGGAATAGCTGGGACTCCAGACGGAGCTAGAATTCTACTGTCACGAGTAGGGTGCATTTAATAATCTTTAAGGTCTTTCCAAGTGCTAAAATTTCTGATTCTGGAAGATTTGTCCTTATTGTATCAGTATTTACTTCCTTTTTCCAATAAAACAGTCCAACAGATGCTTACAGTGTACCCGTGGCTTATGAAACCAAAGACAGGAGGAAGTTAGAGGAAAGTGTACTTCCTATAAGACAAGTAATGTTATTTAACAAATTCTCATGCATTTAAAGCAACATAATGAGAAAATACCAATTCTACTGAAGCTCATTATGAGAACATTTTCAGAGTTCATACTATGGACTTGATATACATTAAATTCTTAAGAACTTCTCTCCAGTATTCCTGGAAACTAGGTATCACAGTCCTTGGGTAGACTGTTTTAATAAAGAGAGCAGGTCAGGTTATGAAAAATGCAGGTTTTCCAATGAGCTTTACTTCTAATGTATATCGTAGATCACTGATAGATGATTGCAAAGAAATACATACATTTCATTTTACCTCCAGGAAATTCCCAAGAATTCAGAATGCCTACTTTGTGTTGACGGTTTTCTCTGGAGTTGCAAACACTGAGAGTGAAATCAGTTTCGAAAACCATGCTTCAAATATTCCTTTCAATTTGCTCTTGTGGCAGTTTTCGTCAAACAACCTGCTTGGAGATAATCTATTTGCAGAACCTAGGTGGGGACAAACCTGCCACATTATATAATTCACTGAGCAGGTTTTGGCTCTCACTTCACCAATCCATCTTAAATAGTGGCTAGTGCCCTGCATCTAGCAATACATATGATTAAGCAATTTAGCACAGAAAGAGAAAGGCCACACAACTTGGCAACCCCGTAGACATTTATCTTTGAGAAAACTAAACGGATCCAACTTTTTGCCAGAGTTTAATAGCAAAGCTGTCACATTTTACACAAAGAGTATCCAGTCCGCTAGCGAATGGAAAGAGGGGACAGGGAGGAGGGGACCAGAGGAGGCGGGCTGCTGACTGGACTGTTTTCAAAGGGGCTCCCGTGTTTAGGGGAGGTGCTGGGATGCTCCACATGGCTGGAGAGACGAAGTAGTTAAAAATTATTACTAGGGAGGGGGCCGGAACCTCGGGACGTGGGTATATAAGACGGTGCCTGAGCGCAGAGCGGCTGCTGCTGCTGTGATCCAGGACCAGGGCGCACCGGCTCAGCCTCTCACTTGTCAGAGGCCGGGGAAGAGAAGCAAAGCGCAACGGTGTGGTCCAAGCCGGGGCTTCTGCTTCGCCTCTAGGACATACACGGGACCCCCTAACTTCAGTCCCCCAAACGCGCACCCTCGAAGTCTTGAACTCCAGCCCCGCACATCCACGCGCGGCACAGGCGCGGCAGGCGGCAGGTCCCGGCCGAAGGCGATGCGCGCAGGGGGTCGGGCAGCTGGGCTCGGGCGGCGGGAGTAGGGCCCGGCAGGGAGGCAGGGAGGCTGCAGAGTCAGAGTCGCGGGCTGCGCCCTGGGCAGAGGCCGCCCTCGCTCCACGCAACACCTGCTGCTGCCACCGCGCCGCGATGAGCCGCGTGGTCTCGCTGCTGCTGGGCGCCGCGCTGCTCTGCGGCCACGGAGCCTTCTGCCGCCGCGTGGTCAGCGGTGAGTCAGGGGCCGTCTCCCCGAAGAACGAGCGGGGAGAGGGGACCACGGGGCGCGGCGGGCAGCCTGTTCTCGGGCGGAGGCTCTCCGGGGCGTTGGAAACCTGCATGGTGTAAGGACCCGGGAGGAGGCGGGGAGAAATTGATTGTGCTGTTCTCCTCCCTCTCTTCTCTAACACACACGCAGAAAAGTTTAAATTTTTGTGAAGCGCTTGCTTACGTAGCTGCGGAGCGAGCCTCTGCTTCATTACGAGCGGCATAGCCTTTTTCAGGAGTGATTTCCACTTTCTTTGTGAGAGAGTTGACCACACGGCCGGGCTCAGCACCTGCCAAAGGGGTGGGGTAGGGCGGAGGCAGAGGGAACCCAGAGACAGAAGAGCCACCGCAGAAATGCCACCCTCTGTCGCTCTGACTGGACTTTGGTCCCAGCACCGTGTTCACTCGGATGCTTTCTGTGACCAGATCAGTTCGCTGTGGGTCGCCTCCGGATGCCTGGGCATTCGGTCTTTGTTCTCAGCAGGACTACTGGCAAGGAACTGAAGTGTGGTCATTGCGTGTAGATGCCTTTCCTTTGCACACTGCGTTCCAAGTTGGGGACTTCCCAGAAAATGAAGTCAGCTGGAGTTGGGCCGAGGTATACTTGGTAATGACTGCAGGTTCGGCACACAGTAGGTGCACAATTAAGTCGGTCGAGTCAGTGCATGGGAAATCGATCAAAATTGGCAAGCTTCCCAGGTTGTCTTTGATTTTTCTTTTTTTGACTCTCACTGTCCTGTCGTTGAGCGATTTATATTGCAATTACTCTCCCTTACTTTTTGGGACGGTCTCTTCAAAAGGATACAGATTCTCGACAACCTAGGGTGAATGTGCTTAGGGCCTTACATAAAGGCTGATCATAGCTACACTTTATTGAAATCTCTTACTATGCTCATTGAAACATTGCAATAAGTATTTGTTGGATATATGTGTTTTGAGGGTGAAAAGTTTTTTTAAAACATAAAAAGCACAAATAGCCCTTTTCACTTTTGTACACCTATACAACAGGTGTCACTAGATGTAGAAATAGATGACAGATGACAGCAAGTAATTCAGCTGTGAAGCCAGACCTTTAGACATTGGCATATTAAGCTTAATTGTCACTGATCTTCCCCTTAGCAATTTGTGATGTTCTACAGCTTCAGAATATAGTTCTTACATGTGTAGTTACCGATCACTCTACACTTTTTTCAGAATTTTCAGAATCTGTGACATTAGATCCTTTTCCTCCCTAAGTTAGCTGCAAAGAAAAAATTCATTATATAGACTCATCTGATTTTGTGAATTACTTATCTGTCTTTGTATTTATCAGAATTATTCATGCAACTGAATGAAAAGCAGAGACCATGCTTTGAACATAAGATGTTTTTTACTCATTGACCTAAATAATATCCTTTAGATATGCTCTTGTTCCTAGGCCTCAACATTTTAAAGGGAGGAAAAATAATATCTAAAGTAAAAACAGAGCTTAAAAAATTGTTGAAGAGGTGTATTTTGCGTTCTATGAGTACATAATTTTTTCCAAATCTTTTGTTAGGTTTTCTTATTAAGCATTTATAGGCATCTTGTAGGTGACATCTGGAAAATTTCTAATTAACTGAACATGATCTATTTGATTTAGCATAAATGATGATGTTTATTTGATATTAAAATAATTAGTTATGTTTTCCTTATGAATAATTCAATTGTCTTTGGTCATAAAATTCACATTGAAATTTAACCATCTATAAATTGATTTGTGACTTTTATTATTTGAAGACTAATTTCTTAAAAAGATATATTTTGACCACAATGGCCAGAGAACAGAGCAGCCTGAAGCCTGACATTTTTGTAGCAATAGTTTCTAATGGATCTATTGTCTACCTGGTCAATGTAAGTTTTGAATTGGTGCATCAATTTTTCGTGCCACTTGGGACCATTCACCAAATCTTTATTGAAGAGTAAGAGCCTCTTTGGGGCTGTTATTAGGAACATACTTGCAACGTATGGAATATATTTCTATTTGTTAAATTTCAGTACAACAATTTATAATTTCTATGTAGGATACTCAAATAATCACTGACCGCAGAAAAATAGACACTCACAAAATAATTCTCCACATAAATTATATTTAATACCTTAAAATATTCAATAAGGTACTTTCCAATACTTTTAAATACATCACCTTTTCTAAAGTTTAGAGCATTACCTAAAAATAAAGTGGATATATTTTAGCAAGAAATGACATTTCAAACAACTTCGTCATCGTAATCTGACCCATGAGATTTAGTGGCATCTAGTAGTAATAAGAAAGTATTTTTTCTAGGTCAGTGGTCATGATTATTTTGATGTACGAATATGCAAAACAAGATGTGATATGATGATAGTAATCAAAGCCTATTTATTGAATTTATGATGCTAATTTGGAAACTACCTTTAGGAGCTTAGACCTGTACTGATTTCTTACTACACACAGATGTGTAGAGAATATCTATGGGAGCTGCAATCATTTAATTTTGTGAAGTGACTGGTGAGTAGTGATGTCTTCTTTAGGACAAAGGTAAAAGGATTTTACTTGTAGGCATAAGGATAAATATGAAGGATTCCAAATTCAGGTCTCTAAGTTGGGAGGATATGTTTGAAGAGCAAGTGATACTTTTAAACATTTGAAGTGTTTTGAAGTAATGTGTTTCTTTTTTTTTTTTCCTTTTTTCTTTCTAGTGTGCATAGCAGTGATCCCCAACCTATTTTTGCTGCAAAATGACATTAGGAATATTTCATGGTGCTTCCAGATTTCTCCAGGACACTTTAATATATATCAGTTTAACTTTATTAAAACTGGCACATGTTTTATTTAGGAGACTGGGTGATTTAGAGGCCTCTCTTCTTATCCTGTGGATACCATAGAATATTGCAAATTCATGGGTGGTGAACAGTAGCACATACATTAATACAATATGATATAATATATACCAAGGGAGATACAAGAAAAACTGCTGAGCCTTTCTCAGCCTATGGAACTAATCTATGACATCATCAAAAGCATAAAATGATGACAGTGCAGTTTTCAGAGATGCAATTACTTTAAGTATCTCTCGGGCATGAAAGGAACAAATTAATCTTATTACCAGTCATTTAATGAACTAACCATTTATCATAGCCATTATTCTTCAACTGCTGTTTGTCATCATTTTATGGTTTTGTTTTATAACTCTTTCCCAAAGATGGCAGTATCTGTTACATTACCTTTATAAAAGGTAATGTATTTTATATATATATATAAAATATATGTATAATACATATATAATATATATAATACATATATGTATATATTATATACATATATATGTATAATACATATATGTATATATTATAT
The DNA here is from genome assembly GCF_000001405.40 of Homo sapiens. Taxonomy (NCBI): domain Eukaryota; kingdom Metazoa; phylum Chordata; class Mammalia; order Primates; family Hominidae; genus Homo; species Homo sapiens. The sequence continues at coordinate 18,248,693 of NC_000021.9, forward strand.
ACATATATATGTATATAATATATACATATATATGTATATAATATATATGTATAATATATATGTATATATGTTATATATAATATATGTGTGTATATATGTATATGTGTGTATATATGTATGTATATTATATATGTATGTATATTGTATATGTATGTATATATACATTGTATATGTGTATATATATGTATTGTACCTATAATATAATACATATATATGTATAATACATATATATGTATACATATATATTATGTATACATATATATGTAATATATACATATATGTAAATATATATTATACATATATGTATTTATATATAATATATATTATACATAATATTAATATATATAATATTATATATATTATATATAATTTACTATATATAATATATATATAATAAAATATATATATATAATAATATATATATAATAAAATACATATATAATAATATATATATATATAAAGGAGTCCAAGGTTAAAATTCAGAAGATGCACTCACAAACAATTTTTACTATTTACAACAACTTTCTGTGTCAGGAATTCATATACAAGTAGATGGATGTGTGCGACTCTAGGATGAGAGTGTTTCTTTTACTATTTTAACATATTCCTCATGATATAACACAGGATGACAACTTGGCTAAAGTTATACTCTTTGTAATGTGGAATGCATTCAATTTGGATCTAGTTTGTTTTATTTGGAAAATAAAAAGACTAGATAAAAATTTATTAAAGGCATATATGGTTTGAAAATCTGAGACAGAGGCAACATTAATTCTTATTTAAATATTTGTAACAGAAAATCTAATTCTGTTTAGAAACAAGCTCTCAATGCACAAGCCTTGCTTATATTAGCCACCCAATAATCAATAACAGATTAATGCTTATGATTCTGACATAGATAACATGCACAGTGTTTGTGTTCATCAATCCCTTTTGTTCATGAAATATTTCACCTTTATATTAGGTTTGAGACATATGGAGACAGCATAGAAACCTGGTAAAAGCATGGAGTGTAGAGCCAGATGGCCTGGTTTCACAACCCAGCTTCAGCACTTGTGAGCTGTGTGAACTGCCCTCTTTGCCTCATTTTGAAAACAGATAAGAGCACCTATGTCATAGGATTGCTAGGAATATTAAAAAGGTTCAAACACAGTTATGCAGATTGTGCACTGTGTCGAGGTACAAGCCAAAGAGACAGGAGAAGGAGCTCAGCTTGGCAAGCCCAGTGCCTGTAGCTCAAGCTACCTAGAGGCAAAATCAACTTTTTCTAGTTGAACAGTCTATAAGAGGGACCTTTCTGCCATCTCTCACCAGGAGAGGTCGTCTTTTCCCAATTTATCCCAAAGCATGGATTGTGGTAGAAATGAGGTGCTACATTCTAAATTATTGCTAAATTTGAGGCTTTTATTATTAGAATCATTACTTCTATAAAACTCATAACTGGTCTCATTATTTAAGTAAGAAGACTGAGGCCAGGGGTGATTAAATAATCTCAAGTACCCAAAGTTCAAGTGTAGAGTTTGGTTTCAAAGCTAATTCATTTTGATTGGCTACATGAACTCTTAAGTCACAATGATACTTGGTTTACTACTTATTATTCTAATCTCCATTGTAAATATTCTGATTTTTTAAAAAAATAGTCTCATGCTCTTCTCAGAAAGCTTACGCATTTTCCAACTGGAAAAGTAGGGCTTGCTGCTGCTGCCACCATCCAGAAAATGACCACAACCTACATTTATAAACTTAATTTAAAATTATAAATAAAATTATAAATAAATTTGTTTATTAATGTAAGAAAATAGACTCCAGCTATAGTGCACTATGCAATTAAGTACATTATAAAATCTCTGTTGTAAAAATAAAAGTTTATTATAATAAAACTCTTTATAAGAAAAAATTTTAAGAAGTTGGTGTAACATTGAATGCTGAACGCAGAACACTTGAACACCAGTCATTTTCTTTTTAGTTCAAAAGTGTTGGCACTGGTATCACAGTCCTTGCTGCACTGTGTATGGTAGTATCAACATATTTATCAGTGTGATTGTGAGGGGGGTAAGAAGAAATTATGAAAAAGAAAAAAATATCTTGTGTGATTCTAATAAAACATTCTAAGTTAATTCAGTCTGGTTTGGGGAATATTTACCATGTGGATGCTCTTTTTTACTTTTTTTTGCAACTAATGGTAGATCATAATTGAACAGCAGGAATTTGTAATATGTCTTTTATATTTTTATTGAAAAAGTGATATAAATTCAATATTCATCTAATATTAATAATATATAATTATAGCGTGAGATATTAGAAAATATTTATTATTTTCATAACTAACTGAGCACTCAACTATCAGAAAATAAACAAATATAAGCAAAAAGAAAACCAAATTATAGATCCTTTCTGCTCAGAAAGAAAAAGCAAACTACCCTGACTTCATGAGTTTGGCCCCACTTTATATCATTGCCAAGAGCATTTAAACCTCTGCCAATAGTTAGCTCTATAGAAATTTTAATGGCTAAGGAAAAAGACAAAAATCATCTACTTATTCATGGAAAGAGTGATGAAATCTTTGTTGTGACAGTGATAGGAGTGTTAATAATAATAACTTTCTCTAAATAAAAGGGCCTGTTTATTTATGTAGCTGTGTGTGAAACTAATAAGGATGAATATTTCTTTTATATAAAATAAATGTATTTTATTTGTTTTAATATATAAAATATGTATTTTATTTATTTTATTTATTTATTTTAATATATAAAAATACATATTTATTTTATTTATTTTAATTATTTATTTTAATATATAAAATAAATATTTATTTTAATATATAAAATATTTATTTTATTTATTATTTTAATATATAAATATTTATTTTATTTATTTATTTTAATATATAAAATATTTATTTTATTTATTTATTTTAATATATAAAATATTTATTTTATTTATTTATTTTAATATATAAAATATTTATTTTATTTATTTATTTTAATATATAAAATAAATATTTTATTTATTTATTTTAATATATAAAATAAATATTTATTTTATTTATTTTATTTATTTATTTTAATATATAAAATAAATATTTATATACTTTATATAAAGAAGCCTCTTTTATATAAAAGAAATATTCTATAAAATATTTCTGTAAAAATTCAGTGCAATCTATACGACAAACCTCCATGACACACATTTACCTATGTAATAAACCTGCACATCCTACATATGTACCCATGAACTTAAAATAAATGCTTAAAAATCCAGTGCAGAAAAACTTACATATTTAAATACTTTTTAGATTTAAAAATTAATTAGCTCCTAGTGCACATCTAGCAAATAAATTATCTTGGATTTTATTTTCTCAATATGTTTGTAGAGAAATTATCTTGAATTTTATTTTCTCAATATGTTTGTAGAATCCTGGGCAGATCTTTTCTCTCTCTTGTAGATAAGCCCACAGTAAAAGGATGTCTTCAATTGCAGATGCTAGTTGACATTTAGTAATTTATAGTTCGACGGCATAAATGTAAGCTTAGTGTAATAGAACCCGTTATATGGTTCTCTGAATCCTTATCTATCCCATAAAATGTTGATGGAAGATTTTATCTGAACATAACATTTGAAAATAAGAGACAGAGAAATTCTCCACGTTATCTCACAGAATGAGACGAGAGGTAATTGTAATTGTTCTCTAGGAAAATTGGCTTTTACAGAAGTGGGAAAGTTGCTTCCAGAAGATCTGCATTAACAAAACTTTTCTGGGAATTAGGGCAACATTTGTTTCCCAGCTGTTGGAGTTTCACTGCATTAGTAGCCAAATGTGATCAGCTGAAAGAGTGGTGAGACGTTCAATAGCTGCTGCTTCTGATGATTTTGCTGCAACTTGGACCAAATTTGCACGATAAGGTGGAAGTCAGTAATAAAATAGAATTGAATGTAAAGAAATTCAGTGTCAGCTTTAACTGACTGTATATAAACCCATAAAAATTGTGCAATATATTTATAATTTCCTGAAAACTGCCTTGCTAGATCTGAACTGTTAGTGACTTTTCAGTTCAAACTCTGTAGACACAGCTGATGATCAAACTTTAGAGTTAATAGATCTGTTCCAGTTGACGGTGGGCTGCTGTCTTGATGCCCTGAGAGTCTCCCGACCGTGCAGCCATCACAAGCTCCACTCCCTCAAGCAGGACCGGAGGACTGCTCTATTATCCACAACCAGAGACACAGCCTGGCACAGAGAGTGTCAAGCTGTCTATCGTCCAGGGTCTGGACAGCACTGATTGTTAGTTATTTTAAATATAATCTCTCTCCCTAGGTTTTTTTCTTTCATTATTATTATATCTGTATGAACTAACATAATGGTGTTAGAAATTTCCACATGAAACCTAAAGCTCTCATGCATTTAATTAGAAGTACTATCTTAATTTTATGAGTTAATTTACATCACCATTTCTGTATGCTCATCATGAGTAAATCTGTGCTGCATTTATTTTTTAATATATCAGGGATAATGAACAGTGACTTTTAGCATATGCATCATACCCAGGAATTCCCTGAATGTTTGGGGCTTTGTTACATATAACAAACTTTTTACTCACTGAAAGGTCTGGCTATTCTGTTTTGTTTTTTTTTAATATGACATTTTTTGACATCTTGCAAAACAATCTTCTTAGGGAAATTTAATATTTCAAAAGTGCTGGGATAAAATCCAAGGCAGAAAGTTCTTGGAGTGAAAAATCGAACAAGTTAAAAACTCAAGGGAATGTAATTAAGATATATTTGGACACTTAGAACTATGTAAAGGATGTAGTAGATGAAAATGGAAACCGCATGCTTCTAAATACAGTCATGAAAATACAAGCTTAATGGCATTGTTAGGCTCTGACTGAGAACAACCATTTTAAATGATGAAATCATCACAAAACTTAGTAATATATTAGGAGAAATTTTAAAATAATACATTAATTTTCAGAGTCAACCATTGGGGCTTTCTGTTAATTTGGGACTTTCATGATCATCTCTCAAAGAATATTTATTTTCAGGCTGATTTGTCCTCCTGAAGTTTCTCTAACTTATTTCCCATGGTCATTCATACTAATATGTTCTTTTTCATTAACAATTTGGGCAGCCTGTTAATTTGTTCAGATTTTTTAGTGTGTTGCTGCTGGGTCCAGATCACGGTCACGAAACAGAGGGAACAACTCTTGGCTTGCTTGCATTGCCAGAACTACTATTTTATGATTGGTTGTTCTCAGTTTGTGTCAAGATATTGAATGCCTATCACTCAAACACTGTTGAGAAGTTAATGACCTTCCACTGATTTCTGTGCCTTTCTCCCTCTGAGTGTCATCATAGGTCATTAACTGCTGACTCCAGAAAGGAATGGATATGATACACTGGCTCAGTGTGATGTACTGTAATTAAAGTACAAAGTTTGAATGCTTTTTTTTTTTGCCAGTATTTAAATACAAGAATCTCCCCCACCCCCAGAAATCCCTGACTACTGACAACTTTTATTGATAGGCTACACAATTAAATACATAGTAGAAAAGGCCATAAATACCAACAGGAATAATGTTAATGGAGATGAATTGTAAGAAAGTAGAGAAACTATTTCCTAATTTCTTAGCATAAAGTAATTTGTCTAAATTTTACATAAAGTAATTGACAGTCTATTTTCCAGGTCCAAATCTAAGCTAAAATAGGGCAAGACTCAGAAAGTAGAAGAGGCTATGGACTATGGAAAGCAGTCTGGGCATAAGAAATAGTAACAGAGAGGGATCCTTGGCGGTTTTAAAAGTTGACAGCAGAGAGCAGAGGTGAACAAAAGCAGAAGCAGTGAAAATCAAAACAAGACAGAATGACCATTCTGGAGATTGTTTATAATCTTGCCATACATTCTTAGTGGTAAACAAGGGTGAGTGTAGACAATAGAACAATAGAAAGTCCATTGCTTATAGAACTAGCTAAATCCTATACACCGTAATATCCTTGACATCAATCTATTTATATCTGTTTATCGTCTGTCTATCTATCTATCTAATCTGGCATATATATGTAAATATAAATATATACGACTTTATTATGACCTGATATGCATATTTGCAGTTATTTCACTTGATAATTAGGAAAATTAGCACTGCTTAACATGTAGAGGTATGCGAAATTTAATTTTGAGATTTTTTTTTCAAACTCTTTTTGCCTATGTGTTTAAGACTTCACAGATGTTATTAGAGCAGAATTTCATTATGACGTCTCAAAAATTCTTTTAAGCTTGTTTGTGATTCTGGCCAATATCTTGAAATAAATTGATTTTCAGTATACTACAAATAATGACTTTATTGGGTATAGTATAGACTGTACATAATCAATAGATGTCAGGATAGGTGGTTAGGTGGTTAAATGGAATGCTGTAACATGAAAACCTTTAAGATACAGGTTTAAGATAAAAAATAGATTTTAAACTTCCCTTCCAAATTCAGAGTATTCTATGTATGTATTTATAGATTTTAGATATTTGGTTGGTCCTAATCTTTATTCCTGAAGAAATATGTAATAAAACCACCAGTAGTAAGATTAACTACAGAAAAAGGTGAATTTAAATGAATTTGTATTTAAGTTTAACAAAATTCTGAGTTAGGGAAGGTTTAAAAAATGTAATACTATTACTTTCAAACTCATAAACGAATGAATGGAACATTTCTAAGGTTAAATTAGAGGAAGACATTGTTATTTCATATGTGTTTAATATATAAGTAGAGCCTCTAAAGCTGAGAGAAATAATTTGTTTTCAAGTCTGCTAAATGTTTATTACCTTAATTGTTTTGAGCTAATAATTTAACTGTCTTTGAAAGACCAGTTTGGCCAAATTTCAGCCTACTCAGGTCTCCATCCAAATTGTAAGAAATTGACAACAACCATTGATAAGATTTTACTAGCTCTTTTATTTCATGATATATTCATTCCACTGTTCTCTAAGCCATCATTTTTTTCACATTTAAAGTATATTCCTTTTTTTAAAAAAGTACTTAATTCTTTAAGTTCATAGTTGGGAGATTTTAATTTGCAATTTATCACTTATCAGAGATGTCTCTGTAAAATGAGAGAAGACATTGGCCTAGGAATTGGAGTTTACACACAATATCTCCCCAAAGACCCCAGAAAATACTCAAAAAATTGGTAATGAGATTTTTTCAGAGATAGTGAGTACTTTAGAACTCTATCTTGTCACTTCCAATGTAATATTATATTAATTAATCGTTTATTACTACCAATTACCTTCATTCTGTCCCCTTTTAACTTTCAATTTTAATAGATTTGTTTCGGGTATAAAAAATGAAAGCAAATATTTATACCTTAAATCTGCCACTTTGTATCTTCTTCAGAACACCTTACATAAAATTGTTTCATTATATATTACTTGTTTTTGATAATTAATTTGCTTTATGAATTGTTATTCTTCTTTCATTAAGTTTTAGCTCACTTTACTATACACTCCTGAAATTCCTTTAGCTATTTTCATTTGCTTTGTTAATTGGTTTATAAAATCTAAGCCAGAAGAGTTATAACTTCCCTTACAAACCTTGCTTGAAGTACTGGGTTTAAAAGTTTATGTTGCAAGTTTACGAGGGAATAAATTTGCTTTTACAAATTGCAAGCAATAGGCTAGAAAATAAACTTTATGAAATAATTCAGTGGGAGAAGCATTTCTGGTAATGTATTTTCTGCTTTGACTGGTTCTTACATTTTGATTCTTAGTGTTGTTACAAATAGAGTTCCGATTATCAATATATGGGCATCTTTTTTTTTTTTTCAGGCCAAAAGGTGTGTTTTGCTGACTTCAAGCATCCCTGCTACAAAATGGCCTACTTCCATGAACTGTCCAGCCGAGTGAGCTTTCAGGAGGCACGCCTGGCTTGTGAGAGTGAGGGAGGAGTCCTCCTCAGCCTTGAGAATGAAGCAGAACAGAAGTTAATAGAGAGCATGTTGCAAAACCTGACAAAACCCGGGACAGGGATTTCTGATGGTGATTTCTGGATAGGGCTTTGGAGGAATGGAGATGGGCAAACATCTGGTGCCTGCCCAGATCTCTACCAGTGGTCTGATGGAAGCAATTCCCAGTACCGGTGAGTATGGATCTTGAGCAGTTGGCAGGTGCTCTGGGGAACTCCAAAGATAGAGGGAGGACTCTGTTACCTGTAGAGGATGTCAGAGTAGGACAGGCAGAATCATTTAGTAGGCATGTATCTGAGTGTTCCTATTACTCTCTGTTTGCAGAAACTGGTACACAGATGAACCTTCCTGCGGAAGTGAAAAGTGTGTTGTGATGTATCACCAACCAACTGCCAATCCTGGCCTTGGGGGTCCCTACCTTTACCAGTGGAATGATGACAGGTGTAACATGAAGCACAATTATATTTGCAAGTATGAACCAGGTAAGCAGTAGCAAAAGAAGGTATAGAAGATTTTGTGCATGTTTAATTGTATTAAGTTTTGTCTTTAATTTTGACTACCTGTGGCTCTTTTTGTTTTTCTGCTGTGAAATAGAAAATTACCTTGCAGTTTCTCATATCACTCGTGTAATGAAGCATATCATATGCTGTAGAGCAAACTGTCCAATGAGCTCAAAGAAGAGAGTAAATAAAAACAGCTGGAGAGATGTCTTTAAGAAAAAATAATCATTTCTTACAATAAAACCAAATATTTTTGTAAATAGATTTTATAAACAATAAATATTTTAAAATATTTTAAACATTACTATAATATGTGGGAAGTAGATGTAAGTTACCAAAGCACCTATAGACTTACACATGTGAGCAGCACTTCTTTATCTGACTTTAAGAGAACAAAGCACTTTCTCCTGGATCATTTGCTTATCATTTTATGGTATAATACTTGACATGTGGTACTCAGTAAAAAGAAGACTGTCATAGCTCATTGCCCCATAGTGGAAAAAAGTAGGAAGATGTGACTCGTTCTCCCTATGATTCCTATTCTTGAAATATGTCTCCTCAGTTAGCTTTCTTTTGAAATCTCCCACTACTTGTCATATGCAGCAAATGGGAATCTTACATTGACTTGAGCTATACTGGCATGGGTTCTGGATTTAAAAAATAGTCCATTTGAATTACTTTAACTAGGACGGATCGTCTGAATTCATATTTGACTGAAAGAGGGACTAATACAAACTCTGTGGACTCATTTTTTAAAATCATCTAGAAAGTCAAGTTAGATCCTTAGGCTTTGAGATTTTTTTTGCTGTTTTTCTCCTCCTCAGTGTTTGGAAGTGTCATTTTAACTCTTCTGAAGAGGTGTCTGCTTGAACTCATAATACGTGTTCACAGAAGGCAATTATAGTTGAGTACTGCTGCTTCCATTATTCTCCTGAAATTACATGATTCTTTTTCTCATAATACCAGAAAACACAAGGGATTATTTGGATTAGACTTACCCTTCTCTTACATTTATCCTGCTCTTGAGTGTATTAGCCACCTTTTTTTTTATCCCTGGTGAGTTTATTCTTTAACCATCTTGGTTGCTAAACCCGTCATTACCCTCCTGGAAGTCTTTGCAAAGCTGAATCTGTTATGCGCTTATGTCCTCTATTTTTCTCTTGGAGAAATATAAAGTTGAAATCCTCTGATATTTTAAATTTGTGACATTCTATGTACTTAAGACTACTGGATAATACAAGTACAATATTATGCATTATTCTTAATATTACATTATCGCCTTCTCCTTTCTTTTGAGTTCAAAGGTCAACTATTTGACCCTTCATTGTATTATATTTATTTTATTTTTGCATCAAAATTTATGCCATTATTTAGGACACTGTAAATCTTACAATCTTCTTTACTTGTTTATGTATTAGGTAATCTAGGTTTACATTACTCATGCAAGAGCATTTATGATATAAAATTATTCTTTCTTTATCTTCTCCATTCTACCCAAATCTTCAAATAATCTATATTTATTAAAATATTATTTTATGTAGTTTTTGTTTTGAAGCACATTCACGGGTTTACTGTTGGCCTTATTAATGTGCTCAGGATTTTTATTTTTTATTTCATGATTTAATCTTTTTTGTCTTTTTATTTATATTTAGTTAACCCTCCTTGAGCTTAGTGTCTGCTTAGTAAAGGATGTTGGTTTGATTAAATTCCTTGGTTATGTAATCAGTGCTTGATTTTTAGTGATATTTTGCATAATATTTATATTATTTGTTTAAAAATACCAGTTGACTAGGCATAGAGTGACTAAGTTCTCTAGAAGAGTAGGTATAGTCTAGGACTGAATCTGAAACCCAGAGGAGGCTATTAAAATGTCAGAGTTAAATCTGTGTACAAGAGTAACAAATATTTCTACAGAATGGATTATGATTAAACTTCCAACAAAGGGGGACTCTGTGACATTTTAAGGCAATGTAAGAATGGTAAACATTAAATTAAAATTCTTCTCTATCCTGAAGACTATATAAGAACATGGGTTCTTATTTCAATTGATAAAAGTAGAGAGTTACACTTTTGGAACAAATGGAAACAAATTTACAGGCTTTTTTTTAAATAATTCAATTTATTTTCATTGAATTATTGATTTAACAAATAGTTCCTTAAGGAAAAGAAAAATAGAAAATAGAGCAATACGAAATCATGACAATAAACTTCAACAATTTTAAAGTGTGTAGCAAGAGAAAAAAAAGCCAGGAATAATAGTTAATGGATGCTGGGCTTCATACTTAGGTGATGGAATGATCTGTGCAGCACCGCACCATGGCACACGTTTACCCACGTAACAAACCTGCACATTCTGCACATGTACCCCTGAACTTAAAAGTTAGAAGAACAATAAAAAATAAAGTGTGTGGAAATTGAAGAGACATCTATAAAACTAGGGAAAGAAACAACTTGCAAGCTTTAATTTAGTGTTATTATTATTATTTTTAAAAGTAGACACTATTGGAAAGCAAATCTAAGGATGGCATTGTATATGCAGAACAGAAATGTGGCTTAGAACGTTGTTACTTGAATCATCAATTCCAAATGCAATCCACATACAGTCATCTGCTGATTATTATTGCAAGGGGAAACCCAAATAATACACTGATATTAGTAAAGAAATTATCTTGCTTGTCTCTGAACTGCATTTAATATATCACACTCTTACGTTTGCCAATTCTTGGTTATCCTTGCTTAACTTTGTGACTGGTCCGCCATTATTGCCTGCAGCAGGCTATCATCAGCACAGACCCACTGTTGATTGCTAATTGCAATTTGGAGTTTTAAGGGAGAACATATCAACTCCATCTTTTATTCAAAGAGAATTAAATGTTGACTTTATAGTTAGATAATTTCATGTAAATTTAAATTCAGAATGTATTTTATTAGCTGTAAGCTGTTCAGAAATCAAAATTGTGATGTTTTTATTTTATAATATAATTTCATATTTATATATATTTTCAATTCTCTTGTTTAATCATTATATATGATGGTGGTTCTTATTATTTACAGAGATTAATCCAACAGCCCCTGTAGAAAAGCCTTATCTTACAAATCAACCAGGAGACACCCATCAGAATGTGGTTGTTACTGAAGCAGGTAATTACTTCATGTGTCTTTAACTTCATCAAGAACTGAACTGTACTTTCAAACGCTGCTTCATGTTGACCCCAGTGAAACTTGTCTTGCCTGGGGAAGTGGTTCACTAAGTATGGTCCTATGGACATTTACTTTTGAACTAGGTTAGAAAAAATTATGCTAAGCTAGTATTTGAATAGAAAAACCTGTTTTGTTTTCTTCAGAGTGGTACTAAACTAAGTGATCCACATTAAAATTTGGATCTGGCCAGGCACAGGGGCTCACACCTGTAATCCCAAGAATTTGGGAGGCTGAGGCAGGTGGATCACTTGAGCCCAGGAGTTTGAGACCATCCTGAGCAACCTGGTGAGACCCCATCTCTGCAAAAAATACAAAAAACTAGCCTGGCGTGGAGGTACACACCTGCAGTCCCAGCTACTGGGAAGCTGAGGTGGGAGAATCACCTGAGTCTGGGAAGTCGAGGCTGCAGTGAGCAGTGATCATGCACTACAGTCCAGTTTGGTCAACAAAGTGAGACCCTGTCTCAAAAAAGCAAACAACAACAACAACAACAACAACAACAAAAAAACACCACCAACAACAACAAAAGAACTTTGGATCTACAAGAAATTTCTCTAACAACATGTAGGCGTCATGATGCAAATTGGCACATTCAGTGGAGAGCAAACAGGGGTGGGCTGGTAAATGTTTAGGGATTGGTTGGATCCTTAAATTGCTTGAAGTCAAACAGGAGTGGGAGGAAACAGCAAATTATCGCTCAGATACCCTATTGCTCATGAGTTTGTCTTCTGTTAACAAATGAAGTGATGCGCAGTTAAATGTAGATAAAAGCTTTATCTACATCTGGTCCACTTTGACCAGAATTATTCAGATTAGTCATGATGATGACTTTTAATTTACAAGCTAAATGCATAGTTCTTGAATTTGCTTTTTTTGCATAGACATGATATTAAGGCTTAGTGCTTTTCACTTTTCAGGTGCCTGGTTTTAAAACCATTCAGAACATCTAAACCTAATTACATATGTAACTAACCTGCACAATGTGCACATGTACACTAAAACTTAAAGTATGATAAAAAAAAAAAAAAAGATCAGTAGGCTGGGCGCAGTGGCTCACACCTGTAATCCCAGCACTTTGGGAGGCTGAGGCAGGTGGGTCACCTGAGGTCAGGAGTTCGAGACCAGCTTGGCCAACATGGCAAAACCCTGTCTCTACTAAAAAATACAAAAATTAGCTGGGCGTGGTGGCAGGTCCCTGTAATTCCAGCTATTTGGGAGGCTGAGGCAGGAGAATCACTGGAAACTGGGAGGCAGAGGTTACAGTGAGCCAAGATTGCGCCATGCACTCTGGCCTGGGAGACAGAGCAAGACTCTGTCCCTCCACAAAAAAAAAATATTCAGTAATCACATTAGAAATACTTTTTTCTCTTTTGAAATTGAGCAGATGTTTATTAATTTTAAGTTGTATGGAATTACAGTGTCACGGTTTTTTAATTTTACTAAGAATACCTAGCATTATCAAATGTGATGGAACAGGATTAAAAAATGATTCATTTTAGAATTTAATTAAGATCAAGTCTTTGTGCCGCTGGAGTCTCGTGTCTCTGAGTCGTGACTGTATCATCAGTTAATATTTATATATTTCATTTTAATCCCAGTGACTTGTATGGAATCGTGACACTAAGCTTATTGGCTAGGTAATTACTTACCCAATATATTTACAATAATCTTAATAATTATTATTTTTAATAATAAGTACTTATTTTTGTAAGTAATGATTGAGAAGGAGTAATGAAATGAGTTAGCTAAGGTTCTTAATGAAAGCTAGTCCATGTCTGAATTGTAGATTTAATAATAGTTTTGGAAGTATGGATATCAAATTGGAACAGTTTGATATCACTACAGATCAGTACAATTCAATTTTCCGTTCAGTAAAATTTTGTTTTTAACTTTTACCAAAACATGAATACAGTCATGTGCCACTTAACAATGGGGACATGTTCTGAGAAATGCACCATTAGGCAATTTTGTCATTGTGCGAACATCATAGAGTGTACTTGAACCTAGGTCATATAGCTTACTACACATCTAGGCTGTTTGATATGGCCTATTACTTCTAGGCTACAAACCCCTGCACCATGTTACTATACTGAATGCTGTAGACAACTGTAACATAATGGAATTTGTATATCAAAACCTATCTAAACATAGAAATCTATAAAATAGGATATCAAATATAAAAGATGGTATACCTATGTAGGGCAGCTCCATTATAATCTTATGGGACCACTGTCACATATGTGATGCATCGTTGACTGAAATGTCACTATGTGGTGCATGACTGTATATTATTTCATTAGATTTTTCAATATTTTGAGAAGAACTTTGGGGTCAATTTATTGAAAATTCTATTTCACCTGAATTTTTTGAAACATTCTTACATATTTTTGCTTTAGAATTCTTCCTCAACTATCTTTTCACATGAAGACTGTTTTATTTTGTAGGTATAATTCCCAATCTAATTTATGTTGTTATACCAACAATACCCCTGCTCTTACTGATACTGGTTGCTTTTGGAACCTGTTGTTTCCAGATGCTGCATAAAAGGTAAATAACTCATATATGTAGAGACAATTTGAAAAACTTTAAATAGGTTTTCAGAAATGTTTTAAAACTATTAGCATAAAGTTAATTATATTTTAATTTTCCTTAAGAAATCCTATACATACAATCTAATAAGATATACATTGAGGATAGAATTAATGTAATATATTATTTAATCCTTACAGGACTTATTAAGCAGTTACCCTTCTGTTTGTATTTCTCAGTTGAGAAGATGGTGTCTTAGATGGGTTACCTAGTCTGCCTTGGGTACCATAGTTAGTGTCCACGGTGAATCTGAAATTTGGATGTTTGTAAACTTCCAACATATGCACTATATTATACTGTTTTTTGTTTATGAAGTATAAGAATTAATGCTAAACTTTTCAATCTAGACATCAAGCTATATGTAAGACTTGATATTTGTAGGTTCATTTTGTATTACTTTTCAAAATTCAAGTCACAGGTTTCTGTTTTATTTCAAAAAGATCTTTTAAGAACAGGAAATAAAATACAGCGGTTCAAACAGGCCACTTTTTGGCAGGTATCTTGAAATAAAATCCTATATTTTACCAGCAAGATTTCTGGGGGAATATTATGACTTTTTATCTGCTTTCCTGTACCCTTGGGTTAGAGAAGTTTTTCCATGTGTGCCAATTTTTTAATAAAAATGAAACAAAATTCAATATAATGAAAATGTATTTCATTGTCAAATAAAAAATGAAATATAAATATGTATCAAAAGGAAAAAAGGAAAAGCTATTCTGTTTATATAAGAGCATGTTTGCTAGAATAAACTAGACATCTTTGTCTGCATGGTTTAAATAAGAACTGATCAAGGGGATGCCTCCATCAGGAAGGACCTGCAAACAAATTCATTTTCCTCTTTTGACCTTACTTCATCTTCTTCTTTTTCTGAAATAAACCCTACCATTAAGCAACAAAAGACCCAGAAAAAAATTAAGTAATTCTGAAATGAAATACTAATTCTACACAAAAGCCACATTAATAACCTTTTTTTTTTTTTTTACCATTTAGACCACTTTTGTGCTTTTTATAAACTTTCTTGGCTTATTTTCCATACATGTTAGATGACTGTAGAATAAAGTTGTGCTGATCTTACTTATTTGGATGAAAATCTACAAACCATACAATTTGGACATAATATTTTATTAGTAACCAAAACAGCTAAATCTAAGTGAATTAAGTAATATTTTAAAAGGGTAATGGTCAGGTGTGTTTAGAAATAGTTCTTTTTTCTCTTTGAGGGAATTCTGCAATGTCTGGTAGATGGAGGAGGGGATGGGGAGACGCCTGTGAGGACTGAGGCAGATGCTGGGAACTGGGGCTGGGATGGTCAGGGAGCAAGTAAGTGCACAACACAGTGAACCGGGACAAACACTTTTGGTCCAGGCAGGAGATTATCTTGAGGAAACCAGCCCAAAGAAATCTACTTTTGACAGGGCATCCAGTAGAGAATGACTTGGGTGGATCATCTGAGGTCGGGAGTTTGATACCACCCTGACTAACATGGCAAAACCCCATCTCTACTAAAAATACAAAAAATAGCCAGGCGTGGTGGCGGGCGCCGATAATCCCAGCTACTTGGGAGGCTGAGGCAGGAGAATTGCTTGAACCGGGGAGGCGGAGGTTGCAGTGAGCCGAGATCAGGCCACTGTACTCCAGCCTGGGCGACAGAGTGAGGGTCTGTCTCAAAAAAAAAAAAAAAAAAAAAAAGAGAGAGAGAATGACTTGGATAAACTCAGGAACAGGGAACTTCTGCAGGTGCCTGAAAAGTTATCGTGTTGTGGAAAGACAGAAGATAGCAGAACCCTAGGCACAGGCTGGAAATGTGGGCCAGAATTCCAAATGTGACAAGGGTGAAGTTGTATCTCAAATCTGGAGGAACTCAGAAACTGTTATGTTACCAAAGCATGAATCTGCTATTGAACCACATTGGTTTCAGAGACTGAGGCACCAGTAAGCTTCCAGAAATCAAGTGACTTAGGTGCAGAGCCGGAGAAGCGATGGGAGGAGGGGAATAGGCACATCCATACACATAGTATAATAGCATTGTTTTGATGATTTGACATTAAATTCAGCATCCATTAGTGACAGGGGACTCAAGGAGCAAAATGATTTCCAAAATAATTGATCAAAGAAAATAAAGGTATTTATTGGTGAATAAAACGGAAATGTTTAATATAGTGTCAGGCACATGTTTGTAGGTGTGGAACCAACCCAAATGCCCATCAATCAATGCGTGGATAAAGAATCTGTGGTATATATATGTATATATATATATACACACACACACACATATATGTATGTGTATATATATATGTGTGTATATATATATGTGTATATATATGTGTATATATATATGTGTGTGTATATATATACACACACACACACACACACACATATATATATATGATGGAATACTACTCATCCATACAAAGGAGTGAATTAACGGCATTCACAGCGACCTGGGTAATACTGGAGACTGTTATTCTAAGTGAAGTAATACAGGAATGAAAAACTAAGCATCGTACATTCTCACTCACAAGTGGGAGCTAAGCTATGATGATGCAAAGGCATCAGAATGACACAGTGGACTTTGGGGACTCAGAGGGAAAGAGTAGGAAGGGGGTGAGGGATAAAAGAATACAAATTGGGTACAGTGTATACTACTCAAGTGATGGGTGCACCAAAATTTCACAAATCACCACTAAAGAACTTACTCATGTAACCAAACACCACCCGTTCCCCCATAACCTATGGAAATAAAAAATTAAAATAACAACAGCAACAACAAAAATGAACTCTAAATTAGGAAATGTCAAACAGGAAAAGATATGTTTTGTTTTCTCTATCATTCACAAGAACTGTTTGCCATCTTCACATATTTGAATAATCTAGAAGTTTTTGGAAGAATGGGAAAATATACTGCTGAGAGGGGGAGTCTTTCATAAATAACTGTCTGAGATATCTCCCTTTGGACGTAGACATGCTTAGTTTAATAAGAAATTTTAGGCACTAAACATTTTTTCTTATGTTTTTCAGTAAAGGAAGAACAAAAACTAGTCCAAACCAGTCTACACTGTGGATTTCAAAGAGTACCAGAAAAGAAAGTGGCATGGAAGTATAATAACTCATTGACTTGGTTCCAGAATTTTGTAATTCTGGATCTGTATAAGGAATGGCATCAGAACAATAGCTTGGAATGGCTTGAAATCACAAAGGATCTGCAAGATGAACTGTAAGCTCCCCCTTGAGGCAAATATTAAAGTAATTTTTATATGTCTATTATTTCATTTAAAGAATATGCTGTGCTAATAATGGAGTGAGACATGCTTATTTTGCTAAAGGATGCACCCAAACTTCAAACTTCAAGCAAATGAAATGGACAATGCAGATAAAGTTGTTATCAACACGTCGGGAGTATGTGTGTTAGAAGCAATTCCTTTTATTTCTTTCACCTTTCATAAGTTGTTATCTAGTCAATGTAATGTATATTGTATTGAAATTTACAGTGTGCAAAAGTATTTTACCTTTGCATAAGTGTTTGATAAAAATGAACTGTTCTAATATTTATTTTTATGGCATCTCATTTTTCAATACATGCTCTTTTGATTAAAGAAACTTATTACTGTTGTCAACTGAATTCACACACACACAAATATAGTACCATAGAAAAAGTTTGTTTTCTCGAAATAATTCATCTTTCAGCTTCTCTGCTTTTGGTCAATGTCTAGGAAATCTCTTCAGAAATAAGAAGCTATTTCATTAAGTGTGATATAAACCTCCTCAAACATTTTACTTAGAGGCAAGGATTGTCTAATTTCAATTGTGCAAGACATGTGCCTTATAATTATTTTTAGCTTAAAATTAAACAGATTTTGTAATAATGTAACTTTGTTAATAGGTGCATAAACACTAATGCAGTCAATTTGAACAAAAGAAGTGACATACACAATATAAATCATATGTCTTCACACGTTGCCTATATAATGAGAAGCAGCTCTCTGAGGGTTCTGAAATCAATGTGGTCCCTCTCTTGCCCACTAAACAAAGATGGTTGTTCGGGGTTTGGGATTGACACTGGAGGCAGATAGTTGCAAAGTTAGTCTAAGGTTTCCCTAGCTGTATTTAGCCTCTGACTATATTAGTATACAAAGAGGTCATGTGGTTGAGACCAGGTGAATAGTCACTATCAGTGTGGAGACAAGCACAGCACACAGACATTTTAGGAAGGAAAGGAACTACGAAATCGTGTGAAAATGGGTTGGAACCCATCAGTGATCGCATATTCATTGATGAGGGTTTGCTTGAGATAGAAAATGGTGGCTCCTTTCTGTCTTATCTCCTAGTTTCTTCAATGCTTACGCCTTGTTCTTCTCAAGAGAAAGTTGTAACTCTCTGGTCTTCATATGTCCCTGTGCTCCTTTTAACCAAATAAAGAGTTCTTGTTTCTGAAGAATGATGACTAGTCCTGTCTAAACCTCTTTTATGTGAAACAAGTACAGATATGTTTGCATCGACGTATAAAGTTGAAAACAAATTACTCTTTAAGTAAGTGTGGTAATAATGGAAGGCGTGATTATGTCTAATGTTTTTCCTGTCAATTCTTTTCAGTTAAATAATATTTTCCTCAACACAGTTCACAACTAGCATTGGTTGGCAAAGCTAGGAGGCAAAAGAGAAATCAATGGGCATTGCCCATTTTCAGCTGCTCAGAGACTGAGAGAATGAGCAGCTGCATTTGAAGCTGAGATCTGCCAACATGCAGCACTCCTCTTTCTTTTCTTGGCTACCTATATCATCTATCATCTTTCTGGGTAGAACTGGAGACCAGTTGCTGGGACGTAACCTTTTTCCTCCAAACTACTATCATGTAGTTCTGCCTCTAGTGTGAACATACTGGAGGAAAACTGGGTGTTCCCCCTTGTCTTTGCCACCATGGACTATAACAGCTGCAAGGCAAAAGCAGCAAATAATCAATGGAGAAATGCCTGGCTTTTGCCTTTGGTCTTTATCTAGGTCTGGGTAACTCTTCTGGTATCACCAACTAAACCTATAAGCTACTGGAGGTGGAAAATGAACTTCTCTTTTATTAGAAAATGGTAGTAATCCTAGCTTCTTAACAGTTTCCTAAAATTTTAGCTAACCTTTGGGAAATGAAAAATACATGGTGTATCTGTTGCGTTAGCATTTTTAGAATATATTTTTGCTATATGTTTTGAAATGCAGAAGAAATGTGGAACAATCTTCAGGTACTAAAAAACAAATAATACCCTGCTGGTCAGTCTATCTTTCCCAACTGTTGTTAGAATCAGACCATTGGAAAGGTATTAAAAGGAATCGTGTGTTTAGTGGTGATACGATTTGGCTGTTTCCCCACCCACATCTCACCTTGAATTGTAATAATCCCCATGTGTCAAGGGTGGGGCCAGGTGGAGATAATTGAATCATGGGGGTGGTTTCCCCCATACTGTTCTGATGGTAGTGGATAAGGAAAGTGGAAAGGAAATGGAAGAAGTTCTCCTGCATACGCTCTCTTGCCTGTCTCCATGTAAGACATGCCTTTGCTCCTCCTTTGCCTTCCACCATGATTGTGAGGCCTCTCCAGCTATGTGGAACTGTGAGTTCATTAAATGATGTCTTTCTTTCCTTTATAAATTACCCAGTCTTGGGTATGTCTTTATTAGCAGTAAGAAAATGGACTAAAACACGTGGCTCCTAATTTTTGTCCAAAGAATGAATTCTACAATTTCTTAACAGGAATTTGCATTCGTCCATCATCTGGCCACACCTTCTTCATATAAAACATTTTTTCCCCTTTATCTGACTGTTTCCCAGAGAGAGAGTCTTTTGGTATGACAACACATTATTCTCTATTTAACTGACCCCCACCTGCACAGTAGATCCTCAATATCCTCTTCAATGCCTCTGTAATAATTATTCTTTCCAGGTGTAGTTCAAATCTCCTTTATTCCATAAGGCCAAGCCATACAATTGGTCCCTTCCTTCAATTCCTTTTAACCTTACTCTCTCTCTCTTCTATTAAATAATTGTCCCATGCAAGCATGTGTGTGAAGGTGCGTATGTGTGTGTGTTTTTTATTAACTATGAATTTTTTCTCCCCAGATACATCAAAAGATTCTGTGTGGTGAGCTAAATTGAAGTCAGCACTTATTCTGGAAATGATCCAAGGGATTAAACAAGTGAAGCAAATTCATTTATTACACATATTTGACCTTCTCATGGGTGATTCAGCTGTGTCTAAATAAGTTTTCATATATTAGAAATATCCACTGTAACACACATAAACCAAGACCAGGATTTGCAATAGGTGCATTTCTTTGGTATGTCTGATTATTTTCTTGAGACTTAAAAATACTTGCTTGAAATAAATAGGTAAAATTTATCTAATATACAATGACTATATCAGTTAATTTATCTTTTATTTAATTAACTTATTTAAGAGGAACGTAAAATCAATTTAGTCCAGGCCTGTGACATAAGCTTACAATAAATAGTTTCTATTGGTTGGGAAAATACTAAGGTTATGCATATGTTGAAAATTTTGATAGAAAAGACAGAGAAACAATTGAGTTTCTGCTAATAGCAGCAAACTAAACTGGAACTAGAAAATTTATGGCAGTTTATTTCCAACAGTGACATACTTTGGGAAAAACAATTTATTTTCTTTCTTTTTTAAATTCTGCTCAAATTTCTTAAGTGTATGGTATATGCTTTAAAATAACATCCCTTTAAACAACAGTAAGTAATAAAAATAATCATTAAGAATTTTAAAAATGAGATCTGTGAAGAAATACCTGTTCACAATGAAATACAAATGTATTTAATGGTATTTTAAAGTTATTCTGTATTGCTATGGTGAATTTTATTATTTTTAAAATTTTGTTTCCCTGGCCCCCTAGCATTTCATTGACATAGGTAAGAATAAAAACCTTTGGTAACTTTTTAAAATTTTTGTACGAAACACTTAATTTCCATGCTTTCTAGAGTAGAATGGGAAAATAATGCGACTTTCCTGTTTAGTTTAAGAAATGCGCTAATGTAGAAAACTTTGTATCCATTCGGTAAACCTTGAGACCCTGGCATACACTCCGGGGCGATTAGGCAGGGCACACTTGTATCCAAATGAGGTCACACCAGCAAGGAACCACCTGTTGTTTTCTTGGCACATTAATGGTCCTCCTGAATCCCCCTAAAGAGTGAATTGCAAAACAAAATTGTAGATATGTGGTCAATTGATCGAAACATATAAAATTATTTGTATCAAATAAATTAAAAAATAAAAATTAATTAAAAAATATGATTTAATTGCAAGTCATCTGTATATATTCTCACTTTCACTCTAAGTCAGGAATGAGAACCTCAGTAAGGAGACAGAGAAACTATAACAACTAAGACATCATTTATAATTTTTACAGTGCACCTTTTTAGTAAAAGTTTCTCCACTTTAATTAGGCATTTTGGTGGCTACTAAGAAGTTCTTTAAAGCACAACTATGAAAAGCATCCCAAACAAAATATTTATTAACAGCCAATCACTTTATTTAAGGAGATCTGCTGTAAGTGCCACAAAGGACACTATGGAAAAGACAAATTATTTCACAATATACTTTTTGGAAAAATTAGGAACTCACACATAAAGTAGATTTTAGTTCTCTTGGGTAGTATTATCTTTTTGGGGCTCAACAAACACCATCCGATTTGAAAAACATTTCAACTGAAATAAGGAAGTCTGTGATATAATTTTTAGTGATAATTGCTCATGTTTTCATCTGAGATTTCAAACTAAGAAATATTTTTAATTTTTATGAATATTAATCACAGCAGATCCTAGTAAAGTAAATTTCATAGATTTTATTTGCACGTGATTCCTGTGTAATGCAATGATAATACAAACATATAATATCATTATTTAATGACATAAAATTGACAAGTATTTTTCCTGTATTAATTGGGCAAATCTTTTTGATTAATTTGTTTTTTATATTTATGAAGACATTTAAAGTTTTATGTGTTTTGAAATCACTGGTATAATAGAATATTTCAATCCCAGCTCGATGCTAGAAATTATCCTGAGAGACTTTTTGTCTGATCCTTTTTATCATCTTTGGGCCCTATATTTAAAGAAAAAAATGTAATCTATCAATGCACCCTTTTTTCCCCTCCATACACAGGAACATAAATTGCACTGGCGACCATAGGTTACCAACATTCTAGTGTAACAAATGTGTGCAAGGTGTTTGAAAGCAGGGACTGTGATTTCTATTTCTGCATCCCAAACCCTTAATCTGTAATTATAGGTTCTGAAATATTTATGGAACAGTTTATATTCAAGGATCAAAGTACATTTTATATGACTTGGAAATTATTAAAAATAAACTTCAGCTGTTTGGATATTTTTAAAAGGAGTAACTTGTTTTTTTACATATCTTCTAAAACAATTTAATTTTTTAATAGACAAGAGGATCCAGACAGAATAAGGATTTTACCCAGAACATACTGGGTCGGTTGCAGTTACTCAAGGATCCTGCGGCAGACTTGTTGCCTATCGGCTGGGTGGTCTACCTGATTGGGAGACCTCAGTCTGTTTCCATTACTTCTTGTCATCTAACTATAACACATCAGTTTAGTTATGTAACTTCTCCTTACCTTAATTTTCTTTTCTTTTCTTTTTTTTTTACATTTTACTTTAAGGTCTGGGATACACATCCAGAATGTGCAGGTTTGTTACATAGGTATACGTGTGCCATGGTGCTTTGCTGAACCTATTGACCCGCCCTCTAAGTTCCTTCCCCTCACCTCCTAGTCCCCAACAGGCCCTGGTGTGTGTTGTTCCCTGTCCTGTGTCCATGTGTTCTCATTGTTCAACTCCCACTCATGAGTGAGAACATGCAGTGTTTGGTTTTCTGTTCCTGTGTTAGTCTGCTGAGGATGATGGCTTCCAGCTTCATCCATGTCCCTGCAAATGACGTGATCTCATTCCCTTTTATGGCTGCATAGTATCCCATGGTGTATATGTGCCACATTTTCTTTATTCAGTCTATCATTGATGATGGGCATTTGGGTTGGTTCCAAGTCTTTGCTATTGTAAATAGTGCTGCAATAAATACACGTGTGCATATGTCTTTACAGTACAATGATTTAATCCCAGTAAAGGGATTGCTGGGTCAAATGGTATTTCTGGTTCTATATCCTTGAGGAATTGCCACGCTGTCTTCCACAATGGTTGAACTAATTTACATTCCCACCAACACTGTAAAAGTGTTCCTAGTTCTTCACAACCTTGCCAGCATCTATTGTTTCTTGACTTTTTAATAATCGCCATTCTGACTGGCATGAGATGGTATCTCATTGTGGTTTTGATTTGCATTTCTCTAATGATCAGTGATGTTGAGTTTTTTTTTCACATTTGTTGCCTTTCCTTAATTTTCTGATTTGTTCAGTGAAGATATTAATATTTCATTCTTCCACTGTCTTGGAGATATATGAGTACTTCAAAAATATGCATGGGACCCGGTGCGGTGGCTCACACCTGTGATCACAGCACTTTGGGAGGCCGAGACGGGTGGATCACCTGAGATCAGGAGTTCGAGATCAGCCTGGCCAACATGGTGAAACCCGGTCTCTACTAAAAATACAAAAAATTAGCCAGGTGTGGTGATGGGTGCCTGTAATCCCAGCTACTCGGGAGGCTGAGGCAGGAGAATCACTTGAATCCGGCAGGTGGAGGTTGCAGTGAGTGGAGATCATGCCACTGCACTCCAGCCTGGGCAATAAGAGCAAAACTCTGACTCAAAAATAAATAAATAAATAATAAATAAATACATACGTAAATAAATATTTTTAAAAATATGCATGAATTTACAGAACATAAAGTATTAACCTTAAATTTATGTTTCTAGTGAGATGCTATATTTATAAGTAAACATAAAAATCAGTACCTTCTTTGAGTGTCTGAGTGCAAGGGTTGGTGACCATTTTTGTTGAGAACATTACTTCTCATACTTTAGTGTGCATCAGAATCTCCTGGAAGATGTGACAAACACACATAGCTGGCCCCACCCTCATAGTTTCTGATTCAGCAGATATGTGATGAGCCCTGATAATTTGCATTTCTAGCAGGTTCTCAGGTGGTGCTGCTGGACTGGAGGCCACGCATTGAAAGCCATTGGAATAGAATATGGCTTGGAATGGTAGGTAGAGTGTCAGTCACTAAATTTTAGGTAGAGAAGATATTCTTCAGCCATTGGTGTTGCCTTGAAATCCAAACTACTACCACTAAAAGGCAAGCCTTTGGTAAGTCAGAAGTTGTGGATGACTAATAAGGCACATTCTTTGCCACTGTAAGGCTAAAAAATGATGCTTCAAAGAACTTAAATAATGTATCAGTAATAACGTGTTCACAATTTTAAAGAATGCATTCTTATTTAATCAGTTAATCCTGTTATAAAACATAGTATTAAAGTTGAACAAAGAAAATCATGTGACAGTCTAGTGTATTAATTACTCAATTATGATAACATTTTATTATACAAGGTATTACCTTATGTGGGAGACTTCTTGCTTACCAAGGAATAACATGCTTAGACTGTGTAGAATCAGAGCTAGCTATAAGATTTCAGAGACCTGGCATGAGTTAATGACTTAATGTAACCCTAAAATCAATAGCATCAGCCGTCATATTTTC
Source organism: Homo sapiens (assembly GCF_000001405.40). Lineage (NCBI taxonomy): Eukaryota > Metazoa > Chordata > Mammalia > Primates > Hominidae > Homo > Homo sapiens. The sequence goes on from NC_000021.9 coordinate 18,273,619, forward strand.
TGCCTAGTGCGTGAGGTGTCTGCCACACAATCCCCATTAGCTGTAATTGAAGTTGTCCAGCTGATTTCCCTTCTGCGCAAGAATTCTATAGATCTCCTTCTAAGTGGCAATATATCTTACCTTTAGCACACTTTTCATTTTAAAAAAGAAGTATAAGACCCGAAGATAAATTTTAAACAAGAAAAAAGCCATCCTATTTGTCTTGAATTTGCAAGCATTTATCAAAGCAGAATAAATGTAAAACTAAGCTGGAAGTTTAACACAACTGAAGATATTGATTTAACTAGAGGACTTACATACAGATGATCTGAATAAGCGTCAATTTAGATGGCTCGTCATGTATTGATAGTATGACATATATGTGTTAATATATAAAATAAGTTGCTACACTTTAACACAGTGAAACCATTTTCCTATGACATAAACTGCTATTTCTTCATTTAGTAATTATTCGTTTGGTCAGTAATGCTAGCAGGTTTAATCCAGCAGACATTAAAGCATTGATATGTTATTAATTTTCAAATATAGAAAATATGCCAGAAAATTTATTTACTAAGCTTCATAATAAAAACTGTTAACATTTTTGAGTAATTGCTCGATGCCTTACATGGGTTATCTCATTTAAACCTCTCCATAAACCCTAAGTCACTTGCCCAAAGTCTCACCAATAAGTGTTAAAGCCAGGATCAAACAAGAGTAGTCTGAACATAGAATCCATGCTCTTCATGACTACCCCATGCTGTACCTAAAAATTAATTACAATTCTAAAATCTAGCAGAACTTCCCTTTTTATTTATTGTGTGTACTTGGATTTCATGGCGCTAATAGGAACATTACTCTTAGGTGGCAAGATATTTCAGTGAAGTTACTACGTGGGTAAGAGTTTTTTCCTAATGTCACACAGGTCAAGAGCCATTGACACTTCAAATTTATTGCAATATTGACATTAGCACTACAGCAAGTTCAAGTTACTACATTTCTAATATACAGTGTAAACGATAATATAAAAGCCAGAGCCAGGGTTATGCCAGTCTATTAAGTTATTTACTTCCCCTTTGGTTAGCTGTAAATTGACTCTAACGAGGCTATGCAGGTTTTCATCAAGAAATTACTTCAGGTTACTGCACGCCTGGATGATATTCTAAATTCAGGGTTGAAATTTAGAGGCCCACAGACTAAACTGGCCCTCAAGCCCTGTTTTTGTTTGTTTGTTTGTTTTAAGTTTGCATGGGGTTTAAAATAATTGGAAATTTGAAAAGAAACTGCTTTTAGATAAGGTGCACACTTTCTGGCTCAACCCAGGTCCACTGCTCATTTTAGCTGGCTGCCTCACACATTCAAGTATTATGTCTAGTCTCCAAAAGCATCGATTTGTAACCTATTTTCTTAAAAAATAATTTTTGTTTCCAGTGCTCAGGTCTACCCAAGAGGATTACGCAAATAGGCAAAAAGTAACAGTTTTGTAAAAGAGAAATGAAAGAAGCTTATTTCTTTACTCCCTAATTATTGTTAAGCAATGAAATAACTATAACACCAGTGCTTTCTGAAAAGGTACAGTGAGCAGTTTTACATCTTTACCTGACAAGAATCTATTCCTCCTTCTTCATAGCCTGCACATATCATATTTTCAGTAATGTTATATTCTGGCATCTGCTGTTGGCATCTCTCATTTGATAGAAGAGGAACATCAGCTTCTTGCAATATGTTTGCAGTAGTACCTGCTCAAAATGGAGAATGCAGCCAGCCAGTCAGAAGTGATCAACATGCATCCTTGAATGAACTACCATCAGTCCTATTTATTCCAACATTTCACTCTCATTATCAAGTACTGTGTATATATAATGGAACTAAATACTAAACCTTGCACACTAAAGCACATAATAAAGCCCATCTGTGGATTGTGCCAAATGGATAACAGGAAAGCTCTTCTTTTTTACCGAAGGGCTAGTAGGAGCGATGGATTAGACTAGATGGTCTTTGGGCATCTTCTGTGATTTTAAACAGTTACAGGATTGCTCATGGGGGAAAACGCTCCCCAACACAAAGTGTTTCATTCATGGAAATTAGCAACAGCTCAGAAATCCAGAAGTGCTTTTCATTTGGCACCTGAGGAGGTGCTCGCTTCTGTATAATAGCATTCAGCTTCTTTGTGGTGCTATGTGAGTGAGCAGGTGCACATCGAGCAGAGGACAAAGCTCAGATGAACTATGCCCTGGTCTAGGGGCAATCAGCTTGTCATGCATACCCAGGTGAAGAGAAAGGAGGCATTTAAAAAAATAAAGCAGAGTGTACTTACCTGCTTTTTACAAAATGATTCATCCACTAGAAGTACGAATCTCTGCTGAAATACTAATCCCAAGAGAGATGTGAAACAAGCAGGTGTCTAGTGCCCCAGAAAAGGTACATGATAAGCACTTTCTAATAATTAGCATTTCTATTTTGTTCCTCAAGAGAGGCAGAACGTTGAAGAGAAGTTAGTACATTTGACAGCCATTGATGCTGAAAAAATTTATGTGACCTCATTTCTAGCTAAATTTAATTCATGCACTAAAAAGATGAAGGAAGCAAAAAAAGTGTGTTCGTGCACACGTGCACGTGTGTGTGTAGTTAAATGCAAAACAGATATATATGACTCAGTAGTGCATTGGTAAATGTATATCAATTTTCTCTCCAGAAAAATGAAAGCCCCATGGGCCTTCCTCTCATTTTACTGATGTAAACACTTCCACAATGATCAATTTCAAGGTACCAGCATGGCAGTGAACATGGAGTAAACATTACTAGATAACTTTTCAAGTTTGACAATGGACTATAAGAAAATGAATTGCAGAGATTAAAATGGAGGAGAAAATTTGGCATCTCACTGTTATCCATTCTATGAGGATCAAGGATGGCTTGGCAGACTTTAATTTTACAATAAAAACCAAGGCCACTTCTGCTGCTTGTCAATGATTTAAAATTTGTTTGGTAGATGATAAAACTGTTTGGTAAAGGAACATTTGAGCAGTGTCTGTTTACTGATTGCCTTGATTTAACCAACTAGTATCACCTCATTTCTTCCTAGTGAACAATATGTTCATGGTTTTCCTAGCTAATCAATTAGTATAATATACTCAAAAGATTGAAAACTGGGATTCTTTTTTTTTTTTTTTTTTTTTGAGACGAAGCCTAGCTCTTGTCCTCCAGGCTGGAGTGCAATGGCGCAATCTCGGCTCACTGCAACCTCCGCCTCCTGGGTTCAAGTGATTCTCCTGCCTCAGCCTCCCGAGTAGCCTGGGATTACAGGTGTGTACCACCACGCCTGGCTAATTTTTTTTTTGTATTTTAAGTAGAGACGGGGTTTCACCATGTTGGCCAGGCTGGTCTCAAACTCCTGACCTCAGGTGATCTGCCCGGCTCAGCCTCCCAAAGTGTTGGGTTTACAGGCATGAGCCACCGCACCCGGCCAGAAAACTGGGATTTTATGAAATTAAGTAGATGGAAGTCATAAAGCAAAGTTCATAAACTACGTGAAACTTACCATCACTCAAGAAATATTTAAACATGATCTAGCTGTTTATTCCTAAATGAAATTGATCTCAGATACAGTTTATTTCCTGGCTCCATACCACTCTTAGAGACTTTCTTAAGTTAATCAGACATATATCTTTAGTAACAATAAGTAAACGTAAGTCACATTTACTCAGCTTTTAAAAAAAATCCAAAAACAAAAAAAACTTCCTATGAAATAAAGAGTTTCAAATTTTGTTATTGGTTAATTTGTTTTTGAAGAGCCTACACTGTGGTCATAAAATGTCTTTTAGCTTGAAGTCTGAAAAGAGAAAATATCTATCTAGGAATCATTTTTACTGTTTAAATTTGAAGTTTAATAAATCATAATATTTTTCAAGAGGGAGAAATATATGAATATACAGTCTTTGACTTCAATATACTTGATGGACAGCAGACATGAGGCATTTTCAGCAATACAGTGTCATTGCTGTGAAGAACTTTTGTAGGAGTTATCAGAAAAGCATTTGACTTAGAACTTTGTGCTTTCTCTTATAATAGGTAACGACATTTTAAATGTGAGTACTTTGATTCTGAGACCCTCTACCTTTCCACAAGATTTTCTGCATTTTCATCTTAAATACATTTAGGACTTTTAAACATCATGGCTATAATTTGTTGTGACTGCAGGGATCAGGTTCTCTTATCAGACTACAGAGCCTTTTCTGGTGCTTTATTATTTATGAGTGGTTAAAACTCTGTCCCAGCTAGGGCACTCCTATTAGAAATTCCACAGCCAATGAGCCTTGTGGTTACATTTAGAGGGTATGAAGTACGAGAATACTTTTCAAAAAAAAGTATGATTATTTTTAATATGTATGATTTCTGTGTTTGGAAAACATGCAGTTGATGCTGGGGGTGAATGGTGTATCAACTGATGGATACAATGTAAGATTCATGTCAAATCTGAGCCCTCTTGTCAGTAAGCAGAATTAGCATGTTCAAGTTACAAGAGATTCCATTCTCATTTTAAGAAAATGTTGAGTGTGAGGCCTTCACATTATAAATAAAGATAGTTTTATTAGTTTGGAAAATGTGACAGGTAATAATTTGGCTTTTGATGAGACTTTATCATGTGCTTTACAAAAATAAATTTTTGTAACCCTAGTTTATATTCATTTTAATGAGGCTTTTAAGTTTATCAGAGTGTTTATAATACTAAAACTAGATATTGAGGTTGGGGACACTTGAATTCCCCGTCAAAAGAATATAGTTTTATAATATCTTCTATGCAATCTGAAGAAATTTTTAAAAACTCTACAAATATATAGGCTGGGCGCGGTGGCTCACGACTATAATCCCAGCACTTTGGGAGGCTAAGGCAGGCGGATCACGAGGTCAGGAGATCGAGACCATCCTGACCAACATGGTGAAACCCCGTTTCTACTAAAAATACAAAAAAAATTAGCCAGGCATGGTGGCAGGCGCCTGTGGTCCCAGCTACTTTGGGAGGCTGAGACAGGAGAATGGCGTGAACCCGGGAGGTGGAGTTTGCAGTGTGTCAAGATGGCGCCACTGCACTCCAGCCCGGGCCACATTGCGAGACTCCGTCTCAAAAACAAACAAACAAAATCCTACAAATATAAAAACTCTGCAAGTATATCTTTGAAAGCTCTACAGATACACAACTCTAAATATATATATGTACATGCTTGACGGTACTTTTAGGAGATATTGAAAAAACTGTTATATAAGAATTGCAAAGATGTTGAAAGCATTCACAGGATATTATGACAGTCTGTTTTTCACCAGTAAGGTTTTTTTTTTTTTTTTTTTTTTTGAGTCTGATAATTTACCTTGATATACAACCGTCCCCCAACCAGCAATAGAACAATTTCTTCCTGGAGGAAAAACTTGATTTTCTTCCGGTAAACAAATAGGTTGTATGTAATCTGGAAAAACAAGCAAACAGCAAAACGAACAAACGAAGAAAAAGAAAGAACAGATTTACAAGCATTTCTAACAAGTTTTAAAAATCAATAACAGTTAATCTAAAAAACATGTATTTTTTTTTTTAATCCTACCTGTAAAAATTTTAGACATCGGTCTTAGGGGAAATAGGCATTTCAGAGCAGCACTTTTTGACAATAGATCGGCTACCACTGGTGGCCCTTTAGGGTCTTTTACTAGTCTCCTCGTTACTCTTTTTTTTTTTTTTTTTTTTTTTTTTTTTTTTGAGACGGAGTCTCACTCGGTCGCCCAGGCTGGAGTGCAGTGGTGCGATCTCAGCTCACTGCAAGCTCCACCTCCCAGGTTCACGCCATTCTCCTGCCTCAGCTTCCCGAGTAGCTGGGACTACAGGCGCCCGCCACCACGCCTGGCTAATTTTTTTGTATTTTTTTTTTTTTAGTAGAGATGGCGTTTCACTGTGTTAGCCAGGATGGTCTCGATTTCCTGACCTCGTGATCTGCCCACCTCGGCCTCCCAAAGTGCTGGGATTACAGGTGTGAGCCACCGCACCCGGCCCTCATTTCTCTTTTATAGTGTAAAAAATGTCTTAGTTCTGGAGGTAATCATTTATATTTTATTTTTAAATAAAATTATGGTGCTCAATAGAAAGTGGTGCCAGTTCTCTGAAAATTATGGTAAGGATGATTTTCAGCATCAATTAATAGAAATTTGGGCAAATGTTCTGAGACTTTTTTATTTTCCCCAATTATCACCATGTTAAAAAAGCTTTTAGGAGATTGTTTTACAGGGCAATTATGGAAGCATTGACATTGGTCACTGACTTTTAAAGCCCTTCTTGCATCAATTTACAAGCCAACTGGCACCCTTAAGCACCCACTGCATGTAAGACCTAGGGCAGACACAAAAATGAATAAGACACAGTGCTTATCCTTAAGGACAGGGATATACAACTAACCGTAGCAATAGTCTGCTTTTGATAAGTGCTGTAATGCATGTATAAATCAAACCCCATGAAAACACAGAGATGGCAGCACTTTCTCCTAACCGGGCACTGAAAAAGACTTAGGAATAAAAGTCAGAATTGAGCAGAGCCCTTCATGATAAAATTCACTTTATCAGGGGATTTCTTGCACATTTTCCAGGCATTTGGAGGAAGTCCTTCATTTGTCACTCAGATAATATTATCGAATCTCCATTAAAAACTTCATCCTATGAAGGCCGGGCACGGTGGCTCACGCCTGTAATCCCAGCACTTTGGGAGGGCAAGGTGGGTGGATCACAAGGTCAAGAGATCGAGATCATCCTGGCCAACATGGTGAAACCCCATCTCTACTAAAAATACAAGAAAAAAAATTAGCTGGGCATCATGGCATGCACCCGTAGTCTACCTGGGAGGCTGAGACAGGAGAATTGCTTGAACCTGGGAGGCAGAGGTTGCAGCGAGCCAAGACTGTGCCACTGCACTCCAGCCTGGGCAACAGAGCGAGACTCCGTCTCAAAAAAAAAAAAAAAAAAAACAACAAAACAACAAAAAACCAAACTTCCTTCTATGAATAACTTAATTCTTGCTCACTTTCCCCACAGAACATGTGTTCTTCTCTCAGTTTATGTCTTACTCTGCTTTTTGGTAGATGAACCTACCTTTCTTTTACATGAAAAATAGAGAGGGCATGCATAATAACATCATCTATTTATCTGAGCTTCTCCTTTGAGTTTACTGTTATACAGGGCTCAGAGAGTTTTATTCTACTGGTTCTTTCTGGAAAGTTGAATTTAAACATCCTGATGAAAGAAATTTAATATATTTCTCTCTACTCCCTAATCCCATTTAAGTTCCAATGATTTATGTAACAAATTATCTAGCTTTTATGAATTAATGCATTGACATTGATAATATTTGAAATCTAGTTTTGAATTAATTTTGGCAGATAAGATGACTAAGAGTGATTTTTTTTTTTTACCTGTGTAATTCACTTTAAATTCCAGATGCATCATGGCAATGTCGTTGTCCTTTCTTCGCCTATTGTAATGAGGGTTTATGACAATTTCATCTATTAATCGAGGGACTGTTTGAGGAGAGGTCAGATTTGATTTCATATGCAGGCCTAGGATTGCTGTCCACTTGGATGGCTCTAAGTTTCTCCTGAAAATTGTAATGAAGAAATATGAGACACTCTCCATCCAAAGCAGTTCCTTTCTAGAAGATCTTCATCATGACATTTCAGAATATGTTTCTATCCTGAAATGTTCTTTAATTTCTCTGAAGAATCATCCTTTAAAAATATTCTCAAATCTTTATTTTTCTGATCACAACATAAAGAAAACCCTAATTAGTGCTAATCTCTCTGTTTCACTCCTCTTAAGTTATATGCTGAGCTCTAGTTCTAGATTGTGGTTCTCAACTGTGGTTGTACATTGCAATCTCGTGAGGTGCTTTTAAATAATGCTGACACCTACTTCCCCTCCTCCCCCGATTCTAATGTACTGGGTCTGGAATAGTCCACCAGACAATTTAAAAAATACTTCTAAAATTAAATCTCCAAATTTGTGCTACTATATATAATATATGGCTAGGTTGGAGAACCTCTGCCTTAGGTCACATTTCACTGTGGAAATTGTGTCCCTGTTAAGGGCTTTTTCAGACAACTGTAGCTAGCAACTGTAGTATAATGGAAGGAAGTTCAGATGCATTTCCCATTTAGAGAGTCATTGAATTCACATATAGTTAAAGTAAACAAGCCAGGCGCGGTGGCTCACGCCTGTAATCCCAGCACTTTGGGAGGCCGAGGCGGGCGGATCACAAGGTCAGGGGATCGAGACCATCTTGGTTAACACGGTGAAACCCCGTCTCTACTAAAAATACAAAAAATCAGCCGGGCGTGGTGGTGGGCGCCTGTAGTCCCAGCTACTTCGGGGGGCAGAGGCAGGAGAATGGCGTGAACCCGGGGGGCGGAGCTTGCAGTGAGCCGAGATTGCGCCACTGCACTCCAGCCTGGGAGACAAAGCAAGACTCCGCCTCAAAAAAAAAAAAAAAAAAAAAAAAAAAAGTAAACAGTATGCCTTATTATAATTTTTATAATCTAACATATAAACTTGAATAATCTCCATATACAATGTTGGCCATCTATAATAATTGGTAAAGGATAACACTTGTGTTGTAGAACAGATTAAATTGGGTAGTATATTATAATTTGAAAGTGTGCAAGGACTTTTAAATGTGCTATTGGCCTGCGATTTCTTCACACAAAGGAATTATCAGCTGGAATTAAGCCAGTTAAGCCATATTCACAATGAAGGTAAAATTCAATGGTTGCAATCCTAGGCAGAGCTATTGATTCAATTCTTAACAGTCGCAAATGCCTCGTTTAATGTGGTATTTAAATATTAAAGTCCAAGTCACTTCCAGATGTATAAAGGGCATGAAGTTACTTACATCTATCTATCACTTTGTTTTATTTACCAAATTACTATGTTTGGTCAGGTAGCAGTCATCAGTAAAGCCAGTGAGCGTCCAAGCATTCAGTAAAGCATCCACTGACAACCACATTGCATTAGAACTTGAAGAAATACACCTAAGTGCTCTGTAGCAACAAAATACTACTTGGTGCCAAGTGCAATACCGAGAACTTTTGTATCTCTTCATTTAATCCTCATCATAATTTTACAATGGGAACAAACTAGGCGCTGATTATCTAAATGGTAGGAGGTGACTTTAATTGGAGCTGTCTGACTTTAGAGCCTGCACTTAACACCAGTGACTGGGGTGCCTCATACAGCTCTGAGTGGGGTGCCATGGGAGGGATTGAGAACTAGAAGGAAGGACTGGAGATGTGGGGGGCAAGAGGGAGAGATAAGCTCTGCTGTTGCTTTCCCTGCTCCCACATAGGGGAAGTTATCTCTGCTCCTAGTGGTTGGTGGCAGCTCCTTAAGTGGCTTAGAGACTGGGCCAGGAGGTCATTATGGTGCTGTACAGGCTTGACAAGAGGTCTTCGTGCTTTCTCTTCTCCAGGTCAGAGGAATCTGTACTTCAGCCATGCTTGGCATCTTGATAATTTCAGACAGCACCCCACTTCCACTGTACCCTGGGATTCCCGTGTCTACTTTAGCCTATGTAGGGAGAGTGAACAGAGCCAAATCTCTTCCCTGGTGTTCTGTTTCTGAACTTCTTTCTCTATCACATGTTAAGTATATTTCCTAAAGCTCAACTGGTCAGTTTTCACTTGAGTAGCCTGCCTGTTAAGACTGACAGGTAACAAGTAGTTACTTTATTTTAAAAATTGTATGATTTTTTTTTTACTCAACATTTACCTCACACATTCACTCAATATTTACAAAAAATTAATCTTACAATTACTATACCGTATGTTTTGTGTTTGGCATTTTATTAAATTTATTTATACATCATATTCTCTGTTATATTCATATAACCAATGTATTGTAATAGTATTTATAATTTATAGTGTATGTATATAAATTATCTATATAAATATTACCTATATTAATGAACTATTAATATTTGCTCACAGTGTATGAGATCATTATATATAAGTTGGAGTTAACAGAGGACATGTCATTATTAAAAATTATAGGATTGTCTCCTCAGGTGTTTTATACATATTTTATCTTCAGAATTTTTCATATAGAAGTTCAGAGAGGTGCATGCAGTTTATTTGATATAGATTTAAATAAATGTTAAATTAAGGTATTTCAGAGAAAGAGCATCTAAACTCCCAAATTCTTCTTTGTAAATACTATACTTTATCTGAGAACTAATCAACATAATCACTGATATGAGAGAGCTTGTAGGTAACATAGTTTAGTAATCATCACTTCCTTTCATTATTTTAAGGACTTGAGTAGAAAACCAATATATGAACCAGGAACGTGCAGATTAAATATACGTGCTTCAAGCTACTCATCTAATTTAATACAATTTACAACAATATTAATCTGACACATTCTTGATAATTTCCAAAATTGTTTATTGTGCCACATAGAAAATAGCCTCTCTTTCATGTTTTTATTACTTCAGTATCTATGAGCAGCACCATGGATAGGAAAAATTCCGCCGCCATGTATCATTTACATCTTTCCTTCAAAGAGAAAGGCTGCTCCACAAACCTTTCTGTCATGCACTTAACTTCCCCACCACAAAACCAACACTAGCACAAGCACCACCAGTACTACTCCATCTGGCAGTAATTTTAGAGCTTTTCCTCGGTGGAAAATGACTGGAGAATACAGAGCTTACAGCCAATAGTTCTTAAGTTCTAGAGCCACTTGAGGAAGTTTCTAAAACTTTAGATTTCTAGTTTCCATTTCCAGAAATTCTAATTTGGAAAGTTGGAGTGGCACTCAACAATCTGTACTTTGTAATCACTGTTGGGATACTGAGCAATGCAGAAAACTTCCTAGCTTTTTTATATACCCAAATCTGAGGGGCAGGTGAAGACAGCCTTCAGAAAAATCATTTTAGATGAAGAGATGGGACTTTTTATGTTTTTAAAATCTGGTCTCAAAGCATCTCTTTTCTAGTAAAGGAAGGAAGAGCTATAGCGCTGAAGATAGATGGGCATAGGAGAAGGTGAGAACCACCTGGAATAGGAAATCCCCAATCCGGTGGAGGATAAAGATCGCAAAGATAGGGCATCTTCAGATAGAAGTTGGCTGAATTTACTTTCGGAGGCCGAGGCAGGTGGATCACCTGAGGTCAGGAGTTCGAGACCGTCCTGGCCAACATGGTGAAACCCCGTCTCTACTAAAAATACAAAAATTAGCCAGGCGTGGTGGTGCACGCCTGTAATCCCAGCTACTCAGGAGGCTGGGGCAGGAGAATTGCTTGAACCCGGGAGGCAGAGGTTCCAGGGAGCTGAATTTGTGCCATTGCACTCCAGCCTGGGTGACAAGAGCAAAACTCTGCCCAAAAAAAAAAAAGAGAAAAAAAAGAAGTTGGCTGAATTTTTGCTGCATTTCACCATCTGTCCTGCACAAGCAAGACATTTATCATAGTAGCAAGAGAAAGAGAAGCACAGCAGGTTGGAGAGGGCAGAAAAACATACACTCCTGGTCTCTGTAACCCCAAAGATGCTTCTTTGAAAAAAAGATGCTTTTTTCCCATTTCCTGAGATGCAGAAGCAGCACCAGATAAGATGAACTAGTGGTACCTCAGATATATGTGGCAATGTGCTGATGTGAAAATAACTTCACCACTCTAGGCATCAGGATGTCCATTTGTAAGTGGGACTTTCAATGCAGTAGAAAGCAAATATGGTAAGACAGCTATGATAGAGCATCACAACAGGCTGAAGGGAAAATAAAATCAATGGGAATCCAAAACTGTAAATTAAAACCTTTTTCCTGTTTTACTATTACTAAAGGTGGCACAACAGCAACCTCAACAACTTTGCACCATGCCAACACTGATGTTTACACCCAGCACAGCATTTTTGGTCTCTATTTTTATTCTCCTCTGAATGTAATGAGGATTCCTAGATGGCTAGCCAATTCGAATATTTAAGGCAACTGAAAGTTAGAATGTTTCTGAAACATAGTGTTGTTGCCAGAGAGTACGAAAGTTTTCAAGAATATCGGGCAATTCTGAAAGTACAAAGAAGCCAGATTAAATGAAATAACACTGGCGAAGTTTTAGCAAGGTGACTCTCATATAATGATCATTATCATTACCACAGTTAAAAGAAAAGAGTTGTTTATGAAAGGCCATGTGTCTGCAATGAAACTCAAAAGAGAAAAGTTAACAGGTGCAAAAGGTAGTTTTATTATAAAAGGAGGGTAGGCAACAAGAATATGTTTAATTTTTCTTCCTTTTCATGAGTAAGGACAAGAGTTTCATATATGTGAATATTTTTATTTAATTTTAAGTAGAAATCTGTTTTTAAAATATGGGTATATGCTTATTTGTGTAAGTGTAAGAAACAGAAGTAAGTACAGCAAACCAGAAATAGGCCAAACACTCCTGAGCATAATTTTACTTGGTAGATTATTCCTGAAACTTAAGGAATCATCTTTGAACTCTTTTCCTCACTTGACTTCCAGGATTCACCATGCACTTGTGATTTTCCTTTCATTTCACTCTCCGTTCCTCCTCAGTCTTTTTTTCTCCCCCAGGTCTTTTTTGTTCATCTTAAACTCTAAATTTTAGAATATCCCAGGGGTCTGCCTTCGGCCTTCTCTTTTATATCTACACTGGCCTCATACATAATCTTAACCAAGTCATTATTTTAAATACCTACAATATACTGAAAACTTCTAAATTTGTATTTTAATTCTTGACTTCTTCCATACAGTCTAGATTTGTATGTCCATAGGCTGACATCATTGGCTGATACCAACTTGGATGTCTAATAGGCAGTCCCAAGCTTAATATATAAAAATCAGAACTCTCACTCTCTTTCCAATCTGATTTCTTCCTGTTTTCCTCATCTCAGTAAATGATATCAACACTCACTCCATTCTCTTTTCCTTACTCCATATCTGTGATCATTAATAAATGCAGATGACTCTAACCATCAGAACTTACTAAAAAGATCCAGCCACTTCCTCAGCTTCTTCAGCTATGGTCCTAACTGGTGTCCCTGATTTCACGTTTGCTCCTCCCAGCAGTCCCATCTTCACACATTAGCCTGATTGGATAAGGTCACTCTTTGGTCCTCCACATGGTCCCTCATCCTATTTACCTATTTAGCCTCCTGAGACCTCTCCAGGGCTCGATCCATAGTTCCAGTCTCGTCACTGCCGCTCTGCCAATCCCCTTCTGGGCAACAGCAGCAGGGCTTTTTGAGGTGTCTGGAGTAAGTCTACCTCACTTCTACCCCAGAGCATCAGAGTTTGCTGTTACCTTCAAAGAAATTTGTGTAACATTCTCCTTCATTTCTTTAGATTTTCCTTCCATTTTCAATTGGTCTGTGACACTTTCTCCAACCACTGTATCGAAAACAACCTTCTTGCTCTTATCATATTTTCTGTTCATACTACTTTTCTTTACTGCATGTATCACTGCTAAAGTATTTATTTAAATGTTTTTCAGCCTTAACATGTCATATAAACCTTATCAGAGGAAAGATTTTGTTGGTCTGTACAGCACTATCATCTCCAAACTTAGAAAACTACTTAGCACAGGATAAGTGCTCAGCAAATGTCATCTGATTGAATGGATATATAAAAAACAGTAAGCAATCCAAGAGCAGGAAGGAATGAATATTACCAGTGGTTCCTCATAACAGCCAGGTAACGGGCAGAGTTGCGTATCAATCCACATAATTTCACTCTCTGTTCTTCCTCAGTCTTCTCCCACCCCACCCAGCTCTTTTTTCTTTTTAATGTTTAGAGTCTCAAACTCTAAATATTAAAATATTCCTTCTTTGTGTAACAAGTGGTTATGCAAAATAACTAAGAAAAAAGGTGGCTCAACAATGTGATCCAAGATGATGAATTAATTATCAAAGTAGAGGTAACTTGAGAGATACGATAGAAACTTTTAGGAAATGAAATTTCTGAGTGCACTAATAATTATAATGAGATACATGCCAAAGAGACATATGTTATTAAATAGTGGTAATAGAATGGTGTCAAGGAAATGGATTGCACGATATAGGTCAAGAGAGACTTACAGGAAACACAATTTTACAGGGAAACACAAGGTTGGAAGTTGATATAACCTCTAATAAAGACATAAATCTAAAAAGTCTTAGTGATACAGTAAGATAGTATTAACTTTTAGGAAGATGACTAGCACTCAAACTTGAAATATTTTGGAAAAGGATCCAAGACCTAAGCTCTAACCAAAGTCAATATTACTAACCTACCCTTGAAATCTCTACTGTCTATGACTATTTATCAGAGAACTAAGAATAGAGCTACCATTTGATCTAGTACTCCCACTGCTAGGAATCAATCCAAAGGAAAAGAAATCAGTGTATCAAAAAGATACCTGCATTTGTGTGTTTATAACAGCACTATTCACAATAGAAAAGATACTGAATCAACATAAGTGTTCATCAACAGACGACTGGATAAAGAAATGTGGTATATATATGCAATGAAATACTATTCAGCCAGGAGAAAGAATAAAATCATGTCTTTTGCAGCAACATGGATGGAACTGGAGGCCATTATCTTAAGTGAAACAACTCACATGCAGAAAGACAAATTTCAAATATTCCCACTTATAAGTGGGAGCCAAATAATGTATAGTGGACATAAAGTGTGGAATGATAGATCAGAGAGAGTTAGAAGGATGGCGCTGTGGGAGGCGGGTGGATATTAAGAAATTAATGTGTAGAGTGTACATTATTCAGGTGATGGATACCCTAAAAGCCCTGACTTCCTCACTATGCAATCCACCCATGTAACAAAATTACACTTGTACCCCATACATTTACACAAATAGCATTTAAAAGAGAAGTCTCTATTGTCCTAAGAAAATGCTCTTCCTTTTTTTTTTTTTTTTTTTTTTTTTGAGATGGAGTGTTGTGTTGCTCTGTCTCCCAGGCTGGAGTGCAGTGGTGCGATCTCGGCTCACCACAACCTTCGCCTCCCGGGTTCAAGCAATTCTCTTGCCTCAGCCTCCCGAGTAGCTGGGACTACAGGCGCATGCTGCCACACCTGGCTAATTTCTTTTGTATTTTAGTAGAGACGGGGTTTCACTGTGTTGTCCAGGCTGGTCTCAAACTCCCGAGCTCAGGCCCGCCTCGGCCTCCCAAAGTGCTAGGATTACAGGCATGAGCCACCACACCCGGCCGCTCTTCCTCTTTTTTATCTGCAAATATTACCATAATCTTAAAATGATATTATAGTATTTCTTCAATCTGAAGAACATTATATATTACAAGCCTAACTCCCTAGAACAATAAGACTAGGTAGATAAACAGAAAAATAAAATTAAACTAATTATATGTATATTTTAGGATAAGTTTAAGAAGAAATTAAGTATTTAAAAATTATTGAATTGATATATGTCCTGTGTTCTGCTTAAAGCATGAGACATTCAAAAAAATCCAAATTTTAAGTGGTAATTATGGTATCAATTAAGTAATGTTATTTTATTATAAATGCTTAACTGTTTAAAAAGTTGATTTTCAAAGTTTTATTAGTTATATCAGTTTACTAAATGGAGTACTAAATAAATTATAAATAGGCCGGGCACAGTGACTCACACCTGTAATCCCAGCACTTTGAGAGGCTGAGGTGGGCGGATCACCTGAGGTTGGGCTTTCAAGACCAGCCTGACCAACATGGAGAAACCCCGTCTCTACTAAAAATGCAAAAGTAGCCGGGTGTGGTGGTGCATGCCTGTAATCCCAGCTACTCGGGAGGCTGAGGCAGGAAAATCGCTTGAACCCGGGAGGCGGAGGTTGCAGTGAGCCAAGATCGTGCCATTGCACTCCAGCCTGGGCAACAAGAGTGAAACTCTGTCTCAATAAATAAATAAATGAAGTATAAATAGTAGTCTGTATTTCTTACCATGCCCCAAATACCTCATATATGAAATTATTTATTTCAGGAGTGTTAACACATATTTTAAGGAATTGTTTCAATAAGAAATCAGGTAATCCCTGTGATGTCTCTGGTCTGCTCTGAAAAGCTAAATTAAAGAATGAGATCTTGGCAAGAGGCTCCCTGTCACTAATTTCATCTTTAATAGATGTCCGTTCAATGACTGTGATCCAGACTGTAAATCTATATATGATTGCCCACCCACGTGACTGCATA
Organism: Homo sapiens; assembly: GCF_000001405.40. Classification (NCBI taxonomy): domain Eukaryota; kingdom Metazoa; phylum Chordata; class Mammalia; order Primates; family Hominidae; genus Homo; species Homo sapiens. The sequence continues at coordinate 18,289,807 of NC_000021.9, forward strand.
TTTGCTTCTGGAAGCTGGGATGTGAGTGACTAGAAAGAGGTAATGGAGAAACTTTTTGGGTGATTGGAATGTTTTATATCTTCAGAGGAATGTCAGTTTAACAGGTGCATGCATTTAAAAAATGCATCGATTTGTATACTTAAGTTTATGCATTTTCCTATATGTCAGCAGGAAAAAAGAATGGAAAACAAATATGAAACCTTGGTTGATGCGTGTGCTTTATGCAGTAGTATGAGTCAGCAATTCTCAAACTCCTTTTTGTGTTCCAGGCTTTCCAGACTTCAGCAAATACATCAATAGCTTGTGGATAATAGGAACAATGTTTTTTGTTATTGGAATCAAGATGTAAAAATACAGAAGACAAGGTTAGGATTTATCCTGTAGTATTCTATTGGAGTTGGAGTCATTGTTTTGAGTATATATTTGTAGGTATATAATAGAGCTTTGTTCACTGTATAGTTTTAGGAACAGGACACAACATCAGTAGCCATAAGCACACAAGATCATGTTTACCAAAATACAGAAATAACTGAAATTAGTTAAATAGAAATAAGGTTTCTTACAGAAAAGTTGACTTCAGGACTAGGATAGAAAACACACAAGATTAACCTGGAACATCTTATTTTGACAGAAAATAAAAGAAGTTCTCAAAGAGTAGGACTATATTAAGGCTGATAAAGGAGCAAGCTTGAGGGTTTTTTTTTTTCAAATAGAAGAATTTTCCTACCTAATAACTGACCTGTATTCAAAAATATTAAAAACAAGAAATACAGAAAGGGGCTACTCTACACTAAAGGAGATGAAAAAAGTGTAGCATCCAGATGCAATACACTATCCTGAATTGGTTCTAACATGGCAAACATGCAAACAAAATAAAGAGCATATTTGTGAAATTAATTAGGATTGTATTTCATTAATGTTAAATTTCCATGATTTGCTGTGATTCTGTAGGAAGTGTCCTGTTTTTAGTAAAAATACTCTGAGTACTTAAGAGTATAAAAATACATCTAACCTACTACGAAATTGTTCAGAAAAAAAAGTCTCCTGACTTAGAAAGAGATGATAATAAAATATACAGAGGAAAATGTAAGCAATTGGTGAGTCTGAGTAAAGGTATAAAGAGCTCTGCACTATTTTTGCAATTTTTATGCATGTTTGAAATTATATCAATATAAAAATTTCATAAAATAAATATGTTGAATATCTATTGTGCAAGACTTGGCGTCTTCTTTCATAGAGCTTTCCTATGCAGGAACTGCAACACAATCAACATTTTATTGCACATTCTTGCATGAATCGCAGTAGGCAAAAGCATTGCAGCATCTTATTGTTGTCCTGACAAGCAAGATAGATATCCTTATGAGCTTCCTACAGATGAGGAAACGGAAACTTAGAGATACTAAGTTGCTTGTCCATAATCACACATGTGATTTGTTGGACATACAGGATTAAAATCCTCTCCTTTGGTTCAAAGTCAAACTTGCCCTTTAAGCCACAGGAAGGTTGGCCCACACTTCCAAATCCTTCTTTTAAGGTTGTGAAAGGACAATACCACGATAGAGAAACCGAACAGGCACAGGGTTATTTAGAATCACTCAGGAGAACTTAGCCTGAGGAATGCAAATGAAGTGTTGATGATAAGATTAAACAGAAGAGCTGTTCAATTAAACCATTTAACCACCTGCAGGTTAAAATACCTGGAACAGGTTTACACTGAGGGCAAGCCACTTGTGTGGCATGAGTTTAATAACTTGCTTGATCTGAGTTATTCTTTTTATTAGGAAATTAAGCTTTCCATAGCACAATTAGGCTTTTAAAGAGACAGATAAGAGCCAGTATTAACATACTGATAAAACAGTTTTTGATTAAACTATCTAAAACAATATCAGAAACTTTCTTTGTTAGAGACATGAAGTAGAAAGCAAGAAAACTCTTAGGCATTAGAGAAAAAAAAAATAATTCCATTGAATGCCTAAGGAGAGTAAAATGCGTGGTTGGTAAGGATAATTTTGAATTTATCAGAATTCTAGTACAACTTACCTTTGCTTGTGCTTAAGTTGAAACTGAAAAGACATTTTATTGTCCTATGTGATTGTGTGAGAGAAGCAGGAGCCTAGGAGAGCCAAAGTAACACCATTTTAAGTTCAGCCCCATCTTGAGACTAACAAGACACATTCCTTGCTGGTCATGACCCATAGTCATAAAATGTTTATTGTTGAGGAAGCAGCCTAAAGATACCTACGAGGACACATTCCTACAATGGAAAGTCCAAATGTATCAACACCCATAACAATATATGCTTTCAAGATAATTATGCTTTGATGTACTTACACACTGCAATGTCAAGGATTGTTTTCTCCAAATCAATGGAATAATAAATTTTGTCAAGGTTACTCTCATGTAGACACAGCCTAGTTTAGTATTTACATAGACAAGACCCCCATAGAAGAAAAACTTAAAGACAGGGCGTTCCTTCTCTTGCTTTCTAAGGATGCCCTACTTTGTGACTCAGGAGCTTTCAATAAACGATCTTTTTGCACTGCACTCTGCGACTGGCCTTGAATTCCTTCCTGTGTGAGATCCAAGAATCCTCTCTTGGCACCTGGATCTGGATTCCTTTTCTCTGGTAACAATTGGACATGTGTTTATACTAGGTAAAACTGCCTTTCTATTTTCTACACATATTTGTTGTTTGAAAAGCTATGAGATTGGTATCATTAACCTATTAGAAGTACATCTGTAAAATAGATAATTGAAAGACATCACTAATATTACTGCGAGCCTGATTGATGTTTAGACAGCATATGTTTGGCAAGAACATTAAACAGGAATTTGCCAAATTCAAGGTTGATATAGCAAGGTTGCTAACTTATTAAGATCTACCTATGTGCAACAGAAAACACTGACTTTTTAGCTAAAACTAGCTTTAATTTGCATCACAGTTAGGATACAGATGTTATGCTATCCGTGACATGTCCAACGCAAACAACATGTGTAAAGATTAAAGCCATGTTTAGAAGGGGATGGAAAAATTGCCTCTACAGACGCTTGTTATAGTATGAAAATAAATTACAATATGATTATTAGGAGGCAGCAAAGTCAAGAGGGTGCACTTTAGTTAAGGGAGAGGCTGCAATTTAGTCTCCAGGATGTAACACTCAATGGATAGAATCAGAGAGAGCTTTAGATGTAGATGGGATGGTGCTGTCGGTAGCTCCTTTGGAGACCAGCTATTTGGCAAACCTGAGAGCTAGTTGAGGGTCCTTTTTCTCCAAAGTCCTGGGATTATGCATTTGAGTCTACTTTCACTCTGATATAATGGGTATTTAGGCATAAGTGCAATCTTTTAATGTTCATTCTACCTGGCATTCCCCATCTCCTTTAAAATTTTCACAATCTCTGTGTCTGACAGTTGGTCTTCATTTACCCAAGGATCTTAAATATCTATGTGGGTAAGGAAAGTTGAGTCTTGTAACCTGATTAACTACGGCTGCCTCGTCCATGCCCGGTTCTTTCCTCGTCAATGCCTGGTTCTTTCTAACATGGTTCTTTCCTCTGAGGTTCTGGATCCTGGCTACAGAGAGGCTTACTCTAATCCTCATGGGTAAGGTCATTCACTGGACACCTCACTGACATAGGGACAGGAGATGAGTCCTAGATCAAGCTCATACGTATTATATGAGGAAGCTCCCTTTTCTCCTGACTGAATTCAGAACCATGTGACTATCTAGAGAGGTGGCATCTTTGATGTGGAAGAGGAGCATGAACATGTTCTTGGGTCCAGGATCATTTAGCTTTTCCTCCTTTACTCCCACCCCCTTCCATCCACTCTGTTCTCTCCTCTAGGACTGCAAAATAAATGTCAAAATTCAACATTATCTTGTCCTATTATAGTATAAAACAGAGTCAGATACGGTTGATATTAGTTCTAAATTTCAGTTAATAGGTAGCAATCAAAATAGATCTGACTTAAGAACTAAATACTTTTATCTTAATTCACAACAAAGTGCTTATCCATGAACTTCCAGAGCACAGTATAATTGTAATTTGAGGGCTACCTAAGAATACTGATACTGACAATTTGCTAGCAATAAATATTGGACAAATTGAATGGTAACCAGTACAATTTATACAATAAATACTAATTTCACGCTCTTAAAAATGCTTACCTTTTGAATTGGCAAAAGTTTCCATTTTTATGTATGTAAAAGTGTAAAAAGATCTAATGATGTAATATCTAATGTAGAAGAATTAATATTCATATCTAATGCAGGATAATTTTTTAAAATGTATCTCTATTTTCATACATGACATTAATGGGAAAATAATTGGAATGTTTATAATGTCATAAACAGCAGGATTTCCCTGGTGGGATGGTTTTGTGATGCTGCATGAAATGGGACGCTTGGCAGTGTCTGCTGTGGTGACCTAGTTTGGGAAGGGACACTTGACATCACACTCACCCATACACGCAGTGTGCGGCGGACACCAGCCAGTCACTGCTGACGAGAGATGCGCCGCAGAGCAGTCGGCCGCCATAATACAGACCCACAACCCAGGGCCAGGCCCCTTCTTTGGCATTACTTCCTCCAACAATCTTTGGGGTGATGTCTTGAGCTGCCAGTTTTTTTCCACAAGCTATTAAAATAATTGGAGAAAGAGCATCTATTTCATTTTTGGCATTTCTTCTGATGGTGAAAATTGAGTGGTAACAAAATAACTTCAGGTGACATAAAACTCTATTCAGAATTTTAAACAGAATGCTTGAAGTGGGATATGACAACATATTTACTTACATTTATGGTTACACTGTAACCGAATCAAGGAATCCTGTAAACACTGTTGACTGTAATAGAAGAACAATCATATTTTTAAAATTATGCATTTAATATTTTCAAGTCAAACATCATATAGGTTATCCTACTTTTGCTTTAGTAAAATGGACATCTTAATGTCTCATATATGAAATGTAGGGAGACTGAATTGTAAGCCGAAGAAGCCCCAGTTTAATGTCAAATAGAGGTGAGTTTGCATCCTTATTCTACCATTTCTATGTGACTTCAGGGAAGTTACTCAATATCCCTGAGACCCAGTTTCTTCTTCCATAAAATGGGGGTAATAATACTTTATTGGAGTGTTGTGAGAATAAAAAGCAATATTTGCAATAAAACTATTACAGGGCCTTATACACAATGAAATTCTATAAATGATAGATATTGTTATGTTACTTGAACCGACATTGGTTTTCATCATTCTATAACACAGAGTATGCCTCAGTATTGCCAATCTGACAACTATTCCGTGCCCAACACCGTGTATGAGGCTGTGTGCTTCATTCAGGGAATTGAATGATGAATGCGTCACAGGTGCTGCTTTCAAGGAAGGCAGACACGTAAGAAGCACATATAAAAGAAAGCACAGGCAAAAATTACTGAAAACTCATCACCTGCTTAGAAATTTAAATACCAACTTTTTTCAGTGTCAAGAATTCCATTTTAAACAAAAACTAAGCAAATTTGTTTTACAGTGCATTATACTTATCAGCCACTAGAGATCAGTATAACACAAGAAATTAGAGTACTTGCTCCCACTATTTCCAAATGCAACCACTGCAGATATCGGCTACATTAAAACACACACATTATACATGCAGATACACAAATAATTGTAATGACTTACTTACATTTATATACTTAGCTACAGCTAATTGTGCATGCTGTTTAGATCTTTAAAAATGCAACGTAAATAAGACCTAAGATCCACACGTCTAATCAAAGCAATTCAGTGTTTCAGGAAAATATATGATAAAGTTTATTTGAAATCATATGTATACGTATTGAATGACTGGCATATTCTTTACAACACAGAATGATTTTAGTTGAAATATAAGGAAGTCTATCTTTTTAGTAACTAGTGTGCATGCATGTATATCAATCTAGATATATTGACATGTATTTCTAACACCCCAAGGAAGTCTCAATTAACTCCCCTTTTTTTCACCCTGTGGTGGGAGGTGGTGGTCTGAGTCTGCATATATCTCACAATAGGTTACAGAATCAGAATAGGCCGGGCGCGGTGGCTCACGCCTGTAACTCCAGCACTTTGGGAGGCGGAGGCGGGCGGATCACGAGGTCAGGAGATCGAGACCATCCTGGCTAACACGGTGAAACCCCGTCTCTACTAAAAATACACAAAAATTAGCCAGGCGTGGTGGCGGGCACCTGTAGCCCCAGCTACTTGGGAGGCTGAGGCAGGAGAATGGTGGGAACTTGGGAGGTGGAGCTTGCAGTGAGCCGAGATCACGCCACTGCACTCCAGCCTGGGCAACAGAGCGAGACTCCGTCTCAAAAAAAGAAAAAAAATAAAGAATCAGCATATAGGTCAGTAGATTTTTATAGTTGGCTGAATCATTTTCCCTGACATCCTCTTCTTTTACCTATTTTTTATTACAACCACTAGCGCAAGGGCATTTTCAAAAACACCAGTTTTCATAGGGATACAAACATAATCATCTATGCAATAAATAATAAATGCATAAATAAATTAACCAAATAAATAAATGAACATATGTCTGATTTTCTGCCAACCCAATATAATGTGGCTAATTAAGGAAGGGATTAAGGACATTTAATTAACTGGCTTGTTGATGTGATGAAAGGTTAAAATATGTCTATAAATGATGTCTCTCTCAAATAGCACACACATACATTATAATAGTGACGTCAATGGAAAATGATACTGGCATTTCGTTGATAAGCATAGAATAAGCTAGTTTTGATCTCAAGCATGCATATAATTAACATAAATGATTTTAAATAATTTTTTCTTACAAATTTTTAAATGCCTCTAAGACGTGAAAAGAAGAAATTCTCAATGTTCAAACTGCTTCAGGATCTATATGGTAATATAAATTTAGACACGCCTTACAGGAAAGGAAATCTAGAAGCCTGCTTTCTCATTTGCAGATGCTTTGCTTCATATCCGATGAGACTCATAATATCAGTCAAGGCCCAGCAAACATTGATATAAAACATTCAACTGCAAAGTTCTTTTTTTGGTACTCAAAATACTCCTTTACCATTTTTATTTTTTTACTGGTTAAGCTCACAGAAATGTTAACTTTTCATGAAAAACTGAATAATTATCTAATTTCATTTTTTACCATGAAACAAAATATACCAGCAAAGCATCTTAAATCCTTGTTTGTAGTTATGGCTTCTTGCAGTTACATTCTTCCCACCCACAGCTGTTCTTTAATGGAACTGTAAAATTCAGAAGCCAATTTCAACAAAAATTACCATTAATACCCAAATAGGAGAAATGACTTAATTTAGCTAAAACAGATCTTTGAATACAGGAAAGATGCTGCTTTTTAATACCTTAGTAAAGGCTATAAAAGTAAACCTAATATCAAAAAGTAAAAGAGAATATGTAGACACGATGAAAGGTCTAGACTTCTTCATTTAATATTCATGATCTATTTGCCAAGGAAGAGAAAAGAATATCAAGATATTCCCCTCTTTCTTCTCTTTTAGTGGTAGCTAATTTGGTCTGCCTCCAGTCTGATCAACACTGGACCTGTTTTATCCCAGTTCTCACAATTTCTTTCCAAGTGATTTAATTATTTATTAATCTGAGGCTAATGATAAAAAAGGGTATAAAATTAAAACATGTCAAATCCCTATGAGTGTGCCAGAAATTTACATACAGAATATTTCTTTTGACCATCTTATATGTATTAGGGTTAGAAACTGTTATCAGATATTAAATAGATACTGTTTGAGATTACTTAAATAATAATATAAGTCAAATAACTTTCAAGATTATATGACCAGTATGTAATAGCATTCAAATCTGACTGGCTTCAACAATCTATCTTCTGCCATGTCTATGTACAACTAGTCTAAGAACAGATTTAGGGACCCACCTGGGTGTTAGTATTAAGTGGCCATCAGGTGCTGTGTTTAATTTGACAAATGGTCCACCATCGGTAGGGAAGATTGGCTTTGATGAGTTTCCACTCCTAGAGAAAAAAGAAAAAAGCATACAGACAAAACAAAAGCATAAAGAAAAGACCATAAGTTAGACTTTCAGTTCCTTAATGCTATGGACATTAAAACAAATTATGGGATACCAGCCAAAAAAATGAACGTTTTAATATAAAACTTCATGTGTTTTCCTATCTAAAGGATGATGCAAATGAGTAGAATTACCCATAATCCCATGAAATGTCATTTTAACTTTAATGTAATATCTTTAGTCTTTGTTTGCATTCTTATGTATTATTTTACAAAGTTAAATCATTACATATATCACTTAGTTACCTGTTTTATAAATGTGATTTTTTCTATGTTGTCAAATAGTTTCCATAAAAACCGCTTTGAATGACAATTTCCCAGCATTGCTGCACTGTAATTTATTAAGCTTTTCTCCTGTTGTATAGCTCATCTTTTTTTTGGCTCATCTTTTTAAAAGTGCATGTAGATAACAACATAGACAGAGACTATCTTCAGTGTTTAATTTTGCTTTGTTCTTGATATTTCATTCAATTCAAAGGCTAACAAGCCCTAATTTAAAGGAAGTCATGTGACTGCACTAAAGGAGAGACTATGCAGCTTTGGCCTGCAAGTGTCAATTGGCGAGGCACCACAGGGTGGAGAGAGACACCTCTGTGTGATCAAAGACATTGAGGCCCCAGGCTTTCTTTTCCCTGAAAACCTATAATTCCCATGCTCTCAACTGTGAGCTCTAATTGAAGATTTCTCTTAATTATCCTGACACTCTTTTTTAGACTTAGCTGGAGACTTTTAGCTTTTAATTCTTAATCTTGTTTCTTGCCTTTTATTTCAGATTTTAATCATCATATAAAAATATGCCTTTAGGCTGGAAACATCCTGATTTCTGCTCTCTTCTACCAGTGAGCAGGGAGATGATGTGGTTCTACCTTTTGGAGTACTGTGATGGACCCACCCATTGCCTCTTTAAAAGAAGCCCCAATGTCTTCCCCAGGCTATTGCCAACACTGACCCTTTTCTGTCTGTTTCCAGGGAACTTCCAAGTAACATTCAAAGCTTTTCTGATCAATTAGAAGATACGAACTATTTAGAAAGTGGTTCTTCTCTCTTTTAATGTTTTCATCAAGCTGAAAGAATGTTTAGTAACTTTCATCTACTGAACGTAGAGCTGGGACAATAGATGTCTATTTAATGTTCCAGAATTTAAATCTTGCACTTTTATTTTGTAAACAGATAAAAGTAACTGAAACACACAAAGCCATTACCATACTTTAATAAAGCCTGAAATGGATTTACCAAGGGAAAGATGAGCCTTGGAATTCCTATTGTTAAAGATTATGCTATTCCACCAAGTGGGCAGAAGGAAAATCTCATTTAAATATTTACATAAAATGTATTTGCTATGGCTTAGAAAACAAAACAGGTGTGAAGATGTCAAAGGGTAGCTGAGAATGTAGAAAGTCTGGAATGCTCCAGATCATGAAGAACTTCACAGATGCAGAACACTTGTATTTAAGGACTCACACATTTAGAGCAGACCGAATCTAGATAAACACAGATGTTAGAGGACCTTGAATTTCACCATTCTTGCAGGTTTTGGTAGAAATCCTCACAGTAATCTCAGCTTTCAAAAATATCAAGGGATGCCATTTCAAATTAAAGAGGTTTTAGTTGTGTTTTGCTGTCTGCAGGCTCCAGAAACGTCACTGGAATTCGTTGATTCGTGAACATCACTGCTGCCAGAGTAAAGTTGGTTGGTTGGGAGAGTCATTCTCCAGCCTGTCTTCTAGACATCTCTCTTCTTTTCTTGTGTTTGATCATTTCTAGTTTCCTCATTCAGCTGAATGCCTGCCCTGTGTTTAACATTCTTCTAGGTAGTTTTCCACGTTCTTGACTCCCCATGACACATTCTCAAAGTGATGCTCTTTCCAGACAAGCAGCACCAGCCTCAGGAGAGAACATAGGTCCAAAGGCAAATTCTCCACCCTCACTCGAGGCCGACTTAGCCAGTAGTCTTAGGCCTGCTCTAGGGTAGGGTCCGGCTATCTGTATTTCACCAAGCCCTCCAGGTGATCCTGGTGCCTGCTACAGTCAGGAAATCATGTTATAGCCAAATATAGCATCTTTTTCTGCTACTGGCATGAGGCTCTGCTTTTTGACATACAAAGTGACTTCTAGTTACCCAATAATCTGTTTTACGGCACTCATGTCTAAATGAGGAAACCTTTTGAAAGGTGTATCATTAAAAATAGATGTTAGAGAGGTGGATTTTAGACTCTTCACTTATCTATAGCTCGTCTCTTGGATATATCCCCCGTCTCTTGGATATCTCTTTTAAGACAGAGCCCGAAGGGATACATTCCTTTTTCTTTCTTTCTCTTTCTTTCTTTTTCTTTCTCTCTTTTTCTTTCTTTCTTTCTTTGTTTTTCTTCTTTCTCTCTTTCTTTCTCTCTTCTTTCTCTCTCTCTTTCTTTCTCTCTCTCTCTCTTTCTTTCTCCTTCCTTCCTTCTTGCCTTCCTGCCTTCTTTCTTTCTCTTTTTTTTTTTTGGATACTCTGTTGCCTAGGCTGGAGTGCAGTGGCTCAATCTCGACTCACTGCAACCTCTGCCTCCCAGGTTTAAGTGATTCTCCTGACTCAGCCTCCCGAGTATCTGGGACTATAGGCGTGTGCCACCACACCTGGCTAATTTTTTTTGTATTTTTAGTAGAGAGGGTGTTTCACTATGTTGGCCAGGCTAGTCGTGAACTCCTGACCTCAAGCAATCCACCTGCCTTGGCCTCCCAAAGTGCTGGGATTACAGGTGTGAGCCACCACACCTGGCCAGATACATTAATTTCTCTGGAAATTCACACCAAAATTTGGAGAAAAACTAAATTGAACAAGTATTTAAAAATTATTTGTAAATATTTTTTAAGCAAGCCTATTTATGACACATCTACTTCTGGCATGCATTTGGATAGGATTGACAGTGATTTTTTTTTAAACATATGCCTATTCTAGAAGGAAAGATGACTAGAGCCAAATTTTTAAGAATAATGGGTATTCAGTAAATGCCACTTGTTCCACCCCGAGATTTTCAAATGCTGCTCCAGGGTGGCACTTTCACTATCCAGCAGAGAAAATTGGAGATACATATACACATGGATAAAAGATGTGTAATCTTATTTTCTGAGATGATCTTTTCAACATTTTTAGTCTCAAATTTAACATGAGAAAACAAATATAAATATGTCGTCTTGGGTTATTTAGAGTAGTTGAACAAAATACTCCTTCAAAAATAGTTACAAAATTATCACATAATTACATTTTTGTACTAAATATTGTTACCAGTAACATAAGAGTAGGGTATAGGGCCCTCAGTTCATACCAATGTTTCTCCAGATGTCAGTTCTACATGTTAAATTTGGGATTTGTGATGGACTACCTGCATTTCAAATCCTGTCAAGTCAAACTCATTCTTTTTCTGACTAAACACAATTTATTTCTTTGTAAGCACAGTAAACAGATTAAAAAGCAGCAGAAGTTTACAACAAACTATTCCTTATTTTAAGAAATCACGAGGCAATAAATATACATTAAAAATCTTCTTCACAGAAGAAAAGATTACCCTATGTGAAGTCACCATTTACTTTTGAAAGACAAAAATCTCAGAACTACTAAAAAATTGAATTCAGAGGAAATGTATTATATTAAGTTCTGTAATATTTAAGCACGCACCTGAGGCTCTTACTGCCTCAGTTTTCTTTTCTTGCAAGGAAATTAGTTGTTGATTTTTAGAGAGGCACTCTGCGAAGATTAAAACTAGACTGTACATTTTCTAAATCTTTAAAATGTTCCATATTTGCAGATTTAGATAACTTCATTACACATTCACATAGCTGTTTGAAATCAGAAGTTTAGTATCACATAGAAACTCCATATAGCATTACCTTGTTGACATACTAATGCCTCCCGGAAACCTATTTCTAAGCTTTTATTGCCATTTTTATAGGTTATATAACCTCAAAGAGCTCTCCTTACTTTAGGAAAACTTTATTCCATGTGAGAAAAGAAGCATATAGATGCAACCATTATTATTTTTGAGGTCATAGATGGCGTATAAAAATATACTCATAGATGAATTCTAGGGAGTAAAAAAGGATATCTCAAGGATACTTGCATGGTATTAAATCTTCTGCTCTGTTCTTAGCCCCTGACTAGGTTTCTTCTCTTTTGTCTCACTTCTCAGGCTGAATTTGCTGTGATAAGAATTCTTCCCTGGAGCAGGAGCTTAGGCGGGGATGTTTTAAGGCCTTTGGACACACTAAAGCTAAAAAGAATAATAATGCATGCTGCAAATACTGCAACTAGGCACTGTAGCTCATTTCACACCCCAAAAGGTTTAAGTAATGAATAGAGCCAGGTGGGATTAGCCCGAAAAGGCTTTTGGAGAAGGACGGTTGTTTCTTTTCAGATTGGAGGGAAAGAAGGGGATTGATTTAGCAGGACAGAAGGCAGGGGGACCATTTTACAGGCAGAGGCTTGGTGGATAGAAGAGATTCGATGGCAAATCATCCCACTAGGAAAGTAAAGGCATGTGGGCAGGTAGGTAGAAATGCCATTTCTGAGCTGGACACATTTCCACTACAATTATTTAACCATGTATTGCATTTATAACAATACACCTAGCACACACCTAGCCCAGTGATAGCTCTTAGCAAACAGGTAAGTTTAATTAATTTTAGATTTTCTGACTTCCACCCTTAGGAGTTGATGGCATTTACTCAGAAGTAAAGAAATGTCAATAAAAACAATTATCTTAACCTAATCAATTTCTACTTTTGTGCAAGCTACTGTATTAAGAGCAAGAGGTAAATTGATGGGTTAGTCTGGTAGCTATTCTCTGTTATCTTACAGATGCAATGGTATTACAAAGGAAAGAAACTGCTGGTACCTCCTTCCTACCAAAAATACGTCTGAGAGAAGTGATACTTCTAGGAGATTGTCAAAGAGGCAGAATCTCTTCATGGGCAACATCTTGGAAACCTTGGGCAACGTGAACCACTTTAACATTATTTCCTTAGCTGCTGCTGCTGTTGGAGTTCCTTTTGTTTGTTTGTTTGTTTGTTTGGAGTAGAGGGCATATGACACACACCTCTACATTTCTTATTAAGTTTTCTCAGTGCATTATCACTTTCTAAGTACACATGAGTGAAATTTCCTTTAGAATTTAGTGTCCTTTAGAACTTGTCATCCCTTTGGAACTGTTAGCATTTATCTTATTTCGTCAGGAAAATTACATGGTTTTTTAATGTTTTCCTTTTTGCGTGGGTCTCCAGGAATCTCAGACATAAGTGTTAGTAATTACACCGACCTTTCATGTTTTGTAGATTTGCCTCTTTATTTCTTTGGATCTTATTTTTCTGTAGTATTCTATTAACTTTACTGCATATGTTCTTTGTTATATAGACCTCAGTTCCTTTTTGGAAAACAGATAATGGAAGAAAATCATGGGGGAAAAAAGAAAGAATAGAAGCATATGAGGAAAGAAGAAAGAAAATGAGGAAAGGAGAAAGAGGAAGGAAAAATTAAAGGGAGGGAGGAAAAAGGGGATATTATTTCATTGGATTTTATCGATTTTATTCAAAAATTGTTCTTCATCTCATAGAATATATAGCGTTAATTACAAGTTGAGCAGTTGGAAGCACTTTTTAGAATAAAAGCAGAATGAATAAGGAAGGTTTTGTTATAAGCTTCATAGGGCTGAGGTTTTCTGTCCTTACCTATTTCTGTTTTAGAATATAGAAACCTCCTCTTTTCCAAATAACAGGATCTAAGGAAATGATAAAGGACATTGTCTTGGGTGAAAACATACTCTCTTGTTTTTATATAACAAAATAAATACCTATACATTACAGATAATTTTTGGCAGATGATTTGTAATTGTGCCAAAACATAAAAGATGTTCTCCCTCTTTTGTGTGTGTAATTATATTCTTAGTAATTTCCTGACAACAAAGAATCTCTTTGGTGACAAAATACATATTAAAAAGTGTAAGCCAAAATACGAATGAAAGACAAAGAAGATTCTCCCTGAATGGTGGTGGTGCAAAGAAACGACATTTCACAAAAGTCTTGATTTCCAATAAAATATTTTCAAATGCTTAGTAGGAGAAAGGAGGAATAATGTTTTTCCAAGTAAGAAGTAATACCCGTCTGTGGGTGGTGAAAACCTTGCTATGGATATTTTTCACTCTGTTGATGATATCCTTCTCAGATTTCTGATGCAGGTTTTAAAAAATTCTCCATTTGATTTCATCTATGCCAGGGTTCGTGGGGGTCTGGGGTGGTTCTAACAAAGTCAAAGTACGCTAGGACAAACTAAGAAATGTCCTGGATTAAGTCAGATGATTCTCAATAGGGTGTTTAAACCTGGTACGGTAGAAAAAAGTTGTTTGATATGTGTGTGTGTGTGTATCTTTATTTTGTTTTTATTACCAGGTGAAATCAAACTGTCAAAGTTTGGGGATGCTTTGTATAACTTCTATGTTGTTTTCTACTGAAATGAGTATATGAAGGATCGTGCGTGTCTTGACTACTCTGTCAGAATGACCTCGGCCTTTTAAAGAACTAAGACCTCTGGGTCTCACTCCAGCCAGGGTCCTTCACCTCTTTGGAATCCATGGAAGTTCATGATAACATGTAGGAGGTTGGTAGTTGGCAAAGAAATAATTACATCTTTATTTTTACTAACTTTAATCTCTTCTTCTGATACAAATGTAGGTGATTAACCACAAAATTATTAGCAACATCTATAATATGGTCACCAAAATGAACTGCAGATATATTCATATCATATTGCAGTTGCTAGATACATATAAAATATCATTTATGTTCACCTTTGATATTACAGTGGTCATTAGAGCCACCAGTGTATCTTATTAAATATGTTAATAAAGAAATATATATTTCCATGGATTTAAAAATTTTTGATAATTATTTTTAATGTAATAAATTTCCTTTGTAGTTCTGTGTGTTTTAGTTTATATACTTAAAAATACTCTTTTTTGTGTGTAATTATATTCTTATTAATTTCCTGGCAACAAAGTCTCACTTGGGTGACAAAATACATATTAAAAAGTGTAAGCCGAAGTAGGAGCGACAGACAAAGAAGATTCTCCAAATTAAGTTTCCCCAGACTGACAAAAGTACCTATGACACATAAACAAAGGTTGAGAGCACTTACCCTAGGTGGTGGTTCTCAACTCTAGAATGCACCTGAATTACCTGAAGGACTTATTAAATCACAGACTGCTGGGCCTTACGCTAGACTTTTGGGTTCAATAGGCCAGAGGTAGGATTCCAGGATTTGAATTTCCGTACTTTTTTTTTTTTTTTTTTTTTTTGAGACGGAGTCTCCCTCTGTCGCCCAGGCTGGAGTGCAGTGGCGCGATCTCGGCTCACTGCAAGCTCCGCCTCCCGGGTTCACGCCATTCTCCTGCCTCAGCCTCCCGAGTAGCTGGGACTACAGGCGCCCGCCACCGCGCCCGGCTAATTTTTTGTATTTTTAGTAGAGACGGGGTTTCACCGGGTTAGCCAGGATGGTCTCCATCTCCTGACCTCGTGATCCGCCCTTCTCGGCCTCCCAAAGTGCTGGGATTACAGGCGTGAGCCACCACGCCCGGCCCCTTGAATTTCTATAAATTTATCCCAGGTGATTCCATGCTGGGATGGAATTTGGTCCTAAAACCACACATTGAGATCCACTGACCTAGACCATTCTGAATCTAAGAGTCTGAGGCTGAGACTAGGTGATTCTTATGTATAACCAGGCTGTACCTTCAAGAGCTGGTGTAGCTGCTGTATTACAAGTCAGTGGTACACCTATTGTCACTCCCTTGCCCAGAGCAGACATAATTATCTTATCACTGTGCCTTCCCCCACCCTGCTAGATATTAAACCTATTAAGTATTAATGTTAAAAAGTATCAAATTATGGTAGTTTGCTATTAATGATTTGCTCTTTAATTATTTTTAATTAATGCATTTCTAATTTTAAAATGGAGAAAACATCAGAGTTATAATTTGTGCTTCAAGTAAATGATGGACTTTGTAGTTAAGTCAATTAAACCAAATTAAAATAAGATTTCTTCCACAACCTTGCCCAAAGCTTTTCTCACCCACCCCACCACAGTAACATAGCTAAGAATAAAAGTACCTTCTGTGCTGAAGTTGCAAATCAAAAAATTTTAAAAATGTAAAATATTATTTATTTCTGTGTAAAGTTAGCGAATTAAGTAGAAATCATCTAAAGCCAAAGGTTACATTTTTTTTTTACTGTTCCCATATCTGTGTTGTTGTTTTGTGTCTGAGTTGTAATAAGTCAAGGTTTTCCCCACATACTTGAAAATTTTGGGACATTGGCAGAAAATATGAACAAGGGCAGAAGCACTATATGTCTACCACCTCCTTAAACTAGGATGAAACATAGGTTCTATTTCCAGTGTTCCGGAACTCAGTGCTAAGTTGTATAAACAAATTCATTGCGGTGGTTACATCAGAATTTAAATGATTATGCTCTATGTTTTTGAAAGGCTTATTGAAAAACATTTTAATCTCTTCCCCCAGTATTTTCAAAACACCGCTGCAATGGAAGAACCTTGGGGTAATTCTGTTTCTTATTAGCATTTGAGAATGTAAGGCTCAATTTGATGTTCCTGATATTTAGAAGTATCTTGGACAGGACTAATATGGGATTTAAAAATTAACACCAATTCCTCATAGGCCACCTTATTAGAACACAAATAACTAACTCCACTTTTGAGATATTAGTATTTCCTAAATTCTCTAAAGTTTTACAGAAATGATGTTTTTTTCTAGATTTTAATGATTTAGCAGGGTAAATCAGCTATATCATTTATATATTGGGTTAGTAACAGGGAAATGCTATTTGCTAGGAAATACCATTAAAAAAACACTACCCTAAGTTTTTTTAACCTTTATTGTTGCATCAGTATAAAATGTTTTCTTTCATACTTTGATCAAAGACATGAAAATGTTATTCAAGGTACTTTTTATTTATGCATGTAATGAATGATAGGAAATGAAAAGGTTTAATATAAAAAAAGGAAAGGCTAATGAAATAGGCCTCATAGGATTTACTAGAATCTGAGGGGAATTGCATTTTGTACCCTATCTGCATAAATAATCTTGAGAGACTACAGTGGCTTTTTAATAAATTGACTATCAAATTACTTTCTACTGCAGCAAACACACATCATTTTAAACTCACTAAGTTTTCTTTCAGTTACCATGCACCAGTCTAGACAAATTCTCATTAAGGATGTAACTTTCTTTCAATTACTAGAGCACTATGGAGACTATTTAATAAGCACAGGCTCAAAGATTAAAGTCTTTGCAGAGATTACCTAACTCATTTACGAAGAAAGCAAGCACCTGACCTTCATCAAAAATATTGTATCTAAGGCAGTGGGATGTACTACTTGTGTTACAGACACTAAAAAATCTGGTTATTTGTCTCTCTGTATCTGGTTAGAAGGACTACGATTCGTGGGAAATGGGATCAGTGAACTAGAGAGTAAAATCTGGCTGGGGAAACCACGTAAGTAAATGGAACAGAGCTGTGTGTCATCCACTCAGCTCAGGCCATTTTCTAGAAAGCCTTCCTTGACATGCCTTTATTGACTTAAGTTCTGCTACAGCACATTGCATTTATCACATTATATTGTAATGATCTATTATGTGTCTATCATCACCACATAAGCATGTAAAGCCATGTCTTATTTATTCATGGAACACATACAATATCATCACCTGTGCTTAGATTTCTGACCCAGGAATAATAATAATATATTTACATGATATACTGTTAAAATGTAATAAAGATGTATGTTTCCTTCCAATTCATTGGAAGGAACGTAAATGTAGGGATCCACATTTTGCTATCAGCCAACTAACAGGTTTCATTCAAATTAATTGAAAAAAACTTCTGTCAAAGTAAAGTGTTGATCATTTTGACCTTTGTGAATAACTCATCTTAACCCAATACATCCTCCAGGAAACAATGTAGTTAAAATTCACAAACCACAATAGAAAGAACTCCTCTTTTTATAATCACATGGTGATCTGCGAAAAGTGATGAATTGAGACACAAATCTGGGCAGGGAAAGCCCAGTCATCCGGGGCACTTGGGCGCATCAATTGTGGAAGCAAGGTCAAGTCCCCAGTCTCCTTAGCTTAATCTTTAGAAACTAAGTTCCTGAGTCTATACAGCAGCTCCTGAGCAATTGAAGCTAATGGCTTCCTAGGACCTCACCTCTTTGAATTCACTATTGAACTAAAATTAGTGTTTAAAGTAGGAACTTGGAATGAATGCCACTTACCCAGTTCTTTACTTGAAATGAAAATAAACAACTGTCACTTTCTGGGTTTTGTTGACTCTTTATCAACAAAAATTGTTTCTCCTACAACTTGCCCTCTTCCAAGACTTTATGTCTGAAAGCTCCCCATGTTTAAAGAGTTTTTGTTGAAGTTTATACTGTAGAATAAAAAGAATTACACACACACACACACACACACACACACATTTAAAGTACAGGAAGGCTCTGACTAATATGCATAAACCAAATCGATTTTTTTAACACATACTATTTATAAAAAATATGCTCAATAAAAGTAGGAATAGAAAGAAATCACAAAAGAATGTGGTTTGACCCCATTTTATAAAAAGTTTAAAAGTACATATATGAACAAAGATCTAGAAAACTATACACTGAGACTTTTTTTTTTTTTTTAAAGTTCTGGGACACATGTGCAGAACATGCAGTTTTGTTACATAGGTATACATGTGCCATGGTAGTTTGCTGCACCCATCAACCCATCATCTACATTAGATATTTCTCCTAATGCTATCCCTCCCCTAGTCCCCCACCCACTGACAGGCCCTGGTGTGTGATGTTCCCCTCCTTGTGTCCATGTGTTCTCATTGTTCAACTCCCACTTATGAGTGAGAATATGCAGTGTTTGGTTTTCTGTTCCTGTGTTAGTTTGCTGAGAATGATGGTTTTCCAGCTTCATCCATGTGCCTGCAAAGGACATGAACTTATCCTTTTTTATTGCTGCGTAGTATTCCATGGTGTATATGTGCTACATTTTCTTTATCCAGTCTATCACTGATGGACATTTGGGTTGGTTTCAAGTCTTTGCTGTTGTGAACAGTGCTGCAATAAACATACGTGTGCATGTGTCTTTATAGTAGAATGATTTATAATCCTTTGGGTATATACCCAGTAATGGGATTGCTGGGTCAAATGGTATTTCTGGTCTAGATCCTTGAGGAATTGCCACACTGTCTTCCACAATGTTGGGAAAACTGGCTAGCCATATGCAGAAAACTGAAACTGGACCCCTTTCTTACACCTTATACAAAAATTAACTCAAGATGGATTAAAGACTTAAACGTAAGACCTAAAACCACAAAAACCCTAGGAGAAAACCTAGGCGATATCATTCAGGACATAGGCATGGGCAAAGACTTCATGACTAAAACACTAAAAGCAATGGCAACAAAAGCCAAAATTGACAAATGGGATGTAATTAAACTAAAGATCTTCTGCACAGCAAAAGAAACTATCATTAGAGTGAACAGGCAACCTACAGAATGGGAGAAAATTTTTGCAATCTAGCCATCTGACAAAGGGCTAATATCCAGTATCTACAAAGAAGTAACAAATTTACAAGAAAAAAACAAACAAATTTACAAGAAAAAAACAAACAACCCCATCAAAAAGTGGGTGAAGGATGCGAACAGACAATTCTCAAAAGAAGACATTTATGCAGCCAACAAATATATGAAAAAAAGTTCATCATCACTGGTCATTGGAGAAATGCAAATCAAAATCACAATGAGATACCATCTCACGCCAGTTAGAACGGTGATCATCAAAAAGTCAGGAAACAACAGATGCTGGAGAGGATGTGGAGAAATAGGAACGCTTTTACACTGTTGGTGGGAGCGTAAATTAGTTCAACTAAACTGATTATTTATATAATGAATAATGAAATTCATTTCCTCTCTTTGCTCTTGATAGGAATTTCGTTCCTGATGAGGCTGACATCACTTGGATGAGGCTTGGAGCTGGGAAGTTTCCATTCTAAATGCACAGCTTTTGAGAATATAACAGGAACTGGAAGCTCTCAGTCCAACTGTAAGAAGCTAAGTTAGGTATAGAAGGAACGTACCTCAACACAATAAAGATTACATATGACAAAGCCATAGTTAACAATATATTAACAGGAAAAAGTTGAAATCTTTTCTTCTAAGAACTGGAACAAGACAAAGATACCTACTCTCACCACTCTTATTCAGTATAACACTGAAAGTCCTAGACAAAGCAATTAGAATAAAGAGAGAAATAAAGGGCATCCAAATTGGAAAGAAGGCAGTCAAATTGTCTCTTTTCATAGATGACATGATCTTATCTACAGAAAAACCTAAATACTCCACCAATAAAGAGAATTGATCATTGAATTTAGTAAAGTTTCAGGATACAAAATAAACAAAACAAAATCATTACAGTTTCTTTACATCAACAACCAACTAGCTGAAAAAGAAATCAAGAAAGTAATCCCATCTACAACAATCACAAAAAAAAACAAACACCTAGAAATAAATTTAACCAAGGAGTTGAAAGACCTCTTCAAGGAAAACTGTAAAACACTGATGAAAGAAATTGAAAAGGACACAAACAAATGAAAAGCATCCTATACTCACGGATTGGAAGACTTAATATTGTTAAAATAACAATACTACCCAATCCCTATTTAATGATAGGGATTTAATGCAATCCCTATCAAAACACCAAAGACATTCTTCACAGGAATAGAAAAAAAATCCTAAAATTTGTATGGAACCACAAAACACACCAAATAGCCAAAGCAATCCTGAGCAAAAAGAACAAAACTGGAGGCTTCACACTACCAGATTTCAAAATATTCTACAAAATTATAGTAACCAAGATAACTGGCATAAAAATGGACAACAGACCAATGGAACAGAATAGAGAACAAGATAGAGAACCCTGAAATAAATCTATGTTTACAGCCCACTGATTCTTTTTTTTTTTTTTTTTTTTTAACAAAGGCACCAAGAACATTCACTGGGGGGGAAGAACAATCGCTTCAGTAGATGATGCTGGGAAAACTGGATAACTATATGAAGTATGAAACTAGACCCTTATCTCTCACCATATAGAAAAATCATATCAAAATGGATTAAAGAGTTAAATCTAATACCTAAAATGTTGAAACCACTAGAATAAAACATTGGGGGAAACACTCCAGGACATCGGTCTGGACAAAGATGGCTTGAGTAAGCCCATAAAAGCACAGGCAACCAAAGCCAAAATGGACAAATGGGATCACATCACGCTAAAAAGCTTCTACACAGCAAAGGGAATAACCAACGAAGTGAAGAGCAAATCCACAGAATGGGAGAAAATATCTGCAAACTATCCATTTGACAAGCACATATTAACCAGAATATATAAAGAGCTCAAACAAATCGACAAGAAATAAAAACATATATTCCGACTTTAAAAATAGGCAAATTATCTGAATAGACATTTCTCAAAAAAAGACATACAAATAGCCAACAGAATATGAAAAAATGCTCAACATCACTAATTACTAGAGAAATGCAAATCAAAACCACAATGAGATATCTCTCACCCCTGTTATAATAGCTTTTATCAAAAGAGAGGCAGTAAGGGATACTGGTGAAGACATGGAGGAAGAAGAACACCCATAGACTGTTGGGGAAAATATAAATTAGTACAGCCACTATTCAGAACATTATGGAAGTTTCTTAAAAAACTAAAAATAGAACTACCATATAATCCAGCACTTCCACTGCTGGGCATATATTCAAAAGAAAGGAACTCAGTATATCAAAGAGGATATCTGCCCTCCCATGTTTATTGCAGCACTATTCACAATAGCCAACATTTGGAATCAACCTAAGAGAAAAGCATATGTTTTATAATTAGAAAACTTTGGGCATATGTTTTTATAGATTGGTATATGGATATTTACATATACATAGAGTGTATATATAATGTATTGCTTAAGTATTTGGCACTGCTTTTTAAAGACAAGGATTAGCCTAGAGTTTAGCATTACAATAATACAAAATAGACATGGTTCTTCCCTTTATAGACCTCATAGTTTAATATGACAAACAAACTTTAAATGATATAGTGTTATAAGTTATAAAGATAACCACATGTGAGCCAACATGGTTAGTAATCACTAAATCTTCAAAATCATTAAGGATCAGAATGGTGGGTTAGAGTTGCCAGGTTGTAAAATGCAAAATAAGTATGTTATTACTGCTCATTACTTTCATTTTCTACCTAATTACTTAATTACTTTTAAGACTTGATGGGAAGGTAAAAAACAAATATGGCGAAATTACATATTTGATGCAAGCTATTAATGCATTAGACTGGGAGGTATAATACATTTTTGATGAGTTATTAATTGGAATTTTTACTTGCATCATCCTTGCTGAGAATATCTTTCTTTATCCTTCTGTAATATAAAATTTATAGAAATACTGTAGCGGGAGAGGTTATGCAAAATTTTTAATTTTAAAGATATTTTACAAATTTTGCATAACCTCTCCCACTACAATTGTACTTCTATAAATTTTCCAAAAAAACTATTGTAAATGTGTTGCAAAGATATAGCAAAAGCATATTCTCTGTAGTACCCTTGTGATTATTTATCTATATTATGATATAGGATAAAATGAAATATTTCATTAAAAAATCATCAAAAAATATAAAATCATGAGAAATGCCCACACATAAGTATTTTGTATAACAGAGTATATTGTATTTTATATAATATTTACATGTACTTTATACAGTATTCATACAAAGGTTATTAACAGTGGTTATTACTTGAAAATGGGGTTAATCAAGATTTTTATTTTCTCCCTTTTGCTAATGTGTATTTTCTAAATTCATAACTTTATAAATTTTAAAGCTCTTATTAAACCTAATTTGATAGTAATAAAAAGGTTTGCAAATCTCTTAAAAAGGAACTCAGTAGAATTACTTACCCTAGTCCCAGCAGTTGACAAACATCATTTGAAATCTGGGTGGTCCAGTTCTCAGCACAAGCTGTATGCCATATGCTCTGGATTCTGAACCGCACTAAACCATTGTTGTTCGTTGTGCCATTGAAAAAACGCACTAAAGACACAGAGAGCATAATGGTAGTTACCAGAGACTGAAGGGTGCGGAGTATGGGAAGACATCGTTCAAAGAGTACAGAGCTTCATTTAGACAGGAGGAATAAGTTCATGAGATCTCTTGCACAGCACTGTGACTATAGTTAATAATAATGTATTGTATATTTCAAAATTTTGCAAAATTTCAAATTTTCTCATCATGAAATATGGTATTTAAGGTGATGGATAGGTTGATTAGCATAATTCAATCATTCCTCAATCTCTCTCTCTCTCTATATATATATACACACTTTTTAAATATGTATATACACATTCTCTGTATATACATTCTCTCTCCATACTTTCTATTAATATATATTATATATAATAACATCACATTGTAACCCATAAATATATAGAATTAAATTTTTCAAATATACAGCAAATTTTTTGGAAAAATTAACAAAAAAAGAGACATTAAAGAGATTAGATTACACATGTGGTCATTTTGACCTAAATTGATAGGAGTAAATTATGGCCTCTAAACTAAATGTGCAATGTTCTTAATATTTCGAGTTTAGAGATTGATTGTAGTTTTTCTTAAGAGCATGATGGAAGGTCTAATTTGAAAAATATAAATTTAGTAGACAATTTTGCTCTTTTATGTAACCATAAAAATGGAAAATGCAGAGATATGCAAGTTTATTACAAATCTATACAGCAAATAAACAGAAAATAAAGTTATCTGTGAAGAGTATATATAAGAGTATATATAAACTTAGTTTCTGAAAGAAGGAAACTCAAGTTTAGGGATTACTTTAGGAATTCCCTCCCCACCAAAAAAAAAAAAAAAACCACTTTCTTTGTACTTGCTTTTATACCATTTGATTTCTATCAACTTACTTATCATTTTACAACCATTTTGAACAGAATTTTAAGGCCATTAGTGGCCAGGTAGGGACTGGACCAAGCTAAGCGCGTTCATCAAGGGAGGAAAACATCAGTAATTGTAGTCTTACCTACAAACACTATGTTGTAATTCTATAAAATAATGCTACATTGTTTACCTTTTTTTTCCTATTATGACAAGAGCTAAGAGCAGTGACTACAGAATTATACAAACGTAGGTTCAAAAACAGCTATGGCCCTTACTGGGTGTGCAACCTTTGGCAGCCACTTATCATTTCCAAGCTGTAGTTTCCTCATGGGTAAACTATAGCCGATTATTTTTTTCTTTTTTGAGATGGAGTTTCGCTCTTGTAACAAAGGCTGGAGTGCAATGGCATGATCTGGGCTCACTGCAACCTCCGCCTCCCAGGTTCAAGCGATTCTCCTGCCTCAGCCTCCGGAGTAGCTGGGATTACAGGCACCCACCACCACGCCTGGCAAATTTCGTATTTTTAGTAGAGACAGGGTTTCACCATGTTGGTCAGGCTGGTCATGAACTCCTGACCTCAGATGATCTGCCCACCTCGGCCTCCCAAAGTGCTGGGATTATAGGCGTGAGCCACTGCGCCTGACCAGCTATACCTAATTCTTGTTGTGGATTTTTTTTTTAACTTAGTTACAGTGCATGGTACATAGTACGTAAGTGTTAAATATTTGCTTAGAAATAAAAAGACATAATAAAAGTATCCATTACTCATAATGTTATTGAGGTGTGGAAGGGGAGCTGGAATGAAAACTCAGCAGGGCAGGGGGAGAAAGTGAACTATAAGTAAGCACACAGGTGCCTCTGAATGTGGGCAACAAACAGAAAACAGTAGCCAATATGAGTGGTGCTAGCCTGCTTGGTTTGGAATATTGTCTCTGTGGTATTCTCGGCTTCCTATATGGATATTTGTTGCTCTAGAATTACAGTTAATAAGTGTGACCAAATTGAAACAAACAATAAACTGAGGCCTGCGTATTAACTTTTCTTCTATCCAGATGGGGACAGAGGTGCTAAAATCATCTCAGAGATGAGATGTTCTCGTTCCAAAGCATCAAAACAGGTCCTAATAGACACAGTTATAATCTTTCTTTGACACTGTAGAGTCCAAATGCAGAGGCTAAAGTCATAAAAGTATTTTCCTAAAAATAAGACATACCACAATCTGCTTCATCTGAGCCATCCTCACAGTGCAGATGACCGTCACAGAGATTCACCAGTGGAACACACTCTCCATTTTTACATTGAAAATGGTCTGCCTTGCATGGCTCTATGGGGAAAGAATGTTTATTGTATAGGATAAAGAAAACACAAATGGATGATTCTGGAGTACAAATCCCATTTGCTCCCCTTTAAACATGAGTCCTTTGCCACAGCTCAAGGTGGAACCAGCTTTGATACTGAGTAAATGAGAGTTAATGGGTGCAGCACACCAACATGGCACATGTATACACAATAACAAACCTGCACGTTGTGCACATGTACCGTAGAACTTAAAGTATAATAAAATATATATATATAAAATAATAAACATGAGTCCTTTGCCACAGCTCAAGGTGGAGCTAGCTTTGATACTGAGTAAATGACGAGTTAGTGGGTGCAGCACACCAACATGGCACATGTATACACATATAACAAACCTGCACGTTGTGCACATGTACCGTAGAACTTAAAGTATAATAAAATATATATATATAAAATAATAAACATGAGTCCTTTGCCACAGCTCAAGGTGGAGCTAGCTTTGATACTGAGTAAATGACGAGTTAGTGGGTGCAGCACACCAACATGGCACATGTATACACATGTAACAAACCTGCACGTTGTGCACGTGTACCCTAGAACTTAAAGTATAATAAAATATATATATATATAAAATAATAAACATGAGTCCTTTGCCACAGCTCAAGGTGGAGCTAGCTTTGATACTGAGCAAATGACGAGTTAATGGGTGCAGCACACCAGCATGGCACATGTATACACATGTAACAAACCTGCATGTTGTGTACGTGTACCCTAGAACTTAAAGTATAATAAAATATATATATATATATAAAATAATAAACATGAGTCCTTTGCCACAGCTCAAGGTGGAGCCAGTTTTGATACTGAGCAACACCATCTACTTGTTTGCTCAGAAAGCCTCAGAAATAGTTTCCAAGCTGATGTGTATGTAGCTTTAGAAGAGTGTGGATGAAACCTCAGACATCTCTTTTGCAGCAAAACTCAGGGAATTTCTAAGAGGTGGCTGAGAGGTTGTCAACTCACCTCTTCCTCGTAATTTCGTTAGTATCTCTTCAATAAACAAACTCCTCCACCCCAAACGAACATACAAGCAACAACCATTGAACTGTTACTCAAGCACAGAGAGGTCCCCTGGCCTCACCATCCAAATGATACTTCCAAAACTTTGTAAGAAAGAAATGTGGAAGTTGTCTGTTGGTGAGATCAAAGTTGGATTGGGTCGGAAACAGAAGGCTCAATTAAAGCTTGGTCAGGCAGGAAAGGGTAGTTACAAAGAAATGGAAACTTTGCCGTATCGGTAATGTGAAAAGAAGTTGAGGATAGAGCTCCAAACAAGTACAGCAGTGTTGGAGGCATGGGCATGTGCTTGGCACATGGAGACACAAAAGGAAAATGAAAAACCTGGGCAAAGAAGAAACTGGGTAGATCTGGAGGCCGTTGGTGGTGGTTTCCAGAGTTTGGGTTGTGCAAAAAGAGGCCTAGTGGAAACATTCCTTATTTAGAAGCAGCTACTGCTGTTTCCTGAGATTGTTCGGTCTTTAAAAGTTTTGTTCTGGGAGAGCCCTCATATCACTGGGAGAGAGGGGTTTGCTTCCCTCTTCCAGTGCTTTCTGATTATGGCTTAGGAGGTACAGTTATGTGCTGGAAGGAGAGTAGGAACTCCATGAGGGCCACTTGGAATTTGGTTCCCTAACAATGGTGATGGCTGTCAGGTGTGGAGAGGCTCAATGTCTTATCCCCTACATGGCACGTGAACAATCATATGGGGAAGCAAAAGCACTTGATAAAAATAAGAAACAGGGAAGCTTCTATTTTGAAAACTATTAGTGACTATTAGTCAATATAATAACATTACTATTACATTGCTTTCAAGGAGACTCAGTTCAGGTTAATATGATTTCAGAAACAAATTATAAAAATATCCATGGAGACTTTCTGAATTTATGATGACCAAACATAAAGCCACTTGAAAGGAATTATTCCTGTTGTTTTAGAATCTAAGTTGTAGACTCACATCTGAGAGTACTGAAAAATACCATTACACTTCTAAAGAGAGGGACTCAGTATAGCCATACTATACTTATTGAAAAAAATACCAAAAGTAGTCCAGCAACTATCAATATCCATCATCTATTTTCAGCTTTTTAATAAAAGGGCATTAGAGTATTTTTCTAAAAAATATATTGAATAGAGTATTTGAGGGGGGGTGTTTTTATGGGGGTAAGGGGAGGGTGGTGCTATCCAGCAAACCAAGTGTGGGATGCCCTAAGAGAATCAATTCCTAATTGAGTTGCCTGAAAGAAGCAAGGTCAGCATCTAACTCCCTGGCCAAAAGTTGACTACACTGCATAACCACAAGGACCAGGCTTTCATGGGACTAGTGTAAGGGCTTTCAGATTTTTTAAAACTCTGACATTAGTATGAAACAGATTTTAAGTAATAACTCTAGGATACACATCAATGTGTGTGTTTGTGTGTGTGTGTGTAACTAAATTAAAATTTGCTTTTACTCTGTTCTATTATTTCCCATCCCATCCCATCCCATCCCATCCCATCCCATCCCATCCCATCCCATCCCATCCCATTCTATCCTATCCCATCCTATTCCATCCCATCCCATCCCATCCCATCCCATCCCATCCCATCCCATCCCATCCCATCCCATCCCATCCCATCCTATCCCAACCCATTCTATTCCATAACAAGGCATAAAATTTGTTGGGTAGTGAAACCAAATAAATTCATTTCACTACCCTGGTTTTTGATAAATACCAGGATAAACTGAAGTATACTGAAAATATTAATGAGACAGTGACATTATTTTCCTGAAGTTTGTGGGCAGATAGCTGTGTAAATAAAGATTGGTATCAATTCCTATGAAATGAAATCAGAAGTTAGGAAGTTGGCAAGGTGGACACTGGAAAGATGATCAGATGACAACTGCCTGGCAGGGAAGCCCGGCTCTAGCACAAAAAGTGGAGGAATGGAACCTGGGGATTAGGGATTCGGAGCTGAACCAGTTTATAAGAGATTATTGTACTATAAGAGGTGTATTGTCTATAGTGCAATATTCCAGGGCTGGTGGAACAATGCTCTGAAGAGCTCACAAGTCTGTTTCACAACAGAGCTGGCATTTGGCCAGAAGCTGGTGTTTGCCAAATGAAAACTACAATGGTAAAAATAAATAAATAAATAAAAATAAAAACTTCCTATCTTCCAACATTGGAACGATGGGAAGATGGGGAAAAAAGGGAAGTGGAAACTAAAACAAAGACAATATTTCCACCCTCCTCTGCCTTAAGTTATTAAGCCAAGGTCTGTGCCTGAGTTGAGGGATAAAAGAAGCTTTGAATTAGATGATATAAAAGTGTTGATATTATACTTGACTGTTCATTTTAACACTTACAAGTGAGTGTAAGTTACTCAGATAAAATGATTTAACACCGGAAGTAACTGAAAAAGTGTAGAGATCTGCCTGAAATATTCAGAGCCGAAAAAGGAGATTTGAATTAAAATAGAGACAAATGAACCTTTTGTTTTGCTTATATGGTCATTGAGGTCAGTCATTCTGTAAACTGAATATACAATATGCCAGCTGTAATACCCATAAAGCCATGTTTTCTCATCTTTGTATGTCCAGGTCTTGGTGAAATGTCTTTCACAAAGCAGGGAATAAGTAGATATTTTTAAAACATAAAGTAAATTAATGTATGTTAAAAGATTGATATGCCTCAAAATAAGTATGAAGCTTAGTAATAGAGTCAACGTAATATAAAGCAATTTTTAAAACTATGATTTCAAATAAAGTTTAAAATTTAAGATAATTGGCTGACGGTAATTCTAGTGATTTGAAAAAAAGAAACAATTTTATGAATTATGAAGATATAATTTACTTAGTTAAATTTCAATAGTGGTTAAGACACAGGACTTAAAGTAATATGACCTTGGTTGAAGGTGCAATTTAGCCATTTCTTTTAATATTTCTTTGACCTTGGGCAAAGAAATTAGCCTGAGGCTCAGTTTCTTTGTCAATAGGAGTAAATACTACTTTTGTCTTTGGTGTGTCAGGAGAACAAATTTTATAAGATAATGAAGTGTATTTATCATACCAATACATATACAGAGAATACGCAGTAGATAATATTTTTAACAGTAAAAACAGTAACAGTAAAAAAAAATCTTCTTCACCGATTTTTTTTTTTTTTTTTTTTTTTGAGACAGAGTTTTGCTCTTGTTGCCCAGGCTGGAGTACAATGGCGCCATCTCGGCTCACTGAAACCTCCGCCTCCCGGGTTCAAGTGATTCTCCTGCCTCAGCCTCCCAAGTAGCTGGGATTGCAGGCATGTGCCACCACGCTGGGCTAATTTTGTATTTTTAGGTGAGACGGGGTTTTCTCAATGTTGGTCAGGCTGGTCTCAAACTCCCGACCTCAGGTGATCTGGCCGCCTCGGCCTCCCAAAGTGCTGGGATTACAGGCGTGAGCCACCGCGCCCGGCCTTTCACTATTTTTCAAGTTAACATTTTTACTCCATGTGCTAGTTGTGCTGTTTCTCCCTACGAATAACAAAATAAATAAGAAAACATACCTAATCCTTTCCTCTCAGTATCTTACAACAATAATTGGAGCTATTTGTATACTCTACTTTAAGCTTTGAAGAAATCTGTATTTTTTCATCTGAAATCTAAGTTACCTTAACAAGAAAATATTTTTAGAAAGCCATGGCTGGTTGTTTCTACAAACCTTTATACCATGAGAAAATCTGGTTACATATCTCAAAATATAATGCTATTACGGAGGTTCTTGAAAATGTAATTATCAATTTGTTTCACAAACATATTTTTAAACCAGATTAGTGAGATGACAAATGGGCAGAGATAATTACAGATTCTAAAGACAGCATTAATACTTTGACTATATATTTTATCTTTCTGGTATTAATTTTCCTTTAGAAAATTGGAAGTCTTAAATGTAGGTAGAAGTGTTTGTATTCATATATTCTGTCTTAAATATATATTTTAATATACTTTATTTAAAAAGTTGACAGCATGAATTACATGTCCATGATCAATTATATTGATATACTTACAGAATGTTAGTCACCACCCTTTATTTTTAAATTATCTTATTACTTTTTTCATAGCTTACTGAAATCACTATGTAAAAAATGAATTCTCAATGACAATAATTTAATCTTATATACATTTACTGATAATTTTACCCTTTTACTAATGTAGATAGGCAACATTTAATTTGAAAATCACATACGAGTTGAATGGAAACAGACAAATATCTGAATTAAAATTTAAATGATAACATAAAAATGTTTTAAAAATGTAATTCATTTTTGTGCTCTAGCTGAAGCTGTTAGGGTTATATTCTATGAATCCAGAAAAATAATAACTTGTTTCTATAAGCTGAATGAACTGGATGAAAAAATGCTGAATGGGGAAAACTGATCTATTGTTACTGAACTGAACAGAAATTTTAAAATCTGAGAAGTATAAATAAGCTCTTTCAAAATTTTCCTTACACGCATAAACTGGATTCTGATTTTTTGCAACATACAATAGTTCAGCTTCATTAAGCAGTCTTTAATCCAACAGTTTAACTCTCTCTGGACTCTTGAAATCTTATTTCTGATAGTTTTATGCCCATGGTGAGAGAAAGAAAAAGAAATATTGCTAAGAATTGAATTTCCCCATCTCCTTTTTATGAAGTCTCCAGTAGCGTTGCCTCATTTAGTAACATACGCTTGGTTTAAAATGGAACGAAATTGATCTCTAAGCACATGCCACACAATCTGGGGAGGGCTCAAACCCCCTAAATGTAATCAGCTGCTACTTCCACAGTTGCCTGATAAACACTGTTGAATTCCATCGTTAAGACTCTGAGTATCAGAAAAGAGGAATAAGGGGACATTTATAGGAGACAGATCTTAATAAATCTATATTACATATACTTTATTACAGTAGAAATGGAAATGTTAGGAACATAGTACAAAGAAAATAAGATACAAAAATACACTATACAATTGTGTTAAATTTCAACTGGATGCTTGGAAGGTGGCCCTAAAATAGCTCCAGAAGACAAGTGAAGCAAAAACGATTTTTTTCCTTCTTTTTTTTTTTTTTTTTTTTTGAGACGGAGTCTCACTCTGTCGCCCAGGCTGGAGTGCTGTGGCGCGATCTCGGCTCACCGCAAGCTCCACCTCCCGGGTTCACGCCATTCTCCTGCCTCAGCCTTCCCAGTAGCTGGGACTACAGGTGCCTGCCACCACGCCCAGCTAATATTTTGTATTATTAGTAGAGACGGGGTTTCACCGTGTTAGCCAGGATGGTCTCAATCTCCTGCCTCTCGATCCGCCCGCCTTGGCCTCCCAAAGTGCTGGGGTTACGGGCGTGAGCCACGTGCCCGGCCGCAAAAACGATTTTTGTTGCCCATTTATAATTTTTTCTAAAAGAACCACCAAAGTAAAGTGCCAGGATGTGTGTCCAATCTCGCTTTCCCTTACCAGCTTAATTAGCCTCCACAGCCAAGTCCCTGTTTCTGTAATTGCTTTTCAGTCTTTGGGTATAAAAAATCTCGACGGAAGCAGACGGTGCTGATGAAAACTCAATCATTCCATTACTCACTTCCCAGCAGCATCTGTCCTATGTCTAGGAGGAATGTGAAACCACACTCCCCATGTATTTATCATGCAGTGATGGGCATTGAAGACTCCATTCTAGCTTCAATCAGGGGGATTTTCCCTTAAAAATAACTTCATACATTACATACTAATTTAACAGTATAAATGAAATCTAGCTATAGGCAAAAGAAATCTAAAGAATCTATACACCATAAAATTGGTGTCTTTTGCGTTGAGAGAAATACATTGTACTCTGTTTTTGAGTTTGATCTTGAATCAAAGTTGCTGATATTGTTTTTCAAAATCTTTGACATTGTGTTAGTTTCATTATAAGAATCTGAGACAGGAAATAAATGCTGATGAGGATGCAGAGAAAGGGGAACATTTATACACCTTTGGTAGAAATGTAAAATAGTACAGCCATTATGAAAACCAATATGAGGCTCCTCAAAGAACTAAGAAATATAAAAACTAAAAATATAACTACCATATAATTCAGGAGCCCCTCTGCTGGATATTTATCCAAAAGAAAGAAAAGCAGTATATCAAAGAGATATCTGCTCATCTATGTTTACTGCAGCACTATTCTTAATAGCCAAGTTATGCAGTCAACGTAAGAGTCCATCAACAGATGAAAAGAGAGAGAGAAAATGGTATCTTTGCATAATGGAATATTATGCAGTCATAATAAATAATGAAATCCTGTCATTTGCAACAACATGGAGGAAACTGGAGGACATTATGTTAAGTGAAATTGCCAGGCACAGAAGGACAAATGTTGCATGTTCTCATTCATATGTGGGAGCTAAATTAATTGATTTCATGAAGATAGTAAATAGAATGGTGGTCACCAGAGGCTGAGAAGGGTAGTGGGGAGGGAGGATAAAGAAGGGTTTCAATGGGTACCAAAATAGAGTTACATAGAAGGAATAAGATCTAGTGTTTGGTAACACAATAAAATGACTATAGTTAACAATAATTTATGGTACATTTCAAAATAACTAGAGAAGACAATTTGGAATATTCCTAACACTTAGAAATAATAAATGTTTGAAGTGAAGAATATTTCGGTTTCCCAGATTCGATGATTATAAATTGTATGCTTGTATTAAAATATTACATATACTCCATAAACATGTGTAATTATTATGAGTCCATAAAACACAATTTAAACAAACTGTAACTGTAACTTTTGATGGAAGAGATTTGTCTCTGTCTTCCTTTTGACAATCCATTTTCCTCTTTTCAAGTCTTTTCTCCTTTCTCATTTTCAACTTAAAATAGGGGTTTAAAGACCTACTTTTTCTTAAAAATTTTGTTTCAAGATGCTTTAACTTTTGCAGATGGTGGAATGCCATGTGCTGTTAGTTTGTTCTCATGCTGCTAATAAAGACATACCTGAGACTAGGTAATTTATATGAAAAAGGAGAATTAATGGACTTGCTGTTCCACAGGGCTGGGAGAGCTTCATAATCATGGCAGGCAAAAGAGGAGAAAGGCACATCTTACATGGCAGCAGGCAAGAGAGAGCATGTGCAGGGAAACTCCTTTTTATAAAACCATCAGATCTCATGAGACTTACTCATTATCATGAGAACAGCACAGGAAAAACCCACCCCCATTACTCAATTACCTCCCACCAGGTCCCTCCCACAACACATGGGGATCATTACAATTCAAGGTGAGATCTGGGTGGGGACACAGCTAAACCAAATCACCTATAATTATTTCAATTGTTTGGATACCTCAATAAATCTAATCCCTTATCTGTTAGAGCACAGTATTTTTTTAAAAAATCTCAATTACTTCAGGTTTTACTATTTATCTCAGTTTCTTTAAAAGTATAATACTTCTTTCAAAAATCCTTTCCTTGACAGAATTCTTGAAAAAAATTTAGGATGGCCTCCAGTAGAATAGTATTAGGCATTAGGTATTTACTTGCTCTATTTTATGATATTTTGCAGAAGAGAGTACATAATTTTACTGCATTTAAACAAGCAGTTATTGAACCTTGTATATTTTTTAGTTGTGGGATTTTCTCCTTAAAACATGAGAAATATTACTTCATTGTTTTAATGTTCATAATTGAGAGAAATATAAAGCTGATCTTATTTTCAATACTTACAAAAATAATTTTACTTTTTCTGCTAAGAATTTTCAGAAAAATTTCCCTCTTGAAATTTAAAACTTCACACAGAAAATGTTATAACACTGATTCTTGCTCATTAATTTTTTTTTTATTGAACACACTAAGACTTCACGATTTTTCAGGTAATTTTATTCAGATCCAGAAAGCGTATAATTTTTCTTTCATTGTATCTTTCACTATTAGTTTTGATCTGCTTTTATGTTTTCAATTTCAGGAATGTTTATTGTTTTCAAATTTGGTTTGGTGTTTTTTCCTGCATGCCCATTACAGACTCTCATATGTTTCTGTCTCTCTTTACTTATCATTTTTTCATTCTTCATCATGCTTTCCTGCAGCAATTTTTGTGGAAATGTGTGTGTTCTGCACAAGAGGTTTTGAATTGTTGTGCATTAGACCAGAAAACTAGGTGGTTCACACTGCTAACAAAGGCCTCTAGTCAAATCAGAAAGATTTTATTATGGCAGAGTTTCACAGAAAATTGCTATGGCCAAAGACGGCCATCTTCTTCCAAATTTCTTGAAAGGAGACTTTATTGTAACGTCACTTGTGGGAGCTGGTACTGTGCAAAGACTATTCTATCAGGAGCCAAATATTATATAATAATTTAAAAAATTAGGGTCATAATTTTACATATAAAAGTATTGGTGGTAACATTTTGTGTTTTTCTGTCAACTAAAGTTTGCTATTAACTAATTTACTTTCTATATAACAGTAAGAAAGATTTAGCTTTTCTCCAACATTACATAACCAAAGTCTGCTGTATCTTAAATGTGCTCAGTATTAACTACCAAAATGTCCTCAGCTATGTCCATCACCCTTCTATACTTTAAAAGTGTAACTCAAATGTTGAATTAAATTAAAATAATAGGTACACCACAAACAGAAGGAAACTGAAATAGCAGATAAAATAATTGGCAAACAAACATGGTTATAGTATAATCATCAGCAACAAAATAATCAAGAAACAAAATCAGTGATTCAATTCAAGATGACATTTTCAAAATTATCTTGATTAACATTTTCCAAAGCAATGATCAAATTTTCTTCTAAGTTAAATTCTCGCCACACACACACACACACACGCTTATGTAAATACATATCTATTGATATTTGCATCTCAATGTATTTTGTTCTTTACCTAACAAAATCATGTCATTTTCTGTATTTCTTCTTTTTAGTGTACTCTAAGATAAATTATAATTTTGTGTAGATCTCAAAGTATTTACTCATTGTTTTTTATTGATCCATGTCACTGTTGCTTGTAAGTAAACAGATTGGCTTCTAAAATCAGTCACAAAATCCAGATTAATCGATTGAGCTACCACTTACTTCTACCTAAGTAGCATGCATAATATCAGTTGTGCTTCATTTTCAGGGCCAGATGGTAGACCTCTTTATCTGCCATAAAGATTAAGGCAGGCAGCTTTCTGGGATGGTGTCAAAAGCCCTGGTCAGTTGTGAGTGGAGGAACAAAGATAAACATAACCTAATAGTAACTGGATTTTGTATTAGATAATAGGCCAGATGAAGATGAACTATCCAACCCTACCTCTTTTCTAGATATTCAAGTGAAATACATCAATTCCATAAATATTTCTCTTCCTATGGAAGAGAAAGAGAGATGTAGGAAGTAGCATATATTCTGTTTTTCTGACATATTTGCACCTGGAAAGAACCACTGAGTTGCCGGGCAGTTCTATGAGACAATTCATAGTCCAAGTGAAGTATCAAGTTACAAAAAAATTCTCTGCAGATTGTTGAATGCAAATATATGCAAATACTAGATATATGAATATATATATCCATATTCACATATATCCATATATATACACACACATATATACATATATCCATGATGAACATGCCGCTATTTTGTTTGCTCCTGTTGATTATTTTATGGATATACTAAAACACCTAGTGTCGGAGGGTTGGGCACGTCAGCAAATAGCATTAAATTCCTACACTGTGGTGCTTTACTCTGGTTGTCTCCAATAAGTTAATGATGTTAATTATTTAATTGAATGTTGTTGGCATGCCAACAGCTCTCTTGCCTGTTTCCTTCTTTGCTCTCTGAAAATGTTCTTGATATGGGAAACATGACAGTCTTCTTTCCTTAGAGGGTCAAGTATCCTACTTTTAACATTTAACATGGCCCTCTTCAATGAACAAAATTCAACACTCCTTACACATCAGAGAAATCCAAGTAGGTCTGCTTAAAAACTTTTGTGGCTGCCTACTTTGAACGAACTCAGGTAACGGTACTACAGATGTAAAGGAGGAAAAATCATCTTCATTAAGATGAGGAAGAATAAGTGTCACAGAAGGAAAGCATTAAAATCATGATTTTGGCCTTGAAATTCTGTACACCTTTGCTGTTTTGCTCCAAAAGTTATGATGCAATGTGTGATTTATGGGCTCCTACCTGGAATCCCCAAGTGATAGCCAGTAGTAAAGTTTGCTTTAAACCCTCCTCTTGCCAACACATCGTTAGTGATGAGAAGCACAGTCATTCTGTTGGTGGTAGAGAACACATCCTTTACTGGGCCAGGCCCTGTGTACACAGCTGTTCCAAAGGAAAACGAGATAATCAGTGAGATGATCCTTTGGATCTAGAAGGAAATGTACCCCACATCTCAGTTCCCTCTGCCAGACGTAGGGCTACATGTTACATGGCTCGCTCATAGAGCAGCCACAAGTAAATGAACACACACATTCTCTTACATTTTGAACACTTCTCAACAAAGCAAACTTCTCTTTAAATTTTGATATTTCTTGAGGTTTGTGCAACTCTATAATGTAATGATGAATTACTTATAATATATCTGACTTAGTACCACTGCTATTCAAAGCTCATGTTATCCCAGACAAATGACTGACTACTTATAAAGACCTTTATAAAACAATGGAGTTTATAGTCACCTTTACTAAATTTTTGACCAAACATATTCAGTATTTTTTTGTATGTGGAATCATAAACCTAATCTGAAGGATGGATTATTTGGAGATTGGGAATATTAACTACATGGTGGCTTTTAAACCTTTTGCCCTTAATCCCTCAGCTTTGGGGATTTCATAAACAATAAAACATTCTTTACTATATTTCAGCTAATTAAAAAATACATTT
Source organism: Homo sapiens (assembly GCF_000001405.40). Taxonomy (NCBI): domain Eukaryota; kingdom Metazoa; phylum Chordata; class Mammalia; order Primates; family Hominidae; genus Homo; species Homo sapiens. Next base: position 18,327,134 of record NC_000021.9, read on the forward strand.
ATTAAGAAAGTTTTATATGTTGGAAGCCCTGAAAGTGATTCAGTTTCAAAAGACCTTCCTGCCTACAAATTTTAAAACAATAAATCAGAGATCTTTCTGGAATTCTTATTTACTTTTCAATGATTTGTTTAACTATTAACAGATGAAATGATACGTTTTAATTTTTTAGATGATGAGAACTCTGAAGTTTTTATTTGAAGAATAATTTGATCTAAAATAGAAAAACTATTTAAAATTTTTTATAGGTGTATAAAAGAACCAAATTTCAGATTCCTCAGTTCTTGCCACTCTTCTAGTCCCAACAAAATTTTCTTTATTTGTTCTATGTGTGGCTCCCAAAATCCTCTCCCAGGAAGCTCACACTCTAGAACTTTGTGAGATTTTGCTGTAGAATTCTACATAAGGGTTGACTGATGAAAAGGTTGGGGAACCCTCCCCACCACACTGTCCCTTGATGTGCTCTAGAAAATTTTCTCTGGAGTATTCATTGATTAGTTGCAGCATTCATGTGATTGTATCCTGACTGCATATCTATTAGATCAGATTTTACAATACATGATGAATACAAGTCCAAAGCACAGTTAGATAAAACACTTTTTTTGTGTGTGGGAGGGCGATAAAACACTTTTTAGTTGTGCCATGTCATTCATCAAAATTGATCATTTGAGCATCTTTATTTAATGTGTGACTTATCAAGAGACACCTTTTTCTTAAAAATGACCAGTGTGGCCAACATGGTGAAACCCCGTCTCTACTAAAAATACAAAAAATTAGCCGGGCGAGGTGGTGGGCGCCTGTAATCCAATCTACTCTGGAGGCTGAGGCAGGAGGATCGCTTAAACCAAGGAGATAGAGGTTTCAGTGAGCTGAGATCGCACCACTGCACTCCAGCCTGGGTGACAGAGCGAGGCTCCATCTCAACAACAACAGCAACAGCAAAAAATAGTGGTAGTTAGATAACATATTAGCTATTATGTTTGACTGATAGCTTTTTAGTGTGTCAGCATGTATTCTATTATCTATAGAATACACAAAATTTCCTCTATAATAGTACACTCTGTAATAGCACAAAAATTTCCTCTACAAGAGTACACTCTCCCTAGCCTTATTTTAAAATAATCAATAAATAAAAAAGAAAAATAAACTGGTCAATTTTTTGAAGCATTCTCAGGTACCTACACAGAAGCAGCTAGTACTAGAGACACAGCCAAAGTAATAATAAAATGTAAAGTAAAACTCATTAAAAATTTTGTATAACACAATTTGAATAGTTTGAAGTAAAATAAAAACTGATTTAAGAGCTATCTTTGGACATCCGATGTACACATAAAGAGAACTACATAATGGGTGTCCTTAGCTTCTAGTCTCCAATGGGTAGTGCTTGTGGTAGTCAATTAATACCAGCTGGTAGGAACTGATGACTCAAAAATATTGTCCAAAATAGTTAAACTCATGGAGATAGAGAGTAGAATGATGGTTACAAGTGGCTGGAAAGGCTACTGGGAGGGGTGGTGGAGTGAGGATGATCAATGGATACAAAAATATAGTTAGAATGAATAAGATCTAGTATTTGATAGCACAATAGGGTGACCACAGCCAATAATAAGTTACTGCATATTTAAAAATAACTAAAAGAATATAATTGGGTTGTAACACAAAGACAGGAAAAATGCTTGAGGTGATGGATACAGTATTCACACTGATGTGATTATTATGCATTGTAGGCCTGTATCAAAATATCTCATGTATCCCATAAATACACACACCTACTATGTACCCATGAAAATTAAGAACAAATTTAAAAAGTAAAAATAATTAGTCCTGCTTTGTGAAGAACGTTCAAGAAAAATATTCCGTTGTCACTATTTTAAATATACCCTATATTGTAAGTTCCACATAAACTCATGTCACTTTACTATTGTATTTTCATTTTGCAAGTTGTAAAAGAGTGATTACATTAATTAAGAAACGCTCTTTCCATCAGCACAACATCTTGAGCTTTACAACCTTTACAATATTCAGATTGCAGACTTACCTAAGAGCAAGGAATCAGCTTCTTCACCATCTCTTATTTCAACTACATCGTTAATATTTTCTAAGTCAAATTCTTGAAAATGAAGTTGTATATTCTTTCCTTTTTGTGCATTTAAAATCCAAACACCTAAAAAGTAAGAAGTAACATTTAATTTGGAACACACTTGGTGATTTCTCTTAAAAGCTTCACTCTCTTGAGAATTTCAAATAACTTAAAAAAAAATCAATTTTTTTTCCACTTCATGAAAATCAGTGTTTCAAGGTGTTTCTTTTTTCTTTTCATTATTTTTTTTTTGGTAAGAAAATATATTGGTTTAGTCAATTATATTTATAGTAACATTTCAATTAAATTTGAAATTAGTATAATTGATATTTTTATGAAATGGAATACTTTAATCAAAGTTTACAAATATTATTTTACCTCTACAATATAACATTTATGAATATCAAAGGATACTAAAATTATAGTTTCATTTATTTAATTTTCCATGATCAAATTTAGAAGAAAATTAGGTAATTAAAATCCACTTTATAGGACAAGTAAGCTTTAATATTTATTTTAAAATTTTTGCATTTATTTACATTTAGTTCATTAAAAAAACAAAATAAAACAAGACTACCAGCATCAATAAACACTTCTTGTTTTTATTGATTTTGTAAATAATTCAACCTTCAGATTTTTTTCTAGGCTATTCTTCTCTCATTCTGTATTAGTTTTCTCATTCACTCTTAAGAAATATAATTATATTTATATAGTAAAATTTCTGTCTTTATTTTCTGCTCTTTTCTCAGATGCAGGCAAATTTATTGACTTATTTACTGTATATGGCTGTACATATTTCAAATCCAACATGTTCTAAAGAAAAAGCAGAATTATCTCTTTTGCAAACTCATTTATCTTATTCTTCCTATCTCAGTGGCACTACTAATCATCCACTCATAGTTCTCTATGCTTGAAACCTCAGCACCTTCCTTGACCTCCTTTCTCCTACCACATCCGATCAATCACCTAAGCCTGTTATTACTACCTCCAACATCCTTTGAACCCCATTTACTTCTCAACGTCCCTTGCCACCACAACAGGAGTTCAAATCACTATAGTTTCTCATCTCCTAATTGGCGATGCTGATGATTCTCATCCCTTACCATCGATCTCTGATCTAAAATGCAAGCTCGTTTTTATCGCCATTTTCCTGTAAACCATTCAAAGACTCTCCAGTGCTCTCAGAATAAATTCAAACTTCATAACATGGTGTAAAATTCTTTCACACTTCTAATTTTACCCATTACCATTATTTAATTTTTCTTGGAGATTCAAGAAACAGTTGTCTCCTACTTTGGTATGTCAAGGACTCTCCACAGAGTCCTGCCTTTACCCTTATTATAACAGTATTTTGGACATTTTGTGCCTGACAACATATCTGAGTCACCATCTATACTGTGCTACATTTGTGTCTTCTTTACTTACTTCAGATTAAGGAAATAAAGTATTGAATACACATTCGTCAAATAAACAAACATTTTTAAATTTAATAAATTTCTCCAAATTGTTTAAATGTTCCACTTCTTGTTGGATTTTTCAGATTATCACTTTGTTCAAATGATGTTTAAAAGATGTCTTCAGGCCGGGCACGGTGGCTCAAGCCTGTAATCCCAGCACTTTGGGAGGCCGAGAAGGGCAGATCATGAAGTCAGCAGATCGAGACCATCCTGGCTAACACGGTGAAACCCCGTCTCTACTAAAAATACAAAAAAATTAGCGGGGCCTGGTGGCGGGCGCCTGTAGTCCCAGCTACTCGGGAGGCCAAGGCAGGAGAATGGCGTGAACCCGGGAGGCGGAGCTTGCAGTGAGCCGAGATCGCACCACTGCACTCCAGCCTGGGCGACAGAGCGAGACTCCATCTCAAAAAAAAAAAAAAAAAAAGATGTCTTCAGTGTGAAGCAGAGATAACTCTGTTTCCCCAAAGAAGTCAAATTAGATTAGTTGCTGTTTATTTTTTGGGGATGAGGTATTTGTCTACAATATTGGCCCTATATGCACCTATGAAAGTGATGCTCTCTTATCTCTTGATCATCTGAAGGAGCAAGGTTGGCTTTTTCTGAAGACACATTTTTCCCACCACTGAGGCATTTCTTTCATTGACAGAATTTTCCATTTAGCTTAGTGGCCTTAACAAGGCACGACCATGGAAAGATGTTTGTTACCCAGTCCAGACTCCTGAAGTGGAACCTTTGTAGGATGGGCTAGGGAATCTGCATCTCCAACACAATCTTTATGTATCTTTATATGAGTTTATCTATTTAGGAACATTGATGTAGAGGTAGTCTTTATGCAGTTTTAGCAAACTATTTTCTCTAGACAAATTTTTTAGTGATCTTTCTTATAATTTTATTTTTTATACTGGAAATAATTACATTACTGTAGCTATCTGCTTTATTGGCTCTAGTGTATATTTGCAAAAAGTGTGAATGCTACAACTGGTTCTTTACTTTTTAATACTTTCCATTGTCTTTGTCCTATGAAATTGCAAACTTGTTAAACACACTATAGACATTATATGCACAAACAAGGAGAGTGATTTAGAAAGCGGTGTCTGGAGTAACACTGGTTCTCTCACTGTTGTTATTCAACTTCTAAATTTGGAATTATAATAATGACACCTGCTTCAAGAAGTTCTTGTGGGAAATGAATGAAATAATGTATATTGGGCATTAACACAGTGCCTGGCATGAAACAAATGCTATATATATTTAGCAATTATTGTTATTTTTGTTGTTATATTAAGCAATCTTATAGGTAGACATGATAGGCGTACCCATGTTTGACAAATTTATAATCTACTTTGCTGCGTCAAGGGGAGATCTACATTTCATATGGACATTTGTTTCTGATGACCTGGAAAAGAAATGACTCACAGAAAGCCAGATTAGGGTAGCTGTTTGGAAAGTTCGTAGAACTGAATGTTGTATTTGGCTCCCACAGCTCAAAAGGTCCTCCACAGTCCGCTGAAAAGGAAAGCAATGGGAAATCATCAGTAATACAATGTTTATTTCAGAGAGATAATACCATATGCCAGCGAATTTTCAATTACATTTCTTAGAATACAAATTTTGGCAAGTAAATTTTAGAGTCATGTTAGGGTAAATGCTGCAGTTTAAGTAAAGGAAAAATACAGTTAAGTAGATAAGAGCTCTAATGATCAGTGATGTTGAGCTTTTTTTCATGTGATTGTTGGCCGCATGTATGTCACCTTTTGAAAAGTGTTCATGTCCTTTGCCCACTTTTTTGTGGGGTTGTTTATTCTTTTTCTTATAAATTTAAGTTCTTTATAGAAGCTGGATATTGGATCTTTGTCAGATGCATAATTTGCAAAAGGTACCATCTGACACCAGTCAGAATGGCTATTAGTAAAAAGTCAAAAAATAACAGATATTGGACAGTTTGTGGGAAAAAATGAACACTTATAGACTGTTGGTGGGAATGTAAATTAGTTAAACTATGTGGAAGACAGTGTGGTAATTTCTCAAAGACCTAAAGACAGAAATACAATTTGACCCAGCAATTCCGCTACTCGGTATATACCCAAAGGAATATAAATCATTCTATTATAAAGACACATGCACACGTTTTTTCATTGCAGCGCTATTCAAAATAGGAAAGACATTGAATCAACCTAAATGTCCATCAATGATAGACTGACTAAAGAAAAGGTGGTACATATATACCATAGAATACTATGCAGTAACAAAAAATAATAAGATCATGACATTTGCAGGGACATGGATGGAGCTGGAGACCATTAACCTTAGCAAACTAACACAAGAACAGAAAATCAAATTCTGTATGTTCTCACTTATAAGTGAAAGCTAAATGATGAGAGCACATGGACACACAGAGGGAAACAACACACACTGGGGCCTTTCGGAGGGTGGAGAGTGGTAGGAGGGAGGGGAATCAGGAAAAATCACTTGTGAGTACTAGGCTTAATAGCTGGGTGATAAAATAATCTGTACAACCAACCTCCATGACACGAGTTTACCTGTGTAACAAACCTGCACTTGTTCCCCTGAACGTAAAAGTAAAAAAGAAAATTGGAAAAAAAAATAGATAAGAACTTCTCAAAATTTCTTTAGCATTCTTATGGCCTTTGTGAATCTTCAAGAAAGCAAGATAGTGCACAGCACTTCCCTAAAATTATTTGTACAAAGGAAATTTTTTTGTCAAATATCTTTTATAAATAGGTTTCATAAACTAAGATATAAAATCCCTACTGTAGAAAATGTTTACTTAAAATAAAACAAATTCAATATTTACCACTCTCTAACAAGAAAGGCTAGTAAATCATTTAATTCTGCAATTCTTGATTTTCCTTTTTTTTTCATTTTATTTATTTATTTTTTGGTAGTCTTAAGGGGAAGCTTCACTATTCTGCACATGGATAGTAAGGAAAGGGAGACAAAATGAAACTTCATTTGCTTAATAAATGCTTAATCAATGCCCCGATCTGGTAGCCAACATTGCGCAGAAGCCAGGTTGAGACGGGTAATGATTAAGGCAAATTTATTAAAACAACAGAGCAGAGGTCTTCCAGCTCAGAGTCTGACACTTTAAGTAGGTAGATTAACTTTATAAAATTCTTAACATACTTTGTTGTTTCATTTATTAGAAACAAATTCTAAAGTAATGTAAAAAATCAACTATTTTAAGCATTCTAATTGTATCTAATTCTTGTTACCATTATTATGTTTTAAAACAAGACCAAAAGAAGAAAAGTAATCTCATTTGAAGAATGCAGAAAACTGGAATAAATATATTCTTTTCTATTATGAAAGGCATATAATACTGAGATTATTTACCCCCAATAAACTAGAAATCAGATTTTGGGAGGGATAATTAAGTGTCTCTACATCTATGACAGTGTTGATAGCCATACCCTCTTCCTTAATCTCTCTTTCATATATGTTCTGCCTTATTTATGTAAGTCACTTGAAATTCATGTGCATCTTCAAAGTTTATATGTAACACACTGCTTAGATTTGGGTTTCATGATGCATATGATGGGACAGGAAGGCAATTACTCTGACTCAGTGTTGGGATCTTTGCCAACCTGTCCTGTTCTGTAAAGAGATAGGGCATGGTCCTGTTCTTCATGCCTTTCAGGGCCAGGTTTGTCTAGACCCAGATGAACTTATCAAAATAATAAAATGTTTTACCAAATCTTGCAAAGTGCTTCCATGCATGTTATCTCATATGGGGAGAGAACGCAATGTATAAGAGGAGGATTTGTTGGAGCTGGTGGATGAAAATTGTGGCTCTGAGTTAGTTGTCTTGGAGACAACTAGATATATATTAAGGATTTTTTGGATTGTTGTAAAATTAGACATAATTTAAGAAATGTTCCTTTGCATTACCTGCCATACTTAGTACTGGTTTTCAAGGCAATCTTGTGGATTGGGTAATTACTATTATTACTTCAGTTTTACATGGAAAATCTGAGAATTACAGATATTCACTTGCTTTTTAATGCCATACACAGCCACCTAGTGTCAAAGTCAAGACCTCATCATGGTTAATCTCGAGCTCATCCCACAGTAATTTACTGTCTCCTATTGGGTTGATTAAACTTTGGATAATTTCCACCATCTGGTTCACACTGCCATAGGCAGGGTTTAAATTGAGTCTCTATAATTGGCACTTGATACGTACATAACAAAAAAAGGAGGGCAGTGGATGAAAGCACTGACAAGTAAGGTCAAGGATGGCTAAACCTAGAAGGAAGAAGAGAGTGTACATGGGGTGCCGAGGAAGGCATGTGAACCAAAGAAGGAACAACAATGGAGAACAAGGGCAAGTTCTCAACAGGAAATCATGACTAATTTACAAAGATTTCAGAAGAAGGGTCTACCACAATCCTATAACCTCTACATACACATGGCACATTTAATTTCAATAATTCTACATTGCTATGAAATACTTCTTTTAAACCTTAATGAGACCAGTGAAGGAGGGAATGTCTAACTAACTTCAGGGACAAATATTACACTCAGATATAAGACTGGGAAAAATTAACTTCCTATTTCACAAATTTAGCAGTGGCCAATACTGGGTTTTTAAAAAAATCTTTTTGTGTTTTTGTTTTTTACCATTATTCTTATTTTATCCTCAAGTAACAGGAAAAATGTAAAACCTTATATTCCTGATAGAGTAAATAGCTGAGATTTGGAAAATGCATTGGATTTTGACATAATTGAACACTTAGTGTGCTATACTTAAAGATGAGTATGTAGGATGTTAATGAGCACATAACAAGAACTCCAACGTTGTCAAGTGTAATAGTTAAGCCTGTCAAGGCAGGCAGTTTACTTAGGATTTCGCCACTAAACACAAGTCTTGGAAAATGCATCCCTTTAAAATACTTAAGTACTTTTTGAAATGCATTTAAATCATAATTATCAAATAACTGACCAATAAGACATCTCTGATCCCTGGCCTGATAAAATAGATCAGTTACTCTCTGCATATAAATGACTGTAAAGAATTGGTAAAAACACTTTAAGTCATTCTAAATATGACACAATTTATTTTAATGGTGATGTTGTTCTAGCAGAGATGTGGCATGTGCTTCTAATAGAGAAACAAAAGATTCATGAAATGTAATTCCAAATATCACAGTCATGCTGTGCCATTAGGTAAAACATCCTCAGCCAGGGAATGAGAGTAAAATAGCCTGTCTGGTATAGGGAATTATATTCATTTATAGTGTTAAATTCCTTTTTTTTTTTTTTTCTGGGAGCTGTTCTCTCAAACACTTGTGTTCTGATTAATTTCTTACTATGCCAATAGGGATTTCCACTGCATATACTATGTAAATAACATGCAGTATTTGGCAAAGTGGTTGCCAAGGATAGATATTTTCCTTGATGCATGTCATTTTTTACTCCATGCTTAAGCTTCTGATGTCCGTGAAATGTGTGTTAATGCAGAGGTGTTTACTGAGGGGTGGAAAAGAGAAGAGCCTAGCTTTCATCTACAATAAGAGGGTTTTAATTAAAGATATTTATGGCAAAACAAGAAATGAGAATATGGGAAAAATAGATTTTTGATTGATACTTTATGTGATAGAATTAATAGATGTAGCTTGAGAAATAATACCTCCTATTGATCGATGTTTGAATATATAAAAAGTGGCTAATTTTCAAAATTGGCTATTGTTTTTCATCATTATTGTAATAGATACACAAATCTTTTGGTATCACAAATAGCATTTTAAAAGTTTAGGTTGTAATTTAAAGTAAAATGTTCCATAAAATTTTGTGTTCATTTGATCAAAATTTATGTTTTCATTAACAAGTTATAGTGATCATTCCTGATATAAATATTTTTATTAAATGTGTAACAATAAAGTTCAGATTTTTATTCTCTGTACTCTAAATTTGGTTATCAATAAAAATCCAGACAATGAGAGCTCAAAAACGTAGGCTATTAGTTTGCTTTGTTTTGTCTTGTTTTGAGATTGAGTCTTACTCTGTTGCCCAGACTGGAGTGCTGTGGCTATTCACAAGCATGATCGTAGTGCACCCGAGCCTTGAACTCCTGGCTTCAAAGCATCATCCTGCCTCAGGCTTCCGAGTAGCTTGGACAACAGGTATGTGCCACTGTGCCTGGCTCAGGCTATTAGTTTTAGAGGTAAAATAATTAAATCAAAATAGAACAACCCAAAACACACTGATCAACTAAGCAAGCAGTTCTGCTGAATATGGCCATCAATTTCAAGAGAGGTAGAGAGGTAGACAGGTACTGATTGATTCATATCTACATGAAGAACTAAAGTTAGATTATTTAGCTCTAAGTATTAGGTCACATCTACAAAACTTTCCAAATTAACTTTTTTTTCTTTCTTTTCCCCAGAGAGACAGGGTTTCGCCATGTTGGCGAGGCTGGTCTTGAATTATTGGCCTCAAGTGACCTGCCCCCCTCAGCCTCCCAAAGTGCTGGGATTACAGGTGTGAGGTACTGCACCCGGCCATGCCAAATTACCTTTAATTTACATTTGGAAGTAGAAAATGGCTTTAAAAATGGTGAAATAAAGAAAAACTGTGGAAATAAAGAGTGAATATTGAAATATTTAATACTATAGCTAGGTGTTTTGTTTTTGTTTTTCTTTTTAATTAGTTTTAAAAGCCCCAGAAATAAGCCAGGGGCCTGAAATGTGGATTTTGTTTTGTATACACCTATTTCTATTCAGTAGGTATCTTGTCATGAATCATCAAAATTGTTTTAAATTGGCTTGATCATCACGTAATGGAATGTTTATTCTCTTAAAGTGTACTCAGCGCAATCCCCACATTTAAATTCATTTGTACCAACATCACAGAGCAACAATTGTAGAATCAATGCAGCAGAAAGTTATTAAAGTCATGAAATGGAATAATCTCTGTGGTTATGAAAGCCGAACTTACATTTCCTCAGACTAGGCACAATGTGGGTTCCCAGGAAAGAGGGAGGAAACTGAGCGTTATTACTCAGTCACTGATCTGGGACTGTTTTCTTCTTTAAGTGCTCTATACGAACCCAAAGAAAGGCTATTAGCCAGTCAGCCATGGTTTCCTTTTATTACTGCTTAAACAAGTCATTGATCTGGAACCAAAAAAGCTCTACTCAAATAAGAATTTCACTGAACCAATTGCAAATGGCATTAGAATGAAATTTTTCAGAATACATTTGATGGTAATTAATGTTTTCTGCTGTGAAAAATATTGTCTTGAAGTGAACCATTTGGAAACTGGAACAAATAGACTCCGGGCAGATTCTAAAGTTTATATTTTCAAATCAGATGGGTTATTCTTTCATTATAATTTCCCTATTGTTAAAATAGACAGGGACACCAAGCTTGACATAAAGGTGCTATCTTTTTCTCTTTCTGATTGGAATATAAATATGAAGACTATAAGGGTCATATAGATACATTTTTAACTTAAGAAATCATATTTAAAATTTTGTTTCTATGTATGATATGATGTAAAAAAGTTACCTCAAATTTTCTATTTTAGGTAATGGTGAGATGGTGCTACATTTTAAATATCAGGTCTAAGAAACTATATTACTTCCTCCTAGAAAATTTTTCTTCTTTATTATTTATGAATAAATAGGGGAACAAACTAGCAAAAAGAATTATCAAGAAAATCTATCATGTTAAATGATTGAAATATCAAAATAGCAAAATGTTGCTGATATTTGGTATCTGTAGGAATAATTACTATTTATCAAGCAAGCCATGATTTTAATGATGCTGAATGTTGTTCTTGCAAAAAAACTCTTCCATATAATAAATAGGTAGGGTGTGGGTCACCTACACAAAATGAAGTGAGACAATTATTTTTAAACAATGCCCCAAATCCAAAATTACTGCATTTATGTGGGTATTTTTTCCTACACCCATCCCTACCATCATTTCCAAACTTTAGTTTTGGTACCAAAATTTTGTTTAACAAAAGTTTCATGTCACCAAAATAAGAGTATATCCAAAAGAGAGAGAGACAGAGACAGACAGAGAGAGAGATAAAGAGAGAGAAAGAGAGAGAGAGGCTTAGTCTGTCTCTAATAGTATTTACTGATCACCAATTATTGTGATGTTAGGAATCAGTCATACACTGGTAAAGCAAAGGTAAATTTGACCTAGAGTTTGCTGTGAAGGAACTCACTTCTTGTCACAATTTTATGACCAATATTATTCCATGAGAATGTATGGTACTTTCCTGCTTTTGCATCCATTTTATGAGTATCATTCCGTCTTTTATCTGCACGCTTCCTTAAAGCCTTCTTCTGCTCACATTTTTTTTTTCTCCAAAGTCCTCTATCACTTACTTCTCTCATGTATTACTTTTAGGGGCATATAATTATACATTGCTTCAAATATTTATTTATATATTTTTTCATGTAGTAATGGTTATTGCTACATCTTACATTTCATCTGCAGTGTTTAGCAGATGGCAGATATTTATAAAATTTGAATGAATGATTAAATATTGAGTAACATATATATCTCATATAAGCATCTAAACATGTTAATACACAAGATAGTAAAAGCAAACCGATCTTTTGGAGGAATGTAAGTGCTCATTCAATATGGTGGCATGGGATCAATATGACAATATAACTACTGTCTTCAACCTAATGGTAGCTCATTTGTTACATGTTCTTAAATACCCATAATTAACCTTTAGATCCTTTTCATTGTTAAAGCCACTCATCTGAAAAGTCTGCTTTTTTTCCTTGAAGATTGGAAGCAGAAAAAGATATAGTTTTGGAAGTAAACCAAATTTGGATAGGCTCTCCAAACTGATTTGCTGATATAATTTGGTAAAAGTATTAAGTGTGCTTCAAAGAAAATGAGAAATGGAAAAAGTACTGCGTTTGTGGGATCAGATCCATGCAGAACAAAACACACATGAGGTTTAACCCAAGCAAAGCCGTAGAGCTAAGTCAGCTTCCAACCACCACAATCCAAAGAAAAAAGCATTGTTTTTTTTGCATAAAAACAAGTGTAGTGAAAAAATCCCTATAGAAAGTCAGTGGATGTTTGTAATTATTTATTATCATAGGCATTTTTCTTTTTCTTTGTTTATCTGTCAAACCCCTAATCTGAAAGTAGTATGAAGTGATTGTCTTCTTTGACATGGATAATTTGAATGGTAATGGGTTTTGTTCTGAAATGTCACGCTTCCAATTTGACTTAAGAGCACAAGTAGACACAGGCTCGATTTGGTTCTTTTGACTTAAAAGATCTTATAGGACATTGTGAACCTTGGTCACTTCTCAGGAGTAACACATGAGTGGATCCATGAAAGAAACATATGCCAAAGCCTTACAAAGGTACTGTGATAGTTAATATTGAATGCCAGCTTGATTGGATTGAAGGATGCAAAGTATTGTTCCTGGGTGTGTCTATGAGGGTGTTGCCAAAGAAGATTAACATTTGAGTCAGGGGACTGGGAAAGGCCGACCCACTCTCAGTCTGGGTAGGCACAATATAATCAGCTGCCAGCACAGCTAGAATAAAAGCAGGCAGAAGAACATGGAAGGATTAGACTGGCTGAATTTTCTGGCCTTCATCTTTCCCCCATGCTGGATGCTTCCTGCCCTCAAACATCAGACTCCAAGTTCTTCAGCTTTCAGACTCTTGGACCTACACCTGGTTGCCAGAGGCTCTCAGGCCTTTGGCCACAGACTGAAGGCTGCACAATCAGCTTTCCTACTTTTGAGGTTTGGGGACTTGGACTGGCTTTTTTGCTCTAAGCTTGCAGATGGCCTATTATGAAATTTCACCTTGTGATCATGTGAGTCAATACTCCTTAAAAACTCTGTTTCATATACACATCTATCCTATGAGTTCTGTCCCTCTAGAGAACGCTGACTAATACCGCCACTATTTAGGACAAAAATATTTTAGGTGATCTATGTCTGTATGTTCAAAGTCCAGGCTTGATTAGTCATTGTTATTAAATTATTTTAAAAATAGACACAGTAGGTTTCAGATTTAACTAAACTCTTAAAATTACTCCTTAAGAAGCCCACAAAAACCTCAAGGCACCCTCCCCAAAGACTACAGACCATGCCACGTGGCCAGTACAACATTTGTTTGTATTCCAGTGAAAACAAAATGGAAACCAGCTCCTTTATTACTTTCAAATATAAGAAAGATACTAAAATGATCATTAATATGCTCAATAACGAAGAGTGGTTTTCATTGTGGATTTATGTGTAACATGTAATATTTTGCTAGCCTCCATTTGGTTTATATTTTGAAGTCTTTGATTTTCAGGAAAAATAAATAACAGTAGGTTGAGATAATAAGCCAAAGGAAGATCTACCTGAAAATAATTATTGTTTTTTGTTTTGTTTTGATTTTCTAGAGACAGAGTCTTACTCTGTTGCCCAGGCTGGAGTGCAGTGACATGATTACAGCTCACAACAGCCTCAATCTCTCAGGCTCAAGAGTCCCTCCTGCCTCAGCCTCTCCGGTAGCTGGGACTACAGGTATGCACCACTGTGCCCAGCTAATTTGTGTTTGTTTGTTTTGTTTTGTAGAGACAGAGTCTCGCTGTAATCCTCAGGCTGGTCTCAAACTCCTGGCTTCAAGCAATCCTCCTGCTTCAGCCTCCCGAAGTGCTGGAATTATAGCTGTGAGCCTCCACACCTGACGTTAATGATTTAATAAGACAAAATACACATGAAGGTTACTTACTAGGAAGTTCTGGTGGAGGAGTTGGCACCAAAGTTGGTTCTGGATAAAGACTCCCATTGCAAATCCCATATGTTAGGCTAATGTCATCCAACGCAATATCACTCAGGATCTTGTTTTTAAAAGCATTAAAAGCAACCTGCAATTCAGAGAGGCATATGAAACGATTTGATTCCATTCTAATCTTCTCTGACTTGATTCTTCTTGTGAGCCCAAGAGATTCAATATTGTCTAGAGATTCAATATTGTCACCTTGAACTATATGGTGACCGTTACTACATAGTGAAATCTTGACAGATCATGCTTTTTAAATTCTTCTGCTGAACCCAACCCCCTTATTATGTGTTCACACTGGCTAAATTTCCAATGATGTCTTCCTTCTGAATTAGTCAATATTGTTACAGTTTCTATATCTCTGTCTGTGTCTCTCTTATGATATTGTCATATTCCATTGTACTCTGTCATGCATATATATCATCTGGCAGGAGAAAGCAATTTTCTCCCAAATTTCTTCTTTCAGCAATATTAAACATTCAGGTAGTTTTCTTCCTTCTTAGAGCATACAAAGCCTGAAGAGAAAACACACTGGGGGTGAAGGGGACGAGAGAGAGTATGAGTGTAAAACGATCATTCAGGGCCAGCTGTTACTGGTCACAGTTCACCCAGGGTGTTGATGTGGGATACTGTGCAAGGGTGGTGCCCGGAGGACACAGAACGAGATTTGGAAGAAAGGTCCAGTGGCCAGAGGTAACATATTAGGTTCTCAGGAACAGTGGGTATTTTAGCTGTACTTTCCTGGATCCTGTGCTATGTAGAAGAGGAAAGACATAAATTGAATGTCTGCTATATGCTATTTGCTATGCTAGGCACATGGTATACATTGATCTTATTTAATTTTCAACACTCATTCATTCACTCATTTGTTTATTCATTCCACCTACTTCATGCCAGACATTATTCCAGTAGGTATTATTTTCTTCCTTACACATATGACCTAATTAAATTTCAAGGAGACTATGGTGACTTGCTCATGATTTCACAACAAAATGGCAAAGCCAAAGTGCACGTATCTGTAGAACTTGACTCTCTCGCACCACCTCATGAGCTGTGAGAAACTGGATCCAATTATATTACTTTAGAAAAGACGCTCAATGAGTATAGCCACATCTGGCCACTGCAATACTGACTTCCCCTTCTGCTGTCTCTTTTCTCCCTGGCCTTTCCATTTTCCCTTACCCTTCTCTGAATTATCAGAAAACAAAATTGGAGAGGAAACGTCCCATAAAAGGATCAAAGAAGAAGAAAGAAGGAAAAAGGAAGAGAAGGAAAGAAAGAATGATGGGAGGAAAACGGTTGAGAGTCATTAATTATTGCCTTACACCAAGTCACGGGGAAAATCTGAAGCCTTTGATGATGGCAGTGTCTGTCCAAATATACATCTTCTGAAAGTGATACTCTTGTGTTTGAAATTACCCATTTAAAACATTATTAATTTGGTCAAACTAATAGCCTCTATTATGCCATATTTTAATTGCAAAGACCCTCAGGAAGAGAACACATTAAAGTGTTATTTGAAAAATTAATTCACCTTAATGTGAAATAAATGATCAGAGACTTCCCAATGCTACAGCTCATATAATTTGTTTCTAAAGGAAATACATGGAGATTAAATCAGAGTGGGGCAGGGTGGGTGGATGCCTATGGGCATAGGCATAGAAAAGGGCAGGGTTGACCTAGGTGGTATTTGTGAAAAGCTGAAAATTGTAGGTAGGCAGAGGGCTTAGAGATAAATGGTTGGCCTATGCTAGAAAGTTGCTGAAGGAAGCTGAAATATTCTAAAAGACTTCGATGTATTTTATGGACCATTATAAGCTGTATTTTCATTAGTACATTGTTCCTCAATGATGGTTTTTAATAGGCTATTGAATAAATAAAAATAAAATACTCCAAGGTAAAATGTGAGGTAGATTGGGCAAGTAGAGAAAGTGACTTGATTATCTTCAGAAAATACATTAATTTTTTCACTGTATCATTCTAAATATAATTGTTCCACCACAAAAAGGATACAAATATAAATAATAAAGTATTTTGCAAACCTTAAATTTAACTGTTTCATTTAGGGTTACTTGTCCATAATTCCAATTGTCTCCATAATTTCCTTCCTTTTGGAAAACTGTCTTCTCCATATTTTGGTCATTGCTGATATTAATGCTTAATTTATGGACATTTTCACCATACATATGATACCTAGTTTGGAAAGAAGCAAAAATGTTTGGATTCCTACAACATTAGAATAAGTCCTTTTCAGAGCTTTTCTACATTTTTTACTTTCTTTGAAATAATCTTTTTTTCCTTCTGGGTTTTGGAGTTGCTGGGGATGGGGAGAGGTGTCTATCAATGTTTTATTGCTTATCAGTTGGGAAAAGTAATAGTATATGCATTAAAACTTTAGCCAACATCTTAGTGAAATATGAGCCTGGTGGCCTGAGCAAGGCAATGTTACCCATTAAAAAAGACAGCGTTTAAACAGGTGTCTACAACATACCAGAAACTAAGGCAAGCTGGCTCCAAAGTGGGGTCCAAAGGGAGGCTTAAAAGCCCCACTCGTTCTTGTCTCCCTCCTGGTCCAGTTGGGGTAGAAATGTAAAATCCTGTAAAAATATCAAAAAAAATTTATTTCACTTAAATATTGCATTTTCATTGTGTGACAAGTAGACTTTGTAAGCAGGAAAGAAAAACTTTAAGAAGAAAGGTTAAGGAAATATATTTTAATATAGTGGACAGGACACTAGACTCGAGCTCAGAAAGCAGTATTTTTGCCATAACAGATTGTTATTGACAAAAATAGCTTAACACTGGGCCTCCCACTTTATTAAACAAGAGTCTTGAAGTGGAGTACCACCAAGGATATATAAAATTCTGACTTATTATGAGTCACTAAATTATCCAGTCCAATTCCTGACTTAATTCTAGTTTACTAGATATTTTGATTAATTCACATGAGGATATCTAGAGATGCTGGTGGACTAACTCAGAATATACACATATATTTAAATACAAATTTGAAGGCAAATTTAAGAGTTTCTAAGATTTTCAGTTTTATATTTCACTGAACACTTCATATCTCTAAATAAGAACCTGCCTTATTTTAAAACAGTCTTATCTTTCTTTATTCCTATGAACGATAAGTAATCAGATCACTGAGAAGCAGAAAGCATGCTAATCCGTATAAAACTTTCAAAATAGCACAAGCCACTGCATAAAGTGCTTGCTGGTCTGAAATTCATTATTCCAACCAATGATTTCAGTCATTTGAAGTTTGTGAAGGGTTGTTGGGATAACATTTTGAACATTTTCTTAGGGGAATTTATTTTATTCTTAGTTTCCTGCTCACATATTATGACAGGAAGCGAGAATCATGTAACTAAATATTATATAAAGCAAATGTGATGTTGGATTAATCTAATTTGATTGGAATGCAATTTTTTATGAGATGATGAAATTTAGTGTTTACTTGAAATCAAGCATCTTCTCTCTTGTGCTTTGCAACAGAAAAATATAGGCAATGTTGCATATAAACTTTAAACTCATTCATTTATGAGATGCAAAGTAAGAACAAGGCATAAAGAAAAGAAGCTAGTAGAACTGCCTATAGGTATATCAATGCATATTTAGACCAGTGAGGCAAAAATTATTCAGAATAAATGAGTGTTTTATCAAGGTGAAATTATGGTCAAGTGGCTTAATAAATGTAATATGTACACATTCATTTGCTTTGTATGACAAACTGTTAATAATGTGTTTAAAATTTTATATTATTAACACATTACTCCTATTTTATATAATGCTGTAATATTTCATGAGTACATATCTTAGCTATTTTGTTAGTGTTCTAATTATATGACTGCATGGAGAAGAGTGGCCTAGATACAGAAGAGAGGTCCCAGAATCTACTCTTTAAATGCACAACTCCAAATCGCTTTTGAATTTACCTTACTTTTGATTACTTAGAACATAACTGGGGAAGAAATAATTAAAATACCACTGAATGGCTGGGAGCGGTGGCTCACTCCTGTAATCCCAGCACTTTGGGAGGCCGAGGCGGGCGGATCACGAGGTCAGGAGATCCAGACCATCCTGGCTAACACGGCGAAACCCCGTCTCTACAAAAAATACAAAAAATTAGCTGGGCGTGGTGGCGGGCGCCTGTAGTCCCAGCTACTCGGGACACTGAGGCAGGAGAATGACGTGAACCCGGGAGGTGGAGCTTGCAGTGAGCCGAGGTCGTGCCACTGCACTCCAGCCTAGGCGACAGAGTGAGACTCCGTCTCAAAAAAAAAAAAAAAAAAAAAATCCACTGAATATCATGAATAAATACTCAAATGGTTAGCCTATTCAGAAAAATTTCTAATTAGCTACAATTATATAAACACACATCATGCTCCTATTTATGTTTGGCCATGTTCACAGTCAATAGTTATAATTAATTTGAAATAGTTTGAATCTGTTTTTCACTTAGTAAGCAGTGATATATTTGGAGTTTTCAGTATGATCAAAATATGATGCTATGATTTCTTTTGTCAGTGATCAAGTAAAACATAATTAATTATGTAGACTATAGTACCTTATAAATCTTGCCTAGAGTAAATATCATATAGAATTGCATATTATTGAATATAGTAAAATAATATATAACATTAAATTGCTATTTTTGTGATATCAGCTACATTCTTTAGTTAACAAATTAGAAGATGAATAAAAGCCTTCATAAAATGCTAAAGTTTAAGAGTAGAGATTTGCAGTTTACATAAAACTGTACTTAGTCTAACCACTAATTGTCCTTAAATTTCATCTATAACATTTTGCCCTAAGGGATCACTTGATCTCTGGTTAACAGATGCCAGATGCAGAAGAAATTATTCTATTCCAAGGCATCCCATTCCGTTTCAACATGATTAGAAAATTATTTTCTTTTTTAAAAAAATAAGCTTATACGCACCTATTATAACTAATTTTGCCTTGTGGGACTATTTACAATATAACATATTTGTTAGCTCTACAGAAGTTTAAAGGCCACTATTACATCTCTCCTAAGTCTTCTCAAGATTATCCATCACTTTTTTTTCCTTAAATAATTTTATTAAGGCAGTTTCAGTTTGCTTCTTTAATTTGAGAAGCCGTCAATTAGCTGTACATTCAGTTGCTTCCACTTAAAGTATGGAAACTCACATTCACACAACATGTCTGTTGCGCTATCTCACCAGGGAGCAGAGTAGAAACATCCCAACGCATGGAACTATTACTGAAGACAGACCATCATTGTCACTATTTCCAAGTGCATCTCACTTCTAGCTCTCTGAGTCTTCTTGGGAATCATCTCTTACACCATTGCTCAATAATACTTTCTTATGCACAATCAAATTAGCCCCTTATTCAAGATCTTTTATTATCTCTTTATTTCTTATTAAACCAAATACAAATACAGTCTGATATTTGAGGCCCCTGTGTTATGACCTCAATGTCATTTTCCGGCTATTGCACCTATACTTCATCTATTTCCATAGAGCACTTCTGCAAAATTAGATAATTTTAATATTTCCAAACACCTAGAAATTTTTTGACACTTTGTGTCTTCTTTTTTCTCTTTTACCTCCTTCCACTTCCCCTTCCAATTGTACCTTGTTAAAATCGTATCAATTTTTTGAGGTCATTTAAATCAAACTGTCATCTCCTTCAGAAAGCCTCCCAATTAAAAGTAACCACTTTTTCTTTTGAATTCTCGGTGGCACTTTGTACTTCTCTGATGTCATTCGGCATATTCTGTCATGTATATATTTTTTTTCTTGAGATGATGTTTCACTCCATCATTCAGGCTGGAGTGCGGTAGCCAATCTTGGTTCATTGCAACCTCTGCCTCCGGTGGTTCAAGTGAATCTCCTGCCTCAGCCTCCAGAGTAGCTGGGACTACAGGCTCACGCCACCATGGCTGGCTAATTTTTGTATTTTTAGTAGAGATGGAGTTTCGCCATGTTAGCCAGGCTGCTTTCAAACTCCTGATCTCAGGTGATCCGCCTGCCTTGGATGTGTTGGGATTACAGGCATCAGCCACTGCACCTGGCCTGTTGTATATTTTATTTATGTTTATATGTGACTTTTTAAACTTGCTAGAACTTTTGGAAACAAGAAAGACACTTTGTTCATTTTTTTTCTGTCTTGATATGAATTAGCTGTCTGTTGTTTAACATATTTTTGTTACAGATTTGCTTTGCTTTTAAATTTATTAAATTTCTACATAAAAGGAACAACTGAAGAGATTTTTTCATAACCACATGGGAATTTATATGGTCAAAAATAATTTCTTCTAAAACCCTTTGACTTCCTTGAAATGTTTTCTAGAGCTCTTAGAATCAATCTCAGTCAACTTAAAACCCAGGATATTGGCCAGCCATAGTGGCTCCCATCTGTAATCCCAGCAATTTGGGAGTCCAAGGCAGGAAGATCTCTTAATTTAAAAAAAGAGGCCACCTTATACTAATAATAATGATAGCTGTGGCTGTTTTTACAAAAAAGAGAAGGGGGAGTTTGACAACATAATGAGGCCCCATCTCTATAAAAAATTTAAAAAAATTGCTGGGTGTGGTAGAATGCACCTGTGATCCCAGCTACTCAGGAGGCTGAGGTGGGAGTATCTCTTGAGCCCAGGAGTTTGAGGCTGCAGTGAGTTATGATTATGCCACTGTACTCCAGTCTGGGAGACAGAGTGATCCTGTCTCTAAACAAATAAATAAGCCCCAGAAAATTGAATACACTTTGTTTACTTAAGCTTGTAATGATCTCTTTTTTGAACTATTAGGTTTTTCTTAAAACTCCTTTCCATCACTTTTTCCTGCTTATCTCTTCATGAATTGAACCTAGTCTCTCTCCACCCAACATCCTAATTAAAAAGCAAAACTTCTGAGCATGTGCTGATCTGATATAGAGATAGCAGAAACTGGAGAGATAGTAGAACTTCCTGAGATCCTAGAAATCCCTCTCAAGAAGGAAATAGGCTGATGCAAATTGTTTCATGATTTGTAAATACATATGTAAAATTAGCTGAACCTAGTAGATAAATATTATTAAAAGCTTAAACTGATGCATGGCCTAAATTCAGTCAGATTTTATCAATTTTAGAAAGTAATATTATTTTCTAAAATTCAACATCACAGGAAAGATAGGAAAATAAAAATGTTACTTTTAAAACATTAAAGTTACACTTATTTTAGAAAAAGTTTATATGCTAAGTTAAATGAAGATATCTGAAAGAACTAATATGATTTTGAAAATTGAGCAGAGTGACTATTTTCCTCCCCAACATATGACTTAGAACAGTACCACAGCCAATGTATGTTTCTCGAATACTTTTGCAGTATGAAAAGAAAGTAGTTATAATACCTAACATTTATATAGCACTTCCTATGTGTCAGCCATTTTTCAGAGTTTTTTTCTAAACATAGCAATCAATTTAATGTTTATTACATGCCTTTAATGGCAGGTCCTATTGTCCTCAACCTCACTTTCCAGATAAGGGAATTGGGACAGAAATAGAAGATAGGAAACTTGCCTAAATGGCAGGGCTAAGATTTAAACCTGGCTAAGACTCCAGGGTCTGTATTTCAATGGTTTTTACTACTAAACTATACTACCTCCCACAGTATTACAAACAATTGCAATTTCACTGGTAAAGGAAACGAAAGAAACATTTTATTTGAGCTATGTAGTCCTCTGCGATCCCTATATTTCTGAAGTTTCCACATATTATGAACCTCATTTGTCCTGAGCCTTCTAAATGAATGGGCCACTTCTGAGCACCTCAAGATGCTGTCCTGCCTCAACACCACCTTCTTGACCAATTCCTTTTGCTTCTAAGAGGTACAGAGAAACCCTGACTGCTGACAATACAGAGATTTAGAAGCCATTGCTTCACCAGAAGAGAGTTCTTCAGAAGGACTAGAAAAATTAAGAGGCTTAGGTGTTCTTACCTAAAGCAGTATTAATTCAAAGTTTATCTGTTTCATTTAGTCTTTTCTGTCACTTAAGGTAAAGGCAAAGAACAAAACAACAATACAAACAACAAACCTGCCTGGATAAGAGGAACATCCAGAAATATTTAATTCTCTTTCATTTCAGAGATAGGATGTTCTGACACATAAAAAAGCAGGCTAGAAGAAAAACGCCCTTTGGAGAGGAATGACTGGTTGATTATGAAATCACAGGTATGGGAGTTGGAGAGGACCTATTAAATCCTATCATCTGTCCTCATTATATGACTTGTCTAATTTTAAAAAACTCCTGCTACTACGCTTTCTCCTGAGACTTCATTTCAGACCCGACTATTTAAAACCTCCACTTGACATTCAACCCGTTTCACTTTGGTCAGTTTCATCTTATTTCCTTAGTTATTTAATCTGTTGGCAAGCCGAAAACATTTTCCCCTTTAATGTACTTATGCTCTTCAAATATCAGTGGAGTTACTTTATCTCTTATTAGGATGACATAAGAGCAGAAAAATGATAATTTGAACATCAGAGATTTCAACCACATAAAAGGTATCTGTCATAGTCAATAGATATAAATGCTTTTTGCACTTTCCTCTAACTACTCTTGTCCAAGTGTGGTAGAAACTTTTTTTTAATTACAGTAAAGAGAAAAAAAAAGATCAGATTATTTGACTGTTTTAGGCCAGACCCCTTCAGAGAGTTGGGGTGATTATCATGTAGGGGTTAGTTTTCAGCTGTGTAATTAGTGATTTTTCCATGGAGAATCAGGCACTGGGAAATAACTTATTCAAAGAAGATTAATTATGTATGAGAGTATTCATGTCATCATTTTCAACACTAAACTTTTTTTGTCTTACGGGGTTGGCAATTTACATAAAGAACATTTTTTATGTGAAGGCCCACACTGGTGACTCATTTAGCTGGATCCTGTTGGCTTCAGTTAAAAACTATATTCAGAATCTGACCTTTTCTCACCACATCTGCTCCCACTGATCTGAGTCTCATGACCTCTTCTCTAGTTAGGCAATGGCCTTCCACCAGTCTCTTTTCAACACTCTTGCCCTCGCACAAACTATCTTTCAACAGATCAGTCATGTTCCCTCTGCCTGGAATAATCTGTGTGGCTAATTCTTTCAATTCCTTACAGTTTTGATTCAAATGTCACTTTTTCAATGAGACTTACTGCTCATCTTCTTCTAATTTGTAACAGCATCTTAGCCCCACCCTCCCCATCCTCTTACAAAGCTTCATATTTTCCCAAAGTACCTATTCACATTTAACACACCAAGGAACAATTAATTATATATATACATATATATATAATTTCCTATTCTCTGTTTTTTCTTGCTAGAATTTGTGTTTCATGAGAGCAGAAAATTTGGTTTATTTTGTTCACAGATATATTCTGAATGACTTGAATAAGGCCTGGAGCTCAATAAATGCTTCTTAAATAAAAGAACAAAATAATACATTTGAAGGGGCTTTTACTGATGACTCTGAAATATATTAAAGTAGTCACTTTTTACTAAAATCTATTTTTATTAAGTTGAAATAGTGTGATGAACCATATTTTGATATTCTAGGGATATCATTCTCTAAAGAAGTAGGATTAGTCAGATATATTTCTATCTTGAAAAAAATTAACTCTTTAAAGTCCTTTAACTAAATGTCACTCACAATTTATGTTAAATCAACCACTTAATTTTCAGGTCTTAAAATCAGGAATATTAATCTTCGTAATTGGTCATTAATACCAAATTGCAATGCCAATTTGCTTAGAATTTTTGTTAACTTTAGAAACTATTTTATTCAGTCAATAACTTATTCAGAAATTACTTGAGTCAAAGTTGTAGATATTTATTTACATATTCAAAAATAATTTTGCATGTTAATTACATTCATGCACTGAGAATACCTGATATGGTTTGGCTCTGTGTCCCCACCCAAATCTCATCTCCAATTGTAATCTACATAGTCCCCATGTGCTGAGGGCAGGACCTGGTGGGAGTGATGGGATCACGGGGGCAATTTTTTCAATGCCGTTCTCATAATGGTGAGTTCCCACAAGATCTGGTGGTTTTATATGTGTTTGACATTTCTTCCTAAACACACTCACTGTCTCTTGCCTGCAGCCACGTAAGACGTGTCTGCTTTGCCTTCTGCCATGATTATAAGTGTCCTGAGACCTCCCCAGCCATGCAGAACTATGAGTCAATGAAACCTCTTTCCTTTATAAATTACCCAGTCTCAGGTATTTCTTTATGGCAGTGTGAAAATGGACTAATACATGCCCTATTAATTCAAAGTTAAAAGAGACTAGGTTTTTGTTCCTGAAAAGAATACTGTGGTAAAAAGAAACAAATAAGTGAGTAAATATAATGCTATATAATAGGAAAAATGGAAGAGGTGCTTAGAATATTTAAGGGAAAAAAAATTTCAACTTGGAAGTTTTGGACAGACTTTGTGGAAGTTACTGTATATGACCTGTATCCTTAATGCCTAGAACCATAGCTGGTTAGAGGTGGCTTTTAACGTTTGTTTGAATGAGATAGTATTCTTATCAGCAAGTCATATTATAAGATGAATTTTGACTAAGAAAATTATATAAATTCACAACTTTTCACTGTTTTTTTGTAATTTTCCTTATACATTCCTTCTAAGATTTGTAACTCTCACTTCAGTGATTATATTTGGTATTATGAATATGTGTTCCAAGACTTTCATGATTGATCTTCCCACTACAAGTTCCTTAGCTTCTAATATTTCACCACGATTTCTGGTTTCTCAGCAAAATATTATTGTCTCTAATATTTCCACCTGGCATCAATTCTAATATCTCATTCAGATGAAAAATGTACTTAGAAATCACAACCTTGCCCTATTAGCATGCTTTAGAATCAGACTTCCATAGGGCTTCTCAGAAGAAGCAAGTCTATCTTTGTTTCAAGATTATGCAATCTTGTATGTTGAAAATGCTAAGGAATTCTTTAAAGGAACATCGGAGATAACAAACAAATTCAGCAGGACTGCTGTTGGGTCTAAGATCAATATGCAAAAATCCATTTTATTTCTGTGCATTAGCAATGTACAATCAGAAAACGAAATTAAGACAAATAGACCAAACTTCAGAAAAGCTAATTGCCTCACTCAAATCTACTTAGTTAATAATAAGTGGCAAGTCTAGGATGACAACCTAGTCTTGTCTCTAATGACCTCTGTGTACTTTTCAACATTTTGCAAATATATAGGGTAAACCAATATATTTCTTGAAACACACTCACTTTTACTTGCCTGTTTGATTACCATTTTTCATTTAATTAATTGAATTTTTAAAAAACCCAAAAAGACTTTTGCATTTAATACTGCTCACTTTACACTGCAGTACAACACATACCTCTTTCCTTTTGATTTATGAATTAAAATCCTTTTGACTTCTGAATTAAATGAATTATACCTGAAGCATTGCCAAAAGTGTGGTCAAAATTGGGTCCAGTAAAAGGAGAAAAGGTGCTTCCCTGAATCCTTTCCCATTCATTATCATCATTTAGATCCTGGACCCAGAAACAAAAGCCATCCTCAAAGTTACAATTAATTTTCTCATAATCTGTGAATGAAAAAAAAGAAGGAATAAAAAAAATTTAGTCCATAATGTGAGTAGTTATATTAGATTGTATTGAAAATAATCTAACCTTATACAGCTTATACTTCAGTGGTATGTACAAAATCATTATTTTTTATTGATCTTAACTCTGTTGCATTCTATTTATTTTTTTTAAAGCAGCTTTTTGTTGCCAACTGTGTTAAATTAATACATTTCCTATACTCTGTCAGGGTATTAGCAAATATAAGTTTCTCATTTTTTAAGTTTTACATCTTGTTTCCATTGGTTCACCCACAGAAACTTTGTTCCATATTTTTCTCTCTCCTGTTACTAAATTTAATACCTTGATCCAAATTAAGTTTATGTAGAATTTTCTCTGAATTAGTTTTATGCTAGTATTTTCTAACTTGCAATGCTTGCAGCAAATAAAATTTTAATTTGATTTTATAGTGATTTATAAGTTTTCTCAAATTGGTTATTTGATTCCTTTGAAAAATGTAAACCATTGTCCAATTTCTCATTTCTTTTTAAGTTCTAAGAAGAGAAAGATGCACATACAAGATACTCATTATAAAATTACATCATGAAAATTTTAGATTCTGCTACCTTTAAAATTCCATCATAACATTAAAGCATCTAAAAATTAAAAAGCCAAAAAATAAATAATACTTACTATTAAGCTCACTGCTGTTAAATGCAGTATATGTTGCATTAAAGCCAACATAATCACTTTCATCAGATTCTATAAGAAAGGTGGCAGTAACTTGGTTGGAAAAAATTCTTATTGTGCCAGGATTAGTTTCCCAAATAGAAGCTACAAAATAAAATAAACAACTGTTATATGTATATATCTATCTGTTCATCTCTCTATCCATCCATCAGTCCATCTACTGAACTATCAGTTTGTCAGTTGATCTATACAAATATCTATCTGATACCACTTAGTTAACTAAAAGCATTAGTCTTACATTTGTTTTAATTAAAATATCTCTTCTCTCAAACATTAGAAAGCCTCAAATTATTATACATATTTATGGTTTGATAAAAAAGGTATTTTTAATTTTTAATTGTTAGCTCTATGCACTATATATACATAGAAAAGATGCATTCATTTACTGGCAAAGTTCATCTAAGAAACATTAGTTAAGCAGTTTTGAAAATTAAAGTCAACTTAGCTTTATCAGGTATTTACTGTGTCCCACTCACAGGGGCTTAATCTGGGTAAAATAACAGAAACAAAAGAGTATTCTTTGGCTCTTTACGCTTGTAACTATACGACCTCAAAATAATACCAGGTGACTTAAGATTGTTTCTACAGCATTTTATATTGATGTAACATTTGTCTGTCTTGAGTATAAACTGCTTAGAGGATTTTTTTTTTCATTTTTGATTGTCAAGAGTTAGTATAATACTAGGATTATAAAAAGCTTCCATATGATGCTTTACAAAATCATTGTTACATAAAATTTGCTTTTATGAAAATGTACAGCACATACATTTTCAAAGGGGGTGGTCTTGCCTTTAGCGGAGTGAAAATTGGTTTTGAGGGAGAAAAACAGTTTTAATTTTTAAATGTGTAAAGCTCAGATATACCCACAGTCCACGAACAGATACACAGAATATAGTGCATATGAAATATTAGACTTTCACGAGGAGCTGTTAGAAAAAAACAAGGCCTGAAATGGTCTCTTAGTGGAGGTGATAATGAAAAAAAGTGTTAACAAACAATGCATTAGCATTTTAGTTTGACAATCTGAGCATGGCATTAGATTCAGGCCTATAAAAAATACCATACTTGCAGATAGGAGACAATGAACCACTGTGAAATAACAGTGAGTTATTTAACATTGAGTTCTGAAAAGAGATACTTTTATGAACTATTAGATATCTTGTGATTATGTAGTAATTAGGAAACAATGTGATACATACAATGGAATTTCAACATAATCTAATAGAAAGGACATCATGAACAAGCATTGATTCACATCTTAATGTTTTTCCCCAAAATGTGTGTCATGCATTCAATGTTTTTTATGAAGAACTATTATTTAGACTGTTGCTACGGCAGCATGCATACCTGTGTAATTTTAATACTTCTCATACTGAAAACCTTTGGAGTTCATAAGTGTTAGTCACTTAAGGGATGTGAACATTCTAGAAACTTTAAACCTATCTGCCTCTTTTTTCCTTTTTATTCCATGGCAATGGAATTCTCTTGGACAATGGCCTCTGGCTGGCTTTGAATGTGGTTGGTGGTTCAACCACACCCTTAGTGTGTTGGATTTCATAGTGTGTTGGATTCTCACGATATCTAATAGAACTGTGCTAGTCTAAAAAGTCCAGGAGCTTACCTTGAATTCCATTAACCTGCTTCAGAGATACATGAAAATCTCCTAAAATGGTGTAGAATATGTGTCTGTAGAGATTTTACAAAACTTTCATAAGATAGTCTTAAAGTCTCCTTGCCTAATAAGAGTCCCAGGACTACAGATCTAGTGAAAGCCATGTATTTCACAAATCCAGGGAGTAGTGGAGGGTAGTGGTTAAGAGCAGGGGCTCCAGCATCAGTATTTGATTGAGTCTTGGTTCCATGTCTTACTAGACTACTCTGTGCCTTTCTTCTGTAGTGTTACAACTTTTTCCCATAAAGATTTGTGATAAGGAGTAAAAGTAATTCTCATGTAAGACAGTGACTGGTATATACTAAATGCTTAGTGAATTCTGTCTTTTGCTTCTCTATCTCACCAACTAGGTTGTAAACCTTGAAAAGGATGAGATCATGACTTAATGCTTTCTGTGCCTCTGTCATTGTACCAAAGCATAGGAGATTTTTAATCAATATTTGAGGGCATATATCATGATGTGAGTAAACAGAGTAATAGAATTTGCCTACATAAACGAGACAGGGTTTGTGTTGAAAGAAAAAGAAAACAATTACCTAATATCTTTTAAAGGATGACTTTTTTCCTATATCACAACTGATAAATTTTTAGACATTCCTTAAGAAAATCCAATGTCTTCTACTAAAAATCCAAAACTTTTATGGATGTTAATTTGCATAGACTGATCAAGCAGTCACTCTTAAATGTGAATTAACTCATCATTTGTCTACTAACAGCAAAGGCTCTGGTGAATAGGTTTTGTGAAAGAAGAAAGAAGTATGATACAGATGTGGGGAATTTGGAAAGACGGCAATGGACGGGGAAGACCAACTTTCTACAGAATAGGATTCAACAGATCTAGTTCAAACTACTTATATTATCCAATTTATAAGAGTGAAAATGCGGCAACTAGAGTACCATCTTTATTATAAAATAATTTCTAATATATTCAACACGTCTTAGTGAGTGCCCACTATGAATTTAGTCTGGGGCCAAGTGCTGATGACATAGAAAAGAAGTAACCAGTTTCCTCTATTAGAAGAATTTATATTGGTGAGTTATTAAAAATAACCATAAAATTATTATATAAGGGAAAAATGCTATGGGGGTACCAAAGAAGGAATCTTTAATTTTGCCAGGCACTATGATTGGCGAATCTTTGAGAATTTCTGGAAGGGATGACTTAAGCAAACTTAGTGCTTGCTAAAATAAACTTTTCCACATAACATACCCCTATCAACAGAAGTGAATTAATGGGTACTTCTGAGTATACATAAAAGTGTCCTAATAAAAGCACAAAATGTGTTGAAAATGCTTTACTTTGAATAATATTTGCCTATATTGTTTAATTCCATAATGCAGTGTGATTATTTTTGTTGTAGGATAAGTTGACAATTCAGGAATATACACTATGTTTATTGCATAGCTTTGGCTATAGCTATGCACACTTCTGTGTGCCTCAGGATAAGCATGGCCTTACACAATGTTAAGCTACAGTATTAGAAATATATTGTCAGCAGTCCTGTGGGAATGGAATACCAGCTAAGCACTTGAGATATAAAGAATGGCATAACAACTATGCACTCAGAGACACAATTCCTGGGCTAAGCATTTTGAAACCGTTTTCAGTGTGCTAACCTAGGCATTTTTGTTGTCTTTCTTTGAAGATGCATAAAAACATTTATAGATTTTTGTGACCACTAAATTAAGTAAGCTCACTCACCGTCTTCTACCCCTTTCATATGAAGTATTAATAATTATTACAACCATTGAATTCAATATTATACCTTCATCATTGCAACTTAAAGAAAACACTTTTGAAATAACTTTCCCAGCACTCTATTTTGATTTACTTCAATTTTCATAATTATTTGAAGACTGCACTATCACTTTACACAATGTCTGTATTTCTCTGATGCTTTTTAGCAGTTAGAGAACTTTTGCATCACAATTGTAGATTAAAATGATGGAAAAAAATGCCTTTAGGATTTGTTTATGCTGATTTCCCCCTAATCAGGTATATAACAACTATTTTATGATGATAATTCCTTACATTGTCTCTATATAATCCCACTTACCCTAAGTAAAAAATTTATATATTTCCAATATTGTACAAATAATAACTATTTGAGATTGTATATTTTGAATTGGAATTTAATGAAAGCAAACCTTGTAAGCATCTTTCACATAAAGAAATTGCTAAAACATTTAGGGAAAGATGAGCTTGTGACTTGAGAATGAAAGTATCTGCATTATTACCATACAAATTAACTTTACACTTATGGGAAATACTGCTTGTTTCCATTGATTATACACTATAATACCATATGATAGAAATATATCCCAGTTGGTGTAAATTCAAATAAACAAACCTTGAGTTTCTACAATACACCAGACTTTGTGCTAGATGCCAGTTGTAAGATAATATTAGTTTTCTTAGAAAAAATTAGAATTTTTAATTGTAAAATTTAACACCCAATACACTTTCTCACATTTTTAGATTATAATTAAAATATTTAATTTTCAAAACTTTAAAATAAATGATTATTCTGAATATCTTAAAATTAAGCAACTACCTATTATAATATAACTACATATTCATTGATGTTTTCTGCTTGGATATTCAGTTTCTTATTATATTTTTATGGCAATTAATTGCATATTAGTCACATCTCTATGGCTAAACATTTTAAAATTTATTCACAAATTGCTGATACCCTAACCATGTGAAAATAATATTTAGACAGACCATGGTATTTGAAGAGTTAAGAAACATGAGAATATCTTATGCCTACCACTTATTCAGCCCTCAACCTCTACCAATTTAGATTTTATCTTCTGTATAATAGGGATGATAATATCACCTACATAATTGGTTTGGAAGAGCATTTAGTCAGTCAACTCAAAGTGCTGACAACACTCCTTTACACAGTGTAGGTGAAAATATATGGTAAAGTTTATTAATGTCACATTAGTCTTTGGAAATATTTATATGAAGTAACCTATTTGTCCACCTATGTAAATATTTATGTTGATCATAATTTTAAAAAACTGCATCTATCAGCTATAGAAATAGATTATGAAATGGTTGGCCCATTTTTTTTTAAGAGCAAATGTGACTTACCATGAGTTCACATGTTTTATATATACTCATTATGATATTTTTACTTGGGCTTTTAAGGCACAAAGAATAATGGTATTATGTTTCAAGTCAGAGAGTTTGGGCTTTGATTTCTGCCTCCAACACTGTGAACTTATGGTAATTTAATATATTATACCTCATTTTACTGTTCTGTAAAACATATTTTGCAGGTTTGTTGAAAATATTAAAGAAGAAAATGCACATTGATTATTCAGTAGAGTATCACACAACAATACCTAATAAAAATGAGATATTATTAGCATATGCTTAAATATTTCTCAAATCATTAAATCTGTAAAAAATTATTCAATAGGATTCACTTTTCATTACGTATAAATACAATTTGAGAGGCAAGGTTCTTAAAATAAAGTTATTATATAAAATTTAATCACAGGTGTCACCAACCTTATCTTAGCTCTAGAACAGTTAACTATTTCTCCAACATGCGAGGAAAACTAGTTATTCCCTTGGCTTCGTTTCCACATTCTCTACCTCATCCTCACTTTATTTCCCCGTGGAATTTTGCCCCTAATTTCACTGGTTACTGTGAATAGATCTGTGCATTTTGGGGCCCGGTGGAATAAAGGGGCATGAATAGAAACATATTACTAGGGCATTCCCTGCCCTCTTTTCAGCTTCCAGCCCCGTCCATGTGTAACGATAAATGGTTATATAGTAACAATACCATCCATCCACATCTATCATTTACTTAGCCTACCTCCTTGGCTAGACAGTGTTTTAGCCACTTTATTAGTAATAGCCTGCAGGAGACCGAGGAGCAGGATGAACATAAAAAATGACAGAACCTCTGTGAGTTTATAACCTACGCAATGCAGAGAAAACAGAATAGTAATTTTCAGGGATTGTGTGAATTTGGTTAATAGGGACTAACATTTAAACAATGTATGGTAACCAAATATATAATTATAATCCTTTGACAAATTTCACATAATTTTTAAGATATTAATTAGGAGAGGACAATGTTAAAACGTAACTGCTTTATTATGAAGACCACATAGAGCACTAATTTTCTAATTTTTATAATGAGAAGCAATTGTTTTTTTTTTAGTTTTATAAGTTTCAAGTCCATATTCACTTCAAAATCAAAGGGAAAACATACCACTCCAAAAATTTACCCACATATTTTCATTTTCATAAGTAATTGTATATTTGTTTCAACTTACCTCTTAAAATCTTGCTTGATCCTACACCTTCATAAATATCTAATATATCTGTATAATATGTATTAAAATCATCGAAGCTCAGTTTAATGGAAAGTCCTTGGTTTACACTAAATTAAAAGCAAAAAATAGATTACCAAATTTTTAACAGTTGTCATATTTCTTAATGCATTCTAGAATTTGTATGTGTTTTCTTGTGGTGAACACCACATAATATGATATCTACTCTCTTAAATTTTTAAGTGTACAGTGCAGTATTGCCGGTTATGAACACAATGATGTACAGCAGATCTCTAGAACTCTTTCAGGACTGAAACTCTGTATCACTGAATGACAACTTCCCATTGCTTAGTCCTCCCAGCCCCTGGCAATCACCATTCTCCTTTCATTTCCATGAGTTTAACTACTTTCTATGCTTCATGTAAATGAATTCATGCAGTATTTATCTCTCTGTGACTGGCTTATTTCACTTAGCATAATGTTCTCAAGGTTCTTCTATGTTGTATGATATACAAGATTTCCTTCTTTATGACTGAGTAATATTCATATATATATCACATTTCCTTTGTTCAATCATCGGATTATGGACACTCACGTTCTTTTTACCTTTTGTTTATTGTAACTAATGCTGAAATGAACATGGGAGTGCAGATATTTCATTCAGATAAATATTCAGAATTGGGAATGCTGGATCAGGTGGGAATTCTATTTTTAATTTTTTGAGGAACCTGCACACTGTTCTCCATAGCAGCTGCACCATTTCAGGTCTTCTCGATATCATTTGTGGAAAAAGACTATCCTTTCCCCTTTGTGTTGTCTTAGCACCCTCGTGGAAGATCATTTGATCATATATGTGAGGCTTTATAGTGGGCTTTCTATTCTGTCTATGTGTTTGTCTTTTTGCCAGTACGTTACAGTTTTGATTACTATAGCTCTGTAATATATTTTGAAATCAGGAAGTGTGAGACCCCAGGTTTGTTATTTTTTCAGTTTGTTCTGGCTATTCAGGTTTTGTTGTGATTCCATATACATTTTTGGATTTTTTTTCTATTTCTGTAAAAAACCTCCATTGGTATTTTACAGGGCTTGCATTTGATCTGTACATCACTTTCGGTAGTATGAACATTTTAATTATGTTAAATTGTCCAATTCATGTATATTGTTCATACCATCAAGATGACAGCTATCATATTCTATAATTGTTATTTACATACTTAAATGTCTTTCCTAACAGAATTTATATGACTCAAGGACAGGGATTAATTCATTCATTCCTGTATTATCTAATACTTTGTAGAAACTAGTGCATGCTATTGATATAAAAAAATAATGTATCTAGCTGCTGGTATAAGAGCATAGAAGGAAAAGTGTGACAGGTTCATCAGAAAATTTAAATTAGATATTTAAACTATTTTCATTTTCAGATAATAGTTTCAGAGAGGGGAGACTTAGTGGAACCTCTATTTACAACTCCACTGTCTCATTAAAGTGTTATAATCAGAAATGTAAATAACTCCTCCAAGTGCTTTGTAAGTACCAAGTTTCTCTGAACTCCTTGGAAGGGAGATGGCTAAAAGAAATAAAAGTGTGTACGGGAGAAAACATCTAAGGCTCCTTGGGCATGAGTTTGGCTAGATCATCTGCAAATGGACCCAGGAAAGGATTAAAAAGGCTAGTAATACTTAAGAGATTTAGTTTCCAAGGCCAAGCAGGAGCCCTGAGAAGTGGTCTGGCCTCTGACTCTGGCCATGGAGGATACTGAGTGAACAAGGCCTACAGGCAGGGACATGGCAAGATTGGCTTTTAGGTTCACCACCAGCAGTAATGTGGCCAATAAGGCAATCAAGGACATTCTTCACAGAGTTAGTTAATTTTTGAAAGTCTAAAAGTCATTGTTGAGAACTGTTCATTTGTGGCAAGACCTCAGGTTGATCAAACACCATACTATAATTATGGCCAGTGGGGTGGAGTTCAGGGCTGAAGTTTAGTCTTCAAGTAGTGGGGTTGGTGTTAGTGCAATGGCAGCTACTAGCAGGGCAGCATTAAAAGACAACTAAGCAGAAACTCAGATTTTTGGACCTACTGGTGTTTGCTGTAAGGGAGATAAAGTTAGAGTGGTGGTAGGTTATTAAAAAAAAAACAAACCCAAAGCATAAACCTATAGACTTCAGCCCTGAGTATCAGATTCAGCAGTTCCAGAGTGTATTTTGGAATGTATATTTTGAGAAGCTCCAAGGGCGATTATGATGAGCTCTTAGGTTTGAGGGCCCTTGAAGTATGATAGGTAAATGCAGGAGATGCTACACTCATGGCTACTCTAAGACATGTCTGGTAACCACCGGCAGAGGTAAGGGGATCAAGGTGAGAGAGCAGAAGATCATCCCAGAGTAGACAGAGAAGGAAAGTAAAGCTAAGTTTGAAGCTGTTTAAATTCTGCCTCTGTTATGTCAGTTCAAGGACTGGGGGAGTGAGCCTGCTGGTGAGACCTTTAGAGAATCTGGAGTCAAGCTGGAATAGACAGAGATGGAAGAAAGAGGCAGACTTGAGAGATGATTTCTTAACTAAAGTTCTGGTGTGCCTGGGCAAGAATATGGTGAGTGTTTTTTCATCTGATGTTTTCAAGCTGTCAATCTAAGGAACGCAAGCATGAGGAGCCCCCTAGGACGCTTTGCTTTCAGAGGACCTCTGCTTTTCCAAAATAGATATTTGGAGGTAGAAGAGACAAAAAAGTGCAGACGATTTTCCACCTCCTTCTGATTCAGAAAATTCAACTCACTTCCAATAAAACCACAGGGATTTATAAAAGTAAGATTAATTGGAGAACATAATCAGATTTTGTTATAATATTAGATATTTCAGTTACCTTCTGATTTTTTGAAGGGATTAAATTAAATTTCTTTAAATTTAATTTATACACTTTGTATTATTGTGTCAGTAGTTAATATTTTTATAGACCACTTTTATTGAGCATTTAATATGTGGCTAAGCACTTTACATTCATTATCATATTTAATAATGACTTCTTTGAACATAGTATTTAGAGATGTGGAATTCTACAGACACAGAAATTTGGAGTCAAAGAGGTTTACTCATTTGCCTGAGATCACACATCTTGATCTGATGATGTGTGAAGATCTTGATCTGAAGATCTTAATCTGAAGAAGTTAGATTTGAACCCACACAAACTGTCTCCAATAACTATATTCTTAACTATTGGCTGTATGCTAACTGTGGTCTTAATGTAATTCAAAGGATGAGCTGGTCCTGCTCAAAATATAGTTTAATTGCATCTTAAACATTTCTCCTATATTTAATTGATCTTAAACCTTATAGAAAAATTATTGTCTTTAGTCTCATCTGATCACTATTGGGAAAGAAAACAACTATTTGATACAATGCATCACTAATATAATAATCAACTTTGAGAAAAAATAGATTATTTGTGTGATTAATTAAATCATCATTTTAGCATAAAGTACACTGTTTTGGGGTAACATCTTAGGTTCTTCAGGTTTTTAAAATAATCCATTTATCAATCATAGATTTCTTAAAATAGTTTCAAAAATTAAGTAATGGAAAGAAACTAAAAACAATAGGGCCATAACATTTTTAATTAATATAGGATAATTTTTGCGTAAAGGACATTATCATTACAGCAGAAGTTTATTGTGTGTTCTGCTCATAAACCCTCTAAATGTGACCTGTCTTTATTAAGAAGTGAACTTAGCAATTAAATTATTTTTATTTGGTATTAATAAAATTTCAAAGATTGCATAAAAAATAGTTGTGTACCCAATTATGCAGATTAGTTACAGTCTTTCCATTTTCAGTGAAAGATATTTAAGATTTTCTACAGCTTTCTATTGACATTTTAAATAAGTGCTAGAGTTAATATTTTATTTTCCTAATGACCAATGCTAATAGACATTTATAAATGCTTCTTTTAAGTTTGAAGTGATTATGTGTGTGTGTGTGTTTCTGCATCAGAAAAATGCTTTATATAGATATATAAACACATACAAATGTAGGTTGAAAACAATATTCTCCAACTTGGTTAATTTTTCAATTGGCAAGAATTACTTAGAACTGCCATTTTTAATTCATAGTCTTATTTTTGACACACCAATAGCATGTTATCTAGAGCAGGAAACAAAGGAAATTGTGTTTTTAGTTGTATTACATATCTCTCAAGGGGCTGCACTCCAAATCGAAATAAAAAATAAAGGGATACTCTTCTTTCCTTGAACAATGCCAAGTAAGTGTGTATAGAACAATCTTTTTCTCACATCTCCTCTCTGGGATATGTCTACCTGGGTGATTAGTTATTGGGCCATTTCATACTGTTTGGCAAGAACCTGAGGCTCTGACTTTTAACTTTCTTTAATCAGCTATTATATGTCAATATAATGTATCATAAATATAATCATCAATATCAATCATCATCAATATAATATAATCACAATGATTAAAATTATACTATAGGTCAGACTGGTAAACCATAATCCCATCTAGCTATTAATAGAAATGAACTAATTAGAATATAATTTTTCATAGTGAATTCTATGGAGCACTTATTCTGCATGCTCTGTTGGGGAAATATTCAGTATTTTAACAAGAAAGTTTTCATTGGAGACTTACATCGCATGTTAACATATTTAAGGCTATAAGAAGTCCTACTTTTAAGAGTTTTAATAAGTTTATTTCAGGATCTCTTATATTTATGTGAGTACAAATTCTTTTTATCCTTGGAATATCCGGAAGGAACTTAAGGTGTTCCTTGTCTATGAAAATGCTTAGGTAAACTTTAAGGTAGATCAGCTATCAGCAGCCTAATTATTTTGATTATCTTCATGATTGGGTTGGTTAATTGAATTAAGAATGTGGAGGTGAAATACATATTGACTGATCCAAATGTCTTTCAAGATATAGTAAGAAAGACATGTATAGAGGCTGTTCCCTGCTCTTAATCTGCTGTAACTGAATCACACCTTTAGAGATTTCCACATGGTAAGCAGCAAAATGAGAAAGAAAATATTTTATAGACAAATGCAGAAGATGCGAAATTCTACTTCTCACGATACACAGACATACATGTATGTTGTTTGCCTGGCCGCACATGAATAATGTCCACCACAGAAAAATAAACTTGCTTCAGAACCCAATGAGATGACCCCACTTATTAGACAGTATTGTTCATAGCACAGAATAGCTTTTTAAAAGGTTAAAAATGATAGTATAGTTTTTTGTACAGTTTTTCAGTTGGGAGGTTTTTGCTTCATAGTTAATGAAAACAATGATTCTTTAAAAAACTACTGAAAGCAATAAGACGTTGCATCAGAAAAACGCTTTATGACTTAAGAACAGAAAATATAAGATCTTGTATTACCGTATGATCCACTGGCAGACAACACTTGTTTCAGAAGGTTTTGGATAATGAGTAGCCTGGAAAGACCCAGATGATCCAGTTAACAAAAATCTTCCATCACAAACTGTGGCTGCAAAACGATGCCAATTAATGTTAGACAAAAACAATCTTGGGATTCAAATTGGCTGCAAAACATTTCACAGAATATTCATGGCAAAACCTGTACAAGGTTATTTTATGAAACTGAAATGATAGTAAGATTTCATGTTTGAAACCTATTAGCCATGTTCAAATACTCATACACATCCTATCGTGAAATATTTTGGAAAAATTCTTTCTTTCTCTCTCTCTCTTTCTCTCTTTCTTTCTCCTTCCTTTTCCCTTGCTTCCTTCCTTCCTTCCCTCCCTCCCTCCCTTCCTTCTTTCCTTCCTTTTCTCTCTTTCTTTCTCTCTCTTTCTCTCTTTTTCCTTCCTTCCTTCCTTCTTTCCTTCCTTTTCTCTCTTTCTTTCTCTTTCTCTCTCTTTTTCCTCCCTTCCTTCCTTCCTTCCTTCCTTCCTTCCTTCCTTCCTTCCTTCCTTCCTACCTTCTCTCTCTCTCTTTCTTTCTCTTCTTTCTCTTTTTTCCTTTTTTTTTTTTTTTTTGAGACAGAGTTTCGCTCTTGTTGCGTGTGCTGGAATGCAACGGCGCGATCTCGGCTCACTGCCTCCTGTGTTCAAGTGATTCTCCTGCCTCAGCCTCCGGAGTAGCTGGGATTACAGGCGGCGGTCACCACGCCCGGATAATTTTTGTATTTTTAGTAGAGACGGGGTTTCACCATGTTGGCCAGGCTGGTCTCGATCTCCTGACCATAGGTGATCTGCACTCCTAGGACTCCCAAAATGCTGGGATTACAGGCGTGAGCCACTGCGCCATGCCCAAAAGCATTGTCTTTCTAAACACCCTTCCCTAAGCTGCACTTTAAGTGTATTCTTCCATATTTGCAAGGAAATAAATATATCTGAATTGAAAACTGCCAGTTCAGACAAATAACCAGTCATTTTTTGTCTTATTTTTATAATTAAATTGGAGCTAGGTGAATTTCAAATATATGTACAAAGTGCTATGTTTTCTTGAAAAAGATTAGAATAAGGCCAGGAAAATGTTAGTACTAGTGGCCTATACAGAATTCCATCCAACAAATCTGTTAGTCCATCTTTTAAAGCTCATTACTCTTGCTCCTTTGGGAGATAACTAGTTCAATGTTTTCTATATTTTCATTCAATACTCCTGATTAAGCCTTTTGCTTTCCATAATTACTCATTTTCCTCTTTTGGTTTTCATAGTAGATTTATTTCATGAATCTCTCCTTAATGTCATGCATTATTAGTTGCCTTTAATTTATATCTGAATAGATTCCAACTAGATTAAAATCTTCTTGAAGGCATGAACCAGGAGCCATAACTTAGAGATTTTTGTTTTTTTCATACACTTGCTATGTATAGTATATGCAAAAATCCACCTTGATTTTCACAACTTTTAGTCTTTCTTACATTATTTTCCTTCTAGTTAGTTACTTGGTTATGTTGACACAATATTCTAAAATTATGACCCTTACAATGTGTCTTTTTCTCTGCATAGATTAAAAATTCTTCATACGGAGAAACATTAATGGAGGTTAGAAAAATCAAAGTAATATGTCAAAATTAATTTGCTGTGTTTGGAATCTGAGTGTTTAGAATAAGCTAATTCTAAACTGAGCTATGAAAAAGCTCATCGTAAAATTATAAAGTGATTCTATCAAATTACATAATACAAGCTATTTTATGACAAAATATTTTATGTATATAAAATAAATACATTAAAAATTAGATAGCAAATAGAAATCTTGATTAAAATATCATGTGTTTATTGGGTTTTTGCTTTTTTTTGGTATATATATATTTTCAGGTGCATAAAAATTTACTTTGGTAACTTAAGTTTATTATTCAAAGTCTGCTTAAAAACAATGGCCTAGGAATTAATTCATTAGCTTATGATTTGGTAACCTGATTTCCAGAAGAAAAAAAGAACGAAAATAAGAAAAGAAAAGATAACAAGTCAAGAAGCAAGGATTAAATTCTGAACAATCCGGCACAGATCACAGGAAAGAAAGAAAAATAGTGGTTTGTTAACTGAATTGCCTTATGCATAATGATTACTGCAACAAACAAAGAAAATTAAGGCTAATTTGTCATGATTTGAAGATAGATAGTAAAATATGTGACTTTTTAATGACTTGCTAAATAATTTTCCAGTTGTAAAAGCAAATCTCTTTTCTCACCTTCAACGCTCTTTTCCACTGTAAACCATGCCAAACAAGCAGGGCAATTAATGCCTTACATTCAAAGACCATAAAAACAAAAATGGCATTTGCTTGCATTTTATGTGGTATATAAAGCTTTTAAATCACAGTTTGTCGAGAAATAACATGGACTCAAAGATTGTAGACAGTGTAGTAAAGTCTACTGCTATTGTAAAGTTTATATTTGAGTTACAATACTTAGGAAGCAATGAGGTAGGGTGCTCAATCTTATCAGTGCTAAAATATAACTGCCAACATTTATAGAGTGTTTACTATGTGCCGGTCATTTTCTAAAGTTATTATATATGTATGAATGTAATTTGCATAACAACTCTATGATGTTATGGGGGAAACTGAGGCACATATGGGTTAAATAACAACCATAAGGCCTCCTAGCTTACAAGCAACAATTTAAAGCAAGGCAGCCTTATTCTAGAGCATACTGTGGTATATTGCCTAATATCACAATATATATATACATCTATCACTATCGCAATGACATCACCCACTCTTTGAACTGAAAAGCAGGGGGGAAAGCATAAATAAAAGAAGAAACAGAAAATTTTTTAAAGATTTCCATCTTTTTCAATGTTCTTAAAGTTAGAATACAGATCACATTTGCAATAATATTCCAGAACAAATAGGAGGATGCAAAAGAGACACACACAGAGAGAGAAAGGGAACAAAACAAGATCCCTTTAAGCATCTGTAAAAACCTGTTTGTAAAGCTGATAAAATTTTAGTCATTTTTCCCACCTGTTCACTACGCATTTTTTTGGGAAAGGTATCAACAGCTTTGCGCTGCACAATGTGATTCATGATTTCCAGAAAGCCATGTTACGTCTCTAGTTTCAAAGATGGTTCTATGTTTGACAAACCCTCTTTCAGTTCTTTCCTGAGCACATGACTAAACTACACTTCCCCAAATCCCTTGGAGTCAGATAAGGTCATGTGACTGAGTTGGCCGATGAACGA
The DNA here is from genome assembly GCF_000001405.40 of Homo sapiens. NCBI lineage: Eukaryota > Metazoa > Chordata > Mammalia > Primates > Hominidae > Homo > Homo sapiens. The sequence continues at coordinate 18,368,415 of NC_000021.9, forward strand.
TTGTAAAAGTCACTGTGTCTATTTCCAAATATGGTTTCTGAACATATCTGTAACATTCTTCCTTTGTCAGTCAGCTGGTTGTGAAGGATCCAGTAGAGGACTCTGGGGGCAGAGAGAGTGGCAAGTAAGGAGCAGGCATCCTGAATGCCTAGAGCACAACCCTTTGCCATCTTTCTTGCACCGTGATATAGGTGATAAATAAACTGTTATTGTTAAGATTGTTTATCATAGTATTTAGCCTGTCCTAAAGAATATGATCAATTTTCCTGTCCAGTATTCTATCATGTTACTAAGTTTTAGTGGGAATGGATACTCCACAGGTCAAATTCTGCTCTAACGAGGCTCTAGTCAATTCCTGCATTCAAGCAAATATAGAGAATATTCCTAAATGTATTTAAAATAAAATTACAGGAGTATTGAAGTATTTCTAATAGCAACGCTCAGAATGCCAAAATATTATCTTCTCAAGACAGAGGCTTGTGTAAGGCACTTTCTTATACATTTTTTTCATTTAATTTCAGGATGTTTCTGGAGAACCTGATAGTGCAAATGACCATGAATGAAGCAGGATAGGTTTTCAGGAAAAAATATATGACCCAGTTGTGGATGAGTAGGATGACTGGGTGTTTAGGATTGTGACTTATTAGACTGTGCAGTGCTTTCTAGTGCAGCATCAGAAAAAAAAATCTAAGTAGAACATAAATGAGCCTGTCAAATTATAGCAGCCATTCGATTGCACTATCAGAAATGTTGCCTGTAATAGGATGGAACACATAAGGGTAAGCACTTAGGACCCACGAAGAACTCCCTCTGCTGGCTGAATATTCACTAATTGTGTCTTTGCTCATGGCATTCAAATCTCCAGGATATATAAATCAAACATGATCTATGCTCACCCACCAAGCTGTATTATGCATATACACGTGAGGCATACAAACTATGAGAACACTTGCCAACTTCCAAAGAGTTAAGCATTGGCTTAAAGGCTGTGAATCAGCATCTTTCCTTTTCATAGGTCAGCTAAAAAGTGAACTTTCCTGCTGATGTAATTCTAATCAGAAGACGAAAACAATTTAAAGAAATCTTGTTTCAGCTATAGTCAGCTGTAAGTGTGCAAACCTAAATAACTAAAGAGTAAAAGAGGAAGTTGCATGAGGAAGACAATGTTAGTATGACTATCAATAACACAAACCAGAATTAGAGCTCACAGCTGGAGCAAAAAAATAAATAAATCAATAAGAGAGAGAGAGAGAGTAAAGGTAAACTTCATATTGGAAAAATTCTCTTAAATTAGTTTTATAAATTTTTCCATGAATATAGATTGATGGACAGTGGCTTTCAGGTGGAAATAATGCTGCTGGAAGTTTGAGCTGGTGCTGAAAGTCATTAGGCTTGTGGGCTCACCATAATCAATGAATGAAGCAACTTAAAATGAATAAAGCAACTTGTACTCTTAAATTCTCTCTGGATAAAAATAGATTCATTGATTGATTTAAACAATATTATCCCACAAATAATTCGAATTTATTTACCAAAATAGATATAATACTTACTTAAACGAAAAAAAAAAAAAAGAAAATCAAGAAAATGGAAAGTGACGGTGTGTAAGCTTGAGAGAGTTAGTGACATGAAAGGCTGGTCACTACTAAGGTTCAATTAACAAAAAATCTTCATGTTACTAAAAAGTAACAACGCAGTTTGACTATATTTTTAAAGCAAATTAAGATAATTACTTCCATTCTAATACTGAGGCTCATCTCCTGAGTTTAGAGTGGCTCATAAAAATGATTCATAGCATTAAAACTTATTTTAGGACAAATTATCACACTTACATGATATTCCTATGGTTCATTTTTATATGCACTGATATTAGTTCATCATGAAAATTATGAACTCCATGAGCATAATAACAAAATAATAGGTACAGTACATTTTTCAATTATTTGATTCATATATTTTGGTAGTTATGCCTTTTCCTCTATTTAAGGATATTGATCATCATTATATTGGCTTAAAGCCATGTGTCTAAGTTGACATACACTATTGTTTTTGAAACAGAAATCAGCATCACCTTTGTTACCTCATGATGGCACACTTGCATCATATTCTCCCTGAAAAGATTTTGGAAAATGCCTGAAAGCCACAGCAAAGCAAGAACATTGCTTTCTTCTTCTTTGAGTAACTTAGTTATATAAAATAGATTAAAAATATTCCGCAGCCTGCACTTTCTTCCAATATGTTCTGAGTGTACTTCAAAGTCTGTAGTTAAACTTTAAAGGTCTGAATTTTATCCAAGAACATTTGCATCGGGATTGCTTAGTGGAAATCTCTGTAGTAGAGTTGCCTTTCATTGAGTTGGTACCGGGAAACAGACCAAATGCCTGGCTTTTAAAATGTGTACTAAGTGGATAGGTAGCTTTTAAAACTTTGGTCGTTATTAGAATATTCATCTTTAATTACTATCAAGCAAGATGAGAAAAGTGTAACAAATAATAGAAAAGTGTAGCAAATAGTAACTATGGTCTTTAACACACTTTGGGCACTAACTGTATTTATAGTCAGTTTTAAAACTGATTATAAGCCATACCAAAAAATGTGCAGTTAATACTGTTAAATAAAACAAAATATCAGTTAGACTTATCCAAAGTCAGCAGTCTCCCCTTATCCACAGGGGATATTTTCTAAGACCTCCAGTGGATGCCTGAACCATGGATAGTACTGACCCCTATATCTACTATGTTTTTTCCTATACATACACACCTACCATAGGAGATTAACAGCAATAATCACTAATAAAATAGAACAATTATAACAATACTCAGAATGATGTGCAATTTTATACTTATACATTGTTTATTTCTGGAATTTTCCATTTACTGTGTGTCCTGTGGTTGACAGCAGGTAGTTGAAACTGTGGAAACCACTAATAAGGGAGAACTACTGTAGTTCTATGTGGAAATCTTCTTAAATGTGTTACACACAGAAACAAATTACCTACTTAGATGCTGCTTTCTAGTAAACTTTTCTAAGTGGAATCCAGCTATGAAATGAAGAAATAAGTAAAAGAGTAAATACGTTTAAATCAACTAGAGCCATGCTTGGTATATGGTAACTGCTACTTAAGTGTCAAATAGTAATAATAATGGTAAAATAATGTTATTGTCATTAACACTCAAAAAATGCCAAAATATACAAATGAAACACAGAAGTTTTACTTATGAGGCATTAAGTTCTTATTCATATCTTATTTCTACTATTTATAGAACTACAAGAGGCAAATAAAAGGAACAGTCAAAATTTTAATATGGTGCTCAGTGAGTTAGGTACTGTTAAAATGTTGAAAGAAAAAGACTGATATGATAGTGAAAAAACATGAAAACCATTAGTAAGAAGTGAGAATGTCTATCACAGAAGTCAAATTAATAATAGTTTGGATTAGTTTAATATAGAGAAGAGATGAAAATGTAGCAACACCCATCCCCACATTTATGACAGACATTGTTAATCACATCTTCCTTTCTGTAGTGATCAAATGGAATTCTGTTTAATTAATTAATATCTTTAATATTATTTATAAAGTTTAGGAAAATATTAATAAAATTATTTTAAGATTTTGTATTATATTTTAAAAATAGCTATTTAAATAGCTCATTCTTCAGTAGTTTCAGGTATTTGAGATTAGAATGTGTGTGTGTGTGTGTGTGTGTGTGTGTGTGTGTGTGTGTCTACAGTGAGGGAGGATAAAACAGAAGGGGAGAGAGTAGGGGGGAGAACTTACCACACATTTTATTGTCTTCGTCAGAACCATCTGGACAGTTTACTTCTCCATCACAAAATAAATCAGCTTTTATACACGTTAGAGCATCAGTACAAGGACTTGAACCAGGCAGGCACTCTATTGAGACATTTCCTTTAAAAAATAACTGAAATTAATTTCCAATTGATGAGATATGTACAATGTTTAAATATTTAATAGGCCTTTTTGCCACTGGGGTTCTTACTTATAAGTATGTTCTTCAACTGCCATAGGAATATTTATTTCATTTGCAAATCAATCATTTGTAAAATTAGAGCATTTTAAATTTTGAAATTTCATGTGGGGCAATTTTGGAAAGCTTATCACATCATCTGCAACATCTAGCAGCCACTTCATTTACTCATAAGCTTATTATTTGAAAATATAGTGGCTTAAGTCAAGGTTTCCATTCTGTAGAGTACATTTACCAACCAAAGTCATTTTAAAGTAAGATAAGCACTTAAAATTCCCAGTGCATTGTGACATTGAACAATGAAGAAACCTAATAGCTATTTCTGTTCAGTATCTCTTTGTTCCTTGGGTCAGAGATTCTTAGGGGGTACACTGTAAACACACCCCTGCGGGGTTTCATGCCATCTTCTGGAGGGTATCCGAAAAACTTGCACCTCTCAGCCTGACTTGTCCTTCACTTGCCCCACTTTCATAAACTTAAGTCTAGAGATGCACCAAGAAACACATTTTACTTCTAGAAATTAACTTGGGAAGTTTAAGAGCAATTCTGAAAATAAGCCATATTCTTATATGCCTACAAGATAAAGACTTTTAAAAAAAATTTTTAGGCCAGTGTGGAAATTTGAATACTTCTGCCTCTGAATATAACAACAATGATGGTGAAAAGTTTTGGAACTCTTTAACTCATCAGCATTTTTTTTTCTTTTTGGTTGTTGTTCTTAATCTTAAAGCCAGAACTGTATTGCCATCTGCTGGGTTTTCAAAATATGAAAATCTGAAATTTCTCCTTCTGCTCTATAAAATTAATTGGAAAATAAAAATGCCCATGTCAATGAATCTACTAAGTTACTTCTTAATTAAAAACTTTTATAGATTTTTGCTGAGTCTACATACAACTAAATTAGACATTTGTAACTGGCTGTAATTAAAATGAATATAAACCAATGGGAAATTCATGGAACGCCCAACATCTAAAATTATAGGACAGAGTAAAGATCAAAGCCATTCTCAAATGATAGAGTACTCCCATGTAGGAGAATAATAAATAATAATAAAAATATTATTTAATAAACTCAAATGCATATATTTGTTGATATTTAAGAGCTATTCATCAAAAGTCCTTAACCATTGAGTTATTAATCCAGAAAACACATATTTCATAGAATCTCATACATGCTTTATAAATAAATAAACCAAATAAAGCACTATACTTAAAACTGTGTCTTATTTTACAAGTAGCTAATAGAATTCCAAGTATTCAGCATTTCAAAGATGAATTTGGGATACAGCTAGGAACATATATCACTTTGGCTGTCCTAATGCTTCTCATGGGAGCTCCACTTCCTGATGTATCACATCTCTGTTCAGTATCTGTTGAACTCTTGATTAGACCCCAAAACCACACCAGCAAGTCATACCACTTGGACTTGACTGATCTCATGATTAATCATTTATTGACCCCACAAGTATTTATTTTGTACACATTTTTGTCATGGAATTTTAAGAGACAGAGATAAAAGAATGAGTAAGGCAGAGCCTCTCTCTTTTTATGAAGCTTCAAGTTAAGTGGGGGGAAATTGTTTATGTACAAATTATATTTTAAAGAGAGATTTAAAAAGTGCTATGGGGGCATCAAAGTTTAAGCAATTAGTTTCCTTCTAAGGCAAGAATTAAAGACATTTTTACAGAAATGGTCATATTTCAATTAGTTTTTGATGTACACCTAGAAAGGCACCAGGAGGAGAGAGATATGGAATGTATTTAGTGATGTGTGAAGAGTACATCAATAGGCCGGGCGCGGTGGCTCACGCCTGTAATCCCAGCACTTTGGGAGGCCGAGGCGGGTGGATCATGAGGTCAGGAGATCGAGACCATCCTGGCTAACAAGGTGAAACCCCGTCTCTACTAAAAATACAAAAAATTAGCCGGGCGCGGTGGCGGGCGCCTGTAGTCCCAGCTACTCGGGAGGCTGAGGCAGGAGAATGGCGTGAACCCGGGAAGCGGAGCTTGCAGTGAGCCGAGATTGCGCCACTGCAGTCCGCAGTCCGGCCTGGGCGACAGAGCGAGACTCCGTCTCAAAAAAAAAAAAAAAAAAAAAAAAAGAGTACATCAATATATGAGAAACAGATGAGTCTCACTAACATAGATGGTGGGATGTTTATGGAAGGCATAGTAGGAAGGCAGTTTGGTACCAGATTCTAGGAAACCTTTTTATCTTTGTTAAGTGTTAGAAATACTTTTCAATAGGTGATGGCATTGGAAGATTTTACATATATCTGCAATATGACCAGTCCATGTTTCATAAAGGCAATTGTTGGACCATGTGAAACACCACTTGAATAAGACCACTCGAGAAGCAGTTTCAATGGTCCACATGAAAGATGAGGGCTAGAACTCTCACAATGGCAGAGGAGATGGGACATGGACTCAATTACTACTTTACAGGTAAAATTGATGAGCTTCAGTGACTACGTTTGCTTCTGAACAAGATTAGTGGAGGTGAAGAATGGGATGCTAAGGAATTGGCAGTTGAATTACTGAAAAGGCCATTTGGGTTACTAATGGCCATTAGTCGCAATAGTGATTATGAGATGAACAAATTGTGGGGTTAGAAACTTGAGTCTAGTTGGAAGTATTTTGAATTTAAGTTGGAATATTAGGTATTGTTTTAAGTTGCACTCTGTCTCTCTCCAAACTATTTCATAAACATTCTTCAACTGACTTGGTCCATGAGGAAACAGAAGTTTTCTGTATTAAAACTAGTATGAAAAATATGAATGTGATTCTTATGCAATGGTAGTGAGTTTTAAAATTTTTGTCAAATTGTATTTTTACTGAGTCTTCTCTCACTCTTTCATTTCCTACATGAATATATATTATTACAATTTCTAAGAAAAATCATCAATTAAAACATTAGCTGTTATACCCAGCCAGATGCCAGTTTAATTTAAATGGTTTTGCACTCTCAAACTAGAATTATTGACTTCAGTATTACTTGGTTTGTATTTCATTACTTAATTTTTGTTCTAATATTTCTTTTTTTCTAAGAAGTCTGTACCAAATTGTGTTCCCAACAGAAAATTTTTAGGAAAGGAGTTTATCAATTCTAGTTAAAGAAAAGTAAATGAAGAGAATAATAATTGGTTTCATTTATTAAAAGCTAATCAAATTTCCTTCATATTAGGCATTATTAACTCAGTGGGAAAAAGTGCACTTGTTTTCTGTAATCTATGTGGTATTTTACCTTCAGGACACTAACTTTTGACATATTATGAAAACACACCAGTAGATTAGTATTACTTGGAATTCTGCAAATAGGCTTTAATTATTCATTTGTATTGTAACATGAAGAATTCGGTATACACTCAAAGATGATTATTTCAGAGTGATCCAATGTCCAAAAAATTTCCAGTGATTTGACATTAGGAACCTCCTGTGCCTACGGAGAGCAGGCTCTGTGCTAGGCATCATGGAGAGTAAAAAGACTAAAATCCATTATTTTTCGCCTTCCAAATAATTTGTAAGAGATGTTACATACAACATGAGTAAATTGAAACCATGGTTTGGAAATCATAGATTTTTATTGTCCCTACAATTTGAAAAGGGATAATAGTACTTGGTGGCCAAAACTGGTTAAGACAAATTAAGCTCAAGATCCTGATAGCTTACTCAATAGGAAAAGCAGAATCTTCATCCATGAATGTTTGCCTTTAGAGGCCAGTGTTATTTCACTATGTTATATTGGAAAATAGATATCACCTTACAGAAATTCTCATTTACTGTGTAGAACAAATCTAGTTTTTTTTTTTTAAATTTTATTGTAAGCAAGACTATGTCTTTTCAATCCAAATGAAATTATTGGTAGAAAGATTCTTTAGTAGTCTTGATACCATGTGAGTAGGAACGTCTTAAATTAGAGGAGAGTGCTTAGCAATATATAAATATTCTTTTCTCAAATGCAGAAAAAGAACGATTCCTAAAGTCACAATACCTTTGGTATCAGGTAAAATCTCTGCATCTCAGTCTTGAAGTAATTAAATCGAGGAAAATAATTCTACCTTGAGTTGTTTTGGCCCAATTTCATGTTTTTCACTAAATCAACCAGTTATTCTTTTCCTCCAATTCTCAAACTCTTTCACATAGTGGAATGGTAGCAAGATTACATTTTTTATGAGATTGAGAAAGCCCATGACAGTGAAACTTTTGTTTTCTGCGGCTATTGCTGTAAGTAACAGTAAAGGACTAGAACAAGCTGTAGTGTAGAAATCCCTCAAACACGGGAGCAATTGCCAAAACACCCCCTCTAGGCACGCTGTAGCACTCCAGAAATTAATCCGTGTAATGTCACCTCAGTTCCAGTCCTTCTCCTCTAGTGTTCTAAGTGGGTTAGTAAAGCTTAAAAGTAATTGGCAACAAAAGCAGCTGAATGATAGAGCATAATCCTCATGGACTTTGTACCGTTATCACAAAAAATTCTCTTTGGCAGAATTTATAACGGCACTAATATCAGGTATATGATGCATGCATCTGTTGATTTTTCTCAAACTCTGTCTTCCAGGCATATAAAAATGAGAATAAACTTAACATCCCTGAAAGGCATATTCATAGTAAATTACTGCTTGGAAAATGCAGTTTTCATGTTTAATTGCCTCGTTCCCTTCTATAAATACATAGTATCTTGCCGTATGAGAGGAATAAACGGCAAGGATGACTGGGCATTTATGTAGTACATGGATTCACTAATAAGAAAAAGAATATGATATTTCACCACCTACTTACCTTATAATAATAGTTTGAGAATTGATTAAGGTAATCCAATACAGTCTCTGATAACGGAGAATGTTTAGAAACAAAGTTTTTTTGGAGAAATAAAAGTTCAGATCAAAATGAGCATTACCCAGTATAATAATCGTGTTTTAAATTTAGGGTTTTTTATGAATCTTTTAAAGAAAGTATCCAAATAGTTGTTTTGTTCAATTCTGTTTCATCAAACTCAGAAGGGGGAAGGAGTAGGGATCTAATATTGGCATTGTTCCTCCTGCTCCTTCTCAGTGGGAGTCACCATGTTGACGATGGTACAGTGGTATCTGTATTATCTCTCTTTCAATTCTCATGATCATCCCCTAAGAAATATATTTTAATCTCCTTTTCAGATAATAAATATAAAGTTCAAATAGGCTAGATAGCTTGCCAAATACATATAGACTGATTGTTGAAATTAGGTAATGCGTGAATTCACCCACGTCTTTTTAGTGATTGAGAATGTATGTTACTTGTTGATCTTTATTTTCACTATCAATTATACATAATGTGAAAGACAGGGCTAAGTGTACACTGCCCCCCATTTCTGTAGTTTACGTGTAGAAGAGAAGATTTCTGCTCCACTCATCAGGAGAGAAAAATATGGGTGGCATACTTTCCCATGCTCTCTGACCCCTCATTCATCATTTCCTTCTTTGTCCAGAGAAAATTGGGCAGATGTTTCAGCCAATTCTTTATACTTTTAACAGGTATGTCTTCAGAATAGTAAAGGAGAAAACCTTCTTTTAAGTCCAGTGCTTTCTGGCTTTATTTGAAACACTGTTTCTACCTAATTCATTGTACATATTACTATTAGGACATTTTATACAACTAAGAGGGCCTTAATGACTTTGAATTAGATTAATCATTTGATGAACCAATAAACAAATAGAAAAATGGCATTAATTTGGATACTTGTTACTGGCTTTCAAGGTTTTAGGAGCACATTTTTCAAAATATATTTAGCTTACTTATTCAGTTTATTTTTAAACCAAAAGAATTAACCATTATCAATCCCAAAAGCATTTGTTCAAAAGTGTGTTGGAAGGGGATTTGAGAGGCTGTAAATAATTTTCCATGTTAGAGACAGGAATGTGGGCTCAGTGGCAGGCTTTCTTTTGTTTTTTGTCAATATGTTGTGGTGCTGTTTGGATATAACCTAAATACAACTGCAGAAAGGCTTATTCTATCATAACAGACCTTTGTGGGTTTTAGAATTGTGATGGCTTGTTTCCTAAAGCATTTTGATTGATTCATGTATTGCTTTGCTTTTCAAATATTACACCAACAATTTTTATGCAAGAATCCTTTATCCTTGCCAAGAATGGCTTTTATAATTTTACAAATGTTTTCCCTCTATGTACATAATATTTGATGTAAATTTTAATAATATAACATGGTAGTGATATTGTTGGGAGCTGACTGAAGATCTACAATATTGCCTTTATTGAATTTACTTAAAGGGATTAGTGACACACCCAGGACATTTTATATGAAGATTAAGTTATGACCAGAGAAGGTATTTTAGCTGATTGACAGAAGCACAGCAGACAATTCCTAGAAATACAGAGAAATTGGCACACCAAAGATACATACTGAGAGTTGGCACAAAGTAGATACTTAAAAAAAATTCCTGAATGAATGAATGAATCCAAGGCTACTTTGGTTCTGCTTTGGCCACAAGTGCTGTGTTAACAGGAGAAAGCAAGCATGTCTAACTTGTATGCAGAGATAATAATCAAAGGAAAAAAAATCCCTAATATCTGATAAAATCTGCTTCCTTAGTTGAAACCTTTTGATACTACTGGTGATATTCTTATCAACAGGTAATCACAGTTCTGTTAATAATAGACAGAGGATAAAAGTGAAATCTGAGAACTCAGGCATTAGCCCTAAATATGTTGTTTACTGTGGTGAAATCCAGGGCTAAAACTGCAGACTTTTATGCTCTTGATTTCTTGTCTATAAAATAGGCACAATATTTATTGCTAAGGCACCAGAGACTTCTCAGGGGCCTAAAATAAAATGTATAAGAGAAAACTTTCTTTCAAAAAATAATAATAATATTATTAAAACTGACCTGGAGTTGCCAGATGACTGGTGGTTGTTAGCTTGTCTGAAAAATAAATTATATTAAAATAATTATTACCTATTTTAAACTAATTACCAGGAATTTATTGTATATTCATTCTGTATAATAATTAACCTAAGAATTTTAAAAGTTATTACGCATTATTAGTGTCCATTTAGAAGTATGTCATTTGTATTTGGATTTAAAAATAAATCTTTTATGTTTTTGATGATTTTTAGAGTTGTAGCACAGAGGTTTTTAGATTTTTAACTCCTCTTTTATTTTCTAACTAAAGAAGACAAGGTTATTCAATGATCAATAACTAAATGCGAGGATTCATTAATCTCATAATGACCATAGACGTAAATGTTCCAGGTTAATTTGATGTTATATGAAAGAGAAGCGTGGGATATGCTTAGACCATGGGCTTTGGAATCAGGAGGAATTGCTTTTGATTTCTGAGTTTGACACTTAGTACCTGTGTGACCCTGGGCATGTTACTTATTATTTAATTTATTCTTTCAAATAGAAAAGTATTACGACCTCTCTACAAAATCATTCTGATAATTGAAATAGGTCATGTTTGTAAAATATAGTACCTGGCTAAAGAGGATGCCTTAAAAAATAAGACTTCAAGTCTTATAAAAATTGTCATGATTACTATACCAAAAGTAATATCTTCATAGTTTCATAATTATGAAGTTTGAAATTGTAGCTTGAAAGATGGGATGAAGAAAATGCTGGAATAGAGTAGTTAACATAAAGTCTGAATTCTCCTTTCCAAAGTGAAATATATTCTGAAAGTGGTCTTTCTTTATCTCACCCTTAGTGACCTCCCAAGTGCCATAGCTTCATCACCAAGGCACCATGATTTGGAGCCGTTTATGGAGATGTCACACACACACACACACACACACACACACACACACACACTCATATATCTCTCATATGTAACACACACACTCATATATCTCTCATATGTAACACACACACACTCATATATCTCTCATATATATTTGTATATAAAGTTTAAAATATGAAAGGAACATTGAAATTGGAAATGTATATCCTTGGCATAAGTGATGAGGCATTAGGAACATTGTAATATTACGAATTATGTTATTCCTAACCAATATAAGCTTCTTACAACTTGATATGAAGACTGAATGCCTCAGAAATAGCTGCAAGAAAAAAATGTATATTTTCCTAGGTGATAGAGTTTGATGATCACTAAGTTGTATTTTTAAAAGTGCCATAAACACTGACCTGAAGTTGTTGCAGGGCTTACTGTAGAAAAATTCTCCAAAGATGCTGGAATAACGTAAAGTTGATTTAACACATGAGTTTATGATATAAATACATTACAAAACATTGAGTACACCTTGAATATTCATTCAAAGGGCATCTGATCCTTTGGAGTTCCTATTTTATCCTCTGCCATGCTAAGCCTTCCTATTCATTATTTGGTTGTAATACATTTGATAAATTTCCAGAGTCTGCATATTCTCTCTATGCAGTTTACTTATGCAAAAAGTTTGCTTTATTTTATATCTATTTAAGAAAGATATCCGTTTATTAATCATAGTTCTATAGAATAATTTACATTTGAGCCAACTAATATAACATGATACGCCACATCTTGGCATACCTAGAACCACTTGTTTTACACTAAAACATATGAAGGTAACAATTGCAAAACAATCTTTCACATAATGAATATTTCCTTGGAACTAAGTGGTATATAAGTAAAAAGTGCTTTGCACATAGAAGACAAAAGCTGGCAATTTTCTTCAAACTTTAACATGTTTGATAGTTTTAAAAGGATAGACTCACCTATGCAAGATATAAAGGAAATCAAAGCATATCTCATGAAAAGTCATGTGGTGAATTTGTTTTTATTCAAGACTATATTGATGATAAGTGGGCTAAGAAGTATATTCGTTTCTACTAACTAGGTGGTTTATTTCAGCATTTCATCATTTTTGAATTGTGTTGGTTCTATAAAACCTATTGAAGTTTTGTAAATGATACATGGTAGAGTGTTGACACTGAAGATAAAATAAAATTTATGTGACTTTTCATAAATAATATGGTTAAATTTTTTATGTTTGACAGTGTATTATACACAACTTCAAGATATCTATGTAATTCTTAACTAAATTTAAAACTATAAATTTGAAAATTCACATGATACAAATGGATATTAAACTGAAATACCTACAATTAACTTGGTACCGTGTTTATAAATGTGTTTTAACACAATTCAACAAGTTAAATGTAACTTCTACTTGTTGAGAATATTCTTGGGCTGATGTTGTAAAACAGTTTATTACATTTGTGATACTAATTCTAAATTAACTCAAAGGATATGGTTTCATTGAATAAACATTTAATTTTAAAAATCACAAACTCTCTTCCCCCAGATGATCCAAATATAGGAAATCGTGAAAAAAAGTTTCAGCATATCTGTCAATTTGCTTGCCAGAACAGACCATCAGAAACCAATGCACATTCAAATAGAGATAGTAAGATGACAACTTTGGGGCCTGTTGGAGGATGGGCGGTGGGAGGAGGCAGAGAATGAGGAGAAATAACTAACAGGTGCTAGGCTTAATAACTGGGTGATAAAATAATCTATACAACAAACTCCCATGACACAAGTTTACCTATATAACAAACCTGTATATGTACCCTGAAAAGTTAAAAAATAAAAAATGAAAATATTCATTTTTCCATGCCAAAAAAGAAAAATGACTATGAAAAAAATCAACTAAAATTGTTCAAAGATAAAAACATTACAAACAAACTAGTATAAAGGTTAAGAGGGCAGACATTAGGATCAGACCACAGAGGTCAGAATGCCTAAGTCTAAATGACTGTGTGAAAAAGGCCATTTACCAAAAGTATCTGTGTTTTGGTCTTCTCCCTGATTGGGGGATAGTAATGACATCACATAAGAGGATTAATGTAGAGAGTAAAAATGTTGATAGATAAACCACCTGTTCTAGCTAATAATAGCCAGTAGTAGTTTTCAGCTCATCTGAATCAAAGATTTAAAATAGACAGTCTCTGCTCAAACAGCTGTGACATGCGTCCAAACCATCAGTAGAGGAAGGACTAAGAATTTATCTTCTTGCTGAACAGCAGCTGCAACATGTTGCAGGAGACTCAATCAAAGAGGAAACTATGCTTGATGAAACAATGCTCTGAAGAGAAGCAACTAGAGATCTACAATCTCATATCTACTATTAGAAAATAAACAAAGAAAACTCCTGGATGTTTTTATGTATTTGATTTAGAGGCAAACATACCGATTGATCTCATTTTGTAGCAAAAATTAGTTGAACTAATTAAATAGTTAGGCTATTTAGAGTTTCTCTTTATTCCCCTCGGTGTAGATATTTATGTATTGGCTAACTTTCTAACATCCAAAAATTTCTGAATTCCAAAATGTATTTGGTCCCAAGGTTTATGGGTAAGGGATTGAATCTGGATGACCTTGGCAAATTACTACTGTTCTCAACAATACTCAATAAGGACACTGTGTTTGTTGAATTGAATTGAATGAAGGATAATTAGAATGGAAAATTTGGAACAATCTAAGCATTTACAATCGTATTTTTTATTATTTTTGATGTTCCATATTTCTTCTTTTTTGGTTTATTCTTATGTTAAAATTATTTATCATTTTAAAAATTAATACTTAATTTTTATAAATAGGTAACTGGAAGGGATCAAACTCATTGACTCTACTTTTTTCTTCTTTTTTTAGCTCCTCAATTAGAAATCGGACCTTGCCACTGGATTTTACAATCTAACAATGTCTAGAGAGAGTTCCTGAAGTCAGGGTGTGCTTGAACGGTGCAAAGAATGCGTAAGACCCACAAACTTCTGTGCATGCCAACACTCTCAGAATCTCCTTGGAATGCATAAGACCCACAAACTTCTGTGCATGCCAACACTCTCAGAATCTCCTTGGAATGCATAAGACCCACAAACTTCTGTGCATGCCAACACTCTCAGAATCTCCTTGGAATGCATAAGACCCACAAACTTCTGTGCATGCCAACACTCTCAGAATCTCCTTGGAATGCATAATACCCACAAACTTCTGTGCATGCCAACACTCTCAGAATCTCCTTGATATTTGGTATTTTATAAACTTTTTCTCATTGATAAGTTTCTTCAAATGCGGTTTCTTCAGATTTCACTTTTCTCATGTAAATGTGTCACCTCAGGCAATAAGACATGTTCCTAAGGTCAAGCATGATTCCACTTCCTCCCTGGTATATTGCTAGAATTTTAATTTCATAGCTTAATGATTCAAAGAAATCAAATAATGTTCACACATACCTAGGATATCAACGCTGTTCAAATCAATATGGAAAGTGACCAGTTGGCTGGATTTATTTGCTTCAAGGCCTTGAATCAGTTCTTCTTTTACATTTTCATCTGACACCCACTGGGCAAAGAAAAGGTCAAATACGACTATAATGCTGCCATTTCTGCAAAGCAAAAGAGGATATAAGAGGAAAAAGTCAGCCATCTTCCACTGATTTGTGTTCAATTCATGTTAAATGTCTTTGAAATTCTCTATAGTTATCATCTTGCTAATTCTCATTATACCTGTGTAAGGTAGTCACTTCAAATCTTATCTTTATTTCATGAGGGAAAGAAAAAGTGAATTGAAAGACTAAATGCTTTTTTGAGAAGAGAAACTCCAAAGTAGATGCAAAATTGAAATCTGAGTTTTCTGAGTTCCACGTTCAAGTACTCATCCCCAGGCCAGGATGTTCCTGAGACCCTTGTGTTAAAATCACGTGGTCTCTTTGCACTTACTCTGATTTTACTGTTTGGAGAAAAGAAGGGTATGGATTTGTAGTTTTTCATGGATAATTTCTAAGTTGGGGGAAATCTAAGGTAGTTTCACTGGTTTCAAAGAAAATTTTTCTACATAGTTTTAAAAGGCCTGATAGCAAGCTTATGGCAACTAATCTATATCTCCCTCTTCTTCTCTATTTTGCTTAATATAAAATATCAAAATATGCCCTGATTTCAAGGGATAGAAAGAAAACAAGGGTATCTGGGTCTATTAGGGATTCACAAGAAATTCAATCTCAGGTCCATGAGTCGGGATTGTCTTGCCTGCATGATCTCCAAACATAGCATTAGAGTTCAGCCATATAGCCCTAATCATCTTCCCCCTTGATTTTATCCCCTGCTCTGTACCATGCATTTTAAAAGGTAACTTTTTTTCAGTGTAAAGAAAGAGAAAAATGAATAAATTTTTGGTGAATAGGGATACTTGGGAGATTTTTGCCCTCCTGCTTACATTTCTATTTGCCATATGCTATCATTTTAGGGTATGACCACTTGGGAGACAAACTATAGCTCTGATATTTATTCTATACCCCTCAATAAACTCTAGGCACTCACGGTATACTTGGCTGCTTAAGACACAGACTAGGGCAAACTAAATTTTGCATGATATGTTTGCTGGTTTTGAATTATGGGAGTTATATATTCTTGTGATATATGTAAGTTTATGAGCTTGTTGAAGGATTTTCTCAAGTCCAGTAGAATTCTTTATTTATCTCTCCATCTATCTATCTTGATAGAACCTACAGTAAATGTTATTTTTTCTTCCATGACTGGATATAGAACTAGAATATTCCTGAAAGATCACAGTAGATCAGCATCTCCACTAGGGGGAGTATATTCCTTCTTCGTGTCCATGGCACTATTCAGTTTCACAGTAATTCATTTCCAGGAAGCTGGTCTTTCATTTTTAAAATGAACAAGATGATATAATATTTTTGATATAATATTTTTATAATTCACATGTATTAAATAAATTATATAAAATGATAGAAGGTTTAACTTTCTAATCATTTGCTTAAATTATAGTAGCCAAATCTTGTAAATGAGAAGGTTCCCTAGTAACTGTTTAGTTCAGGGTTTCCCAAACTTACCCATACATGAAATCACTGTTGTCCTTGGTAATGATACATTTCGTCACAGACACTACCTTTCATCTACTTTTCCACACTTGTGCTGGCTGGCTAACCCCTAATTTTACTGGAGAATAAGCCTCCATTTTTTTTAGGAAAGGTGGCATCTTCTTTAACCATTCTTTATACCAAACATGGTTTTATTCGTGGGTGTATTACCTGGCCTTGGTCAACAGAATCTGAAGGGAAGACTAATGGAAACTTCTGGAAAACTTTTTTATATCTAATAAAAGAACAGCTCACAGTAGATTACCACCCTTCGTTGTTGAACATTATTAGGTCTACATAATTTGCTGAAACTGCCACATCTACCTTGAGACCATGAGTGAGGCCATGGTTGATAAGCCAAAGATAGCGTAGCAGAAGAAGGAAAGTACCCAAAGCCCTGACTATGTCATTGTCATTGTACTACTGAATTAACTTCCTTTAAAACCTCTAGATTTCTTGTGATGTCAGATAATAAACACTTTTTTTTTTTGAGATGGAGTCTCTCTCTGGGGCCAGGCTGGAGTGCAGCGGCACGATCTCCGCTCACTGCAACCTTCGCCTCCCGGGTTCAAGCAATTCTCCTGCCTTAGCCTCCTGAGTAGCTGGGACTACAGGTGCCCGACACCATGCCCACCTAATTTTTTGTATTTTTAATAGAGATGGGGTTTCACCATGTTGGCCAGGATGGTCTCGATCTCCTGACCTCATGATCCTCCTGCCTTGGCCTCCCAAAGTGCTGGGATTACAGGCATGAGCCACCATGCCTGGCCAATAAACACTTATTTTTAAGGCACTTTTAGTCATGCATTCTGTTAATGGGAATTTTGAAAATTCTAACAAGCATACAACTGTCAGCCCCTATTCCATGTTTATATGAACAGAAGGTAATTACTCTATTTTTGAAGCTGAATATTGGCCAATATTTTCATTTTAGCAATGAGGACACTGAGGCTTAGAGTAATGTAGGTAACTTTGCCTAGGGTTATACAGCTTATTAGTGTCAGAGATAGAAAAGAAACCTAGGGAATCTGTTTCCCTAATGTGTTTTTATATAATTCCCATCCCCCCACACTCAACAACACTTTTATCAATTCTATTCTGAACTATTTATCAGCAGGAAAGAGGCTACAGCACATTTACCCTAAAGGCATGTCCAGGTATTTTATTCTGTTGCATAGTTAGCAGAATTTTATATACAAATAGATGAAAAAAACAGCTGGTTGGATATTTTTGGGGAGAAGGGAAAGATATTTATTTCTGCAATACTTCCAAAAGATAGAGCACTGCCTTTTTTCCTCCTCCTCTTCTTCCTTCTTCTTTTCCTCCTACTCCTTTTTCTTTTTTACATTATGTCTTCCTAATCAACCTCACTTTCCAAGATAGTTAAATGGACAGGATTGATTGTGGTTAAAATGAAGTGAGAGTGAACAATATTAATTATTTTCTCTCTCTCCAATCCCCCATCTTCATTTTATCTTTGGTTGCAGACCAGAAAACTTAAATTCTGATTAAATCTGTTTTATTTCTATGTAATTTCACCGGTTCAATTTGACTGAACACTTGCTTTCATTTTATTTGAGTTACGGAGTAAAAGAGGTAAGGTATTTTGGGCAAAGAAAATACAAATCTGGAATTTTGCTTCACTGAGTTGAAAGTAACTGGATTAGTTCATCCTCAGGCATAAAACATTTTTCTTTGAAAGGTGTGTTCTCTTAGTTGTGAATTATGCATTACATTTAATAATTTATACTTTGCAAGGATAGGAGTTGCATATCCTATATCCACATAAAGTTGTAGCCTTTAAAATTTATTTTCTTATTTAGTGGAAATGTTGAGATGAGAGAGATAAAGCAGAAATAAAAAAAGTTGTAATAATCATTTGTGATTCACCTCATAAGAAAGCTGAAGCTGTTTAGTTGTTTAGTAATGAAATGAGAATTCTTCCTTTAGGTTAAAAAAAATGACCATTTTCATTTCAAAGTACTAGTCCTTGTAAAATAACAGTTTTTCTCTAAGGCAGAGAAATCCTACTATGGTACAGAAAGCTTGAGTATAATAGAGCAAAATATTAGTTATCTCATATATTCCTTAATGATATTGGTAACCTTTAGGGCTGCTGAGTAAACAAGTCTTTCCTTTCCTAACTTTGTGGCTTATCTGTGCTCAAAGGGCAAAAGAAACTGCATGTTGCCACAAAGGGTAAATAGTTCTTTATTAAAATAATCAAATGCTAAATGTTCTGGTGAAAGCACTTTCCACAAAGCAGAATGAATGAAAGTATTCCCCAAATAGACCAAACCATTGGCTTACCCTGAAGAGTAGCTACACACACACACACATACACACACACACACACACACACACACACACACACACACGCACACACACCCCAAAATCATACAAGTTAGTAAGTGGCAGAGATTGGCATTAAATATTGTGAAAGTAAGAGAAAATAGTTCAATGACTAAATCTAGTATTGGAGTGCTAGAATTTGATCATATACACATACATGGTGTGAGTTTAATTAAAATCTATAACAAAAATGTAAATAGGTATTTTAAAGGATTTATAGATATACAGTTGACGTAGGTACTGTTAGGTGAGAACTCAGTTATTTCTGTTTCTGATTTTATCAATTGGATTTTTAAATTAAAATAATTTATAAAGTTAATAATGAGTCTTCTACTGTTTCCTATGAGTGGAATACGTATATTTGTAGGTGATTATTTAAGGTAAAGTAATCCTAAGTGTTTCATTGTTACTCTCTCTCCTGCTCCTGATTTCCTTTTTCTATCCTCCTCTTCTAGGTCTCCCAAAAGAGCAACAATGTGATTTATCTAACAGACGTTTTTATGAAATTCCTTTGCATTGCACTTTTCAAAAACTCACTTCTGATTTAATGGCAGCTCAGCTACCACCAGAGGGAAGTATCTCTACACTGATGAAGTACATTATTTGACAGTCATTATAAAATATTTGTCAAGGTCTGGGCACGGTACTGGCCTCCTAGGTAGCTATAAAGGAGGGGAAACAAACAATCCCTAAGCTCAAATAATTTACAGTTTCATATGTGGTGATTTTGTCATCTAGAGAAATAAAAGATTACTTACTAAATATCAGAAAAATTTGGGATTTTGGTAGCCCACCAGGCCTATATATAAAAGTCTATATTCATCAAATTTTCCCAACCTAATGTAAGTGAAGTTATCCAGCATGTTGTAGACATGTAAACATAAAGGGTTCCATTAGCAAAACTATTCTGATAAACTCTGCAATGGACACTGTGCTTTCTGTATGGATTTCACTAGGCAAAGCCCAATTCAAGAGAGGCAGGCACCTAGAATACCTCTCCTTAAAGGAGGTTAAAGCCTTTTGGAAATAAATCTGAATTGATGCTTTACTGCAGCTCTCCAGACTCAATCCTCTACAAAACTAGAAAAGAGAAATTCGTTTCATTCACCACAACGTAGACAAATAGCTTAAAGTGAACCAACAAAAAATAAAACTTTCCCGTGTAATGTTACACTCACAAAATAAAGACTAAGTACGCATTTTTATTAGCATTTTGAAAAAGTTAAAATAATTAACCTTTCCTGCATGTCTGTGTTTCTCCTTTTAGTTCTGATATTGGACCAATGAAAGAGGCTAAGAGATTATACACTCTGGAAACAGAGGGAAGGGACTATGTACTGTAGGTAGGAAGGAAGACAGCAGATGGGTGTAGGGGCAGCTCCTGGGATTAAGATGTCAGAAATATGCAATAGAGTAAAGAATGATATGATAGATAAGGAAATAAAGAAAATAAAGACAAGAGAAAGAAAGAAAGAAGAAAAAAAGAGAAAGAGAAAGAAAGAAAGATGGAAGGAAGGAAAGAAAGACAAGAGAAAGAAAAGAAAAAGAAAGAAAGGAAAGAAGGAAGGAAGGAAAGAAAGAAAAGAAAAAAAGAAAGGAGGGAGGGAGGCAGGGAGGGAAGGAAGAAGTAAATTAAGGAAGGAAGGAAGGAAGGGAGGAAGATTAAACCTTTTTGCATAAAAAGATAAAGCTTTCATTGTGTCTGTATTTGATAAGATTAAAAATTCACCTCTGATTTAATAGTAGCACAGCTACCACCAGGGGAAACCATCTCTACACTGATGAAGTATATTATTTGAGAATCATTATAAAATATTTATCAAGGTTTGAGCACTGTACTGGCCTCCTTGGTAGTTATAAAGAGGGGAAAGAAATAATTCCTAAACTCAAATAATTTACAATTTTAAATATAGTGAATTTGCCACTTAGAGAAATAAAAGATTATTTACTAAATATCAAAGAAAAATTCTGCGATTTTCATAGCCTACCAGGCCTATATATAAAAGTCTATGTTCATCAGGTTTTGTTCCAACAGGAGATGGGAAGGCACTGAGGTTTCTTTTGACCATTAAATAAGCTTCATTTGACCTTCTGCCATTGTTTTTCTAAGCATAATCTCTTTTACCTTTGATTTGACTTTCCTACCTCTTTTTGGTCACTAAAACTAAGGATTCTGTTACTGATGTCAGAACTTTTGTGATGATCCGATACCAATTATTTTGTCCTTAGGATCTTTGATTCAGTTGTTCCTTACCTGAGATGTGAGACTAACCTTTCTATAAAGTCAGGCTCACTGTGTATCTCCAATGTCCTACCAGTCCCCTATGACTTTAATTTGGCACGAGTTCATTGTCACACTCTTAGGTTTATATTTAGCACATTCATGATGTCTCAACATCTTCTTAGTAGCCCTCAATGCCAGCTCTATTATATCCTCAACATGCTACGTTATTTTTTATCTTTATCCGAAATGGCTTTCCTTGTCTTCTCCACTCAAGTAGTCCCTATCTATGCCTTTCAGACACTGTCCCACATTTTTCATAAAACTTTCCATGACCCACCCTTTCAAGTCAAGGGACTCCTTCACACAGTAACATGCCTGTGCTTTTGGAGAACTATTTAAGAATTCTCAAGTTAGTTTATTTCTTGTAACAAAAAGTTAAAGCCATGGTAACTGTATAATTATTTTTATAGCCATAGGATGAAGATTAAATGAAAAGATGCTAATCTCTAACATAATATTAATAGGATGAAGATTAAATGAAAAAATGATAACCTCTAACATAATATTCATTATGTTAATAACAGCTGCTAAATAATTTTTCATTCATTTGCTAAGACTTTATAGAATACATATGCTGTGGTGGGCATTAGTTAGGTTCTGAAAATACAGGTATCAAAGATACATTCTCTGCCCTAAGAGAGCTCCTAGCCTAGTAAGGAGATAGACAAATCAACAATTATGCTATAGTGTGAGAATTGTACTTTAAATGTAGATACATGGTGCTAAATGCACAGGGGGAAGAAGTACCTAAACCAGACTAGAGTGTCAGTTAAGTGTCCCAGGGAAGGCGACATGGACTGGTTCTTAATGGGTTGTGAGGATGGAATATAAGAAAGGATGCAATAATAAGGAGAGAAAATGAGAGTGCCAGTATATTAATCCATTTTTACACTACTATAAAGAAATACCTGAGACTGGGTAATTTATAAAATAAAGAAGTTTAATTGGCTTACAGTTCCACATGGCTGGGGAGGCCTCAGAAACTTACAATCAGGTTGGAAGCCTAAGGGGAAGCAAGGACCTTCTTCACGTGGTGGCAGAAGAGAGAAGAGTGTGAAGGGGGAAGAAGCCCTTATGAAACCATCAGATCTCATAAGAACTCACACACTGTCATGAGAACAGCATGTGGGAAACTGCCTTCATGACCCAATCACCTCACACCAGGTACCTCTCTCAACATGTAGGGATTACAATTGGAGATGAGATTTGTGTGGGGACACAGAGCCAAACCATATCATTCTGCTTCAGGCCCCTCCCAAATCTCATGCCCTCACATTTCAGAACACAATCATGCCTTCCCAACAGTCCCTCAAAGTTTTAACTCATTTCAGCATTAATTCAAAAGTCCAAAGTCCAAAGTCTCATCTGAGACTAGACAAGGCTCTTCTGCCTATGAGTATGTAAAATCAAAAACAAGTTCATTACTTCCAAGATACAAAGGGGTTACAAGCACTGAATAAATGCTACCATTCCAAATGGAAAAAAATTTGGACAAAACAAAGGGGCTACAGGCCCCATGCAACTCCAAAATCCAGCAGGGCAGTCATTAAATCTTAAAGCTCCAAAATAATCTCCTTTGACTCCATGTCTCACATCCACGGCATGCTAATGCAAGGGGTGGGCTCTGACGGTCTTGGGCAGCTCCACCCTAGTGGCTTTGAAGCATACAGCTCCCCTACCCCCACTGGCTGCTTTCACAGCTGGCATTGAGTGTCTGCAGTTTTTCCAGGCACACGGTGTGAGATGTCAGTGGATCTACCATTCTGTGGTCTGGAGGACGGTGGCTGTCTTCTCCAGAGTCAGCCCAGGGGGGACTCTGTGTGGGGGCTCTAGCCACACATTTTCCTTCTGCACTGCTCTAGCAGAAGTTCTCCATGAGAGTTCTGCCCCTGCAGCAGACTTCTGCCTACATATCCAGATGTTTCCATACATCCTCTGAAATCTAGGCAGAGGTTCCCAAACTTTAATTCTTGACTTCTGTGTACCTGCGGGCCCACGTGGAAGTTGCCAAAGTGTAGAGCTTGCACCCTCTTAAGCAATGGCCTGACCTGTACACTGGGCCCTTTTAGCCATGGCTGGAGCTGGAGTGGCTGGGACGCAGGGCACCAAGCCCCAAGGCTGTACACAGCAGTGGGGTCCTGGGCCCCATCCACAAACCATTTTTCCTCCTAGGCCTCCAGGCCTGTGATGGGAGGTCCTGCTATGAAGAACTCTGACATGCCACGGAGACATGTTCACCATTGTCTTGGCGAATAACATTTGACTCCTCATTACTTATGCAAATTTCTGTAGCTGGCTTCAATTTGTCCCCAGGAAATGGGTTTTTCTTTCTGCCACATAGTTAGCCTGCAAATTTTCCAAACTTTTATACTCTGTCACCTGTTGAAAATTTTGCTGTTTAGAAATTTCTCCTGCCAGATACCTTAAATCATCACTCTCAAGTTCAAAATTCCACAGATCTCTAGGGCAGGGGCAAAATGCTGCCAATCTCTTTGTTAAAGGATAGTAAGAATAACCTTTGGTCCCTTTTCCAATAAGTTCCTGATCTCCATCTGAGATCACCTCAACCTGGACTTCATCGTCCATATCACTCTTAGCATTTTGGTCAAATCCATTCAACAAGTCTCTGAGAAGACTCCTTCCCGTCTTCTTCTGAGTTCTCCAAACTACTCCAACCTCTGCCTGTTACCCAGTTCCAATGTCACTTCCACATTTTCGGTTATCTTTATGGCAGTACCCCATTCCTGGTGCCAATTAGTCTTTTTTCACACTGCTATAAAGATACTACTCAAAACTGGGTAATTTATAAAGGAAGGAAGTTTAATTGACTCACAGTTCTGCATGACTGGGGAGGCCTCAGGAAACTTAAAATCATGGCAGAAGGTGAAGAAGCAGCAAGTACTTTCTTCACAAGGTGGCAGGAAAGAGAGAGAGTGGGGGAAACTGCCACTTATAAAACCATCAGATCTCATGAGAACTCATCCACTATCATAAGAACAGCATGGGAGAAACTGCCCCCATTCCAATCACCTCCCACCAGGTCCCTCCCTCAACATGTCGGGATTACAACTTGAGATGAGATTTGAGTGGGGACACAGAGCCATATCACCCAGTAACGAAAACATAGATAAAAGAGAGAAAGCAGGATGGTTTTGAGGGTGTACAGATGATGTGGCAGGACTGAGGCAGAACGCTGTGTCGAGTTGGGGAGGAGAAACAGAAGGCCAGAGTGTGTTTTGGTGACAGAGCCATGCAGTACACCTGCATTTAGTATGATAGCACTAGAAAAAGTCTTTAGGTATTTAAGGAGTGAGATATGAAGATGGAGAGACATTTATTCTCTAAAAAACTAGTAACTACAAGCAGGATCAGTGGATGAAAATCAAAGAAAGAAATAATTTGGTGATAATAATAAAGCATGTTCTAGTACCTAAAGTTATAAATAATAAACAAAATATACTAATAATCATGATTATTTAATAGGCTGTTTGTAGGATGTCCACAGCAATATTGAAAAAAGATTCCTAATTTTTGTTAGTCACATTACATGAGAAAATTAAATTTAAGCAGTATGAATCTCTTTCTTTTGTTGGACTAGAATGAATTTTCTTTAGTCTGTGAGCATTCCAGCTCAAAGCAGTCAAGCAAAGGCTAGACTACACAAGAAAAGAAAAAAATTTTTCTTGCACTATCACACAAACTGTATATACAACCTGACATGTAATGCCTAATAACGTTAGTAAAAATTTCTTGACTCTGTCATATCTCCCCAACAATATTTTAAATTCCTCACAGCAGAGATTTTATACCTTAATCATCACATAAATTACTCATGCCTAATTTATTATTAATGTCTGTTATAAATTAGTCACTTAACCCAAAGGTGCCCTTTGTAAGTAGGCAATTAAAAACCAAATAGCCTATCAAAACAGAGAGAGAGAAAACCAGTTCTAAATATACCAATACAAATTAAAATGTCTTAATGATAGTGGTTGAATGAGCTCTTTAATAAAAGACTTTCTCTTAATATCTGTATTCTCAGAACCTAGTTAAATGTCTGTTTCTAAGTAAGCCCTATATGTGTGTTAAGTACATAAGCGAGCAAATGAATGGATGACTACCTGAACATTTATTTAACTCTATGTTGACAGGATAAAAATATTTGCTTCAGTTTTCCAGTATCTCTTTAATATATGTTTTGCCTATTTTTTGAAGTACTCTTTTTAGTGATTCTACCCTCCCCTTGTGCAAAGCACAGAACAATATTTTATATTTTCATCTTTATCTTTATTCTACTATAGGGGGATTTTAAGTTAGCAATTTATGTTGTATTTCAAAGCATGCTGTATCTCTCATAGAATTTTAGGGATATTAACCCTGAATAAACTGAAGATTATTTTGGGAAGATAAGGAAAATTCTGCTTTCTAAAGATTACAGAAACTACAAGGTAACTTAGTTTCTATCATATCACATTTGAAGAACTGATTTTAAAAGCCTCAGATGAAACAAAAAAAATGTGTCATTTTTCAGGAGGAGGTAAAGAAAAAGTAAATAATGATAATTTTCATTCTAACCAAACAGATGTTTAAATCTTCATGTATGGCATTCTCTCTCTCTCTCTCTGTCTCTCTCTCTCTCTCTCTGTCTCTCTCTCTTTCTCTCACATACACACAAACACACACTTACTTTTGATACTTTTGATGTATCCATGAACCATATAAACTGTACAGAGATACTGTAGACTCTACCTCATTTTCAGCTTGCCTCCAGTTTTTACTAAAACAACAATGAGGTCATTATGAAAAAAAAACACATTCCTACTAAATTATAACAGTATTACAATCTAAATGATAAAAAAGCCCCTTATAGACTTCTGGATAGATCAGTACACCTTTAAATCCAGTGACGGATTCTTATAAAGGCTATTTCTCCACTCGTTTAACTCATTCCACTCTGACTTTCTGAGTATTTTTCTATATGCTAACTCCAGCAACTAGCATTGTCAATTCATAGAAGAGTAACACATGCATAACCATTAAAAAGGAAAAAAATAAGAGAATAAAAAGATTGTAAACTTAGGTACTGTTTACCCTAGTCTGAGTATAGATTATCCCATCAGTTTTCCCATAAAGTTAACGAACACTTTAACCTACACAACTTTAAAAATCAGAGTGGAGAACAAGGAAAACTAAAGGTGGAAGCACAGGGCTTGCGTGGAAAAAGGTCTATGGCCATTTAGCAAATGAACAAAATAAGGCACCCAGAGGGAGAGTAGCCACTGAGAAACATACAGCAAACACTGCTTGGACAATTCCTGAATATGTGACTCTTTAGCCTTAACTTTCATTGCTTCACTCTGTCTTGAGTACTTTTTTAATATAAAAATTAGTAGTAGAGGACAGCATGAATGTTTTAGACAGACAGACTAATGGCAGCTTGACATTGGAAAAGTAACCTAGCCTCTCTGAACCACACATTAATAATTCACGACAGACTGATAATCTAAAACTTCACAAACCCCTAGTGAGGAAAGCATTAGGTGACATACACAAGTACATGGTAGTAATGGTACACAGAAGAACAAATTGACAAGCTTGTGGTGATCTTCTGATTAGTACTGAGTATTTAGTTTGCTAAATGAATTGGTACACCAGGAACACCATCAGTCCATATATACTTGCCATTTTTCTTTTTAAAAACAGGGCTAAAGTATCTTAACCTTTTCAAAAATAATGTAATTTTTAGGGAGCAAAATGTAAAACATCTGAATTTTTTTAGTGTTATTATGATGCCTTATTATTTATCTAATTGAAGACATAAACCTTAAATATCAATGGACAATGTAGACAAGAAAACTGTAATAATTTCTATCAGACTGTCAGCTGCACAAAAGCACAAAAAATATGTAATTTTAAGGCCCTGGAATATAATAAATAATACATGAATAAAAGTAAAATTAATATTCAGGTTTTATAGGTCGCAGTGTCTTGAAAACCCATAGGGAGGCTGTTGTCCTCTGCTATTGAGCTTGTACATTGTGCTTTCATTTCAAATTGTGGGCTTGGAGCTTTCAGCTACCTTCAACTGCAGTGCAGCAGCTGCTTAAAAACTAAGACTTACTTACTCTCACGGTAAAGGAGTATGGAAGATGGCCAGCTGTAACTAAAGAATATTGCCATCAGTCTAGCTTACTTAGATGTTTTTCTCCATGCTCATCTTGGCTTTCATTGTTCTCCTTCCTGTTCCAGATTTACTGTCATCCTTCTTATTTCTGTAGAAAAAGAGAAGTTTCCTTTTCCATTGCATCTTGAGCCCACCCATCTATGGTGAAAAGCAAACCCACCCTCCCTAGAAGTTGTTATATTCTGTGGGCTCTGCTACTCTAACATTCTCATATGAAAGGAGAGCACATGCTGAATCAGAACAACAAAACTCCATTCAAACACATTCCCCAACACCTACTAGCTGTGTGATTTGAGGCAAGTTATTTTTCCAAGCCTCGGTGTCGTAGTTATTTAAGGCGGAATAATTGCATCTCCCTCACAGTCATTTGGTGAGGAGTGAATAAGAAAATACATCTTACAGCTGGGCGCTGTGGCTCATGCCTGTAATCCCAGCACTTTGGGAGGCCGAGGTGGGCGGATCACGAGGTCAGGAGATCGAGACGATCTTGGCTAACATGGTGAAACAGCATCTCTACTAAAAATACAAAAAATTAGCCGGGTATGGTGGCGGGCACCTGTAGTCTCAGCTACTCGGGAGGCTGAGGCAGGAGAATGGCGTGAACCTGGGAGGTGGAGCTTGCAGTGAGCTGAGATCACGCCAGTGCACTCCAGCCTGGGCGACAGAATGAGACTCTGTCTCAAAAAAAAAAAAAAAAAAATCTGTCTGTCTGTCTGTCTATCTATCTATCTATCTATCTATCTATCTATCTATCTATCTTAAGTCACAAAAGGCTTGGCCTGAAATAGAGATTCAACCAGTGAGTTTCCTTTTTGCCAGCTTGTCATAGGATCTCTGTTTTACCTAACCTTCTGGAATATTGTCTTTCTTTCTGTGCTTTTTAAATGTGAATTATTGTGAAGGCTTTGCTCTCTTCCCTTTTTCAGCTACCCCAGGTCTTGATCAGTCTTTAACTTTTTTTTCTTGGAATCCTCTCCCTTTGTCTTTTTCATTTTTAACTTAATTTTATAAATTTACATTTTTCTTTCTTTTATATTACATGTATTTTTAACTTTCCAGTTGACTTGTATCTCTATTCCAAAAGCCCTTTGGTAGTTTGTAGTTTAGAAAACTTTAGGTTCAGAGAGATGTCAGCAAGATTGTCAAACTCTCCTTCATGATACAACAGCAACAACAACACACAGGTCAATTTTTTTTGTGACAAATACAAAAGCTAATTGTTTAGAAAATAGATCTTACAATAGAAATAAGAAAATAGTTCTTACAAAATTTCCATAATTTCCATATGTTACAGATTCAAACATTCATAGTGTGGAATTACATCATTACATTATTAATCTAAGATTCGTTAGTTTATTGAGCACCTACTTTACTTTAAGCAATCTTATGCCCTCTGGGTACACAGTGGACAAGTACCTTCTCTCTAGGTATTTATAGTATAAATGAAGCAGGGTGATACAATATTATTTTATTAAATGACAAGCAAGCTTTTTCCAAATGTTCGTAGCAAGTCAAATACTATATCTGCATCTGTACCCTCTCCATGTGTCTCTGCAAGATTTTATTGTCAGTAGAGAGAAACATATTAACATAAGATCAATTATCAAAAGTTATTATTATTCGCTACTAAAATGAAAGTTTATGCTGTGCCACTTTGCTTAATCCTCAAAAAATGTTGAAAAATTTAAATATTCCTCTTTTCCTATATATAGTGATGCTATTTTACAAATATTAGCAAAAAAATCACTAATTTTCCATCAGTAGAAAATTTTTGAGCTATACTCACTCAAATTGTAAAACTCTTGAGTTCTTATATTCATTCTTCAGATTGCTTGATAGAAAGATCTCATCTATCTAGAAAAATATAAAAGATTGAATGAGTATACTAAATTTAGGATTTTAACTTTTGTTGAAAAATTTATACAAAGCAATCTTTATGTTCTGCTTAGAGTTGGGGCAATTTTCTCCATAGTAATGGGGCTCATACATTTGAGTATCTTGGGCATATTACATTTATTCTCTAGTTGTTTCACAGTGAGAAAATGGTGTTTTCAGCAAGTAGTTAAACTGTGTTATAAAATTTGAAACCAGCTGTCAGTCTCCTACCATTTGCTGAAGGTCAAAAGCAAGAACTTTGAAATCCACTGAGAGTTTGTCTTGCAAATTAGGATTATATGTAACTCCGGATGTTATTTTAAATGTCGCTCTGGCTTCATGACTCTGTCCAAGTGCTGCACCTAGATAAATTAATAAGGAAAAAACACTAAGATTTTGGATTATGAGTAGGAGAAAATATGCACATTCTGTTAAGACATAGAAGTAAAGCTCTCGCCTGATGTGTTAGCTCTGTAGTTCTTGCTTTTTCTTTGTAGTCTCATGTTTCAAAATCAGCTGCTTTCTTTCACCAGCTGTCTGATTGTTTTAAAAGATTGGAAACTAAACCTTTTCTCCATTCTTTCAACATTTTTTTTCTTTTCTTTGAAGTCTAACCCACACTCCAAGCTTCCAAATTTTCATTATTATTGTTATTGAGATTCCTGTTGGAAGATACACGGACTGATGAACTCCCACCAATCATGGGAAGTGACTCAGGGAAACATGGTGAGAAGTGAACCATTAAAAGTTTTGTAGTTGCTTTCAGATACTTCTTGAACACCTAGCATCCAGGGACACCACTGGGTTTTGACATATGAATTCCTGTGAAGATTTCAGTGTTTTGGTTACTTTGAAACATGACTTTGAGGCTACTTCTTTCATTCTAATAATTATAAAAATGGCATGCATGACCTTGTGCCATTAGCTGGTGACTGTCTTTGTTGAAGACGTTATTTAGAATGCTGTAGAAAATAGATAACCTCACTAGGAAAAAAAAATGTAAAAAAAGAAGGTTAACGAATTAAATATAAACATGGATAATAAAATGTGTCATTAAGTCCTACATAATCCCTTTATCAGCATATTTTCATTGACACTGATTTATGTTTAAAATGAATTGCTTCAACTGAAACTCACAATAATGAACTCATTAGTAAATATAATAATAATGACATATAATTCTCACAATAATCTGGTGCGAGAAGACGTAGTTTCTTCTTTTCTGAGATAGGGTAATTGGAGTTTAGAACGATTAAGAAAATTTCTCAAGGTAGTAAAGGTCTTAGGCAACAGATCTGGAATTTGGTCATTGAAATGACTGACTCTACAACCCAGGATCTCTATATAATACATTGACACCAAACTATCCCATTAAGAGGATAATTAGAAATAATAATTCAGGCAGTATGTGTGCATATAGTCTAAATAGCTTTAATTGCATAATTGATGTAACATATTATTTATACTATTTCATTTGTATTTTAAATACTCAAAATTACATTGAAGTTTGCATGTTTAAATGTAGAATACAAAGAAGGACTGAGGAACTACAACAGATTAAAGGAGACTAAGGAAGCGTAATAACTAAATCTTATATAGGAATCTGCATTGGATCTTAAGCTGGTAAAGGGCATTAGTGGAAAAACTGGTGAAATTTGAATAAAGTATGTGGTTCAGTTAACAATACTGTAGAAATGTTAATTTTTTGATTGTGACAATTGTACTGTGGATAAACGAAATATTAACATCCAAGGAAGCTGGGTTATATGAGAACTCTGTACAATTTTTGCAACTTTTAATAAGTCTAAAGTGAAGTCAAAAAAAGTATAAAAAATGTTAAAAGTAGTATGTGCTTTGAAAGCCCTAAAGACTCTGCAAAAAGGCTCCTGAAACTGATAAATGACTTCAGCAAAGTTTCAGGATACAAAATAAATGTACAATGTCAGTTGCATTTCTATACGCTAAATACATTCAAGCTGAGAGCCAAATCAAGAATTTAATCCCATTGTCAATAGCCATACAAAAGATAAAATACTTAGGAATATCTCTCACCAAGGATATAAAAGAGACCTACAAGGATAACTACAAAACACTGCTATAAAAATCAGATAACACAAACAAATGGAAATAATTCCATGCTAATGGATTGGAAGAATCAATGTTGTTAAAATGACCATACTGCCCAAAGCAACCTACAGATTCAATGCTATTCCTATTAAACTATCAAACTCATTTTTCATAAAATCATAAAAAATGATTCAAAAATTCATATGGAACTAGGAAAGAGCCAGAATAGTCAAAGCAATCCTAAGCTAAAAGAACAAAGTCAGAGGCATCACATTACGCAACTTCATGCTATACTATAAAGCTATAGTAACTAAAACAGCATGGTAGTAGTACAAATACAGATACATAGTCCAATGAAACAGAATAGAGAACCCACAGTAAAGTAAAGCTACACATCTACAGCCATCTAATCTTTAACAAAGTTGACAGAAAATAAACAATGAGGAAAGGACTTGCTAGTTAATAAACAGTGCTGGTATATCTGGCTAGCCATATGCAGAAGAATGAAACTGGATCCCTACCTTTCACCATATACAAAAATTAACGCAAGATAAATTAAAGATTTAAATTAAGACCTCAAACTATAACAATCCTAGAGGAAAAAAGGAAAACATCATTCTGGAAATTATGCTTGGCAGAGAATTTAGGACTAAATCCTCAAAAGCAGTTGCAACGAAACCAAAAATTGGCAAGTGGGGCCTAATTAAACTAAAGATCTTCTGCACTGCAAAATAAACTATCAAGAAAGTCAACATACAACCTATGGAATGGGAGGAAATACTTGCAAACGATGCATCTGACAAGGTCTAATATCCCGAATCTATAAGGATCTTAAATAATTGCACAAACAAAAAACAAATAAACCCATTAAAAACTGGGCAAAAAACATGAACAAGCACTTGTCAAAAAAAGACATACAAGTGGCTAACAAATATTTTAAAAAATACTCATCACCACTAATCACCAGAGAAATGTAAATCAAAACCACAATGAGATACCATCTCATGCTGGTCGGAATGGCTATTACCAAAGAATCGAAAAACAACAGATGTTGACAAGGCTGCAGAGAAACAGGAATACTTATACACCGTTGATAGAAATGTAAATTAGTTCAGCCACTGTGCAAAGCAGTTTGGCTATTTCTCAAAGAACCTAAAACAGAAATACCATTTGACCCAGCAATCCCATTACTGGGTATATATCAAAAAGAAAATAAGTCATTCTACCAAACAGACACACGCACTCACATGTTCATCACAGCACAGTTTACAATAGCAAAGTTATGGACTCAACCTAGGTGCCCATCAACGGTGTACTGGATAAAGAAAATGTGGTACATATGCATTGTGGAATAAGATGCAGCCATAAAAAAGAATGAACTCATGTCCTTTGCAGCAACATGGATGCAGCTAGAGGCCATTATACTAAGCAAATTAATGCAGGAACAGAAAAAACAAATACCACATGTTCTCAAGCATAAGTGGGAGCTAAACAGCAGGCACTCGTGGACATAAAGATGGCAACAATAGACACTGGGGACTACCAGAAGGGGAAAGTGGGAGAGGGGCAAGGGTTGACAAACTAACTTCTGGGTACTATGCTCAGTACCTGGGTGATGGGATCATTCATACCCCAAACCTCAATATATGCAATATACCCAGGTAACAAGCCTGCACATGTGCCCCCTGAATCTAAAATAATAGTTTAAAAAGAAAAAAATAGCAGTATGCATTATGATCTCTGATGTATTGGTAAAGCATTAACTCGAATCCCTTTTTATATTTAGCTGTTCACTGTTAAACAGTATTATCACTTATAAATATTTATTTTCTCTTTCACTTGTAAAATAACTAACCTTTGTATGTTTATTGAACAACAGGGATTCCAATGGACTTTCAAATGCTTATAGATCCTTCAAGTTATTCACAGCAATTAAATAAGACCAAAACAGCCATTTTTCTAAAAGTTTAATTCAATCTGTATTGTATTTTAGTACTTTGTATAATTTTATAAAATATCCACACTTTCTTTCCCTTTAAAATATAGCCCGTGTGTATGTCTATAGTTTTTAAATAGACCAGGAATTATACTAAAATTATTTAATAAAACTATGGCATGTGCATTACATTCTAATTTAAACTTACTTATTTACTAGAATAAAATAGCTAACCCAACAATTGTGAATTTAATAGGTAAAACTAAAATCACTCACAATGGAAAGATACGGTGGCTCATGCCTGTAATCCCAGCATTTGGGGAGGCCGAGGTGGGCAGATACGAGGTCAAGAGACTGAGACCATCCTGGCCAACATGGTGAAACCCCACCGCTACTAAAAATACAAAAATTAGCTGGGCGTGATGGCGCGCACCTGTAGTCCCAGCTACTAGCAAGGCTGAGGCAGGAGAATCACTTGAACCCAGGAGGTGGAGGTTGCAGTGAGCCGAGATCGTGCCACTGCACTCCAGCCTGGCGACAGAGCGAGACTCTATCTCAAAAAAAAAAAAAAAAAAGAGAGAATTTATATGCACATATATATATATAAAGTTCATCATTTTAAAAATGTAAAAAATTGTTTTTAAGAGAAAATAAACTGTTAATACGTAGGTTATTGCTATGCTTTCAATTTTTTAAATTTACCCTATAAATGAATAAGTGGTAAGATGGACTATAAGTTCCAGAGCGGGATTGTCTAGTTTGGAATCTTACTTCTGCTACCCACTAATAATGTGAACTTAAGCAAGTTACTTCTAGTCTCTGTCTCAGATCCCTCATCTGTAAAACGAGCATACCAATAAGCTTTCATATGTTGTAGCTACACAATACATTTGAAGGTATTTTAAAAGCTGTTGGTACAAAGTTAGCTCTAACTAAGAGTTATCATTTCTTATGCTTTTTCTGTTTATCGGAGTTGCTACTCAGTTTGTGACCTTTTTAAGTCTACATTTATATCCAAGTTATTTTATATTAGTAGAATTAAAATGGTTAGACTGATAAGAGAATGAAGATAGAAATAAACAATATTTTCTGTTAACTTTGCATGTTTATCTACTTACATATTCAACAACATGTTAATATGTTTGTGATTTAAATTATATCAAAACAAAATCAGGGGCCATGAAATCTACTTGATTATATGTTGAAACCAAGATACTTATTTAACATTATTTATTTTAAAAACTACTCAGTCTCATGCTTAAATTCTGCATTAAGTTTCAAATTACATACCAATTAATTTTCCTAATATTCTCTGAAGGGAACTACAGAGAAGTACATGAAGGCAACATAAATATTTTGTCATGAAGATTAATTTGAAATATTAGATTGAAAGCCCAAAATAATGCATTTAGTTGGCAATGAATAAAATAGACTTACAGAATAACTGACACTAAAGTGTGTACATTCAGCTGAGAGCACCTTCACGAGCCAACTCCATGTGACTTACCTCGTTGGGATTCCTTGATTGTCAGGCAGGATACTGCAATTAATCCAGCACAGAGCACTACCAATATGGCAAAGAGAGCTGCAAACATGATTTCATAGGAGCTGAGAGAATGATGCCTAGAAGATATGCCTCTTTTCGACCCCATTTTTGGTTTTGAAGGCTTGCTAATTTAAGAACTGAAAGAGAATATAAATAATTCTACCAACTGAAGAGAAAAATCTCTCAAATTTTTAAAGATGTGTAAAGCAACAACCACCTGTCTACATGCATACCAGTCAGTGTAAGTGAGTTGTGTATGTCTCTTTGGCAAAATTATGTCTCTATACATTAAGTATCATTAAAAGGGTAGTTAATCTTTAAGAAGATATAAATGAGTAAAGATGCCTAGAGTTGTAAATGTTAACTACCTGAACAGGCCATTTGCCAAGGTGAATCAAATTAAATTCATGTTGTAAACAAAAGACATTTTATCATTTTGAGAACTATTAAGAAAAATGTGAAATTCATGACAGACAAATTAGTCACTAGGCACATGCATCTGATATTCATAGAGAGAGTTCCTAACAGATCAACCTTCTACCCTCTGACTCAGATGATTCTTAAGACACTTCTCTTATATGTTGATATAGACCTTCTAAAAATAACTTTTAGGTGCAGATGTATATAAAGCCTAACATATATATACTCTCTCTGTGTACATATACATATACATGTATTCCTTATGGAAACAATCAAAAGTGTTGCAAACTTTGTTATGTCACCCAGGTGAAGTTATGCAATGTAAGGCAGTATTACATAAGGGAAAGTACACTTAAACAAGGCGTTCTATGGCTACTCTTTATGGCCTTGTGCAGTTATTAATGAATGGTAGTACCTGTCATAAGAGGAATAAAATATGTGTTTCTATTCTAAGAAAATAGTCTGGGTGGGGAAGACATTGCTCACTTGCCCTGGACTTTATCTCTTTAAATATGCCAATTAGAACAAGAGAACAGGTTAAGATAATCATAGTTATAGTTGTAGATATATGCTTTATGGAAAAATCAAAGTCATTTTCTGATAATTAAATTACGGTTTAGCATTGGGATTATTCACACCATGAATAATGATGAGTTCAGGAACTTTAAAACACAAAAATTAAAACTAAATAAAACCGAATCTATTCTGAAGTAAACCAATGTGACTTTTATTCTGGTAAATAAAACTGGCAGGAGGTAAGAAAGTTTTAGATTGGAAACCCCTAACACACTGAAATTGTGGCATATTATAATGGGCTAAGATGAACAGTAGCTGCTTTTCTTCTTCTTTACCCATGAAAGAAGAGAATTGCCTGTTGCCCCCAAACTCAAGAATTTTTGCTGATAAAAATAGAATTATGAGTAAACAAATGTATTTCATTGAAAATATTTATATTTTTAGCTAATTGACTTAAATATATATATGAAATATATATATGAAATCAGAGACACCACTTATGGACTTGGGAGAAGTTTATTTTATTTATATTCTAGGGGACAATTACAATAGGCCAGACCCTCTGATAAAATTGGAACCTACAAAAAGCGCCTCTTGAATTTGGAAAGCCAAAGTGAAAGCACAATGACTGTTTTCTTTGTATGGCTAGTGCAGAAGCAAACCCTTTTTAGAATATCATATAGCGCTTTAAGTTACATTTCTTTTGACTTTATAGAAGGAAAGCAGAAGACAGTGAGTTCACATGTCTGCTTCAAGCATAGCATGGATTAATGGATAAAATATTAGATTGAAAGCCCAAAATAATGCATTTAGTTTCAGAAACAAAACTTTCACTTTCGATCACAAATTCTCCTCAAATAATGTTTTAAATAATTATATTTAGTATCAAGCAAATGAGTGAAAGAATAGCTTTTTTAAAGAAGGCAATAATTTATGGAGGACAGACTGAAATTAAACAAACAGATGAATGTGAAAAATCAAATCACATATCTTGAAATTTTTTGAAAAGTTATTAAAATAAAACAGGACTTGCCCTATCAGGTAACAAAACTCGTTACAAAGCTGTGATATAAAGAGAGTGTTGTATCAGTCCCAGCAAAGAAAACTGTCTCAGCGGAATTAAGTGCCCATAAGTGTGATTTGCATATGGAAACTTCATATATGAAAAACGTAGGGCATTAATAATAGGTTAGAAAAGAGTGGCTCTTCAATACATAGCGCCGCATTGATTTGTTCTCCATCTTCACATGAAGAACTTCAGATCTTCATCTCACACCGTGAAGAGACATAAATTCCAGGTGGATTAAGCATATATAAAAAGCACGGAAAAATTTTAGAAGAAAATATAGAAGAATGTCTTTCTAATGATAAGGTATTGAAGGAATTTTTAGAAAAGGATTCAAAAATAAAAGGAAAAATCATGAAGAACATTGATAAATTTAGCCAATAGTAACACTGACTTTTCTTTTTTTAAAACAAAGTGTATCTAAAAAATAAAACCCTAAGCCACAGACTTGTGTTTTTTTCTTTATAATTTTTTTCAAACTGCATATGTTTTCATTCAGCTATGACAGAATTGAACTGAGGCAAAAATTTTGGTATGAGGTACTTACATTTATTTTAAAGGCAGTCCAGAAAACCTCCATGAGAAGGGCTGGGAAGTGAAGAGATGGAGGGTGATAAAGCCAGTGAAGACTGGGTGTGATCAAGCCAGTTACCATCATAGGCATCTGGAACATAAGTCTGCTTGGGACCTGCGTGAGACAGTGGGAACGCGTGTCAGAGCTATCCCACTTAGGGGGAAATAGAGTGGAATATTCATTTGCCAAAAAGCCATGCTCATTGGTTGAGGTTAGCTTCTGGGACGTCAAGTCTGGCACTTCGAGTTACTCTGTGTGAGTAGAACATCCAGGGAAGCTGACTTCAGTGTGCAGAGATGAATGAGAGGGCCTGTGAGTATAGAATCCTTACAATAGCTGCTATGGCTTACAAATAAAAAACACTCTTCAGAGATTAAAGAGATTTTCTATTGACTAACAGATAAAAGACAAGTAGCAGGCAATTGACAAAAAGGGCAAAACCAAACAAAAAAGAAAGAAAACAGGAGCACACAAATGTCTATAGGTGGTCAATGTTAGTAGTAGTTATGGAATTCTAATAAAAATAAAAAACTGACCTTAGACATATAAGCAAAAATTAAAAGCCTTAGCAATACTTAGTAGTGTCATTCATCGCTTGTCTGAGTGAAGATTCAAATAATCAAGTTGAATAGCAATTTGGTTAATATCTAGAAAAACTAAATGCACACATACAATCTGACCTCCAAATTCTCTTTCCAGTTAAATCTGGGACAAGTAGACAATGAGATAACATTCATTATAATACAATTATAATAAAATTGTAAGCCCTACAAAATATAGGGAAAACTTAAGTGTTCATCAATAGGAAAATGAAAAAGTGAAGTGTATTATGTTTATAGAATAAAATGTTATACACAAGTTTAAAGTACATGAACTAAAGTTGTATGTACTAAACTAGAAATAATAAAACAAAATTATATGCAAAGAAACAAGTTTAGAGGGTTATATGTGATGTTGCACAGCCTAAAGTAGAAAAGAAAATCATTTGTTTAGTGATGCAATTCTGTGGATAAGAGTGTACCCGGAAACGATAAATAGAAAATCCGTATGATGGTTACTTCTGAGCAGAAAAGGGGTTGGTTAATATAGAAATAGAACAACAAGGTGTATTTGTATTGCATTACTTCTGTTAAAATATTTGAAATACATTAATGAACCACATAAACTTTGACACAGTTAGAGGAGTAGGACATGTGAGTTAATATTCTGCATTTTTAAAAAAATAGATCAAAAGTTAAAGGGGAGACATAAGATTGAAGTCTCTGTGGTATTATTAATAATTTTCATCTTACCAAATAATTATTAAAATTGAAAGAAACTTTATGTGCTAAACTTTCTTTTTCTTTTTTTCTTTTCTTTTTTTTTTTTTTTTTTGAGACAGTCTCATTCTGTCACCCAGGGTGGAGTGCAGTGACATGATCTTGGTTTACTACTAACTCTGCTTCCTGGGCTCAAGCAATCCTCCCACCTCAGCCTCCTGAGTATATGGGGCTAAAGGTGTGTGCCATCATGCCCAGATAATTTTCTCTTCCCCCGCTTTTTTCTTTTTGTAGAAATGAGGTCTCACTTCGTTGTCCAGGCTGGACTTGAAGGAGCTTTTCTATTGTGAAAAGTGTAGAAGTTACAAAAATGTCCCCATTAGCCAAGTCACTGAATGCCCATAGGAGAATAAGATAATTATTTTAAACATATACTTGAGACATTTAACCGTATAAGATAAAACGCTTTATGTGAAGTGGAAACAAATGAATACATATTTGGGATGGCAAATAAAGAGAATATACAGCTCTAGATAGGGAAGATCACTAACTTAAAGAAAATTTCAGTGAGTAAATTGTTGTGTACCATTTTGGTAATAGGAATGACATATTCTGGTTAGGTGAATAATGAAGTAGAAAGAGACTTGAGGATAGTTGGGTATGGAGTGGGTGTAGCCAATGCTTTAGTTTTTGAGACTCCTAAAGGTGGATTATAATTATTTTTGCCTAGGGCAAATAAAAGGGTAAGAATAGAACAGAGAAGAAAATTAAGAGTCTGATAAGCTCTTGATAATGTTATAGAAGCAAACAGACCATGTGCACAACATATAGTGTTCATTTGTTCACAAATAAGTGGTTTTATACTCTGACTGTATGAAGTAGCAGTAGAAATTGCAGAGTTCCTAAAGATTAAAGCCATGAACACTTCTGTGAAATTTCATTCACTGTTCAACACAAGATGAGAAAACCCAAACAGCTTTCACCTTTAAATAATTTTGTGTGGCTGGGTTGTAATCAGATAAATATCTCTAATACAGTTACATTTTTAGAAACTAATATAAAATAAGAAAATATGTATTCTTCGTCAAAAATACTTCTGGACATTTCAGAGACTTCTTTTTTCTCCAAAAATACCAGTGCCATAGTCAATGAACACTCCTAGGATTGATGGTTCCAAGTTGATATGAGCTTAAGAAATACACATTTGCTTTTCTCCAAGACTGGTAATTATTTCTTTGACTTTCTATATAATTTTAACATGTTATTCTGAGATCTAATTGGCAAATTCTTTGTATTTTAGGTTTTTAAAGGGGTGGTCATCTTTATTCACACACAGTCTGAGGACTATTTAATAAACATCTTAACTAGGCACAAAGGAGAAGGTGGACCTTTAAATATTATTAAATGTCTTTATCATTGAGGATTCTTAAGTACTGCAATCTAAGAGATTTGCTTACTGGATATTTTTGTTTATTTTTTTGATCCTTGAAAAATTTGGCTGGATATAAAAATTTGGTGCTATTCTCTGGTACT
Source organism: Homo sapiens (assembly GCF_000001405.40). Lineage (NCBI taxonomy): Eukaryota > Metazoa > Chordata > Mammalia > Primates > Hominidae > Homo > Homo sapiens. Next base: position 18,408,885 of record NC_000021.9, read on the forward strand.
GAATATTGAACTAGTCCTCCTTTATTGTTATAAAATAAAAGAGTTATAGTTGTAACGATCAATTCAATTTTAATTGAGTATGTATCATCATCAGTCAGCTTGTTTTAAAAAAAGAAGTGTGTTTAGAAGAGCTGCTGGATTCCATATTCCATGAGTTCATTCATATGTGAGAAATCTTCCTCTTTCTTTTATACTTGACTGATAATATATTGATGCATGGGTAAGTGACAAGTTTTTTTTCCTTGGAATTCTGAAGATTTTTTTAATAGTGTGTTTTTTTTTCTGCCACTGAACATAATTGTGCCAATGTATGATGCTAACCCTTTTTCTTACTTTTGTATGTGACATGTTTTATATCTGCCTGAATGCTTACAGAATTATGTTTTCATACTTGAAGTTCAAAAGAGAGTAAATTGGCATTGATTATTCTGAATTAATCTTTCTTAGAATGTGATGTACCTTTTTCAGTTTCCCTTTTATCTCAGGAAAAAAATCCTTTATTAAAGCTTCAAATCTTTTTTTGTGTTTTTGTTGTTCAATTTACTAGAATTCATAATGGGGTTAGGGTCCAATTTTCCTTAGGATGAATTATCTTAGTCATTTATCTATATCTCTACTTTTCTTGTAATTATTTCATTATATCTGTATCTCTCTCATACATTTCAATTATATGCAATGTTCAACTGTGTATTTCTGTTCTCTGCCATCCCTAATTTACAAATTTGTGTAATGCTGTTGCTTTGTTGTAATTGATTTTCATAATTATAATCTTTCTATTTTATTCAAATTCTGGATTTTGTTACTGGGTTCTTATTGTCTTCAACTCATTTATTAAGTTTTAAAAGTAATAAATAGTACTGTTGAAAATTTTTCTTTGATTGAGTTTGCTTCCAAAATCAGTTTTTGGAAATATTTTCTATACAATCTCCCCCCCTTCCCCCCTTCACCCCTCCCTCCTTTCCCCCTTCCTTCCTTCCCTCCCTCCCTCCCTTCCCTCCCTCCCTCCCTTCCTTCCTTCTTCCCTCCCTCCCTCCCTTCCTTCCTTCCTTTCTTCCTTCCTTCCGTCTTTCCTTCTTAGGTATATTCACATGTCTTCCACACTGTTTCTTTCCATCTGGTTCATGCTTGTCGTAGTCCTACCTGTGTTATTTTTCATTGTTTTCCCATAGAGTAGGTTAATGTCCTTACATTTTTATGAGCTACAGTTTTGAAGAAATTAACCTGGATATGCATTTTTTTTTTTTTTGCAATTTAAGTGGTTAGAGAAAGGTTTTGAGGCAGGAGTATAAATTCACATGAGGCTGTATACAGCCTTCTTTTGATGGCCCATATTTCCTTCTCTTTTCTGCAATTTTGTTAAAAATCCTGTACAAAGGTTCCTTTGTACTAATGTGAGGTTTATTCTATCTGTGAATGTGTGTGGGATGCCACTGGGATGCCACTGTGCTACATACTATTCTCTACAATTTAATGAGTAGCATTAAGAATTGACAAACTCCTAATGGCTCCTCCCATCTCCACTGGGATCCTGTAGCAGTCACTGATCCCTAGGGTTTGCTAGTCCTCAGATATTTTCCCTATCTTTATTTCAGGTTGCCTGCTTACCAGTCACCTGTTTTTCTACAGACTGCAAAATATTAATGAAAATTAGAACTTTTTTGAGTTTCTTTTCAGCAAAATGATGGGGAGGGGAGAGTTTGTAGATGAATAATAGAAAAAAAAAAAGAGCCATGTTGAATTCCCTACTATTTTTGTTATTGGATGGAGTGTATGCCTCAACTTTATTTTTCTATTTGTTTTTTGTTTTCCTGTTGATGAGTTTTTGTGATTTTTTGACTGGTTTGAAACCAGTTTATAAAATCGAATTATATTCTGGAGAAGGAGGTTTTAAGCTTCAGCTCCACTCAAATTTTATTCAAAAGTCCATGTAACTTCTGACCTAAAGAACTAAAGACTATGCCAATTTTATTCAACTTAAGGATATATCAACTTTATTCAGCCAGAATAATACCTAAATATTAATATAGATGTTATAAAACCTCACTGGCTCTAAGATTGTATGCATGGACAATATCATTAGTTATTTTATCTACACTATTAAAAATACTACCAAATCTAGTATTTAGCTGATTACTACTTTACAGAAGGATACAAGAAAACTGAAAATTCACAAACTAAAAATGCTTTAAATTAATAATAATCTCTTGCATTGTTTACAATCCCATTAAACAGCAGTTACATTCCTCTGCTACTTCTAGGTTAATCATAAAGGAAGTCCTTAAGTATGATACATGCTAGAATATTCTTTTTGAAATATTTTAATTACTAAAAAGTGTATTTGCCATTCAAAAGGATGGTGTGTTGTGAAAAATATCACTAGACATGTTGACAGAAGACCCAGCTGTATATATAAGGATTGACACTTACTAGGTATTCTTAGGCATTTTGTTAAAACTTTTTTTTTTTTGAGCTTCAGTTTTCTACTTTAGAGAACAAAGTTATTGATCTTAAAATCACTTTCCTTTCTACAATTTTATGACTTCATGATTTTTATGGTTCCTTCCAAAGGAAAGTATATGATTTATGTCTCTTTACATTAAAAAGTCTTTTTTTCCCTGAGATTTGTTTCAGATATTCACCTAAAAATCACCTATGTGAGACTATCTTTTAAAACATTTTCTGAAGATCTTCTCCTTCATATCTCCCACTGACCTTTCATTCTCTTTGCAATTCCTTTTTATCCTCCTCTTGTCTGACTACAGTGAAACCATATTTACTTTCCCTTTGCTAATGCAAATTCTTGCTTCCTCGCCCTTCATCCTTTGTTCCCACTCCACATGTGGTTTTTTACCTTGCCATATGAAAGTCACTCTCACCAAGCATATTTCCCTAATCTACTTTTGTCTGTAAAGTGGATTATGAAACTTTTGAATGAAAGGCATTATACCAGAACATGCTGAACCGCATAGCACTTAACTCTTCTGAAGGGAAGAACTCTATTCATGGCAGTATTCAAAAATAGACCTGTATTTCGGGGAAGAAACACGAACCAGGCTGGGAAAGATTGCTTTTTCCTCGTAGGGGTTACCACACTTTTTACAGCATCCTACTTGGTTAGTAGGAAGCTTTGAAAAAAATATCAGCATGTTCTTCCCAATCAGCTGCTAGTTTAGATCATTTTCAAAGAAATCCCCTGTGTATCCAGAATCCTAACCAATTCACAATTCTATGATTTCAGATTGTTGTGCCAGCCACATCTGTAGCTCAGGCAAGATTTATCTTCTCACCATGTTACTTTTTAACTTTAATAATCCCAGTGCCCAGAGGTCAAAAGATTATTTGATATTGAAAGAGAGTGAGCCTACTTGTCAGATTTTCTCAATGCTCTTTTATCTAATTTCCCTGCTATCATCACCAAAGTGTTATACCAACATTTACTTTGTCCACAGAATCAGTTTTCCACATCCGCTTGCTAAGTTCTGTCTTAACACAATTCCAGGAAGCTTGTTCTGTTTTCTTTTCTAAGCGAAAGAATAAAAATAAAATCCAATTAGGAGATCACCGAATTAAAGAACTAAAAGTTCCTGACATGGTTTGGACCTCTAAATTCCCAAGTAAAAATTTGCATTTCATGTTTCTGACTATGTCTTTTTAGCCACTATCCAAATAAATTCATTGGGTAATATTTCGTACTAGGTAAATACATAGCTTCTTTGCTGCTGTTTTATTTTTAACGATGTCAGTTTCGAGAACAAAGTGGCCAGGTATGTAGTGTGATTTTGCTTAAATAATTTGTACTGTACCTAGAATTATGTGTTTGATTAATGTGTCTAGTAACCCTGCTGCTGCTGCTGCTGCTGCTGAGTTGGGTCCATTAACATTAAAAATAAAATAACTCACAAAAACCAGGAAGGCTGCATTATTAAGTCATTTTTTTACGACAGGGAAGTCAATGACAGAAGCATGACCCTGGTAAAATTGGTTAGGTGTAGGGAATTAAACGGCATAATAACATGTTCAGTTAAATTCCTTACATTAGATCCTTGGAAACGTTGTGTAAAAATAAGATAAATTTTAAATAAATATAATTGTGGTGGTGATCATTCTCTATCTGTATTCATTCTTCCCTTTCGCCTTTTAGAGACGAAACTAACTGAATTTTACCTGTGCACCACAAGCTACCTGCCCTAGTTTTCAATCTTTCTTCAGTTTAGATGTGGTCATGTGTAGGTTGCTTTTTCAATAAAATTGTAACTATGAGTTTGAATTAGAAATTTAAGTGTAATTCATAATGCATTTTCCCCTTCCTGCCTTCCCTCCCTCCCTCCCTTCCTCTTCCTTCCTTCCTTTTCTCTCTCTTTCTTCCTTCCTTTCTTTCTTTCTCTTTCTTTTTCTTTTTCTTTCTTTCTTTTCTTTCTTTTCTTTCTTTTCCTTCCTTCCTTCCTTCCTTCCTTCCTTCCTTCCTTCCTTCCTTCCTTTCCTTCCTTCCTTCCTTTCTTTCTATCTTTCTTCTTTCTTTCTTTCAGATGCATTATGTGTCTAATTTTTTTTGAGACAGAGTCTCACTCTGTCACCCAGGCTGGAGTGCAGTGGCTTGGTCTCGGGTCACTGCTACCTCCACCTTCCAGGTTCAAGCAATTCTCTGCCTCAGCCTCCCGAGTAGCTGGGATTACAGGCGCCCGCCACCACACCTGGCTAACTTTTTTTTTTTTTTTTTCTATTTTTAATAGAGACGGAGTTTCACCATCCTGGCCAGGCTGGTCTTGAACTCCTGACCTCTTGATCCAGCTGCTTTGGCCTCCCAAAGTGCTGAGATTACAGGCGTGAGCCACCGCGTCCTGAACTCTTTATTTCTTGCTTTAGGACAGGGTCTTGCTCTGTCGCCCAGACTGGAGTGCAGTGGTATGATCATAGCTCACTGCAGCCTCAAATTACTGGGCCCAAGCGATCCTCCCACCTCAGCCTCCTGAGTAGTTGGGACCACAGGCGCATGCCACCAGTCCTGGCCACCTTTTTTATTTTTTGTAGAGACAGGCTCATAATGCACTTAAAAAAATAATTAAAATAATTTGTTTACAAAGTGCTTACTTGTTTATGTGATAGTAGTAATTATTTAGCTATAATATTTTAATGACATGCTTTTTCTTCCAGTAACTATTTCAGCATAGAAATATTATAGACTTAAGGAATGCATAGAAACTTAATAGACTGTCATTAGAATGTTAAGATATTATTTCTCCTTTTTATTTCCTTTAATTTTTTAAAATTCTTACAATTTAAGGTGTTTATACTCCATTTTTAACAGTTTTTTTTAAGATACACACCACTGCACATATTTAATGTATACAATTTGATGAGTTCAGACAAATGCCAACAATGTAAAATCATCACCATAATCAAGGAATAGACATGTCCTAACAGCTCCCATTTTCTTTGTGTCCCTTTACTTCTTGTGTGTGTGTGAGTGTGTGATTTTTGAACATAACGTGAGCTTTCAACTCTTTCTTACCAAATTTTGAAATGCACAATATCATATTGTTAACTCTAGGCACTATGTTATACAGCAAATTTCTATAACCAGTTTATCTTGCATAATTACAATTTTATACATATCGAATTCTTCATTTGCCCAACTCTGCAGCCCTTGGCAATCATTATTGTATTGTCTGCTTCTATGAGTTTGACTATTGTAGATACCTCATATAATTAGAATCATGAATTATTTTTTCCTGTGTGAGTGGCTTATTTCACTTAGCATAATGCCTTCCAGGTTCATCCACGTTGTTGCAAAAAGCAGAATTTCCTTCCCTTTTAAGGCTGAATAATAATCCATTTTATGCATATATCACATGCTTCTTTATCCATTTATCTGTCAAAGGACACTTAAGTTGTTTCCATATCTTGGCTACCGTGAATAATGTTGTAATAAACGTGGGACAGAGATGCAGATATCTCTTTGTGACCCTGATTTCAATTTCTTGGGATATATACCCAGAAGTGGGATTTCTAGATCATATGGTAGCTCTATTTAAAAATTTTTAAGGACCTCCGTACTGTTTTCCATAGCTGTTGCATCATGTTACATTCCTACAAACACTGTATAAGTGTTTCAATTTTTCTACCTTCTTGCTAGCCCTTATCTGTTTTTTTTTGACAGTAGACACCCTAAAGGTGTGAGGTAATATCATTCATTGTAGTTTCGATTTGTATTTCCCTGATGATTAGACATTTTGAGCACTTTTTTACACACCTGCTGGCCATTTCTGTGTCTTCTTTGGAGAAATGTCTATCAGGGTGCATGCCCATTTTTAAATTCAGGTTACTTGTCTTTTTGCTATTGATTTGTGAGTTCCTTATATAGTTTTGAAATGTATCCCTTATCAGATGTTCGTTTTGCAAATGTTTTCTCCTATTCTATAGGTTGCCTTTCAATCTGTTGCTTCCTTTCCTGCACAGGAGCTTTTTAGTTTGACATAGTCCCACTTCTCTAGTTTTGCTTTTATGTTCTATGATTTTAGTGCCATAGTCAAGAAATCTTTGCCAAGACCAATGCCAAGAAGGTATTCCCCTATGTTTTCTTCTAGAAGTTTGACAGTTCAGATCTTATGTTTAAGTCTTTAGTCCATTTTTGTTTGATTTTTGTGAGTGGTGTTAGGCAGAGATCTATTTTTGTTTTTTTGAAGGTAGTGTCTAGTTTTCCCAGTTCTACTTTTTGAAGAAATTATACTTCCTTACCCATTGTGTATCCTTAGCACTGTTGCTAAAGATGGGTTGACCATATATGTATGAGTTTACATCTGGTCTCTTTATTTTGGTCCACTTAATATATCTGTCTTTATGCTAGTACCATACTGTTTTAATTACTATGGTTTCTACCACTTCTATTCTGTAAAGTCCTGGAAGTCTTAGCCAGAACCATTAGGTAAGAGAAAGAAATAGAAGGAATCAAAATTGTAAAGGAACAGAATAAAATGTTCTCTGTTTGTAGATGACATCATCTTGTGTGTAGAGAACCCTAAAACTCCACCTACACAAAATGTTAGAACTAATAAACAAATTGAGTAAATATGCAGGATACAAAATCAACGTACAAAAAATCAGTTGTATTTCAAAACATTAACAAGGAACCATTCTAAAAATAAGCTAAAAAACAATTCCATTTACAATAGCATAAAAATCATACAATATTTAGAAATAAGCGTGGGGGTGAAATACTTATACAATGAAAACTGCAAAACATTGATGACGGAAATTAAAGGAGACACAGATAAATGAAAAAAAACATGGCTTTCTATGGATTGGACGACTTAATATTGTTGAAATATAAATATTAGCCAAATTGATCTACAGGTGAAATGCTATATTCATCAAAATCCTAATGGTGTTTTTTACAGAAATAGAGAAAAGAATCCTAAATTTCATTTGGAACCACAAAAGACCCAGAGTAGCCGAAGAGATCTTGAGAAAGAAGAGCAAAGCTGGAGACATCACACTTCTTGACTTTATACTCCATTTTAAACTTTACTTTTTCAGAATATCCTAGAGCAAAATTCATATTATCCTTATATATCTTTTGAACAGTAGAAATTTGTAGACTTACTATTATCATAAGGCATTTGTTTTTACAGCCCAGTGTTCCATCTCCTTGGTTAGTAATATTCTCTTGAAGACATTGGCCCCTTGTACCTTATCCATATCATTACAGAGTGGGGATGATACTGGTTAATTTTTGAAATTCTAATACTTAGCCAAAATGTGAAACTCTTTGATAAATTCACAAACTATTTGCAGCATATTGTAAAGAACTTTAAATTTAGTTATCTTGTTTATGAGTTTAAATTATCTAGATGACTTTTGACTTTCTTTATCTTTTGCTATTGGACATGATAAACTCATTCATTCAAGAGTACATACATTTCATGCCCTACTAACACCTTAGATGTACTTATCTATTGATGACACATTTTCTATGCTCTTTACTTTGTATTAACGAGATTACAAATCATTGATTCTCAAGTAAAGCTGATACATACCAGATTTTGAGATACACCATGGCAGTCAACGTCAACTGTCTTCATAAAGATAGTGGTAAATTAAGCACGTCAACTTACATTTTGACTAATAATACAATTAATTTTTATGTATAAGATAGTAATTTTAACTGTGCTTGAATATCAAACCAACTATAATAAGAAAAAAATCATGTCAATTGTAACATTTCAGCCAATTTTTACATAAAAGGCCTTAGAAAGGTAATTTCAAGATTTTGGAGTATGTATAACCTAATCATTATTTATTTGGCACTTCTATTTTAAATTGTCTATTACCTTTTCTCACATAAAAAGAGCCATGTTTTTACAAGTTGAATCAGAAGTCTCTACTCTGTGAGGGTAAGAAAGCAACAATTAACCATTCCAGAACTTTACATAATCCTATGATTGTCTCCCTCTCTTATATAAAACATTCTGCCACAGCAAACAAGCAGGTGCAATTACAGCCAGACTGAGATTTCTGGAGATAAAGAATAAACAAAGATGGCATGAATATGTCCTAAAACACAGTAATCTAATTAAAATATGCAATTAAAATAGTTAATGCAATTTTCTATGTCAAGATACTACAGAAAAAAGAAGATACGTTTTGAAACATTTTAAGACTCCTACTACATAAGTTAGTATCTATGCTGAACAAGATTTGGTGTGCTCACAATTTAATTAACTTCAGGCTCTCAATAACCGTGTGATAAAAATAGAGCCTAAACCCCTCAGAAGTCTGTATCTGCTAGATGTTTCTGATCTAGAAAATAAAATTAACTCTTCAGTGAAATGATCCAAATAGATTGCCAAGAGCTAATCTTGCTCAATGTGAATCGATCCATATTAAGAAAATAATTAGGAGAATGCTGTTATCAGAGGCAGCAATGTGTCAGTCAAAAGGGTAGCCTACACACATATAAACACGTATACACACAATCACACACATACACACATACACATTCATGCACAAACATACATATATTCACACACATACACCTACTTGGAATATAATTGCCAGAAATGCTATATCTGTTTCACAAGGAATTTGTTCAAAAAAATGTAAAAAGCTATGCTATTGGGAGAAGTTGAGCTTGGCTAGCAATTTAAGAAAAGCAATCACTTGGATCCTGGTCTCTTTCTTCAGCTAAAAGGTAATGAAATGTATTGCTCATTTGTTCTTTCTGTCATGTCCAATTAAAACAAAAGAAATGAAACTTCTCTGTCTCTTCCAAACAGGCTCTCTCCTATGGTTTCATTTCACCCATTAGATACTTTAATGCTTGCTACTAGCTGGAAGACGATACCCAAAATACAGTGTCTAAGGGATACCTTACTTCTGTGGATTAGAGGTGAGAGAGTTAAGAACCTTATTTTAAAAAGTGTTCTGTGGTCTTTCTGCATCTCTTATCATTTTTATCTGTTGTAGCGATGGCTAAGTGGAAAGAGAATGTCATTCTGCGGCCAGTACTGTGGAATACTAACAATTTTACAGCCACATACGTAGAAGCGACAGTGGCCATATCTGTGTGCGAATGGTGTTATCTGCCTCTCTACATCAGCTGGATGGGCTACAACCTTAAACTTGGGTCAACCTTTCTGCCCTTAGGGATTGATCTATACGTGGCCTCTTGCTGAAATAGGGAAAATGTTACCCCCCCAATCATCTTTTACCCTGTAGCCCTGCCCATTCATCTCTTTGATTTGGTCTACGTATTCTTTTGCTCTATAATCTATTAACTATTAAACGTTATAGCTGCTACTTATAGCTGTGTTTTTAGTTCACAGAAGACAATATTGTGATTTAAATATTTAAAAATAATATTGACCAATCTCTGCTAGAAAACATTGTTAAAATTGGAATCTCCAGAGAAAAGAAATGGGCACCTCTTTGTGACAATGGCTGTTGATTCAGCGTATGCTATACATGGTAGATCAATGCAAAAACAACGGAGTTCATACTATTTGCAATTATGGGATTGCCTCATTAAAAAATGCTATCATACTGCTCTGAAAGCCGACCATACAAGTTAGATCATTCTTGTCATACCCAACTAAATCAGCGTTGAGCCAGGGGGAAAAATCACTCAGTGAATGTGCAATTGTTCCAAGAATGTAATTCTCTGCAAGCCTGGTAGAAACAGCCAACTTTAACCTGAAACCAGTTTTATCTAATAGTTGCTGAAGCAACTCCAAAAACAGTCTTACTCATTGTTGTCACTTACCGATTAAAACTTACCAGCTCCCCAAAACTTTCCTAGTGCCAGTGAACTTTCTTGATAAGCAATATGTGACATTTCCTCTTTTTTTTTTTTTTTTTTTTTTTGAGACGGAGTCTCGCTCTGTTACCCAGGCTGGAGTGCAGTGGTGCTATCTCTGCTCACTGCAAGCTCGGCCTCCCGGGTTCACGCCATTCTCCTGCCTCAGCCTCCTGAGTAGCTGGGACTACAGGCGCCCGCCACCACGCCCAGCTAATTTTTTGTATTTTTAGTAGAGATGGGGTTTCACCGTGTTAGACCGGATGGTCTCGATCTCCTGACATCGTGATCCACCTGCCTCAGCCTCCCAAAGTGCTGGGATTACAGATGTGAGCCAGTGTACCCGGCCGACATTTCCTCTTTTTCTAAAAACTCTAACCTTCTCTTTCTTCTTTGGACATACCAAAGACCACCTGGTGTGTGTGTATGTCCCAAATTGCAATTCTTGCTTTCCTCCCCGAAATTTTAACTATGGAGATCCACCTCTACGTTTTATTTGACTTTGACACCAGCCTGGTAGAAAAGTATCCTTCTCTGCTTCACTGACATGAAACTTAGCCATGCATCTGTAGTCGTTCCTGTAGGTGGAAAATACATCCTGCCCTGGTATGTGACTGTTTTTGGATAAAGAAATGGGAATACAAGCAAATCAGAATGTGATTGGTTATGTCTTTTTTCCCCCTTCTACCATGAGAAAAGTAATTTCCCAGATACAATTGTTCTGTCAACATGGGTTGCAAAGTGAAGATATGTGAAGGAGAGTAACAGCTAATCAACAACGGACACACAATGTGAACAAGAAATTGACATTTGTTTTTGTTTGCTACTGGGACCTGAAAGTCATTTTTTTAAATGTAGCATACCGTAGCCTAGCCTGAGTGATATGGTAATTTTAAAAATATGTATAGGAAAAGGAGGGCTGTAATTTCCTCAGCACTAGACTAGACATGAAAAATTTGAAGTTTTCTTCACATTTTTCTAACAGTGTTACCTGAAATGGTTATTGAATTCCTCCAATGCTAGCTTCTGCGTCTATGCAATGAATGGTTTGGATGAGGCAATGTTAGCCACCTTTAACATCCTTTGAGTCTGTGATTCGAGTAAACCTCAAAGCATGGCTGAAGTCACCATTATTTAGATTTGCTGAAATCTCCTTCTTTTTATTACTTCCTTATTAAGTAGCTAGGTGGCAGTTTGTGGTTGAATAGAACACAAAGTCTATTGAATTTTCTATTTCTATGTGGCTAGGGAAAGATCTTCAATATTTGGAAGTATAATAAAAATTCTCAAGTTGTAGCGAAGGTTAAATTAACCACTAGCCATACCTTGGATTTAGTAAAACCTGCATGTTACCTAAAACAATTAGTAATTTGCCTTTGACTTAGTGATATTTGTCATTGTTAAAGCTGTCACACTAGGTCAATAGATGCAACAGGTAACAAAAGCACTTGATCTTACTGCTGTATAAAATAAGCTTTTTATCTTGGACTTTCTGTTAAGTTCCGTTAAGAGAGTTTTTCAAATAGCATGGCCAGGCTTTGGCACTGAGGATGATACTGCCTGCGAGATTCACAATGTAGATGTCACTTTGGCTCTACTCAGATAAGAGGTATCACTGCACTGAGTCACAGCAATATAGAGTCAGATGGTTTTCTGCTATGTAGGCTTTCTCCGTTCAACCCCAAGAAGTATCTAGGGAGGATTTCAAAAGTGTATGGCTTTAACACTTAAAACATCATTCCTAAATATCATCCTGAAGCTTGTTAGAAATGTTGAATCACTCTAGATTTATTAAATAAGGATGTGCATTTTAAGATCTCCAGGTGACTTATATGTACACTACATTTCTAAAAAGGGAGAGCTTGGAGAAACTAAGATATTCTCTTTTGTAGCTGTTATTTTACATATATGACACGGAGGACTATATCACTAAACACTATACCACTAATATTGGAAAATATCATAGCACTAATATAGGATCAATGTAACTTGCAATGATGTAAAAATATGCAGCATATTTCAAATGGATTCTCAATCTTCAAATATTATGGAAGAATCTTGATTTGGTGTTTCAAGATCTTGGTCACAGTTTTCAGTACTCCACTCTGATTGTAAAGGGAAGGCAGTTTGCATAGAGGTTGAAAGTATTGGTTCTGGGTCTAATTTTTTGAGCTAAAACCTTGGCGTCTTGTTACTGTGTATAAAACTGTGGATAGTTTTTACTTAATTTTCCTGAATTTTATTTTCTCATCAACATTATAGGGATAATAGTTACCTAATAGTTAAGGAAAATCTTTAGAAAAGTTATTTGAGACCAGATGTTTCTATCCCTGGTCAGTTAACAATTTTTTCTTTCTTAGGGTTCATTAATGAAGTTGTAACCAGTGTTTTAATTTAGGAATGCCAAAGGTCAGTATATATTTTTGTAAGATAACTATATGGTTTCATTAAAGAAAAATATTTGACATATGCAATTTCTATTCCTTTGTTTGAGGATTGTACTCTGTCTTTTGAATGCTCTTCTCCTTAATCTATTTATGGAATGGTTTGCTCCTTTATGTAAGACATGAATAAGATTTTTCTGATACAAAAGTTTCCCCAGGAAGATAATGGATTAAGCCTTATGGAGACTTTAAGTAAATTTTATTATCTTCTATAACTTCAACATTCACTGCTCTGAGAAAAATGATTATCGATACACCCCTTCGGTTATGTCCACTGAAAATTACAATGACAGCTTTGGGCATGGGACAGCTAAAACTACGAGAGTTTCTGTCTTCAGGCAGAGGGCTGAAAGCAAGTATTACTCTTTTTTTTTTTTTTTTTCAGACTACGTCTGGCTCTGTCACCCAGGCTGGAGTGCAGTGGCATGACCTAGGCTCACTGCAACCTCTGCCTCCCAGGTTCAAACGATTCTTCTGCCTCAGCCTCCTGAGTAGCTGGGATTACAGGTGTGCACCATCATGCTTAAGATAATTTTTTGTATTGTTAATAGAGACTGGGTTTCACCATGTTGGCGAGATTGGTCTTGAACTCCTGACCTCAGGCGAGCCACCCTCCTCAGCTTCCCAAAGTGCTGGGATTACAGGTGTGTGCCACCACCCCCAGCCCTGAAGGCAAGTATTACTCTTAATGAAAAATAAATGGAAGGTGAAACCTTTGGTGACTTGATAATTTACCTTCTTATGTTTATTTAAAAAAAAAAATCACAATGTGGTTTACCTCTGATTGAAGATGCATGTAACTTGAGCAACAGATCCCAAAACATCACTTCATGATGTTATTTTGAAAACAGGATAAAATGATATGAATCATATAATGATAATTACTTACAGTTAATGATCATTGACTATGTACTATGTGTAATTCTAGGAATTTTACATGCATTTAGTTATTCTCACGATAACCCTATGATGTTAAACAGTAGTAGCGTGGCAGGTGCTACAATTATTCCCATTTATGAGATGTGGAAACTGAGGCACAAAGCATTTAAATAAATAGCCTACGGTATCAAAGCCGATGACTAACATTTTCAGAAAATAAATTCAGATAGTCTGGATCTTAACACTAAATTCAATAGTTTTGCATGTGTCAATTTAGCTGAATTCTGATTTCATTCTTCAAATACCCTTTTCTGTATAGCTCTGGGCTAGGTTGGGCAAATAAGAGAAACTTGTGAGGGTTAGCAGGTGGATGGGAAATAGCAGTCAGGAAATTAGGAAGTTGGTGCCAGGGCTCCCGAATTACTGTAGGTCTCAAATGCTGATGCTGATCTGCTAGCTCGTCTCATTTGCATGGGGCTCAGCTAGCGCAGATTTCCTTCAGGTTCTTTAAATCTTAGGTCAGGCTCATATGCAGTGCCTGTGTGGAGGGTCTTAGCTTCCTCTGCAGTTCACCAAAGGCAGGTTACTCAAGGCTAGATGTGGATTTACGAATGATAAGAAAAGCAGAGACTGGCAAATATGACTTATAGTTTACTCTTGTGGCGTCTCCTCTGAGGTTTTGCTTTGGATTTCTCTTTCTTTAGGTCCAGATTTTATTCACAATTGCCTCCTCCCCCAACTGCCTGCCCACTCCCAAATGCAGAGGCAGCAGCCTGCTATAGATTTCGCTGTCTCTTGTCCTTGATTCCTTGTTAGTGACCTTTCTCTGATCCTCTGACCATACCCTTTTTGTTCTTTGCTTCTGTGTATTCACTCATAATTGTGGAGAGTTCAGTCTGTAAAATAAATTCTTTTTTTTTTTTTTTTTGAGACAGAGTCTCGCTCTGTCGCCCAGGCTGGAGTGCAGTGGCGCGATCTCGGCTCACTGCAAGCTCCGCCTCCCGGGTTCAGGCCATTCTCCTGCCTCAGCCTCCTGAGTAGCTGGGACTACAGGCGCCCGCCACCACACCCGGCTAATTTTTTGTATTTTTTTTTTTTTTAGTAGAGACGGGGTTTCACCGTGTTGGCCAGATGGTCTCGATCTCCTGACCTCGTGATCCGCCCACCTCAGCCTCCCAAAGTGCTGGGATGACAGGCCTGAGCCACCGCGCCCGGCCTAAAATAAATTCCTCATTTGTATTGCTCAGTGGTTCCGCTTCCCTAGTGATACACTCAATTCATATGCATCTCTATGAAACTGAGAAAATACTGATTCTCTAAAAAATAAAATATTCCCTGATATTAACAGATTATAGCTCAAAGTGATTAGCATAATGGCAGGGAGATTATAATCATTTAGTAATGTTCAGTATCATCCTTATCTTCATCTTCTTTTTTTTCTTCTTGAAAAATTAACTGAAGTATGATCACAAAGCAAAACATAAAGGAGACATTCAAGAGTGCTTTATTTAAAGAAAGAGAAGTTTCAGCCTGGCATCAATAATTTGCCTAAATATTTTAACTGAAAGAGAATGCTTTCACACGGTCTCAAAAGAAAAGCCATTTTCTTTTCATCTGAAAACAAGTGTTTTAAATTTTTTTTATCAGTAGATTCATAGTGTTATCTGAGGTCCTACATTTATTCTTTAAGCTTACATTTACCTCAACAATAATTTCCAAAAATCATCACCTCTGCTAACTTGAGAGAAGATTCTATTTTCCAGTTACTGAATGGTCCTTTTTCATGCTATTCAAATCTGAATATCTTGCTTAAACTCCAGTGCCCAGACTGCTCCCAATTGTCTAGTAAAGCTCTCAGCCCAGCCAAACGTTGTGGAGAAACTATACAGCAATTCCTTTTTGCAACACTCTTGTTTTGACATCTCAGTGAGTCTATTTACATGTAGTAATTTCTCAGTGCCAGTTAAAGTCAGAAAAAGTGATTCACTGTGGCATTCTTGCAAAATATGACAGATGGGCTCATTAGTCGTTTGATTCATAAAAGCCATCATGTTGTTTTGCTTAAAATAAGAAGCAAAAAATAAGCAAGTCCTTGATAGGTTTAATTCAGATCAGAGCAAAGTAATGCCAACTCTGCAGATTCATGTAAAGAACCGACAAAAGGAGCCGGGGGAAAAAGGACTGTGCAAATGAATGCATTATTCTTTGTAAAAAAGTTATGAGCCATAAAGTAATGGTTAAAAAAGAGCTAGGCATCTGCAACTAGGCAAAGAGATTAGAAGAAAGCAAGAACAACTAGTAAGTTATATGCTATTTGTTGTGTTTTCTTGATGTAAATATAGCAGTAGAAAGAATGAAGACATTAAATGAGAATTAAGAGAATATATGTATTCATATATATTAATTCATATATATTATATTATATATGAATATTATATATTCATACATGTGTGAATTCATATGTATGAATACATATGATATAATAATTTTATGAATATATGAATACATATGAATTAATATGCATATATATTAATTCAAGATGCCAGAGACATTAAGAAAAGAGTAATCCCTATCAATGGATAAATAATATGATACAGAATAGTATTTGTTAGTAAAGAAGTGAAAATTTAAAAGAATATATATTTGGTGTGTCAACACCAAAATGTCTTCCAGAAAACTCTGGTAGAGTAGTTGCATGCCAACAGAAAACTATTCTTATGGAAATTTTCATTTACATTGATTAGCTATTAATGTTTTGTTGCAATCAGCAAACCTGACTACTATAAGGACTCCACAGTCAAATTTGAATTTAAAATTATGGATGGTAGATTGTCAAATCTTATTTGTTGTCTTGCCTTTAAACAATTCTAAAAGAAAGGCTTCATATCTTGCAGAATTTTTAATTGTTAAGTAATATCAATAATTAATAATAACCCAGGAGATTAGTGAAAAGAAGTTTCCCATTGTAACTCTTCATTGAGCAAAAGACTTCTGTCGGTCAATTAAAAACATCTCTATTGCTGGAGAAATAATGGTTCTTTCACTTTCTTATGAGTTGTGTCCATTTCTGTGATGGTCTTACATGATATGTGAATGAATCATAAGTTATTCCTCAAACTCTTAACAAGTATTTATGTATCTGTGTAGATCAATAATTTAATTACCTGTGTAGAAATAAGAACTTATGAAAGCTTCAAATGTTGTGAATAATAACGTAGTGGAAAATTCTTTTGCCTCATCCACATTTGGGAGAAAATGCTTAAAAAAATCTCCCAAATATATCTCTACACATTTTTCATGGATATTTTGATAATTCAGATGCATCAGTATTCTGGGCTTCAAGCACTCTTGCTGTAAAAAACCCTTAATAACCTAAATGCGATACAAGAAAAATACATTATTTGGTGGCAAAAGATAAATAGAAAAACATTAACATTGATTTTATGCTCTGTGCCAGGCTCTGTGCTATGAGTATTAACAAAATATTAATAAAATATCTTTTTATTCACCTATTTATTTGCTTCCTAAATATTTGTAAGAACTCTTTTATAGCCTGCATACCTTTCTCTGTAATGATGTCTTCCTTTTCTTTTCCAGCTTCAAGGGCCCACAATTACTTTATTTTACGAACCCTTATTTAGCAACTATACACAACACACACTCACAGTGACAAACAACGTAAGTAGTTGTACTGTGCAGATAATAACTCACTTAATCCTCATGTGTTCTATGAAGTAGGAATTATTATTATCTACTTTTTATGCAAAATACCAAGGAGTAGTATAGTTAATTAACTTATCTATTGTCACTTAGCAAATAAGTGGCAGATTCAGAATTCCAGCTCAGGCACATGATCTGGCTACAAAATGAAGCTCTCACGTAAAATACTGTGATATGTAAGAGAAGAAATTTTATAAGGGGCTTAACTCAATTACCTCCACTTTCTGACTTGAAAACTATTTGATTTTATTAAAACTTCATGATATGTCAACAAAATATAAACAAAAGTCAATATGCTAAAGATGAAGAAAGAAAATCCTTACCTGTTTTCATCTTTAAACAGCTCTTCTGAAGCATGCAAACCCTCTTTTTGGTCTACGCTATGTGATAAAAAGCTATTTGTTTTAGCCACAGTTAATAGAGGACTTTAGTAATGTCAACAAAATTGGTTCCATTTTGAAAGTCTGTTGAACTTCACCTATGATATTTCATGCATTGTCAAAGATTTGTTTTATTTCAAAATTATGCATTTTCATTGATAACATTTGAAAAATAAGAATGTGGAAAAAATGTGTTGCCAAACGGTTTGTCAATTAATAGTTTAGTGATCACATATTTCATTTCTTCCTAGATGACGCACATGCCATAATCTAACTGTCTTCTTTTTGCCACAGGCATTAAAAAGAACAAAAAATGTCTCAGTTGGATTTTATGAAACAAACACATAAAGGAAGTGTTCGCCTCTGCATTTCTCCCCTCCGCCATGCCTGGTTTAGAGTGATTAATCCCTTTTGGTGTTTGTTAAAAAACATGTTATTGATGTTATTAGAAGCCCATTTCATTGTAATTAATATCACTGGTTATTAGCTGTTCTTACAAAGGAAATGATTGGCTCTAGGCATCAACTTATGTAAGTTGTATAAGGCAGCAGCCCTCTGAGAACAGATTCACTTCTCTCTCCTTCGCTAGCTCATTTGTGTCTGTCTGAAGCATGCAGTGTTAATTGCGTAGCCCAAAATCTACCCGCTCCTTGCTCTTTGCCAACAGAGCCCCAGTTTTTATCAGATTGTGAAAGTGTACAGCTTTTTTAGAATTATAGTCAGTCTAACCCTCTAAGCCACACACACTTATTTTCCATTCTCCTTGCCTTACTTAACTATTACATTTAAGGGAATAAAAGTCAACATGCTGAAGATGGATAAATAAAATTCTTAACTGTTTATTTCTTTTAACAACTGTTCTGATGCATGTAAACTCTCCTTTTGGTCTATGCTTTGTGAATAAAAAGCTATTTATTTTAGCCACAGTTAATAGGGGACTTTAGTTGCAGGCAAAAACATTCATTACTACTTCACCATCTGAAATAGACCTGCTCAGGACCGACCTACTTCCACAAAGGCTGACCGATCAAAACATGACTGAGCATTTATATTTTATCATTGTTTACCTAAGAAATATACTTATTCAAATCATTCTTCTAACCAGGAAAGTGTTTCTCTACCTTTTAGAGAAAAAAACACCTCAGTGTTTCAAATCTGAATTTGGGAGTTTTTTAAAACATTTTTTTCCCAAATGTGGATAAGGCAAAAGAATTTTCCACTATGTTATTATTCACAACATTTGAAGCTTTGATAAGTCTTATTTCTACACAGGTAGTTAAATTATTGATCTACACAGCTAAGAGTTTGAGGAATAACTTATGATTCATTCACATATCATGTAAGGCAGTCACAGAAATGGACACAACTCATAAGAAAGTGAAAGAACCATTATTTCTCCAGCAATAGAGATGTTTTTAATTGACCGACAGAAGTCTTTTGCTCAATGAAGAGTTACAATGGGAAACTTCTTTTCACTAATCTCCTGGGTTATTATTAATTATTGATATTACTTAACAATTAAAAATTCTGCAAGATATGAAGCCTTTCTTTTAGAATTGTTTAAAGGCAAGACAACAAATAAGATTTGACAATCTACTATGCATAATTTTAAATTCAAATTTGACTGTGGAGTCCTTACAGTAGTCAGGTGACTTGGGTGCGTTAAAGGTATTCAGTTTCATAAGGGAAGCTGAGCATAAAAGTTTGGAAAATTTGCAGGCTGACAATTTGATAGAAAGGAAAAACCCATCTTCCGAGGAGAAATTCAAGCAGGCTGCAGAAATTTGCATAAGTAACAAGGAGCCAAATGTTAATCACCAAGACAATGGGAAAATGTCTCCAGGGCATGTCAGAGGTCTTCATGACAGCCCCTCCCACCATAGGTCTGGAGGCCTAGGAGAAAATGATTTTGTGGGCCGGTCCCAGGGCCCCCTTGCTATCTGCAGCTTATGGACTTGGTGCTCTGCATTCCAACTTTGGCTGAAAGGGGCCAATGTAGAGTGCAGGCCATGGCTTCAGAGAGTGGAAGCCCCAAGCCTTTTCAGCTTCCACATGGTGTTGAGCCTGTGAGTGCACAGAAGTCAAGAATTGAGGTTTGGGAACCTCTGCCTAGATTTCAGAATATGTATGGAAATACCTGGATGTCCAGGCAGAAGTTTGCTGCAGGGTGGGGCGCTCATGGAGAACCTCTGCTAGGGCAGTGCAGAAGGAAAATGTGGGGTTGGAGCACACAGAGGCCCTACTGGGGCACCACCTAGTGGAGCTGTGAGAAGAGAGTCACTTTCCTCCAGACCCCAGAATGGTATATCCACCAACAGCTTGCACTGTTCACCTGGAAAAGTTGCAAACCCTGAATGCCAACTCATGAAAGCAGCTGGGAGGGAGGCTCTACCCTGCAAAGCCACAGGACAGAGCTGCCCAAGACCATGGGAACCCACCTCTTGCATCAGCATCAGTGTGACCTGGATGTGAGACCTGGAGTCAAAGGAGATCATTTTGGAGCTATAAAATTTGACTGTCCTGCTGGATTTCAGACTAGCATGGGCCCCCTAACCACTTTGTTTTGGCCAATTTCTCCCATTTGGAATGGCTGTGTTAACTCAATACCTGTACCCCCAGTGTATCTAGGCTTTTGATTTTACAGGCTTATAGGCAGAAGGGACTTGCCTTGTGTCAGATGAGACTTTGAACTGTGGACTTTTGAGTTAATGCTGTAATGAGCTAAGACTTTGGGGGACTGTTGGGAAGGCATGATTGGTTTTGAAATGTGGGGACATGAGATTTGGAGGGGCCAGGGTGGAATGATATGGTTTGGTTCTGTGTCCCCACCCAAATCTCATCTTGAATTATACTCCCATAATTCCCATGTGCTGTGGGAGGGAACCAGTGGGAGATAATTTGAATCAAGAAGGCAGTTTCTCCCATACTGTTCTTATGGTAGTGAATAAATTTCATGAGATCTGATGGTTTTATCAGGGGTTTCCACTTTTGTGTCTTCATCATTTTCTCTTTCTGCTGCCACGTAGGAAGTGCCTTTCAACTTCTGCCATGATTCTGAGGTTTCCTCAGCCATGTAGAACTGTAAGTCCAATTAAACCTCTTTTTCTTCCCAGTCTTGGGTATGTCTTTAGCAGCATGAAGACAAATTAACATGCCTACGTAGATGTATGAACAAAGTTTCTAGTTCTAGTGTTTGTAATTTGAGATTACTTATACTATACTTGCAGCTTTGCCTAGTTTTCTTCCTAAAATGTTCAACTACATGTTACTCTCATTGAGTACCTTAATATATTTCACATCCATTAAGAATTTTAAAGAGAGATATGTATTTTTGCTCAAATAATTTCTTAATTTAAATATAGTTTTAATTCACCAGAGCATGAATCCAAGTAGTTAAAAATATGTATGTTGTATGTTCAGCTCATGAATCTTCCCATTATATTTACTATTACTGATTGATGCATGTTAGCACTTATCACCTTTTCACAATGTTAGCATCAGTCTTTGTGAAAGCTGTACCTCTTAGTAAATATCTGAAAATATTGCATTAAAATTAAAATTTGGGGTCACAAAAAAGTCACTGTTAGATGTGTATCAATGCTGGTGAATAATCATATTTCACAATTAGTGACACCTTTTTCTATCTGCTTGAAGAAGGTTATATAGCATTCTGTTTTTGATAGTTTAAATGGTTTCTCTCAAAAGATGTGTAGTATCTGTCCAAAACATTTGGTCCCATAAAAAAGAAACTATGTTTTGCCTTGGGTAATTTTATGTTGCTTGATCAAAGATCTAGTTACTTATTTTGGCAGCAGAAAATATATTGGTGAAGGTGTTCACCTAGAATGAAGCTTCAATTCTATGGGGATAGATTCATTCTTTATCTTGGTGGTGGTTGCTCAACCAAAACTGGGCATTTTTCAGCTTGTCCAACTAGTGTGGCAATTGTTATTAGGAAACTTCTTTGACGAAATCATCACTTATGCCATACATATCCAATAAAAGAAGAGCAGAATTACTACAATCTGCTGCTCTGTATGCTGGTGCAATAACACCAAATATTAGCTTGTCAAATTCATCTTATGCAAGTTTGTGATCAAGGTTTTCCAATCATTTCCGGATACAAGTAATCATGAGACACAGGGAAAACAAGGAGAGGTCTGGGCCCACCAATGTAGCTCTGATATTCCCTTCTTGCAGCAGTGGAATGCACTCTGGTCCACAATATATCAAATGTGTAATAATGTATGCAGCTAGATTATTTACATAGAAGAGAGTTCTTTTGGTCTTAAAAGACATTCTTTTTATTCTTATAAATTATACAGCTTTTGTGACATTTTCCAGGCAAATGTGCTCCAAAACTCTACACATGTTAGTTTGCTTAGCATGTACAGTCTTAGAACAGATATATCTGACTAAAAGCAATCCATAGGAAGGAACTCTCCAGCTAGCAAGACCATTAGTTCATTTGTTATTAGCAAATTAGCAAATTGTCCAGATCACCATTTTTCTTTGCTGTAAAGTCTCCCAGTAAAAAGAGAAAAAGAATTTTATACTTGCTGTGTTAGTTTATAGAATAAAAATTTGTGCTCCATCAAGGCTACAAATGTCTTAAGAACCAGCCTAGCCCAAGGATGTTATTGCTTTTATCCTGAAATGTTTTATATTATAATAAATATCCTGTGTACTTACTTTCCAGCCAGGTTTTTCCTTTGTAATTGCTGTATTTTATGCAGGTTGACATACTTCTTAATATGGTCTCACATTGACCATATTATGTAAAGTTTTATCATGGCCCTATCCCTTGATTCTGGGTCTCTTGGTCCATTCTTTCTGTTTTCCATTGAAACTTCGGAATTTCTCCCCTGTTTCTTTTCTTTCTTTGTCTTTTCAAAGATGATATTCAAGGAGAGTAGTTAAATATGTTGATTCAAACAATAGCTTGTATGGCAATTTAAATTTCATTTTAAATTATTGTATATATTTTTCCTTCTTTTCTCCAATAAGAACTTTTTTCCAAAGCATAGTTGTGTTCAAACTATGAGTCCACTAAAGCAATTATAATTAAATAACTTGAATAGTTTAATTTAAAATGATTTCTCATATGCATAAAATTTTTCTTACTAAAATTTCCATTTACTTTTACAAGTTTTTCCACTTTAGAAAATATAGGATTTATCTATGCGATCAAAAATGCCTACTAGAGCCTTTTAGCTTTTCTCTTTCTGAAATGAAAATGAAATGTACCAAATTACCTTTGGTAAATGCACTTTCTAATTCTTCTATGCTACTTCCACATATTGATTTCTATAACAGAAAAAGTATATATGTTTACTAAAGTGTGTCAATGACTTTCTTTTACTTTTAAGAAAATAAGTAAAATTATTGGGTGAATATTCAAGGAATTTTAATAAAGTTTTCTTACATTTATCTTCATCTTCAGATCCTTGCACTGAACTGAAAACTTTAATTCTGAATAATTTGTAGCTTCCTGAATACATTTTGCTTTGTCATGAACTCATCCCTTCATATAAAGTATTCTCTTACACTTGGGTTTCTGGATTATCATTTCCTCCATTCCTCTTTCCTACTTGGAGGCCTCTTATTTATCCTTTAAGCCATATTCCAAGAGTTTTCTCCTCTGATAATACTTCTCTGAACTCTTCTATTATTTGTAGTTTGAGACACTATGTCTTCATCAATTTCCTGAGCTATTTATGTAATATTTAGTAACATTATGAAAATAATAGAATCTTACTTTTGTGTCATGTTAAGGGTTGAATTGTGCCTTGCCAAAATACACATGTTGAAGTCCTAAATCTCAGTACCTCAGATTGCCACCTTGTTAGGAAACAGGGTCATTGCAGATGTAACTAGTGAAATTAAGTGGAGGACATAATGGAGTAGGGTGGGCTCCTAATCAAATCTGAAAGGTATCCTTATAGGAAAGAAGGTTATGTGAAGACACAGAAATACAGGAAGAATGAACCGTGAAATGGGAGACAGAGATTGGAGTTATGCTTCCATACGCTAAAGAAAGCATCAGGCTACCAGGAGTCGGGAGAGTCAAGGTAGCATCCTTCCCTAGGGGCTTCAGAGAGACCACAGCCCGGCCCACGTAGATTTTGGATTTCCAGCCTCAAGGACAAGGAGATAAGAAATTTCTGTTGTTTAAAGCCACCAGCTTGTGGCACTTTGTTTAGGCAACCCTAGGAAACTGATTGATGTCATGAAATTTTAGATGTCTTGGGAAACAGTAAAATTCTTCTCTAGTTTTTATACTCATCAATCATGATGTGATTTTTTTTCTTCTCCGAAAAAGTGGGGACTAATTATTTGTGAGAGTTAACTATTTTTGTCAAGTAAGTAATGCAAAGATTCCCGTGTACCTTTCTCGGAAAGATAACTTTGTATCATGGCAAAAAATTGAACATTTAATAAGTAACATGGTGAAAAATCCCAATTTAGAAAGTGTATGAGTTTACTTTTTTCATGTTAATACTAACTAGCAGCCAATATGCTGACACTGAACATACCTTAAATGGGGGAAATGGAGTCATTGTTGCACCTGACCACTGCTAGCAATGTTTGTCCTGGTAAGTATTTAAAACATTTTAGTGTCTCAAAAGATGGAAAAGAATGGCCTAATCCACGCTGACTGATGAGAATAACTCAGGAACAGCAAATTAAAACCAAATTGGTGTTATCCACATCTTGTGCAACTCTTGTGTTGAAAATAAAGGAGCAGGAAAAACTTTTTGATTAAATTTCTGGAACTTCTGCCTCATTTATCTTAAAAATAACAGAGTTTAGGCCTGGCATGGTGGCTTATGCCTGTAATTGTAACACTTTGGGAGGCAGACGAGGGCAGATTGCTTGAGCCCAGGAGTTTGAGACCAGACTGGGTAACATGGAGAAACCCTGTCTCTAGAAAAAATACAAAAGAATTAGACAGGCATGGTGGCTGAGGTGGGAGAATCACCTGAGCTTGAGAGGTCAAGGCTGCAGTGATCCATGATTGTGCTACTGCACTCCAGCCTGGGTGAGAAAGTAAGACCTTGTCTCAAAAAAAAAAAAAAAAAAAAAAAGAAAATAACATAGTTTGAGGATATAAAGAATACTCATTTCAGATTTTGGTAAGGGCCGAGTATGTTCAGATATACCTTCTAGCTGTTATTATTAACTTTATACATTTTCCTAAAATGTTATGATGAGTAGTTTGTTTTGGAGTTTTGCAGATAAACTGTAATTAACATTTTTCTTATTTTGAAAAGTTGAAAAATATCTGTCCTTCAGTTTCTGGAATTTGTCCAGTTTGTTTTTAAAAAAATAAATGATCTGGCAATTGGATACTCACTACTTACTCTGAAAAGCCATTGTTGCCAATTTGGCAGGTCCAATACAGGGGTAAGGAGCTCTTTCACATGGATCCATTTGTTATACTACTGCTCTGCGGTGCAAGATTAAATTAATCTCTCCTTTGTTTTTTCTTTCATGTGAAATGGCTTCAAATATTTTATTTTGGCTAGTATCAACCTTCTAAAAAGATAGCATATACGTGTTCGTACATCCAGCTACTTCAATAAAAGGAAGACTCACCATAATCTATACCTGCAGCTACATCTACATTGCACGTATACTCATATCTATAGCTAATCTCTATCTCTACACACAGAGATACATGCACATATATACACACATTTATATATGTACACACATAAGTATAAACATGCATAAATATTTTTATATTATTGTTACTGTTCAATTACATATATATGTATTATATATCTTAGAATCAGAGAGCTAAATATTCCATTTTTTGTGTCTTTTTCTATCTTCAGTTTTAAGATGCTCTTTTCCTAGGTAATTTAATATCCATTTCTCTTAAAGAAGATAACAGAAGCAGACACATATCCAGAATAGTGATTTTTAAAAATATCTATGTAAACAGTCATAAATCTGGTGTATTTACACAACTATTTGCAGAACAATTATTATAGTTTGGATTACTACCCTACAGGAACATAACTGCTTTGTAAGCTTTCTAAAATATTTTTTTCTAATAATCTCTTACTTCTTCTGAATAGGAGGTATATATTAGCTATATCATTTGATAAACATCTTAATCCATCCAATGTTTTAGAAATATTTGAAATAGAAATTACATATTTGGAAGAAAGATTATTAAAAGGCACTATTAGTTACTTCTAAATAAATACATTTAAAAACTCATAAATTAAACATCATGCATAAGTTATCTAGCCTTATATAATTATAATTTGATTGGACAAATTGAGTCTTTCATCTGTACTTAGAATTTATTTGTAAGTACTTTAAAAATAGATATTATCTTTTCTAAATTTTTTTCATCCTTGATGTTCCTTGAGGAAAGAAGTCCTTGGAGGAAGCAATAACCTCTACCTTGTATTTATATCCATCCTTTTATTTCACTTACTTGAGATAAAAATATAAAAAACACCAATTTTTTTTACAAAAGATAAACATTACTTGAATACCCTTTATTTCCTTCTCCTGCCTAATTGCCCTGGCCAGAACTACCAACACTATGTTGAATAGGAGTGGTGAGAGAGGGCATCCCTGTCTTGTGCCAGTTTTCAAAGGGAATGCTTCCAGTTTTTGCCCATTCAGTATGATATTGGCTGTGGGTTTTTCATAGATAGCTCTTATTATTTTGAGATACGTCCCATCAATACCTAATTCATTGAGAGTTTTTAGCATGAATGGTTGTTGAATTTTGTCAAAGGCCTTTTCTGCATCTATGGAGATAATCATGTGGCTTTTGTCTTTGGTTCTGTTTATATGCTGGATTACATTTATTGATTTGCGTATATTGAACCAGTCTTGCATCCCAGGGATGAAGCCCACTTGTTCATGGGGGATAAGCTTTTTGATGTGCTGCTAGATTCGGTTTTCCAGTATTTTATTGAGGATTTTTGCATCAATGTTCATCAAGGATATTGGTCTAAAATTCTCTTTTTTGGTTGTGTCTCTGCCTGGCTTTGGTATCAGGATGATGCTGGCCTCATAAAATGAGTTAGGGAGGATCCCCTCTTTTTCTATTGATTGGAATAGTTTCAGAAGGAATGGTACCAGTTCCTCCTTGTACCTCTGGTAGAATTCGGCTGTGAATCCATCTGGTCCTGGACTCTTTTTAGTTGGTAAGCTATTGATTATTGTCACAATTTCATATCCTGTTATTGGTCTATTCAGAGATTCGACTTCTTCCTGGTTTAGTCTTGGGAGAGTGTATGTGTCGAGGAATTTATCCATTTCTTCTATATTTTCTAGTTTATTTGCGTAGAGGTGTTTGTAGTATTCTCTGATGGTAGTTTGTATTTCTGTGGGATCGGTGGTGATATCCCCTTTATCATTTTTTATTGCATCTATTTGATTCTTCTCTCTTTTTTTCTTTATTAGTCTTGCTAGCGGTCTATCAATTTTGTTGATCCTTTCAAAAAACCAGCTCCTGGATTCATTAATTTTTTGAAGGGTTTTTTGTGTCTCTATTTCCTTTAGTTCTGCTCTGATTTTAGTTATTTCTTGCCTTCTGCTAGCTTTTGAATGTGTTTGCTCTTGCTTTTCTAGTTCTTTTAATTATGATGTTAGGGTGTCAATTTTGGATCTTTCCTGCTTTCTCTTGTGGGCATTTAGTGCTATAAATTTCCCTCTACACACTGCTTTGAATGTGTCCCAGAGATTCTGGTATGTTGTGTTTTTGTTCTCATTGGTTTCAAAGAACATCTTTATTTCTGCCTTCATTTCGTTATGTACCCAGTAGTCATTCAGGAGCAGGTTGTTCAGTTTCCATGTAGTTGAGTGGTTTTGAGTGAGTTTCTTAATCTTGAGTTCTAGTTTGATTGCACTGTGGTCTAGTCAAATTGTCCCTGTTTGCAGATGACATGATTGTATATCTAGAAAACCCCATTGTCTCAGCCCAAAATCTCCTTAAGCTGATAAGCAACTTCAGCAAAGTCTCAGGATACAAAATCAATGTACAAAAATCACAAGCATTCTTACACACCAATAACAGACAAACAGAGAGCCAAATCATGAGTGAACTCCCATTCACAATTGCTTCAAAGAGAATAAAATACCTAGGAATCCACCTTACAAGGGACGTGAAGGACCTCTTCAAGGAGAACTACAAACCACTGCTCAATGAAATAAAAGAGGATACAAACAAATGGAAGAACATTCCATGCTCATGGGTAGGAAGAATCAATATCGTGAAAATGGCCATACTGCGGAAGAATCAATATCGTGAAAATGGCCATACTGCCCAAGGTAATTTATAGATTCAATGCCATCCCCATCAAGCTACCAACGACTTTCTTCACAGAATTGGAAAAAACTACTTTAAAGTTCATATGGAACCAAAAAAGAGCCCGCATCGCCAAGTCAATCCTAAGCCAAAAGAACAAAGCTGAAGGCATCATGCTACCTGACTTCAAACTATACTACAAGGCTACAGTAACCAAAACAGCATGGTACTGGTACCAAAACAGAGATATAGATCAATGGAACAGAACAGAGCCCTCAGAGATAACGCCGCATATCTACAACTATCTGATCTTTGACAAACCTGAGAAAAACAAGCAATGGGGAAAGGATTCCCTATTTAATAAATGGTGCTGGGAAAACTGGCTAGCCATATGTAGAAAGCTGAAACTGGATCCCTTCCTTACATCTTATACAAAAATTAATTCAAGATGGATTAAAGACTTAAACGTTAGACCTAAAACCATAAAAGCCCTAGAAGAAAACCTAGGCATTACCATTCAGGACATAGGCATGGGCAAGGACTTCATGTCTAAAACACAAAAAGCAATGGTAACAAAAGCCAAAATTGACAAATGGGATCTAATTAAACTAAAGAGCTTCTGCACAGCGAAAAAAACTACCGTCAGAGTGAACAGGCAACCTACAAAATGGGAGAAAATTTTCGCAACTTACTCATCTGACAAAGGGCTAATATCCAGAATCTACAATGAACTCAAACAAATTTACAAGAAAAAAACAAACAACCCCATCAAAAAGTGGGCAAAGGATATGAGCGGACACTTCTCAAAAGAAGACATTTATGCAGCCAAAAGACACATGAAAAAATGCTCATCATCACTGGCCATCAGAGAAATGCGAATCAAAACCACAATGAGATACCATCTCACACCAGTTAGAATGGCAATCACTAAAAAGTCAGGAAACAACAGGTGCTGGAGAGGATGTGGAGAAATAGGAACACTTTTACACTGTTGGTGGGACTGTAAACTAGTTCAACCATTATGGAAGTCAGTGTGGCGATTCCTCAGGGATCTAGAACTAGAAATACCATTTGACCCAGCCATCCCATTACTGTGTATATACCCAAAGGACTATAAATCATGCTGCTATAAAGACACATACACACGTATGTTTACTGAGGCACTATTCACAATAGCAAAGACTTGGAACCAACCCAAATGTCCAACAACGATAGACTGGATTAAGAAAATGTGGCACATATACACCATGGAATACTATGCAGCCATAAAAAATGATGAGTTCATGTCCTTTGTAGGGACATGGATGAAATTGGAAATCATCATTCTCAGTAAACTATCGCAAGGACAAAAAACCAAACACCGCATATTCTCACTCATAGATGGGAACTGAACAATGAGAACACATGGACACAGGAAGGGGAACATCACACTCTGGGGACTGTTGTGGGGTGGGGGGAGGGGGGAGGGATAGCATTGGGAGATATACCTAATGTTAAATGTCGAGTTAATGGGTGCAGCACACCAGCATGGCACATGTATACATATGTAACTAACCTGCACGTTGTGCACATGTCCCCTAAAACTTAAAGTATAATAATAAAAAAAACAAAAAACATTATTAATTTCTTTCTAGATCATCTCTTATACCAGAAAATGGTAAAATTAAAAGACATCTTTTTTAAAAATGTTAAGGAACAGTAATTAATATTGTTTCATATTTGTATGGTGCTTTATACTCTCTATCACAAATACCGTCTCATCATTTCACAGTAAGAATAACTGCCAGCACCATAAGCTATACCTGGCCCTGAGTCACAGTAGGAAAATCAGCAGCAACAAATACCTGATAACAAACAATAATCTATTTTAATTATATGCAAAGTGTATATGCTTGTATGTACTTATTTATTGTGAAAATTATGAATCAGAAAACTTTTCTGTTAGACATGACTGTATATCAATTTATGTAGATTTAATTAATGACTTCAAATAATTATAAAATAATGCTTTAATGCTAAACGTTGTAGAACATTCTTTTGTTTTCCATAAAATCATGAAGCCCAGTAGTCTACATGATTTTCTTCGAAATCTTTTAATTAATCAGGGCTCTGAATTCTTTCTTATAAATCTTCTTTCTTATAGTTAAAAATGTTGAAAACAATCAACTCTAAAAGTCAATTCTCTCTTTATAGTCAGTTCCTGATAATGTCTCCCAAATGATCCTCAGAAATTACTGCTGGCCATTTGAGGTTTACACATATTCATCTCTGTATTTGCTTT
The DNA here is from genome assembly GCF_000001405.40 of Homo sapiens. Lineage (NCBI taxonomy): Eukaryota > Metazoa > Chordata > Mammalia > Primates > Hominidae > Homo > Homo sapiens. The sequence goes on from NC_000021.9 coordinate 18,439,162, forward strand.
TACAAACTTACCCATGGAAAATGATCTTTTTGTTATAATGCTTTGCATTGAAGTAGTTCATTATATTTAAAAATTTCAATTAATTTTGCTAATACCTCATGTTGAAGGAGCAAGAATTTCTATGATCATATAATTGATGGAAAAACTGTAGCACAGAGAGTTTAAAAGATTTACCCAGAGATATTCATCAAGATAACAGTTTAGTTGATGATAACAATGCAGAATAACCTATTTTTAAGCAGTTTTTATTCTTTACTCAAAGTAGTCTTTTCTAAGTATATAAAGAAGTTTTGAATGAATTATAAAAGTAATGAATTTTTTAAACATAGAACATTTAAGTATTATGGTCATCAGAATATAAAATATATAGCACAGAACTTTTATACTAACTGCATTATTTTTCCAATTCAAATAGCATTGGTCATCGTGTTTTATAGAAATAGGGTTTTGAATGTGGGAGTGTTATCTCTTGACACTAGACAGTAGAATTTACAAAAGCATTGTGATGAAAGTGACAAGAATCAATAATGGGAAGGAGAGGTATAAATTAAATTGGATTTATGGATGGAAAAAAAAGAGACTAGTTAGATTTAGAGGCAGAAAATTACAGCACAAAGAGAGACTAGATACCATCTTTAAAGCTCTTATTGAAATGTAAAATATTTTTAGTAGATAGCAGTGTAACCCAGTTCAGAGAGATTTATCGAAAGCTAGAAATCACTTGAGAACAGAAAGCAGAGATCTTAGATAATGACTTCAAAGGCACAAAATGTTTTCATGAGGGAAACTTGTAAAGGTTGTGGGGTTGTTGTGGATAAGTTTTATAATTACACAGTACCATGGGACCATAGATGACTAGGCAAAATTCTCAAGGAAAGTTGTAGACACATTTTACCTATGTGGAACTCACACAGAAGAAAACTGTAGTGATGGCCGGGCGCGGTGGCTCACGCCTGTAATCCCAGCACTTTGGGAGGCCGAGACGGGCGGATCACGAGGTCAGGAGATTGAGACCATCCTGGCTAACACGGTGAAACCTCGTCTCTACTAAAAATACAAAAATTAGCCGGGCATGGTGGCGCGCGCCTGTAGTCCCAGCTACACGGGAGGCTGAGGCAGGAGAATGGCGTGAACCCGGGAGGCGGAGCTTGCAGTGAGTCGAGATCGCGCCACTGCACTCCAGCCTGGGCGACAGAGCGAAACTCCGTCTCAAAAAAAAAAAAAAAAAGAAAACTGTAGTGATGTGTATTTTCATTGGCATCAATATAAAGAGTCTATGTAACAAGAAATAAGAAAGCTTTGAGATCATAAATCTTAGAACCTCCATTTCCCTAACTATTTCATAAATCGATGTGTATCAGAATCTTAGTCATATGTGATGATCAGGATGAATTGTAGGATCATATGGCTTATTTTTCATATTTATTATCCCATGCTATAAGTAGCACCTATTTTCAAGGTTTGAAATTCTTATAAGCTACTCAATTTAAAAAAAATCAGAAAATATTCATTGATTTTGTGTACTTTTGAATAATTGTGTATTTAACAAATGGTTTGCTAAATTCTTGTCATGACCTGTTCATGTAAATAAATTCTTATCATGACCTATTTATATAATTGACATTCATTGTAGTATCTTTTATAACATTCTTTAAAGGTCTGATTTAAAAGAAAATTAGTGTAATATAGTGATTGTTAATAATATAGTTGTTGGACTTTTTCTGCTTAAAGTATAATTACTTCGATGTTACAGAATGATCAACCTACTAACAGCAATTGTTTAGATGAGCTATTTGAACAATTGAACAATCAAGAAATTCTTGTAAAAAAAATAGGATTATGAAAGTTGTGCCAGGTGTGGTGGCTCACACCTGTAATCCCAGCACTTTGGGAGACCAAAGCAGGAGGATCACCTGAGGTCAGGAGTTCGAGACCAGCCTGACCAATATGATGAAATCCTGTTTCTACTAAAAATACAAAAATGAGCCAGGTGTGGTGGCATGCACCTGTAATCCCAGCTACTCAGGAGGCTGAGACAGGAGAATCGCTTGAACCTGGGAGGTGGAGGTTGCAGTGAGCCCTGCACTCCAGCCTAGGCAACAAGAGTGAAACTCCGTCTCAAACAAAACAAAACAAAACAAAACAAAACCAAAAAAACAAAGAGACCGGGCGTGGTGGCTCACACCTGTAATCCCAGCACTTTGGGAGGCCGAGGCAGGCAGATCATGAGGTCAGGAGATCAAGACCTTCCTGGCTAACATGGTGAAACCCCATCTCTACTAAAAATACAGAAAATTCGCTGGGTGTGGTGGTGTGCACCTTGTAATCCCAGCTACTCGGGAGGCTGAGGCAGAAGAATCACTTGAACCTAGGAGGCAGATGTTGCAGTGAGCTGAGATCGTGCCACTGCACCCCAGCCTGGGTGACAGAGCAAGACTCCATCTCAAAAAAAAAAAAAAAAAAGAAAGAAAAGAAAAGAAGATTGTCAACTTTAGGACACATTATTATTATTATTATTATTATTATTATTATTATTATTATTATTTTGAGTCAGAGTCTCACTCTGTTGCCCAGACTGGAGTGCAGTGGCAGGATCTCGGCTCACTGCAACCTCTGGCTCCCAGGTTCAAGAGATTCTCCTGCCTCAGCCTCCTGAGTAGCTGGGACTGTAGGCACACGCCACCGATCTCAGCTAAGTTTTGTACTGTTAGTAGAGACAGGCTTTCACCATGTCGGCCAGGCTAGTCTTGAACTCCTGACCTCAAGTGATTTGCCTGCCTAGGCCTCCCAAAGTGCTGGGATTACAGGCGTGAGCCACCACACCCGGCCCAGGACACATTATTTTAAAGAATCTCTGATGATCAAAGTTGTTCCTTAGTTTAACGTAATCTCCTACTCATTCCTCCTCTTCTTTCATTGCTACTTTACTATAACTGTCCTTTGTGTTGTTAAAATTCCTATCTTTCCAATAATACTGTTTTACTTTAACATCAATGAATTGTTTTTTCTTAGTTACCTTGAGTCTTATTTTGATTAATTTTATTTAAAAATATCCTGTATTTCATCTGCTCTCTCCATCAGATATGGCTGTTTCCTAAGAACGATGTTTATCCTACTTTGCTCATTATTAGCTTTTGGCATGGATGGGCTTGACGTATTTGCTAGCAGATTATCTACTATAAGTAATAAAACATTCTGGCACCACATTGCTATTTGTGTAAACCAGACAAATGTTTTCTGTACTTTTTTCTCCTTACATATATTTTTCATTCACTCTTGCAAACTTTTGCTCCAAATATAAGTTAAGCTATAAAGTAGTTATTTATATTTTTAAATAAATTATTCAAAGTAATCAATGCTAGGTTTTCCTTAATGATACACAACTTCCTAGATGTTCTTAGGAGAAAAAACTCCCTTGCATCACACAAAGCCAAAATATTGCTACCTTGAATATCACATTTCTTATCCCGGTAAGTTTGGGACAGTTTATCTGGCTCTCTCAAGGACATCCAGCTAGTTGATCAGAGTTCAAATACTGCTCTGTTTATTTTGTTATACAGATATTCCATGGTAATTTCTCCCAAGCTTAGATAAAATATTTCCTCAAACTTTTATTATGATGATTTCATTCTAGGGTTAATGCAGTGTTCTGAAAGAATAAAATCAGTTTTGAAATGAAGTATATTTTAATACGATTCTGACGTATCAATTCTATTTCGCCTGAAAAAATCAGTTCGGGGTACCATACATAGAGTTAATCACCAAAGGTATTAGGAAGTGATTACTGGATAGATTAAGAACAGGTGATGGGATGTAGGTTAATTAGAATTAAGTTCAAATATACCTTGAATTAAGTTCAAATATACTGACCCATCTTCCTCCCCAACCTCCAACTATCCATGGACACTTTGCATGTGTATATTTACAAATTACAAAGAAATTGGCAAACTAGCCCCGATTAAATAGTGCAGAGAAACAAGAGATGAGGAAAAACGGCAGGGAAGCTACGAAAAGAAAAAATAAAATAAATAAAAGATGGCAGGATAGAAGCAGCTCAGGTGTGCTGCTCTCGTAGAGAACAGAGGGGCTGGTGAACACTGACTCTGCAGGCCGATCGGCTGAGAAACCATGCTGGGATCAATTAAGGCAGCAGGGGACACAGAAAGCAGGGAAGAGTGAAGCTGGCACCAGCCTGTCTGGGTTCAGCATGGAGCCAGGAGAACCTCTCCAACACAGGAAACTGAATGAGTGACAGCCCCTTGGGACACTCACGCTCTCCACAGGGACCTGTGTAAAACTGAATGAGAGAATCCTCCTGGCATCCCCGGTCTCCCCACTGCACTTCTAGACTGAGGCAGAAAGTCAACTGGACATATTGCCGGGACAACTCTTGATTCCAAGGGAACCTCTACAAGCCTTGTGCCCTGGAGCAGACCAGCACTGGTGCCATAGCCCCAGTGGAGGCCACAGTTGTGGTGCCAACAATAAGATTGCTCCACCTCACCTTGCTAGACAAGGCTCAGTGCCAGCTACTGGCCCAATAGTCCCACTTCTGTCCGAACTCAGCCAGTGGCTGCAGCCTCCTCTTGTTCCAGGAAACACCTGAATGGCAGAGCTGGCAACCTCACCCTCTGACACCGGTAGACAAGCAGGCAATGCTTTCTAGAGCTTCCAGCTAGCAGTACCGCTTTTGTGTGAACTCAGCCAGAGGGTGCAGCTTCCTGTTGTGGCGGGAAGCACCTGCACAGCAAAGCAGGCAACTGAACCCACTCCTGCCACTGGTAGCCAGGTGGGCAATTCCTGCTAGAGCTTCTGGCCAAGTGGTCCTGCTTCTGTTTGAACTTGGCTGGCAGGCACAGCCTCCTCTTATTGCTAGAAACATCCGGATGGCAGGGTGGGTGAATCCACTCACAGCACACTCCCCGCCCCTTGTAACCAGGCAAGTCACACCTGCTAGGGCTTCCAGCCTCGTAGTCCTACTTCAGCCTGAATTTGCCAAGGGTTGCAGCAGCCTGTTGCCCCAGAAACACCCAGCAGCACTATTCACAATAGCAAAGATACGGAATCAACCTAAATGCCCATTAACGGAAGACTGGATAAAGAAAATGTTGTATATGTACATCACGGAATACTACATAACCATAAAAAAGGATTATTTCGTGTCCTTTACAGGGACATGGTTGAAGCTGGAAACCATCATTCTCTGCAAACTGTCACAAGGACAGAAAACCAAACACCGCATGTTCTCACTCATAAGTGGGAGTTGGACAATTAGAACACATGGACACAGGGAGGGGAACATCCCACACTGGGGCCTGTTGGGGGATGGGGGTGCTGGGGGAGGGATAGCATTAAGAGAAATTCCTAATGTAGATGACGGGTTGATGGGTGCAGCAAACCACCATGGCACATGTATACCTATGTAAGAAATCTGCACGTTGTGCACATGTACCCTAGAACTTAAAGTATAAAAATTAAAAAAAAATCAGGATAGTGAGCATTCCCATCACCTCAAACATGTGTCATTTCTTTTTGGTGAGAACATTCAAAACTTTCTCTTTTAGTTATTTTGAAATACTATACAATATATTATTATTAACTATAATCACCCTACTGTGCAATGGAATGCCAGAACATTTTCCTCCTATTTAACTGTAACTTTGTTGACCAACTTCTCCCAGTCTCCCCCTTACCTCCTCTCCTTCCAAACCTCTGATAATCACTATTCTACTCTCTCCCTCCATGAGATAAACTTTCTGAAATTCCACATGAGTGAGACAACAAAATTAGCTTGGTGCAAAGTAGTTGCGGTTTTTGCCATTAAGAGTGGCAAAACTTTTAGTGGCAAAAATGGTAAATAGTTTTGCAACAAGCTAATGTTTCTCTTTCTGTGGTAGGCTTACTTCACTTAACATAATGTCTTCTAGGTTCATCCATGTGTTCAGAAATGACCAAATTTCATTTTATTTGGCTGGCTAGTACTCCATTGTATATATATATATACCCCATTTAAAAAAATCCATTCTTGCATTGGTATATACCACATTTTTTTTTTTTTTTTGAGACAGAGTTGAGCTTTGTTGCCCAGACTGGAGTGCAACTTTTGCCTCCTGGGTTCAAGTGATTACCCTGCCTCAGCCTCCCGAATAGCTGAGATTACAGTCATGCACCACCACTCCTGGCTAATTTTTGTATTTTTAATAGAGATGGGGTTTCACCAAGCTGGCCAGGCTGGTCTCAAACTCCTGACTTCAAGTGATCCACCCACCTCGGCCTCCCAAAGTGCTCGAATTGTAGGCATGAGCTGCCATGCCCAGCCTATACTACATTTTTAAAAATCCATTAACACATTGATGGATGCTTAGATTGATTCCATATCTTCACTATCATGAATATTGCTGCAAAATACTAGCAAACTGAGGGCAATAGCACATCAAAAAGATCATTCACCATGATCTAGTGGGATTCACCTAAGGGATGCCACAATGTTTCAACAGACACAAATAAAACAATTAGATACATCACATTAACAAAATGTAGAAAATAAGTGGGATCATTTTATTAGATGCTAAAAAAGCGTTTGGTAAAACCCAACATTCTTTTATGATAAAACCTGCCAACAAACTGGAGGTAGAAGACTATGCCTCAAAATCATAAAGGGCATATATATCAAACCCATAGCTAGCATAATACTGGACAAGGAACTATTGAAAGCCTTTTCTCTAAAATATGCAACAAGACAAGGATGCCCACTTTCTCCACTTGTATTCAAAATAATACTGGAATTACTGGCCAGAGCCATCAGGCAAGAGAAAGAAATAAAGGGCATCCAAATTGGAAAGGAAAAAGTCAAATTAGCCCTGTTTTCAAACCACATGATCTTATACTTAGGAAAACCTCAAGACTCAACCAAACCACTGTTAGAAGTGATAAGCAAATTCAATAAAGTTGTAGAATACAAAATCAACATACAAAAATCAGTAGCATTTATATATGCCAGCAGCAAACGATCTGAAAAAAATTAAGAAGATAATCCCATTTATAATAGCCACAAGTAATATAAAATACCTAGGAATCAATTTAACCAAAGAAGCAAAAGCAATATACAAGGAAAACTATAAAACACTAATGAAAGAAATTGAAGAGGACACAAATCAAAAGATAGTCCATGTTCATGAATTGGAATAATTAATTCTGTAAAAATAACAATACTACTCAAAGCAATACACAGATTCAATGCAATCCCTATCAAAATACCAAGAAAGTTCTTCAAAGAAATAGAAAAAAATGCTAAATTTATACGGAACCACAAAAGACCTCAAATAGCCAAAGCAATTCCAAGCAAAAAGAACAAAGCTAGAAGCAACATACTACCTGACTTTAAAATATACTACAAAGCTATAGTAACCAAATAAGCATGGTACTTGCATAAAAACAGATACATAGATCAATAGAACAGAATACGGAACCCCAAAATGCATTTACAGCCCACTGATTTTCAACAGGCACGGAAAACACACATTAAGGAAAAAGACAGTCTCTTCAATAAAGTTGCTCTGGAAAAGCTGAATATCCACATGTCGAAGAATAAAACTAAACTTCTATCTCTCATCAGTTGCAAAATCAGCTGAAAATGAATTGAAGACCTCAAAGTAGGACCAAAACTGCTAGAGAAAAACAGGGGGAAAGCTCCATGACATTGGTTTAGGCAATGTTTGTTTGTTTGTTTTTTATATAACCCCAAAAAACATAGGCAACAAATATAGACAAATGAGATTACTTCAAACTACAAAGCTTCTGGACAGTAAAGGAAATAAGCAAGAGTGAAGACACAACTTACAGAACAGGATAAACTATTTGCAATCTGTACAACTCTCTAGGGGTTAATATACAGCATATATAAGCAACTCAAATAACATAATAGCAAAATAACAAATAATTAATAATTAAAATATGGGCAGAATATCTGAATAGACATTTCTCAAAAGAAGACATACAAATGGGCCAGGTGTAGTGGTTCACGCCTGTAACCCCAGCACTTTGGGAGGCTGAGGCAGGTGGATCATGAGGTCAGGAGTTTGAGACCAGCCTGGCCAATATGGTGAAACCCCATCTCTACTAAAAATTAAAAAGCCAGGCGTGGTGGTGGGTGCCTATAACCTCAGCTACTTGGGAGGCTGAGACAGGAGAATTGCTTGAACCCGGGAGGCAGAGGTAGCAGTGAGCCCAGATCATGCCATTGCATTTCAGCCTGGGCGACAGAGTAAGACTTCAACTCAAAAAAAAAAAAAAAAAAAGACATACAAATGACAAACAAGTATATTAAAAATGGTCAACATAACTAAATGATATGGTTTGGCTGTGTCCCCACCCAAATTTCATCTTGAACTGTAGTTCTGATAATCCCCACATGTTTGGGAGGGACTTGGTGGGAAGTAATTGAGTCATGAAGGCAGTTACCTCCATGCTCTTCTGTTGACAGTGAGTGAGTTCTTATGAGATCTCATAGTTTTATAGGGGCTTTTTCCCTCCTTCATTCTGCACTTGTCTCTTGCTTGTTGCCATGTAAGATGTGGCTTTGCTCTTCCTTTGTCTTCTGCAATGATCGTGAGGCCTCCCTAGCCTTGTTAAAGTGTGAGTTCGTTAAGCCTCTTTTTTTCATAAATTAGCTAATGTAGAGTAGGTCTTTAGTAGCAGCATGAGAACAGACTAGTACACTAATCATCAGAGATATGTAAATCAAAACCACAATGAGATATCACTTCACCCCTGTTAGAATGTCTGTTTTCAAAAAGATAAAAAGGAAATGCTGGTGAGGATGTGGAGAATGAGAATTCTTATACACTCTTGGTGAGAATGTAAATTAGTACAGCCATTATAAACAGTAGTATAAAGGTTCTTCAAAAAATTAAAAATATAAATACCATATGATCCAGTAATACCAATAAACGTATATCCAAAGGAAATTAAATCAGTATGTTGAAGAGGTATCTACATTTCTATGTTTATTGAAACTGTTTTATTAATAAAGTCACCACAGTGATCTACATACATTTGGTTTTCTGAGAATGTGTTGAGAATACTGGTTATGCATCAAACAAATGGATTATGACATTGTGTCTAATTGATGTTACAAATCAATACAATTTACTAAAGAAGAGTCACTAAGAATGCAGACTCTGGAGTGAGATTTCTTTAGTTTATAGCTAAATATATTTAATATCCATGAGCTTTGGGAACATGGGCTAACTAAGGAAACTTTCTTCACATTTCTTCTACCTTTAAAGTGGAAATAATTATAAGATATTCCTCATGGGGCTGTTATAATGACCGAATCTGACAATAGATGAAACACACTATAAAGATGCATACCATATTTTGAAAAATCAGTAAATTTTAATCATTTCCTTTTATTTAGTTGGATTTTTTAAAATAGAAATATTCTAAGCACAGAGTGTATGAAACTTGAATTTATTACTCTATGGCCTATCATGGAAACAGTGTTGTTATATGATACATTTATATAATTTTAAATATCATATCATACTGTGGTCCTACTCTAATATTCAAATCTCATAAACTATCATTTTTGTAGTTGTTTCACATTTTTAATTTAGAAACATCAAGGACTATTGCTTTGATGAGCTATTATATATTGCTTTTCTGTTAGGCTTAGTAAGCAAATATAATACTTCAGTAAAAATAATGATAAACTATTTCTTTCAATGATTTGAAAGTTGCCTGATATTTTGAGATAAAGTCTAGTATATCTTTTTTTGAAACAGACAAACTGGGTCTTAAAATAAATCAGAACAATTATGCTGTTTATATTGGTGAGTTACATGAATCCACTTAGTAAATAATGAACAGATGTTCTACTAATCAAACTATACAGACACAATTTGCTTTTCTGACCTAAAGGCCATACCCAAGAAAAGCTGTTGCTCATTTTGTTCTTTCACTTGGGAAAAGGAAGGGAGAAATTTAATATTTCTCAAATGAATTGTGATCTTATTCCAGGAGCTTTTGAAAATGTAGCATTATATACAATATAGAATTTCTATATAAAATACAGAATATGACAATTCACAAAAACCCACCTTGCACATATTCAATCGTATCTAATGCATATAGTATGCTGTGAGATGGTGATCTTAAGTTTATTTCATAGATAGAGAGGAACCCAGAGTTGAAGTTACATGTCAAGGTGGTACATGTGTCTTCTGACTTCAGAACCACTAGTGTGTGTTCTCCCAACAAGCAGGAAAACAGAAAGTGCCTTCCTATTCTCTTTTTTAAATTGTGTAACTTAAGGATTAACATTCCTGAGTTTAATATCCAATGCTATTACTTACTGGTTATGTAACTTTGGTTAGAATATTGAACTTTTATGTTCCTCTGTAAGATGGGATACTAATTGAACCTCCTTCTGTAGGCATTTGTGACTGCCTATGAGCTAAATCATGTACAGTGTTTAGACGAGACCCCAGTACAATTAGCAGTCAGTACCTACCACATCTTATTATTATCATTTCCTTTTTGAAACCAAACTGTCAAAATTGTGAGTATCTTGGCAATGGAAAATTTTCAGCTCTTCACAGTCATCCTTGAATCACTCTCAGACCATTTCACTAGGGCCTAATGGGAAATGTTCTTTTTCTGAGGTGACTCAGTAAACTCATGAATCTTTCCCTCAAACACACACACACACACACGCACACACACACACACACACACACCTATATAAAATGGAAGAATAGCCTTTCAATTAGAAAACACATAAAAAAGAAGATACAAAGAAAATATATGTAGCACTTATGAGATTAAGCCCAGTTTTTCATTAAAACATCTGCTCTTCAAGTTTCCATCCCTTGGCTCTCACTTAAGTATTTTATTTTCAACTTATGGAAGCAATTACTTGAATGCAAACTCCAGGGAAGTAAATGGCCGCAGCATATAGCTCATTCAATGTACATTTTTGCATTATCTTATATACAAGGCAAATTAGTTTTCAGGTTAGTAAAAATAATCTTAACTTCATATTTTTATTGCTTGTGGGAATTATTCCAGATGAAGTAGCATGCAAATTTCATTGTTTTACATGTTTTTTTTTTCTAGCATATATTTCATCTGGGGTTGCATAATGGAAAGATCTATTTTTTTCTAAAACCTTTTGTCGTAGTTTGAAAGGATCAACGGCTCCTCCCTGTGATTCAGTTTCACATGGCGATTTCCTATGAGCCCTGAAAACGTGGAACCTCAATGCATTTGTTTCTGCTTAAGAATTATAAATCTTCTTACTCTATTCTGTGATTATACCATCCCTTGACAATGGTTTTGCTAAAAGATTTTCAAAAGCCGAGTTCTGGGAGTAGAAGGAGGTTCAACTTTGAATGCTATTTTCTGATCAATTGGAGCTTCTTAATCCTCTTCCTTTACTGGACTGTGCTCTGGTAAATAGCTGTCAGCAAGGGAAGGAGTTCAATACCTGTGGGCCATGACCCACTTAAAGGCTTCTTCTTTTGGGAAAAAAATCCAAGACAGCCTTAAATGTCAGTATTCTTCTGGAATGCCCTTGTGTCAGCTTCAGGGGTTCAATTGCCATGCGTATCTATAAATTCCAGCCTTTTCAAATAAAATACTGGAAGTTATTACATCTGTCAGGTGAAGCAGAGGTAAATGCAAGCCTTGAATATAAAGATTTGATTCATATATACACCGTCAACAATAAGAAAGCCAGAGAGGCCTTCTAGTATTTGGACATACATGATACATTCTTCAGTTGTGTATGATATTCATTAAAAATTCGCTGATTATTCTTATCCTACCCATTTTAAGATAATCCACAATTAATCACTGGCCAAGCATTACAATGCAATGTTCTATCAAATTTATGCAAAAGATTCTCTTTTTTTTTTAAAATACACTGAATCCTCCTTTTTTATTTCAGATGTGGTGTTTTGTTAAGGATTTTATTGTAATACAGTTCTTCAGTTCCCTGAAAGTTTAGATATATGTAAAAACTCATTTCTTAATAAAAAGCCCATCATAAACATGAAAAGGGTAAAATGACATAATGTGACAAATGTTGCTATTAGCTTATCTGTTGTTATGGAATTATTTTTACTGTACACAGTTCACCAAAAAATAAAAAACTGTCAAAAAGCTACTGAACTAAATGTCTGTTTTTATTTTAGTGAATTGATCATAGATTTGTCTGCCCTTTTTTTTTTGAGTTGTTAATCAAATATAAAAACCAGTCACGATTTTGTGCAAAACTACAAATACATGCAGTTTTAAAATGTAGAGACACTGAAAATAAAAGCCAATTTACTTCTCAGGAGGGATAAATCTTGGTTTCAGCAACAAGAAGCATTGAGGTGTTTAAGCTGCTTTGGGGACAGCATTATAGAAGGGCAGAAGAGCCCTGTGTGCTTACATGAGCTCTGGTTTGTCTTTCTCTCTACAATTTTCTGCAATTACAAAATATATTTTGAGAAGAGCTTATGCTTTTTTGGACAGCTAACATGTTTCACTTGTTATTAAATTTACTTTTTCTCTCTTCTACTCTGTTTTCTATACTTTCCTGGTGGAAAAGGTTCAGTTTTTGTATGACTGTCCAAGATGAAAACAGAAGATACTACACATTTTTGACTCAGTGAGTTTAGAGCCAAAGATGATTGTCAATCAATGTCAAAGTTCACAGTCATGGCATGCATAAGACATGCATGACATGCATGCATAATTTTATGCATGCATAATTTTATGTATGCAAATGCAAACTTATGCATGCATAATTTTATTTTCTCATTGTGATTCTTGCTTCCAGTTGATGTGGTTCAATTCAAAAAAAGATTCATTATGATTTTACTCGAGATCAATAGCTACATCCGAATTTTTTGGAAATCAATGCAGGACTGAGAAACTACTTTCCACATTGTGTTCTTGGGGAGATATTAGCTAGTGGCAGGTGAGCTTATGTTTATGTGATGGCACCTGCGAGTACATAGAGGTTGGATATGTTAGTAACATATTTAAGGCATACTCAAAACTTAGGGATTCCTTGAGTCTATAATTTCATAAGCATGGTTTGTTAAAATTAGCACCACAAAGGTTTAAGGAATAAAAACAACTTTCTCAAGTTATTTTTTACTTATAACTCAATGTATACACACACATAAGCAAACACACAAAGCAAACATAATGTAATATTAAAATTAGGCTGGGTATGGCAGCTCACGCCTGTAATCCCAGCACTTTGGGAGGCCGAGGTGGGCTGACATATTCAGCCCAACAGCTCTAGACCAGCCTACGCAACATGGCGAAACCATGTCTCTACAAAAAATAAAAAAATAATATCCGGGCATGGTGGTGGGCACCTGTGGTCCCAGCTACTTGAGAGGCTGAGGTGGGAGAATCACCGGAGCCCTGGATGGGATGTTGAGGCTGAAGTGAGCTGTGACAGCATCAGTACACTCCAGCCTGTCTCAAGAAAAACAAAGAGATTCAATACAATATTTTGAACTGGAATGTTACAAACTGAATAGGAATATGGATAAAGATGAACTAATCGATGACAATTTCAATATGAGCCAATAGAAATCATTTATTTAACAGCTTTATTGAGTTACAATTAATATAGAAAAACTGCACATATTTAATGTGTGCAATTTGATGAGTTTGGACGAAGGTAAATATCTGTGGTAACATTATCAAAACCAAGGTAATAGGCATATCCAACATCTCTCAAAATTTCCTTGTGTCCCTTTTATTGTTTTTGTAGTATGAACGTGCAACATAAGATCTACCATCTTAACAAAGTTTGAAGTGCACAATACTGCATTTTAACTATAAGGACTGTTATACAGCATATTTCTAGAGCTTACTCATCTAGCACAACTGAAACTTTATATCTTTTGAACAACTGCCACAGTTTATAAACAACCCCACATTTTTAATTTTGCAATGTCACATGTCAATCCCTTTAAAAGATTTTTTTGTATTGATGTGTCAGTTTTGTTGTCTTCCCTCTAAGTTGAAAACTACCAGCCTCTAATTTAAATCCAGGCATCTGGATCTCTCAAAAATCTCACAAAATAAATCTGATTATATTTCCATGAAGGCCCTCCAGATACTCATAAACACGTGTCATGCTCTCCACCCCATATCTCTGCTTTTCTAATGTATTAGTCAGTGTTCTCCAGAGAAACAGAACCAATAGAATGTGTGTATGTGTGCACATGCATGCACATGTGCATATACGCACATATATACAGAAACATATTTATTTTAAGGCTTGCCTGATTATGGAAGCTGGCAAATACAAAATCTGCAGGGTACACTGGCAGCCTGGAGAGTCAATGATGCAGTTCACATCTAAAGGCCATCAAGACTGGAGATTTAGAGACGAGCTTATTTTGCAGTTTATGCAGCTCCCTCAAAAAATTAAAAATAGAACTACTGTATGATTCAGCAATCCCACTTTTAGGTAAATACCCAAAAGAATTGGAATTCAGATCTCTAAGAGATATCTGCACTCCTATATTCATTGCAACATTATTCACAATGGCTAAGATATGGAAACAATCCAAGGGTCCATCACAGTGAATGAATAAAGAAAATCTGGTATATATGTGTATAATATGAGTAAGACTCAAAAGAGAAGGAAATCCTGCCATTTGAGACAACATGGATTAACTTGAAGGACATAATGCTAAATGAAATTAGCCAATCACAGAAGGACAAATTCTGCAATATTCCACCTGTATGAAGTATCTGTAAGAGTTAAACTCATGGGAGCAAAGCATATGATATTTGCCAGGGGCTAAGGGTAACAAGCAAATTCATAGTTATTTTTACTTTGATTTATTGAGATCTAGTTGTCAAAGGACAATATGTGAGTATTGGAAATTAAATACTAGAAAATTTAAACTTTAATTTTACAACAATGGAGACAATATCATATAAGAAACTCAATTTATAAAGCTCCACAGAGGATACTCATGCTTGTAATATAACCTCTAATTTGAAATGTAGACATTTTGAAAATGCTTTTGTAGAAAAATTGCCTAGATGTTGAATGCATCATTTCTTCCTTGCTAATGTGATATTCTTTTGTACACTGATGCGATGTTTCCTTCCATAAGGATTCCAACTAAGTTCTTCAAATAGAAAGAAGTATTTTCTTTTGCCCCGAAGCCATTTTAATATGTGTATTAGTTAGGGTTCTGCAGAGAAGCAGAACCAATAGGATATATATAGAGATATATAAAAGGAGATTCATTATGAAATTGGTTCAAGCAAATACAAAGGCTGAGAAGTCCCGTGATATGCCAGTGAGCAAACTGGAGAACCAGGAAAGCCAGTGGTATAATTCATTCTGAGTACAAAGGCTCAGAACAGGAGGAGCCAACGGTGTAACTCTTAGTCCCAGTACAAAGCCAAGAGTCTGAGAGGGGAGGGGCTGCTGGTATAAGTGCCAGAGTCTAAAGGCTGGAGGATCACAAGCTCCAACGTCCAAGAGCAGAAGATGGAGAAAATGAATTTGCCCTTCCTCTGCCTTTTTGTGCTATCTTGGGCCTCACAGATTGGATAATGCCTGTTCTCATTGGTAAGGGCAGATCTTCTTTACTCAATCTACTGATTCAAAAGCTAATCTATTCCAGAAACATCCTCACAGACACATCCCAAAATAATATTGTATTAGCTATCTGGTGTTCCTTAGCCAAGTCAAGTTGACACACAAATTTAACTATCACAGTATGTGATATAGCTTGGCTGTGTCCCCACCCAAATCTCATCTTGAATTGTGGGTCCCATAATCCCCATGTGTCATGGGTGGGACCCAGTGGGAAGTAACTGAATCATGGGGGCAGTTACCCTCATGCTATTCTTGTGATAGTGAGTGAGTTCACACGAGATCTGATGGTTTTATAAGGGTTTTTTTCCTTCCTTCACTCCTGCCACCATGTGAAGAAGGACCTGTTTGCTTCCCCTTCCACCATGATTGTAAGTTTCATGAGGCTTCCCCAGCCATGTGGGACTATTAGTCAATTAAACCTCTTTCCTTTATAAACTACCCTGTCTTGGGTATGTTTTTATTAGTAGCATGAGAATGGACTAATACAGTGTGAAAATACATAGCTTTTCTTAGGGGCATAGGAGATAGACAAATTTTAATGTTCTGATAAAGCTCTGTTATTGTCAATGAAATGACATAATCATAGTCCTTTATGGAAAGCCATTACACAGGTTCTAGGTATTTTTTCATCAACATTAGAGTTACATGAAAAACATATCTGCAGTTAGGAAATATTTAGGCTGATGAAGTTAGGACCTGTACTTGCAAGAAATATCAGGGCTTCAGTTTCTAAATTCCTATTAATAAGCTCTCTAGATGTGGGAATTATATATTTATCAAATTTTACTTTTGAACATTAGCTCTTTGCAGAGGTTTTGAACTTTGCTCTTTGCAAGGAAAATGTCTACTTACCCTTCATTCCTGTTGTCAGGGAGGAGAAGACCCCCTTGAGTTCCTCAGCAAAGAAATCTAGTTTTAGGTTAGCTATCAACAGTGACAATCAGTGAGTTTGGGGGAAATATGTGTAATAATTAACTCCCTAAAACTATTTTAGAAGAGAAGGGATAAAAAGTAATTGTAACTAATTTTAACAATTGCGAGGATGAAACCAAATCCAAAAGGAAATAGGAGTGAAAATGTCCCTCCTTGCATAGTATTGTATAGCAATCTAGATAACATTTGATTTGGTTTCCTCAGAATAATTAAATTCTGGCACCTTGTAGGTTACTAAGATGACTAAACCAATGCTCTTGCAAATGATTTAAAGTAAAATAAATTCCGTGAGTAAAATTATATGAATCTAATTAACATGGGAAGTAAATCCTTTAATTAGAAAAGTCAAATAATTATTTTTCTTCAAAGAAATGAAATTACTGCAATTACTTTTTGAACAGATAATACAGAATTATTTAATAGATAATTTTAAGGTGCCCACAAGGCAGGAATTTAAGTAGTGAGTAAAATATTTACAGGGGATTCAGGGATTAACTTTCTCCTTTAGGAGATTCCTTAGAACTTCAGCCTTCATTTACAAATCCTAAAATAGAATGATTGTCTAATGTCAGCGTTTCACTGAACAACTACATAGGCAAATTTATTTTTATCTAAGAAGTGAAATAATTACTCGCATAGGTTCTTAAGTTACTGATTAAAATGATGTTATTTATAATTCATGTTAATTAAACACATACACACAAAGCCCACTTATTTTGCCAGTTACATTTCTCAATATTCAGGACATTTCAATTGAACTACAAGTTTTAGAGGGAATTTGAGACTAGACCTGAAGAGGGCTACCTAGTTTCCTAAATTCCAGTAAGATACTTAAACCACTAAATTAAGATAATCTAAAAATAGCACAAGGAAACAGTACAAATGTTAAGCAAGACTCTTACTATGAAGCTAGTTAGAATTGTTAATTAGAGCTGTATATTATTCATTAATGTAAATCACATATAAATAATTTAATACATACGTAGTGCTACTACTGATTATAAAAGTAATCAAAGCATACACTTGGAATAAATGTATTATCCTTGATACATATGTTCAAACTCAATAAAGATTTTCAGAAATTTATATCTTCCTTTTACAAAGTTATGAGTAATTATTTCAAATGACAGGTAACTTTCTTTTTAGGTAAGATACACTGTTCTAGAAAATAAGATGTAGAAAGAGCCTGAATGCAGCAGTCAATACCCAAATTTAAATTTTCAATAGTGAATTCCAAAACATTTAGGCAATAGAATGTTAGGTTTAAAAAAGTGGACTCTGTTATTAGACAGAGAGACATTTGAATTTGTTCTTTGCCCCTTACTATGTGACCTTCAGTAAAGTACTTGACCTATCTAAGCCTCAATTTCCTATTGTGAAATGCATAGTAATTGTAACAATTTGGTAGATTGTTGAAATAATTGAAATAATTATATGTAACTTGCTCAGCATAGTGCTTACCGAGTATCTTAACATATGTGGTCTGTTATTATCATAGTAATTTTTCATACAGAGTTAGACACGAAAAATGAAAGACAGCATGTGAATGGTGTCAGTCTTAAAATATTTGAGGCTTTCATATTTAATTAGGCCAGAAAAAATATTGGAGACACGTACGTTTCTCACCTACCCCAACTTCCTTGGGAGAAATGAAGTTGTGCTAAACCTCTTTATAAAGGAAAAGCAACTTATTACGTTGGAATGGGTGCTGATGGGGACTTGTCATTAAAAACCCTAGATAGTATGCTATGTACAGGAGATCACTTAAGTTTCAATGTGTGATTATCTTTCCAGGAAGTTTAGGAATGCAAAGCGATGTATAATGTTTGATTTGTGAAAGTAACAATCTTATAGTAGTTATTAATAATGCAATAGAGTTTAAAATCCTGTAGCAAAAAATTTTGTTTCTGCAAGAAGATAAAGCAGTTGGGCTAATAAGAAATGGGCTCCCACTTCTAATAGGAAGTCCTTGATTTCAGCAAGAAGGCAACAACCTAAGCCTTCTACTTCTAGGGGATATTTGTTGGTAAGAAGGAGGTGACGATTTCTAAAAACCACTAAAAATGGCCGAATCCTTATCAATAGATGGACACATAATTGACATAATCTACTTTTGTTGTTTAAATTCTGTGGCCTGAGCACTTAGATAACTTTTGAATAACCAACTGATTTTGGGAGCCCAGAAACTTTTGAGTATAATTCTAGAAAAATGAACATCATCTCCATCCGTTGTTATACCCTTTAGTAAGAAAGATCCTTATTCAGACTGAGCGTATACTGCATTGAGACGAAGCCCAGGAGGTTAGTGTAAGTGTGCTTGGTGCTACCATTTCCTTCTTTGTCCACTAATCAGAAATAAAATGACATAATTTTTGATAGCCTTATATTAAGGTATAAGGAGGATTGAGGTTAAGGCGTTCTTCACATTTATTTTGTCATTTAGCTAACTCAGACGCCATCTGGAAGGAGCTGTTGGAACCTTGTGCATGAATGAAAAAAATAATTGGGGAATTAGGGAGCTCAAGCATTCTTTGGTAAGTCACAAAGTGGTATATTTGGGAAGGCATGACAAAGCTTACTTTTGGCATCTATCTTCAGGGTGGGAAATTTTCGTTCTTTTAGACTATATTCAGTCAGTTTAGTCAATTTACTCATATTGAATGCACACTATGCCAGAACTGTGTTAGGTCTTTGAGGTTTCAAGAATCTCAAGTGGTTCTCAAATAGATGAAATTCAGCAATGGTTGCTGGATATCTTTTAATCAAAGGCAGAAGTAGAACTCCAGAGGAGTTACGGTTGTTTTCACAAAGTGGTCGGACAAAGTGTTTCCATTCATGAAATTTCTGACACGGGGTAGCTGCTAGACTTGTGAGAGATGAGCCTGTCACTAACAATAGAAAATATTAGAATTAACATTTTACTGCAAAAACTATGTATTTCACAGCCACAGAATGGATTAAGCGTTAGTTCTAACAATGTCTCCATAACACCCATAGAAGAGAATCTCAACCCTAACAGACCCATGGTACTTTTCCCAAAATAAAATTCCTGGTTGGAGAACACATGCAGACTGCTATACAGCTGCCAAAAATACCATGAGCAACTATTTCTTTTGATCATGTGAGTTTTCTAAAGTGAAAAATATATCTTATGATGATTATATCATTTTAATTTTCATGAAATAAAATTTATCTTTTTTATTTTGTTGTTATTTATTATTTGTCTTGTTTCTTTGATAGTAAAGATACTCTCGTTAGCTTTCTTCTAGGACCTTCATAGTCTAGCATTTACGTTTAAGTCAATGATGTGTCTTTGATTGTGCTTTTGTATATGTATATGGTGTGCATAGGTATATAAAGTGTACAAGGTCAAGTTTAGTTTTATTCCATGTGGATATTCATTTACTCCAGCATTATGGTTGCAATAAATTTTCCCCCAGTTAATTTGATGCATTTATAAAAATCAACTTATCTTATAAGGGTGCATCCATTTCTGAACTCTTTAATCTGTTCCAGTTATCAACAGGTCTACTCTTTTTTTTTTTTCTTTTTCTTTTGAGACAGAGTCTTGCTCTGTCGCCCAGTCTGGAGTGCAGTGGCACTATCTTGGCTCATTGCAACCTCTGCCTCCCAAGTTCAAGCGATTCTCATGACTCAGCCTCTCGAGTAGCTGGGACTGCAGAGGCGCACCATCATGCCTGGCTAATTTTTGTATTTTTAGTAGAGAGAGGGTTTCACCATGTTGGCCAGGCTAGTCTCGAACTCCTGGCCTCAAGTGATCCACCTGCCTCATCCTCCCAAAGTGCTGGGATTACAGGCAAATGTGTCTACTCTTAAGTCAATATCTCATGTCCTGGTTACTGTTTCTTTAAAGCAAATGCATATGTCTAATAATTAAAATGCTGCAAATGTGTTGATTTATTTTCATAATTTTTGGTCTTATTCTAGAATGTTTACCTTTCATATAAATTTTACAATTGACTTGTCAAAGTATGCTGGTATTTTCATGGGAATTGTTTTAAATATATCAATAAATCTAAGAAGAACTATTGATTCTTCAGACTTGTTACTTCTCTGCGAACATGATACATCTCTCCATTTATTTTGATTATCTAAAATTGGCTCAGAGAAGTTTTGTAATTTTCAGTGTAAAGGTCTCACACATAATTAATTAAATTTATTTCTAGGAATGTTGTTTGATGCTATAATACATGAATTTTTAAAAACCAGTAGTTTATTAATAGCTTATAATAATACTATCGATTTTTATATTTTGATATTTTATTCTGTGATGTTTAAATATTACTCATTATGTAGGTAGTTTCTTGGTAATTTCTTTTTTATATGTAGATTATCATGTTCTCTGAGAGAGATATAATTTTGCCACTTTCCTGTATTTATGGCTTATATACATTTTTCTGCCTCATTGCATTGGATTGAACCTCTAGAGCAATATGGAAAATGAGTTGTCAGAGAAAATATTCTCAGTGTTAATGAGAATGAGTTCAATATTTCACCATTAAATGTAGTCTTAGCAGTAGGTTTTTTTTTGGATACCATTTTCTTCTATTCTATCTGTTGCTCATAAGTTTTATTCTGAATTATTAAATTTAGTCATTTTTTCTTTCTCGAGTGGAACACAAGACTTTTCTTTCTCTTTCTATGTAGTACATTCAGCAGTTCATTGAATAAACTCCTATGATAGTACCCTTAATATTTTACCTAAGTTATTCAATTATTTATCTGTACTGTGCAGTAATCAGAGTTCTGCAAATAAACAGAAACAATAGAGTGTTTGTGTCTGTAGAAAGAGATTTGTTTTAAAGAATTGGCTCACCCGATTGTGGAGGCTAGCAAATGCAAACTCTGCAGGGTGGGCTGGCAGGTGGGAGACCCAGAGGAGAGTTCATGCTGCAGTTCAAAGGCAAAGACTACCTGCTGTAGAATTCCTCTCACTCATGTGAGATCTATCTATTGTTCTATTCAGTCACCTTCAACTGATTGGATGAGACTCATCCACATAATGAAGGACCCAATGCTTTACTCAAAGTTCACTGAGTAAATGTTAATCTCATCTAAAAACACAGAAACATCCATGATAATCTTTGACCACACATCTGGGCACTGTTGACACCTAAAATTAACCATCACATGTTATTGCTATTTCCTTCAATGGCTGTGCATTCACCATGTTTTACACTTTAATTATATACTATTTTTATTTGATAGTTCACCTTGAAATCAGCCTGATTTCCCCATAGAACTGATGTTTATGGTTTTCCTTGAATGAACATAGAAATTTACCTTCCTTGTCTTAGAGCTTGAAAAAATTACATTTGTCTTATCTTAGTTCCTTTCTCAGCAAATCGACCATCAGGTTTCCTGACAGTATCAAGGAACTGAAACTTACCAGATCAGTGCATCTGGCCAATGAGACGTAAGATCTCCATCCATCACGATTGCCTAACAGACCACCTGCTACCCATTGACCAACTCCTCTTTCGTACACTTCCTTAATTTCTGTTTTTCTACATGTAGTTACATTTCTTCCCTGCTCTATAAACCCTTAATTTTAGTCACTTGAAGAAATGGATTTGAGATTAATCTTCCATTCTCCTTGACTGTAGCACTCACATAAAGCCTTCTTTCCTGGAAATACTCATTGTCTCAGTGATTGGCTTTCTGTGTGGTGAGCAAAATCCCTAGTGTTTCAGTAACAACTTAATAAAGCAGGATTTAAAAAAAAAATAAATGCACTGTATGAATCTTGTAGCATGAATAGCAAGGAATTAAGAAAAACTAAACTCCCCACGCATATCCTTTTTCAGGAAGGGAAAATCAATATCTTACAGTACAGTTTTCATTCTAAGAAATACTACACATTTTATGTTATAAGCAAAATTTTATGGAATAGTTTATGAAATAAAATTGAACCTCACAGTTTTAAATTTCTTTGTACAATAATGTTTCCTTTAGACACTTCCCCATCCTCCTTTTAATTATATAGTAAAACTATATAATTTTTGTCATAACTTAAAGTCGATTTATTTTCAGTGCCTTTTAAAAGTTATCAACGATCTTTGGATACTATAGTTGCCCTGAGTTCAACTTCATGTTTTATAAAATAGGCACAATCTTCCTTTATGGGAGGAGGAGTTTCTTTCTATGTCTTTGGTTATCAGAATTAGAAAAACTGCCTTGATCAGCATATATTAAATTTTTTAAAGTTAAGTTTTTCATCACTTGTGAGACTAATTTTATTGTATTCTTCACGTGATGATGATTATGATGTGACTTCAATTTACCCTTCCTAATGTGATTGTAAATTTTCATGTAATGAAAGAAGAGGCACAACCAAGATTACTGCACAGCATTGGTAACATGTAGAAAATATATTTCATATTTTGAGAAGAGACAAACTCTTAGCTCTCAAGGTCACAGAATGCTGACAGTTAATTGGTCTTTTGAGAAATAAAATCTTGAAAGAAGACTAAAAATTGCATTCAAGTATTACTCAAGATTGTGTATAATAGCAATATGAAAACACAATGTGGTAAATTATAATTAATTATAATTGTTTGTTTCTACAAATCGTTGCTACATACAAGAAAGTGTGATGTAGACTAGTAATTTATGCTTGGAATTGCTGTTTTTTTAACTACCTGTCCAATAAAGGTTTACTTCAGGAGGGTATATTACACCTAGAAGAAAATTTATTTAATTAGATAAATCACTATTAGACATAATCAAGCAAATATTGAGTTTGTAAATGGCCATATATAAGGAAAGAACACCATTATATTTGAATAACATTGTTAAAATAAAATAAAATAAAACTTTTGAAACATTTAAGCAGACTTTATTAAAAGTATTTTTAAGATATTGAGAATTTGAACATGGCCTATGAAAAATAAAAAGCAGAAGTGCAAGCAAGAAAAACAGTTGTACAAGTGGCTTTCAAAAAAAAATTGCTTGCCTAAAGAGTTTGGTTTGTAGAGCATCAAGAAAATCACGCATTTAAGATTCACCAAGGTTGAAATGAAGGAAAAAAAAATTTTAAGGGCAGCCAGAGAGAAAGGTCAGGTTACCCACAAAGGGAAGCCCATCAGACTAACAATGGATCTCTCAGCAGAAACTCTATAAGCCAGAGAGAGTGAGGGCCAATATTCAACATTCTGAAAGAAAAGAATTTTCAATCCAGAATTTCATATCCACCCAAACTGAGCTTCATAAGAGAAGGAGAAATAAAATCCTTTACAGACAAGCAAATGCTGAGAGACTTTGTCAAATCTCTCACATAATTTTTTAACATATTTAGCATAATTAATTTAACAATATTAAACTTACATGTAAATGGGCTAATTGCCTCAATTAAAAGACACAGACGGGCAATTTGGACAAAGAGTCAAGACCCATCGGGGTGCTGTATTCAGGAGACCCATTTCACGTGCAAAAACACGCATAGGCTCAAAATAAAGGGATGGAGGAATATTTACCAAGCAAATGGAAAGCAAAAAAAAAAAAAAAAAAAAAAAAAAAAAAAGCCGGGGGTGGGGAGGGTTGCAATCCTAGTCTCTGATAAAACAGATTTTAAACTAACAAAGATCAAAAAAGACAAAGAAGGGCATTACCTCATGGTAAAGGGATCAATGCATCAAGTAGAGCTAACTATCCTAACTATATATACACCCAATATAGGAGCACCCAGATTCATAAAGCAAGTTCTCAGAGACCTACAAGAGACCTAGACTCCCACACAATAATAGTGGGAGACTTTAACACCCCACTGTCGCTATTAGAGAGATCGAGACAGAAAATTAACAAGGATATTCAGGACTTGAACTCAGCTCAGGACCTAGCAGACCTAATAGACATCTACAGAACTCTCCACCCCAAATCAACAAAATATACATTCCTCTCAGCACCACATCACACTTATTCTAAAATCAACCACATAATTGGAAGTAAAACACTCCTCAGCAAATGCAAAAGAATGGAAGTCATGACAAATTGTCTCTCATACTACAGTGCAATCAAATTAGAACTCAGGATTAAGAAACTCATTCAAAACCACACAACTACATGAAAACTGAACAACCTGCTCCTGAATGACTACTGCATAAATAACGAAAATAAGGCAGAAATAAAGAAGTTCTTTGGCCAGGCGTGGTGGCTCACGGCTGTAATCCCAGCACTTGGGGAAGCCGAGGTGGGTGGATCACGAGGTCAGGAGATGGAGACCATCCTGGCAAACACAGTGAAACCCTGTCACTACTAAAAATACAAAAAATTAGCTGGGCATGTGGTGGGCGCCTGTAGTCCCAGCTACTTGGGAGGCTGAGACAGGAGAATGGCATGAACCCGGGAGGCAGAGCTTGCAGTGAGCTGAGATCGTGCCACTGAACTCCAGCCTGGGTGACAGAGTGAGACTCCGTCTCAAAAAAAAAAAAAAAAAAAAAAAAAGTTCTTTGAAACCCATGAGAACAAAGACACAATGTACCAGAATCTCTGGGACACAGCTATACCAGTGTTTAGAGAGAAATTTATAGCACTAAATGCCCAGAGGAGAAAGTGGGAAAGATCTAAAATCGACACCCTAACATCACAATTAAAAGAACTAGAGAAGCAAGAGCAAACGTATTTAAAAGCTAGCAGAAGACAAAAAATAACTAAGATCAGAGCAGAATTGAAGGAGATAGAGACACGAGAAACCCTTCAAAAAAATCAATGAATCCAGGAGCTGGTTTTTTGAAAAGTTTAACAAAATAGATAGACTGCTAGTCAGATTAATAAAGAAGAGAGAGAAGAATCAAATAAACACAATAAAATATGATAAAGGGGATATCACCACCAACCCCATAGAAATACAAACTACCATCAGAGAATAGTATAAACATCTCTATGCAAATAAACTAGAAAATCTGGAAAAAATGGATAAATTCCTGGACACATACACCCCTGCAAGACTAAACCAGGAAGAAGTCAAATCCCTGAATAGACCAATAACAATTTCTGAAATTGAGGCAGTAATTAATAGCCTACCAACCAAAAAAAGCCCAGGACCAGATGGATTCACAGCCAATTTCTACCAGAGGTACAAAGAGGAGCTGGTACCATTCCTTCTGAAACTCTTACAAACAATAGAAAAAGAGGCACTCCTCCCTAACTCATTTCTTGAGGCCAGCATCATCCTTTTACCAAAACCTGGCAGAGACACAAGAAAAGAAGAAAATTTTAGGCCAATATCCCTGATGAACATCGATGTGAAAATCCTCAATAAAATACAGGCAAAACGAATACAGCAGCACATCAAAAAGCTTATCCACCATGATCAATTCGGCTTCATCCCTGGGATGCAAGGCTGGTTCAACATACACAAATCAATAAATGTAATCCATCACATAAACAGAACCAATGACAAAAACCACATGATTATCTCAATAGATGCAGAAAAGGCCTTGAATAAAATTCAACACCCCTTCATGCAAAAAACTCTCAATAAACTAGATACTGATGGAACGTATCTCAAAATAATAAGAGCTATTTATGACAAACCCACAGCCAATATCATACAGAGTGGGAAAAAGCTGGAAGTATTCCCTTTGAAAACCGGCACAAGACAGGGATGCCCTCTCTCACCACTCCTATTCAACACAGTGTTAGAAGTTCTTGCCAGGGAAATCAGGCAAGAGAAAGGAATAAAGGGTATTCAAATAGGAAGAGAGGAAGTCAAATTGTCTCTGTTTGCAGATGAAATCATTGTGTATTTAGAAAACCCCATTGTCTCGGCCTAAAATCTCCTTAAGCTGATAAGCAACTTCAGCAAAGTCTCAGGATACAAAATCTATGTGCAAAAATCACAGGCATTCCTATAAACAAATAACAGACAAACAGAGAGCCAAATCATGAGTGAACTCCCATTCACAATTGTTACAAAGAAAATAAAGTACCTAGGAATACAACTTAAAAGGGATGTGAAGAACGTCTTCAAGGAGAACTACAAACCACTGCTTAAGGAAATAAGAGAGGACACAAACAAATGGAAAAGCCTTCTATGCTCATGGATAGGAAGAATCAATATGGTGAAAATGGCCATACTGCCCAAAGTAATTTATACATGCAATGCTATTCCCATCAAGACACCCTTCACTTTCTTCACAGAATTAGAAAAAACTATTTTAAATTTCATATGGAACCAAAAAAGAGCACATATAGCCAAGACAATCCTAAGCGAAAAGAACAAAGCTGGAGGCATCACACTAACTGACTTCAAACTATACTACAAGGCTACAGTAACCAAAATAGCATGGTACTGGTACCAAAACAGATATATAGACCAATGGAACAGGAAATAAGCCTCAGAAATAACGTCACATATCTACAACCATCTGATCTTTGAAAAATCTGACAAAAACAAGCAACGAGGAAAGGATTCCCTATTTAATAAATGGTGTTGGGAAAACTGGCTAGCCATATGCAGAAAAGTGAAACTGGATCCCTTCCTTACACCTTATACAAAAATTAACTCAAGATGGATTAAAGACTTAAATGTAAGACCTAAAGCCAAAAAACCCCTAGAAGAAAACCTAGGCATTACCATTCAGGACATAGGCATGGGCAAACACTTCATGACTAAAACACCAAAAGCAATGGAAACAAAAGCCAAAATGGACAAATGGGATCTAATTAAACTAAACAGCTTCTGCACAGCAAAAAAAAAACTACCGTCAGACTAAACAGGCAACCTACAGAATGGGAGAAAATTTTTGCAATCTATCCATCTAACAAAGGGCTAATATCTAGAATCTACAAGGAACTTTAACAAATATACAAGAAAAAAACAACCCCATCAAAAAGTGGGCAAAGGATATGAACAGACACTTCTCAAAAGAAGACATTTATGTGGCTCACAAACATATGAAAAAAAGCTCAACAACACTGGTCACTAGAGAAATGCAAATCAAAACCACAATGAGATATCATCTCACACCAGTTAGAATGGTGATCATTAAAGTCAGGAAACAACAGATGCTGGAGAGGATGTGGAGAAACAGGAATGCTTGTACACAGTTGGTGAGAGTGTAAATTAGTTCAACCATTGTGGAAGACAGTCTGGAGATTCCTCTAGGATCTAGAACCAGAAATACCATTTGACCCAGCAATCACATTACTGGGTATATACCCAAAGGATTATAAATCATTCTACTATAAAGACACATGCACATGTATGTTTATTGCAGCACTGTTCACAATAGCAAAGACTTGGAACCAACCCAAATGCCCATCAATGATAGACTGGATAAAGAAAATGTGGCACATATACACCATGGAATACTATGCAGCCATAAAAAAGGATGCGTTCATGTCCTTTGCAGGGACATGGATGAAGCTGGAAACCATCATTCTCAGCAAACTAACACAGGAACAGAAAACCAAACACTGCATGTTCTCACTCATAAGTGGGAGCTGAACAATAAGAACACTTGGACATGGAGGGGAACATCACACGCCAGGGCCTGTCGATGGGTAGGAGGCTGGGGGAGGGATAGCATTAGGAGAAATACCTAATGTAGATGATGGGTTGATGGTGCAGCAAACCACCATGGCATGTGTATACCTATGTAACAAACCTGCACGTTCTGCACATGTATCCCAGAATGAAAAGTATAATAATAATAATAATAATAATAAACTAAGTTCCTACTTGCCTATCATGGAGCTATAATTTGAGGACAAGAATGCATTCTTTTGAGTAATAAGTCTTGATAAATCCAATACTGAGAAGAAAATAGCAGATAGAGTGGTTTACCTTTGATTATTTTGTTACAAAATACCTAACATACCAGAGTTTAAAAAATTGTCTGACTTGGAAAAATGTTTTAGGGAAGAGATGAAAAGGGAAGAAATAAAGTAGAATTCCTAAATCTAAAATATACAGATTCAATCAGTGGGGGAAAATTGTGTGTCTGTGTAAAGAGGAAGGTGGGGCCCAATCAGGAGCTAGAACCAGGGACCTAAGACTTTTGTTGTGGGAATGATAATATGATAAAGATATTTTATAATATTGTCCTATGGATGCTACCAATAAACGAATCTAAGAAGTTAGTGGAGTGAAAATAAACGGGAGATTATGGTTGCATGACCTGAGAGAAACTGAAAGTATGTCAAAAAGTGTATTTGTGTAGTTTTAGTTTTAGTTTTTTAAAACAGAAGAGAAAAAGAAAGACAAGAGAGGAGAGACAGAGAGACAGTGGAGGTAAAGAGAAAGAGAACTTTTGAAAGTTCCACAAAAAGTTGAAAAGACCATATTTACATAAAAATTACAAAATTATAGGATATATAGTTGGTTATTTAAACTCTACAGATTTCTATATTCAAAAGGATTACAACTTTTGAGGTCTTATGTTTGTTTTTAGATCCTTAGAGATTTGGAAGGCTTACAATGACTATTGACCATCCCTATTTCAACCCACTCATTTTTGGACAAGAAACAGAGAGGCTCCTTTTGTGATATCAGTGAATGATTTAACCTCAGTGCTATAGCTTTTCCTCTGTTCTCCCACTACAGCATCACACTGGCAAAATAGACAACTGCTTTATTTCAATTATGGTGACACAGCCAATTCAGGTTGGTATAATATTGATATACAATTGCAGGTTACTGAAGAAGATACTTCTCTTGTTTATTCATTATCTATAATGTCTTTCACTGGCTCAGCCTCCTTAGACCTCTCTGGAGACTAATTTCTGGTGCATAAACAGAAGAGAGAAATCCAGGAAAGCATTCAGTTTTTCAAACAAAAAAAAAATCAACAAAAAGTTTTGCCTTTTTTTATTTGCTTCATCAATTATTTCTACAAACTTTTATTATATACATTTAGAAGTCTCATATTTGATTTACAAATTGAGAAATGAACCACAGCTTCAAAAACATAATACAAGAAAAGCTTCAAAGGAGAATAATTGTTTTCTTTACCCACACCCAATGTTTCATTTATTTCATTTAGCAATAAACGAGTAATTGTACTTTGGGTATACACTTTGTCCCCTGCCTTTTAATTTACCCTCTATCATACCTCCAGGTGGTACCATATGTAATTCTACTTTGACGGTGCAAGCTGCACCCTGTTAGGTTTCAAAAATATGTTCTGGTAATAACTTTCAGTTTAGAAAAGCAAAACAAAATGTGGAGTACGCAGGCGTAGTCATAAGTTACGACTTCCTCTGAATGAAAGAAATCATTCTGGTGCTAATAAAATTTGCATGTATATAAAGTAGAAAATCACATGCTTTAACATAAATACCGGAGGAAAAAGCAATTGCAGCTGGCTGTTGAAAGCCTTGGCTCTTATGTCCACCCGGCTAATATATGCAGCCCTAACTACAGCTGCACTGCCAGCAGTTTTCCTTTATTTTTCAATTACAGTTTGGAGGCAGGAAGAGGGCATGTATATTATAGAATTCTTTTGGATGTAAATAAATGTTTGTAATAAAAGAAGGAGATCACTTCCTTCTTAAGTGCTTGAATGCCTAAATTTAGGCTTTGGGCTTTACAAAGTTATGGTTTATAGTTCCTTATCTAAATTTAATTATGCAATCTGATGTGTTCCATTTTAGAATTTTCCTGAGGTTCTGTTTATTGCCCTTGGCCTTCAGGCAACATTTTTTTGTCACAAAAGAATTACCTAAATTATTAATATGCTCTGTTTTTTAGGATATAAAAATATTAAATTTTACATTTAGCTTTTGAAAATGATTGGGACAATTCTAGAAGCTTTGTAGTAAATCATCAGATAATTCCCCTCTGGTTTATATTGCCTTGCTCCTCATATAAGCTATTATTATAATATTCATTACAATTGTTCAAACTTTGATTTAAATCAGGAAGAAAGTATACAATACAAGAGCCACATATCATGATAGATTTTAGTGGGGAGTTAATATAATTAAGGAGCAAAGTTATTTTGGGGATCCTCCTGTAAACTGATTTGTAATTTTGTGGGGAAGACAAACAAATATGCAGTAAGTAATTCACCCTATTTCTGTTGGCCATAAAAATAACTGTCTCGTTATTGTAGCCTATCTCTGCAAATAGTCTTGTGTCTTTATTAAATAGTTTTGTACCTATATTAAAGTTAAAAATAGCTCTATCTTTTTCCATGTTTCCAATAAGTAAATGATTCTGAATTTTCTCAATTACCTTGAAAGCAGAAATAGTAATAGAATCATTGTTAACCTTTGGTAAATTTCATAAATTGTCCTAAATATATTTTGCATTGTTATTTACTTGGGTCTAAAACAAAGGAAAGATAGCCTAGTTTTTTTGGTAAATTTTCTGGTGAACAAATCTACTAGAGTCATGAATACTATAGAGTCAGGAATACTGGAGCAAGTCAGGATTACTTTGAGAATAGCCTTTGCTCTCTTTTAATGAAGGTGTTACTAAGGCCTTGACATCAAGAAATCTCTGTCATCTCTCTCCAACTTTTCTTTGGGCCTTCACATCTTCCTTAGTTAACTTTTTTCTTGCATACTATTCCATTCCATGTACTTGACCCTCCTATATTCCTTATCAATACAGAAAACAAAAAAAAAAGTATGCTTTTTAGGAGCCTCCCTGTCCTTGCAAACTGTCAAGAATATTGCACAAAGTGTCTATGAACTACAAATTTCTATACAATTATACTGTATACCTAGGTCTAGATGACACGAAGAACTCTTACCCCAACCGAAAATAAATGAATTCTAAGCAAATGCTGAGTTATTTCTCCCTCTGATACTCTGGGTGATGGTTAAGTGTGTATAAAAGAAGCAGTATATCTGAAAGTTTTAAAATTTATTTTTCAAAATTATGTTGTCAAGGTCTGCCCAGAGATTTCATGTATATCTCAGTTGAGTTGCACAGACTCTTTATTCTCCTTTGTTGTTTTCTTTCCTCTGTTGTTGCAATTATCAATAGATAAACTTCATTTTACTTTGCCATTAGAACGAGAGGAAAGGAAATATGAAAAAATGGGAGATAGAGAAGGCATATGATCTTATTCTGAATATTCCACATTTCAGAAAACAAGAGAGCCTCAAAATATAGTATAAAAAACTTTAAATTTATACAATGAAGGTTTTCCATGGAGATATTTTCCTCTTTGTGGAAAAAAGTATCCATAGAATGATTCTCTGGGGAACCGATTTTTGTATCTTTAAAAAGATTAGTCTAGAAATAGAAAAATCACAAGATACGTAAAAATTAGGATAATTTTTTTCAATACTTCTTACATCTCTATTACCCATGATAGTTGATATATGAAAGATGTCACTGAAACACCATTTTATACTGTGAAACAAAACTCCAAAGTGAACTGTCAGAGATAGGACTCATTTTTTCTTGCCAAAGGCAGAAATTTGGGGTTTCAACAGAACTGTATTAAGGTTGCAAGATGTCTCTAAAAGGAAATTAAGCTGGTTTTGATAATAACAACAACAACAAAAACAAAAAGAATGTCCTATTTGCAGATTTGTAATTTCATATCTATGATTTTTTCTATCAATAGTATGTATATATGTTGCTATAGTGTTAGATGCATTATTGTTCCCCTACTTAGCCATCACTCTCTTGGTTATCTTAGCTGTTGTGTTTAGTATATAGAACTTTTTACAGCCAAATACAAGTTAATGGTCTAAATCTGTAACTATTTATTGTTGTAATTCCTGGAGGGATTGCTGTCTTCTTAATCTTTCAGTTTTGAAAAAAAAAAACAGCATAATATGGTGTTTTTCCTGGTTCCTAAAGCCTAAGTAATGTTTGCTCAAGCTGACAAACCTGCAGTGCAGAAATAAGGATACCTCAAAGAATAAGTATGTGGGATAGACACGGTGTCTTACACAATCCTATAAATAATCCATATTTTTGAAAACTTAATGATAATTTTTATAGAAACCTTTGCAACCAGCCACTCAAATGGCAAAATCACTTGGAGTGTGAAAATTCTGCATGCCCATACCATAGGCAAAATCAATGCAAAAAGTTGTCTGCTCCTGTAGATCTTTGCTTCCTTTCTCTGCCAGTTAGAAACTAAGAAATGGTTTTATAGCTTGGCCACAGATGAGGGCAAAAAAAAGGCAGGAGAATTCACCACAGCCAATAACATGAAGGGAATCAGCGAATCAGCACTCACTGTGGTTGGCCTGATGAGGTGAGGGTGAAGAGCAAGAGAGTGTGGACATGCCTTTTTGTGTAACAGTTGGCTGAAGCAAACTGATTAAATGGAAAGTAAAAGGAAAATCATAGGGAGAGACAGAATAATCCATTTTTTTCTCAAGATGAAATGGCTTCAGTCAGAAGTTGCTTTAGAAGAAGATCTCATTACGTAAATAACAAAATCAAGATGGAAAGTTTAGGTTATATAAACATTAAGAAATAATTGTTGCATCAGAAAAACATACACCTTTAAGAAGGATTACCTGTGATTTTATTTTCATATCACTAAAAAGAAATTTTTTTTTGTTCTATGAGAAAAGAGGCTGGAGGTAGAAGTAATAAATAAGTCTCATAGTGTGCATGTCATACCTTAACCAAACTAGCCTGAAATTAAATAAACGTATGTTCTAAAAATGAACTTCTCCCTTTTAGCCTATGGGGTTCAATTCAGGTAGCCAATTATTTGAGTGATATTTCTAAAAATACAGGATACATAGTAAGGGTGCAAATTTAAAGCTAAAAGAATTATATATATATATATATATATATATACACACACACACACATACACACACATATATAATCATTTAATTGGCTAGGTTTGTATTAACTTCATGATATTCAAAGAACTAGCTTAAAATAATTTTACAAATCACTACAATAAATAAACTGCTTGATGAGTCTAAATTATTGGTACAGGTTCAAAGAAAGCAAAAAATGAGGCTATGACAGAGAGCAGAATTAGAAAGGAAATATTTGCCCGGTGATGCAATTAAAATAATACATTAAAATTTTAAGTACAGCAAATCAGTGGGAAAAGAAAAAGAAACTGAGTAGCTACTAAAATCAATGAATGGACATATTTGAAGTTAGGGCTATAAGAAAAACTGCAGTATAATTATTTAATGTATCAATGACCTTGTTGAAAATGTGAACAGTAGGTAGTTATTCCAATAAGAAGGCACAATAATAGCACGTAAGATTGATAAGATTCATTTAATAAGGCATGTGATTATAGTGATAACTACTACAAGATGGATGTTATTGTTTGTATCCAGATGAATTCCATTAGAATCACTTTAAAGGACTAGGATAAGAAATCTGTTCAAGCTGTTGTCCTAGCTCAATGTTTGAAATCCCAAGGGAGAGAGGTAATAAATAAGTTAAATGCAATAACAAAGCACCCTTATCTAAAGCTGAGTTCCTGGAGTAGCATAAAAATCAGAAGCTCTTTATGCTGGGATGGATTTTTCAAAGTACAAGTTTCTCCTTGCCTTTTAATAAGTATCTGGATAAAAGACAAGGGAGGTCATTGGCCAAAGGGAAAAATAGTATGATTTATTTTAAAATTTAGTTAGTAGAATGTTATTTTATAAAATCTGCATTTGGTTATTAGAACCCTGAAATTTTTCCTTACATTTATTAATGAAATCTGCAGGTTATATCCATAACCATGACCAAGGCCAGTCAGTTGTATCGATTATAATCAGGAAAAGCATGCTAAATAGATCAAAAAAGAACCTCATAATATATGAATGAACAGGCAACAGGTCCAACTTTGACCTTTCTTAGAACAATCCTATAATATTTTACTTTACTACCTTTCTTTTTATTTTACCCATTATAAGTTGATGTGTGTTATTTTAATCATTCACAGGGTTACCTGTTTTCACATAAATATTTGGAATAAAATATTTAAGAAGGATTCTTATAGCAGCTCTAGGGAATTGGACCTGAGAAGTATTTTTTTCTAAAAGAGAAGGTAAAATTGGTTGTGCAACTGATAATACCACCCATTCACATCCTAAGAATATCAACTTCTAATTTTTCTTTTTTATGTTTTTGCCTGCATATTGTAATTCATTATTAAGTAAGGAGATTTTTTAAAAATACATTCTTATAATCTCCTTGTTAATGCAGTTTTTCTCATTAATGAACAGGAAAATTCACTTTATTGATATAATTTACTATTCACTTTTTCTTAACTGTTTCAACTAGTTTGCCATCAAGGGTTTGTCCTGTCTTGGTCAGTCTCATTCATATGTGATTGACTACAGATGGTATTAAATAGACAGATGGTATTAAACAAAGACTAGAAGCTAGTGATCATTAAGTTATTCAATGCTCCTACTTTCAAAGGGGCAGTTTTTCACTACACTGTCATCCTTTTTATAATATAAAGTTGCATATATATCCATATATGTTATATATATATACCCATATATCTCTGTATGTGGGTATTCCTATATCCATATCTCATATCTCCATCTATATGTATATGTGTATTTCTATACACCCAATAGCCAGAGAGATACATATAGGTAGATAAGTAGGCAGAGATATTAAAAAAGATATACATTTTGCTATTTTTTTTTTTTGAGATGGAGTTTCACTCTTATTGC
This sequence comes from Homo sapiens, assembly GCF_000001405.40. Taxonomy (NCBI): domain Eukaryota; kingdom Metazoa; phylum Chordata; class Mammalia; order Primates; family Hominidae; genus Homo; species Homo sapiens. The sequence goes on from NC_000021.9 coordinate 18,474,332, forward strand.
CCAGGCTGGAGTGCTATGGCTCAATCTTTGCTCACTGCAACCTTCGCCTCTTGGGTTCAAGTGATTCTCCTGCCTCAGTCTCCCAAGTAGCTGGGATTACAGACATGCATCACCATGCCCAGCTAATTTTGTATTTTTAGTAGAGATGGGGTTTCACTATGTTGGTCAGGCTGGTCTCAAACTCCTGACCTCAGGTGATCCATACACCTCGGCCTCCCAAAGTGCTGAGATTACAGGTGTGAGCCACCGCACCTGGCCTAAATTTTGCCATGTTTATATATGAATAAAGTGCATGAAGTGCAAGGTGGCTGTTATGATCAACAAAGAGAATTCTTCAAAGAAGCTAGTAAGAGCTAAATAGCCAAAAGCTGAGAAGATCAGAACAAACAAAAGATGTTACTGGGTTCTAGTACTCTTAAGATCTATGTTTCTCCCTTCCAATTATTTACTTCATAGAAAAGGCGGTCAGATTATCCTAGTCTGACTGAGGCTACACAAACCTGTCTTAATTTTCTGTGTAGTGGGGCAATGTTCATGGAGCTCAGACACAGGTACAAGAGCTCAATCTCAGATTATTAGAATCATGACGAATTTATCAGCCTCCCCACAGACATTTACTTCATGTGAGTTAGATGAGATTATACAGCTACGTGGTCTAGGAAGATGTGAGACCATAATATAGAGTGCCCCCACTTCAGTATTCTCCCTCATAACGACACTTTTAACATTATTTCTAGGACAGCTGGGACCTAAGCCCATTGTTTTGTTTTTTTCCAATAGAGGCTGTAAATTAATATGCAGTAATGTATCAATCCAATAGAGATTCGATTTTTTATTTGACTTCAGTCATGTATAAATGCCAATCCCAAACTACTCCTTTTCAGAGTTGATTCCTATTCTATTAGCTTTTAAAACTGATATAAAGATTGAGCTAAAAAAAGTCTATCATTAGAATGTCAGATGTAATGAAACATAAAGAAATAAAAAACAAGTCAGGCAACAGTGGCTCGCAATTTGGGAGGCCAAGGTGGGAGGATTGCTTGAGGCCACACACGTTAGAGACCAGCCTGGGCAACATGGCAAAACCTCATCTCTACTAAAAATACGAAAATTAGCCAGGTGTGGTGTCGCGGGCCTGTAGTCCCAGCTACTCAGTAGTCCGAGGTGGGAGGATCACTTGAACCCAGGTGGTTGAGGCTGCAGTGAGCCATGATAGTGCCACTGCACTCCAGCCTGGATGACAGAGCAAGACTCTGTCTCAAAAAATTTTCTTCTTTGATTGAAAGTTTTTCCTCCCAGTCATTTCAAAAAGAGGGAGAAATAAAAGGAGATTTCAATAAAAATGCTGATTATTTCCTGTTAATTTTGAGTAAATGATATAGGTTGTTTGGCTGAAAACTGCCCTTTAAGCTCGCTTCATTAGTCACGACTAGCATGTGCTATAATTTAAGACAAAGCCCACATAGTACAAACAAGGGAGCAATTACTTTGGCTTAAAGCTTGTAGTGCTTTGAACTTTATTTTTTCTTTAACAAGATCACTTTTGGACTTTGTACAGATTTTATTTTCTCACATAAAATTATGTCCTTATCTACATTTATTAAATGTAAGATTTAATTTTATTGACAGAAATATAGAAATGCTACATTAATTGCCACAGGCTGGGTGATGCAGAATATGGTAAGTTAAGTATTAATGAGAATTGTATTTTACTGTGTTCCAAGAGCCAAAGAAGTGTTTGACATAATATTTACGAGTCTGAATTATAGGGACATTCTAACAGCATTAAGAAATCATATATGAAAAAAATTATATGCCATAAAACTATTTTATCTGAATCATATTTCTTAGTATTCTTCTCTATTAAACAGCTGACTTAGGGCTTTAGAATATCCTGAGAAATGATGTCCTTCTAAGTGGGATTTATAAATACTTCTTGACAAGAAAAGATACATTTACTCCAATTTTTAGCATGTGTTATTTTATGACCTCAAATTGCAACCCTAGATTTTTTCCCTTATTGAAATATTTTTAGATTTCTGGTAGAAAAATGTATTTCAAATCATTGTGCAAGAGAAATATTTCTTTAAAGGGAAAATGAACTATAATATTAAAAAGAGACAAGCTTTTGGGGGGTTTTTGCAATCTGTTTAACAGGAGAAATAAAAAATACATGAAAACATTTTTGTGCTTGAAACAAACTATTTTATGCTAAAGTGAAACTGTCAAAATCAGCAAATATTTATTGGGCATCTCTGTGTTTAAGAAACTCTTCATATATCCATACATGTCATATATATCCATGTAGATAGATGGATTTCCATATACCCATGTCATCACAGCCCCGTGCTGTGGGTTTACAGGACCTAAAGAAAAACATTGCTGCATTAAAAATAACTTACAAGAAAAGGCTTTCATACCAATTATAGTAGACCACTTATAAGGATTTCTAGGCACAGTAAAGTAGCATAGTACTTGACTAATGGTTAGATAATAATAATGCCATTAATTTGCAGAAGTCAGTCTCAGGGCTGGTCAGTGCAGTGAGTGGGTACTTCTGCAATTCTCTCTCTCTTTTTTTTTTTATTCCAATAAGGCTGTGCTAACTCCAAATGCCACATTCTCCCATTACAATGCATAACACTGGAAGAAAAAAGAGTAGAAAAGGGAAACTCTATTACCCTATATTTTTCTTTAAACAGTGAAAAGTGTTTCTGAAAAGCGCTTATCTGACTTGCAGAGTAATGAGGGCAAAAGTTAATATGATACGCCTTGACCAGTGGCTCTTAAAGTGTCATCTATGGCAAGTTGTTAGAAATCCAAATTTTCAGGTTCCAAACCAATCTTACCGAGTTAGAAACTGGCAGTGGAGCCTGCAGATGATTAACAAGCTCCTCAGAACATTTTGAAGTACTCTAATGTTTGAGAATTACTGCGTTACACCAATTGTGACTCACTTCCAGCGGCTGGATATGAATTGGAGTAAGGTCTCTAATCATACATTTCAGAATTCTCACCGAACTCTAGGCTGTTCTGCATTTTTTCGTGTGACTTGAAATAACAATTAGAAGTCATCAAAGGCCATCACATTTATAGATAGAAAGTTCATACAAATGATAGAGTCCATTATTATAAGATATCATTTCTCCTTTAGGGCTTTTAGTTGCAAGTAACAAACATGGAAATTTAACTGAAACTGGCTTGAACAGAAAAGGAGTAGAGAAGGGACTCATGTAATTCAGGTCATGTAGGGTCTTATTAAGAAACTCAAGTGACAGACACAGTCATAGCTGGGCTTAGATCTTTTCTCTTCCAGGCTGGCTTTACTCATGGCACTGGTTTCTAGGAGCTCCAGGATGGCATTCATCAAAGTGCAAATCTAGAGAAAATATAAAGTTTACTTTCACTTACTGAAGAGTCTGATTGAAGATTATATACTATATGTTGTTCATAATTCCTTCCTGAATAATCACCCTTACTGTAGCAATGTTTTAGGCTGTTTATCTCAGATCCAATTATATGCCCATTTTCAGACATGGGAATAGATTTAGACTCCAATCCTGTGTTTAAAAATGTGGTTATCACCCACAATTAGGAAAGGTTCCTTAATCCCAAGAGTGAAGGGACTTGAGGTGGCAAAAGTAAATAATGGCCATTTAAATCTATAAAGTCATCTGTGAGGAATGGAATACATAAAAGTCAATAACTAATCCTACCTTGGGTCCGTAAATGCCCCTGTGTATATACAAGATGTTGAAATCTCTTAATCATGATTATGGAAAGGCAAATGATGTTTTTTTCCAGAGTAAAGTCAATATACATTGACTACATGATGCAGTAACTAGAAACGTTAAAGCAGCCTTTGGAAATTATTTTTAAGTCATGTTTCCTTTTTAGTACTTAAATCTCAAATGAATCATTTTCATGTCTCCATCTACACCGTCCCTACCCAGTTTGATTATCTCCCATCTTGGTTATGCTGTTCGTCCCTTGCTTTAATTTTAATCCTTCTCTATTCTAGCCTCTAGGATATCAGATTGTTTAAGACAACTTTTCATTTTGGAATTAATTTATACTTACAGAAATAAATAGGGTAATACAGAAAGTTCTGTTGTACCCCTCTTCCAGTTTCACCCTTTATTACCACCTCACAGTACCCTGGTATATTCATCGAAACTAAGATTTCAACATCATTTTATGTGAACTCCAGACATTAATTGGATTTCACCAGTCTTTCCACAAACATCCTCTGTTTCAGAACCTGATACAGAGTACCACATGGCATTTACTTGTCATGTCTCTCCAGTCTCCTCTAATCTGTGAGAGTTTCTCAGTCTTCGCTTGTTTCCTTGTCATCAGACTTGGAATTGTCTGATGTTTTCCTCATGGTTAGATTGAGGTTATAGATTCTTGGAAAGAACATGTCAGAGGTGAAGCAATCTTCTCACATTTTATGAGGGAACACACAATGTCAACATAAAATTATTGGTGAGATTAACCTTTACAATTTGATTAAGATAGTTTTGACCATGTTTCTCTATTTCTCTACTATAAAATTCCTATTTCCCCTTTCAACACCCTCCAGACTCTCACAGATATACATGTGGAATATTCCTTATTCCAAATACTTGAGAACAGAACTCTTTCATATGTCAGATTTCTTTTGGATTTTGGATATTTGCATTATACTTACTGGTTGAGCATCCCACATCTGAAAATCTGAAATTGGAAATGCTCCAGTGAGCATTCATTTGATGGTTATATTCCCACTCAAAAAGTTTCAGATGTTTGATTTTTGGATTTGGAATGCTCAATCTGTATATATCAGGTTTAAAAAAATGCTAAGATTTCTTTCTGCATAATACTTTCATATGTCCATGGCCCTTAAAGTTGGAAGTTCCTATATGATTGGAATCTACACATACATGCATACAAATACATACATTCATAAACAAATGCATATACACTAATTTTAATGTCAAATGTGGCATATTCAGAATTCACCAAAACTTAGGAAATGATAGTATTAATAATCAAGCCAAACTTTTCTCTGTGAAAGACTGTCAGGCCATTGGTGATTAAAATTTGTTTACTACCTAACTGGGCATCATAGTCAATAGGATAGTTCTGAGTCACAAATGCATCATGGCAATTTTCTTTCATAGTCAATTCCAGCCTTTAGGGACTAAAGAAAAATATGTTATTTACAAGAAAACAAACAAACAACCCCATCAGAAAGTGGGCAAAAGATATGAACAGACACTTCTCAAAAGAAGACATTTATGTGGCCCACAAACATGAAAAAAAGCTCATCATCACTGGTCACTAGAGAAATGCAAATCAAAACCACAATGAGATACCATCTTATACCAGTTAGAATGGCGATCATTAAAAAGTCAGGAAACAACAGATGCTGGAGAGGATGTGGAGAAATAGGAATGCTTTTAAAATATTGGTGGGATGGTAAATTAGTTCAGCCATTGTGGAAGACAGTGTGGCAATTCCTCAAGGATCTAGAACTAGAAATACCATTTGACCCAGCAATCACATTACTGGGTATATACCCAAAGGATGATAAATCATTCTACTACAAAGAAACAGGCACGTGTATGTTTATTGCAGCACTGTTCACAATAGCAAAGACTTGGAACCAACCCAAATGCCCATCAATGATAGACTGGATAAAGAAAATGTGGCACATGTACACCATGGAATACTATGCAGCCATGAAAAAGGATGAGTTCATGTCCTTTGCAGGGACATGGAGGAAGCTAGAAACCATCATTCTCAGCAAACCAACACAGGAACAGAAAACCAAACACCACGTATTCTCACTCATAAGTGGGAGCTGAATATTTCTTTCAAATATCTGATCTAATAATATGATGGCCAGTCATCACAGTTTGCACAGTATTATGCTGGTTTTAGTATCTGAATTCTCTCACCCTGGGAAAACTTTTAGTCTTGTTCATGTATGGATTTTTAAACAACTAGCTCACGTTCTCTTAGGTGGTGCTGTAGGTTGACAAAGACTCTCTTACAATATAGTCTCCAGGAGATTTTAGTAGACTTTCTATAATCTACCCAGGCCATGGTTTAGTGAGATTATGTCATGTTAACTGTATATGCACCAATATTTGAAGGCATGTACAAACATATTTTTTATTTAAACCAGCATCAAATTCTACCAAAACCGGCAAGTTTAGTTTGTAAGTAAAGATGAAATGACTGGACATTCTAAATGGATGGACTTTGAGTTCTTTTGTCAGGGTGCTCAAGATGATGCAGACTTACCTATATGCTCTCACCTTGCCTCCCTGGTGACCTGCATGATTTATTTGTCAGAGAAAATGACTACCTTAAATCTAAGCAATGGGTAGTTATCAAATCTAAAAAAAATCTATGTGACTCAAAGGGAATTTAAATTCATGACTCTGCTTCATTAATACTAATCTCAAAGCAAGTCAACAAGATAAAAGATATTAACTCTTGTCCCATCTTCATGTGGCTCTTGTTGTATTACTAAGGGTCATTGGAGGCTGCCTAGCTAGTCACTATTCTGAAAATGAGACTGACATTAATCAAAAAGATAGCATAATGAAAGAGCAAAAGGGAACAACTTGTTCTAATCAACATTGAGTCATTGATAACTCCACTAATCGAACTCAAACAAGTCTGAAATACTGTGGTCTTGGAATCAAACTTGAAACCAGAGGCAGAGTAATGCCTGATACAATGAAATCCAAGCTCAGATTACTAGGATTTGTATCCTGACTCTACCATTTGGCAACTGTGTCCTCTGGAAAGTTATTTAACTTTTCTGGAACTTCGTTTCCCAATTTATAAAGTACTATTCCTAAGAGTCCCTCCCTTATTTCATCACAGGTACACCGACTTCATCTATTTTCTTAACTCTTCTGAGCTTCTATTGACTTACTTGCAAATTACTGGCTTTGACTGCCTCAATTGAGTGTTGTCAGGATAAAATAGAATAACGTATGCAAAGACTCCAACCCACAGCATTATTATTATTCAGTAGGTTATAGAGGTGTTATACATAATTTGTTTTTCCCTAATAAATAAAAATGGGAACATGTGATTTATTATGTTACACATAATTTTCAGTTGTAAAACAATTTATGTTGCTATGTGATGTATCTTTTTGCTGATGCATGCTTGATGTCAGGGGCACGGGGCATTGCACGTTAAACTTTGTACACAAATTATTAATGTCAAAAATAAAACCTACAGAAGACGGATTAGAAAATAAATATTTTTATCTTGAGATAAACAAAAAATCCAAGTCCTAATCACCTACATATTTTCAGCCACATGTGCAGTTCTATTAGTAAAACTCTCTCTCTTACTAAGGAGTAAAATTAAATTTTACTCCTTTCTCCTATTTTAACCTAAAATGATCTCTCCTAATCTTTGCATAGCAATAATAGGTAGGTAATACATTAAAAACATCCTTTAATCAAAAGTCTATTTCAAAGTTTTACAACCACAAGTCAAATTTATTTTCTGAGGGAATTAATCTTAATTTATATAATCAAAAACAATAGATGCAGGAGGAAAACATGAAAGCAAATTCTGAGGAAATATTTGTTTCATAGATTCAGGAAAACATTTTTCTTCAGATATGACTGAATAGTAATAATTTTTGTCTTACAGTTCTTTCACTTGCTTTACTTCAGCATTTACATTAGCATTAATATAATTTTATCTACGATATATTATTTCAATTATTTTATATACATCTTCACTTCTAATTTTTCTAAATATACTTATTGTATTGCTTCATTTTTTTCATTTTCTTCTCATCATATTAACCAACTTAAATTATAATATAAATAATTTTGATAGAGAGAATAGGAACATTATCCAATATGAACACCAATTTTGATGAAATTCCTGAGAATTAAATCTTCCAAAAACTTTATACATTTAAATCAGAATTTTTACACTTCTAAAAATAGTATCTTAAAATATATTCAAATAAGCATGTAATCTTAAAATTATTAGTTTTCTTTAGACAATAGGGTATGGCGACTATATTTAGCAACAATATATTATATATTTTAAAGTTGCTAGAAGAGAAGACTTGAATTTTTCACAAATACACAAATGATAAACACTCAAAGTGATGGATGCCTCAAATACCCTGACTGATCATTACACGTCTATGCATGTAACAAAATACCACATGCACCCCATAAATAAGTAAAATATTATGTACCAATAAAATTAGTTTTCTCCTAATTTTATTTATTTAATTTTATATTCCTTCAATTTTTTTTGTAATTGCTATATTGGTTAGGGTATACATAGAAGAAATGATATGATTTTACCTATTGAGGAAAATATTTTGTGTGATTTTTTAAAATTCCAAATGAAGCTTATTTAAATTGTCTGTGCCTTGGTGTGCTTTTTTCCTTATATTAGTCTAGGAAATCTCAATTCAACTGAAACACCTTCTTTCTAACTTATTTTATCTTATCTAACTTATCTAGCTTACTTTCTCTTTCTAACTTACTTTATCCTAGTGCTCTTGAATCTATTAATATGTAACTATTTCCTTACTGAGAGTCAGTTAAACAAGACTTCTTTATAACCTCTTTGTCTCTTTGCTTCCATTCTTTTAGATTATTGTTAAATTACTGGGTCCCAGGTGCAAGGCTTATTCTTTCCAAACAGCTGTGATTAGTGGAATACTATTAGTATCTATATTATTCATATGTGATTTAATCATAGAAATTCCAGTTTTACCTCACTAGAATTGTTAGATGAAATTTCTACATTCCCTATCATTTTACTTGTAACAATTTCCTTTTCAATTCTCAAAAATAATTTCTAATGTATATTTTCCTTTGCTTCTTTTAGTTTTGATCAAAGCGCACTGAGTTCAGATAAAATGTGAGTTTCCGGCAGGGAAAAGGCATCGGTATCCTTTCCTTGCCATTGCTATTTATTATTTTTCCAAACAGCAGTTCGCTTCTCTACACCCTGGGCTATTTCTCAACTGAAATAGATTGTACTCTGAAGTTCAGCAACTGCTTGTGATTCAGCCCTTTGGTTCTAACATTAGAGTTTCGGTTTTAACATTTGCTACTCCATGATATTTTTGAGACCCAGGGCAAATCTGTAAAGGTGTTTGCTGTAATTTCTTCCTTTGTAGTTTACATAGCGTAACATTTTTATTGGCAAACCTGTAAAATTCCTTTAGAAAATTATAAATACAAGCCTCGATTAGAGATTTGGGTATTTGTCTAATATGTCTGTGTGCATTATTCATAGCTGTATACATAATAAGAATACTAGAAATATATCTGGATATTATTTCAACATTTTTCCTTGAAGTAATTGTGTGATAATTGACAACTCATCTCACTTTTCTAGACTTTTAAATATATTTTTAAGGTATAGCATTTATACAAAAAATGCACAAATCATCATGCATATCTTTATGAATTTTCACAAGGTTACTACACCAATGTAACCAGAATCAAACAGAGAGAATATACCAGCATCACAGAAACTTCTCGTGTCCACTTCCAGTAACTGAGAATTATGGATAACCAATATGCCAACACCTAAACAACAGATTAACTGATCTTGTTTAGTAATCCTTATTTTTTATTTTATATGACTGGAATCACACAGAATACATTACTAGGTGCCCTCTTTTCTTTTCCTCAAAAAGTTACCTTTGTAATATTTATCCATGTTGTTGCATAGTTGTAGTTTACTTATTTTCATTCTTTACAGTATTCCATTGTGTAATCATACCACAATCTATTTAGTTATTCTTAGAATGTATTTGCTTTCTGGTGAACTAGGAAATCGTTTCCTAAAATAAATGTCAAGTCAGACGATGTATGTACATTTTTAATTCTAGTACTGAATTTACTCACAATTCACAGGATACGATAGCAAAACAAAAGCTTAGTCTTTAAGGAGGTCCATGATTGTCAATGCTACTCCCACAGTGCCTTTTATCTCTTGTATTAGGCCATGTTCTGGTTTAAGTTTAACATAAAAAGTTTAAGCAATATTTTTGCTAGGGTATTTGTTTAGTAGCATAATTGTAGAAGGATTTAATCAGACTATTTCCTTTTCAAGTATCCACATTAAAGGGAGAAAAATAGGCTACAAGTCTCCTTCTAACCTTGATCTTTTCCTTCTCTCTAAAAAAAAAATTTTTATTCATTCATTCATTCATTCATCTGTTCTTTTTTATACCTTCTATTTATATATGCAGACTAGCATACTTTTATATATGTAGTGATCAGGACATTATGTTTTTCTAGTTGGATTTCCAGTTGCCACAGTACCATTTATTAAAAAGAATTATCTTTTAATAAAGAATTCATTGTCATAAATAAGGTGATTATATATGGGTGAATCTGTTTCTGTGCTCTATATTCTGTTCCCACTCTCTATTTTCTTCCATAATTACCTAGCATCATTGGTAAATTGTCTTAATTACTACAGGTTTATCCAATATCTGCCACTGTATTTTTTCTGTTTTTATCTTTCTTCTGTAAGGTTGCCTTAACTGTCCTTAGCTCCTTGCATTAATTCATAAATTTTATAATCAAATTTTCATTTTCCTCATGAATAAGAGATTTAAAAAAATCAGATTGGGTAGAACTGTCACCTTTCTGATACTGATTGTTTTAATTCATTGAGTTAAGTCCTTTATTTTTGTTATTTGTGTTTTAATGTTTTAATATAGTTCTTATACATATTTTGTTAAAACCATGATCTTTTTGGTGTTTGTTGCTATTATAAAGATTATCTTTTAAAATTTTACTCTAATGTCTTTGTAATTGGTAAACAAAATGAATACCATTTACTTTTACATATTTGCTTGTATCCAATAAATTGTTAAATTAATAGATATCCTATGTACACAAATAATTTCATCTGTGAATAATGATAATTTTTTCCTCTTTATTTCAATCTTTATGTATTTTTTCTTGCCTTATTATATTAGCTAAGACCCTCAGTTCAATGTAGAAAAGACGAGGTGATAGTAAATATTTTTTTCATCCTTGATGTCATCGGGAAATACTCTTAATACTTAATATTTAGTGTAATATTAACTATTGGCCTTTTGTAGATAGCTTTTTATCAGGTTAGAGAAATTTCACACTATTCATTTTTTGCTAAGTAATCTTTTTTGTTTGTTTTGGTTGTTTCTAATCATGTATAGTTACAAAATTTTTTTCAGATGACTTTTCAGCATCTGTCAAAATAATTACATAGTTTCTCTTCTTTATTCTTTTGACATGGTGAATAATATTGACTTATGAATCTTAACTTCCCTTGAATTCCTGAAACAAGCCATATTTTGTCATAATTTACTGTAATTCTTTATTGTGTTAGTCTGTTCTCACACTGCTAATAAAGACATACCCCAAGACTCGATAATTTATAAAGGAAAGAGGTTTAATTGACTCACAGTTCCACATGGCTGGAGAGGCCTCACAATCATGGCAGAAGGCGAACGAGGAGCAAATTCACTTCTTACATGGTGACAGGCAAGAGAGCTTGTGCAGGAGAACTCACATTTATAAAACCATCAGATCTCGTGAGAGTTATTCACTACCACGAGAACAGTATGGGGGAAACTGCTCCCATGATTCAATTATCTCCACCTGGGCCCGTACTTGACATGTGGAGATTATTACAATTCTGGATGAGATTTGTGTGGGAACACAGCCAAATCCTATCATTTATATATATTCTTAGGCCTAATTGAGTAATATTTTGTTTCTAAGACAGATCTGTAACTGTCCTTTTGTCTCACAACTTTTCAGATATTAATCTCAAGATGATAGCTTCATGAACTTTTGTAACTCTGGAAGATCATTCAAAAACATTTGGAAATTCTGTATATCTGTGTTATTTCCATTTTAAGTATTTTAAAGAAATTCCTGGGGAAGCCATTTGATTCTAGGATTGGACTCAAGTTTTTAAAGTATTGCTAGTAGTATTATAGTGTTAAATGTTATAGGCTAACATATAATGAACTCTTATTTTGTTCCAGGAAAAATACTGACATAGGTTATCTTATTTTTTCTGCATAGAAACTCTGTGAGGTATTATTATTATTTTGAAAACTTGAGAATTGAAGTTTAAGGGGGATAAGCACCTTGCCCAAAGTGACACAGGTAGTTATTAAAAGAAGTTACTACATGTCTTCTGAGATCCCTCCTTGTTCCACAGTTCGTAGAAGAACATGTTTCCATTTTCTTGCTCTCTGGTAACAAACAAAATGCAAGCAAGTCACCAATGGCCTCGGCTGAATGTTACTTTAAAATGCACTTCATTCTCTACAACACTTATCCTTCCATTGTTAACATCCTTCCCGATCATTCCTATTATACTCCCTGGAAGCACATTTTCTGATAAATATAAAAATGAAAGTCAATATAAAAACAAAATACTTCAATTTCTTCCACATTTTCATAGAGTACTTTCTGAACCATTGTGTATTAGTTGAACTCCAAATGTATCCCGAAAATGGCATTTCCCTTAAACCTTTTTATTGTGGCTACTCATTTTCCTGTCCCATCTTCAATGAAGGGACTAAATCATTTCAGCATTTTTTTTTTTTTGCGGGTCTCCTATTTCTACTTTCAAACACTTCGGTGCAACATTTTGCACAATCTCTTGGAAGTTCATGCTCAGTAATAATACCACCAGCTGTGGGTATTTGTTGTCATAATATAGTGATCATTTCTCCAAAGAGATTGAGGAATATCACACTTGGATAACAGTCATTTGATTCTTCCATTTCTTCTTTTCTAAATTCGTATTGGATTACTTCAATATACATAAATAGGATCTACCAAATACTCTATTAGCATAACTTTTGAAATCATCAACTTTCACTTCAGTTTCACTCTGCTTCTAAAATGATCCTAGGTTGGGCCATGCTCCTTTATCTAGGGCTCTTATACTTATTATCTCAAATTTCAACACCTTGTTTTCGAAATATAACCTATTTGCCTTTCTGGCTATCATTTGTCCCTTAATCTAGGGCATATTTCCTTTGACAACAGTGTGATCTTCTGTGTCATTTCAACCATTTTCATTAGAGCATCTGCATCCTTTGATTTTCACAACATGAAAAAATCAGAGCTCTGAGTATTGGTTAATAAAAACTGTCTCCTTTTCCACTACAACAGCAGAATGCCCACTTTCATAAGGGAAAATACAGAAGAGTCCTTTGAACTGGTACAGTCTACATATAACTTCTGCAGTCTCCTCAGTGGTTCTGAGAAAGAATTTGCTAACTGGTGAACTTTTTTTTTTTTCTATTTCCCCAGTGGCAATTTTAATTATTCACTGTGTCTTCACAGTTGTTTTCCATGATCTTTCAACTTTCATTTTTAGCTGATGTTCTTGCCCAACTACTTCACTTGGAATAAAACAAGATTAGGTTAAAAAGATCTATCAATTTCTTATATTAAAATATGAAGACTCCCATCTGTAGCCACAACGACACTATATTTATTTTTCCATTGTTATCGGTAAAAATGTCTTTCCACTTATGTGCCTGAAATTATTCCCTCCCTTACTTGCCTAGGGGACTTTTTCTATCAATTCTCTCCTTCATTATTTATCCAGAATATAATTATTTAATTCTTACTGTGTAATTAACACATCACTAGATGTTTTGGATATATTGGTGAACAAAATAGAAAAACAATGTTTTATCTTGATAGGTAAATTATAATGGGAAGGAGAGGATAAATACTAAACAATAAATAATAAATAAATACAGATAATAGAATATTAGAAGCTGGCAGTTTTGGAAATAGAGTAAATCACAGTAAAGAAAATCAGGGGTATTTGAAGAGGGCTGAGAAGGTTACAGTATTTAATAGGGTATTATAATTGACTACATTGAGAATGTAAATCTTAAGCAAAAAGATGATTTGATAAAGAATTTATGAAATTATACAGGGATGCATTTCTGGCAGAGGTAACAGCTGGAGAAAAGACACTAAGTTGAAAGCATGCCTGATGAGTTTAAGTAATAGCAAGGGGACTGGGAGTTGCTGGTGTGGGCCAGTTAAAGAGAGAATAATAGGAGTTGATGACAGAGAACATTAGCTTGACAGATTATATAAGACCTTGAGGTCCATCGTAAGGACCTAGGACATTCAAAATTGATAGATTGAGACAAAGAGGAGGAAACAAAAAGATACTAAGGAATAGCAATCAGTGAGACAGGAGAAAAATGAAGAGAATCTTGTATCTTACAAATCAAGAGAAAAAACTATGCCTATGAAGGCTCAGCTGAGTGAAATCCTGATGATCAGTCAAGTAGAATAGGAAACACAAATGTACCATTGCTTTTGGCAATATGAAAGTTGTTAGGGATAGTATCAAAGGCAGTTTCAGTGAAATCATGGGCACAGTCTCAGTTAAATTTAAGAGAGATTGTGAGAAGAGGACTTAAAAACAGTGAGAGGAGACAATGTTTTTGCAGAGTTTTGCTGCAAAGGATAGCAAATAAGTCAGGTAATAGTGGGGAAAGTTTCAAATCAGAGACATATGATCAGCATGTTTGTATCTGAATCAGAATAATTAGAGTGTGAAATATTGAGTATGTAGGAGAAAGCAGAAGGAAAAAATTCTGGTGTTATATCCCTAAGTTGGCAAGAGAAGATGAGACCTGACTCTAAGAAGTGGGAAGGCAGGGAAGTGAATGCAGACTTATGGGTGAATAGGTGTTGTGATTGGTTATGTGGAAGCTCTTTTCAGATTGCTTCAGTTTTCTCAGTGAAACAGCAAGCACAATCAGCAACTGGGACAAAGGTAGGGGTGTGATACTGGAAGCTCGAGGAGAGAGAGCGTGTCAAATACTATTGAGAATGTGGAGGCATGAACATACCAACAATATGTGATGTGACGTCTGCCAGCATTAAAGGTTTGCTTAAAGTCTATTGCTATTAATTTATAGTGACAGCAGTCAGTGTATTTTTTTATTCACCTTTACTTTGCTAGATAGATGCAGATATGAAGTAGACACAGAAGTTGCTGTATTGTTGAATTTAACCATCATTATGGTTTTGCCAAAGAGTTCTGTTTTCATGCTGCTAATAAGACATACCTGAGACTGGGTAATTTAGAAAGGGAAGAGCTTTAATTGACTCACACTTCCACATGGCTGGAGAGCCCTCACAATCATGGCGAAAGGCAATTGAGGAACAAAGTCGCGTCTTACATGGTGGCAGGTGAGAGAGCTTGTGTAGGGGAACTCCCATTTATAAAACCATCAGATCTCCTAAAATTTATTCACTACCACGAGAACAGTATGGAGGAAACTACCCCCATGATTCAATTAACTCCACCTGGCCCTGCCCTTGACACGTGGGAATTATTACAATTCAAGGTGAGTTTTGGTTGGAGACACAGCCAAACCATATCAAGTCCAGTAAAGCAAGAACAGAAAGGAATCAGGGGTACTTCAGGGATTATGATGACTGGCCATGTAATTTGAGAGGGGACATTTTGGGGACAGAAGACCACAAAAAGGAAGAATCTCTGAACCAGAGACTTTAAGGTAGTGGTCGACATTTTTGGCACCAGGGACAGGTTTCGTGGAAGACATTTTTTCTGTGAAGTGGGTAGAGGTGGGGGATGATTTGGGGATGCAATAGTTCCACCTCAGATCATTAGGCATTAGTTAAATTCTCAGAGGGATGCACAACCTAGATCCCTTGCTTGCACAGTTCACAATAGAGTTCATTCTCCTATGAGAATCTAATGCTGCCACTGCTCTGACAGGAGGCAGAGCTTAGGTGGGAATGCTCTCTTGCCTGCTGCTCACCTCCTGCTCTGCAGCCCAGTTCCTAACAGGCATGCACAAATACTGACCCATGGCCAGGGTTAGGGACTCCTACTCTAGTTGACTCAAAGGATGGCTAAGATGGAATTACAAGAGGGAGTGATTGCAAAGTTAGCTGTGTCTGTTCTTACTTCTGTGCCATAGTGAAGTGTTTCCTGGCCATTGCCATATCCTTCATAAGCTTCCACTGATGCCTAGCCCTGTAAGAAAAAAAGTGGATACACATATCCTTCTGTCCTCTGTGTGGTACACTAGGCTTTGATGTCTTACAGCACTTTTAGTGACTCCTTTCAGTTTTTACTTGCTGCTTTCCCATCTTCTTCTCCTGTGATAAATCCAGGAAAGACACGTCTAAATGATAGCCCTCTACCAAAGGCCAAGCTTTCTGTCTTTGTATACTCAGGGTACGTCGTCTTTGAAATACTCAGTATTTGACATACTCAGGGTATGTTGTCTTCCAGGAGGCCTCTTATTTCTATCTGACAATTCACCGTCAGTGTTTTGTTGAATCAGTATAAATCAATCTTACTCATCTCATGTATATGCTTGTCTATCTCTACTTTGATGAATTTCTCAAAATCAGGGCCTGTCTCTTAGTCACTGTATCTATGTACAAGACCTAGCCAATGGCTAGCATAAAATAACGTATCCTAATTAATCAAAAGATCTGTTATCACCTGAAATTCAGCTCCATATCTAATTACATACTTGATCTATCATGACTATTTCCCATTCACCACACGTTTGGAAAATATAACATTGAGCTAATTCATTACTTACCTATCCAGAGAGGCTCACTGCTCTGATGTCCTTCTCCACCACCCCGCTCCCTGCAAGTATTCACAACATTTTCTAAACCACCTATGTTTGGAACTCTGGGTCTTTCTTTCATCTCACTTCTGCATTTTTCAGATCCCTTTACCAAACCTTATAAGTAATTTATATTTCTTTCATCTGGCTTTTGCTGTTTCCAGATCCCTTTACCAAGCCCTATAAACAAATATTTTAAAATGTCTTATTCACTAATTTCTTTATTTTTATTTCTATTGCAGTCACTCTTTTTCTTAGATTCAGAGTCATTTACTCATTCTATAAATTATTTTTAAGCACCTACTAAGAGCCAGAGACCTACTAAGTGCTAGGTGCTGGAGAGAGAGTTTTAAACAAACCACGCAAAGTCTATTCTTTCATGGAGCTTGCATTCTAAATGCCTTAGCAAGAAAGTATAAAATAGTGCTTCTGTGCTATTTAAGAATTTAAAACCGAGTTTGGGATAGAAAGTGACCTGGAGTCTACTTTACATTGAGTGATGGAAGGTTCCCTGAGAAAGTGACATGAAAACTGACCTAAATTAATGACATTCACTGACACCTTTGCTGACTGTTCCACATCTCTTGTATCTCACTCTGTCCTACAGATCTTTCTGCCCTCGCACTTATTTAGTGTATTACATAAGGTAGCCATTGAAAATATGTAACTTGGTATTTTTATCATAATTGTCTCAGGTATATCAACTATGAACTTAGAGTATAAAGTCTCTGAGAGTGAGACTATCACCATCTATACCAACATGCAAAGGAAGGAGCCTCTGAAATGGGAGGTAAAATGTTAGCTTTCCTGTTTTTATACTCAGAATTTTAGTTTTATATTTGTTAATAGAAATTTTAAGATTAATTTAAAAATAGATTCACTTATTCCTAAAACTCTTCATATTTATCACCTGAATATGAATTCCTCCAGCAGTGTTTTTTTTCCACTAATATCACCTACACATTGCTGCTCTCCTTCTATGACTTTTTGAATGCACATAAACTTATTGTTTCATTTCTGAAACGCACTTAAGTCTTCCTGAGGCTATATTCAATAGCAATTAAATTTAACTTGTGTCATACCAATAATACACATAACTCAGTTAAAATGACAATGAACAGCTTTGAATGGGTTCACAGGTCCACAGCAATAGCATGCTTACCACCTGAGTGACTGTGATTGACAGGCACCATACCCAGATTGTAGGATGTGCTCTAATTTTACAGATCTTACATTGAAAGGTTAAAAAAAAATTTATCTTAGAAATGCTAAAATGAAGTAATCTATCCTCAGCTGATGTTCCATGGAAGAGCCCTCTGTAGGAGATTGACAGGTATGCTGAAAAGAGTTTGGGAATGCTGAGTTAAATACAGTTAAATTGGAGTCTCAGGACCTTCCAGAATCTTCAGTATGCAATAGGAACTATGTATTCCAAAAGGATTTATTTTTCAGTGTTTAACTAAGAACCCTTGTTTTCACTGTTCTCAGCCTTTGGAGTTAGTGTTCTATGGGATAAAATTTGGGCACTGATCTGGACAGCAGAAATAATATCCAAAGAAATATAGGTTATTACTTGATCCATAGATAAGAAAATGCAGGATTTTAGTGAGCTGTAAAAGCCTGAAGATCAAGATGTGGACCTGAAGGCCCATCTATTTGAGACATCCACTGGCTGTGGGCCTCTTCCTCTTAAGCTGGCTATAAAATCAATATAGCTCATACCATCTTCCTATTAACATTTCCCCCTGTAGTTAGCTGCATGTCCTAGATTTTCAACATGGTCCAAGTATAAAATACTTTGTCCCATTATCAACTAAGTATCTCATGTGATTTCTTGCAAAGTCAGGTTATTAGAATATAATGTGGGCACGACACACAGAGGCAGAGCCCAACCTCAGCAACCTTTTTCCCCTTGAAATGTTTATTTTCAAAATTATCATACAAAAATTCGAAAGAAAGAACAATAAACATTTGCATAGCTTTCTATTCTCACTTTTACGCTAATGTACTTTGAGTCTAGAGGTAAGGCATTTCAGTGCTCTCATGAATGAAATGATGTAGTTGTGTGATCTTCAGGGATTCATTTGCCTTTAACATTTTGTAAGACCATGTAAGTCATAAGTAATTATAATAATAAAAAATTTAGAAAATATTATCTTTCATTTCTAGCACCATTATTCAAATCTTAGTAACACCACAATGTTTATCTGTGCCTGGCATTTTTCATTTCACATAATTTCTAGTAGCACGAATAAACATTTAACAAGAGATTCCTAGGAGGAAAACTGACCTTCTAAGACTAAAGCCCAAGGGAGTCACAATTAAGGATTTGAAATAATTAGTCTGGTTCTGTAATGTTGTACCTCCTTTTATTCTTACCATTTAGTCTCATTCCGAAAGTTTAACTAACCCTAAGTACATTTATCATTCCAGGAGCGTTATTATACTCTGCGTCTAGCAACATCTTAGGTATCAAATAATTCATCTTGCAAAGTAGAAGCACCTTTTATTTTTCTTCTCTTCCTATATCTCAGTATCTTAATTGCAATGACTCATGAGCTGACTTTTTTTGTTTTTTTCCCGGTTTGCTCACGGTCGTGCTGATGTGTCACAGAACAGTGACTACAACTTCTGCTGTAATTGATGGGAACGAATTCTTCTGGGATGTGTTAATACAGCTGCAGGCAGTAAGGCAAGCAGCGAATGGAAACTAAATGGGTTCAGGAGCTCTAGAGACAATGATGTTGCTGGAGGCGGAGAGGTAGGCAGCCACTAATAACTACAGCTAAACAGTGGGACAAAATCATGCACTAGGTTTGTTTCACCAATCAGTATATATCATATGCATTTGGCAGTTCGGAGTAATTCTTTCTTTCCCAAACCAATTAGCCCTTCACTGTGGTGCTAACTAGTGCATATGTAGCTGCTAGTTAGAATAATCACTAGCATTAGGAGATATACGTAATGTAAATGACGAGTTAATGGGTGCAGCACACCAACATGGCACATGTATACATATGTAACAAACCTGCACGTTGTGGACATGTACCCTAGTACTTAAAGTATAAAAAAAAATGTAAAAAAAAAAAAAAGAATAATCACTAGGCCTTTGATTTTATGTGCCCATGTTAAAGATATAGATTTTCTTTGGTGTTTTGAAGACAAACTATGTCTTTCTTAATCTTGAATACTTTTTCCAAAGACCATGATTCTATTTAGCTTGAAATTAAGATTATTCCTGGCCGGGCGCGGTGGCTCACGCCTGTAATCCCAGCACTTTGGGAGGCAGAAGCGGGTGGATCATGAGGTCAGGAGATCGAGACCATCCTGGCTAACACAGTGAAACCCCGTCTCTACTAAAAATACAAAAATTATCGGGGCTTGGTGGTGGGCGCCTGTAGTCCCAACTACTCGGGAGGCTGAGGCAGAATGGCGTGAACCCTGGAGGCGGAGCTTGCAGTGAGCCGAGATTGCGCCACTGCGCTCCAACCTGGGAGACAGAGTGAGACTCCGTCTCAAAAAACAAAACAAAAAAAAAAGATTATTCTTTACATATTCGTTTGGTGTTCTAAACTTTCTAAACTTGGAACCATATAATTATAGTTTTGGTTCAAACATTTAATTTTGCTGGTTGGGTGTGGTTAATCCCAGCATTTTGGAAGGCCAAGGCAGGAGGATTGCTTGAGACCAGGAGTTTGAGACCAGCCTGGGCAACATAGTAAGACTATGTCTGCAAAATCAATCAATCAATCATTCATCATCATCATAATTTTGCTGATCAGGAGTTTGGTCTAAAAAGAATGAGTTAGTTGCCCAAGATCTCAGCACTGCTTATGGGCAGTCTTCAGGTAAAAGAAAATGATAAGGTTCATCATGGTTAGATTTACCAGCAATTCGGTAAAATATACTGAGAGCTTATAGTGTGTTACGCATAGGACAGGGGTGCAAAGATGAATTTAATTGACACTTGGAAATATACAAACACAAATTATTTCCAGGTATATATTCTTTACCAGTGACATGTACAAAGTGCTGCATGGGAGAAAAAAAATCTTAATTTGGATTGGAGAGTTGGAAGACAATGAAACACATACAGTCAGTGGCAGATATTATTGGTGGAAAAGCAGAAGTCCTGTTGCAGAGTCCTTGCAGACTGTAGTGGCATTTTGTGAACGTATTTATAATCTGAGTTTCACAAATATGTAAAACTACAATTTTCCTACCTGTAATTTGTATTTGTTTCATAGCACAATGAAGAGAAGCCAGAATGTATTTAGATTTTATGTGGAATCTTTAGATATTAAAATCACCTTATTTTCATTTCTCCAAATAGAAATAAATGTTCCATGCTCTTGTCATGGCCAATTTCGCTTACTAAATAACAAAAAACAAAGGCATATTGTTTTTCACAGCCTTGGCTTGACGTTATGTGGGTGACTTCCATGGCTATCTACATATCCTTGGTTTTGATACTAAACATCGTATCGATTACTGTTATTACAAAGATAACTGTATATAAAGGTCCTAGAGTCGTCAAGTCATTATTCATAATTCCTTTAACAGGCATATTTCTTTGTAAATAAAGAATTGGGCATGAAGTTAACTTACATGTCCAGTTGGGAAGAATTTAATGACTCTACCACCATATGGTGTCTGGCATCTTCCTAGAGAGCCACAAGTCACAACATAAAAAATCACTGCACTACAGTGTCAGACATGGATTTCAGCCTCCTGCTGAAATACTCAAGGAGTGTTCAATATTTGTGTCAGCTTTCAGCAGGCATTTTGATGAATATGAATGTAATAGAAATGTCTGAATCTGTGTATGAATCAAATATAAGCCAAATATTAACTGCCTCCTAAGAGAAAATGCTTTGATTATTTTTTCACTTGTTTTTCTGTCTGCCTGGTCATTTCTTGAGGCATCAGACTTCATACTGGTTTAGTGTTGGAGTCTCATTCTTCCGGGGAGGAAGGACAAATTAAGGGGACATATAAAAAATTTTTTTTAAAAGTATCTTAAATCTGTTACTTTTTGAAAGGACAACTATAAAGTTTACTATCTTCCAAAGAGGTCTTAAAATTCATAAAGGAGAGTTTAATTGCAGGATTTATGTTATAATTATGCATAGCCAGAAAGTCATGAAGCAATACTAAACATTCCTCACATGCTGTCAAGTCCACTGTCTTCAAAATAATTGTAATGTAAACGGTTATGTCTGACCAAAAGGTAAAGCGTCCTCACATCTCATGTAAATTAAATGTTTCAGAGGTTAGAGAATGACAAACCTGCTCTTCACCCCCTATTTAGAGAAATAAGGGTAGTTTAAGTTGGGCATAATAATGTAGATAAAGTAATACAAATAAAACAACAAAGTTATCCAGTTATTTTGTTGTGGACATTGTGGCTCCAGAACTTTTATTAACTGCTCACTGGTATACAATGGCTTCATTAAGTGCTATTATCAGGTTTTAAAAGAGTGTCTTTACAACCTTATGTTATTCAAAAACTTGGGAGAACTTCTTTAGACTGTAAGTCTTCAGGGAGAAATGATTTTTTCAAAAGAAAAATACATGAAAAGTACCTAGGTTTATATTTCTCTGGCCATAATTGACCAGCTACGGTTTTAGAGATCAATTTGTGGCTTGTGTGTTTATATCTGTCCCTTTAGACATTGTAAATTTTTATACAAAAGAGTAGCTGCAAATGTTCTCCTTCCCAACTGACAAAAGAAGAAGAAGAAATAAATAAATAATACCGTTAACATGAAAGAGTTCATAGGTGGTGTGGAATTTCAATAGGAAACCTAAGCCTGGATTAAAGGGCTTGATACATATACACTTGGATTTCTCATATGTAAAATAAAGGATTACATTAAATAACCTTCTAATTTTAACTTTCGTTACTTCATGATTCATAATATTGATTCTTAAGAATCATTTCTCTTTGTTTTTTTTTTTGGATAAATAAATGCCTTGCATGTAAGTATAAAAAATACTCTGAATCAGTCACCAATTGTTCTTCTTCAGTAACTATGGTTTCCTATATACTTGTTAAAATGTTCTATCCTCTTACTATTGCCAATTTCACTTACTAAATAATATAAAAAAGAAAAAAACACTGTTTTTTATACCTTTGTCAATAAATTATGGACGTCCATGGTTGTCTACGTATGTGGCTGTCCACATATAGTAAATACATATTTTATGTATTCTAATTAATGTAGTTCACATTTTTATATGCCCCAAGCACTCACGTGCCTTATGTTCAGTTGGGAAGGCAAGTCATGTAGAATCATACTACCAAACTCTACTTCTGTATTAAATAGGACCCTATACATTCTAATTATGATACTTTTACTATCGATGGAGAGAGAGAGAGAGAGAGGGAGAGAGAGAGAGATTCTACGTTGAATAGAAGACATCATCAGGCAAGATGATATTAAATCCCTTTGAAGATTATTTTTCTATCGGTAGTGGGTTGAGTGGTAGTCCTCCAAGAGATATTTTCACGTGGAACATGCAAATGTGACTTTTTTTTAGAATAAGGATCTTTGCAGATGTGATTAAATAAATATATTGAAAGAGAAAATCCTGATTAATTAGAGTGAGCCCTCAATCCAATGTAAAATATCCTTAGAAAAGAAGAGAAGGGGAGAAGATACATGAGAAAGGACGTCTGACAATGGAAGCAGAAACTTGGGTAATGCAGCCCCAGGAACATCTGGAGCCATCAGAATTTGCAAGAGGCAAGGAAGGATTCTTTCCTAGAGCCCTCAGGGGGAGTAAGGGGCCTCTTGACATCTGGGTTTAGGAGCTCTGGTCACCGAATCTATGAGAAGAGACATTTAGGTTGTTTTAAGCTATCAGTTTGTTATGGCAGCCCCAGTAAACTAATACACTATCATTGTCATAAACTTTATAAAACCAGGACTAATACATACATGGAAAGCTGAATCCATTTAGGAACTATATAGCACATTCAAACTGAGAAATTCAAGAGAAGGTAACAAAGTGACTCTTTACAAATGTGAGGTCAGGATACAGGACAGCGAAAGTGGTAGTGTGGTAAGGGTGCTTGCTAGGGCTGTCATAACCAAACATCACAGGCTATGTAGCTTAAACAACAGGAATTTATTTTCTCACAGTTCTGGAAGCTGGAAGTCCAAGACCAAGGTGCTGGCAGGGTTGGTGTCTCCCAAGGCCTCCTCCTGGGTTGCAGATGGCCACCTGCTCACTGTGACCTCATATAGCCTATTCTCTTTGCACTGCATACGTGGTCTCTCATACATGTCCTAATCTTCTCTTCTTGTTAGGTGGGTGCAAAAGTAATTGCGTTTTTTGCCATTGTATAGAGACACCAGTCAGACTGGATTAGGGCCCATAATAAGAGCCTCCTTTTCACGTAATTACCTCTTTGAGGGCCCTATCTCCATATACAGCCACATTCTAATGCACTGGGGGAATAGAGCTTTAACATATGAATTTAGAGGAGTTACAATTTAGTTCATAACATTGCTCTTAGCAAGGCCCCAAAGGGTGAGAACAGGATGAAATTATTTGAACCCAAAGACACAGAAGGCTTTGTGGAGAGGGTTGCCTTCTAGGAGCTGCCAGCTTTGATGGAGAGATAACAGCAAAGCCACAGAGGAAGGCAAGCTAGAGAGTCAATTCTTCTCTTCCTTAATTCATCTCAGGGCAAGAAACACCACCTCGATAAGACATACACAGCAGGCTTCCAGTGCCCAGAGCAAGGCTGAGAAGGATGGAGAGAGAGTCTGAGGTGGCCAATGGAAGACACTTAGCAAAACTGAACATTGAAAATCATTTCATGGAGACCACTTTAGCCAACTCTGCAGCCTGAATGTGTTAGCAAAATGGGTCTGGAGTAACAAAATACATCTTACCAACTCTTACTATAACTGAGGAGTTCATGAAAATGGTCTAGAAGAATAAAGTACATGTTGACAACTCATTATAACTGAGGAGTTAATAAAAACAACATAAATTTGTATAATATGATCTCAAAATTATAGGCATGCCCTGGAAGTTCTAAAAATCTTAATTCTTACTAAATTATGTTTTGTATTTTCAATTGAAGTGTATGTATTTATGTCTTCATAAACACTATGTGGTTTAGAACATCACAGATGTTGACAGGCATTCTAAGATTTAAGCGCTGAATGCTTAGCAGGGCTGTACTCCTGATATTCAAAATGCACTTACTCACATTTTAACTTACCTATACTCTAGGTATCTTCTTTGTTATGTGGAAAGATTATTAATATCCAAGAATATTACAAACTTATGGGATATGATTTTAATAAAACAATTGCTAGAGAAATGATTTTTGCGTGTAGCATAGTTCTTACTGTATCTTCACTACCCAGCACTAATTGATATTTGATAAACATTTACTTAACTGAATTAAACTGCAAATAGACTTGGCTCATTTTCCTACATATATAAATAAGCCCCTAGTACATAATTATTATTTGAACATCTTTATGTATTAGAAACTAAGTAATAGGTGGTAAATATTGGGATTTATTACCAGGCTGTTCTTATTGCCCATAGACTCCTTAGTCATTTTATATTAAGCCGTTTAATAAATAAAATAAATAAAAATGATTATTTTTAACAAATCGTCTCATATATTGATATGTATATTGTTTTTCTAATCATATTTGGCAGGGAAATGAAATTGCTTTGGGTGGAAAGCTGTCAGGAATATTCTTGAGACTTAACTCCTACATGAAAATACTGATTGTTAAATCCCTAAAAATAATTAAATTAATGCTTCTATATGTGTTGATATATTTTCCTGAGAATAGATGATGTGGGGAAAAGAATTGTATCTCATTATAATTTGTGATCAATTTCACTAGAAAATATTTCAGAACAACAGTCAAAATTGTGAAACTAATTAAAATGTATACAGCAGCTGAGAAAAAGTTGCCACCAGAGGGCACTACTGCTCTTTACAAACCAAGTTTTAGCAATAACAAATACTGAAGATTTAATGGCTAGGGGGTCGACGTGGCAAATTTGGATATGCATATGAAATGCTCCAAAAATAATAAATTCATTAAAGTTAATATTATTTATCAGACAGTTTACGAACTGAGCACTGAAACTGCCATTCCCATCAACCCAATTTGACTAGTCTTTGATATGTACATGCGGGACAAAAAATACACATAAAGGAAAATATATTTATGGCATTTCAGTTACTTTACTCAGATAAATTATCTCATATATTCATTGTAAAGAAGGATTCTGCACCTCTTAATATAAAATAATAATGTGAATAATAAGCTGGGTACATAGATTAACATCTCTTTGAAGTGCTGTGATGTATTTACACATATGCAATTTATATTCATAACACAGTATAAATTCATGCATACACATCCACAGCGAGAAGGGAGACAAGTAGTATAATCACCAATTTAAAAAGGAAGAAATTGAGGTGCAGAATGTCATAGCTTACCTAAATCACAGAGCAGCTAGGGTGTAATACGTATTTGTGTATGTGCACACATAGGGGCAAAAATGGGGACAAAATATTATTTCTCTACAATGGAATTATTCACCATTAAATAATGTATAATATACACATATAACATACACATTTTGGAGAGAGAAAATAAACCTTAATTATTATGTTTTGTTAATAGTAATTATTATGTTTGTTAATAGTAACTAATTATTATGTTTTGTCAATAGTTATCATTAAAAAAATCCTTGCTGTACTTACTATGAACTGAAAATCAAATAACTAACAGAAATGTAAGCCATATCCTTTGATGTAAAACAAGAAAAATAGAATTAAGTGAATATGATGCATATGCCAAAACAACACACATAGCATCGTTTTATGTGAAAAATATGCTGTTATACAGAATTTAGGAGATCACTGTGAGTTGCAGTAAACTAAAAGTGTTCTATGCAGAAGATGGAACTGTAATGTGATCTTTACATTTTAGCAAAATTCAGATAGGTGGTGAGGGCATTATAGCATGAGAAAAGGCTCGGAGATCCTGATGTTCCAGACACATATGGTGGCAGTTCATATTTAAATCTGGCTGGAGAAGGGGTAAGGAGAAATAATTGGAGGAATCTAGAAAGATATATCAGAAACAGCTTGTGTGTGATTTTGAACTCCAGTCTTGGTTGCCTTGGTGTGATGAAAACTATTTATATCAGCTGTGTGACATGATCAATGAGCAGCGTTTAGGGTGATTAACCTATTTGCAAGACAAGCAGAAACTTTAGTGAGAGACGACCTGTGAAGAATCTGTTCCACAGAACGAACTTGAGAGGTATGAGCCTTCATTAGGATAATGGTGACAGATGTGGAAAGGGAAGGACTAAAATAGACATCATTTAGAAATATGAAACAGGATGGATTTTAATCACAGAAAAGGGGGGAAGATAAGAAATGGTCATGAGAATTTAAGCCTAGAGAACATGAAGAGAAAGCAGATTTGCACCAAAAAGACACAAAAAATTCAGTTCAGTTTTAGATATTTTAAGATGTCTTTCATTTGTTTAAATATAATGATTCTCCTTAGAGATGCAAAGCAGAAAAAAGTTAGATTGTCAGTATAGATTTAAAAACTTATATTTAAAAATGTTAATTTAACCAGAAGGAGGAGATTAATTTCTGAGCGAAGAGAAAATGGGAAATAAGGGATTAAGGGCCAAAAATGTGAGTTAATCCACATTTTATGTTAGAGAAAGAATAGTCACCACTGAAATATTTAAAATAATTATCTTAGATGTGTATGGGAGATGAAATATGAATTCACCAGAGCCAAAGAATAAGGGATTCCCTGAAGTAAAATTCCAAAAACAGGACAAGGGGGTAGGAAAGATATCATGGAATGAATTAAGAACAGGTCAAGGCCATATTGGAAATTGTCATTTTATCAAAGTTTTGGGGAAATAAGTCAAGTGTTGGTGGGTTTGCAGTGGAGAAACAGGCAAACAACTGCTTGAGAATCGAGGCAGTAAAATGAAATCAAATAGGAAATTAGGATTAAAGTGTTCACTGTTAGGGTTAAATCTTGTGTTATAATATTTAGAAAACACAGGATGATAGTATTTAGGATACAGCATGGAATGCTTTTAACCAAACAAGAAAAAGAAAGAAGAGAAATGAAATATCCAAAATAAAGAGAATAATTGAAAGACAAAATGTCAGAGGAGATAGAGGGATGGAGGACGTAGGGCTGAAGGGACAGCCATGGAAAGCTGTGATAATATAATTTGATAGCCCTGAAGAGAAGTGTTATACTAAGGCTTAGACGGGGATGTTCTCAGCTATCTGAAATCTATTGTGAAATTACATGTGGAACAAGCCAATTAAGAAAAAACCAAGATAGTTTTCATCATATAAACAGAACCAGTGTCAAAACCCACATGATTATCTCAATAGATGCAGAAAGGGCCTTGAATAAAATTCAACACTCCATCATGCAAAAAACTCTCATTAAACTAGGTATTGATGGAACATATCTCAAAATAATAAGAGCTATTTACGACAAACCCACAGCCAATATCATACTGAATGGGCAAAAGCTGGAAGCATTCCCTTTGAAAACCGGCACAAGACAAGGATGCCCCCTCTCACCACTCCTATTCAACATAGTATTGGAAGTTCCGCCCAGGGAAATCAGGCAAGAGAAAGGAATAAAGGGTATTCAAATAGGAAGAGATGAAGTCAAATTGTCCCTCTTTGCAGATGACATGATTGTGTATTTAGAAAATCCCATCATCTCAGCCCCAAATCTCCTTAAGCTGATAAGCAACTTCAGCAATGTCTCAGGATACAAAATCAATGTGCAAAAACCACAAGCATTCCTATACACCAATAATAGACAGAGAGCCAAATCATGAGTGAACTCCCATTCACAATTGCTACAAAAAGAATAAAATACCTAGGAATACAACTTAAAGGGATGTGAAGGACCTCTTCATGGAGAACTACAAACCACCGCTCAAGGAAATAAAAGAGGACACAAACAAACGGAAAAACATTCCACGCTCATGGATAAGAAGAATCAATATCGTGAAAATGGTCATACTGCCCGAAGTGATTTATAGATTTAATGCTATCCCTATCAAGCGATCATTGATTTTCTTCACAGAATTAGAAAAAACTACTTTAAATTTCATATGGAACCAAAGGAGAGGCAGCATAGCCAAGAAAATCCTAAGCAAAAGGAACAAAGCTAGAGACATCAGCTACTGGACTTCAAACTATGCTACAAGGCTACAGTAACCAAAACAGCATGGTACTGGTACCAAAACAGATATATAGACCAATGGAACAGAACAGAGGCTTCAGAAATAATGCCCCACCTCTATAACCATCTGATCTTTGACAAACCTGACAAAAACAGGCAATGGGGAAAGGATTTCCTATTTAATAAATAGTGTTGGGAAAACTGGCTAGCCATATGCTGAAACTGGCTAGCCAAAGTGAAACTGGACCCCTTCCTTACACCTTATACAAAAATTAACTCATGATGAATTAAAGAGTTAAACGTAAGGCCTAAAACCATAAAAACTCTAGAAGAAAACCTAGGCAATACCATTCAGGACATAGGCATGGGCAAACACTTCATGACTGAAACACCAAAAACAATGGAAACAAAAGCCAAAATGGACAAATGGGATCTGTTTAAACTAAAGAGCTTCTGCACAGCAAAAGAAACTGTCATCAGAGTGAACAGGCAACCTGCAGAATGGGAGAAAATTTTTGCAATCTATCCATCTGACTAAGGGCTAATATCTAGAATCTACAAGGAACTTAAATATATTTACAAGAAAAAAACAACCCCATCAAAAAGTGGGCAAAGGATATGAACAGACACTTCTCAAAAGAAGACATTTATGTGGCCAACAAACATGAAAAAAAGCATATCATCACTAGTCGTTAGAGAAATGCAAATTAAAACCACAATGAGATACCATCTCATGCCAGTTAGAATGGCAGTCTTTAAAAAGTCAGAAAACAACAGATGCTGGAGAGGATGTGGAGAAATAGGAATGCTTTTACACTGTTGGTGGGATTGTAAGTCAGTTCAACCATTGTGGAAGACAGTGTGGTGATTCCTCAAGGATCTAGAACCAGAAATACCATTTGACCCAGCAATCCCATTACTGCATATATACCCAAAAGATTATGAATCATTCTACTATAAAGACACATGCACACATATGTTCACTGCAGCTCTATTCACAATAGCAAAGACTTGGAACCAACCCAAATGTCCATCAATGATAGACTGGATAAAGAAAATGTAGCACATATACACCATGGAATACTATGCAGCCATGAAAAAGGTGAATTTATGTCCTTTGCAGGGACATGGATGAAGCTGGAAACCATCATTCTCAGCAAACTATCACAGGAACAGAAAAACCAAACACCACATGTTCTCACTCATAAGTGGGAGTTGAACAATGAGAACACATGCACGCAGGGAGGGGAACATCACACACTGGGGCCTGTCAGAGGGTGGGTGGCTAGGTGAGGGATAGCATTAGGAGAAATATCTAATGTAGATGATGGGTTGATGGGTGCAGCAAACCACCATGGCATGCGTATACCTATGTAACAAACCTGCAAGTTCTGCACATGTATCCCAGAACTTAAAGTATAATAAAATATACATATTTTATATATATATATATATATATATATATATATATATATATATATATGATTTAGATGGAAACATGGATTAGTAAACAAATTTATATCTTTTATAGTTTCGTCATACTACAAACAAAAACTATTTCCAGAATTTTGACTAATTAAAGGTACTGAGAATAAAATTTCATTTTACTGCAAGAAAAAAAAAGAACAGCTACTAACCATGGTGCCAAGGATTTCAATCCAAGGTTTTCAATGATGATATTAAAAGCATAGGAAACAGTGAAGCAGAGAAGCAGCTTGGTTGTGGACTTATTTTGTTTAAGGTTATAATACATATATTAGCCATTTTATATTGGATGCTTACAAGATTTAAGATATATTTACTACTACTTCACTGAATTTTCAGGAAGAAAAACTGATGCCTCATCTTATAAGGTATTGACTGTTATCTAGGTCTAAATATAATTAAATTCTATTTTATAATGTTTAAGGTTCAAGTAGTAGAATATTATCATGGATTTCTTCTGGTAGTTAAAACAACGCAACTCTTTTAAGACAGAGCCATTTTATACATAATTACGGTTTTAAAAATCTTAATTTTGATCTACCACAGACATGTATTTTTACTAGTATGAGTTCAATAACGCAGGAAGTACCACCAATGTTTCTTTTTTAAAAAACAATGATTGACATGTAATAATTATACATATTTATGGGGCACAGCATGATGTTTTGGTACATTTATACTTTGTGTACTCATAAAACAGGGTAATTAGCATTTCTATCATCTTAAACATTTATCATTTCTTTGTGATGAGAACATTCAAAATGTCTATTCTCATTATTTTGAAATAGGCAATACACTGTTGTTAGCACTAACCATCTTACTATACAATGGAGCACCAGAGCTTCCTCCTCCTATGCAACTGTAATTTGGTATCCATTGACCAATCTCTCTCTAGCCCTCTGGTAACTACTGTTCTAGTCTTTACTTACATGAGAACTACATTTCAGATGCCTCATATGAGTGAGATCATATGATATTTGTCTTTCTGTGCCTGTGTTATTTCACTTAATATAGTGTCCTTCCAGTTAATCCATGTTTACCACAAATGACAGAATTTCATTTTTTTTTTCTATGGCTGAATAGTATTCTATTGTGTATACATACCACATTTTCCTTATTCATTTTTCAGTTGAGGGACATATTGGTTGATTCCATATCTTGGCTATTACGAACAGTGCTGAAATAAACATAGGAGTGCAGATATCTTTTTGACATACTCATTTCATTTCATTTGGATATATACCCAGTAGTGGGATTGCTGGATTACATGGTAGTTTTATTTTTAATTTCTTGAGGGAAATTTAATCTGTTTTCCATAATGGCTGTACTAATTTCCACTCCCACCAGCAGTGTGTAAAAGTTGTCTTTTCTTAGCAACTTCATCCATACTTATCTTTTAATGTTTTAATGGTAGCCATTCTAACTTGAGTGAGGTGATATCTCATTATAGTTTTCACTTAAATTTTTCAGATGATTAGTGATGTTGAGTATGTTTTTTTCATATACCTGTTGGCCATTTGTATGTCTTCTTTCAAGAAATGTCTGTTCAGGTCTCTTGATTATTTCTTAATCAAGTTATTTGTTTATTTGTTGTTGAGTTGTTTAAATTCCTTATATATTTTGGATATTAACCCCTTACTAGATGTATGTTTTGCAAATGTTTTCTTCCATTCTGTAGGTTGTCTCTTTGTTCTGTTGATTGTTTCCTTTGTTGTGCAAACACTTTATAAGTTGATGTAATCTCATTTGTCTATATTTGCTTTAGTTGCTCGTGCTTTTGAGGTTTTCTCCAAAAAGTCCTGTCCTAGACTAATGTCATTAAGATTTTTCGTTTTTTTTTTTCTTTTTTTGCTTTTAGGTGTTTTATTTAGCTCTTTAATGTATTTTGAGTTAATTTTTATATATGGTGAGAGATAAACAACTAATTTCATTCTTTTGCCTATGGATATCCAGTTTTCACAGCACCATTTATTGAGGAAGCTCTCCTGTCCCCATTGTATGTACTTGGCACCTTTGATAAAAAATCAATTGGCTGTAGATGTGTGGATTTATTTCTGGGATCTCTATTCTGTTTCATTGGTCCATATGCCTGTTTTTATGCCAGTACCATTTTGTTTTGGTTATTATAGTTTTGCAGTATTTTTTTTTTTTTTGAAGTCAGGTAGTGTGATGCCTCCAGCTTTGTTTTTTTTTTTTTTGGTTTGTTTTTGCTCAATATTGCTTTGACTATTTGGGTATTTTGTGGTTCTATACAAATATTATGAATTGAAAATAATTCCTATGAAGAATGTATGTCACTGGCATTTTGATATGAATTGTATTAAATCTATAGATAACTTTGGATAGTATGGACATTTTAACAATATTAATTCTTTCAATACATGAAAATGAGATATTGTACCATTCTTGTGTGGTCTTCAATTTCTTGCCTCCATATTTTATAGTTTTCATTGGAGAGACATGTCACCTCCTTGGTTAAATGTATTCCTAGTTTTTTCTTTTGAGGGGTTTTGGTAGCTATTATAAGTGGGATTGCTTTCTTGATTCCATTTTTAGGTAATTTGCCATTGGTATGTAGAGATGCTGTTGATTTTTCTTTTTGGAAAGATTGATTGTGGCATGATATTTGGGAAAGTGGTAATTGTTTTATTTATTGTGTCTAAATTTTCCATGAAGTTTCTTCTTAAACTTTTTCCATGCCACACCATTCATAGAAAGTGAAAATGCAAGGCAGATCAGAAGAAATGTAGCAGGCATTTCAAGACCAGTGGTGACCTATTGAGGGGTTCATTCACCCCAGTTACCATCTTGAGAGTTTAGGGTTTTCTAATGTATGCTTCATTTTAACTAATTGCCACACTGGGTTGTAAGCTGTGCTTGGAATTACCATTGGTCAATGAAACCAGACACATGGGAATTATCCTTAATTCCTCCTCCTTTCTCACTGTCATTCTTAGCAAACCACCTAGACCTATTTTGAATCTCTTTCCTTCTATACTCTTATCTCTTGTCCTGGTTCATTGTATCCCCAAATACTAATGATATATAATATAATTAATATGCTATATGATTACTATAATACAATTAATATAATAAATATGATTATATAATAAAATATGATTAATATAATGTAATATGATACATTGGAAATCTCTCTTTGAATGGGGAGATATTTATCAGGAGCTAGGTATGAAGTGGAAAAGTGATTGATAGGTTGCTTCTGTACCTTGTGCCAACCTTTGCTATTCCAGGAATTCAGGACTCAATATAATTGAGAAAATGGGCAGATGGGATTATTTCCATTTAATTTAACATTTGACTCAAATTTTTTGCTCATTGCTATAATTGCACTGTTGTATGGTTTAAAATGCTTCATGTGCTTCCCACCTCCCTAGAACTATGAGTTTCTGATCTCCAATTCTGTAACTTATTCACATTTATATATCAAGCACATGCCATAATTTCTAAGTCAGAGTAAGAGCTTACTTTTTAAGTCATTAAATGAATAAATTTTTTGGATCAATAATGTATAAGTCACCTTTAAAATAAACAGTTCCAGGCATGCAAGTATGAGTAAGACACATATTTTTACTCTAACAGTGGAGGACATGAAAAGGGGATAGGTAGGATGTGTATTACATACACACAAAAAAAAACTTGATAAGTGATATGAAAGAAATACATTAAGTAGTATGAGAGGGATCATGGCCATATTTGCAGCTTAATTTAGAATGCCTGTTCACGCTGACAGACAAAGCCCTAAAGTTAACACCAAATGAGCTTCTTTCAGGACACCATGGTGCTCCGGACTCTAGATCTTTCATTCATCATCAAGTTCTAAAAAATATTTTGACAGGTTGGATCTATAATAAGGTGAATTTAGTAAGGCAGAATTTAATAACGATAAATGAAAACCTGCATGCACTCAAGTGCAAAAATCAAAGGAGTAAGAAAGCTTTACATGTTTTTTGACTCTTAGCTCAATACAAATCAACAGTGGTTCAGTTTTTAAAAAACTTTATAAATATAAACTTCATTATTTCCAGAGTATCTACAATAAGACAGATAAAATTTCCCTCTCTACCTTGTACATGTAGGAATTCACCAAATGCATGAGTACTTTATTGATTTATTATTTGTTTAATTTATATCCTGCCCAATTTCCAAAATGATTTGAAGCAACTACCTTGGCCTCATTTTGTATAAAGCTTTCAGACAAAACAAAACTTGTAGAAAAGTATAGAAAAACTAGAAAAAAATCTAATTTGATGTTTTAAAGGATCTAAAACACTATTTTCACAGCTGTGTAACATTAGCAGCAATTAATAATTTAGCAATACATTTTATTTTTCACTGAATAAATTCATTAAGCATTTGTTAAATGCCTACTATGTACCAGATACACTATTAGATTTTGGGGATTCAATGGGAAAAGATAAAATGATAAGAAAAAAATCTTCCTTTTGTTTATAACACTCATGATCTAGCTGAGAAAAAGACAATCCAATGATCTCAGGAATAAACGTGTAATTGCAGACACTTATTAATTGCTATTATATGTCCTGAGAAGGACAACTATAACTCTGGAATTGTGCTCTGAAGGCATAACCAATGAGAAGTATTAGATTAAGCAAAGGTGTGATGTGGTTTGGCTCTGTGTCCCCACGCAAAACTCGCCTTGAACTGTCATAATCCCCACATGTCAAGGGCAGAACCAGGAGGAGGTAATCGGATCATGGGGGCAGTTTCTCCTATGCTGTTCTCATGATAATGAGTGAGTCTCACAAGATCTGCTGGTTTTATAAGTGTCTGGCATTTCCCTGCTTGCACTCATTCTCTCTCCTGCCACTCTGTGAAGAAGTGCCTCCTGCCATGACTGTATGTTTCCTGAGGCCTTCCCAGCCATGGGAAACTGTGAGTCAATTAAAACTCTTTTCTTTATAAATTACCCGGTCACAGGTGTTTCTTCATAGCAGTGTGAGAATGGAGTAATAGGAGTGAACTGGTACCACAGGGAATGGGGTGCTGCTATAATGGTACCTGAAAATGTGGAAGCGACTCTGAAACTGGGTAACAGGCAGAGTTTGGAACAGTTTGGAGGGCTCAGTGGAAGATAGGAAGATGTGGGAAAGTTTGGAACTTCCTAGGGACTATTGAATGGTTTTGATCAATATGTTGACAGTGAAATGGGTAATGAAGTCTAGGCTGAAGAGGTCTCTGATGGAGATTAGAAACTTATTGGGAACTGGAGCAAAGGTGATTCTTGCTATGTTTTAACAAAGAGACTGGCAGTGTTTTGACCCTGCACTAGAGATTTGTGGAACTTTGAACTTGAGAGATGATTTAGGGTACCTAGCAGAATACATTTCTAAGCAGCAAGGTGTTCAAAGGGGGACTTCAGTGGTCTTAAAAGCATTAAGTTTTATTCATTCATAAAGATATGGTTTGGAATTGGAACTTATGTTTAAAAGGGAAGCACAGCAAAAAAGTTCAGAAAATTTGCAGCCTGATGATGCGATGGAAAAGAAAACCCCAATTTCTGAGGTGAAATTCAAGCCAGCTGCAGACATTTGCATAAGTAATGAGGAGCCAAATGTTAATTTTCCAAGACAATGGGGAAAATGTCTCTACTGCATGTCAGAGGTCTTTACAGCAGCCCCTCCCATTACAGGCCTGGAGGTCTAGAAGGAAAAAATGGTTTCCTAGGCTATGTCCATGGCCTCTCTGCTGTGTGCAGACTTGAGACTTAGTGCTCTGTGTCCCAGCTACTCCAGCCATGGCTAAAAGGGACCAATGTAGAGCTCAGGTCTTTGCTTCAGAGGGTGCAAGGCCCAAGCCTTGGCAGCTTACACGTGGTATTGGGCCTATGGGTGCACAGAAGTCAAGAATTGAGGTTTGGGAACCTCTGCCTAGATTTCAAAGGATGTATGGAAATGCCTGGATGTCCAGGCAGAAGTTTGCTGTGGCAGTGGAGCCCTCATGGAGAACCTCTCCTAGGGCAGTGTGGAAGGGAAATGTGGGGTCAAAGCCCCCATACATAGCTTTTGTTTCTCTTTTTTATATTTATAACTAAAGTTTACACAGTCTATTTTATCAATGATGTCTAGTAAGACAATGAATGAATACTCTTTCAGGATAAGTACTAACTCCCTACTGGGGCACTACCTAGTGGAGCTGTGAGAAGAGGGTCGTCCTCCAGACCCCAGAATGGTCTATTAACCAACAGCTTGCACCGTGTGCTTAGAAAAGCCACTGACACTCAACACCAGCCTGTGAAAGCAGCCTGGAGGGTCTGTACCCTGGAAAGCCACACTGGCAGAGCTTCCTAAGGCCTTAGGGGCCGTCTCTTGCATCAGCGTGCCCTGTAGGTGAGATATGGAGTCAAAGGAGATCATTTTGGAATCAGATTCTTTAGGCTCACTCCTGATACACATTGTGTTAGCATGATGCTAATAAAATTTTATTCTGTTATGATATAATTTATGTCCTATGGAGCAGTGTATTTGAAATAGTTCTAAACTAGAACTGAAAATGTCTGGTTTTTAGTCTTGCTTCTGCCATTAAAGAGTAAATGTATCTTGGTACTCATTTTACTACCTCCAGAGATTTTAAAATTAGGTTAATGTTCCATTCATTTTTAATATTCCTCTAAGCCATACCTCTCATATTTTAACCCCCTAAGTAAATGGTATGGGGAAAGAAAACTTATGTAATCCACGTTTCAGTTAGGAAATACATTTTCTAATATTAGATTAAATATAATTAAAACAATAATAAAATATTTGAAAACAATAAAATGATTCAATAGTAGAATAAGCAAAAATCAGATATAGAATGATAAGGCAACCCCAAAACAGGTTGAATAAAATCAACCTGAACAAAAGCAACAGTGACTTATATACTAACTTGAAAAATTATAATCAGCTACAGAAATCTGAATAAATTGAATTATAGTAATTAACTTGACAGTATAATCTCAAGAAAATAGAAAAAAACCCATGAGTATAATCAAGTCTAGATGTCAGATAAACAAGTAGCAAAATATTTTTTTAAAAGCTATGTATTTTTCCCTACCGATATTCCCAAATTAATGTCTAAATGAATGCAAATGTTTATATTCCTTGTTGAAGGATTTTTGCTTATCACTGAAATGTAGTCACTTCTACAATGAAACCAAACTTCATTATTCAAAGACACAAATGTAAATGAACTAATTACCAAACATCAAATCCAAATTGTATATTTTACAAGAGGTTTAGCAATCAACTGAATTCAGTTGGTAGTCAACAGGAGTTAGTACTTATCCTGAAAGAGTATTCATTCACTGTCTTATTAGACATCATTGATAAAATAGACTATGTAAACTTTAGCTATAAATATAAAAGAGAGAAACAAAAGCTATTTAATACTTTCAGCATTTAAGAGTGAAGTCAGGCTTTGCTGCAAAGTAGAAACTTGGTCTGGAAAAAGAAACATTGTTCTTGAGTTGAATTGCTAGACATCAAAAAGTACTTACATGTCATGGCTGACCTTGCTGGTTTAGAATAAGAAACATCTCTTGAAGATATTTCCCAAGCATTTCTCCTCCTCCAGTTACTTACTTGACTCCTCCCTCAATCACTCCTGCTGCCCACGAACTTCATTAATAAGAGTAGGAACCACGAACTTTCTACCTTGCAACTTCTTCAGAGACAGTATCAAAACAACAACCCATTTACACCTCCAACCAACTTGTGTATCACCACAGAATAGTCTCAGGAATTAAGAGTGTCCACTGTCAGCTACTTGAAGAGTTAAAAATGACTACTGTTGGCTGGGCACAGTGGCTCACACCTGTAATCCCAACACTTTGGGAGGGTGAGGCAGGCAGATCACTTGAGGTCAGGAGTTCAACAACAGCCTGGCCAACATGTTGAAACCCTCTCTCTAATAAAAAATACAAAAAGTAGCTGGGCGTGGTGGTGCACACCTATAATCCCAGCTACTTGGGAGGCTGAGGTGGGAGAATCACTTGAACCCGGAGGGCAGAGGTTGTAGTGAGCTGAGATCGTGCCACTCCACTCCAGCCTGAGTGACAGAGTGAGACTCCGTCTCAAACAACAACAACAACAACAACAACAACAACAAAAAAAAAACAAAAACAAAGACTACTGTTCTTTCAGCATTCATTAATAAGAGTAGGAACTATTATTTGGATGAAAATTAACTTAGAATTTGCTGAAAATGAGTATGGGACACCTATTCTCTGGCAACACTTTGCTATAATTGTGTCTGAGTTAGTGAATGAGGTGGATATGGGCCCCGACCTTAGGAAGTTTTAGTCTACTTGGGGAGAGTCACATAGCCTAGGATGTAACCTGTTAAAGGGATGCTTTGTCCCCACTCTTGATGTTTCCATTCCGGTGGAGGGAAGTCCAAAGATATAATGCTTTTAGTTTCATTTTGCCTTTAAGAAATGGAGTGCTTTTTTTTTCAAGTAGGTAAATTAACAACAATAAAAACAAAACAACTGGGCATGCTTGACTTAAAGTACATCTCCTTTATAGAAAGAAACTTACATTCTTGACTTTTCTGCAGTACCAAGTTGCCTGCCAGGGATACCCACCCCTGCCTAAAGTCAGGTGGCTAAATTTACTCAATCCTGTAGTCTGCTGGTCTCTCATACAATGCTAATACGTCAAACTAGTACTACTGATGATGAAGGTAATACTTTCCCTCTTTTATTATCATTTTGCTTTTTAAATGTTCTCAATTAGTTCAGTGCCTGGTCAAGAGAGAAAAAAATCATACATTGAGATCCCTCAGAAACCCACAACACAGCCAAAATGTGAGAATGGGTAAGTGGAAAGAATATGCATTATCCTAACTCTTTTAATACTTACTACTTCAGTGCACATTGTTCTGATAAGAGGATAAAGTAAACACAGATAAGGTTAAAAATCACAATTTCCCTGAAAAACATTAACTGCATTACCAAAAATCCTATAATCCCTAGAAATTATCATGTCCATTTATGATTCTGGCTTAATTTTGAAAAGGGGAGAATGAATAATAGGCTATTCCTACTATAGGATCTTTGCCAATCAACCTATGATAAACTGATAAATAAATAAATAAATAAATAAATAATATTTAAATGAGACAGGTTACTGTCATTTAGGTCAAGAGCCAGAAGAAGACATGTGGTTATACATGCTTGAGAAATCTAGACAAAATGGCTCTAAGGAATAGTTGATTAAAAACTTAAAATACAAAACCATTCTAGTATTCAGTTTTCGATCAGTTTTAAACTTCAACTCTATTACAAGGAAGTAACTTATAAAGCAGATCTTTCTTTTTTGTTTTTGCTGCCACCAAAAAAAATGTGGATGTGTGGATATTAAACTCACCTGACTTCATCATCTCTCTATAATCCAGGATACACATAATATACTGAGCTATTAGCAAGATCACAATACATGTTTTTGAACTTCATCCACCTATATCATAATAAAAACTTGTAGAGTAGGTGGGGAGATTGGAATCGAAATGCCATAGCTAATTTGGTAAAGAAATGATACACGGTTCTAGTATCTGTTAACAGTAAAAGTTTTCCCATACCAAAAACGCCATGTTATGTAAATATGCACATTGTACTTTTCATTATGCAGTCCTTCAAAGGGTAATAATTTGCTAATGTTATTTCAACTTTCTGCAGGCCTTTTGGTATGAAAAGACTAAAAATTACAGGACACAAGCATTCATTAAATGGATATATTTTACTCTAGAAAGTAATAAAAGGAATTACAAACATTTAATTTTTCTCCTTTTCACTTGAAGCTATTTTTTTAAAGAAATTTAGAACAATATTTTTATTCTATAATTCTTGAAGAAATTGTTTTTTGAAAACAAATCCACTGTAATACAGAACTAAAGCAAATTTTAGTTGATAAAATAATGTGGGCTCTAGTCCAGATATACATTTTTTTAAAAGTGAAAACTAAGTTAATCTATAAACTTGTTAAGCAAGAAGATCAAGAAGCGCAAGAGCCCGAAATTGAAATGCCTTAACAATCAGTGAGGTGACTTAAATCACTGAACTGGGAATTATATTGGACAACTGGTAACCATGGGGATTTTGTTACATCAAAGTAAAGGTCCTGTCTGGAGATATTGCAGGCTGTGTTGCTACAGCTTCTTGAGTTACTTCAAAATAGTTGAAAACTCAGCTTTTATATCAAGTTTCTTAATTTTTAAAACTGGCTTTGTTTGCTGAATCCAAGAGCACACAAATGAGTCTGTGGTTTAGTTTAGCCTTTGGATCCACCACTTAGAAACTGTTATGGTAATTGAAGTCAGGAAGGACCCAGCCTCTGAGATCCCTGAGTTGGGGGATGAAGAGAAAGGAACCAGGCTACTAGGTAAACTAGGTATCCTGGTAAACTCTAGACCAAGCTTGTCCAACCCACAGCCGGAGGGCTGCATGAGGCCCAAAACGGCTTTGAATGTGGCCCAACACGGCTTTGAATGTGGCCCAACACAAATTTGTAAACTTTCTTAAAACATTATGAGAATTTCTTGCGATTTTTTTTTTTTTTTTTTTTTTTTAGTTCATCAGCTATCGCTAGTGTTACTGTATTTCATGGGTGACTCAAGACAATTCTTCTTCCAATGTGGCCCAGGGAAGCCAAAATACTGGACACCCCTTGAGAGGGAAGGAAAGCCATCCAGACACAGCCGTGATGGTGTTCCAGCTGAAAAGGCTGCAGAGAAGGCTTTCACAACTATTGGCAATTTCTGATCTTTGGGGATATTTCTGCTACAGTGTAGTAAGTTACTTGTTTGATTCCACCAGGATAGGAGTATTATCAAAATCCACAGCCACCCTCAGTTCTTAGAAACTCAGATGCCCTTGAATGCAGGCATTTACAGAAAAGAGAATGAGTCATTTGTATAGATGGAGCTATTTACTGGATGTTATCATTTTTAATGCCATAGTACTCTCTATTTTCTTTCCTCTTACGTTCTCATTATCAAGTTTTCCTTTGGCACCTATTTCTCCAGATGCTAACAGTGAATACAATTTTCCTACCCAAAAATTTCTTTCAATTTTTGGGTAGGAACAAACAGACATGAATATAAATAACAGCAGGGGTAGTTTGCTCTTAAAGATGTTCCCCGGGTGTTTCTTTCTTGGAGGACGCTATAATTGTCCAATTTAACTCTGTTAGCATTTTGGAGAATAACAGATACATAGAACAGATATCCTTATGGTAGAATTATCTGAGTGCAAATTTGTTTAACGGCAAACATTTAGTCAGTAATTCATATGGAAGCTAATATTTTCCATGGCACTCAGACACAGACAGCCAGTGAACGGAGGGCACCTGCCATTACATTCATTCACTCAAATACATTCTATTTGACCACACTGTCTTCCTTTTGGTGAGGATTTGACTAAGAATAACATTTCTGGTTCCTTTGGAGCACTCAGTAGAGACACATTATTTTTTTGTTTACTTATTTTCCTTTTGGGCAGTTGGATCAATAGGCACATGATCGATTTCTCCCAAGACTGTGCACTCTTGGGTGGAAATGAAATTATATAGAAAGAAAAGATTCAAATAAAAAGCAAGGAAAAGATCCCCTAAGGGTACAGGGGAGGGGAAAACAAATTTTCTGTCTAGAAGCTTAAGCATGTTTGACACACACACACACAAAAATAGAGAAAACAGTGATATGCAGAGAAAAGATGACATCTGTTGCTCATAGTCTACTGAAAAATGTGTGACAAATATCTGTACAACAGTCCTCATGGAGGTCAAATTCCCTGTCTCTTCAAAATTCCGTTTCTATGTATCCTTTATCTTATACACTTAGGGAAACAGTAGTGAGTTCTTATATGGTTTTCCTCAGAAGGAACTTCACTTCCGGACATGAGCTTTAATTCTTCTAAAAGCCGTCAGGGATTCAGCCATCATGAAAAGGTCTTCAATCATGCACCTCATTGGGCTTCTTTATATCCTGTTTTTAGGAGAAAGACTTGTAATGTCTTCCTAAATGTGACACTAGCAATGGAAGGAACATAAACTTTGGAAGAGGAGAAGCAAGAATACCACTCATTGGAATATTTTTTCCTCTCTCCACAAATGATTGCTTTTTGTTGCCTTCACGAGATCTTTTTTTAACTATAATTTAGGGATTCTCATTTCATTCAACTTCTAGCCTTTCAGATATATTCCTGTCTACTTCCATTTCTATTAGCTACCATCTGGCTCTGCTGCTACCAGGATTATAGTCAGTTATATTGGAAATAAATATATTTGTCATTATAATTTTACTATGGCAGCTTTCTGCACCTAAACATTCTGCACACAATTGTGCAGGTGCACACACACATAGACACACACAGAAACCCCACGTTATCTCCCACCCACCCTTTACGATTTTCTATTATGTAATATACTCTGCTTCCTCCTTCAAGATTTCCTTAAGAAGTGAATCAGTTCTGGAAGGCTGAATGATCTAAGTGTCATCACCACTTTCTCTTAATTGAATAGTATCAGCCATAGCCAACTACATGACACATTCTTCTGTAAGAGACAATAAGTTCAGTTAGCGGAATCCTAACATATATGTAAATGAGGGGACAATTCATAGGATGCCAATTGTTCCACCTGCTGTAAGTTTAGTGAGTGGTGCACAGTGCTTCCTCTATTAGGGTGTTGTTAGTTAAAATTCTATTGCCCTTTCCTTACGTTATTTTGAAATTTACTTGCAAATGGATTATAACAGTTCCCAAAATATGAATCCAGGAACATATGCTCATTCACTAATTTGCTCCAGTCTCAGTGGAATTTATCTAATTGTCCTCAGAATCTGGCCTTCTCAGCCTAACTTACATGTGGCTCTGCTTGGCAGTGATGAACTCAGCGTGTGACCCATTGAACGGAGGGCACCTGCCATTACATTCATGGCAGTGGCCGACTAATGAATATTGCCAGAGCAAAAATCATCTTTAATGATGGATCTCAAAATACATTTTCATGTTTCCAGTAGCTTCTGTTAAAATTCTTCATTGTCAATTGCAGATTGAGAACAAGGGAACACAAGCCTCAGAAGAGGGTACACTAAGTGGAACTGCAATTAGGAACAAGCACAGCAGACAAAAAGGAGAGTCACGGCCACCTGCAGACAGCATGTCAGGAAGAAGCTGCCACTGAAAAAGTTAGGAAGCAAATGCTTGGCTGACATTGCAGTACCAGCAAATGTACACGGATTTTTCCCTGTAACTATCCATCCTTTATTGTAACTATCAAATTAGCAAGTGTGTTAGAGAGAGTGCCATGCTCCCGGAAAGGGGCAATCATTTCTTCTTCTCTCACTCATATTCCTGGTTGACAGTTCCCTAGGGGGACAGTGGAAGTAAATTTAGACCTGCCCTGATGGAGGCGAGTCAGCTCATTAGCCGCTGCCATCACAGCACTTTCCCTTCAGCTCACAGATGGAGACAAGGGCTCTTTGAAGGCGATTCTGAGGCAACTTCGCATGGAACGGCATAAGTGGGGATCCTGTAAAGTGTCGTTTCCCTGGAAACCAAGTGTAACAAATACGCTGTTTTCATCAGTTCAGGATGCGTGTAGTTCACACTTAAATGCTGGGTTTGTGCAGAAATTTGCACAGTGGATGCCTGTGTTATGATACATGTAAGCGAGAGTTCTTAAGGACTGTCAGTCGGCTCCTTCATGGAGTCATAAACCCCCTTTGAAAGAGCAGCATGTTAAAAGATGAGATATGAATCATTCCAATGGGATGTAAGTGTGATGCAGAGTTTCTGTACAAAATGCAGTATTCCCTTATGCAATTTAGAAAAAAGTATCAATTTTAATTGAATTAGATCTTGTTTTAACATAAAGACTTATCATGTTAATTTCAATCCCCAGATTCTTACTTGTGGGAGCACCAGTAATGGAATTTTATCTTATTAATAGCCTAAGTAACAACACCATCCCAATTTCATCCATACACATTTGATTCAAAAACACAAGT
The DNA here is from genome assembly GCF_000001405.40 of Homo sapiens. Taxonomy (NCBI): domain Eukaryota; kingdom Metazoa; phylum Chordata; class Mammalia; order Primates; family Hominidae; genus Homo; species Homo sapiens. Next base: position 18,518,780 of record NC_000021.9, read on the forward strand.
GGTATTTCCAATCAAATTAAGATATCAGGACATTTTTTTTAAGAGGACTGGCATGGTTGCTTATGGTTGTAATCCCAGCGCTTTGGGATACCAAGGTGGGAAGGTTGCTTGAGCTCAAGAGTTTGAGACCATCCTGGGCAGCATTGTGAGACTCTGTCTCTACTAACAATAAAACTTAAAAATTTAGCCAGCATGGTGGCACATGCCTGCAGTCCTAGCTACTTGGAAGGCTGAGGCCAAGGGATTGCTTGGGCCAAGGTATCTGAGGCTGCAGTAAGCCATGATTGCACCACTGCACTTCAGCCTAGGCAGCACAGTGAGACCATCTCTCAAAAAAAAGGAAACAAAAACAAACAAACAAACAAAGAAAACACCAACCAACCAAACAACAACAACAACAACAACAAAGACAAATGATATCAGGGGAAATTCCTTAGAAAGGAATTAAAATTCAAAGGGTGATTATTCAAGTACAAAATTTCATAAAAATAAGTTCCTAAACAAAATATAGACTAGTAACATTTTTACAACAGCAACTTAAATATCCATTTGAGAAATTCTCCATTCATACAACACCTCCACTGTATGAATGCTGAGCCAGAAAGTAGCCTACCATTACAGCTTAGCTCTTAATTGCTTACCATGTCATTAATAATAATTCATTGTTGCTAAGTTTATATTTTGGTATTTATGGAAAATATCAGTGACACCATGGACAAGCAGCCTTTACACTGTTTGCGCAGTTAGTACTGATTTTTTCCATATTTCCTACTTGAACCTTCATCCATTTTGAGTGGCATAGTCTTTATTAAAATTGTCCTAAAACTCTCAGGTCCAAGGTTGGTATCATACAGAAGTTAAACATAGAGAGATAGAGGTATTAAGAACCTCAGTCACTTATCTGTGTTCACATGACGAGTTATTAATAGAGCCAGTTCTTCAGATTTTCCTTCTTACCATTTAATCACCAGTTTACGATAGACTGAAATTCAACTCTACCTAATTAGTCTGTACAATCATAATGGTTGATGAGTTAATGCAGACACATGTACTTACTTAACTGCAATTTGATCTACTTAGGTTTGAAATATAGTTTTGTACAGTCTAGACTGTCAGGAGAATGAAATTCTTTTTGTCTCTGGTATATCAAATGTCCCCTTGACTCTGGTGTTACTGGATCGTGGCAGAATCTGGTCTATGGATTCTCCATGCAAGTAAGCTCAAGTTTTTGTTTTTCAGCCATTAGTCACATAGTTTTAAATGTATTAGAAAAATATGCTGAAGTTGAGTGTTTTTTACTCCACTGTGTATTACTAATGGGATTTTACCAAAGAGCATGACCTCTAATCATATTAATATTTAATCAAGCAATAAATATGCCTTGCTGCAAAGCTCAAAGCCAACAGAGTTCTCTCTGGTGATGATTTTTCTATTAAGCTAACAAGGATTTCTTTTGCTTTATCTCATTACTATAAAATTGGGATAAATGTCTGAGTATTCAATTCTCAGTAAGTGTCTTAAAGGGCTTTTGACTCTCCTGTCCAAATAAGCAAAATATCCCACATTGAACTTTAATATGTTTTCTCAAAGCTTTGTTTCTTTGGAAATGGCCTCTAAAACGTGGCCTATGAGATAAAGGTTTTGAAATAAAAGGAAGAAGAAAAGATGGTCAATTGTAAAATATAAGTGCTAACATCACAAAATATTGAGAAAAAATTGTTAAATGAGTGTTTTAAAAAGGAAGCAATGATGATTTATATGATACTAGGGAAAGTGGCCCAAAGTAAATGCAATGTGCTTAGATTGTACTTAGATATTTATACTGTAGAGGAAAATAGGACAGGGAACATGTTACACAGTCACCATATTGTTTCTTCCTCCTGGGCACACAAAAATAAGTAAGAAATTTACCAGCTCACTCCCTAACCTCCTGCAGTCATGATGGGGTAGGTACATCTGGCTGAGTTTTAGTCAATAGTTGGTGGGCAGAGGTGATGTGAAGCAACCTCCAGTCCTAATTCTTACAGATCATCCTGCAATATCCTCCAGAATTCTCTTCCCCATCTACAGTATCCTTGACAGACACCTGTTTCAGATGGTGTAGTTGCAGAACAGAAATATTCCCTAATAGCTTAGAAATGTGCAGTCTTACACTACAAATACTTATGGGACACAGATAACCTCCTCAAATTTCTTAAAATCAGTTTATAGACTGATTCCAGCAGCCATTGTGAAATCAACTAAAACATACAATTCTTAAGTCATCTTTTTGAAGATGCTTCTAATGGCATACATATTATTCATGGCTGACTTCAGTTTTTTTTCCCATTGATCAGCTTTCTTACTGTTTTTGACTTGTTTCTTTTTATAGTTAGGAAATTATATTTATGGATAATTAATATGCTTCAATATCAAGTAGATTGTGTGTGTGTGTGTTTTAGCCAATGGGGGTAAAGTAGAACAAGTGTTCCTCTTCCTCCAGGCCCTAGTGTGTCATTTGTGGCTTCAGTTATAAAAAAGTAGACTTCATCAAGGACTCAGGGAGCAATGCTGGGCGTCAGGATACTCTGCATTGCTGGTTCTCAGGCGTGTCCAGGCTTAACCATTGAGAGCAGAGCTCTACTGGCCTGCCTTGTGTTTCAATAGCATGTCAACCCCAGCTGGCCTGCCTTGTGTTTTACATGGCATGTCAGCCCAGCATTTCTGTTGCTAGAAAGCTTTCCTTTTCTTTCATATTTAGAGGGATAAGGTTTTAACTGTTCAGCATCTGTTCTTAAAATGGCAATATACTCTCTGTGATTATTTTGAGAAAGCCATTTTGATCGAAATATTGGGTTCTCTTTGCTTTCATTTCCCTGATAGATCTCTCAGCTCACTCTCCCCAGAACTGACTCTGAAGAGCTGACAAAGCAATAACTAGTTGTTACAGAGGAATTTTTCTCTATTGTGGGTGTTATTTATTTATTTTGTTTATTCTAGTAATGATTTCTTGTCCACTTCAATTTATTAGTTTCAAAACGAGTGAATATAGACATAGTGGAATCTTTGCTATCCCTTGGTTAAATTCTATCCCGTGATATCCCTTGAAAGAGTAAGGAGGAGGTCTCTCTGTTTCATGAGGAATTTAAGCAAGGTGCTCAGAATGAATCACCTAGAAGAGTATAAAGATTGCTGTAGATTTCTTAAGTACTAGTTTCAAACAAATACCATCAAAAAAAAGAGTAATTGCCAACATGTGTGCCCTTAACTCAATTTCCTACAGAAAGAACAGCTGAAAAAAACTATTAAAAATCCATTACCTGTTGTTTAAGAACCAAATAGCATTTTTCAGAAGTTTCTTATCAAGCAATTGAATGCAGCAGGATGATGTACAGTGGGAGTGAGGATTAGGCTGGTATTGACGTTTTGCTTCCTAACTTAAATGATTCACTAAATTCACTAAATTAGATCAAGGAATTTAATTTCTTTTCAAGCCTTTATGAATTTTCTCTAATATAGAAATGATCCAAGACAGAACACTCAAGAAAATTAAACAGAGACAACAATTTAGAGAAAAAATTCTGCATAGTACCCTGTGGAGGGCACTCATAGACCATCAAACAGATGAGTGAGAATTTCTTGGCCAAATCTCTCAGTACCTTTTTCAAGGCAAACTCAGATTTGTTCGCTATATATCTACAATATATTCAGGAAGCAAGACTTGAATGGCAGAGCTAAGACTAAACTGAAGGCAACCACTCTTTATTAAGGTCTTGTAAGCACTTTTATATACTTAGAATCTAGTCTTGGTGTTAGTTATTCGGTACGTTCAGTACCTATAAATTTTTAAATCTACATCTGACATGAACAGAACTAAATCCTAAAGGAGAAGATCAATATTAAACCTGCCACATTTTAACAGGGGTCATGTTGCATATGACAGAGATAAAAAGGGCTCAGGGCAATGCAGTGTCTTTCAGAACAGTGAGAGACGGGCTGTCCCTGGAGTAATCAAGGTCAGAAAACTGCCAGGTCTTTCCCTTCAAGGCCAGGGCAGAAAGATTTTCTCTAGCTGCTGAAAGGCAAATGAGTGGGACTCACAGGTCAGCACAATCACTGCCAGCCCACAATCCGAACCCTTTTATGACTAAGCAGTAGAGATGCTGAGGGGTGGCTTCAGAGGAGGTTTTAGAGCTACCTTCGAAAGAACAATAAACGAACATTCAGTTTGTGTCTGAATGTTGTTTTAAGCTATTTAAATAAATGCACAATCTAAATAAAAATTAAAGTGCATTCTAGTAATAATAACTTTAAGACACTCAACAAGTTGAGTGCTCTCAAGCTTCACCCCATTTCCAAGCAAACTGTACACATTTAAATCCCTCCTCTAAGCAACTGCCACACGTAGGCGTAATATGATTAAAGTGAAGAAATCTATTTTTTTCAGGAAAGAAAAGGAACAAAAATAGGCAGACCAAAGATCTTATCCTTTTAGACTACTCTAAAGACAAACAAAAACACACCACAGAGATAAGAGCATTGAGGAACATACACGTATACACATAGATGTAAAAATTTAAGGACGATTTCATCTGTAAGGATTATGAGAGAGTTGGTGTTTCTGGGTGGAGTGTCGTGGAGGAAGGAAAGTAGCAATTATAAAGTTATTTTTAACATATGGAAAATTAGCAAAAATTTCATGATCACTTACTGAAATGCCACCGAATTGATAAAATAAGGAAAAAGCAAACTGAAAACCATCTGATGCCTAGAACATTATCTACAAGTGTTTGAAAATTTCAGAAGCCAGTATGTTTTTTTTCAGCAATACTCATGAGTACTCTTGTAACTTGCTGGGTGCTATAACTTGAGAAAATATTAAGAAGAATATTCTTGAAATTTTTATTTCCACATTCTTCTAGTTCTAAAAATTAATAAAAAATTTGGTATTTTAAAAATTGCTAAAGAAAAGCTTACTTAGAGATTTTTATCAAACTATCAGCATCTAAAACTAACTTGTGACAAATGGAGTTGCTTACAGTGAACAAAATGGCCAGTCTCTTGTAGTTATTTTTATATCTGAGTTGTAGATTTTAATCTACCAAATATATTGTTTCTCTCTCTCTCTTTCTCTATCTAAAGAACATGTAAATCAATGAAATAATAGATAGCCTATATTGTTATTTATTTCATTAAAATATTATGGCAGGGTGAATTGTTGAAGAATGAATGGGAAAGCCTCATCGCTCTCAGGAGTGACACTAAAGAGTTTGATAATTAGTACTTCAAGGTCAAGTGGTAAGTAATTGATGAAGCACTGCTTGTTATAATGTTTTTGACGAGAGGATTAAACTGAAGTGCACTTAATTTTCTTGGCTGTTTAAGTGTAGTTACCACAAAATAGACAAAATAAGGTTTCATTATGCTTTTTTTTAAAAAATGATATGAGATTGTAAAGTGTGATAATGCATTAAGCTTTTATCTTCCATCATTAGTGTGACAGTCAAAGTAAAGGCAAAAAGATGATGCTGAGAGCCAATGTTATCCTTATGGGACACAGTGATGCACTTTAGTGTACATTAAAACATACCTGAAACACTTGTCATAGTTGTCAGACCCTATTTATTGGAGCGCTGAAATCTGAATCGAAGCTGCAAAATTGAATGAAAAACAACTGGCTACATCAGTTTATCACTGAAAAACAAATGGCTGTATTTGCTTCTTTGCAGTTCCAAACATGAGCTCAATACAGGAGACTCTAGAGCACCAGAACCCTGTAAATCATGACATATATGTCTGTGCCAGCCGCTGATAAACTGTGCCTAGCTCTCCCAATGAAAGTAACAGATAGACCTCTGAAAAGCACCGAGATGAAAAATCAGACAGGAAAGCCACTTCTTCTAATGCTAAACTTTGCCAGGACAGGGAGGTGCCTCTAGCACTGTTGTACCGTTTCCTCCAAGAGAAAGTATTTGCAAAGCTTACATTTTCAAACAATCCTAGGAATGTATCACTTCATATTTTCAAAAGTTTCTTGGAGAAAGATATTTTGCAGTGTCCTACATGAACTTGAGTGTTTGTCTCTGGAACTTTTAAGTTTGATTTCACTTAGCGCTGCTTGCACTTCAGTTGAGGCCATTTTTACTTGAAGCTTAATTAAAGCCATTGTCCTCAGGGACTAATACGCATCAATACTCTTTTCCCCAAGGTCCCCAAGTCATATAAGGACACCTTGAATCATTCTCAGTTAATGATACCTGCCACAAGAATATTTTCTCAAGATAGAAAAATTCATATTAGTTAATGTATCATCTTAGGCACACTACCAAATCGGTTATAATGTTGCCTTTCCTATTTTTACTAATACCTTTTTTCCATAGTTTCTGGATATAGAAGCTAAGTGGAAAATATTTTAAAATATGGTTTACTTTTATTTAGAAATTAGCCAATGATTTATTTAGAAATTAGTCACTATTATATAAATTCTGTCATTAAGAATATTATCAAAACATTTAAAACTGTTTTTCAATTTTCTCAAGATAATATAGATTTAAACAGTTAACAGGTCAATGAAAAGGTTTGAAACTTTGTGCTTAAAAATTAAAAGGATAAAGGAAAATGATGCATAATATTTATTTGCAGCTCAGCCAATAAAATCTGATGAATCACGAAATTGCCATAACAAGTTTATTTCTATGTTGTTTTGTAGCTGCTTTTTTATGCAGTTTTAACCTAGATGAATCAAATGCCATATCACTTGTTATTCTTTTAAAAAGAACCTTTTCAAATTATTGCATATATATTTAAAAATTCCTTCACTTGATATATGGTTATTGTGGAATATACTTTTACATGTATCAGTTACTGTGTTTCTAGTCACAAATAATAGAAATTCTAATCGAAACTTTACTTAAACAATAGCATGGATTTATTATTCTAGGTAATTACAAAGCCTTTTCTTTTCTGTCTTCAGTGATGGTGTCAGCTTTATCCAAAGCCTGGACTTAAAGGGAAAATGGTAACAGTGTTTCCAGATTTTATGTCTGTGTGCCACACAGTTCAGTAGAATTTGTCCCCCAGAAGCCTCCAGCACTAGCCTTGCTTAGGCTGATTAGCTGAATTAAATCCCATGCTTATCGATATATATGGCTCCGATTATGAAATTCAGCTAATTATTTTAGGTCTCAGCCACATGCCCCACTCCTTGCACCAAACGGGGTCAGTTTCTTAAAAAATTAGAGGTTCAATAAGGAAGGCTTCAAGACCTAAGTGAAAACTAGGGTAGTTGGTAGTCACCTAAGTAACTATTGAGGTAGTCTCTTTGAGGTAGAGACTGCATTTAGGTGAAGCAGCCAAAAAATAAAATGAAATAAAATAAAATAGCCCAATTAGACTTACCCACCTCTTTATCTCTCTCTCTCTTTCTCTCTCTCCCTCTGTGTATGTGTTTGTGTGTGTGTCCAGAACTCTCTTTTAATGAGAAAAAAAAATGACTAGAAAATTACATGGAAATCTGCTTCTCCTAATCTCGCAATTGCTTAACCATAGCAATCCTTCCTGCTTTTTCTGGCAATAAACTTTTTATTTGACAATTGTTTAGATGTATAGAGAAGTTGTGAAGATATTTTAATTATTTGATGTATCTCACATCTAGATTTCCTTACTGTTTATCTGTTAAATTACTGCAGTATATTTATCAGGATTAATGAACAATTATAGATACATTATTAATAATTAAAGCCCAGATTTATTCAGATTTCTTTAGTTTTCACTAAATGTTCTTTTTGTTTTTTAATGCAGTCATTGTGTCTACTTAAGTTCCACGTGGCTCTGATAGTTTCTCGGACTTTCCCTTCTTTGGGTAAACTTGATAGCTTTGAGGAATCAAATGTTTTTAGAATGTCCCTCAATTAGCACTTGTCTGATTTTTCCCTCATGATTAGATTAGGGATTTTAAGAGAAAGAACACAGAGGTAAGGTCCCATTGTCATCACATTATATCAAGGTTAAACACTGTATAACATAACGTTTGATGTTAAAGTTGATCATCCAGCAGAGGTAACATTTGTTAGTTTTCTCCACTGTAAATTGACGTTTTCCCTCCTATTTTTCACACTGCATTCTTCGGAAAGAAGTCACTATGTGCAATCCATATTTAAGGAGTGGGGTTATGCTTCATCTCCTCAAGGATAGAGTATCTACATAAATTATTTGGGATACTGCAGAGATTTGTCTATTTTCCTCCAATCATTTGCTTATTTAATCATTCATATAATTATGGATTCATTAATATTTACTTTAAACTTTGGGTTATAATCCAACACTACTTTATTTATTTTATTGTATAAATTGTTCTACCTTTGGCCAGCGGCAGCTGGTTCAGTTGACTCCTGTTTCTCATTGCCATTTCCCTGGCCCGCTGTTTTCTTTTTTAATTTCTAGTCTACCTGGAATTGTAATCATTGCCTTAGAGTGATGATTCTCAAATGTGGTCCCCTGACATTTGACATCTGAGGACTTGTTAGACATACAGGCCTCATCCCAAATCATCCTGCTGAATCAGAATCTCTGGGTATGGTACCTAGAAATCTGTCCTTTAATAAACCCTGACAGTGATCCTTATGCAAGGAAAAGTTCCAAGACCAGTGCCCTAAAGCATCATGAGAAGAAAAGAAGAAAATTTTTAAAAGCGTAAAAATTGGACACATAATAATTGTACGTATTCATGGGGTACATAGTGATTTTTTTTTTTTTTTTTGAGGCAGAGTCTCGCTTAGTCACCCAGGCTGAAGTGCAGTGGTGAGATCTCAGCTCACTGCAGCCACCGTCTCCCAGGTTCAGCAATTCTCCCATCTCAGCCTCCCGAGTAGCTGGGATTACAGGCACCTGCCATCATGCATGGCTAATTTTTGTATTTTTAGTAGAGACGGGTTTCACCATGTTGGCCAGGCTGGTCTTGAACTCCTGACCTCAGGAGATCCGCCCGCCTCGGCCTCCCAAAGAGCTAGGATTACAGGTGTGAGCCACTGTACCTGGCCTACATAGTGATATTTTGATATATACAATGTATAGTGATCAAATCAGGGTTATTAACATATCCATCACCTCAAATGTTTATCATTTTTTTGTGTGTTGGGAACATTCAAAATCCTCTCGTAGCTATTTAAAAATATAAATTATATTGTTGTCTATAGTCACCCTACAGTGCTAGAAAATACTAGAACTTATTTCTCCTATCTAGCTGTAACTTTGTAACCTTTAACCAACCTCTCCCTATTCCTCTGCCCCTCCTCCCCTTTCCAGCCTTTAACTCATTCCACAGCAAATAATTGAAAAATAAAGTAAATAATTCACTCATATGCACTCAGCAAATACATTATATTCTGGATTTAATGTGCTGATTTCTAGTCTGAAGCCATTTATATGATCAATAATCTTTTTTCTTTTCTTTGAAGGACTTTCTTCAGTTTTAAATTAATTATCTGGTTACTTTTTTAGAAGTGGCATTTTAAATCCATTTATGTTTATTCAAAATTCTCTTAACTTTGAACATCATTCTAAAATCTCTAACAATTCTAAATTCTCTCAATCTTGGATATTCAAAATTCAAACATTCAAACATTTTTTTATCATGGGTTGTATTTCAATTTCATATAATTATTTGTGAGAACGAAGTCAGTAAAATATATCTGAGACCCCATTGAATAAACCAAGTGATCAGACAGCTTCTCTGAAAATGAATATTAAACTACTATCTTTGTTAACCTTGAACTTACTGGCTCTGTGTGTGTGTGTGTGTGTGTGTGTGTGTGCATATATATGTGTGTGTGTCGTTGGTCCCTCACCAAAGCAAATTAATATCACAAGAAAAATGTGGAGTTGCATTCAGTTTTGGAATAGTGTTGAAAAGAATATCAACTTATAGGAAAACTTTTCTATTCTGAGTCAGATGAAACTCATGGTCTTGTATATTCTAAGATTCTTTAAAATACTCATTTCAGTTACGTATAATATTTGATTTGGAATCACTATATATTTTCAATTTAAGAGATATTTTTAGTGGTTTCTTCATAAACTTTTTCAGTTTTTAAAATATTAATATATAGATATGACAGAAATAATTTACAATGACATTTACTTTAAACTGAAAATATTTCTCCCATCTCTAAAAAAAGCTTCAAATATGTGTCACCTGCTCCATCTGCAAAGGCCATTGCTAACTTACCACAGTACCAAGATACAATTTACAAAATTATATAAGTACACACACACAGACACACACAAAACTGTAATTTTCCAAAACACTGAACCTGTCCTTTAGCCTGTCATTTTTATACTACTATTTTCATATTTCATATGCTAGTTGTAAAGTACAACGTAATGGCTTCATGAGGGATTTATATTTCTACGAAGGACAAAATTGGTGGCATTAGGTTAAGTCTTTTCTGTTACCAATATGTGCTTTGACTAGTTTTTTATGTACACATGTTTAAACAAGTGGAATAATACACACTTCAAAAATGCATCTTTGAGTTGAGCTTCATTCTACAAAATCTGTAAGCCTTATGTCATGAAGAAGAGGATCCTAGCATTTATTAGGTCTGTTTCCTATTGTGTGAATCACACCTCCCAACCTCAAAGTATTCCATATGAAAACACAGCTGTCACTGCCAAGGACTTCAGTGCTTCCAGTTTTAGGCTGGATAATGTCTGTCTGCCAAAGCAATACATCAGTCATTACACAAGATGACTCACACCATCCGTGTCTTGGCAAGAATATACATATTGCTAACAATTGCATTTATCTGGAAAGCTTTAAGCATTAATGCATCCTTATTTTTATTTTAACCCCAAATTCTCAACCATAGGAATATTGTCAACTTTTCTCACAGCTTTACAATAAATCCTGGGTAGCTTTTTTAAAAACTACAACCAGAGGATAAATGTTATTCTTTAATAATGTTTGTATGATTTGTCCCTCAATATCTAAAATCTAACATTACTGCCAAAGTGTAATTCTCATCATAGTGTGTCTGTAGTTGCATCTCCTTTCGTGTCTATTTGTGGTTCAAAACATGTAGAATCCATTATTAGAGTACACATTTTAATTTTAAAAACATGAACAAAAAAAAAGCTTGCATGTAAATAATAAATCTGACACACCATGGTAGGCATTATTTTAAAACTAATAAATTTACAACTTACAAAATTACATAACAATATATATACTGAGCATAATAGATATATTGTGTACTACATTTCAAATATTATATCATTTAAAAGATATATAACATATAAATGATCCCTGCAGTAGTTTAAAATAATACTTAGTTTAAAATGGCAATGAATGATTTCAGAACATAAATTATTCATCAAAGGACATTTAATAGTTTAGTTCATCTGGTATAAAATTGACAAGGTAGTCATTAATGAGCTCAAATTATTCAGTAAATGTTAATACCCAGAACCAAATAATGGCATTTATTTCTTAGGAATTACTGCCTAATCTACTGGATAATATTTTTAAAGGTGAACTATGTCCTGCTCTTTTCCATGCACACACACTCACACATGCACACATACACAAACACATATGGCTTGAAATTGCTAGAAAAATATGAGCTTAATTATATGTTTTAAATTTTTAAATATGTATTAAATTATTTAGAATAATCACTGTGAGAGGACATGTATGTTGAAGTCTCAAACCAATAAACTCTACCAGTAAAATCTGTAATGAGGACATAAACTGTTAATTTTTGGGGAAAGAATAAAAAATAAAATAGGAATAAGAAAAAACATTGAAGATTGCCATATACATGAATGTACTAAGAGCACTAACAAACATTAAAGGCTCTCTGTTTAGTGGCCAAGAGATACTGGTTTTATAGAAAGGACAAAACAATACAGAATGGTCAGATATATGCCGATATATGTGGTTCAAATATAAAAACTATTTACTAGTTTTCAAATTTTACAAGTAAGTTATACGTTAGAAAAATGATAATTTTATAACAGAAGGGAAGTGATTATCTCCAGGAAAAACCTGAAGATATAATTTAAAATGTTTTAGAGTGGAAGTGGTGAGAGAAAGTGGTTACATACTCTTCTTTCAAAATGAAAAAAGTTAAGAATGTATTGAGAGTTGATGGAACAAAAATAGAGGATGCACATATAACATATCAATGCTATCTCAATAAAAATAACAATGTAAGAATTAATATTACATGGAAAGTAAGGATTTTAAAAGTGAGCCAATTCCCATTTTGCTAGGAGGTCACAGCATATTTGAGGTGGAGAACAATATGGAGGTTCCACAAAGAAAAATAAAAATAGAACTACTATAGATCCAGCAATCCCACTGTTGGGTATACATTTTAAAAAACAAACAAACAAAGAAACAACAACAAAACAGTGTATCGGCGGGTGCGGTGGCTCATGCCTGTAATCCCAGCACTTTGGGAGGCCAAGGCGGGTGTATCACCTGAGGTTGAGAGTATGAGACCAGCCTGGCTAATATGGTGAAACCCCATCTCTACTAAAAATACAAAAAATTAGCCGGGCATGGTTGTGGGTGCCTGTAATCTCAGCTACTTGGGAGGCTGAGGCAGGAGAATTGCTTGAACCTGGGAGGCAGAGGTTGCAGTGAGCCAAGATCGTGCCACTGCACTCCAGCCTGGACAACAAGAGTGAAACTTTGTCTAAAAAAAAAAAAAAACAGAGAGAGAGAGAGATACCTGCATTCCCATGTTTACTGCAGCACTATTCACAATAGCCAAGATACAGAATCAACCTGAGTGTCTATCAAGAAATTAATGGATAAAGAAAATGTGGCGTATATAGACACATTTTATACAATGGAATATTATTTCACCACAAAAAAGAATGAAATTCTGTCCATTTGGCACAACCTGAATGAAACTGGAGGACATGACATTAGGTGAAATAAACCAGACACAGAAACACAAATATTGCAGATTCTCCCTCATATGTGAGAACTAAAACAACAACAAAATGAACTCATGGAGATAGATAGTGGAATAATGGTTGACAGAGGCTGGGAAGGGAAGTAGGGAGTGGGGTGATAAACTGGAGATAGTTAATAGGTACAAAAATACAGTCGGATGAGATGAACAAGATCTAGCATTCAGTGATGTAATAGAGTGACTACAGTTAGCAATAATTTATTGTATATTTTTAAATAACTACAAGAGTTGAATTGAAATGTTTCTAACATAAAAAAAATAACAAAGCCTTAAGGTGATGGATACCCCGGTTTCCCTGATCTGATCATTACACATTGTAGGTCCTTAAAACATTACATATCCTTCATAAATATATAAAATTACTGTGTTATCATAGTTAAAAACTAAAAAATTAAAAAAATAAAGTGCTGAACAACAAAAACAAAAAGAATGTATGTAACCACCAGAAGAAACAGAAAATAAACTATGATAATAGTTGCCCCCTAAGTGTAGGCCTAATGGTTAGAGCATGGGGCCAACCACAGATACTTTTCATCATGAGCTATTTTGAACTTCTCAATTCTTTCATCCATGGGCATGAATAATTGTCTTCACATTTTTAAATGAAACCAAAAATCATTGCAAAACAAAAATAACATGGTACACATATAATTATTCATAATGGCTGAAACATTGAGAAAAATTAACAACAAAAAAATTAAACTAAAAATAATTAGCAGGGGAGATGGCATTAAAGACAAAGTAATGGATAATAATTAAAAGCTTGGGCTTTGGACTCAATCTTACCTACCTTCAAGTAATTATTTTCTATCAGCTATTGAGAAATAAAAATGAAATCCTAAGCCCTGCAAAGACACAGACTCTCTCTTTGCCAAGGAAACCCCAGAGACACCTTCAAAACTGAGTTGTTGGCCATGACAGGATGGGGGATGTCCGACACAGCTGATTTTAGCTCCTCCCTCGCTACCCACTATTGGCTTTCTTCCCTAAAGGCTAAAAAGAAACCAGCGCTTTGCAGAGACTGGCTCCACTTCTGATATCAACCAAACACCTGATGGTACCCCTTCTTTTTGTGGTTATAATAAAACAACCAACCAGCCTTCCTTCCTTATAAGACAGCACTGACCATGAAGGATGCATGGCAAGAGTGTTTGGGTCCTCTTCTTAAACTTTTGATAACAGTGGGTCAAAGACTCCACCCTTGGATAATGCTAACACTGCCAGTTTTTGAACTTGGGATCCGTGGAGAGAGGCATGAAACTCAACTGCGCATGCACGTTTCTCCTTTCATAAATATTCATAACTCCTCCTATAGCTTAATGAGTATGTATATTTGGTCACCCCATTCAGCATAAATTCTTGTCTTATTCTTTTCACACTTGAAGTGACTGTGTTCAGATTCCGGCTGGCCCTGTGCTTCCCAGCCTGTTTGCCACCCTGCAGGCTGCAAACCCTTGATGGGAAATAAAGCTTTCCTTTCCAAACGTATGAACCTCATCATTCTTTAGTTGACACTGTGTAACCTTGGGAAAGTTACTTAACCTATGGAGACGAGGGTTCTGATTTGTAAAATCGTAATAATAATACTCCATTCTCATGAAGCTGTTCATGGCACGATGGGATAATACATACATAGGCTCTTAATAATGTCGTAAACAGTACTAAAGAAACTATGAAATAGTAAGTCAAATATAGACTTAATAAGACTTATAACCAGTAATTAAAAAAATTACAACAGAAAAACATCTCTGTTTTCATTAAATAAGCAAATGCAGAAATCCCAAGAATGCACCTTTGTTAATGAGAGCTGAATGTCCTCAGTTACAGATGTAATTTTAAAATCTGGGACAAAACTATGTACCATGTATTGTTCTTTAAATCAGATAGATAGATGAAAATAACATATTTGAAATTTATATTGCAAAAGTTAACTGAAAAAGAGATAGAAACTTGATATAATTATAGCCATAGGAAAAACCATGATCTTTAAGACTTGGCTGCAAAAAAGACACAAGAACAGATAGTTCGCCAGTCAGTTTTACCAAATTTCCAGAGAAGAGTTTATCCCTATGCTATTGAGCATGGAGAATGTTTCAAAAAGAGGCCCATTTATTTTTACAAAAGACTCAAAAATATTTTGTATCTTTATTCACAAGTAAGAATAACAGTTCTCATATCTTTTCATTTCTTTCTTCTTTTTCTAATCTTTCACCTCTCTCCCGTCTTCATGTCCTCCTCCTTCTATTGATTCTTTTCATTTAAATATGTTTCGCAGATTTTTAGAGGATTAATAAAACTTAAAAAAAAATTAACACTGTTTTTTTAACTTGGTGAACCTTTCCATTTCTTATTTGGTGAATGGCCTGAACTTCTACTTTGATAGCATGCATACCTTTTTTTTAACTTGATGTTTAATAAAAGTTTTGTTTTTCTTTTTTCTTTAGCTATGCAGAGTATTAAGTTCAGTTCTCAAGAGAGCTGTAATCAAACACAACCTGATGTTTTACTTAATTTTTCTTTCCTCTTTTCCTGATAAAATGTTTAATTTCTATATGGTAATTATTTTTATGGTTACTATGTTCCATGTTATGTGTTATGTCTTCCCTAAGAATGTGAATAATATGTGATATATTTCCTATTACTTTACTTTTTTATATTTAAAATTTTATTATCTGAAATGTTTTACATATAAAATGAGTTAAGAAACTTTTTTTTAAATAGATAGTCATTGTCCTAATGACAATTTCTTTTTTTCTTTTTTTTTTTTCTTTTGAGTCAGTGTCTCGCTCTCTTGCCTACACTGGAGTGCAGCAGCGTGATTTGTCTCAGCTCACTGTAACCTCAACCTTCCAGGCTCAAGTGATCCTTCTACTTCAGCTTCTTGAGTACCTGGGACTTACAGGCATGTACCACCAAGTCCAGCTAATTTTTATTTTTATAGAAATGAGTTCTTGCCGTATTTTCCAGGCTGGTCTCGAACTCCTGGGCTCAAGCGATTCTCCCACATAAGCCTCCCAAAGTGCTAGGATTACAGGCATAAGCCAGGGTGCCTGGTCCCTGATGGCAATTTCTGAAGCAAATAATCCCTTTAGAATGGATTTTAAGTAAGATCCTCATGGCACTCCTGATTCCCATACATGCCTACATTAGGACCTTAGCTCTCTCATCTGGTTTCTGTTAGTGTAGTAATGTGTATTATCACAGCTTTATCTTCTGCTAAGCTTTCCCTTATTACTTTTCTTTTACAGCATTTAATTAATTTTACAGGTTTTATTCCACATAATTTTTAAATAAGTAGTCAAAGTATTTGAAAGCTCCAGTGAATTTTTGATTAAAATATTTTAGAATTATATTATTTTGGGAAAACTTTTAAATTTATAACATACAATCATGTAACCAAAGAACATGACATATCTCTGCATTAAGGTCTTCTTTGATACTGGAGTCACTGTATTTATAGAGTTATAGGTATTGATTGTATCCTGAATGATAGATGCAACAGAGGCGTCTTTGGAGAAACAGCAAGGAGAAAAAGCAAGTGAAACACTATTAGGACATATTCATACCATACATATAATGGAAAGCACCCTAGACTGTTACATGTCATGCCATGAAATTTCCTTTTTCAAAATTCTTTCTGGATGAATAAGGCAGACTAAGGGTCAAGTTATTCTGTTAGTAGATGATGCCTTAAGTATTATATACCTTTGGTGGGAAAAGTAATAGAGACGCTTAAAACTTGGGTCTATACTAGAGCAGTAGGTACTTCCTTACATCTACTGTACCTTAAGTCATTTTATAGTTTAATAAGCTATGAAAAATTTAGTAACAGATATTCTAGAAACACACTTATCTGTGCTTCTGCTATCATCAAATGATACTTATGCAATAGGCAACGATGATGCCTTCAAGTTATCCCTATAAATTATATTTACATTTTGATATCATCCTAATTGGTAGGAGGTAATTCATATATCTGTGCACCATGATATAAAAATAAAATGTGGTTTTCCCTACTGAACAAAAGCAAGTTTTTCAAATGTGTTTTATAGAATTAATGCATTACAGACAGAAAGGAAAAAATGGATTGGGTAGGTCAGTTATTGTAAAACTAAAGTAGTTAAGTTTCATATTTCTTGACAAAGAAACTTTGCTGGGTGCTGGTGGAACAAGGACAGAAATAATTTAATTCAGCTGGCACATTCTGCGTCTGCAAATAAACCAAAACATACGCACAGCGCTCCACATTGTTGCCTGTCATCCTATTATATGTCTTTATCATCTCTTTCTTGAACTACAATAATCTAGCTGGGTCCTTTGCTTCCACTTGTCCCTTTATAATTCTTCAGACAGTGACCTTTTTTAAAACAAATCAGACCATGTTATTTTTTTGTTTAAAGTTTTCTATGTCCTTTCAATAAAAACCAACCTCTGATCATGGCCCCAGTTTTCTGCACAAATGTTCTAGTCCACTTGATAATAGTCTTTCTTAACTTCTTTTATCATTCTTGGCTTAAGGATCTTTTTGTATGTTTTTTTTTATTCCAACTTGACTTTTTCCTCTAGATCTTTGTTAAGCTGATTTCTTCTAATTATTTAGATTCCTGCTTAAAATATCACCTTCTCAGAGAAATGTTTCTTGTCAGCTATCTAAGTTGCTTCCCCCTTTTTACTGTCATTCGGAAGTAGAACACAGTATTTTAGTTTCTTGGTAGCATTTCCTAGGTCATAATTTTTTTATTTACTAATATTTTTATTCTCACTGGAAATATTCACCATGATACTAGAAACCTTGCCTATATTTTTACCTTCTTACTCTCAGTCTATAGGATGAAATCTAGTATGTCATACAATCTTTGCTTATTAAATATTTGAAAGAATAAATGCAGAAATCCTCTGTCATCAGAGGTGATCAGTTTTTCTACGTAATCTAAAAGGTGTAAAAAGATCAACAAATTTATTCAATTAACTATTATGTTTTGAACTCTAATGGAATAAACACATTCTTAATCATTCCTTGAACTTTATACTAATGTATATTAAAGTTTTAGTAGTCAATGTGTATTTTGGTAGCTTATATTAATATTTAGCATATTACCAATATTTTCTAATTTATCTGGTTCTGTCATCATTTATTCCTGAAAAGCAGCTAATACTTCTCAAGCTGGCTATGAGCCAATGCATTTAAAAGAGGAGACTCTCACATCTCTTTATTCCTGATTTCAAATGTATATACACACATATATATTTTTAAAAATTATATTATATTAAAAAATTCAAAGGAAATAATTGTTCATTTGAATTTTTTAATATTGTTGATCTTTTTTCAAAATGTTTTTCTTTCCAAATCACTTTTTACTTAGGCTCCACTTATAGTCCCTAATATCCACCCAGACTCCTTTTATAGCTATGAACCAAAGTCTTCAGAATATCTCAATAATTTTACCATGTTTTTTATTGTAGTCTCTCTTCTTCCTATTTCTCAATCTGTTCTAAATCACAACCTATTTGTACCAATTTCTTATTCAATCACATTTATGTCTTCCTTTGCTTACAGGGACAATTTTCTATACATAAGGATGATATTCAAAATCTCTTCACCTAATTGGTCTTCTCTACCAAACTAAACATCACTATTTTTCAAACGATTCTCTCCTATTGACCACCGAACACATCATATCTAGAATTACTACAAAACAATCCTAATAAATTGGTCTTCCTTCTTTGAATAGCAATAATCCCAATTACTGGATTGGAAAATTTAAATTATATGTTACAATGCCTTATTATCTCACTCTTTATATGTTTTCTTCCCCAGCTACATGAAAAGCTATTACACAGCTATTATTTTGACTTATACTTGTTTTGCTGCTTTTTTTTTTTTTTTTTGAGACGGTGTCTCGCTCTGTCGCTCAGGCTGGAGTGCAGTGGCGTGATCTTAGCTCACTCTTGTTTTGCATTTTTTATGTGACTAGCACACAATGCTTACAACTCTAGCCACTTAATTCATTTTGCTTCAAAGTGTGAATGAATACAATTTATTACCATGTAAACTGGCTAAATAATCACTCATAATTTTTGTCCTCATAAGGGACAAACAGCTATAATATAAAGTTACGATATTTCCCATATGTCCTTGAAGTGAAGGTGGCCATGTGACTCAACTTGGCCCAAAGGAGCAATATGGAGAGATAGTGGAAATAATATGTCCCGCCTCAAGGCAAGGCTCACATAAACGTATGCATGATTTTCAAACTCTTTTCCTTCCTAGCAAGCTTGATGTTAATGATAATGATAAATTTTTGGAAGCCATACATTAAAGATGAAGAAAAATATGGAAATAGCTCAAGTTACCTCCCCAACATTAAAACAAACAACCCTCAGAGAAAATTCACCAGTTAACGAGGAACTAGAATTTTGAACGCACTGTGAAAAAAACTAAAACAAAAGCAAACAAACAAATAAAACTTCTACCAAGTTTGAGCCATTATATGTATTTTTTTGTTGTTGCAACAGGGAACATTATCATAACTAATATACTACATTCCTAACCAGGTTAACCTGTAGCTACCAGTACTTATAAAATTATTTCTATTTTACTACTGAATGTTTGAAGGCATTTGCCAAAAGGTGACACTTCCAAGCCTGAATATGTAAATTTTACCTGACTATTGCATTTCTCCATTCACCAAAATTAATTAATATTTAGTATGTGGACAACCAATATCTAAAACGATTTGCATTTAATAAATAAAGTGACATCATTTTAATGTATGAATTCCTTTATAAGTAGTACAAAACATGTGCTCATAATGCAAACTTAAGAAAATTAATAATTTTTGTACTATAAAAAAATGTTGAACCATGTTTTCCAAAATGAATGACTCCTAAAATTCCCAAAAACAGGGATATATTTTTTCTCACATCTTTTATACATTGTCTTTTTTATGTTTTAAACATTGCAAACAAAGAGAATGATCAGGAAAATTTATTTGGGAGTCTTAGTAACTGACATAATTTAATGTGGATTGAAAAACAATGTATGAAGTCACCAGTGAATGGAGGATTTATCTATGTGGATATACATGGAATCCTTACAGTCCTTAATGTTTTAAGTGTTATGCAGTAATCTCAAAGAGAGAAACTCATTTATTTTTTGGTGTAATGGAATAATTATTTAAATTTCCTCAGCTACTGCTGAAATTTTGATTAAAATTCACCTTTTCCACACATTTTAATATAGAAAACATAGATATTATTTAAATAGAAAGGACTGGACTCCTGTCACGGACTTTTCCTAAAAACAATCTTTAACCTCCTTTCTACCCTTCTCCCTGCCTCCTGATACCAAGTTTACATAACGAAAGTCAACTAAATAGTTCCAGTATTCAACATCTGCTTTTTTCCATTTGTTTCTTACTATGCATACTTTGCCCACAAGTGTTTCAGACAAACTGTACTCTATTCTTTTCTTGTTTCTGGTCATTTGTTCACAAAGTCCACTTTACCTAGTATGCCCTCTGTAATTTCTCCTATTTAAAATCCACCAACCCCTTTAAATACAACTAAAATGCAAAAATGCATGAAAAGGCTTTTTCCTTTATATCTAAAGATATCTTATTCTACCCTGTGCTCCCAATGTCCTTTGGGTTTC
This sequence comes from Homo sapiens, assembly GCF_000001405.40. Taxonomy (NCBI): domain Eukaryota; kingdom Metazoa; phylum Chordata; class Mammalia; order Primates; family Hominidae; genus Homo; species Homo sapiens. Next base: position 18,539,399 of record NC_000021.9, read on the forward strand.
CATTACAGTCTTTAATTCATATTGCCTCATGTGATACACATTTGTGTACACGCATTTCTTAGAATGGCAATCATGAAGGGCTCGCCATTTATGTTCTGTAGCATGTGACATATATTCTATTGATAATTATTAGTTTTATATTAGTTTTTTTCCTTTAATTTATTCCTTAACCAAAGATTAATGTTGTTGTTTTTTTCTTCTGCACGTCTTCCTAGCAAGTTATAATTTCCAAACTGGACATGGTGATGGACACTTGTGGTCCCAGCTACTCAAGAGGCTGAGACAGGAAGATGGCTTGAGCCCAGGAGTTCCAGCCTACTGTGAGCTATGACTGCTACACTGCATTCCAGCATGGGTGACAGAGCTAGACCCCATCTTTTAAAAAAAGAGTTATAATTTTCAAATAAATCTACCTTTATGATTTCACTTACCCCAAACTAAAAGAGTATGTATTGAAGTTTCTTAGAGATGAAACACTTATCATGCTATTTCTTATGATCTCATTCTGGTATGTTTTCATAATACATGCAATATCTATTTTTCAAAAGATGATATCTGTATAATCTCAAAATTCTATGATTTTAGTAATCTGGTAATACTATAAAAAATTTATCCCATTCCTACTCAATTGTACAGTAGGAAAAATAAAAATCAGTCTCATTTTATATAACAAGTATTACATTAGTTTTTGAAGACATAGATAACTAATGAAAGATACTTTAAGATTATATAATTTGTTATAAAGAAGTAAGTATTTGTTTTATTTTAAAAGCAACCCATACTTAGGGAAGTCAGAGACGAGAAGCTCCTACTATAGAAGGTGGAATTGTATTAAATTTTTTTGCTGAAGAATCAAATATATACAGAAAAGCTAACAAATCAGTAGTTACATTTTGGTAAAATTTCAGAAAGTGAAGATGCTTTTGGAGCACTGCTCAGATCCAAAGATTTTTACTGACACCCAACTCCAATGACTGATTACTACCTACCCCCTTCCTTAATAGTAACCATGCTCCTGAACGATCACCACAGACTAGTTTTTTTTCAAATAACTTTATATAAATGAGATGAAATAATACAGATTATTCATCTCTGGTTTGTTTAGCATTACATTTTGTTTGTGCAATTTGCCTATATTTGCATAGAGCGGTAATTGGTTCATTGTGATTGCCACATTAACAGTTGATGAATGTTTAACTTGTTTTCAGTTTGAAGCTGTTATGAATAAAGTGCAATAAACATGTTTTATACGTGTTTTGTAACTATAAGCAAGCATTTATGTTGGGTGCAACTTTGAGAGCTTAAGTTTTAGCTCTTCTTTTGTGCATACATCGGTATTCAATTGTATTTTTAATTCACATGTGATCTCTAATGAGTGAGACTGCATACCTTTTCATGTGTTCAGGTAAATACCTTAGACAGTCCGAGGTTGACCGTACTAATCACTGAGATCGTTTCTTCTACCTGAAGAATTTGCTTTAGTATTTTGTTTACTGTGGGGATTCTGCTGACTACTTATTTCAGTTATTACTTGCCAAATATAACTGTCTTTGGTCTGTATTATTTTCATTAGACATGTAACTCTAGGGCATCAACATTTTTTTCATCTAAGCACTTTGAAGATAATTTTCAATGATCATGTGGCTTCTTTTTTTTCTTCTTTAAAATTGTTTAAATTTAAAAATTGTTTTCTGTCTTTAGTTAAGTTTTGTTTTTTTGATAACTTAGTGGTCAATTTAACTTTAACCTACAATTTTAAATTTTAGGTGTTATAATATCCATTTTGGCTCTGAAAACTTTTAATGTTTTCTCCGTCTTTCATTTCCAGCAATAATGTTATGTTATGCTATGTATGTTATGTTCATTTGAGGCTTTTTTCATAGTTATTTGCTTTGTATTGTAATTGCTTGTGAAAACTGTGACTTAACATTTTTCACCAGTTTTGAGAGTCGTTGCCATTTTCTCCTTATAGTGCTTCAGCTCCATTTATTCTTTTTTCTTTTTGCAATTTCAATTACTTATATTTTAAACCCTTCACTATCTTCCGTGTATCTTGTATATTTTTTTCTTCTATTTCTATCCTTTATCTGGAGATTTTCACTCACTCTATTGCCAAGTTTATAACTCTTTTTAATTCTGTCAAATATGTTGAAACCAGCTCACTTGTTTTATTTTTCAATGGATAATTTCCATTATGTTCTCTTTAAAGCTTTTATTTCTCTTTCAAAACTCACCATGTTCATATTACTTTCTTGCACACACATATAGTTATTTAAAGGCCTATAAAAATAATTTCAATATATGAATTCTCTATAGATATGTTTATATTGCCAAAATTTTTGCATTGTTTTTGATCAATTCTTATCTTCTTTTATTTAATTTTAAAAACCAAATGGCAGATATTTTGTATGAAAAACTATTAATATAGATTTATTCCCTAAATAGTAATATTTTATTCCACAACTTGTTGTTTTGTTTGAGTCTACCATTTAGTTGGAGGGTATATCACCAGATTTTAATCTTGCCTTTACTTCTTGTATTTATTGATCTATACCCAGTTCAGCTGGCCCCTAGGGTTCATACCGTCATGCACAATTGAAAGTATATGTTAATTACCAGAGACCATCATCCTTGGTGGATCCTTACCTTCAGTTTTTATTTGTCAAGCACTATAAACTTTTCAGTATATCTGTTCAGCTTCCCATCCTTTCCTCCATAGCTTTGGGATTGACAAATACTGTAATGTGGAGAACCTAGAACACTGGTTTGACATCCATGGGCTTTTCTTCTCTCTGGGAATGTGCTTCCCTTCCCCTTCAAGGCCATGTAGCTTTCATAACTCTCCAATGCGTTGAAACAGATTTTACAGATGTATGTGCTTTTTTTTTTCTTTTTGTACAGATTTTATAGCTCCCACGTGGGAATGTGGTTTTTGAAACATAACATCTGCACCATCACTTTGTACAATTTCCTATACACATTAAATACCTGTAAATAAAATAAAAGATAGCACCATTTTTAGAAATAGATAACAAATGAAAAGAGCAGTAATATATTATAATAGATTGATCCTGATTAGGATGTGTTTTATTTATACTGTCCATTAATAATTTTGAATTAGATATGCAAAACAATTACCAAAATTATATACAACATTAGAGAGCACTTTTACTTAATATATCTATCTATTTCTTGGTCACTGATCTTAGCATAATAACTTATTATTGATTTTTATTACTACTCACATAAATTTTATTTCATTAATGTGTTAAGTATTGATTTTGCCTAAATAGTTTTTAAGGTAAAGCATTCAGTAAGCAATCTGCTGATACAAAAGAATATTAAATTTTTTATACTCTACTTAATGTTCTTTATGTACTATTTTCATACATATTGTAGTTTTTAACCTTAATTATATTCTTTGAGCATTAAAATCTCATATGATAATAATTAAAAAAAATTTCTGTCTCTGATTAATTTATCTACTTTGTCATAAAAGTTACTAGATGATTATACAATTGTTTTGAGACTTTTGGAATTAGTCCCAAAGGATATATTCTTTTTCACCTCAAAACATGCCCAAAGTATAAAAAGGAGATCTTTTCTTTTTAAATTCAGATTGCTGCTCTCCTTAGTACATCATCTAAATCATTACAGATTTAACAAATTGTTCTGAGAACAAAATCTATTGAACACCACATAATAAATTTCTGACCATAAATTGTTGATGTAGAGAAAAAAGATGCTTAGCAGACCTTAGTTTAGTATAGTATTTGTGCCAGGAATTGTACTAAGGTTTTGAAATTGCACTGGTGAAAATACATGATTCTTCTAAGCAAGGAACTCGCTGTCTGGCAGATGTAAATACATGTAAACCAATATGTAACATTGCCTTGTGGAGGCTAAAGCAACTCCATCTTGGATGTTAATCGGCCATGTTGACTGTTTATTAACCCCAGTTCTGGGGAGCCCTCTAAGATCTCCAGTTTATCCATTGTTCCTTGTGTAAGAGCAGGTGTTACAATAATTCTTGGCCTTAAGTCAAACAACCTTGATGTTATTGTACTTTAGTTGTCATACACATCCCTTCTGAATCATGTATACATTTACATATGGTAGATAAGCCCTGAGTTTTGGGGGCAGGGGATAATGGCATGGAGATCCACCATCTTGTCTCACCTGCTGCCAGACACAGACATAACTTCTGTTCATAAGTCCCTGTTAAATGTTTTTTTTTTTTCTCCTGAGAAACTGGCTATGTCAGCCTTTTTTTCTTGCATTTTTATCTTCCTCGGACTTTGGGGTAAGATCTGCCCATTGATGAACAATAATTAAGAAAGTATTATATGTTACATGGCACCTGTACATTGAATAGTGAATTCTCAGTATTTTGAGTTCACTAAAAGAGAAAACTCTTGACACTTGTAGAAGAAATTATGCTGGAAGGGTAAGTCTGCTGATGTCAGATGATAAAGAGTCTTAAATGGCACAAAACACAGTATTTTCTTCTACATTTATACCCTTTTCCCTAATGCATGGCTTTAAATATCATTTATATGTTTATAACAACCAAGTATAGACTCGAAACCTTGATTTTTTATTGATCTTTAATAAGCTATATGTCAAGGGAGAGAGTCGATAGTATTTTATGAGACATTGGTTATGATAAGATATTGGAAGAGTCCATGAGAACCTGACATTTCTGCTAATATATATGAGTGGATTTGGGAATCTGCTCATAATAATAACAGTATTAATACTATTAATATTAACATTAACTAACATTTATTGAATCTGAATTTTGATTTATTCAAAACGTGGTCACAGATTTAAACAATACTATAAGATAGGCATTATCTTCCCAGTAGTATAGATAAAAATTTGGTAGCACAGAGAAATCCATAGTAAATGAGATTTAAGACTATGAATAGCAGAATTGTTACTGGAAAGGTGGTCTCAGTCCAGATTTCAAGAGAGGGTTCTTGGATCGCATGCAGGAAGGAATTCAAGGTGAATCACAGAGAGCAGTGAGAAGAGATTTTATAGAAAGCAACTCTGTCACAGAGTATGGCATCCTCAGAAAGCGAGTGGAGGAACACATTGTCTTTTTTTGTTGTTGTTGTTTGTTTTTTTGTTTTTCTGATGTTGGGTCTTGTCTATGCAAAAACTAAACTAAACTGTAACTATACAAGGATGAGTAGACAGCATGACAAAATGTATTATTCTATTGATTTAAAGAAAACTATCCTTGACATTTTAGTGTGTAAGTACATCAAACATAACTGTCATTATTTTGCAAGCATATATTGTTATGGGTATTGGGACATCTGGACTTTTCTTTTGTTGTAGGTGTCTGTTCTTGTAGGTATCTTTGGACTGTTTCCTCAGCTATAAAAATCTTATGACCATGAGTTGTCATAAGAATGTGGCAAGGAATTTAACTTGCTAGTTTTAAGATGAAGTTGATTTTAAAATGGTGTCACTCTGGTTCGCCTTGGCTTCTGCTTCCCTAATGGAGTCAGAATTCAAACTTCAGAAACGTCTTTCTGAAGTAGGAGCATGTATTGTGAAATGTGGAGAAAATGTAATGAATTGACTTTCGAACATTTTGATTTTAAGAAGGATTTCGTACACCCAAATGAGGTAAAGAGGCTATTTTCTGAAGCTCTTTAAAATGATCCAACATAGACATTTGTCCTTAAATTTCACATGAAGGTCAGGTGGAATGCTCTGTGTTTGAGATGGCTGAGGTTAATAGTGTGTGAAGGATAATAAAGAGGGCAAGTATAGAACCTTGGAAAACAAACGTTTTATAAGCAGTTATAGGAAAACAAGCAAATGAAGGAGAAGGAAAGAGTTTAAAATGTAGGAGGAAAATTAAAATCTGCTTTGACATGGAAATCAAGAAAAGTGTTCCAAATAATTGGAGATAGTCAATAATGTTAATGCCATAGAAAGGTTAAGGGAGATTTTTAATGTGGGCTATAAAATTCAATGTTATTGGATTCTGCCTTCTCTACACCCTCAGCCAAAGAAAACATCTCTCTCTGGTGCTAAAAAACTTTCACAATTTTCATCCAACCTCATCTCGCTTGGATTACGGCAAGAATAATCTATAATACTGTCATAAATTATTAATAATGTCTCATCTGATTATTACCATTTGGAACTAAATTGGTGAAGTTACAAAATATTTCCAGATATAATTTTACTTTGTTAAGGAAATTTCTAAAAACATTTAGTTATAGACTAACTTTACTCTTCTCAGTCAAAACTTACTAAAGGTACAACAATAGTGAAAATATTAATATAAACACTCATAGAAATGTATTTTGATGGAATCAGAGGTAACATTTTAACTCTTACTTATCCTGAACCCATATTCCCCTACCTTCTTAAAGATTCTCTGTGTCCTCTTGGAAGCCATAGTCCTCATTAATTACCAATGAATATTTGAAGTCACTCTAACACATATTTATTTTGACAATGTTCCGATATAAATGGGATTGAGGAACTTCCAGAAAGCATTTGAAATTTTTTCATACTGAGTTTCACACATCCACAAATGTGTCTGATAGACTGGAAAAGTTCTAATAGAATCAACTCTGCAGGAAGGAAAGCTGGGATACTGAAATGTAAATTATTCAGAAAGAGGCAGGAAACTGACTGAGTCATCCATAGTCAGAAACCAAGGGGCAATGATTCCAGGAGCAATGTGAGTCCATGTGAAAATTGTTTTGTTACCATGTCACAACCATATCAAAACACATAGACTGCGAAGATCTGGGAAAACTTATACTTCCATTTAGAGTAGAAAAAAATTTTCCATGTGTTTTCTAATGTTTTCAAGCCATGTAAATATGCCCAGTCTTTTTGTTTCCTAGAAAGAATAGATTATCTTTAGAGGAGAATAGTTTCCATACAGCACTGAACTCTGTCGATTAATGCAATCATACATTGTTATTACTAAAACCTACACCAATCTATCTGAAAACATTGTGGTTTAATTTTATTCTTTTGAATGCAGTACATGAGCTTCTTCAGATATCGATTTCAATAACAGGTAGATTATACATTGTAAATGAAAATGAAATATCTGATCCACACTCTAATGTAGGTACCCGGTTAGGGTACCTTAGATAGGGTATCTAGAATTTTCCTCAGAAGTATTTCTAGAGCTCCTAAACCTCAGGAAAATTGGCTGAACCATTTCTCATCCCCAATCAAACACAAGTTCTAGAATGACCCAAGCTTTTCTGAATTAAGTAGACTGTAATATTTTTTTCTATGTTTGGTTGTTGACTACTGACTTCTATTATCAGAGTGCTGCTGGATTGGCCATTTACAATTTCTACTGCTCTTGTTCTTTTGGTCTTCACATTTCTTTTTTAATTCTTTCGTCTTCTGGCACTTTGGACTGAAGAAAAAAAAGTAAAAGAAGAATATAGGCAACTTTCATTGTCTACAAATTTGGGCAGCCAAATTTTTACTGCCTATGTACTGAAAAGAATCTTTCCTTTTACCTGTGGCACAATGAGAATTTCTGCATTATGCTAAAACATTGCAAACTGCCAGCAGCTCAATTATATATACTTTTATAGTTCATTACCCAAACCATCTCTCTCCCTGAGAAATCCTGAAATTTAGCTATGCCTCATTGATTCACAGTAGATATGCCACTCTGGATGTAGTTTTTTCAAAAGGAAAAAAAAGTGTACAGAATTAAAAACAACTGCACTCATTTACATATATGCTACTCTGTGATCTTGTCTGTTACTTTATTGCACTGAAGTTTCTGTTAGCCCATTGAGTGCTGTCATATTTGTTTGAAGAGCTTTCTAAAATCAAGTTCAGAATCTGATCTCTGTGTGGAACAACTGGCCTTCTTCTAAGCCTACCCTATTCATATCTGCAATTTGTTGAGCAGACAGAAGCTCTAACCCCACAGGAAAGTTTCCTGAATTTTATGATCATCATATTTATAACTATGTGCCCTTGTGCTTGATAGAAGCATGGGGATGTATCAGAACATAATGGTTATCACTAGAGGATACTATCACATTACCCCAATAATGAAGGTTTCTCTTGTATCTTGAATGCATGTAAGGACAAACATTATCATTCATGTTACTATGATTATTATAGTAGGAATTTTACTCAACTGCAACCTGGAGGAGTGATTCACCTATTCTTCATCTTCTTTTGTATTTTACACAGTTGTGTCTGTCATGGCTCCTTTTAAAGGACATACATATAATTCAAAAAATTTTATATCACACATAATCCCGGATGTTTGACTTACCATCCACCAGTGGACACCTGGGGCATCCAATATCCACCTATAATTTTGCTGTAGGAATCATTAATCATCTTCTATCACACAGAATATTCCAACTGGTTTAATGAAAAGTTTATCATTGATTATTACCCACAACTAGTCACAGAAGTTATCTTTGTTAATATCTCTGTAGCACAGATGAACATATCTCAATGGAGGTATCAGGCATGCAGGAGGAAGCATGTACATAGAAAATCATTCAATGACCACTAAGTTGGTTTTAATTTAATGGAAACTATTTTAAGAAAAATAATTTTGCAAAAATCCCAGTTATCTTTGATATAGCTTTCTGACAGACTATTTTTGTTTCTTAGTATACCCTCTAAAAAATACTGGAAAAAAACTGTCAAAATAATTTCAGGGCTTTTTTTTTTTTTTGCACAAAATGAGCAAAGCAGTAGTGTAGATTTCTGATAAATATATTTAAATTGTGTTAAAGTCTTCAGTTCAATGAAGATTCATGTTATTAAAATTGGCTTAACATTTGCTAACAGAACCATAATAAAGAAATGGAATTTTTCTTTATTTTATTAACAAAAGCTAAACAATTTGACCAAAGGATTCATTTAAAATGAATAGTGCTCAAATTCCTACTCATACTCTGTGGATCAAAATAGTATATTATGTTCTTCATTACATCAAGTTGAAAGTGTGTACTTTAAAAATATTTAAACCAGTACATTTTAAATAATGAAATATTAATTTCCAAATATTGGGCAGATGATGCAATAGTTTTTATGCCATATACTTTTCTTTCTATCTGAAACTCTTGAATATTTACATGTTGCTTAAACTGTTTCTTTTCTTATTAAAAGTTAAGTGTTGTTTTGAATAATTATAAATAATTTTAGGTGTGAACAATTATGCTTTGCTTGTTTTATTTAAGTCTATTTAATTCAATTTAAAATGTATTAAATTAAAATCCATTAAAATTAGTTGCATTAAAATTTAAATTTAGTAAAATTAAACCTATTCAATATAATATCATAGGAATATGAAACATCAATATGCAAAAACAAACAAACAAAAAACAAGCAATAAACCTGTTTCTCTTGAAATACATGAGTATACAATCTGGGGGCTAGATAATCAAGAAAGCTCACTAATTAAGAAATTGAAATAGGATTTCTTGTAGAACTAAAAGTGCCATTTAACTCAACCAGGATCCCAGTAAAAGATCCAAAAAGTACTCTGTTGTAGGCTAATTATCTTTCTCAATATGAGATGGCACAGGTCTCACTGGAAACAATTAGGCTAAAAAATGTTCATTTGTAAGTTCCTGTTTCTACTCACATATATTTGATATATTTGAATGTACAATTTTTGAAATTTTAGAAAAACTACTACATTTAGGAAAATACACATTTTTAATGGGAAACTGAAACAAAATATTAAACATCATCATAATGTATTTTAATATCATAAAAACTTTAAGCTTTCGTGAGGGAGTTTCTGTAGGGAGAAAATTAATCTGCCTTTCTTTTACCTTCCACTTTGTAAACTTCATTACAAGGCTTGTTAATTCAAGGAAAAATGTTCATTATTTTTAGCCTTTAAAGCTTAAAAGTACAATTGAGAATCATTCACTACAGGCACATCATTTTCCACTGACTGATCGCTGTCTGCTTTCAAAGAACAATCATTTGTAATCTTATGATATGATGGTGAGTAATCACCATCTTAAAGCGATTTCTTTCCTATTAACCTTTCTGTTAACTCCACAATTTGTTTACAACAAAAACAAATCAGTCAACACTTTTGTAATTTTCATTAGCAGCACAGCTTTTCTCTCTGATTCAAAAACAAAATCCTTGGTTGATGTGTTCATGAAATTCTGACTTTCTTTCCTGGAGTCTCTTTGCAGTATTAAAAACAGCATGGGTGAGTCTTTTTAAAAAGATTTGGAATCTGAGACAAATCAAAACGAGAGTTCTATTATCCCTAATATGCTCTTGAGAACAGTGATCAGATTCCTTAGCTGAGTCAGTTTCAGCACTCAAGTTTTACATGTGTGTGGCTGCTCTGAAAACCACAGAGATATTCTGTGAAACCTTTTCTACTTTGAGAAAAAAACAGGAGTCATATGCAACGGCTCCAGAAATTAATAGGTCTTGAACCCATTTTGTTTTAGATAAAAATTGAGTAAATACAGAATAATTTTTCTTTCTTTTTTATCTTTTCTTTGTTGTTGTTGTTGTTTTTGTTGTTGCTCCTTATCCTTGGCATAAGGAGTTGGTACATTAATATTGTTTTAACACAAAGATATACAGGTTTATTGTCTGGAAATTATGTATGCAGCTTCAATTTATTTTATAAAACATCTGTGTATGTGTGATATACAAAGAATTACAGTTAGCCCTAGTTCACCCAATGCAAACCACATAACATTATTTTTTCCTCTCACTGCATAACCTACCATTAATTTTATTAATGAGTTAAATCTTCAAATAACAGAAAGTCCTTGGATAATGACAAAGGTCAACTCCTCTGTGAGCTGGGCATTTAAAAATATTTTTAAAAGGTCAAACTAATTTAAAACACTAGTCTATACCCTTCAGCTACGTTGATCCACAACTATTTGTACCATTGTTTGTTGAAGTGCAGAGTACACTCTCTAATAAAAAGATGGAAAACAAAACAATGACAGTCACAGCCAGAGGTCAATACTGAAAAGATTTTTAAAAATTCTATTAATAAAGCTAACAGTATATGATTTGAGTAAATGGTGACAGGCAGTACTTTGTCAGCTGCTCTTGGAATACCTACCACTTTCATATGACAATTTTCCTTGCTGTGATAATTTGAATTTCCACCATAAAATAGCACTGCTGAGAGTCCGGCATTATATACTGTCACATGTAGTATTATATCTCAAACAGGATGACATGGTTCCCGCTCTCTAAGTACATCAGGAGTGAATGAGGAATACCCGAAGAAAACAAATACAACAATATCCTAACATTATGGCACAGGTAATGGCAAATTTTATCATTTCAATTAAAAATATTAAGTCAAGTAGAATTTATCAAACAAGTAAACTGTGGAAGATAACTCATTGTCAAGTATTTTTCTTAAGATTCCCTATAAAAATAAGGTGGCTCATGCCTGTAATCCCAGCACTTGTGGGAGGCCGAGGCGGGTGGATCACGAGGTCAGGAGATCGAGACCATGGTGAAACCCCATCTCTACTAAAAATACAAAAAATTAGCCGGCCGTGGTGGCGGGCGCCTGTAGTCCCAGCTGCACGGGAGGCTGAGGCAGGAGAATGGCGTGAACCCAGGAGGCGGAGCTTGCAGTGAGCCGAGATTGCGCCACTGCACTCCAGCCTGGGTAACAGAGCGAGACTCCATCTCAAAAAAATAAATAAATAAAAAAAATAAGGCTTATTATAGCACTCCAAATGCAGGTGAATTTATGTAAGTACAATCAAAACATACGTCTTTATTAATGCCTTTACTACTTAACGTTTTGAACAATATGTGTATAAAAATAAAGTCAAATCCATACGAAATCTTAATTTTTAAAAATTCTCGATGGAGCTGGTCATGGCAGAATCTAGGAAGAAGAGCAAGAGTTTTAAAAATCTTTATTTTTTTTAGAGCTACTTTAGTGACAGTTTATTTTTCCACCCAAACTTTTCTTTTAATCAAATTTATACTTGCAGCTCTTACCTTCTTTATAAATCACTGTAGAATAATCGCATAATTTGAAGTAGAAGGGAAAAAAATGTACTCTTAAAATTGCTCCCTCTTGTTTCCATCCCCAGTCAACCCAGGTTACATTTGCAGTCCTTAAAAATGTGATGAATAGGAAATAGAGTCATTTAAATTTATATGTCACCTAGGAAATGTATAGAAAGGAATCTAAAAGCTAAGGGACTTTTTAGTGATAATACACTCAGGATTTCATCAGACTTTTACAACAGTTAATAGGGTGAGAGATGGCATAGCTTCACAGTGCTAGAGATAATGCTCCATTCCCATAAGTAGTTATATAATACCAATCACAGCAGCACTTAGTCTTTAACAAAAGATCAAATGAGTTCTTTCTGGGAGTTACTTAATCCATAGATCAGGACAATAAAGAGACAGAGTATCACTGTACATTATTCAGAGGAAAGGACAGAGGGCAGTGGGTGTTGGGCAAAGGGTGGCTGTATGTGAGAAAGTCTTGCTACCAGGCTACTTTGACACAGTATTTGTACTTACAGGCTTCAGCATGGTCCCAATTCCTGCTCAATAAATCTCTAAGATTTAAAGATTTCTGAGATCAAAGAAAGTTTGAGGGATTTATTCCACTAGTCACTTGCCACAGTTCACATTTATAGTTAGAGGGTATAATTCCTTGCATTTGCAAAAGTAACTAGGGGTATTCACAAATACATATCTGAGCCTACTATAGTTATATAAACTATTGCATTTTGATACATTCATATAATTAAGTTAAACCCTTTAACCTGTAAGAGGATGGCCACTGAATCTGTATCCTTATCTCAGCACATTGAGCTTATTTGACTTAATATCTTAGCAGTTCTTGCCTGAAGTTTACAAAAGCATTGATGAACAAACTGGAATGATTTTTTAAAAAATGTTTAAACATTAACTATTAGTCCCCTTTGTATTAGTGAGGCTTCTGCAAAGAAATAGAACCAATAGTTAATCTCTCAGGATTATTCTAAGAAATTGGCTCATGCAATCATAGAGGCTGACAAGCACCAAGATCTACAATCAATCTGAAAACCCAAGAGAGCTGATAGTATAGCTCCAGTCCATGTCCAAGGCTTAAGAACCAGGAGAGTGAAAGTGTAGTTCCAGTCTGAGACCATGTAGGATTGAGACCCACGAAGACCCAATGTTTCAGTTTGAGTCTGAATGCAGGAGAAAACCAATGTCCCCACTTGAAGGCACTCAGGCAGGAGAAATTCCCTTTACTCCCAGGAGGGTCATCTTTTTTGCTCTATTCAGACATTCAACTCACTGAATAAGCCCCACTCACCTTGAAAAAGGCAATCTGTTTTATTTGGTCTACCAATTAAAATGTAAATCTCATCCAGAAACACCGTCACCCCCACACCTAGCACAATGCTTGAACAAATATTTGGGCACTCTGGATCCCGGTAATGTTGACAGATGAAATAATCATCACATTCTGCAAATGCATTTCTCTGTAGTTTCAGTATTTTACTCACTCAAACTGTAGTTGTTTTTGAGATAAGAGTCAATAAAGGTCATGCAAGGGCATTTAATCAGATATCTTAATTTTAAATAGTGGAAAGCCAAAAGAATCAGTTCCAATATTTTTTCCCTAGAGATCCACCAATAGTTCTCCATTGTTTTTATAGAGGACTTAAAGGTGATTCACTCAATTATCTTCCCAAAAGAACAATGACAGACTTAGTAGCGCCATCTAAATTATACCCCCCATATATATATTTTAGTGAGATATTTGTGGAACATCTTATAACAGATGCAGGTTATCAACTAAATTTCTCTTTTGATGTGGTTTTGTTTGGTCTTCTAAACAGTATTTTATAAAACAATTAAGAGTAAAATACTCAATCCAACAAATTTCTTTTGTCCACATGTCTAGGAAGGAATGTGCTTTATTGGTGGGTGGTTGACAATAATTGGAACATGGAGAATGAGTGTTTCTAGATGAACAGTGAACTACAGAGGGTGGAAAATATTATCATGCTACTCCCAATCACCAGCAAATGATTGACATTAATTTGTCAGTCTGGATTGCAATAAACCAAAATACAGTGTTTTATGGTAGAGTTATAAATATTATCTTCTTTAGTAATAAAAAAAATATAAAACAACACTATTGCCTGGAGGAGGTATTAAATAATTGTTATATTAATTGTAGGAAACCATAATGTCTCTCTTATTTAAGAGAAGCCATTACACACTCAATGTTAAAATGTGGAAAGGTGCAGAATAAGCAAATACATAAATTTTTAATAGGATTTGTGAATTATTCAGTTTATTTCTGTCTTAGTTACTTTGGACTACTATGGCACATTAGCATAGACTGGGTGGCTTAACCAAAATTTATGTCTCATTTCTAGTGTCTGGGAAGTCTGAGATCAAGATGCTGGAAGATCCAGTGTCTGATGAGGGCTTACTTCTTTGTTTGCAGAAAACTGACTTCTTGTTGTATCATCATATGGCAGAAGGAGAGCTAATAAGCTCTCTAGCCTCTTATAAAAAGTACTAATCCCATTTATGAGGCCTCCACTCTCATGACTTAATCACCGCCCAAGGGCCCCACCTTCAAATACCTTCACATTGGGATTAGAGTTTTAACATATGAATTTCGAGGAAACAGATTCTGTCTATTGCAGTCCCTTATTTTAGCTATCAGCAAGTTTGGCCAAACCAGTATTTTTCTCTTAAATTTAATTTTAGCAGCCAGATTATGATATCACTGACTTTCATCATGCTGCACATATTAAAATGTACAAGTTGACAAGTTATGACCTGTGTATACAACTGCAAAACCATCACCACAACCAAGATAACCAGCATATCCATCATCCCAGAAAGTTTGCTTAGGCCTCTTCCTAATTATTTCTCATTGCTTTTCTCTACTCACTCTCACACAGTTTCCAGAAAACTACTAATCTAATTTTGTTCACTCTACATTAGTTTGCATTTTTGAAAAATGACATAAAGGGAATTACATATTATAGCACACATAATTTTGTCTGGGTTCTGTCATTCAGCATAATTATTGTGAGTTTCATCTGTATCATGTGTCAGTAGCTCATTCCATTTGATTGCTCAGTAGCATTTCATTGTATTCATATACCACAATTGTTCATCTATTGACCTGTTGACAGACATTAGAGTTGCTTACCAATAAAACTGTAGAAACATCTGTTTATAAATAATCATACAGATAAATGCTTTTATTTCTCTTGAGTAAATTCCCAGTAACTAAAGAGATGGCTCATAAGTGTAGGTGTCTATTTAACTTTTCAAGAAACTGCCACTCTGTTCCCAAAATGGCATTATCATTTCATTTTCTCCACAGCAGTATATGAGAGTTCCAGTTTTTCTGTATTCTCACAAACACTTGGTATGATTGGCCATTTTTGTTTAAAGCCATTCTGATTGGTATATAGTAGTATTTTTATGACAGTTTTAATTTGCAGTTTCCTTATGGACAATGATGTTGAGCATATTTTTCCTGTGCTTATTTACCATCTCTCTATACCTTATGGTAGGGTGTCTGTTAAAATATTTTGCCTATTTTTAATTGATAAAATTCAACACCCATTATTATTAAAAAGTTTCAGCCAACCAGGAATAGAAGGAATCTTTCTCAATCTGATATAACATCTTGAAACATCTATAGCTAACATCAAACTTAATGGTGAAAGGCTGAATTTTTTCTTTTTACTAATATCAGGAACAAGACAAAAATGTCCAGTCTTACTATTTCTCTTTAGCATTGTAGTGGAGCTTTGGCTAGTGCAGTTGGGCAAGAAAAATAAATTAGAAAGAAGTAGAACTTGTTTTTACATAGATGACATGATTATGTACAAATTCTGACCAAACCTATGAAAAAGCTACTGGAACTAATAAACGAGATCAGTAATTAAAGTTACATATACTAGTAATAATATTTAAATATTTTGTTAATTTTAAAACTATCATGTATAATAGCATAAAAGTATGAAATATTTAGGAATGAATCTGATAAAACATGTGAAATATCTGTATTCTCTACTCTGAGAACTGAAACCTTTATAATGTTGCTGAGAGAAATTAAAGAAGACCTAAATAAATGGAAGAGATAAATCATGTTCATACCTCTGGGTACTTAATATTTTTAAGATGTACATTCACCTTAATTTGCTAAAAATTCAATAATATCCCAATCAAAATCCTAGGGAGCTTTTGTTTGGTGGAATTAACAAATCGGTTCTAAAATTTATATGGGAATCCACAGTATCTACAAGAGCCGAAATACTAGTGAAAGTGAATAACAGAGTTGGAGAACTAACATAACTAAGAACTTAACATAATTTCAAGACATACTACAAAGCCATTATAATCAAGACTGTGTTATGGTTTTTAAGATAGATACATAGATCCATAGAACAGGGTAGAAAATGAAGCAAAAAAATATATATATATATACAGACATATATGAACAACTGATTTTCAAAAGAGTAAAAGTTTTTCTTCTAGGGTTTTTATGGTTTTGAGTTTTACATTTAATTCTTTAATCCATCTTGAGATAATTTTTGTATAAGGTGTAAGGAAGGGGTCCAGTTTTAGTTTTCTGCATATGGCTAGCCAGTGTGCCCAGCTATTTATTGAATAGGAGATCCTTTCCCCATTGCTATTGCTTGTTTTTGTTTTTTTGAAAATCAGATGGTTGTAGATGTGTGGTGTTATTTCTGAAGTCTCTGTTCCATTCCATTAGTCTATATGTCTGTTTTGATACCAGTAGGTTACTGTAGCCTTGTAGTACAGTTTGAAGCCAGGTAGCGTGATGCCTCCAGCTTTGCTCTTTTTGCTTAGCATTGTCTTGGCTGTATGGGGTCTTCTTTGATTCCATATGAAATTTAAAGTAGTTTTTTCTAATTATGTGAAGAATGTAAATAGTAGTTTGATGGGAATGGCATTGAATCTAGAAATTACTTTGGGCAGTATGGCCACTTACACAATATTGATTCTTCCTATCCATGAGGATGGAATTTTTTTTATTTGTTTGTGTCCTCTCTTATTTCCTTGAGCAATGGATTGTAGTTCTCCTTGAAGAGGTCCTTCATGTCCCTTGTTAGCTGTATTCCTAGGTATTTTATTCTCTTTGTATCAATTGTGAATGGGAGTTCATTCATGATTTGGCTCTCTGCTTGTCTATTGTTTGTGTAAAGGAATGCTTGTGATTTTTGCACATTGATTTTGTATCTTGAGACTTTGCTGAAGTTGCTTATAAGTTTAAGAAGTTTTGGGGCTGAGGTGATGGGGTTTTTCTAAATATAAAATCATGTCTTCTGCAAACAAAGAAAATTTGATTTCCTCTCATCCTATTTGAGTACGCTTTATTTCTTTCTCTTGCCTGATTGTCTTGGCTGGAACTTCCAACACTAAGTTGAATAGGAGTGGCATCATTCAGGACATAGGCATGGGCAAAGACTTCATGATGAAAATGCCAACGAAAACCAAAATTGACAAATGGGATCTAATTAAACTAAAGAGCTTCTGCATAGAAAAAGAAACTATCAGCAGAGTGAACAGGCGACATACAGAATGGGAGAACATTTTAGCAATCTACCCATCCGACAAAGGTCTAATATTCAGAATCTACAAGGAATTTAAACAAATTTACAAGAAAAAAACAAACAACCCCATCAAAAAGCAGGCAAACAATATGAACAGACACTTCTCAAAAGAAGGCATTTACATGGCCAACAAACGTGAAAGAAAGCTCAACATCACTAATTATCAGAGAAACGCAAATCAAAACCACAATGAGATACCATCTTATGCCAGTCAGAATGGCGATTATTAAAAAGTCAAGAAACAATAGATGTTGGCAAGGTTGTGGACAAATAAGAATGCTTTTACACTGTTGATGGGAATGTAAATTAGTTCAACCATTGTGGAAGAGAGTATGGCGATTCCTCGAGGATCTAGAACCAGATATACCATTTGACTCAACAATCCCATGTCTGGGTATATACCCAAAGGAATAGAGATCATTCTACTATAAAGACACATGCACACATATGTTTATTGCAGCACTATTTACAATGGCAAAGACCTGGAACCAACCCAAATGCCCATCAATGATAGACTGGCTAGAGAAAATGTGGTAGGTATACACCATGGAATACTAAGCAGCCAAAAAAAGGAATGATTGCATTTCCTTTGCAGGGATATAGATGAAGCTGGAAGCCATCATCCTCATCAAACTAACACAGGAACAGAAAACCAAACACCACGTGTCCTCACTCATAAGTGGGAGTTGAACAATGAGAACACATGGAAATTGAGAGAAGGGATCAATACATACCAAGGCCCGTTGTGGGTTGCGGGGGTGAGAGGAAGGAACTTAGAGGACAGGTCAATAGGTGCAGCAAACCACCATGGCACACGCATACTTATGTAACAAACCTGCACGCTCTGCACATGTATCCTGTTGTTTGTTGTTGTTATTGTTCTTGTTTTGTAGAAGTAAAGAAAAAAATAAAAAAAAGAAGAAAATTAATTCAATGGAAATAGGAGACTCATTACAACAATGGTGGTATAGCAATTTAATGAACTTTGGCCTGTACCTCACATCATACACAAAGTGAACTAAAAAAAGAATAAGCATAAATGCTAAAACTTAATAAAAATGATTTTATAAGTTAGTTTTAAGACACACAGAGAAGGTTCTCCACATGTAATAAAGTAATGAGAGGTAAGGCAGGAATCATGAAGAACTATGATTTATTTCTTAAATCTGTAAATATTCATAATCAATGAGAGAGGATGTAGGGGTACACAGTAATATTGATGAGGTAAACAAGTGAATTCTTAATCAATAGTGGTCATTGTCCTACTTCTTCCTAAAAGGAATTAATTTCCAACCAAACCTGGATAATATTTCTTCTGTTTTTATTCTTCACATGAATAGATAGAGTTACCTCTAAGAGTTATAGAGTTGGGAATTTTGTCCAGCCCTGACATTTATTGAAACAAATGTTATCTATCAACTCAGTGATATAAATTTTAATTTTCAATAAATGAGAATCTCTTAAAGAAATAATGGTAGTAATAATGATGAAATATCTTTGCAAAAGATATCAAAGTTTCAGATTGTATAATAGTTTGAACATCAAGTTGATCATTTGAAAAATTTCGTTAAGTATTCAACTTTGTCCAAAGGATGTAGACCTGTATTAGGAGACATAATAAAATATTATCAATAATAAATGTGCCTTATTTGAATAAATTAATATTTGAGAGCCTTTCTGACTGACAATGTCAGCAGGAAAAATGGAAATGAAACATTTGCATTAGCAGATTCAGAAGTGCTAGAAAAGGTACAAATACGGAAGCTGGGGAATTTCACGGTTCTAACTACTAACAATAGAAAAGAATTTTTATACATGCCTTTGGGAGTTAAAATAAGAATTAAACATTGTTTTATATCCTTACATTTATTTTCAGAAATAATTTCACCTATGTTACTGTATTTTGGGAATAGCCTCTATGACTATTCAGAAAATATTTATAATCTCAAAATAAGAGTGATTGAAACACACATAAAAAAATCCAGAGGCAGAAGTTATAGGGCTTCCTTCCTATCGAAGGGTCCAACATTCTTCTGTTTTCTACTCCATCATTATTGATTCCTGTATCTATTATCAAGTCAAGTCATACATACTCCAAGATGGCTACTGAAGCCTGGACCAAATCTGCTCTTTCAATTCAACAGATGGGGAAAGACATCAAAAGGGTACATTGTCAACTGAATAGACTTTCTTTAAGGAACCTTCCTGAAAGTTGAATACATCCATTCTCTTTACCTCTCTTTAATTAGAATCTAGATTATATGGCAACAACAAGATACATGGGTTATATCATTTTGTAGCTTGGTTTACCTTATAAATTGTATATGACTTTATATGGGAAGAACATGAGGATAAATGTTGGGTAGGCAACTAGCAAGCTCTGTTGAAGTCTCTATTGTTATTAGGCCACACTAAATTTTCACATTTTTTCTCTATTTTGGGGGTACAGAATATTATCAGTTAGGAACAATCATTCTTAAATGTATAGCTATACACATGACAAGTATGCAGTACAATCATTCTTAAATGCATACATATACACATGACAAGTATGCAATTACAATGCTGGAGACAGTCTGAGTTTGCATTTCCACATGTGTGCTCAGAAAGTACTTTTTAAATACTTGCCTTAGTGTCATAATCAAATAGTATTGTATAAATAATTGTACCACTTCAACATTATTCACTGGAAGGCACAAACTGTACTTAATGCATCTGTATCAGTCAACTGTTGCTATATTATAAACAATTAACACAATCTCAGTGACATTAAAAATAAACATTTCCTCTCAAGCATCTGTTAATCAGAGAGGGCAGCTCTTCTGACCTCAGTTGGACAGACTCAGTAATCCACTTATTAAGCTCAGCAACTTGATTCTTCTTCAGGTACCTAGCAGTGAATAAAGAAACAAGCCTAATGCTGTAAGCCCTTGGTTGTGTCAATTGCACAAACCAAGTCACTTAGTTCAAAGTCGAGAGTCAGGGAAGTAGATTCCTTTGTAAGAATTGTACAACTACATGAAAAGGAGCAATGATATAGGAAAGAATGGAGAATGGGCTGGCAATTAAACCTACCACAGTAAAAATCCTCCCATATAAAGTCATATTGAAACCTCCTGAATTTAGGGCCTGACATAGTTGACCTCATTAAACAGATTATAAAATGAGGACGGAAATACATTTTAAACCACCACTTTGTTCAGGCTTCTTTGCCCATACCTTCTTAAAAACATTTCCTTAAAAACATTTCCTATATATAGCTTCACATTATTTCTTAAAAATGATCATTGAAGTTTAATATATACCAGTTTTCTACTACTTTAATAAGTTCTTTAATATTAAGAACTTATTCATGAGCTGGGTCTAATGGCTCCCACCTGTAATCACAACACTTTGGGAGGCCAAAGCAGGAGGATTGCTTGAGCCCAGGAGTTCAGGACCAGCCTGAGCAACACGGCAAGACCTTGTCTCTACAAAAAATATTAAAAAAAAATAGCCAAGTCTGGTGATGCATGCCTGTGGTCCCAGCTACTTGGGAGGCTGAGGTGGGAGGATCATCTGAGCCCGGGAAGTAGAGGATGCAGTGAACTGTGTTCGCACCACTGCACTCCAGCCTGGGCAACAAAGAGAGACTTTGTCTCAAAATAAGTAAGTAAATAAATAACTTATTCATAATTTCTCATCTGAATGCCTCCTACTACTGGTTGCACAATTGGTTCATCATTGTGTCAAGTCTTCCACTGTGCCAGAACAACTGTAAATATAAATAAAACCTAAGGAATGTAACATAAATGAGGATTCATTAAAGTCTAAGGATTAAACAAATCTATATATAAAGTATTGAAAATAAATTCCTGGCAATAAATAACACTCATTTTATAGTATGTTGTTATTAAAGACATTTTACTGAACATGAATTCTTTGCAAGATAATGTTATAATAAGTTAATATTTAATTTTTTTAAATTGGACATTTTATTTTTTAAAAAGACCATGAAAAGTCGTGCTTTTCCACTTACAGGCTGCATGACTTGGGCAAATAATTCAGCTGCTATGATTCTCAGATGTATTCTTTTTACATAATACATATGAGATTTAAAATAAAATATATATCTGAAATACTTAGCAAAGTGCTTGGCATATATTATGCTGTAAATAAGTATTATCTTTTTTGTTGTCTATTTCCCTCTATCAGTCAGAGTCAATTCAGAAAACAAAATCACATCAGTTACTTTACCAATAGAATTTAATGTAAACAATTGTTAACCATGTACAAATTTGTTAATTAGCTTATAAGAAAGTCCTGGTGATGACTCTTAAGGAGCATGCTGCCTTCAAGCATCTGTTTAACAAAGCACATCTTGCACTGCCCTTAATCCATTCAACTCTGAGTTGACACAGCACATGTTTCAGAGAGCACGGGGTTGGAGGTAAGGTCATAGATTAACAGAATCTCAAGGCAGAAGAATTTCTCCTAGTACATAAGAAAATGGAGTCTCCTATGTCTACTTCTTTCTACACAGACACAGTAACAATCTGATCTCTCTTGCTTTTCCCCACATTTCCCCCTTCTCTTTTCGACAAAACTGCCATCGTCATCTTGGCCTGTTCTTGATGGTCGCTGTCTCTTCGGAGCTGTTGGGTACACCTGCAGACTAACAACAGACAAAACAGGCACACAAGGATTAATATGAGATTTATAATCGTAGTACTTCCAATGGTCTTAACTCAAGTGACAGGGTTAAGATTTGCGAGGCCATCAGCAACTTCTGCAGTTGCCTGAGTTCCTGGCACCAAATTTAAATGGGCTTTTGATGCTTCGAAAATTTGTTCTTTTAACTTGGAAATGTCTAAAGTGAGAGTATCTTCTTTTCCTTGTAGATGGCGTCTAACCATGTCCTAGTGATGCTTAGACTCATTATAAATTTGGGTTGTAATACAAAAATCTGACGTATTCTAGTCACACTGTAACTGGAAACGATGTTCTAAGCTCATGAGTCTGTCTTCCATCTAAATGACAGTTTAAGATCATTAATTTGATTTACCAATTTTTGATCAATACTAGATTGTGAATTCCACAATCTTGTAGAATTTTTTTGCCAATCATTAACAAAGTTCACTGACTGAACAGAAGAGTGCAATGCAACTCTTGCTACAGCAGCCGTAGCTGTGACTGCAATTAATCCTATAATCACTGCAATTAAAGTAAAAATGAATCTTTTGGATCTATTTAAAACACCTTTTAATACTTCAGTCAAAATATGGACGGATGGCGAGGCCTCCTACGGTCGGTCCATGGACACAGGGATCCACACGCCTTCTCTTGCTCTCACCAGCAGAATACGGTGTTGCCAATTAAAAGTTGAATCAATGCAAGTAAGCAATCTACAATTTTCACAGGTTATAGTCTGGGAGTCTGGTTTAATAACTATATTTCTTACAACTAGCATATAAGGGGGCTTTACGCAACTTTGTAAAGGAACCGTTAGACTGGAATTTAGGTCGATAGTATAAAATGGCTTATGATCTCTTGTTTCTAAAGTTTGATTTCCAGACCAAATTCTAATGTGGTGTGAGGCCACAGTAATCCTCCATAATTCTGGATGTTCAGGACCAGAAACAGGACTTATTATTTTTGGTCTTGGGGTAGAGATTCCTTTTTCTTCCCATTCCTAAGGGTAGAAAGACTGCAATTTTTTATGCTTATGTTTGTCTAAACTTTCTGTTAAGTCGCTATCAACAGCTGGACTCACTTGTGCACTTGGACACGACTGAGTTTGTCCTGAGCAATTGTGGTAGAATTGACCTCGAGGTGCCCAATCTATAATAGTTCCGAATTCATTGTTTTGTAATATCACTGCACTATTGGCCACACATTCTTCCTAAACTAAAACTTCTGTATTTTTTGATTCTTTGGGAATTTCCTTGGGGCAAGGTTTCTCTTTAGGTCTAAATTTTAATGATCTTTGATAAGAAAAGTCTTGTAAATAATTTACCTGTGGCCTGAGTGACATCCTGCTTACCATGTGATAAGTGAATCTACTGATGGGACTGACAGTAGGTACTTCTACCAACCAATTTTGGACTGCAGGCATTAAACATCTTGGTGCTCTCCCTAGGCAAATAGGAAGATAACGATACCTAATGGAAATATTTATCATCATCCTTTCTTCCTCAGGTTTGGCAGGGCAGCGATTATCTATGGGGCCAGGTACCTATACACTATCATTAACATATACTTCTATAGGATTATCCATCCATGTGACTGGTGTTACTACCTCCGTGGAGGCCCTTTTCTTTGCATCTCCGACGGGTTCATTGTAGAACTTCAAATGTCTAGTGGGTATCCAAACAGGAAGCTGATTTTCTCCTGGTGAAACACAAGCAAAACCTCTCCCCCACGTTATCACCTTCCTTATTTCCTATGTCTTATTTTTATTATCTTTCTACTAAATTAGGTTTCCTTCATGTGGGCTGTTCTTTTTACCAGTAAGATGTTGTTCTGCAGAAGTAGTAGCCTGATTTCTGTAAATGTTTAAAAAATTTAAAGTATAGAGTGCTAGATTAAGTTGCATCTGAGGAGTGGTACACTCCTTACTGTCTCCCCCTTCTTTTTGTTTAACTAATTGAGTTTTGAGTGTTCTATTAGTTCTTTCAACTATGGCTTGTCCTTGGGAATTATAAGGAATTCTTGTTGTATGTGAAATTTTCTACTGACTTAAGAATTTTTGGAAAGCTTTACTACAATATCTTGGTTCATTGTCAGTTTTGATTTTTTCTGGAACTTCTATTACAGCAAAACAAGACAATAAATGTTTTTTAACATGGGAAGTACTTTCTCCTGTTTGGCAAGTTGCCTATATGAAATGTGAATAAGTATCAACTGTTACATGAACATATGATAATCTTCTAAATGAAGGTACATGCGTGACATCCATTTGCCATAATGCATTAGGACGCAGACCTCTGGGATTAACTTCTGCCTCTTGAGTGGGCAGGTGTAAGACTTGACACTGGGTGCAATGTTGTACAATATCTTTTGCCTGTTTCCATGTGACATCAAATTTGTTTTTTAATCTTGCTGCATTTACATGAGTCAAAGCATGAAGTTCTTGTGCTTTTATGAATGCAGATGATACTAGTAAGTCAGCTTGTTCATTTGCTTTAGTCAAAGGCCTTGGTAAATTAGTGTGTGCTCGAATATGAGTAACATAAAATGGGAAATTTCCTTTTTTTACAGTTTGTTGTAATAAATTGAATAGCTGGTTTAACTGATCATCCATGCTATATTTAATTAGAGCTGTCTTAACATCTTTTGTAGCCTGTACTACATATGCAGAATCTGATATAATATTGATAGGTTGGTCAAAATCTTGTAACACTGTAATGACTGCAACTAACTCTGCTCTTTGAGCTGATTGATATGGAGTTTTGATTACTCGTTCTTTCAGCCTTGTGTAAGCTGCTTTTCTATTGCTGGAACTATCAGTAAATACTGTTAGAGCATTTTCTAAAGGTTCACGTCTGGTAATTTTAGGTAGAATCTAAGTAGTCAATTTTAAGAACTGGAAGATCTTTGTTTTTGGGTAATGATTATCAATAATTCCTACAAAATTAGCAAGACTAATCTGCCATGCACTAGAATTGATAAAGGCTTGTCTAACTTGTTCTTTGGTTAAAGGGACAAGTATTTTGTCTGGGTCATTTCCACATAATTTTATTATTCGTAATCTTGTCTGACCAATTAATGTAGCTATTTGATCCAAGTACAATGTAAAAGTCTTAATTGTACTGTGAGGAAGGAAGGACTACTTCACAAGATCAGTATTTTGAATAATGATGCCTGTTGGAGAATGTGCAGTGGCAAAAATCAAAAGTTGGAGTGGGGCTAAGGGATCTATTCTATTTATTTGCGCTGACAGAATTTTTTCTTCTACTAATTTAATTTCTTTTGTTGCCTTTGGGGTTAACATTCTTTTACTATTTAAGTCTGAGTCTTTTCTTAAGATAGAGAACAAATTTGACATGGCATAAGTAGGAATGCCTAGAGTTGGCTGAATCTAATTAATATCTCCTAGCAATTTTTGAAAATTATTTAGTGTTTTTAATGTGTCTTTTCTTATTTCTATTTTTTGTGGCTTAATTTTTCTATTTTCTATCTGCATCCTTAAATAATGAAAAGGAGTAGAGGTTTGGATCTTATCAGATGCTATTGCCAGTCCTGCATTGGCAACCTCTGCTTGCAGAAATGTATAACAGTCAATTAATTTATCTTTCGTTTCTGTAGCACATAAAATATCATCAATATAATGAATAATATAACAGTCTGAAAACTTGTCTTTAACTGGTTGAAGAGCTTGACCTACAAAAGTCTGACAAATAGTTGGACTATTAAGCATTCCTTGAGGTAACACTTTCTACTGAAACTTGGTGGCTGGTTCTTTATTATTTATGGCTGGTATAGTAAAGGCAAATTTTTCACAATCCTGCTCCGCCAGAGGGATGGTAAAAAAGCAATCCTTTAGATCAATTATAATTAAAGGCCAATCTTTTGGGATCATGGCTGGAGAGGGCAACTCGGGTTGGAGAGGCCTTATGGGTTGAATTACGGCGTTTACGGCCTTTAAGTCAGTTAACATATGCCATTTGCCTGATTTCTTCTGAATTACAAACACAGGAGAATTCTAAGGTGAGAATGAAGGCTCAATATGACTTTTTTCTAACTGTTCATTTGTTAATAAATGTAAAGCCTCTAGTTTTTGTTTTGGTAGCGGCCACTGATTTACCCACACCGGTTTTTCTGTTTTCTAAGTTAATGGTATGTGTTTAGGAGGCTCCACAGTGGCCGCCTCTAAAAAGGATACCTTATTCCTTCTTTTTCTTGATTTATTTTAGCCTCAACTGGAACTTTAATGCCATCTTCATTTTTCTTTAGTCCTTTTCCTGGTATATATCTTATCTTGGTCATGATTTTTTGACTCGTGGGGCTATATAATGGAGTGGGCATGGTGATTTCCCCACCTCATTGTTATAATAAATCTTGACTTCACAGATTAAGAGGAATTGAAGTAATCATTGGCTGAACAGTACTTTCTTGATTATCTGGCCTTAAGCAATGTAAAATCTTAGTACTTTGATACACTTCTGAGGCTGTGCCTATGCCGACAAGTCTTGTAACAGCCTTTTGTTTAGGCCAATTTTTTGGCCACTGATTTAAAGCAATGATAGAGACATCTGCTTTAGTGTCTACTAACTTTTCAAACTGTTTTCCTTGAATAATGGCCTTACACACAGGTCTGTTCTTTGAGACTTGACTTGCCTAATATGCAGCCTTTCTTGTTGGATCAGTGCTTCCAAGCCCTCCTATTCTTTTTATTTCACTATTTCCACCTTTAATATATGGCAGGAGTAATAATTGAGCAATCTTGTCTCTTGGACTGGCACTTCAAGGAATTGAAGAGCTAATAACTAACTGAATTTCGCCTTTATAGTCTGAATCAACTACACCAGTATGAATTTGAACTCCTTTTAGATTTAGACTTGATCTTCCTAAGATTAGTCCTACAGTCCTCTCAGGCAGTGGGCCATATACCTTTGTGGGGATTTTTTGTGGGGGCTCCTTTGGAAGCAGAGAGACTGCTTGTATAGTACATAAATCTACTGCTACACTGCTGCTTGTGGCGGGGGACAATTGTTGTATTGTGGTAACTGGCTTATTCCTTGAAACACTTGGGACAGTGGGGGTTGTTGTCTTTGAAAACCTTGAGGAACAAATGGCTGAATTGGGAATGCCTTAGTTTGTTGTGGGGCCTGAGGCTGGCCTCTTTGCTTGTTTCCTGACAATGCTTGCCTATTTTTATCAAATTTAGAATGACATTGACTAGCCTAATGTTTTCTTTTTTTACATCTTGGACATAAGTCAGGTGGTTCTCTACTTGTTGTGGTAGTAGCTTGAATAGTTATATTCTGTTTATTTAAGACTGGGCAATTCTTTTTTAAGTGACTAATTTGACTACAATTATAACATTTTCTTCCAAATGTTCTAACTTGTCCTCCTAAAACAACTCCTGTTATTGCTTGAGCCATAAGCATAGCTTTATGCATAGCTCCTCCGATTCCATCACAGGCTTTTACATATTCTGAGATTACATCTGATCCTGCAGGAACTTTTCCTTTTAATGGCTTAATGGCTGATTGACACTCAGGATTGGCGTTTTCATATGCCATCAACTTCACTATGACCTTACGGGCTTTTTCATCGGCAATTGACTTTTGAGCAACATCTTGGAGCCTTGCTACAAAATCAGGGTAGGGCTCTTTCGAACCTTGTCTTACTGTATTAAATGAGGGGCAGGCGCTTCCTAGGTCTTGGATTTTTTCTTAGGCTCTAAGGCAGATAGTTCTAACTTGCTCAATGGCCTCATTTTGCATTAATGCTTGTTGACTAATAGTACTCTAATTTTGACCTGTTCTTAATAGTTGATCTGCATCTATGTTAACTGGAGGATTGGCAGCCTTATTTCTTCGGACCCGTTCTTGTACCTCATCAATCTACTAAGTCTTAAATTGTAAAAATTGAGAGGGTGAGAGAGACGATTTTGCCAGAATCTCCTAATCATAAGGAATGAGTCTATGTCCATGAGCAATGGAATCTAATAATGTCCTCATATAAGGGGAGTTGGGTCCATACTGTTTTACTCCTTCTTTCATATCTTTTAGCATTTTTATCGAAAAAGACTTGTATCTGGCCTCAACTGTGAGAGGCTCTCCCTCTTGGGCTCCTTCTCCAGGTGGCATCGGTTCTAACATTACTGGGAATTGCCATGCCTCAGTATCTCCTTCCTTTCTTGATTTATCAATAATTTCATGTAATTCACTACCTTGTCTACTAGGTGGTGCCGTAGGATTAAGTCTCCTAGTGGGCGGCTGAGGGTATGGCGCCCTGCCCTGTGGTGCTGGGGGCATTCTTGGATATCCATACTGACTTTCTGGGGGTGGCCGATACTGAAGTTCAGCCGGCGGCTAGTATTGATAAGCTACTGGCGGTTGGGTCTTATTTTCTTTAACCTGCGTTTGAGGTTGTAATGTTACAGGCACCTGACTTGCTGGAAGAGGACTTGGCCTTCGTGGTTTAGACTCTGGTGGCCTCACTAATTCGGGACCTTTTCCTTCTAATTTTAACGTTTCAGGATATATCACCTCCTGTAATTGATTATAGTCAACATTTTGCGTTGACTGAGCCATTACTGGCTCTGCTACATATTCGCAATGTAAACTTCCCGTTTCTTTCTGGGATTTTTTCTTTGTCTTTTCATTACAATCTATTAAACAGCTTCTAGGGGCATCAGAAACTGAAACGCTATCTTCTTCTGTTTGAAATGGTTCTAAAGCTGCTTTAATAATGGCCTAATCATTCCATACTGTAAGTGGAATGATATTACTTTTCCTACCTGCTTGTTTTAGTTCCTTACTAATTCTTTTTTAATCTTTTAGATCTAAAGTTCCTTGTTCTGGAAACTATGGGCAAAATTGTTCTATTATTTGAAATAGCTTGATTAGATTTTTTGTAGATACTTTAACTCCCCCTCTTTTTAAAAGAATTTTAATAAAGCTGAGATAAGAGGCATATTTACTTCTAATTTTAGGGGTGGGTTGCCCCTCCACAACTGTGGGTGTTTCTCGTAAGGTGGAACGAGAGACTTAGGAAAGAAAAAGACACAGAGACAAAATATAGAGAAAGAAATAAGGGGACCCGGGGAACCAGCGTTCAGCATATGGAG
Source organism: Homo sapiens (assembly GCF_000001405.40). Lineage (NCBI taxonomy): Eukaryota > Metazoa > Chordata > Mammalia > Primates > Hominidae > Homo > Homo sapiens. The sequence continues at coordinate 18,568,817 of NC_000021.9, forward strand.
GATCCCCCCAGCCTCTGAGTTCCCTTAGTATTTATTGATCATTTGTGGGTGTTTCTCGAAGAGGGGGATGTGTCAGGGTCACAAGACAATTGTGGGGAGAGGGTCAGCAGACAAACACGTGAACAAAGGTCTTTGCATCATAGACAATGTAAAGGATTAAGTGCTGTGCTTTTAGATATGCATACACATAAACATCTCAATGCTTTACAAAGCAGTATTGCTGCCCGCAGGTCCCACCTCCAGCCCTAAGGCGGTTTTTCCCTATCTCAGTAGATGGAGCATACAATTGGGTTTTATACCGAGACATTGCATTGCCCAGGGACAGGCAGGAGACAGATGCCTTCCTCTTGTCTCAACTGCAAGAGGCATTCCTTCCTCTTATACTAATCCTCCTCAGCACAGACCCTTTACGGGTGTTGGGCTGGGGGACGGTCAGGTCTTTCCCTTCCCACGAGGCCATATTTCAGACTATCACATGGGGAGAAACCTTGGACAATACCTGGCTTTCCTAGGCAGAGGTCCCTGCGGCCTTCCGCAGTGTTTGTGTCCCTGGGCACTTGAGATTAGGGAGTGGTGATGACTCTTAAGGAGCATGCTGCCTTCAAGCATCTGTTTAACAAAGCACATCTTGCACCGCCCTTAATCCATTCAACTCTGAGTTGACACAGCACATGTTTCAGAGAGCACGGGGTTGGGGGTAAGGTCATAGATTAACAGAATCTCAAGGCAGAAGAATTTCTCCTAGTACATAACAAAATGGAGTCTCCTATGTCTACTTCTTTCTACACAGACACAGTAACAATCTGATCTCTCTTGCTTTTCCCCACACCTGGCAATAAATAACACTCATTTTATAGTATGTTGTTATTAAAGACATTTTACTGAACATGAATTCTTTGCAAGATAATGTTATAATAAGTTAATATTTAATTTTTTTAAATTGGACATTTTATTTTTTAAAAAGACCATGAAAAGTCGTGCTTTTCCACTTACAGGCTGCATGACTTGGGCAAATAATTCAGCTGCTATGATTCTCAGATGTATTCTTTTTACATAATACATATGAGATTTAAAATAAAATATATATCTGAAATACTTAGCAAAGTGCTTGGCATATATTATGCTGTAAATAAGTATTATCTTTTTTGTTGTCTATTTCCCTCTATCAGTCAGAGTCAATTCAGAAAACAAAATCACATCAGTTACTTTACCAATAGAATTTAATGTAAACAATTGTTAACCATGTACAAATTTGTTAATTAGCTTATAAGAAAGTCCAGACTAAAACTATAGGGTATCATGGAGGCAACAATTGAAATAATCTACCATTGTTCCCTATGGCTAGAAGAACAAAAGGAAGATGTTAGAATTACTGAAATTTAGAAGCATGGAGGAGGGGCCCGAGAAAATGAAACACAAACCTTGGAGAAGAGGGTGCTGGTGTGAGTGGTGATGAGGCTGGTAAGGCTGGTATAGTAAATGTTGGAAAAACTGCAACCTGGATTTAGTTGCAACCGCAGGGAGGAACTGCTGCTGCCAGGGTGAAGAAACACTGCTATAGTGGAAGCTGCGGGAGCGAGAGAATGTAAGCAAGCCTAGAGGAAGAAAACAGGAAGGAGGAAGTCACTTCCTCCCCCAGCCTCAGTCTCTCAGTACCACTTTATCCTGGCAGAGTAGAAAGTGGTTTTTCAGATGCTAGTCCTAGCATCACAAAGCAAAGGTGAAGTTAGAGTGGAGAGAGAATAGCTTCATAAATAGCCTACTTTTTCACTCCTCTAACTCCATTCATTTTTACCTCTAATTTTTCCTTCTTACTTTCTATCATTTCTTTTTTCTTCTTTTTGAGGTTTTTTTTTTTCTTAGACGGAATCTTGCTCTGTCGCCCAGGCTGGAGTGCAATGGCGCAGTCTAGGCTCACTGCTACCTCTTCCTACTGGGTTCAAGTGATTCTCCTGCCTCAGCCTCCTGAGTAGCTGGGACTACAGGTACGTGCCACCGCACCTGGCTAATTATTTTTAGTAGAGATGGGGTTTCACCGTGTTGGCCAGGCTGGTCCCAAGCTCCTGACCTCATGATCTGCCCGCCTCGGCCTCCCAAAGTGCTGGGATTACAGGCATGAGCCACCACACCCAGCCCTCTTTTTGCCTTTCTTTATTTTCCTCCTGGCTGGCCTTCCATCCTTCCTTCCTTCCTTTTTTGGCGGACAACAATTCTATGGGCTTGAAAAGACATGTTTTTAAATGTAAGCTATTGTCTTTTATGTAATAAACAGATATCGAAAATTATACATCAGTTCAGGGAATCTATATAATCATTTAAAAAAATCTATGGTGCCAGGCACTTTACATCATCTTAATTCAAATTATTAAATTTTCACAATCACAGGGATAATAGCAGACCTAAGATTTGAACCCAACATTTTCAGCCTCCAATTATGATGTTTAATTTTTTTTTCTATATCACAGATTCCAGTTCATTTGGATAAGTAGAGATGAATAATTCAGTCATCACTGTCATTTGAACTAGGTAGGCCTCAAAAGAATATGAAAATTTTGATACATTGAGAAAGTATATGATACATTATGACCACTGAAAAATTTATAAGCGAATTTGGGATAAGGCAAGACATTCTCCATAAACAATATTCAATAAATCTAATAAACTAAAAAGTTGTAAAATTTCCAATATAAATTTATGTAATTTGGGAGGAATAAATGTTTCTTTTTCTTATTATATATGTACTAAAACTTTTAAGAGAAAATATTTGAAAGTATCATCTTTTACATACAAAAATACAGTTTGGAAGTTAATTAATTGTACTGGGCAATAAAAAAAAATTAAGGTAACTTTCTTAAAAAGTCCACTAACTGTTATGCTGATGGCAATTTCAAAAGCACATCTTATTATCTAATACGAGAAGATTAATACCAACTAATGTATTTCCTGGTAAAGATATAACATGAATTTAGACCTATAAAGATAAAATTATAACTAATCACCAGAGATGAAAAATAATCTTACTTTTTTTTGAAATTACATTTGAAAATTTTAGAAAAATATATGTATTAAAACAAGTTTACTCTGTATGTAACTAAATCATCTAAAATATGCAAACATATTTAAAATGATTAAAGCTGCATTTTGATGATAATTTACAACTATATGTATAACTACACAGAAGTCTTCAAATGAAAGTTAAAATATCCAAAAACTCATGTTTCATTCTATATTTACCTGTCACTAGGGAACCATGATCTTCAGTTGGACTGTTTTTATTTGAGATTAGAGGAGGTTTAGAAAATTAGGAAAATTATAGGTTCCAAATAGAATATACAAATATAGTTGCCAAAGTACAGAGATAGAGAGAGGAGAGAGAGAATGACAGAAAGAGAGAGAGAGAGAGAAGCAGGAAGAGAAGGAGGATGGGAATGGGAAGGAGGAGGAGGAGAAGGAGAAAGGGGAGGAGGAAGTTGGTGGAAGGGGAAGGGGAGGGGAGACAGAAATAGGAAAATCACCTTGATTGTGCTGGATATAGGCAGAAAGGAATATGTCATAAGCATACAAATCTAACCCCTTAGTCTAATTTTTACATTTTAATTATAAATTCCACTTCTACATTTTCTTGTTAACAATTTCCAATAGACAATAAATTTGAATTGTTAGAATTAGGTGTTTCAAATCCAGTTCATTGTCTAATAGAGATTATGTTCAAGTTACTAATGGAAAAAATTATACCTTAATAGACCTCAAGTGTATTATGGACTCAGGTAATTACTACCAAAAACTAAGGTTCTAATGGGCTACTCATCCTTTTTTTAAATTTTTATTTCCATAATTTTGGGGATACAGGTAGTTTTTTGTTACATGGATAAGTTCATTAGTGTTGATTACTGAGATTTTGGTGCACCTGCGATTTTGCTGCACCTGTCACTGGAGTAGTGTACACTATACCTAGTATGTCATCTTTTATTCCTTACTCCCCTTTCACTCTTCTGTCCTGAGTTCCCAAAATTCATTATATCGTTCTTATGCTTTTGCATCCTCATAACTTAGCTCCTACTTATAAGTCAGAACATACAGTATTTGGTTTTCCATTCCTGAGTTACTTTACTTAGAATAATGGCTTCCTGCTTCATCCAAGTTGCTGCAAAAGACACTATTTCATTCCTTTTTATGACAGAGTAGTATTCCATAAGGTGAATATACCACATTTTTTTACCCACTCATTGGTTGATAGGCACTTAGATTGATTCCACGTCTTTGCAATTGTGAATTGTGCTGCTATCAACATGTGTGTGCATGTGTATTTTTCATGTAATGAATTCTTTTTCTTTGGGTAGATACTCAGTAGTGAGAAAAAAATCAACAAAGTAAACAGATAACCCACAGATCGGGAGAAAATATTTGCAAACTATGCATCCAACAAAGGGCTAATAGCCAGAATCTACAAGCGACTCAAACAAATCAGCAAGAAAAAAATTAAATAGGATGTTGGCTGTGGGTTTGTCATACATGGCTTCGAGGTTTATTTTATTACTTTCAGGTAAATTCCTTCTGTTCCTATTTTGTTGAGGGTTTTTATCATAAAATGATGCTGGATTTTATCTAATGCCTTTGTTGTGTTTATTGAGATAATCATATGGTTTTTGTTTCTGTTTATGTGATGTTTTACATTTATTGACTTGCATATGTTAAACCATCCCTGCATCCCAGATCTGAAACCCACTTGATCATGTTGTGTTATCTTTTAGATACACTGTTGGATTCGGTTAGCTAGTATTTCGTTGAGGACTTTTGCATCTGTGTTCATCAAGCATATTGCTCTGTAGTTTTCTTTTCTCTATTATGTCCTTTCCCGGTTTTCTATCATGGTGGTACTGGCTTTAACAAATGATTTAGGGAGAATTTTCTCTTTCTCTTTTTTTTGTTTTGTTTTGTTTTTGTTTTTCTTTTAATAGTTTCTGTAGAATTCGTACCAATTCTTCTTTGAATGTCTGGTATAATTCAGCTGTGAATCCACCTGGTTCTGGACATTTATTTTTGTTGGGAATTTTTTAAATTACTGATTCAATCTCACTGTTTGTTACTGGTTTGTTCGAGATTTCTATTTCTTCTTGATTTAATCTAAGAGGGTTGTATACGGCCAGAAATTTATCCAATTCCTTTAGATTTTCTAGTTTGTGTATGTAAAGATTTTCATAGTAGCACTGAATGATCTTTTGTATTTTTGTGGCATTGTAACATCTCCATTTTCGTTTAACATTGAGCTTTTTAAATCTTCTCTCTTCTTTACATGGTTAATCTCACTATTAGTCTATCAATTTTGTTTATCTTATCAAAGAACCACCTTTTGTTTCATTTAGCTTTTGTATATATTTTTTTCAATTTCATTTAGTTCTGCTCTGATCTCTGTCATTTCTTTTCTTCTGCTGGTTTGGGTTTCGGTTTGTTCTTGTTTCTCCAGTTCCCTGAGGTGTGACATTAGGTTGTCTATTTGTGCTCTTTCAGACTTTTCGATGTAGGAATCTAATGCTATGAACTTTCCTCTTAGCATCACTTTTGCTGTATGCCAGAGGTTTTGATGAGTTTTGTCATTAATATCATTCAATTCAAATAATTTTTTAAAATTTCCATCCTGATTTCATTGTTAATCCCAAAATTTTTCAAGAGCCGACTATTTAATTTCCATGTATTTGTATAATTTTGAAGATTCCTTTTGGTGTTAATTTCCAGTTTTATTCCACTGTAGTCTGAGAAGATACTTGATATGATTTTGATTTTCATAAATTTATTGAGATTTGTTTTGTGGCCTGGCATCTAGTAGAGCTTGGAGAATGTTCCATGCACTGATGAGAAGAATGTCTCCTCTGCAGTTGTTGTGAAGAACGTTTGGTAAATATCTGTTAAGTTCATTTGTCCAGGGTATAGTTTAAGTTCACTGTTTCTTTGTTGATTTTGTGTCTTGATGATCTGTCTAGTGCTGTTAGCAGAGTATTGAAGTCCCCCATTATTATTGTGTTGCTATCTGTCTCATTTCTTAGGTCTAATAGTAATTGTTTATATATTTGGCAGCTCCTGTATTAGGTGCACATAAATTTAGGATTATAATATCTTCTTGTTGTGCTAATCCTTTTATCATGATTTGATGCCCTTCTTTGTCTTTTTTGTTTTAACTATTGTTGCTTTATAGTCTGTTTTGTTTGATATATGAATAGCTACTCCTTCTCGCTTTTGGTTTTCACTTGTGTAAAATATATTTTTCTACCCCTTAGACTTAAGTTTATGTGAGTCCTTATGTGTTAGGTGAGTCTCTTGAAGACAGCAGATATTTTGTTGTCAGTTTTTAATTCAATTTGTCATTCTGTATCTTTTTTTTTTTTTTCTTAAAATGGAGTCTCACTCTGTCACCCAGGCTGGAGTGCAGTGTGCTATCTCAGCTCACTGCAACCTCCGCCTCCCGGGTTCAAGCAATTCTCCTGCCTCAGCCTCCCGAGTAGCTGGGATTACAGACATGTGCCACCACGCCTGGCTAATTCTTTTGAGTTTTTAGTAGAGACTGGGCTTCACTGTGTTAGCCAGGATAGTCTCGATCTCCTAACCTCGTGATCCGCCCACCTCGGCATCCCAAAGTGCTGGGATTACAGGTGTGAGCCCCTGCACCCAGCCAATTCTGTATCTTTTTAGTGCAGCATTTAGGCCGCTTACATTCAATGTTAATATTGAGATGTGAGATATTGTTCTATTCATCATGTTAGTTGTTGCCTAGATACTTTCTTTTTATCATTCTGTTACTGTTTTATAGGCCTTGTGAGTTTTATGCTTTAAGGAGATTCTATTTTGGCATGTACCGAGCTTTTGTTTCAAGATTTAGAACTCCTTTTAACATTTCTTATAGTTCTGGTTTGGTAGTGGAAAATTCCCTTAGCATTTGATTCTCTGAAAACACAAGCAAAACCAAGTTTGTCATTCATTTATGAAGCTTGGTTTTTCTAGATATAAAATTACTGACTGACAGTTATTTTGTTTGTGGTGGCTAAAGATAGGACCCCAATTCCTTCTGGCTTGTAAGGTTTCTGCTAATAAATCTGTTGTTAGTCTGATAGGTTTTCCTTTATAGGTTACCTGATGCTTTTGTCTCACAGCTCTGAAGATTCTTTACTTCATCTTGACTTCAGATAGCTTGACGACTATGTGCCTTGGTGATAATCTCTTTGCAATGAATTTCCCAGGAGTTCTTTGTGCTTCTGGTATTTGGATGTCTAGATCTCTAGCAAGGCCAAGGAAGTTTTTCTCCATTATTCCCTCAAATTGGTTTTCCAAATTTTCAGACTTCACTTCTCTCTCAGGAACACCAATTATTTTTAGGTTTGGCTGTTTTATGTATTCCTTTATTTCTTGGAGACTTTGTTTATTTTATTATTTCTTTTTTCTTTGCCTTTGACTGATTGGGTTAATAAAAGCCTTGTGTTTAAGTTCTGAAATACTTTCTTCTACTTGTTCTAGTCTATTGTTGAAATTTTCCACTGCATTTTTTTTTTTCTTAAGTGTGTATTTCATTTCCAGAAATTCCTATTACTTTTTTCTTTATGATATCTATTTCTCTGGAGAAAAATTTATTCATATCCTGAATTTTTTTCTTAATTTCTTTAAGTTGCTTTTCACTTTTCTACAGTATCTCCTTGAGTAGCTTAATAATTAACTTTCTGAATTCTTTGGCATTTCAGAGATTTCTTCTTGATTTGAATCCATTGCTGGGGGGCTAGTGTGATCTTTTGGAGGTGTTATAGAGCTCTGTTTTGTCATATTACCAGACTTAACATTCTGGTTCTTTCTTATTTGGGTAGACTATTTCTTCACATTGTTCTTGAATTTATTTTTGATTGGACTTTTTTTTATTGCTTTTTTTCCCCTCTGAAGGATCTGACTTTAGTGTTTGTAGTTTATTTTAGCCTAATTTGATTCTTGGTGCTTTTAGGGTTGAAGACTCAGTATGAGTTCCTTAGTTATAGAGCATCTTTGTACACTGGGTTTCCCAGATCCTAGTTGTAGTAGTTGTATACTTGGTGTGTGAGAAGGTTCACTGTATCCTATGGGATTGGAATCACAGGGATCTCTTGAAGCTTATCTTGTTCTCTTGTGGTGTACACTTTATTTATTTATTTATTTTATTTTTCCCAAGTAGTTTATTTACTCAGTTGATGATTCAGGCTCCAAGCCAATAGGGGAGGTATTTCTGGGTAGGCATCAGTTGTAGCTAAAGCAGGTGGGTAAATGTAATAACCAATGTTGGGCAGAGGTCTTAGCCTTGATGAAGGTGACTCCTGGAGCTCTTAATTAGATGGCTTTATCAGGGTGAAGGATGGGAGCTACGTCAGCTCCCATGCCAGACCAGCAGGAAAGCTATCCACCTCACAGCCTCACTCTTGTCCCAGTAGTCTGACTATTCAGATCACACAGGAACTTCTTTTCATCTGTAGGAATGTGAATGTTCCAAATAGGGAGGAATTGTTACTCTCAATTTTGATATTGCCTTCCTTTCTGGATATGGAATGTATATACGCATATGAAAGCTTCAAATGTTTTTAATTTATGATTATCATATTGTTACTAAATGACCATAGAACAGTAAATTGCACAATTAAAATGAATTTTAGCCAGTTTGTGTGACAAAGAAGGAGGAGGTAATAAAGAATCAAGTGAAATGCGTTCAAAACTGTTTTACCTCTCTGCACCAAAGCATTGACCTAGAATCACATTCTAAAGAAGATCTTTCTAATCAACTTCTCTAGAAATAAACAAAAACAACTTCATTGAATTCTCAACACAAGAATCCCTGCCTCACAAGGGAACCTGTACCAATTGCAGCATGTCTGAACTCAGTGATAGAGTGGGATGTTTGGCTAGCACCAATGTGGAGTTACAGAATTCTCCTGCCCATTTTCTTTCTTAGTACTCCTCTCTCTACACTGAGATCCATAAACTTCTGTTCTGGATGTCCCAGCTTGGTTTACTATTCTCTTTATCAAACTTTATTACCATTTTATAAATTCTTCAGTCACCATTACAATAATATCATATACTTTATTTGCCAAGGGACATATAAACCATGCATGCATGTCAGGTTTACTCTTGATATTATGTTGGTGCAAAAGTAATGGTATTTTTGCCATTCGTGTAGTTGGTGTGTGAGAAGGTTCACTGTATCCTATGGGAATGGAATCGCACGGATCTCTTGAAGCTTATCTTGTTCTCTTATGGTGTACACTTTATTTATTTATTTATTTATTTTATTTTTCCATTTTTGCCATTACTTTTGCACCAACCTAATAGTTTAGCTATCAATGTACTGCAGTCAGTACTCACCTCTTTTCCTTTGGCCACACCAGAGGTTACCTACATCTTTGGGGGACAGCTACTACACATGCTAATAACTTTCTACGTCATGAAAATTTGTCTTTTCCTGAGGGCTTTCTCTAGCTACAAGAGCAAGATCAACTTGTGCCCAGGATACAGTGGAAGTGCCACAATGTAGGAATTTAGTGTATTATACTTTAGCTTCCTGTACCTTCAGACTGACAGTTGAGGTGTGTTCTACACAGTCTCTCAGAGAGTCTCTAGCAGGGTTGAGCTCAATTTGTCCCCAGCATTAATGTCCTATTTATTGGATTTCCTTCTTTATTATCCCCACTCTTTTGAGGTACTTCTTGGGATCACTTCCCAAATACACTCTTTTAGAATCTTAAAAGTGGCAGAATATTTATCATTTTATAGGCCCATGTCTTCAATATCTAGACTACAAGTCTCTTAGAACCAAAATATGAAAGGAACAGCCAATCTCACCATCACTCCCAGTGAGTCACTTGAATAGTTAGTGTGTTTCTCTCTGCAACCAGAGGCATATTTGGATTTAAGGCTCTGGTTCTTGAAAGAATATGGTGGTTCTATAAGAGAACATTGTAAGATTTCCATTTAGCATATAACAGTGGCTGCCTGTAAGAGATTTAGACAATAATTACTATTATCATGTCTGGAATTTTTATATTAATTATTACAGAGAGCTAGAGGCACTATTATACAATGAAAATAGGAAAAGAGTATGTTGATCACTCAAGGCATTCACCTGGGTGCCTAATGATGTCTCCATGCCCAATAATAACATTAAGCAGGAAATTACAGCAACCAGGACCTGGCAAGGGCATGGTAACTAAGGACTCATTTAATTCTTTTGCACTCTGTTGAAGGTCTATGTTATCTGACTAGGCTTGCAGTCTAGACCAGCACATGTGTTGCCCAAATATGAAGGGACCTTAAAAGAAGTGGTAGAAGAAAGAGGTAATAAATATCAGTTTTATCACGAGATTAACTGTACCACATTCAACTTCAGTTTGACTAATTCTTTTGTTATAGTTCTTATCTTCTTAAGAATCATAGCTGTCTATCATATTGGTGAATCAGTGAAGGGCAGAGTGGATTGAATGTTGGCCATGAGATCTAAATGATACAAGGTGTAGACTTCAGGTGATACACTTAATGCTTCACTGAAATCTCCTTAGCCCACTACAGAGAATAATGGCAACTTTGGGGAAGTCCTCCTATATGCCAGTGGTTTTCTACTGTGTATTTCTATATCTCTGTCGCGCAGCTTTCTCTGTCTGTATGATCAAGATCAATCTGCCTGCAGGACAGTTTGGAAGTGCCAAGGGCTTAATGATTGCAGTAGCAAACCTCAACCAATGAGGATGAATGTGAGTGAATAAAAACCACACTTACCTGTCCCTCAGGACCATAGTTCTGAGATATTTTCCACATAGGTTCTCACTGGCATTGAACCCGAGTGATCTGCAGTGGTTCCTGGCTCAGTAATATACCTTTTGTTGCTGATCCTCCTTTACCTGTCTCCTAGTCTCTCACCAGGCTTCCATATTACTTACAAAATAAACTCTTAGCAAAAGACTATTTGCTGTACGAACTACATTTTGGGAAATACAATTTCAGACACCATCATCATACAACTAATTCTTGGACTATTTTTCTACTAAAAATTTAACTTATAGCAATATGTGGTTTTGAATAAATTGTATTTTCTATAATGAAAGTAATATGTCTACAATTTAAAGATCTAAGTACTTAATGAATAAAGAAAAACCACCCATGAATGACAACAGAGTGAGTATCAGGGCCAGAAATGAAAAGAGGTCAAATCATTAAAATCATGTACTGACATGAACAAGAATCTTGATAAAGAAAATGAGCATTTTAAATTAACCCAGAAATGGAAACTTTCCAAAAAATGTCTCCCTTTACAGGCATTGAAAAGACTTTGAGGTCACACTGCCAACTTTACATGAAGAGGAGATGTTCTTTGAATTATATTTTCAATGAATTTGTAACATTTACATTGTGTATGAAGATAGTTCTCTGCAGTGAACGTAAAAGTCCGTTTGCTATAAGTAGAAAGGAAAACTTTTTCCCAGGGAGACCAGGGTCACAAATTAAATTATTTGGCTTTTGCTCCTGGTATGTCTGCTTTTATCACTTGACCCTTGCTGATACGCTCAGCTCTGCCCGCAGTACAGGATCAAACATGCTTCTCATCTGGACAAATTTAGAAAACCTTAATACACTTGCACAGGATGGTCAGTTCAAACATACACTTGCTGCAAGCCTTTTGTCCCAGAATAGCTTAATTCTACCTCACTGCCATGACTGACCTGGGCCAGTGCACTATGGCTGCTCTCCTGGTTTACTAATGACTCCTAAGATAAAACCCCATGCTTGCCTCTCAGTTCTCATTCATGGATATCCCTGCAGTATTTGTTCACCCTGCTTTTTGAAACTTGCCTTTTCCTGTCTTGATCTAATTCTAGTTCTTTTACCGTATCAGTCAATGGCTATTTCCATTTTCTCTATATTTGTTTTATTTATTATCCTACTTTATTGCAGAGTGATAGGAGATGGTGAACAGTAATAAATACATATACATATAATAGTAGTCAGTAACAATGAATAAAAGGAAAGAAACATGTATAAAGAGGTAAGAGCACAGTGCAAAAATATCAGATACTGATGCCTATTACAATCAAGCCCATATAGAGGTCTGAGCATACAGCTGGTCCTAGACTTTATTTTCTGCTATAATTTTACCCAACACTTTTGTCTCATCGAACCACTATGCAGATGGATCCCAGGATATTCTGCAAATATCAATCTCTGTTACTAACCTCCCACCAAGATTAGATCTGCATTTCCTTATTGGCTATGAAACACGTCCAAATTGATAACTTGACTCATTTCAAACTCAGCTCATTGCATAATTAACTTATAATTTTTATTTTGTTCTTACTCAGCTTCAAATTCTACCATTTACTTACCCCCTATTTAACACTAATGATCATCATTGCATTGTTCTGGGCCCTGGTGATACAATGGTAAACATACTTTTTCTGCTTTCAGGGAATTTAATGTTTAATGTGGCAAGTTGCCTTTATGGATCCACCCAACAGAGTTTCCAGGGAAACTGCAGACACAGCCTTGTCACGCTCAAAGACCTAGATCAGGATGAGCCTTCATATCCTCAACATGTTCTCCAGCCAGATAAAGAAGGCAGCTCAACCATCAAAAACTGGAAATGAGGAAATTCTATTCAAAACCAAAGGGTCAGAGATGAATGAGGTTTGTTTACAGATGTATTGAAAATGTAGCTAGTGGAGAAGAATATGCAGAACTTGGGCAAACAAACCAGGAATAATAAAAACTTGACCAAGAAAGGAATGCACATTTGCTATCCAGTAAAAATTAAAAGGTGATAGTTTATTATTGGTAAAATAACAGCAAGTGCATCCACATAAATTAATATCACTGTTATTTCTAAGCAGCAGAATGTGGATATGATGCTGGAGGGTACTGGAAGGACTCAAAGGAACAAATGACATAGGGATTAGGGCTATGAAAGTACCTGGACAAAGATAACATTTATGATCTGCAGCCAGTGGGTCAAAAGGTGTCTCCAAATGATATTGAGGCAACTGGCTGCCTATGGATGCTGGTGGAATCATGGTGGTGACATCCTCTCCAGGAAGGATTACTGCATGGAGAAATGCTCCACAGACCAACCCTCTGGGTGGCAAGTCCCTGGTGAAAGTCAGGCTGTACCATATGACACTTTTCCAGGGATCTGTCCAAAGACAGAGAGTGAGCCACTGGAAGTGCTGAATGGCAAATTTGGCCTTGTGACTAGATTTATTGTCAGGTAGTTATACTGGAAGAAGTCCACATACTAGAAGGCGGTATGCTATGACTGTTTTAGGAAATGTGAATTTCCATGAGAAGTTTCTAAGTAGCTTGTGTTTTGTGATAGGTGGGAACCAGATTTGGCTTGCATTGAGGACCTGTGCTATCTCCAGAGTCCTTATGCCCCACACTACACCCTAACTCCAAATTCCATGTCTCCAGCTCTCGGAAACACAGGCAGCTGAAAGCATTTCTGGAGTCTGCTCTTCCCAGTCCCAGCCACCATCACTTCCCTCTGTAGAGTCAAGACTCTTAGCTTATATTGTTTTCATTATGAATTGTAAGATACAGGTGGCTTCCTGGTGCTGGGAGGTAGATGCTCTTGTAAAGATGGCCCTGATAACTCCCTGCTCCTCACAAAAGAGACACAGAATTACAGGAGAAGCAATGCCTCTCGGGAGGGAATCTCTTTTCTCATCTTTGCCCACAGCCTGAGCTCTGAGTCCCTCTGTTTATTTTCTCTCAGTTTGTGCTTAAACTTGAATGTCCTACAGATCTTGGGTCTCTTTAAATCCTCTCCTGGTATCTGAGAGCCCTTGGCCTGGAAAGGTTGTGTTTCTCCTAGGGCTGGCTTCACAGTGTGTGCTCAGTGAGGTTGCACAGGGCCCAACACTTCAAAGGGCTCAGCATTTGAGGTTTAATGCTCTGGAGTGGCTGTCTTGAAATTCTTAATAAATTTATCTCTGAATTCTGTAAGTCAGTCAAATGGGACAATGGAGCATGCACTTGATCCAGTGGGGGCCTGGAGCCACAGCTCGCGATGCAGTCCTGTATACTGCCACCTTTCTGCCTTCCCAGGACAGGTTCTCAGCCATCCATTCCCCATTTCCAGGTGCCCCAGGTCTACCTGGCCTTCCTTACCCTATCCACTGCTGTGGCTGCTGTGGCTGTCCACCTAGGGCAGTGACAGGATTGTGTCTATGAGGAACACCTATGTTCCACCACTGGCAAGGGGTCTTATGTATGGGAAGGTTCAGAGTTAGAAAAGAGCTGTTCATGGCCTAAGCTGGTTGTGTCAGGACATAATTGGTTAGGTGAATTGGTGAGAGCTCTCGCCTACCCCTAATTTTTGGGTTGGGAAGGTGGGCATTTGGTTAGGAGAGGATGACTTCCCCATGCCTGGCAAAGGACCTGTATTCTAATTTTGTCCTAGGACCCACAATTTATGTGTCTTTCCTGGTCTCGTCTAGTATGCTATAGACAGTCCCTCTTAGTTGTGACTTTGACAAATCCTGTCCCTGAGACATCTTCTAACAGAGAGAGGAGAGGAATACTGACAAATGTATCTTGAGCTCTTAAAATTTGTGACATCCTGTGCCTAACACTTGCTATTAACAATCTCATTTCATTCTTACACAACCATAGCATAGAAATTCTCCAGTTAGTACCATTTTATAGATGATGAAACTGAAGCATGAACATTCCAGAAATTTCACAAAGTCTTATAGCCCAGAGGCTTCATATCTAAAATTCAAACCAAGAATCCTTTTATCAGAAATCCGTAAAGTTCTGCGTCATGTCAGATGTGAGCTGGACCAACACCAAAACAGAAAAGAAGTTTCACATTTCAGTTTGAAATGAAGATGTGGCTTTTTCAGTAAAGAGACTAGTATTTCCGTGGCTAACTGAATTAACCTGTGGGCTCTAGGTAAGTCCTAAGCACATCTGGGAAAGAATAAAAGGAATATTTAATTGACCTCAGGAGTGCTTTAGAAGATCATCCAGACCTATCAGGACATCTTCTCAGGGAGGTGGGATGAGATTTAGGAACCAACAAGCAGCCATATAATCTCGCCAAACCCATTAGTGGTCCTGACATGGCTGGAGACCCTGGGATCCTTTCTCCTGGCATGGTAGACTAAACCACTTGTTGGCTCTGTTCCCCACCCTGTGCCGCCTGGAGCAGGGGAAGCAGATGGTTTCAATACAGGCAGAAACAGCTGTTCCTCATATGGGGTGAGCTGAATCTTGATTGTTTTAGGTTCTGCTCTTTACATTGACCCCTCAATGGTCCTAGTTCTGAAGTATATAAGCGGGCCCTTTAAAAGACTTTCCTAAGGCCTGAATGTCAAATGAATCATAATCTAGGTAGCAAGATTGCTCCTAAATGGACATCACAGTGGCTGAAAACAATCAAGGGATGGCTGATTTAGTAGGGCCATGCTCAAATAGGGCAAGTCTCTCCCCAAGGTAACCAGAGACATCCTCAATGCATCAGCAATCTTGGAAGCTGTACTCATCTGAAAGTTCAGGCTTTGTTGGACAACACTCCTGTCCACTGGCACACTCACACACTCACTGCCATACAACCCTTTCTCAGACTGAGTCCATTAGTAGTATCTACCTGCCGTAAGCCCCTAGAATCAAAGATGCTATGTGGAAGGCTTGGACCCAAAGACAGCATTGGAGACTTGGTCTTAGGTGAGCAAGGGTTTAATCTGACTAGGACAGCCATGTCAGAGGCCACATCTGATAAGTGAATGAATTGCATTCCAGGCTCTCAACTTAGCATAGACCTCTTCACCTCATTATGCCTTGCATGGACATCAAACTGAACAGGTTCCCAACATTCTCTCCTGGGGAGAGCTTTTCTCTCCTTTGCCACAATGCTTAGGGTATTAAAGCTGTAGAGATGACCTCACTTTTAGCAATGAATCCCCCAAATGTGTACTTCCCAGCCAACCAGTTTATCACTTATCTATATGGTGATACACCCTTCTGTTATTTTCACCAAAGATCCTTGGCACAAACACTGAAGCCAAATTTCCCATACAATCCTAGAGTTTAAGTAGGATGCAAAGTCCTGTGTGGTTTCTCCATAGTGCAGTCTGTGATCATGGAAGGCTCAAGTTCCCTTCAGCACAGGGACCCAGGTTTGGGTATGCAGGTAGCTGAGTTTTTCCAGCTCAGACCATAATTGAACTGTGAATTCAGTCAGAACCTATTTGTAATTCACAGATTTATATACTACCCTCAGGGAATCAAGATGTTATTATTGTCACATGTGTAGAAATGTATTTATATGAAATCGTCTTCCTCTTCTCCGAGTTATTTTCCAGACTATTAGCAAAATTTACTCAGAAGTAAAAGGCACATCAATTAGCTGGGCGTGGCTGTGTACACCTGTAATCCCAGCTACTTAGGAGGCCAAGGCAGGAGAATCGCTTGAACCCAGGAGGTGGAGGCAGAGTGAGACTCTGTCTCAATTAAAATAAAGAAAAAAAGGAATATCAATTAACTTCTGAGCAGTGTTCCTGTCCATATAGAAAGGAAACCTAATCCTGAGATATAAGGGCAATTACTCAAGAGGAAGTTCCATCAAAGTTGAAGTTTGAATGGAATGAATGAGTTAGGTAAATAAAGGGTGAGAAGAAGCTAGCATGTGAAAAGGAGAAAGGTTTTTGGCAGAGAAAATGGCTAATGAGAAAGCCTAGAGGAGGGGAAGCATGGTGCATTTGGAAAATGGTAAAAAAGTCATGCTAATAAAAATGTAGGGCATGTCTTCAATTGTAACTGCATTAAGTGGAAGACAGATTGGTCATTTCAATCTCCCAATAGTTTTTATCCAAGAAGTTGTTTTGGTCATTGAGGTCAGGTTTCATTTTAGTTGAAATAATATTCCCAAGTTATAAGGATCCCCAAAACACAGAGCACTGGATTAAGAAATCAGGAAAAAGTCTGTAAGGGTAAAGGTGTACAGAATGGGATTGAGGATTGAGGGAAAGATTTAAATTTTGGGAAGGAATCCAACATAACAATAGATGAGGCATGTTGAGACTTAGCAATTTTTAAAATAGTTAGGTCTAGGAGTTAAGCTCTTAGCAGAGTCAGGTTCTGGACTGGCTGTACTACTAACGAAGTGCTGGTCCAGTTCTGGTTGCAATAGATCTGTCAATTTCTAGGACTTTCATTAGATTTAGATGCAGTTACATGCAGCCTCAGGTGAAAGGGTGACCTCTGGAAATTGAACCTGGAAATTTGGTTCAGATGTTACACTAATGTTCTCTAACACTCAGACTAAAAACTTTGTATGCACTTCTTCTTGTCACCTGTGGAATGCAATTACCAAGGTATGTTTCACTTCTTCATTGTCTCTTGGCTTTCTTCCATTACTTATTTTTTTTTGAGACGGAGTCTTGCTCTGTCGCCCAGGCTGGAGTGCAGTGGTGCGATCTCGGCTCACTGCAAGCTCCGCCTCCCGGGTTCAAGCGATTCTCCTGCCTCAGCCTCCCGAGTAGCTGGGACTACAGGTGCCCGCCACTGTGCCCTGCTGATTTTTTTGTATTTTTTAGTAGAGACGGGGTTTCACCGTGTTAGCCAGGATGGTCTCGATCTCCTGACCTCGTGATCCGCCCACCTCGGCCTCCCAAAGTGCTGGGATTACAGTCGTGAGCCACCGCGCCCGGCCTCTTCCATTACTTTTTATCCTGATTACCATAATTATCATTACAGGAAGTTTGTTATTTGTGGTCTATTGACCTTAAAATATTGTAGATAAAAGTACAATAAAGCTGTTATTTTATTAAAATTACAGAAAATTAAAACAAAACGGAGATGAATAGATTTGAAATTCAGTTATCTCATGTAACTCCTATTTATAATTACTGTTTTTTTTCTCTAAAATTTCGTTTCATACACCAGTTAAGGCAAGCTAATTTTGTTTTCTCGGTTTTCCTGCTTATTTGCCCCTTATTGCCTTTTCTCATACTATCTACTTAATAAGAAATTCTCTCTGTGATATGCACCCATTGTATTCATGCCTGTTATTCAATGTGCACGAAGCCTTTCTTAATATTTCCATTCATACATTATTTTTCTTTTCATTGATTCTCCATTACACTTTGCATATCTGTTAACATGCTAAAAACATGACGAACCCATGATATAAATGATTCACTTGTGTGAGATCCTATGAGGCGCCATCTGGAGTCCCAGGAAGGAATAAAATAGCCCTCATGTCATTCAAATTTAAGCCCTGCTTCATCTGAAAGCAAAGCCTTGCCTAGGGCACGCCCATTCCGTTACCTGCATCAGTGACTGATCAGAATGGGGTAAGGCACGCCATTCCCTGTTACCTGCATCAGTGACTGATCAGAATGGGGTAAGGCACGCCATTCCCTGTTACCTGCATCAGTGACTGATCAGAATGGGGTAAGGCACAAGCCATTCCCTGTTTCCTGCATCAGTGACTGATCAGAATGGGGTAAGGCACGCCATTCCCTGTTTCCTGCATCAGTGACCGATCAGAATGGGGTAAGGCACAAGCCATTCCCTGTTTCCTGCATCAGTGACTGATCAGAATGGGGTAAGGCACGCCATTCCCTGTTTCCTGCATCAGTGACTGATCAGAATGGGGTAAGGCACGCCCATTCCCTGTTACCTGCATCAGTCAGTGACAGATCAGAATGGGGTAAGGCACGCCCATTCCCTGTTTCCTGCATCAGTGACTGATCAGAATGGGGATATGAACATCCAACCTCCTTACTCCAAATGCAGACAACTTTGAAGTGTCATCTGAGCACAAGAGCTCCTTGTAGAGGAATGTCTGAGCACTTCATTGAAATTGTATCACAGCACAACTCTTCCCCCCACGTAATCCTGCCTCCTTTTTTCTTCTGCAGGTGTTAATCCTAAACATTTCTCCAATAAATGCTCTATGTGTTATCTTTCTCTCATAATGTGCTTCTTGGAGAATCCAAACTGTATTGCCATTCCTTCATTCAAATATATACGGAACTATTTGTAGGGCAAATAATAACTGTTTTGTACCCAAGACATAGTTCTCAATGTGGTTGAATAAACCAAGTGAAAACAAAAATTATCCTGCTCACAGGGATCTAGGATGAGAGATTAGTTAAATCCGTGTAAAGAAGGCACCAAGTGATTTACATGTATACAGATGACTGACAATGGAGGCTCGGATGTGGAAATCTCCTTTATATGTTTCCTATCTCTAAGATAAGAAGCTCTTTTAAGGCATGAGTATGTGCTGCATCTAGTGACCTGAAAAAAACTGACACTCAACACGTAATTGTTAAATTGATCTCATGTTGGTTTGCTCAGCAAAAAAAAAAAAAAAAAAAAGAAAGAAAGGAAAAAAAAATCCAAAAGAGGCTCCCACAAGAGAGGCTCCCTCTCGCAATGACTGAGAATAACCACCAATTAATTTGAATGACATTTTATCTGTGGGTTTATTTATTAAATACATTGCCTAGATTTATTGAAACAATAATTATAGCTAAATAACTGTGAGGCAAAAATGTCAGTGCTAAAACCTGAAAAAAGTGCTGAGGTTCACACTGAAAGGAACAACATTCATAATTTCAAAGACTCTCAGATTGATTGGTTCAGCTCCCAAGACAGGCAGGCACTGCCCTCCATTTATAATCACGCAGCAGCTATTATATTCTGTATTTTTTCAATTCTAATTTGCTTCATCTCTAACATAACCTCTCTGCAAGGCTATTGCACAAGACATTTATTTATCTAGTTTTACAGCAAGTTGTTTAAGAAATTTTGAGATGGTTATATGGGTCACTTAGCACTTAGTCTAAAGGAAAGAGAGTTGTGTGTCAGTGTCCTGCAGTATCATTTTATTTAAAGAAAAAAATACCTGTTTTTAAGAGAAGCAAATAGTAGTGTGGTTCAATAATCTGTATATGAAGATAAATAATTAAATTGTTAAATGTATTGCTAAACAACTATTATTTAAGTTTTGCTAGACGAATATAAGATAGCCAAAGTAATTTACAAAGAACTCGATTTCACTGAATGTTGGGATTTATTAAATACATTATTCTTTCTTTTAACACCATTCATCAATGTGACAAAGAGGTCGTAGAGAGATGTTTGTTTCAAGGAAGTAAATGTATGCATTGAAAACTAGAGAAAGAGAGTAATGGTGATTACTATTGATTTTCAGGAAACTGTATTCAGTGGTAGAATCAAAACTGAGCAATTACATGATTAAAATACATTTTGAATCCCCCAACATGAAAGCATGATAATCATAAGTTTGCATCCAGAGCCAATATGTCATAAACATTTGAATTTTATTCCTACACCTACCACCCCCTGCAAATGACTGAGGAAGGATGTGAGGTTTTATTTCTATTCTCTGCTGTTTGTTCAATTCCTTTTTGAATCTCTTAATTAAAGACAGTTGATTAATGACTCACAAGCACTTCATATATCAAAAATGTCAAAGCACATTATTACAAAGAGATGTTTTTATATGGTTAGATATGGACACCTACGTTTCTCTTTCATTCTGATAGGTCTGGCATCTACTTTGTTAAAATAGTTTTTCTTTCCTTATGAAATGCAAAAACAATCTGAAATGAAGACATCATTCCAAAGGCTCAGTGTTTCAAAAATAAAAATAATAATCACATGCACATTACATTAAGTACCTACTTACCCTTTTGTTCTAAGTGAATCTTGGCTCTGCTGAGAATGCTTCTCTTTCAATCCTCTCAAATGCTAATGTTTTTTTCTATCTTACATTCTTCATACTGTAGGACTCAGAGAGGAAGAAAAAGTTATTGCTCTTTATTGTATGTCAGACCTTTCTCTTTTCCTCGTGTTTTGAATCTCAGGTCACCTGACAATTCCAGCCAAAAATCTTTCCTTTTGCAGTCATTTTCCCAATAACCCCCTTTTTCCGACTCAAAAACACATTCCAAGGCTTTCTTGAAGATTTTTGTACCTGAGTCACTGCCATCTCCTCAATACCACTGCTGTTACAATTTATGTCTTATATGTCCATAACAATGATCCTTCCAATCAAATGGACTCTTACTATCTTGACTTTTTTTCTCCAGTAATCTTGATCTCAATTCTAATCAGTCTTTCAGGCTATTCCCATTTCTTACACAGATATAGGCCTTGCTGTCAGCAATAATGACAACTTTTTCCCCACCCCAGGATCATTTATACATTATACATTATACATTAACTCTCTAAACATCACCCTTTATCTTTCCAGAACATTTCCCAAAATACCCAGCCTTTCACACCTCGACGGAATCTTACATGCAATTTCCCTGGTACATTTTCATTGAGAGTTTGCTTCCCATGGTCTCACGCTCTTCTCAAAAAAGTTAAATCCCATGGTTCATCCTTAAACACCATAGCTGAATCGTTTAACTGTCTTTGGATCCCTTCTTTTATTTTGCTTCTTTGGCAATAATCTGACACTTTATTTATCTCTATATAGTTGAATGTGGCTGGAGAAAAACACTAAACAAGGTAGTCTGGTACCCCATTACTTTCATGCCATTTACCTAAAGTGGACTACAGTGACTCCCAGCCACAGTCCAGCATTTCCCTGGTCCAGTCATTCTCCCAGTCTACTAGACGGCTGCTTCATTACCTTGCCCACTGTCTTCAAACCTCCAACCCTACACGAAATACTCACATCTGATGATTTTGCTTCCCTTCATACTGAAGAAAGAAAAATACAAAGAAGATTCAAAAATACACAAGCTTTCACTACTACTTTGACCCAATGAACTGGATCAGTGCATTACATTGTTTTACTCTCTTGTCTCTTTAGATAAAATATCTCAGCTCCTATAAAAAAAATAAACATTTACCTCCATTTTGAACTGATTCCATTCTCATCTTCTCAATGACATTATCCTGGAAACTCTCTATATAGCTCTACATTTTCATGCTCAGGGAAGTATACCCAGTGAGGCATAAAAAATACTTTCAATATCTACAACCTGAATCAGTCAAATCAGCTATAATGGAAAATACTTCACTCACAGGAAGAAAGTAACCACTCGATGCCCATTATTTTCACTGATCCAATCAGTTCTCCGGCTGCACTAGTCGAATAGGATAACCTTAATCTTAGACTGGTGAGCAATTTATGGTACTTTGATATCTTCCTTTTAGGAGCTTTGGGCATTTTAAATTGATCATATAGTGCATGGCATGCAGCATTAGAACAAAATTAGAATAGATTTGAATATTAAGCAAAGGGACTGGAGCAGAGGCCCAGATATCACCACTGGAGGCATCAAAGGGATAAAACTGTACTTCATCTCCTCCACAGGAGCATGCAAGCGTTTGTGGTTGTAGGTGGGTGCCTCTGTACTCTCTCCCAAACAGCAATCCTTTCTGCTGTTACAAAATGCAACTATTCCTTTTGGGGACTTCCAAGTCCTTTATGGTCAGTCCATATGTTGTGATTGCACTGACCACAAAGGTGATCATAGGAAAGCGTATAACTGAGGATAGACCAAATAAATTCAGTCTTATGATTTTATCTGGTATAATCAGAAGAGAGGAAGACTTTTTCACTGGAGATGGCAAGATAGTGGAGTACATATATGGTGTTTCCAGCGACTATTTTTTACTACTATATGTAAAGAGACATCTGTTAATGAAATCAGTAGATCTAAAAGATAATGAAAGACATTGCTGAGGATATTATTTGAGCATCTGGACTTGGTGCTTTCTAAGTCATTCTTCCCTGAATTTTCAGTTGATTGTGACAAGAGTTCAAATTTGAGTTAAGTTTCCATCGTTTAATCAAGAAAGAGTCTTGATTAATCCAGATATAAAGATAAAATAGAAGAGAAATGGACGGTATCCAAACAGGCTAAAGTGATAGAATAGTGGCTTCATGGCATTGTTTCTGTAAGTAACAGCTGACCAACAATTGTTATGGTTCTACATTATTTGTGGTTATACACAAGATAGTTTGAGTTTGGCATTTGGAAAAAGTTTTCCCTTTTACAATTTGAAAAAAGAAAGTATTTATTTAAACAGCAAATAGTAGACTTTATTAAACCATATGACCAACTCACTCATCAACCTCTTTACCTGACCTTTTTAGATAACTTCTCCCTCCCTAATTTTCAGAGCACCCACATTACTTAAATTGCTGTTGCAAGAACTGATAATTGTGGAGGTTATTGGTTATTGGTTTAGGAAGAGAAACTGAATAAATCTGAGCTGATTATTTCTCCTTCTGCAAAGTACGTCCTTCTGGTCAATCCTATTTATTCAATAATTGGCTCCCAGCTGAAGTTGAAGATCCTTTCAAAGGAATTTAAAACTTGGAATTAGGGAGAGAAAATTATTTGGGGGGTATAGTTGCACTGAAATATCTACATCTTATGTGTTTTTGGTTGCCTTATTCTAATGTGTAGAGAGATAGGTTGAGAAGAATGGAACAAATTGCAGAGACATCCCAAAGAAAGGCTATGATGACCTCCTTGTTTCCCCACAAGATCTAGGTCTCCAGTTGTATTCCTGAGGCCCTGAATGGGATTTCCTAAAACACTTCACCATCCTTTTAATAAATTTATTTTTCTGCTTAAGTTTTAGTGAAGTTTATTTTATTTCAACCAAAAATAGTCCTAATCGTAGGACAATTTACCATGTGTCAGTAAAGCATAAGATGCAGTAAGCTGATAGATATAAATAGTGGCATAAAAACTCTGTCTCAATAAAAGCATTTGATCAGATTTGTCATGATGTTTTTATAAACAAGAGGAGAAATTGGGATGATTTAAATCAGGGACTGTTCTTACCATTTCTGTGACAGTGAGTAAACGATGCTGGTTAATGATGCCAACTTTTTGATAGTTTACAGCCTTATGTTACTGGGTTGCACTCTCAACTTTGTCTCAACAGTTTTTAGCTTAATAACTTGAGTGAGGATATTGATAGCACGTTCATCGAAATCAAACATAACAACAAATGGGAGGTTAGTAGAATTTTTATTTTTTTTAAAAAAATAGCATACTGAACAGTATATTAAAATTTGAGATAATTATAAACCCTTTAATTATAACAAAAAAATCCCCAAGACAAATACAAGATAGGAATAGATGAATCTAAATAGCAGAATATGTAAAATAGTATTGATCATTTTGAATAAAATTAAGCTCACTTACTTCAGCAATATGATAAAACTATTAGAAATGCTCAAGCAGTGTTCAGCACTATTGATAAATGTATTGTGCCCAGGATAATGTCATAGTTAGAAGATAAATGAAAAGAGTCTTTAAGTAATAGCCTAATATAGTGGAATATATGTTGAGAATAATCATCTGGTTTATGAATTTGTAGTAAATATTGCATGTTTAGAACCAACCATTGAAATATTAGGATTGGTTATTGCGATAGTACAAATACTAAAAGAAAGTTGTAGAAGGAAGACCTAAATGTGGGTAAACTTCGTTAGCTGAATTTTTTTTATTATACTTTAAGTTCTGGGGTACATATGCAGAACGTGCAGGTTTGTTACATAGGTATACGCGTGCCATAGTGGTTTGCTGCACCCATCAACCTGTTCATGTACAAAATGTATAATTACATATCTGGCCTATTTACTCACTTACACCATTGAGCCCTACTATAATGATTGCAAGTTCATTTTAAAAAACCTAATCTAAAATGACAAAGGGAGAAGATATCAGTAAAATAACATAATACAGCTTTGAAAGATGGGGACATTTAATAGAGGGAGTAGTTAAAATCTAAGACCTACAAGAAGGATCTACAGGAAGAGGCTACACATGGTACCTACCCAATTTTCCCCCTAAATCCCTAAGAGGCTCCAGACTTCAACTGTCAGGTGGACCAGTGAGGTGAAATGGAATTAGAATGGAAGACAGACAGGAAATAAGTGTCAAATTTATGTTAAAAAACAAACCAGTGCATGCCTACGCCTAGCCACCTTTTCCTCACAGTTGGATGATAATCTTTTCATCTAACCTGAAGATTTTTGCTGTTTTCAATTAATGATTAATGAATTAGTTAATTTAATGCATTTGTCAAGCTATGGAGAAGGTGACAGCAGAATGAAAATATAAATCTTGCTGCTATGGGTCTGGACACAAGGCAATTAAATTCAAGTTTACAAACAAAACTTTGGAAGCTTTTGCCACCTTCTCTGCAAGAGAGATTGATACATACTATCTCCATTACACAAACTGGAAAAAGGTCTCTCACCTTTTTCTCATTAATGTACTATCATTAATGTATTATCATTAATGTACTATCTCTCATTACACAAGCTGGAAAAAGAAACCAGAAGAAGCATTCTTGGAAAATAAAGTTATAACATGGAAAAAAAGGAACCATGGTGGTGTGCTACGTGCGTATAAACAATATGTGCATAGTCATGATATTCTAAACGTTAATTCAACCATTGATTATGATATTGGTATAAAAGAACAATGAAAGTTGGGAAATTGAATTGAAAGTACTTTAAGTTTTAGCTTTTTTTACATCTCCACCTTACCACATACAAATATTTTCTCTTCCCCATACTCCTAGTATAAACATACTATAAGGTTTGTCCAATACTTATTGTTTAAATAATTATGGCTACCTAAATATGTTTATTACCAAGTTGCTAATGTACTTCCATTCTTATTTATTGCTTTTGTTTTACTGGTGTTATCAATTTTGCTTATTTGTTTGGTTAATTTCTATTTTCTTATTACTAAATCACTTTCAAACTTTCTAATGGAATTCTAAAATGGCTAGCTTTTTCTTAGTACAGTTCAAAAATTCATATAGTACATAAATCTATAAGGTATCATTGGTTCCATTTTGTCTTCTTTCCTTGATGGTTTTCTTCTTGAAGTTTTTCATTATCATGTTCCAGACTGAGCTGGCTGATCTCCAGCTGGCCATACTGCTGTTATTCTGGGACTTCTCTTTCCCATTTATTGTGGAATTCTTTTTGTGTTTCTTCTCTGTTGGCTAACCATTTCTTGGCTATCATGTATTTGTCTTTCTTGGGTTTGTCTCTAAATTTGGTGGAGCATAACCTTCAGAATCTTCCTGAGAAAGAGTGCTTAAGAAGTAAACATTCTCAGGACTTACCTGCCTAAAAATGTCTGTACTTTGCCCTTTCCCTTAATTGACTTTTTGGATGTGTAAACAGTTCTAGATTGAAAATCATGTAAGCCATTATTTTATTGTCAGCTTCTAGTATTGTTAAAAAACAATCATCCCAGTTTACATATTCTTGCTTTTTTCTTTATAGAGGTTCCAGTTTTATTTTTTTCCCATTGATTTTGTTAATTTGATAATTTTTTTTCCATTAAACATAAATTTTCTTAGTTCTGGAAAAAGTTATTTTATTATTCCCTTGCTATCTTTCTCTTCTTAATGTATTCAGTTTCCCTTCCTTTGGTATATCTATAGATACATCTCTTGATTTCTCTTCTGTTTTTTTCTTTTATTTTCTCTTCAATTTTCAATTTCTATTTTCGGTGAGAGATTATTTTCTTGAGCTATGCCCCAGATGAAAATATCACCCTGTAGTTGTAAATCTTTGCTTTTCTCTCCATATCCTAACTCTGTTGTTTTTGTTGTTTCTTATCTGATTTCATAAAGTCAGGGGCTTTGTCTCCTTTGTACTATGCCTGTTATATAATATAACTTCAAGAGCCTCAAGAGCCTTTTTTTAAGTAACATTATCTCTTAAATGTATTTCTAAATTTTTTTGGTTAAAAATTCCCATTGTCACATTTTTAATTTCCAGTGGCTTTTTCTTTATTCTTTGAATGTTCCTTTTATAGCAACCTGTTGTTTTCCTATGGATAGAATAATACCTCTTCTCTTTTAAGGATATTATTAGGTTTTATAAGTTTCCCTTTGCTCACTTTACAGTCTAATTCTTTTCCACTGAGTTTATTTTGCTGCCTATTTGATTGAATTCAATCTTCGTGTTGTGTCCTTTCTCAATATTTGGTGATCTTGGCTTTCTGTTTATATTTAAGAGAAGGGTGAAAAAAAATACATATCTGACATGAGACCAGTATGAATGGGCTGGGATTATGGGCTGATAAGCCTAAGGATCACCTGTTGGTAAATGGGCACTCCACTTAGATTCCCTTAAACGTCAGTATCATATGTAATTTCTCTCGTACTAGATGTCCATATTTTTCCTGGGTTCTGAAAGCCTTATTTGGAGTTTTCTGAGGGTTCATTTGGGGAAAAAATAAAAACAAAAAAATGATAAAAAAATAAAACCTTAGATTTTCCCTAGTATATATGTAGACATTCTTAAAGTTCCCTTATCTTTAGTAGATACTTCACCCCTGCAGTTACGGGGACCTGGTAGCTCTGAGTTTAAGTCTTTATGACTAAATCTTACCAGAGAGTAAATTTCCTGCCTCAGAATAGACTGACTCAATGAGTTGGCTGAAAGTTTCCAATATTCTATTTGCTGTTTTTGCAGGCTTTTAATCATTAATCTTATTTTTTTTTTCAACCTTACCAGCACCCATTTCTGCAGAAATACTAGTTCTTTTAGTTCTGAGTTTCTTCTGGGTTTAGAGGTGCATCACTTGGCTTTTTATTGGCAGTAATGTTTCAGATTTGCCTACTCTGATAAGTCAGTATCTTCTCATCTTCCTAGTTTTCAGCTTCAAAACATTGTTGCTGTTGTTTATTTATTATTATCACTCTATATCCAATTTGCTCAGTCTTCTTTAATGGCTTACCGGAGCTTTTAGGGGTTTAGTTAAAATGAAATCATGTGTTCTTTTTGCCATTTTTTTATTGTCAGTCTAAGCCTAGAAATACCATTTGACCCAGCCATCCCATTACTGGGTATATACCCAAAGGATTACACATCATGCTACTATAAAGACACATGCACACGTATGTTTATTGCAGC
Source organism: Homo sapiens (assembly GCF_000001405.40). Lineage (NCBI taxonomy): Eukaryota > Metazoa > Chordata > Mammalia > Primates > Hominidae > Homo > Homo sapiens. The sequence goes on from NC_000021.9 coordinate 18,596,769, forward strand.
ACTACTCACAGTAGCAAAGACTTGGAACCAACCCAAATGTCCAACAATGATAGACTGGATTAAGAAAATGTGGCACATATACACCATTGAATACTATGCAGCCATAAAAATGATGAGTTCATGTCCTTTGTAGGGACATGGATGAAGCCGGAAACCATCATTCTCAGCAAGCTATCGCAAGGACAAAAAACCAAACACTGCATGTTCTCGCTCATAGGTGGGAACTGAACAAAGAGAACACTTGGACACACACCGGGGCCTGTTGTGGGGTCGGGGGAGAGGGGAGGGATAGCATTAGGAGATATACCTAATGTAAATGACGAGTTAATGGGTGCAGCACACCAACATGGCACATGTATACATATGTAACAAACCTGCACGTTGTGCACATGTACCCTAGAACTTAAAGTATAATTTTAAAAAAAGAATCAATAAATACCAAAAATTTGAAAAAAAAAAGAAATTAGAAATTAGGCTTAGGAAAAAACAGCTAAAATGCTTCAAAGTAGCTGTTTCTATAGCTAGAGACTGTGGTTATAATATTGTCCTTGATTTTATAGAAGTCTTTTAGTAAAATGTGACATCTATTTTCAAATAATATGAACATATTATTTTGATAGAAAAATTAATGATTTAATTAAAAAACTGGTAAAAATTGTATTTTTTGAACTTTGCAAGTTGTTTTTTCATTGCAATTTTCAGACATGGTTGGACCAAAAAAAAAAAACTTTTTTAAAAACAATTTGCTGGTTACATAAAAATCATTCCCTAATATCAATTTTTGAATAATCACATAAAAAATGAATTAGTTGCAAGGTGGTTCTAACAGAGGCAGGGATTTAAGCTTGTCAATCCTTCTTCTTCTCGGAATTATATATAGAATTTAGCAAAGAAAATTTTAATAGAATCAAGTATTTTTATTAATTATTGTGAAGTTTACACCTAGAAAGCTTAGATAATAGGAGCTCAAATCAAGCTTTCCTTGAAGTGTCTGCAGAGATATTGATACTGCATGCTTATAGTCTAATCTGAGTGTTCCAAAGAATGAAGTAACTGACCAGACTTTGGTTTCTGCATTTGAAAATTAGCAACTCACTGTAGGTTCAATACGTTTTGACAGATTGGCTTTTGTATTTTTCCCAAATATTAAAACATAGCTTGAAAAATATTGAATGATTGATTCTACTTTTAAAAGCTCAGTTAGTATGAAATGCCAGAGATTGCTGAATGTCTAAAGACATTCAAATACATTGGGGGATGGAAGAAGCCTTACCTGCTTATAAGAGAGTATGCCTCTGGCCAGGCGCAGTGGCTCACTCCTGTAATCCCAGCACTTTGGGAGTCCGAGGCAGGTGGATCACTTGAGGCCAGGAGTTTGAAACCAGCCTGGCCAACATGACAAAACCCCGACTCTACTAAAAATACAAAAATTAGCTGGGCATGTTGCCATGTGCCTGTAATCCCAGCTACTCAGGAGGCTGAGGTGGGAGAATTGCTTGAAAATGGGAGGCAGAGGTAGCAGAATTGCTTGAACATGGGAGGCAGAGGTGGCGGTTGCAGTGAGCAGTGATCTCGCCACTGCACTCTAGCCTGGGTGACAGAGCGAGACTCTGTCTCGGGAAAAAAAAAATAGTAATGTGTGCCCAAAGACTTTTTCATGAGCAAACTAATAAACTAGACAACCAACCAACCAGACAGTCAAAAGACATACGTGTGTTTTATTATTATTATTATTATTATACTTCAAGGTCTGGGGTACATGTGCAGAATGTGCAGGTTTGTTACATAGGTATACATGTGTCATGGTGGTTTGCTGCACCCATCAACCTGTTACCTACATTAGGTATTTCTCCTAATGCTATCCCTCCCCTAGCCCCCGACACCCCAACAGGCCCTGATATGTGATGTTCCCCTCCCTGTGTCCATGTGTTGTCATTGTTCAATTCCCACCTATGATTGAGAACATGTGGTGTTTGGTTTTCTGTTCTTGTGATAGTTTGCTGAGAATGATGCTTTCCAGCTTCATCCATGTCCCTGCAAAGGACATGAATTCATCCTTTTTTTATGGCTGCATAGTATTCCATTTTCTTTATCCAGTCTATCATTGATGGACATTTGCATTGGTTCCAAATCTTTGCTATTGTGAATAGTGCCACAATAAACATATGTGTGCATGTGTCTTTATAGTAGAATGATTTATAATCCTTTGGGTATATACCCAGTAATGAGATTACTGGGTCAAATGGTATTTCTAGTTCTACATCCTTGAGGAATCGCCACACTGTCTTCCACAATGGTTGAATTAATTTACCCTCCCACCAACAGTGTAAATTGTTCCTATTACTCCACATCCTCTCCAGCATCTGTTGTTTCCTGACTTTTTAATGATCACCATTCTGACATGAGATGGTATCTCATTGTGGTTTTGATTTGCATTTCTTTAACGACCAGTGATAATGAGCATTTTTTCATATGTTTGTTGGCTGCATAAATATCTTATTTTGAGAAGTGTCTGTTCATATCCTTCGCCCACTTTTTGATGGGGTTGTTATTTTCTTGTATACTTGTTTAAGTTCTATATAGATTCTGGATATTAGCCCTTTGTCAGATGGATAGATTGCAAAAATTTTCTCCCATTCTTTAGGTTGCCTGTTCACTCTGATGATAGCTTCTTTTGCTGTGCAGAAGCTCTTTAGTTTAATTAGATCCCATTTATCAATTTTGGCTTTTGTTTCCATTGCTTTTGGTGTTTTAGTCATGAAGTCTTTGCCCATGCCTATGTCCTAAATGGTATTGCCTAAGTTTTCTTCTAGTATTTTTATGGTTTTAGGACTTATGTTTAAGTCTTTAACCCATGTTGAGTTGATTTTTGTAGAAGATGTAAGGAAGGGGTCCAGTTTCAGTTTTGTGTATATGGCTAGCCAGTTTTTCCAACACCATTTATTAAACATGTTCTTTTTATTTATAATTTTATTCCTATCTCAGGAAACTGTGCTTCACATTGGCCACACGTTTTTCAGTGCAATGTGTTATGTGACTTGGTCAATATTGCCTGGTCATTAGTGAGGTCTGCATTTTCTTTTCTTCCTACTCTTCCTACTCTTCCTTCCTTCCTCTTTCTATCCTACTTCCTGCTCTTTCTGAACATTGATTCCTTCACTTCCCATCTCTAATATTTAATGGCACAGCAGAAACAGTGAGGCTTTTATTTATATTCTTTTCAGTGAGGAGAGAAAAAACAATTCCTAACTGAAAACTTAGTAAAGTAGGAGGCCCATATAATAAGTCAAGTCTTCAAGGAATCAGAGAGAACCTAACTAATAATCTGGCCTTTCCCTTTGTTGGCGGGACCTTGCAATTTGGAAAATGGTGGCCTATTCATTCACTCAGCAAGGGTGAATACAGCACATATATAAGGTAGTGATTATTTTAGCATTCATAGCAAATGAATATCTTGATTCCCAATAAATGCCTGGCATCTCATTTTGTATCAGTGAAATATATGTAAGACTACTTCTGAATGATACATGATTGACTTTTTATATTTGAAAGAGTGTGGACAAGGGATTTTCTGAACACTTTGTGACATGGTTACTTTTTTAAATGGTAAATTTATGGTAATTTTCAAAATTGTGAAGAAGTCTAGAAAAAAGTAGCATTGAAATATAAAAGGATGTTCTCATTAAAACTTTGAGAAGCATATCACCTTGATTTAAAATTTAAAATGAATTATTTAAAGTATTTCTTCAGACTCACAGACCCTATCCTCTTGCCTAATCTTATTTTAGAATTTCCTGACTTAAGTAGAAAAAGGCTGTATTTTGAACTCTGTTCAAAGGTTAGGTTTTGAAGACCTATGGTTCTTCAGGTTAAATATGATGATTATACATAATATCTATCAACATTAATTTTAGAATTTGACTTATTTTTTAAAATCTACATGGATAGATTTACTTTTGTATTGGTAAACAAAGAACCTAATTACATGTGCTTTCCCAAGTCTATGGTTTCCATATTTGATTGTTTCATGTGAAAATGCATATTTTAAGATTCATTCTTACATTCACAGATGTATGTAAAACTATCTTGCTTGAAAATAGTGGGAGTGTCTCAAGGCATAAATGCACGTTTGATCATCATATTTGGTCTCCATTTTAAAGATGGCATTGCTTTGTATTTACTAAGAAAACACTGTAAATGTTCAGATTATGAAAGAGACAATTTTAGTTATTTAATTAAATTAACTTCTTTAAAGAGGAAGTGAAGGGTAGATATTTTTAAAATTATTCTTTAAAAATTCTAAAACAGATTTAGCATTTGTTTAGCATTTGTTTAAAAATTTCTAATTTTCTCAAAATATATATGAACTGAACATTTTATTAAGAAATTGTTTTAATTACTTAGAATCAGAACAGAATGCTAATAAACAATTTACAACCTTAGAATAATATATTTAACATAATTGAGTCTTTTGTTTGTTTGTTGATTTGGTAGCTGTTAACTTTAAGGTGCAGATGGTGAAATAGACTCTAACAGTGCTTTATTGCTCACACTGTCTCTAGAGTTTTAAGTTCCAATTGCACCTATAAAAAGGGGTAATTAGTCCTTTCTGTTTTATTGCTGTTAAGGGAAAAAAAGCTGTTTCAGTTAACTGCCAACTGGATACTATTCTAGATTAAAATCCTGGTATCAGTAACTTCTTCTCCTTTTCAAATTCCAAGTCAAGAGTTCAAAACATGTGAGAAATGTCACCTTCTTAAATATTACGGTCTATTAATTATGTCCTTGTAGTGAAGTTTATTGGTGCAATTAGTCGACAGGTAGGAATATCAGTCTTTATAAAATTATATGTGGTGGGGACAAGGTTAATACTAATTTCATAGGCATTAAGGATATATTTGAGTGTATTCAGAGATAAGCGAACCATGATATTAGTAAAATGACATCTTTTGATTTGTTTAAAAGTTTGAAAATAAGAACATACTCAAAGACTATTTTTCTTCACAAATCCAGTAGTGTTGGCAGATTGAAAATGTGTAATTATAATTATTTTCCATTTAGACATGTATTATTTTGATAGCAATTTCTCAGTAATATCAAATATAATTACCCAACTCTAGAAAGTAATTTCATTTCTCCCTACCTAGACATGTGGCTATAATATAAAAAGAATGATAAACATTTTGTTTTAATCAAAAGTACAAATTAGGTATTCTAGCTTCCAAAATAATTTTCAAGCATGTCAAAAAAATTCATGTCAAGTATTAGCTTAATTATTTTTAACTTTAGTGTTTAGTGCCTTATAGGTAAAGTGGCTTAATTCACAGAGGCTTTGAGATATTTCTGCATAACTTTTACTATTTCAAGATGTGAAAACAAAGAATCCCAAGGAAGATATATAAATTGAAAGGATCAACATGCCACATAACCAGTGATGGCATTAGCATTTGTTTGTGAATTATATTAATGGTTATAATTAGGATAATTTGAGCTTTTACATTAGTATAATGACAGTTTACTTGTAATGTTTTAGTCTATGTTTTAATTCCACCAACTGTGAAATGGAAGAAAATGTCAATACAAAGAACAAAGCAGAATTTGCATAGGAATGGAAACAACTACATCAAGACAAATGAATCTTGAATTAGCTCATGAGCTGAATAATGTCATGAGTTTTTGTACTTGTAAATTTATTTTTTAAATCCATATGTAACACGAAAGATTGATAAAGACAGCTGCAATTTTAATTCAAATAAGATCAGCTATTTGGCAGAAGAGGCAGAGGAAAGAAAAATAGATACAATGATTTAAGTGAAGTGAGAAAATCAAAGACAAAGTGAAGCACAATGAAATCATCATGTAAAATACACATTAAATGTAACTTCATTCATTTTAGAAAAAAAGTTTGCTTAGTTTGCTTTTCAATGTGTCTAGCATAGTTTATATGTATTAAAAAGTTTTCTTAGCTATCCTTCAATGTGGACATAAGAACATTAGAGGTAAAAACAATTTTTGCTTAATTTCCTGTTTAAGGAAACTTAGTCCTGTTTTTGTGTTGGTCAGCATTATGCTATCAGCACAATCTATTTTAGGCTATGTGCTATTTTGCCTTTTTTTTAAGAGACAGAGTCTTACTCTGTCACCCGGGCCAGAGAGCAGTGGTGTGATTATAGCTTACTGCAGCCTGAAACTCCTGGGCTCAAATCATCCTCTCACCTCCGCTTTCTTTCTGAGTAGCTAGGACTACAGGTGCATGCCACCACACCTGGCTAATTTTTATTTATTGATTGATTTTTGGTAGAGACTAGCTCTCGCCATGTGGCCCAGGGAAGTCTCAAACTTCTGGCCTCAAGTAATTGTACCTCAGCCTCCCAAAATGCCGGGATTACAAACATGAGACACCATGCCCAGAGTATTTTACCTTTTATGACAAAATCTCCCCCTGGCATACTAATTCCTACTTGGTTTCTCTAGTCCTCATTCCCTGTTGTGCTATACCTAACCCAGCAACCACAGCTCAACTGATCACATATCTACACTAATTATTAATAGGGGCCATCTACAAGTTGCCTGGATCTTACCTACTATCTATTGACAGATGCCTACAATACCAGCTCATTCACCTACCAGTGTTTCAGCTGGATTGTTTTCACTGAATCTGCTTGTTGTTGTCTTGTGTGAAAGGTCCGCTACAGTTAAGGGCTGCCTGCCAAGCTGTTCCTGTAGCCACTGCTGTTAGGCTCATAAATTGCCTTCTCTGTCTTAGTGGGGGGTTTCCCACTCTATTGTTAAAAGCATGCCCCACTCCGTTGCTTGATGAAATTCAATTTTATGGACAATATTCACTGATTCAAAAATAGTTATTGATCTCCTTTCTAAGCAGTTATAGGTGCTAATTATATAATGATGAACAAATAGACATAGTACCTGCTTACCTGAACCTTCATTTTAGTGAGCTGTATTATACACACATAAACAGATAAGTACATATGTAATTAAGATCTTAATGTCATAAAAAGATAACAACCTGGATGTTGTAATAAAGAGTATGAGAAATAACTGAATTTGAGAGGGCAGTCTCTGTAATTTAGACTTTTTGAAGAATTATCTATTATTATAATTAATACAATTAACAATCATAATTATTATATTATTACTATTATTATTATTACAATATAATAGTTGTGGACATTTTATTGAAGTAAAACTCTAACAAGTGACCTTTATTGGGAGCTTAAAATATGCTACATACTCTTCTAAATGTCTTATATACATTAAATCATTTAATACAGCAAACACATCTATGAGAATGGTGATAATACCTCTGTTTTTACAAGTGAAGAAACTGCAATACAAAGATGATGTCACCTGCCTAAGGCCACACTGCTAGTGAAAGTTTGAGAGGGAATAGAGCGAAGGTCATCCAGTGCCAGTGCCCGTATTTTTACCACAATGCTATACCACCTGTCAAGAAGCTGAGACCCAAACCTCACCTGAGTTGAAATTTGCAAAATAATAAGAATTCTGCCAGTGTACTGTAAATAGAAGGAAAAGCACAGGAAATGACAATCACATGGATTAGATCTGGAACGTAGTGACTATGGGTGTGGGCAGAGTAGCTCAAAGTAAGGACTAAGGCATGTTCACAGGTAGCAAGGTACTCTTAGCAGGCCATTCACTTGATCCACTTTATGTCTTCCTATTTGATTTGCTTTGCTTTATTTAGCTTTGCTTAATCATTCCAAGGTTTTGCAGAGAATATTAATTGGGAGGAAGCAAGGACAAATTGTTCAAGAAGAATTAGTGTAGTTTAAGAAAAAAACAGTGATGATCTCCACTAGGGTTGTAGCAGCAGAAATGCAGAAAGTTACGCAGAACAGAATTACATTTGAAAGAACAATATATATGTGGGACTATGTGGGAAGCTCTTATCTAATAGGTACAGATACATTAAAACTAAAATAGAAATCCTTTAGGAACATTAAATATTCTGGATTTTAAGAAAATGGGCCAATACTTTTGCTAACTGGATGAGTGTGATAGCTAACTAATACAGTTATTAATAGAGGTAACTTCTGAACCTGTTGAGAAAAAAATAAGCAAAATAATAAAAAAGTAAAGACTTATAAACATATAGATTAAGGAAAACAATAGTATAAAAATATTTTTGTAAATTTTTCTGCATGCTTATATTATAAAATAAACGTTAAAAATATTAAGAACTTACAGACGTAATTAATAGCAAGAGGTTTAAATAATTAATCATTCCAGATTCACTTGACAGATTTAAATATAATCACAGAATTAGTGGGGGAAAGAAATGGAGTAGCTGTCACATACTTGAACACTGAGAAAGCATTTTATACAAACTTTAGAAGTTTTACTTGCACAATTAATGCAATAGACTGAATGTGTACCCCTCATCCCCAATATTCATATGTTGAGCCCTATCCCCCATTGTGATGGTATTTGGAGATAGGGTCTTTGGGAGAATATTAGATTTAGATGAGGTCATGAAAATGGGCCCTCACAATAATAAAGAATGGGTGCCCTTATAAGGGATAAGCACACTTATGAGAGGAGGAAGAAACAATATGGCTGGCTGTCTCTGCCATTTGAGGACACAGTGAGAAGGATGTCATCTCCAAGCTGGAAAGGGAGCACTAACCAGAACCCAACCATAATGGCCACCTGATCTCTGACTTCCAGCCTTCAGAATTGTGAGAAAATAAATCTCTGTTGCTAAAGTCACCCAGTCTACAGTATTTTGTTATGACAGCCCAAGCTAATTGAAACCGTCAATTTTTTAGAAAGATAAAAATAAAGTGAGTAACTTTAGATAGAGACAAATGGCCAATACCAATCCAATGAAGATTATTTTTGGTAGTTTTAGATCTAAGATTATTTGAATCTAAATTAAACTAATAATAAAAAAATCAATTCAACTTGGAATACTCTAGGCATTATGCTTAAAGGCTTCAAGAAGTGACCCATACCAATGTATCTGAGAGGTCAAACATTTTACTTGTATGAATAGACTAGGTGTCTCTAAGGGAAAGTGAAAGTTGGAATTAATTTGAGAAAATTGCTAGTTTCCAGAGAACAGCAACAATACTTTCAACATAAATATTAATGAGTAGCATAAGTATGGGAAACAACCCTACTGAGTATGGGAATGGATTGAGAATCTTTCTAAATAGTAAAACAATTAGTAGTAGTCAGATTGATGAGAACAGTATATGTACAGATGTCTGTTTTCCAAGGTATTAGACTGATATTAGCAAAATATCCATTCTTAAGAACAGCTTACTCCTTTGAAACATGGCATTTTGAGGACTGTCATCCTATACTTGGAAGATGCTAATGTTTTAGCATCTTGGCAATGCTTGACATTCTTGAGGAAATTTTAAATTATATTATTTTCCAGTATTGGAAATTAAAGGTAGATCCGTGTGCTTTGATAATTAATTTAAGAGAGGTTAGGACTGGCAATTTCTAATGAAATTTTAAATCTTCAATTAGGGCAGAACCAAATAAAATGTGATAACACAGAAATGTGTCTTAAAATGATCCACAGGGTAGGTCAAAATTTTTCTCAGGAAACAGTGTTCCATTGCAGAGAAATGTGTGTGAAAATTTTTAAATATTATGTGATTCCTTAGAGCATAGCTTCTCTTATATTAGCCAAATTGGTCATAAGGGGGCTGAAATCAATTACAAACCATAGTGATTTTATTTTGAGGTCATTTTAATCCTGTTAGAGTAAAACTTTGTTACCTGAATAGAGATGTATATTCACATAGTATTTATTATCTATACAGAGAGCTGGAGTGAGAAGTAATGAATCTCATTTATATAGAAACACATCAAATTGCACATATTCACAATAAATTCTTGATTTATCTGATTTAAGATTTTTATAGAATCTGTCAACATAGTACTCATTACTTCCTTATTTCTTATAATATTTTATAGCCATTAATCTTTTTTTAGAAAAAAATATTAAGGTAAACTTACCTCTTTGCCCATAATAGGTGCTATCCATCTCACCATCCTAAATTAATGTATATTAATAGTTTATATTATTTCTAACTCTTTTATAATTATAATATTTAAAATGAAGTTAATTTTTTAAGAATATTGCTCTTAGGCTAAGTTGAAAATTATTTTATGTACTACACATAAATGGCACTGAAAAATCAATTTTTTGAAGGGAGAGAGATAAAGAAATTCAACTAAATTTAAACTATCTTCAACATTTTCCATATTTGTATTCAATCGCAAGTAGGTTAATCACTTGCTTAGGCTGTGAATGACTTGCCTTCTACTTTCTCAGGTTCTTAGAATGTGAAAATAATACGGTATTTGTTTCTTCTATGGTAGACAAGCATATATACTTAATGATTTGTTTTGTTTACTTTATTTTAGACAGAAAGTTTTAAAAATGTATAATTGGTATTAAAGTGAGTAAATTCTACTTTTACTGAAAGTTTATTTCTCATTCTAACATTTTACCTATGTATATAATACATTGAAATTTGGTTTAAAATGTCACTATGAAGTCCAGTCATAAAATTATAAATAGGCACCTAATTAAATACGATTCTAAACTCAATGAATAACCTTTTATCTAGAAAAGATATCATGAAATGAACTTTGAATTAATAACAAAGTATAGCAAAAATAAAATCAACTTATTCTAATTATGGGTGGCCTTTGGTTTACTTAACTAAGCATATGCATCAAATACAGTATCAATATACTTAGCCTTTGGTGACAGTGGCAGGTTCAAAGTATTTGGGGGCAATTCTTCCTTCTAATGTGTTATTGGTCATGACGGTGCAGCCATGTATCTGTAATAAGGATTGACAGAGTAGGAAGGGAACAAACTTATAATAAAAGAAGAATTGGATAAAGTTAACTGTGAAAATATGCTAACAGAATAAGCATCAATTAGTGTAGAGAAGTAAAACCTTGGGGGAGATGAATTATATTTTATGACCACTGATAATGGATTCTGAGTAAATAGGTTTACATTTCACTGGGGAAGGTTATTGTAAATTGAAAAGATGCAGCAGAAATGCAGTTATATAGGAAGAAGAGGGAAAATCATTTAATCCGATGAGTGTTTTTATGAGAAATTTTGACTCATATAATAATTATTCAGTATAAGTGGTGAAATATTATAATACATATTTGGAATTTGAAAACTGGTAACAAGTGTATCAGGATAAAATTGAAAATTATGATATATGGCCTTTTTGCATCTAAACTTTCAGTAGTAATTGATTTAATTTTGTTATTTAGAGCATTAGAGAAAAAAATTATTTCCTAAGGTCTACCAATATATACACAAACTCCTTCTTTTCATTGATATAACAAATATATATGCATAACCTGTCATATTAAATTTCATTCCTGCTTTATGATGGGCATTATAAAATGAGTTAACTGATTAGCAATTTCCTTTCTTATAATGCTTTCAGAAAACATAAACCTGATACTGCAATTGACAAACTCACCAAATCCCACTCTTCCTCTTCCCTTAGAAGAAAAACGCCAGAGCAGGTGCTACATTATGATCATCAGAAAGCCATTCTGTTTAACATGAATAATGTCATTCAGAGGGTTAGCCATCTGTTTGCTGAGTGTTTTTCAGACTTACACCCACAGCAGCACAAAAGCAATGCATGTGGGTGCCATAATCATGGATCTTCCAAAAAGCTTTTGTCTCTTGTAAAAATGAAGTGAGATTATTTTAAGAACTAAGTTATATTAGAAATGCAGGCACTTAAATGCTGTCTTTTTTGTTGCTTTGTGAAAGATTCCAGATATGTAAATTAAATACTGTTTGGGTTTCTGTGTGTAATTTATGAGCTTAAAAAGGAGATCTGAGCAAATTAATTATAGTTGAAAAATGTGCATCACTGAGACAAATGCAGTTGGTTGTGCTTATATTTCTTGGACTTTATATCCCATTTTAAAGTGTAATTTTTTTCAGAATATTTATATTGTATTTTTACTTTGTATTCCATGTAAGAAAACTAAGCAAAGAATTTCCTTTCCAAATACAGTAAGCAAACATTGTTCATTAAATATTTTCCCAGAAAATAAAGCATAAGGGAAACTGAACGAAGAGTTAAGTGAAATCAAGATTTTCTTTGATGTTTCTCACTCTATTGCCATTCAAATGTTAATTATAGAATTATCTTTAGTTACAGTCCACTATTTTATCACTACAGCATAGTGATGTTCCCTCCAGGATTAATTCAGGAAACTCCTAAAAAACGAATTAACATAAAATAATATTTGAAAAAAAAACCTGTATAACTTCAGTAAGCACATCATTAAAAACCTTAAATGTGTGTGTATATATATATATAAATGTATGCATGTATGTATATCTATATATAGACATATATAGCATAATTCTTCATGTTACTTTAGCCACAATCATTATATATTTCTGAAGAAAAAAACTCTCTTCCTCAAACATGATTGCCATTGTATTTAGGAAATGAGTGATAAAAATGTTCAATCTATTTTGATGAAATCCAAACTTATATTAGGCATTGAAATATTTGACAATTAGTTTTGAATATATTTGAAAGTTTAGAAAGTGTTTTGAGCAATTTGAATCTATCCAATGCATTTTTAAAATATTTTTAAAACAATATGATACAATATCAAGGAAATTTCCTTGTAAATTAATAAATCATATACATTAAATTCAGTAACTGTTGGACAGATAAGCATAAAAATATACAGAATTTCCTGATACTATGATCTACTAGAACCTCATTTTAATACATAAATTTTAAAAAAAACTATTTAAAATCACTTTATATCTACCTGCCTAGATCTAGTAAAAGAGTAACTTCAGGAAGTTCAAGTGCTTGCTTAGGACATTTGGAACCCCAGCATCACAGCAATCATTGAATATGTATGAGTTAGTGTTTACCGGTGTTAGCGACACTCTGCTTATGGGAAATGTAGAGATGCATCAAGGGAAATGTACATAGAAAAGACACGGTCGTGTTTCGAGACTCTTAAAGGACTACAGGCAAGGAGGAGAAACCCATTCTACAGGCATTTCAAAGTATGCTAATACATAGAGAGTTTTTGAATGAATCTAATCTACGTGAGTCCAATCCACTATTTCTAGTCTGCAAAACCTAATTTGACCTTGATTAGTGGAAATGAAGGCTTAAAAATGACAGAAAATCAGCACCTGTTAAGTGATGATGTACATAGAAATTTTAACTTCCAAGAAGGATATTGATGGGTTTTTATTCTATACCATAAGCTGAGTGAAAAGAAGAGAAAAAGTGGGTCAGAACTAGAGGTTTGAAGGTCACTGGAAACATGATGAAGGCTTGTATATATTTACAGGCATGGAAGAAAAAAATCAAAACAAAATTTGTGTTTTCTGTTTTTGGAAAATGATCACTTTATATGGTGAGAGCATAGGAGGTTACCACTTTCAGTTACCCAAGACTGAGATGTTCTTTCTGAATGCAATGATCTGTTCACTTAGGGGACTAGTATGATGCTGATAAAGGGAGCAATTAATATTATTTTAAAATTATAGAATATATGTAAAACAAAGTTTTAGGAAATGATAAGTCTCAAATTTTGATAACAGCTTTCTTGATTACCCCATGTAAAGTTATTCCTTCAATGTTCTTGTATAGACCTTTATTATAATAGTAACCATGTTGATTCCCATTTATTTATATTTTACATTTCTGATTTCTCTTATTAGGTTATCTGTTCTCTGAAATCAGAACATATTTTATTTCTTCTTCATATTCCCAGCACCTAGCACACAATCTACTATATAATATGCACAATAATATTTATTAAATAGATGAGTAACAATAAAACTATTCTAAGTTACATATATTGATACTGTGCATATTGATTTTGATTAATTTAGAAGTCATCTAAAAGTTATGTTATTTCCCTTACTCTGAGAAACAAACATCATTTCAAATAAAATAGTGTTGTACTGATCTTGAGAAGAAAGTCCATGACTAAATAAATAGATGTGGTAATTGGTTTCTTAAAACATATATTTTGTCAAAATTCAAAGTCAAGTGAATGAGAAATCTGAAGTTTACAATATATGTGTGTCTTATAAATACATAACTCAATAATCAAAATAACTCATTAGGGGATTGCTACATTTGAACTGGTGGCACAAGGCTATTATTCTCCTAATGATTCTATGAAGTTTAGTAGAAAAATTGAATTTCCTTAATTATATTTATGATCTCCATCTTACATGTTAATTTTATCATTACAATAGCAAACATTCCTTTCAATTTTAGCCAGAGTAATTTTAACCCGAATCAACTATGCCCTATTAGATTTCTGATTCTGAAGATGGAGAATGAGCTAGGTTGTTTACAGGGACTCAAAAGGAAGGAATTTTAATACAGAATAACTATAGAAAAGAGAAAATGTGGATGTACAATTGGAAGTATTGGTCATAAGGATGAATTATAGTGGTTGCCTATTTTACAGAGATTTTAACATACATTACCACTTTATATAGACAACGTTTGTGTCCCCCTAAAATTCATATGTTGAAATTCTAACCCCAAATCTGTCTGTTTTATAAGGTAGGGACTTTTGCAGGGGATTAGGTCATGGACTCAGAGTCCTCATGAATAGAATGAGTACCCTCATAAAAGGAATGATAAATTACCTAACTGGTATAATGAACATTACTCAGGAGATGGTTATACTGAAAGCCCAGGTTTCACCAGTATGCAACATACCCATATAGCAAAATGTCATGTGTATCCCTTAAAATTATACAAATACAAAATAAAGATAAGTAAAAACAAAAATAAAAGAGACCCCAGAGATTGAGCCTCAGCACTTTTTCTAAGTGCTCTGTATATGTTAAGTCATCTGCTTCTTACACCTACCCTGAGAGTCCAGTTTACAATTTTATCTCCATTTTGCGAATTAGGAGTAGAAGCAAAGATACACACTGACTAATAGGTAAGAATGGGAATTAGGACATATAATTTCTGGTTGTAAAATATTCCCTTTAATCATTATTCTAAATTGTCCCTCAATAGCAAGGGGAAGCATCAAAGTTAGCATGTAAAATAAAATAAAAGGAACCAGTAGAGTCAGTTGAAAATGTACAGGTCTGTTTGACCTTGTAGAGAGAGAAACAAGGAGAAAAGATTACCAGAGATGTGCAATAGTTTGAAATCTTATAAACAGTGGGATTTCCAGAACAAAAAAGGCAGATGCTGGCTTACTTAGTGCTCATTCATTCACAGCTATGAGGTGTCCTCTGGGAGATAGGCCTTAGATTGGACCTATGTCTTAGTCCATTTTGTGCTGCCATAACAGAATAGCACAAACTGGGTAATCCTCAAAGAACGGAGATTTATTTCTTATAGTTCTGAAGCCTGGGTAGTCCAAGATCAAAGGACTGGTATCTGGTGAGGGCCTTCTTGCTGCATCATCCTATAATGGAAGGTGAAAGGGAAAAAGTCCCTGCAAGAGACAGCAAAAAGGTCAAATTCACTTTCGTAGCAAACCCACTCTCATGATAAGAATCCCACTGCCCAGCCTGGCCAATACGGTGAAACCCTGTCTCTACTATAAATACAAAAATTAGCCAGGCATGGTGGTGCGTGCCTGTAGCCCCAGCTACTTGGGAGGCTGAGGCAGAATAATCACTTGAACCCAGTAGTCGGAGGTCACAGTGAGCCGAGATTGTGCCACTGCACTCCAGCCTGGGTAACAGAGCGAGATCCTGTCAAAAAAAAAAAAAAAAAAAAAAAAAAAAAAAAAGAATGACTACCCTGTTAATGGCATTAATCCTCAAATAAGAGCAAGAGAAATCACAGAGACTTGGATTTGTCTGGTGCCATAACTTAATTGCACTTTGAGTGTCTTCCCTGTAGAATGCGTGAGCATACTTGCACACAGAACAGTGTGCATCGAAAATTTCTGACAAGCAGAGTTGGCTGTATAAGACTGAATTATCATTTGAAAATACCTGCCCCCTTTCCTGAAGAAGTATTCCATCTTGACTCTGCTCACATAGGACTTGTCCTGTAGCTTGCTTTGGCCAGCAAATAGAGAGCAGGAATACTACATATCACCTCTGCACAAAAGCTTTATAAGCAAGTACATTGTTTGACATTATTTATTTTCTTCTGCCACGGTGAGTGGCAAGGTCCAATTAAAGGTGGCTCCATCCAGCTGAGTTTAGGATAAAGCACTATATGGGACAAAGCTACCCTAGAGTCACTATGAACACATGATTTTCATAAGAAATAAACCCTGGTTTATTAAGCCTCTGAGGTTTGGGAGGGATTATCACAGAGTAGCATAGCCTATCCTTTTGCAGTAACTTTATACTGTGTCAACTTAACAATGCTGGAAATAGACACACACACACACACACACACACACACACACACACACACATATTTTTTGAGACAGGGTCTCACTCTGTTACCCAGGCGGGAGTATAGTAGTGTGATCTCAGCTTAATGCAGCCTCCATACCCTGGGCTCAAGAGGTCCTCCCACCTCCACCTCCTGAGTAGCTGAGACTACAGCCATGTGGCACCGTGTCTGGCTAATTTTTGTATTTTTGTTAGAGATGGGTTTTCACCATGTTGCCCAGGCTGGTCTTGAAATCCTGAACTCAAGTGTTCTGCTCATCTAGGCCTCCCACAGTGCTGGGATTACAGGGGTGCGCCACTGCACCCTGCTGAACTATATTTATTAGTACACTTTTTCATACATGATTCTGAGTTAGAATTGGACAAAAGAGAAACTTGCATGAGTTGTGGAGACAGAAGGAAAGTAGCAGCTGGCATTGTCTAATGGCAAGAGGGAGGCACTAGGCACTGTTGCTACCTGCATTAGAGAGCTTCAGGGTAAACATAGAGTAGTTAAAAGTCTGACTTGCCCTTGTGAATTCTAATTTGTGCTCATGTGTTTCAGTTTTTCCTTTCTGTCTCTCACTATATACCTGGTGTTCCCAACCTTAGGTTCATAACTAGAATTGCATAGACTTTTTCACTAGTTATCACAATTGTTGAGTCTAATCACCATAATAAATCCATTATTCTATACTACTCTATACAGATTTATTGTCTTTCTGATTGAACCCTAATTTATAAACCAGTTAGAGCCTCTTTAGTCGTAACTACCATATGTTATTTGTAAAAGGCTTTGCATTCATTATTTATAAACCTTACAATAATTCTTCAGGACAGGCATTACTATTTGTAATTTAGAGATGATAAATCTGGAAAAAGAAACATTGCTTTCCAAAGGTAAAAGAGCTAGTGAGCTGTAGAGCTTGCATTTGAACCCATGTTTTGATGATGTTTTTTACCTATGTCACCATTCTCATTACAAAAACCTTATTCATTATATATGTGATACTTTGCCGATATACAGCATTTCCATTTGGAAGAAGTCATTTTGCACATTTTTACTGCCAACTTAAAACCATTTTTTGAAGTATGGAATGTAGAAGTGAGCTTGTAGGAGCAAAACTGTGCACCCATTTTAGAGGCCAAATAATGACAGGAGAGAATATGACCCAAAGAATATTACTTTGCATGCTGCAGTGCACTTACACACAGTAATGAAGGCTTTAATATCAGCAGGAGAGAGGAAAGTGACAATGAACATTAAAGCTGAACTCCTGCATTCTCTCTCAATGGAGCATGAAATAAGGCATGTCATCATGTCAGCGTATGCTAGGAAGGATTTGCTTAGACCCCGGTCCTTTTAGTATGGTAAGTCAGCTTCATGGTGAGTCAGATTCTCCAACATTGTGACTTTTTCAGACCTTCTCATTTCTTCCCCTATTCAATCTTCTGCCTTCGCAGATTGACTGTGATACTAAATTGCTATCTTGTCAGGAGTATGTAGAAGACTTTCAAGTTTCTAATATAGTGGTGAAGTTTCATGAAAGGCAGATTATTATAGTGTTGCAAAAATATCATTTTGTAAGAGAGAAAAGATATTAAACCATGTTAAAAATGCATCTTCATCTGCGCTGCTCTTCTCTAACCACGCCATATTAAATAGCATTATTATGTTAATATTCATCCTAAATTTGACTTCATATTGTGGTAACAACACTGATTAAAAACTGCTAAAAATGATCATTTCCAAAGTACCTGATGTATATTTTATTTGTAGTAAGATTGTTACCAAGTCAGGTTAAGATACTTGAGCTTTCTAGGCCTCACTAGAAAGTGAGATTATCTAGATTATCTAGATCTGGATAATTTCAGATCTACATTCCAAGATTTACATTTTATGACCTTATTTTTCCAGCCTTTGTCTTAGTCCTTGCATAATTATTTAGCCCCTAAAAGGTCTTATGCTATGTTAATAATAGAGAAAGTATCATTTTATTTTCATTGTTTTAAGATTTCACAAATGTTGTATCTGAACAAATTAGCATAAATTCTAAGAAAGCTTATTGCAGATGAAGTTCTATTAAAAAGCATTCATCATCAAAGAAATACAATGTTTGAAGTTGAAGTATTAAAGGATTCCATGTTATTCTTTTATATTCAGCTGTCTAAATTGTTATTTCTATTCCACAGGTCTTTAAAAAACATTTTAAGGCATATTTTAATATTAAGACTTTATGCCAATTTCAGCCAACTTGGAATGTAGTCTAAATATAGGTAGAACAAGTAAAGACAGGAGAAGAGTATAAATAGGGTCTTAGAGTCTAAAATGTATATGGTTATGTTCAAGAGACAATGAAGAGATAGTTTCTCATATACAGTAGACTTCAGAACCTAATATTCTTCTTCACAAAACATCAAAATCACATGATGTTAATAAGGTGTCTTGATGGGAAGAAAAATGTTCTATGTAAGCTTATGAAATGTCCTTATTCGCATATCTATCTCACAGGTTTACAACAAACTTCAATAAAATTTCTAAGGGTATCCGCTCTAAAGAAATTTGCCTAATTTGTTTAATTACTATGATTTGCATTTGGAACCAGATTATATTGTTGACCATATAATGCCATTTTATACCAAAAAATTAAATATACTTGGTGTCAATGGATTCATCACTATGTATAAAGCTTATTTGTGTAATAAGTCAAATAAGTAAAGAATTATTTGAATTGTGTTTGTGTAACATTCTTATGTTAAATGCATTTTGTTTCTTTAAAAGTTCCATCCTTGAACTGCACTTTGCTTTCTTATCTAATCTATAAATAATTAAGTTAAATAACCTAAATGATTCTCCCATTTAAGCATAGCTATTTGACAGATTTTCTTAAAAAACATCAAATATATATTACGTTTGAGGCATATAATCCCGTAAGTGGTGGAAATATCAAGCATTTACTAAAATTAAATACCAATGGCAATTATTTTTAAACTTCTCTAAGGACCAACAAAACAAAACCTAACAAAAAAATCTACAAACTTAATTTTGAGCCTCAGTTCAAGGTATACATTGGCGGTAGTGAGATGAACATTGATTTAGGGTATGCTGTAGAGATGGTGTTTAGTGTTTTACTGCTCACCAATTATGACAAACGCATTCTTCTTTTCTGATTTCTGAAAAAGTACATTGCTAGATATTGAATGCCTGTTTTTTTGCCTTTCAACCATACTGGAAAATGAAGTATAAAAGAACCAGAAAAGCCTGTTTCTCTTGATACTGCTTTTAAAATTTTATTTTATTTTGAGAATTCAGTGAGTACCCCAAATAGATAGAACACATCAGAAATGTAATAAATATGTCTTTGTTGAGAACAGCTTCACTGACTAGATATTTCCCCTTTTTTTAAAAAAAGTCTATTTTATGCTACTGAATCTTTAAAATTAATAAAATACATTTCTTCATTAAGTTAGAACATTGAACATTGTCACTGAACTCATAATTCTGCATGAAATTAAATAAAAGCATGGACGTATAGAAACGCATTTCTCTGAACCCAGCTGTTTACTTGAAAGAAAGAAAATGGATCATATAACTTTCTTATCTAGTACTTACAAGGATTAATTCTCTTTTAAAGGTATCCCAATATTTATATTTATAACAGACTCAAACATCCTGAAATAGAGCTATTCAAACAATCATGAATTCATGATTACTTAGTACAAACAAATAATTGAAGGATAATATGTATTGAAGGATATATGACATTTTTCCATACTTTTTTCCCCCACAGTTGAGTATCCAATGCTTAAGAAATATATATTTTCTGAAAGTGACCTGAATGTTTGTGTTTAGACTTGATCATTTCTAGTTTTACTTTGATTTGTTTGTTGGAGTTCAAATATGCACTATTCTAGATTTACAGTAAGTAGATCTTTCCTTTTTAATGAAATGAAAAATAATTCCCGTTCATATTACTATTTGTTTTTAGATATGGTCAAAACTCTTTGACACTTTTAAAATATTGCCTTAAAATAAAAGAAAGAGACTTAAAAGCTGTGTTTCAAAGTATCCAAACTTCAGATAGTAGCTTACTAAATTTTGTTTCACCATAAGAGTTATAATTGAATAGCTAATGTGATTTTTTATAACCAGATTGCAGATATACAGCATTGGAGTGATAAGGGCCAGATGCTATCTGAACAGCAGGTCTTCAGTGAGAAAAATTAGCTCAGCTTCTGTGGTCTTTGTTTTTCAGTCAGAACACATTCACATCACAGCTGGGATTCATACTGGTCTGCTTGTTTCTGGTAGTCTTCCTGCCCTTTCTACTTTAAAGAGAGAAACATATTGACCAGAAACCAACATGCTTACAGGGGTTTGACCTTTAAAAGAGAATGAAACCTTGTAAGCACTGGATAAGAAAGTTATATGATCCGTTTTCGTTCTTTCAAGTAAACAGCTGGGTTCAGAGAAATGTATTTCTATACGTCAAGCAGCACTTAGGACTCATTTTGGACCTCAAAAGTAAATCATAACATTTTGATATGTTGAAGGACCTTGGACAATTACCTAAAACTTAAAATAAATTACTAACTCTTTTATTAGGAAAAATACTTAACAATCTTTGGATTCGCCGTTTAAGACAAACTTTCTCCTCTACTTTTCAATTTAAGAATATAAAGACTTGATTGCAGTAACAAAGTTAGGAAAATGTGAATACATATTATACCTCCAAGTATGAAAACTCAAGTGAAATCAGTGAACAAAATAGTTTGGTCCATGCTTTTACTTAATTTCGTACAGAATTATGAGTTCAGTGACAATGTTCAATGTTCTAACTTAATGAAGAAATGTATTTTATTAATTTTAAAGATTCAGTAGCATAAAATAGACTTTTTAAAAACTAAAGAGGAAATTACTTATCTAGTCAGTGAAGCTGTTCTATATGATCATTGGATATATTTGCTATATAGACTCAAATTAAATTTCTTTGGAAATATTTGAATATAGTCTTCCCATATCAGAACATAAAAGTGCTAAATTCATTCTAATAACTGTGTATTATTATGTAAAGAGATTATTGTAAATCCTTTTTTCACTTACAGTAAATGTCTGGAAATGTCTGTCTTCTTTTCTGTTTCAGTGCTTATTATCATCTTCAAATACCAGTAACTTTCAACGAAGGACATATATCCCCTCCGTGTTGAAGCATGATTCCCAATGTTGGAAGACATTCTTGGGATTTTAACACAAAACTGTATTTTAAACCCATACCTAAGTGGAATCTACTTTTGCCTTTGTCCTGTTGTGCTACAATTTGTTACTTCCAATTCCTTCCTCTACAACAGCTAGAATGACATTTTAATGAGGGTGATTTTGATCACATCACATTTTTGTTACTATCTTCTATTTTTTTTTTTAAATATCCAAAATCTGTAAGCGGCTCTACTATGTCCCGAAGAAAACTATCTTTGCACACCATCCTCCTTTACTCCCAGAATAACAATCATGCCAGAATGTCATTTTTTTTCCTTAAAATTTTTCATAGTCCCATTTGGCTTATG
Source organism: Homo sapiens (assembly GCF_000001405.40). Classification (NCBI taxonomy): domain Eukaryota; kingdom Metazoa; phylum Chordata; class Mammalia; order Primates; family Hominidae; genus Homo; species Homo sapiens. The sequence goes on from NC_000021.9 coordinate 18,618,760, forward strand.
GCTTTTTCACATGATTTTTTTCCTCCCTGAAACTCTGTTAAAAAAACATTTTATTTGCCCAAGAGCTACTTGATTTCCCTCAGTTTAAATGCTATTTCCTCCAAAAAGGCTTTGATCCTCACTTCAGTGACTATATGAAAGCATGAATATTTCTTCAAAACCATTTCAGTTTTCTTGTATTTGGGGCACATGGTGAGATTATAGTATTCTGTCTTAAAGAGTATAGGCATCATCATGAAGCTTACTGAGATTTTAGACTTTTACTTCTTACCTGGAATTATTATTTAATTTTATTCAGTTTCACAAGCAAAGATTTGATCACCACTAGATTCACCTCCCTAATAAGTTTTACTATCATATTATGGCACAATAATTTTTATTATGGCATGATAATTTTTACTTATTGGGTAATTGCTTGTGATATTTGCAGAATGCTGATGTCCAAAATCATCATGTTTTGCAGAGTCCAATAAAATATGGTAGATTGGGTATAAGAGGACACAAAATTGTACAGATTCTGAAAGTTGGGTATCTGTCCAATGAAACGGAGTTACTACCGGATAGAATCTAGCTTCCTAGTATACCAGCCTCTCTACCAACAACTGGTCAAAAATATACAAATGTTTAGAGGCTTACATTTGAATTAATCACTAGCATTAGAAAACCGATGATTGCCTGTAATAATAAATTAACCTGTAAAAGCATCTCTAAGGAAAGCGTAGTCAGTGAAGAGAGTAAGAGAAATAAATAAGCATCTATGTCTACTGAGATAGCTAATTATTATACTTATGGGAGAAAGACATTAAAGCAGCTGGCCTATAATCTATTAGCATCCTTGAAATTAGCATCCCTGAAATTACTGGTAAAGATCTCTGTTTAGTGTAATTTTGATTTACTGATCTGATTCATTGTGTCAGCTGAGCTCTCATGAAGGAATAAAAGGTTTATAAAATGAGAAAAAGATTTTAATGGTAATTTACACCATGATGACTTAAAATAATGAAAAATTTGGAGGATAAAATTGTTAAAATCTCTAAGAAAATAGAAAAACATAAAAATAAGAGATAACAAGTAAAATTAGAGGATTAATACAAGAAGTGTAAAACCTTCCTGGAGATACTTTCTGTACTTCTACTTCCAGTAGAAGTAGATAAGGAGAAACAACAGACAAAAGAGAAGGAATTATCAAAGAAATACTGTATTAAAATTTCAGAACAGAACACATGTATCATCAAATTAAAAGGAGCCCTGATTTTTTTTATTTTTTTATTACGAGCACAAAATTTTACTATTTATTTATTATTAGCACATTTTTTAAGTCTGTATGTTATCCTGTTTTTTTTTAAGTTTCTCATCACAGAGAAAGATAGTATGCTACTGCTGAAATACATCAGTAGTGACCTCAAACCATCTCTCCAGGCACATAAAACAAAAAATTGAAGGCAGTACTCAAACTTGTGCTACCTAGAAGCATCATGGATTTTTGTCTGCTGCTGTATATTCAATTTTGATTAGATAGGCATTAGCATATAACATTCATAGCATCAAAAAATTCATGAAAATGAGTTAAAATGTCAGCCACACAACTATCTAAATGTTAGAACTATAACATCTAGCATGGTTATCTTGGAATGTCAGCATGAATTTTTTACTCTAAAAAGTACTCCAAAAAACTTTCACAATGTTAAATTCAACATTTAATGTAAAAGATTTATGTGTGCAGCAATGCATTGGAATCATCCTGTCGAAAGGGCTCTCTTTCAACCCTTCTGAAGGTGAGAAAGTGAATGGGGCTCACTTTTGGCTACAGCTGGTGCTGCGCTCAGCTCTCTGATATTATTTTGCTCTGTGGTCAAAAAGCAGAAGCATGAAGCATGCCCAAGCCAGCAAACTGAAGTGCAGTATGAACTGTTTAAATTTCTCTCTTCAGATATGTCTATTCAACCACCACTTGGATGTCTAGGCTATCAGATACTTTTCCGCGGCTGCCTGTTTGGTTTTGTTGTAAACATTTAGTAGTTCCTGGTAGGTATGGTAGTTTCTGTTGAGCACACTTGCTTTGTTGAGTCCTGGAGAGGATACTGATAGTTCAGTTTGTCCTGATATGTTGTTTTTAGTGATCCACACATGTTTACGGATGTCTCAGGCAGTTGTCAGAGTTCTACTTTATGCAGCAATATAATCCTAAAGACAGAGAGCCATCTATCTAACAAGTTATAAGATCTTCTGAAGTTTTAGATTTCAGTTTGTCCTAAAATGATTTAAAAAATTAGTTCATGGCTCATTCTACATCTCTGCATCCTGACCTGCTAGATTGGAAATGATAGCCTTGTTGGAAATTATTAAAAAGAAAAAAGTGACACAATCATTTGCCTCTCCAGTGGGAAGCATGAAATCTTCATATTTTTCATGTCCTTTTAATTTTGCCCCAAATCACCTTAGACATTGTGATATTTATATCTAATAGAAAATTCCAATACTGATGCCAATCTGAGCTAACACATAGGATTATAATGCCCTATCAGACTTATGCAAATCAGAGATCTGTTCCAGTCTGAATTAAGCTTCACTAAATATCAAAGAAGTAGGCAATTAAGAAGCTGAGGAAAAGCAAAGAGATGTGTAGATATTGAAAAAAAATCTCTACATCTTGCTTCTCATGTTGGGCATATCCCTCTGGTGCAGAATAATTAAGGTGTCTAATGAAGTCTGCAGAATTCCATGCACCCTCAGGTATGTTGAAACTATGAAACCTTTCTATGTGTCAGCCAAGAGACTTGTATAGCTTAGGATACATTTTCCAGGGGGCCACAGCTCACAGATCCTTGGATCTATTTATTATATGTATTCTAAATTGGGACCATTCTTCCAAGGGGTTTTGTGGAAGAGCCATGTATGCAAAGAGATCTCCAACACAGAAGGAACCAAGAAACCAAAAGCAAGGCAGACAAATCCAGTTTGTTGGTAAAAAGCAATTTATTTGGGAAATTGTGAACAGAAGTGTGGTCTTGGAGAGCAAGGCCAGTAGATATCTGCACCATTACTTCCCAGACCCAGGGCTTTTTTCCACTGGGAAAAGGTATACGTGATCTATAGACATAATTGAAGGCAACTTCCTGAACAGGCAAGAATGCTATGTGCATCATGGTCTACAATTTGTGTGATAACATCAAGATTGCTCTGACCTGAGGACAGGATTTTATAGTTAGTACATGTTTAGACTAAGGACAGTAAACAAAGTTGGAAGCAGAGGGCATTCCCAGGGCTGATGTTATTCAGAAGTCAACATGGTGGATTATCATCCAAGATGGAGTCACTTTAGCCACCACATAAGGACTTTGCAGAAATAAGTTTAAAATGTCTTCTGAAGTGATACTGTGTTCCCATACTACTAGCAGGAATTTTTCTGTACCAATATGGTAATAATTCCAAGATATGTGAACTAAATATAAGTACAAAGAGAATTACTAGTGAAGTCTCAAAAGGAATATTCTGGCTGGTTTTGTAGTCTAGGGAGCAACCTATAGAAATATATATTTTTACTTGCCCTCTAAGTCAATATGTTTATTAAAAATGGTGTAATATAAAAAAGTTATAATCCTTCCTTTGAAATGTCTCAAATTTATTCAGTCAAACTCTATGTTAAGTGCAGATAAATCTGTGATCAGGTATTCACTTGTTTGCCTGTCAGATTCTTCTTCACTATCTTGTTTTTATGTTCTATGTCTTACATAAGAAAAAGAGGAATGATAAGTCATACTAGGAAGCAGTGGCTTTTCCTAGTGTTTATACAAATTGCTCAAGATTCTGGTTTCAGATGCTCTATCAAGTTCACCATGGGGAACCTGATAAGATGGTTATGTCAATGAGAGCAGCCTTTGGCCTCTTCTAATGAGATTCATTCCATCTCCCAGAGCAAATTGACATGAATATTTTCAAATGCTTATATGTTATTTCCTGTTGTAGAATTGCCTATAGGAGCTGGTATTTATAGGAACAAAGGATTTTTTTAAGTGATTTAATTTTTCATTGGAAGTTGTCTGCTCCCATTACCAGTAAGAGACAGAACCATCTCTTAGGTCTCAGGGAGGACTGCAAAATAAAGCAGTAATTTTTAAAAACAAGTTACATAACTGTTTTCATACCTTTCAAAGTATGAAAGCAAAGTTCAAAGGAATTTAAAGCAGGTAAGAAAATCACAACATATAAATTTTCCTGAATCTTTATTTTTCACCGTAATGGCTATGAGAACCACACAGAAATGAACAAAAGACATGGAGCATGTTTAGATATTTAATGAAACAAGAATAGGAAAACCCTGGAGATTACTTGCTTCTGAATCATTGCCTTAAGCAACATAAAGTTACAGAAAATTAAAAAAAAATCTTTAAGCAACATAAAGTTACAGAAAATAAAAAAAAATCTTTAAGCAACATAAAGTTACAGAAAATAAAAAAAAAATCTAACCACCAATTGTCCTCTTTAGTTATCTTCTCTCTGTTAATTAAGGTCTCTAATGAAGTCTCATAAACAAATCAAGTTGGCCTTCTTAGACAGTTCCTATAAGGCGATCCCCAACTCTAACCTCATGTCTGGATTCTGGAAAGCAACACCTATCACATGAATACTAATGTAATACTGGTGCATCCGTTCAGTGGTATTCTTAAACTTCATACTATTATATTGTGCTAAGCCCCAAGAACTTTCATATACATATCCTACAGAGTAGCCAGTTCCTTCACCAGCAACAATCAACAAAATAAAACACTTCCCTTTAATCATCAAAAAGATGTAATATCTCAGCAACAAAAGAGTGCATGCAGCGCCTTTATATAAGACCACAAGTTGAAGATTCACAAAAAGCATTAGCATCTTTACATAAAAACCATCTCTGTCTTAGTTTGTGTTCTACACAAACAGTCCCTAAGACAAGAGTTTAAGAGCAATTAAATTTTTGGGAGGTAATCTTAGGAAACATTGCTACAGTAAGACCAATTGAGAAGGGAAAAATAAGGAAGACAATAAATAATATATTGTCAAGGAAGTTACCCACTCTGGGCAACTGAAGGTTAATCCTATTGGGAAAACTTGAGAGATATTGTAGAACACAGGAGTCAGAGATTTTTTTTTTTTGCCTTGGGGACACATTTGCTATTTATTTACCGCCTTCCATGGACCTTCTTTGAGGGCTGCTGTTGAGAGGTGCTAATTGTGTAACATATTCAGCTTGCCCTATACACAGGCATGGCAGGCTCTGGTGCCTGAAGTAATAACTCAGTGAGAATTTAAAGTAGGGCTGAGATGATCCGAAATGGTAAGAATTGAGGAGTATCAGGTTGGCACAACAGCGTCTTCTAAATCACCTCTTGGGAATCTAAGATTTAAAGCGTGTATGGCCTAGCGTAAGATTTATAATGTTAATATATGCTTGTTTTCTTTGGACCAAACTGGCACATGAGGATAGAGAATTTATTTATAACTGAATACAAAATTGACATCCATCCCGCCACCGCCAAAAGAGGAGGAAGATGTGGCAGCTCAAAAACATTATGTGTCTGAGACAGACAGGAGGTGGCCAAGTTGATTTGCTGACAGAAATTTTAATACCCTTTGTTATATTGAACTCTGTTTCAGTATGCTAGCTTAGATCATCATATTTCCCCTTTCCCGAATCTATTTCATCTGCCATAAAATCTCCCTCAATGGCTTTAACCAAGAGGAATTTAGATGACTGTAATCAGCCCTAATTTTCAAATATAATGCTAGGCCACTTGTTGGCCAAGAATGAATTTGTCCAAAATAAACATTGCTGTAAACATCATAAGTCCAGTTTTAGCAGTACTGTCAAACAGCTTACCACTGTGGAGGTACAGGATGCGCTATTGCCAACATTGCATGCAAAATTTTAGGGCCCTACTTCATCAGTAGCTTATACCATTTTAAGTCTTAAGTTTTAAATATTCTGCAGATAAGTTGCAACATCTTACTTTGGTTTTAATTTATATTTCTCAGCTTAATAAGGAGTTTGAACCCTTTTTATATGTCTGAGTGTTTGTATTAATCTTTTAATAAAGTGTCTATCTAAATTTCTTGTTCATATTTTTTAATTGGGTTTTCTGCCACAATTATTATTAATTGACAATAATTTATTTATACAAATATAATTAAATGTATTAGAAGTGATCACTTCCATTCCTTAGATTACAGTTTCTCTCAATTATGCCATTTTTAAATTACAAATCCTTATTTCTTTATTTTAATACCGTTTAGTTATTTTTATCATTTATTTTATGGTCAGTACATCTGGATCCTGTTTAAGAAATAGTTCCCAACCAATAACAGAAAGCTAACGTCCTACAAAATTATTTAGAAACTATGATGTTTTACCTTTATATTATTTGTCTAGGATTGATTTTGTGTATTGCATAAGGTGGCAGAGGTCGCTGGTGCCTGTTTCCAAACTTGCTGCATCACTGTCATCCTAGGACTGATATTGATGGCTGATGTTTATCCTTTCATCAATCTCAGGTTTTCTTTCTTAGCTTAAGCCCTTAGTAGATAGCTTTAAGCCTCTTCCCAAGAAATAATTCATGGGAAATAAATTTAATGAACTGCTGCCTGGATTAAGTACCTAGATTTATTTTTTAAAAACCTGTCCCTTTAGAATATTAAAGTTATTAATCTATGTCTTCTAGAAAGTGATTTAGATATTGGAAAAAATAATTCCATTGAATTTTGTTTCTGTTTGGTTGATATGATTTTAACCCTTTCTAGAAATATACTTATATTCCAAAATTTTACTATTATGAGCTTTATATTTGTTTGTTTTTTTTTTTTTTTTTTGCTGGATCTTTTTTTTTTAAGTTTTTTTTTCTTTTATTATTATACTTTAAGTTTTAGGGTACATGTGCACATTGTGCAGGTTAGTTACATATGTATACATGTGCCATGCTGGTGCGCTGCACCCACTAACTCATCGTCTAGCATTAGGTATATCTCCCAATGCTATCCCTCCCCCCTGCCCCCACCCCACAACAGTCCCCAGAGTGTGGTGTTCCCTAATTTTCCAGGAAGCTTGGAATGATTTGAAAATTCTGCCCTTTAGCTCTAAGGATTTTATTTATTTATATAGTTTATAATTTATTGTTATTTATTTTCTCTTTCAGTGATCTATAATTGAATAACAAATTTCCATTTTTTTCTGAATTTGGGGAATTAAGAGTTCATTCTTCTGATAAAGCAAAATAAATTACAATATACTCATTTTTCTTTTAAGATTCAGACGATGCAAATAAAAGTTAGATGAAATTTACAGCAAAATAAAATAGAAAAAATTAACGTGTTTATACTGTTGTTCAACTGTTCAGATTTCTAGTTTCGTACTATGTATTCTTTATTATCAACATACTAGAATATGATGTAATTCAAGAACATTTCATACATAATCACTTTGATAAAAAAGGAGATTGGCAAGAGCATAAAAATATTTAAAACACTAGATTAATGAATCCAAAGCTACATAAAGATCTTATAATAACAGTAGTAAACATTTTGAGAAATGTGTAGAAACTCCTAACTGCAGGGTTTTATAACCAATATGTTATAACTAATATAAAAGCAATATGTTGCTAATAGACAGCCATACTTCACACTAAGTTCTCTAATGGGATAACTTGCAGGATTCATAATTTAACAACAGATTGAAAAAGGAAAATTTTTAGATTCAGTAGCAAACATTTTGGATTTCTCAACAACACTTTCTCCCTAAATTGCTGTGAAATACATTATTCATCAATACCTAGATCCAGAAATATTCACTGAGGGCCTGTAGTGGCAGGTAGTGAATTCATTGAGGCAACCCATGCAAAGTGCACCCGCAGAGCCTGTGATGTGAGGGGGATTTAAACATAAGTTGCCCTCACTCTACTTCTTAAAAATATTTTCAAATGATTCATTAACATTCTTATTTTATATGATCCTTGAATTAGTTAGATGTATATTCCTCAATCTCCAAGTATTTTGAAATTTTTCTATCATTTTGCTATTAATTTTTAGTTAAAGTCCTCATGTTTGAGAACTTATTTTGTATGATTACTGTTATTTTAATTTCACACATGTATGTCCAATGGCCAAGAATGTTCTCTATCTTGCAGAGCATTCCCTGTGAGGTTGAGAAGATGTATATTTTGCTATTGGAACGATAATTCTATAAATGTCAGTTGGATCAAGTTACTGAAATAGGGGCTGAAATCTCTATCTATAATAATAAATGTGTATGTTTCTCCTTGCGGTTATCAGTTTTTGTCACATATTTTGACACTTGATTTTTAAGTGAATGCTTCAAGGTTTGCTAATGTCTTTTTGGAGAATTAAACCTTTTATCATTATCATTAGGTAATGTCCCTCTTTATCTGTAATAATTTTCCTTCTGCTCTGTTTTGTCTGAAATGAATAAAGCTGCTCCAGCTTTCTTTTGATTAGTGATAGCATCCATGTCTTTCTTTATCTCCTTTACTTTTAGCCTATCTATGTCTTTATAGTTAAAATTGGTTTCTTGTAGGGAACAGATAGAGTTTTTCCCCCTGCACTCAAAATTTGTCTGTTAACTGATATATTTAGATCATTCACATTTAAAGTGACTATTAATATATTTCAATCAGTATCGATTATGTTTGTAGCTTTTAAAATTTTCTTGAACATTATTTGTTTCTTTTTTATCTCTTCTCTTTTTATATCTTCTCTGGTTTTCATTGAAGTTTGAATGATTTCATTTTACTTCCTCTCTTAACCTATCAATTATACTTTTTAAAAAATGGTTATTTTAGAGTTTACCACATACATTTATAATGAATTTAAGTTCATTTTTAAATAACACTATGCCTCCTTACTGGTTTTTCAGGTAACTTATAGAGTATTTCCACTTCCCTTCTCCTATCCCTTGAAAAATTGTCATTTATTTCTCTTATCCATATGGCATAATCAAAGAATAAATTGGTGATATTTGTTCAAAAATCCATGCCTATTAGATTCATTTAGAATATAAAAAAATTTTATTTTATTTTCACTTATTTCTTCTCCACTGATTTTTCTATTTTTATGTAGAGATGAGTTTCTGACATATATTTCTTCTTCCTGAAGAAAATATTTTAACATTTCCTGCATGGGTGGTCTCTGGTCATAAATTCCCTTAGTTTTTGTTTGAGCAAGTATTTATCTGTTGATGACTTTTCAAGGATAGTTTTGTGGGATACAGAATTCTAGATCAGCGTTTTTTTTTTTTTTCCCTTTCTACTCTTGATATAGTTCATCCCACACTCTTCTTGCTGACAGGACTTCTGCCAAGGACAACTTTCCTGTAATGTTTATCTTTCCTTATTCCTCCATAGGTAAGGTTGTTTTTTTGTTTTTGTTTTTTTCTCAGAATTTCCTTTTTTTTTTCTTTTTCTTTCTGCAGTTTGACTTTGCCATGCATAGGTGTCATTTTTTGTTATTTATCCTATGTCCTGTTTTTACATTTTTTTTAATTATAAAAAGGGAGGGTGCTTATTGGCTTCCTGGATCTATGGTTTCTTAATTGTCACCAATTTTATAATGTTCTCCACCACTCTTGCTTCAAATATTTTTTCTTTTCTTTTTCTCCTCTTGGCATTCCAATTGTGCATATGTTACAACTTTTGAATTTGCCCAGAAGTTCTTGGATATTACGTTTTTCTCTTTTTTTCTATAAATTTCTGCTTGAAAAGTTTCTACTGATTTATCTTCTGAATCACCAGTTCTTTCCTCAGTCAGTTTATTGATGTGTACATCCAAACCATTCTTAATTTTCGTTAGTGTTTTTTAATTTTACGAATTTCTATTGATACTTTCATAGAGTTTTTATTTGTCTGCTTTTATTACACATATGTTATTGCATGTTGTCTACTTTTTTCATTAGAGCTCTCAGCATATTAATCATAGTTATTTTAAAGCCACTGTAAAACTTCTGATATCTGCTTGTGATCTGGCTTTGAAACTTGTTTCTTCTTTCCAGACTGTTTTCCTGCCTTCACATGACTTACCATTTGTTTTGTTGTTATTGTTGAAAGCCTAGCATGCTATATCAAGTTATAGAAAATGAGGTAGATAGGCCGTTAGTGTGTTTAATCAAGTTTAGCCTAAAACTGCCTCCTTACATATTTTAAGTTCCACCTAAAGTCTTCTCTATACGTTGTGAACTGTAAAAAGTGGAGGTGTAAACAGACCATAGCTTACACTTGTGCCAGTCACCAAGTTATGGTCAATCAAATGTAGCCAACTCTTCAAATAAGTCAAACTCCCAGCTGTAACCAATCCATCTATTTCTGTATCTTACTTCCTTTTTTCTGTACCTCACTTTCCTTTTTCTGTCCATAAATCACGTGGCTGTGCCGGAGTCTCAAAGAGCCTAGTCTCGTTCAGGAGGTTGCCTGATTCACATATCTTTCATTGTTCAGTTAAACTGTTTTAAATTAAATTTGGCAGAAGTTTCTCTTTTATCAAGTGTGAAGTTTTATGTAAATCTTTCTAGGACTTGAACTGTATTTAATTTTCGCTGTAGCCATGGGTGCCAAGGCCTTCAAATTCCTCTAGTATTCTTACTTGTCTCTCTTCTTTGTTTTTTGTTTCTTTAAAAATTCCTTTTTTAATAGAGCCTGAAGCTCTGTCATTGTGAAAATAAGGAACAGGGTAGGAGAGGCATTTTATAATCTTATACAATCTCAGTCTTTTGGTGGTTCTGCATCCCTGGGTTGTGTCCTTTACAAGCATCTCTTACCTCTCTCCCCTCCTTCAACTTTAGGTGAGATAAGAAAGCACGAGAGTGCTGGAACTAGATAATTGCTTTTCTGCCTATGGAAGATAAATCACCGGCAAGTTCATTTTCAGTGGAAAATAATCCATTTTTCTGGGGTATGCATAGTTGTATTTCAAAGTGGTCACTTTTGTCCTCTCCCTGGCCAAAGACATGAGCTGAGTTTTCTTGGATCTCCACCATGAGAACCTGGTAGCCCATAAAGTTGTAGGGGGTCTCTCTAAGATTACAGTCCCCAGAAGTTTTTTATTCTCAAGCTAGTCTACACTGAGCCTCCAACAATTTATTGACTACTGTTGAAATGTCCCAGTTTATAGTTCTATCAGGGCCTCTTCTAAGTAACCTGATCTGAGGTTTGTTTCTTTGTATTCAGTTTGTTTTTTTCAGATCCAAAGCAACGCAATACTCTGATGCATGCAAGAAAACTCACTGATTTTTCAATTGCTCATCTTTTTTTTTTTTTTTTAAGATGGGAATGATAACTTTCAAACCCTTTTCTTGTTAGAGGTGAAACTATATACCCTGGTTTTTCACAAATTCAGATTATTGGCCTTGGAGCAAAAAACAAACAAACAAACAAACAACAAATCAGAACCTCATGGAAGTTGATATGGAATGCACATAGGAGCCCCCTTAATACACATTTACAACCTCTTAAGACACAGATGTTATGAAATCTAATTTTCTTTAGTTTCTGTACAGAAGAACTTCATATTTCTCTAAAGCAGTAATAGGTTTTCTCATAAATCTTGCAAATTCACTCCAAACACATATACAAGTAGAAAAGGCATAACAATGAAATGGCCTTGGATATAGAACCAATATTCTATGAATATCTAACAGATGTATGAAACATTACAGGCATTCAGTATGCACAAGGATTTCATTACTGCCCTGGGGTCTGCAACATTATTTTGCTGAAAATAACCTTAAACAGCTAAGCAATGACAGCCTTTCTTCTTATTACCTGGCATCCTCACTTTAAGTGGTAACTTCAACAGTTCATCTAGGCTCTGCCTTCTTTCCACCGTCATTAATGATTTGCAGTGAGTCAGTTTTCATGGATTACCCACATTGCATTTTGATACTGATGACTAATTCTCTAGCGGTTTTCTATACTTAGATGAAATGGAGAAATCTTTCCTTTTTTCACATATGAAGAACCACTTCAAGTTACTAATATGAAGGTAACCAAACAGGGCTTCTCCTTTAAACTATGCTAATTTTTCTGTCTTCTTGTTTTGTGATACTTGTGTCATTTAGTGATCAGGTGTGATCTCATACTCTATGAATCATGCTATCAACCAAAATGACTCTATTTTAATGAACTGAGCCACAATTAAAACAAACAAACAGGCTATTTCATACCAAAATGCTGATTTAACAATTCTTTTAAACTTGGAAAATTGGCAACCTTATGTATGTATCTCTACATGGAAATAATTAACTAGTTTGGGATATATGTAATTATTTTTGGATATTTATTACCATTTTTACCATTCCTTTTATTGCATATGCTGAGTGTGTGTGTATGTATGTGCATATATGTAGCTCATTGAAAACTAAAGCAATAGGCTCTTTCATTAAATACTACGTATTTCATTGCATGCTATTTTTTCAAATATGCAAGTAAAATTGAGAAAACATTATAAATGATCCAAAATACATAATTTTGGTATATATTAAAGCAATTTTTAGTGCTCATCACAAAAATAAATGACTTTACTTTGCCAAATAAATTATTGTCTAGATAAAATGTCTAGGCCATACTATACAAAATAAACTTGCAAATCCTTCCCTCACTATTTCAGGCATTTTTCCTTTTTATTTTTTTTCATTCTGTGACTCTAGTCAATGACATTTTTTTCTTTTTAAGTAAGAAAAAAATTATATTACATTATATTAACATATATTTATCTAGCTTAAAAGAGCAGATATTTCAATTTTATGTCTCTGGGATAGGAAAAATCATTCCTTGAATGAAGCTAACTGAGAAAAAAAGTGTTTTCCATCTAAAGGGTAATTTTATTCTCCCTCATATTCAGTTTTTAAATTTTCAATATTATTTCAAAATTGCCCTTTTCAAACAATTTAAATTTGTGAACTTTCCACTGAGAGCTGGTTGTTATCATGAATTCATACAAATAGTCACTGGCAAAGAGTAATTATCACACTATGATGCTGTTAAAATTGTGTTGACTCATCTGAAAATAGTTGGAGTTGAGTGACAGACTCTCATGGCTGATTTTCAAATATAATTATAATCATTCATTCATTTTTTGTTTACTCATTTTAGTAACTGTTGCCACATATCAGAATATTCCAATACTAAGTAGCTTAAAACAACCTTCATTTAGTCATCAATTCCAAGGTCAATAATCAGTACAATGAAAATGACTAGTCCCTGCTCTACAGTGGCTGGGAATTTAGTTGAGGAGACTTAAAGCCTGCATAAGCTTGGCTGCTTGGAGCTAGAATTATCTGAAGGGACATTTGCTCACATGTATTGTGGGTATTGCTTACCCTTAGCCTCAGTCTCAGCCAGACTTGAGGTTTGAACCCTTACATGTGATCTCTCCACATGACCTGAACTTGCTGTCATCACTGTGGCCCTAGGGCCATTGGATTCCTATGTGACAATTCAGGACTCCAGTGTTAGTGTTCTAGTCACAAGGTAGAAACTGATCACTTTTATGATCCAGGCTTGAAAGTGGCTGATTGCCACTTCGGCCACTCATTCTTTTGATTAAGAGCAAGCCACAAATACAATTTAAGGGAAATGGAAGTAGCTATGTCTGTTAATAGGGTTGTGGCAATGTTCTAAAAAGTTCTAAGTCGTCTTACTGAATGGGAAGTATTGAAGTGATCTTTAGAAAATATGACCTGCCAACAATTGCTTAAAGCAAAACTGAATTAGACTCTTCTCAAGTGTGAGTGTGTGTGTGTGTGTGTGTGTGTGTAATCCCTTGTCATCTTTGTTACACAGAGATTTTAACGTTTGAAAATCCTTTGCATTTTAGCTATTTCCTATCTTTCATGTTTTTCTATATAATCCTGTTGCCTTTGGTTCTAAAATCCTATAGTGCTTATTTCTCTAAGGGTATTTAACTGCAGGATTTCCAAATGAGAGTAATTGATCTGTGAATACACTGCTATTTCAAACACAAAGAACTTGAATGAAAGTGTTGAGATTTAGAAATATGAGGATTCCAGTGGCATTTGATATTTCTTATCAGAAGTAATAGAAATGTACACTTTATTCCACTGAACATATATTTTAAGATGTAAACCTATGCTTTAGGACAAATACTTAAAAGCCAAGTCAATGATTACAAAGACTTCATGAAGAAGATATTATATATTATTAATAATTGAAATCTATTTAATAATTGCTAGTACCTGCTATCAAATATGTATTTAGTTTTATACCAAAGACTACATTGGGTTCAAGTTCTAACAAGCAATTATGATCGTAATTATGACTTTATTCATAATCTCATATTCATGAGAAAAATTTAAGGATTCAAAATTAGATAATATGCAAGAGTGTATACTTTGATTAAAATTTGCTTTTCATTTTTTGAATAATCATTAACATAGCCCTTGAAAATAATGGAATAAAAATAGGGTATAGTTTTGCTATATGCCAATATTATACTAGGGGATGGTACAGAATTGTGAAAAAAATAAGCATTATATTTGTTCTGTGAAGTCAGATCTTTACTTTTTTAACATTTGCAAGTTTTCCAATACCATTTAATTTATTATTGCTTTCTTAGCCGTTTTGCTTTCGGCCTCCAAAATATCTGTCCTTGTTTGACTTAATATTCATACTTTTGTCTACATAACTATAATTCTTTCTCATAACTCATATTTTTATTCTGCTTCTTATTTAGATAAATAATCTCAAAATAGACTTTAGCACAAATGATTTTATTTAATAATTATATATTTATAGCAGTACATAAATACATACTACTCAAAAAATTAGGAAAAAGTAAAATATAAATGTTATTTCAGGATATTATCCATGAAAACTTCCCAACCTTGTGAGAAAGGCCAAAAGTCAAACTGAGGAAATGCAAAGAACGCCTGCAAGAGTCTGCACAAGAATATTATCCCAAAGACATATAATAATCAGATTTTTCAAGATTGAAATGAAAAAAAGAATGTTAAAGGCAGCTAGACAGAAAGGGCAGGTCACCTACGAAGGGAACCCCATTAGTCTAACAGTGGACCCCTCAGCTGAACCCCTACATCTCAGAAGAGATTGGGGACCTAGATTAAATATTCTTAAAGAAAAATATTTTCAACCAAGAATTTCAAATCCAGCCAAAGTAAGTTTTTTAAGCCAGGAGAAATAAGATCCTTTTCAGATAAGCAAATGCTCAGGAAGTTTCTACCACCAGAACTGTTTTATAAGAGTTCTTGACAGGAGAACTAAGTATAGAAAGGAAAGACTGCTCGTGGCTAACTCAAAAACAGACTTAACTACACAGACCAGTGACACTATAAAGCAACCACATAAACAAGGCACCATAATTACCAGCTAATAACACAATGACACATATCAATACTAACCTTGAATGTAAATAGGCTAAATGACCCCACATAAAAGGCACAGAGTGGCAAGCTGGATAAAAAAGCAAGATCCAATGGTAAGCTGTCTTCAAGAAATCCATCTCAAATGTAATGACATCCATTGGCTCAAAATAAAGGGATGGAGAAAAATCCACCAAGCAAATGGAAAACAGAAAAAAAAAGCAGGGGTTGCAATCCTAATTTCAAACAAAACAGAGTTTAAACCAACAAAAATAAAAAAGACAAAGGAGGACATTACATATGGTAAAGGATTCAATTCAACAAAATGACCTAACTATCTTAAATATACAGGCACCCAACACAGGAACACCCAGTTTCATAAAGGAAGTTCTTAGAGACCTACAAGAGACATAGATTCTCACACTATAACAGTGGGAGATATTCAGGATCTAAACTCAACATTGGACCAAATGGTTCTGATCGACATCTACAGATCCCTCCACCCAAAACAACAGAATATACATTCTTCTAATTGCCACATGACACATACTCTAAAATCATTCACATAACTGGACATAAAACAAATCTCAGCAAATGCTAAATAACTGAAATCATACCAAACACACTCTTGTATCACAGCTTGATAAAAATAGAAGTCCAGTTATATTGTTTGGCTGTGTCCCCACCCAGATCTCATCTTGAATTGTAATAGCCATAATCCCCACATGTCTAGGGAGAACCCTGGTGAGTGGTGATTGGATCATAGGGAGTGGTTTCCCCCATGCTGTTCTCATGACAGTGAGTGAGTTCCCATGAGATCTGATGGTTTTATAAGGGACTCTTCTCCCTTCCCTCTTTCCTCTCTCTCACCTACCATCATGTAAGACATGCTCCTTCCCCTTCCACCATGATTGTAAGTTTCCTGAGGCCTCTTCAGCCATGTGGAACTATGAGTCAATTAAACCTCTTTCCTTTATAAATTACCCATTCTCCGGAATTTATAATGAACATCAAGAATAAGTAAATTGCTCAAAACTATGCAATTACATGGAAATTAAGCAACATGCTCCTGAATAACTTTTGGGTAAACAATGAAATCAAGGCAGAAATCAAGAAGTTATCTGAAACTAAGGAGAACAAGGATATAACATACCAGAATCTCTCGACACAGCTAAGGCAGTGTTAAGAAGGAAATGGTTAGCAGTAAATGCCCACACCAAAAAGTTAGAGAGGTCTCAAATTAACTACCTAACATCACAGTGAAAGAATTAGAGAAGCAGGAACAAATCAACTCTAAAGCTATCAGAAGACAAGAAATAACCAAAATCAGAGCTGAACTGAAGGAAATCAAAACACATACACACACACACACACACACACACACACACACACACACACACACAGAAATTCAAAAGATCAACAAATCCAGGAGTTTTACTTTTTGTTTTGAAACAAATAATAAGATTTATAGGCCATTAGCTAGAATAATAGAGAAGAAAAGAGAAAATATGCAAATAAACACAATTAGAAATGTTGAAGGGAATGTTTCCACTGAAATAAAAACAGCCATCAGACACTACTACAAAAACCTCTATGCATACAAATTAGAAAACCAAGACGAGATGGATAAATTCCTGGACCCGTACACCCTTCCAAGAATGAACCAGTAAGAAACTGATTCTCTCAAAAGACCGAGATTGGGCTTCAAAATGGAATCAGTAATGAATAGCCTACCAATCAAAAAAGGGCCTAGGATCTAAAGGATTCAAAGCTGAATTCTACCAGATGACAAAGAAGAGCTGATACCATAACTACTGAAACTATTCCAAAAAATTGAGGAGGAGAGACTCTTCCATAACTCGTTATATGAGGCCAACATCATCCTGATACCAAAACTTTGCAGAGATGCACACAATAAAGAAACCTTTAGGCCAATATCCTTGATGAACATAGATGCAAAAATCCTCAATGAAATACTTGATAACCAAATCCAGCAGGATATGAAAAAGCCTATGCACCATGATTAAGTAGGCTTTATCCCTGGGATGCAAGTTCGATTCAACATATGCAGATCAATAAATGTGATTCATCACATAAATGGAAGTAAAGACAAAAACCACATGATTATTTCAATAGATGCAGAAAAGGCTTTTGATAAAATTCGACACAGCTTCATATTAAAAACTTTCAATAAACTAGCTATTAAAGAAATACACTTCAAAATAATAGGAGCCATCTATGATGAACCCACAGTCAATATCATACTAAAAGGGCAAAATCTGGAATCATTCCCTTTGAAAACTCGCACAAGACAAGGATGCCCTCTCTCACCACTCCTATCCAACATAGTATTGGAAGTCCTGGCCAGAGCAATCAGGCAAGAGAAAGAAATAAAGGGCATCCAAATAGGAAGTGAGGAAGTTAAACTATCCCTGTTTGAAGATCACATGATCTTATATTAAGAAAACCCCATAATCTCAGCCCAAAAGCTCCTTCAGCTGAAAAAGAACTTCAACAAAGTTTCAGGATACAAAATCAATGTACAAAAATTACTGTCATTCCTATACACAAACAACAGCCAAGCCAAGAGCCAAATCAGAAGGCGATCTCGTTCACAATTGCCAAAAAATGAATAAAATACCTAGGAATACAGCTAATCATGTAGGGGAAAAGTCTCTACAATGGGAATTATAGAAATTATAGAAAACTGCTCAAAGAAATCAGAGAAGACACAAACAAATTGAAAAACCTTCCATGCTCATGGATAGGAAGAAACAATATTGTGAAAATAGCCAATTTCCCAAAGCAATGTATAGATTCAATACTATTCCCATTAAACTACCATTGACATCCTTCACACAACTAGAAAAAAACTATTTTAAAAATCATATGGAACCAAAAAAGAGTCTGAATAGCCAAGACAATTCTAAGCAAAAAGGACAAAGCTAGAGGCATCATGTTACGCAACTTTAAACTATGCTACAGGGCTACAGTAACCAAAACAACATAGTACTGGTACAAAAACAGGTACATAGACCAATGGAACAGAATGCAGAGACCAAAAGAAGGCTGCACATGTACAACCATCTGATCTTCGGCAAAGCTGACAAAAACAAACAATGAGGAAAATATTATCTATTCAATAAATGGTGCTGGGATAACTGGCTAGCCATATACAGAAAATTGAATCTGGACCCCTTCCTTACATCTTGTACAAAAATTATCTCAAGATGGATTAAAGATTTAAATGTGAAACCCAAACAAAAACCCTGGAAGACAACCTAGGCAATGCTATTAAGGACTCAGAAGCAGGCTAAGATTTCATGACAAAAATTAAAAAACCAAGTGCAACAAAAGCAAAAAGTGACAACTGAGGTCTAATGAAACTAAAGAGCTTCTGCACAGCAAAGCTAAACTTAGTGAAAACCTACGGAAGGGAGAAAAATTTTGCCTTTGTGCATCTGAAAAAGGTCTAATATCCAGCATCTATAAGGAGCTTAAACAAATCCACAAGAAGAAACAAACAAACCAATTAAAAACTCGAAAATGGGCATGAATAGACACTTTTCAGAAGAACACATACATGCAGCCAACAATCACATGAAAAAAAGCTCACCAGACGTACAGATCAAAACCACAATGAGATACCATCTCACACCAGTCAGAATGGCTATTAATAAAAAGACAAAAAGTGACAGATGCTGGTGAAGTTGTGGAGAGAAGAGAACACTGGTACAATGTCAGTGGGAGTGTAAATGAGCTCAACCATTGTGAAAAGCAGTATGGCAATTCCTCAAAGAGCTAAAAGCCGAACTACCATTTGACCCAGCAATCCCATTACTGGGCATATACCCAGAGGAATACAAATTTTTCTACCATAGAGACACATGCACGCATATGTTCATTGCAGCAATATTCATATTAGGAAAGGCATGAAATCAACCTAGATGTCCATCAATGAGAGATTAAAAGAAGAAAATGTGGACATGGAATACTGTGAAGTCATAAGAAAGAATGAGATCATGTCTTTTGCAGAAATGTAGATGGAGATGGAGGCTATTATCCTTAGCAAACTAATGCAGGAACAGAAAACCAAATACTGCATGTTCTTACTTATAACTGCGAGCTAAATGATGAGAACTCATGACCACAACACAGGAATAAATAGACAGTGGGGTCTACCTGAGGATTGAAGGTGGGAGGAGGTTTAGGAGCAGAAAAGGTAACTGTTGCGTACTGAGCTTAATATCTGGGTGATGAAATAATGTGTACAACAAACCCCCATGACATGAGTTTACCTACCAAACAAACCTTCTCATGTATCCCTGAACCAAAAATAAACTTTTTTAAAAAAATAAAATATCAAAGTTACCCTTAAGAAAGTTCCAGAAATGCAACATTATTAGCATCCCTGATTTCTATTCCTCTTCTTTCCTGACAATCGTATCAACTCCATGATACACATAGCCATTAACACCAAAGGACAGTTTTATTTCCTTTTAAAAGTAGTGTAATTAGGCTGATACAACATGTATTCTTTTGTATCCAGCTTCTTTTGATCAATGTTTTATGATATAAGATTCATCCATATTTTTGGTGTTCATTTTAATTGTTTTGTTCCACTGTTTAATATATCAGATACAAGCACACACACCATACACACACACACACACTCATACACAACTATGTACACATAATCTACTTTATGCTTGATAGATGCATGCCTTTCATTGTGTATAGAGATGGTTAGACAGGAAAAGAGGGAAGGAGAGAGGAAGGGAGAAGAGAAGAGAGAAAAGGAGAAGGGGAGAGAAAATAAATTTGTTGGGTTATAGGATATGCATAAGCTCAATTTTAATATGTAATAAACATTGAAATGTTTCCAAATTGGTTCTAAAATTATGTGTGCTCAGAATAGTAGATACATTTTCTAGTTGCACTGCATCCTTGAGAAAATTTAGCCTTGCCAATAATTTTATTTGAGTCATTTGGTGAGTATGTAATGTTATCTCTCTTCTTTTAACTTATATTTTCTTGATTATTAAAGATATTTAGAACATTTTTGATGTTTATCTGTCGTCCATTTGGATATTATATTATGTGAAGTGCTATTCAAGGCTATTACCTGCTTTTTTATTGTGTGGTATTTTTTAACTATATTAAAGAACGTGTTATGTATTCTGGGTATAGTTTCTTTTTTCTCATTTTATGTGCCACAAACATATTCTCATTCTCTGTTTTTTTTTTCTTTTCACTTATTTTATGTTTAACGTTGGTCTTTATTTTAACAGCAAATTTATCACCATTTACTTTTGTTACTAGAGCTTCTTTCCCTACCATAAGACTATGAAAGTATGTTTTTATATTATGGTCTAGAAATTTTACTGGTTTACCTTTCATCTTACTTTTTACAAAATGTATGAATTAATGTTTTCTTATGGTGTGAGAGAGGGGTCAATATATATCTTTTCCCATTTGAATAACTGGATTACCAAACTTAATATATTTAGAATACTTCTTTTCTCTTTTTTGCATCTTCATTTTTGTTATGTCAGGTGCCCTATGTGCAAGTGTGTTTTTGAGAATCCTTTTCTGAGCCATTATTCTAGTTTTCATCATTGTGGAAATATCATACAGTTTCAATTGATTTAGGCTTCTCATACATTTTGTTCATATGACTATCTTCTCTTGTGAAGTGTCTACTAAATTTGTCATGTTTTATATTAAACGGTTTTAAAGTTTCTTACTGATTTGTTGTGCTACATTATATAATCAGAATAGGAGTCTGTTGAATACATGAAGTACAGATACCTTCTACCTCTTTACATTCCTTTTCTCTTTCATCATATTATGTTGATGAAAAGCAATTCTTCATTGAATGTATTCAAGTTTATAAATGTTTCACACCTAGTCAATGGTTTTCTTCCTGTTTCCTATCTCTAGCCTGAAGGTAAACTCCTATATTTTAGTCTAAAGTCTTTACTGTTTGTCTTTTTTATTTAGATCTCCTATCCATCTGAAAATATATGTTTTAAAATATATTTAAAATATATTGTGAAGCAGAGTTCAATATTTAATTTTTTTATATGTACACATCATTGACCTATGACCACTAATTAAAAAGAATATCCTTTCCTCACACTTACGGGTCACACATATCAGGTATATGTTTATTTCTTAGTGTATTTATCTATCCTTGTGCATATAATCTTTGTATCAAATACTATATATTTCTGATAATTATTAATTTTGGTAACATCAGTTCTTCAGCTTTTAATATTTCACTTCATTTATTGAATAGTTAAGGAAATATTCATATTTTCTATTGCTTTTCATGTCAATTTAGTATTTTCAATGTATTGGTGCAAAGGTGTTTATAATATCTTGTGTTTTAACATCTATATACTCTCAAATTATGTCCTTTTTAATTTTTAGTCATGGTAATTTGTGGTCCTCCCTTTCTTCTTGGTGAAGCTTATAAGTTCATTGATGTTTTGAATTGTTTTGGGTGCCTCTTGTGGCTCATCTCACATCCTATTGTCCTTACCTCTATTTCTAGATGCAGCTATGACATTCAGTCTTCAACTCACTTTGTGCTGATGGTGTCCAACTCAAGCCCACACATGATACTTTTCCTTATTCTCCCAGAAGTCTCTACACTGCTGAAGTATGGGGTTAAAATAGAAGATTGTTGACAGATAGCATACTGGGTATGTACTGCCCCTAGGGAACTCTTCAGTATAGATAAATGGAAGCCTATAATTAAATACTTATTTTCAATCTTCTAGTCAACAATTTTCAGAAGCATTGATAAGCACAAATAAAATATATTGGTGATCAACTTAATAGTACACCCTTAACATTAATATTCCTACTTGCCTTTTATAATTTTTGATCCCTCATCCCTGCTCCCTGGGATAACCTCCCCAATACACCATCTTTCAAGTTTATTTTCAGAGGAATACAGATTAGGATATTAGTTTTTTCAAATAATCAACTTTCAAACTTCATACATTTAATCTTCTGTATTTTTAAATTTTTCCATAAATTTTTATAACTATATTAGTAGCTTCCTAAATTTTTTTTCCTATCAAGTTAGCTGTTTTTATTTCATTTTTTTAGATAAATGCTTAGGTCACTGATTGTCAACTTTTATTCTTTTCTAATACATGAATTTAGAGCTGCAATGTTCCTAGCAAATTTTAATTAAACTGCATGGTACAAGTTGTGCTTTGCGTTATTTTCTCATTATTTAAATACAAACATTTTATAGTGTCCATTCAGATATTTTCTTTGACCTTAGAGAAATTTAGAAGTATGCTATTTAACTTCAAAATAATTTTTATTTTCTAGTTATTATTTGGTTATTTATTTTATCTTAATTCTACTATAGTCAGACACCATACATTGTATTATTTGAGTCATATAAAATATGTTTTTATTTACCTTATTACCTCTCATTCATTTCTTGATGTAATATTTCCTTTGCAATTAAATAAGTGTGCATTTTGCCAGTTGTCTGCTTTGTTATATGCATGTCAATTAGTAGCATTTTGTCAGGCATACTGTTTCAAGTATTCTGTAACATTACCAATTGTCTGACTTTTCCTTCAGTTACAGAGGTAATTTTTTCAGTCTATAAGATCATAGATTTGTCCATTTCTTATTTTAATTCTATTAGCTTTTGATGATCTATTTTAATACCTTTGTTGAGGTACCATTCACATACAATTAACTGCCCATATTAACAGTGTAAATTTAGGTTGCTTCTGACAAAGGTACATGCCCATGAATTCATCACTACAATCAAGATAAAGAACATATCTATCAACTCGAAAGATTCCTATTGCTTCTTTGTAATCCATTTTTTTCATCCCATTTTTTCAAATTTTATATCATTCTCAGGCACATGGTGATATATTTTCTGTCAAAATAAATCAATTTCAATTCCCTATATAGATGACCCCACACTTATAATGAGAGTACATCTCAATCAACCCATGGTGAGTTGAAAATATCATAAGTCAAAAATGCATTTAATAAATCTAACCTACTAAACATCATGGCTTAGTCTAATCTACAGTAAACATGTTCCGAACACTTACATTAGCCAAGAGCTGGGAAAAATTATCTGGCAACACAGTATACTGTAGAGTATCAGTTGTTTACCCTCAACATTGTGAAGCTAACTGGGAGCTGCTTCTTGCTGCCACTGCCAAGCATCAGAGAAGTGTCATATAGTATATTGCCAGCCCAGGAGAAAATCAAAATTCAAAATTTGAAGTATAGTCTCTACTGAAGGCATATCACTTTCTCACCATTGTAGAGTCAAAAAATTGGAGGTCAAAATCATATTGTAAGTTGGGGATGGTCTGTAATTTTACATAAATGAAAACATACACCATTTAAGTTTTTTTTCTGACTTCATTGACTTAGTATGTTTATTTTAAGACGTATCCATGTGAACAGATAGATAATTCCTTTTTATTGCTAAGTAGTATTCCATGGCATGAACATTCCACAATTTGTTTATCCATTCACCTGTTGAAGGCCATTACAAATAGATCCACTGCAAATCTTTGTGCAGAGGTTTTGGTCTTCTCGTATGCTCTTATTTCTCTTAGATAAATACTAAGGAGATGAATGGATAGATCATATTGTAGGTGTAGGTTTAATTTTTTAAGAAATTGTTGACCGTTTGAGAAAGTGGTTGTAGCATTTTACAATCCCCATCAATGGTGTATGAGAGTTATAGTACGTCCACATCCTCACCTTACAGCAAATGTGCATTTAATGTTAGATTATGCTTGCTTAGAAGAAAAATGTGCTGGTGTTCAAATGTATCTATTCTATTTCTTATCTGGCTTTGGAATTCTCTGTGCCTTAAATATCTGCCCTTGCTTTGTCTGTCTACTAATTCCTACTTATCTCTCAAGATCAATCTCTGATCTACCCCAGAATGTGTTTTGCTCCCTACCTTGTACAACGACTTTGTCCTTCAAGTTCTGAAGTCCCTATGCCATAGTAACATTCTTATAGTTTAGGCAACCTTAT
The DNA here is from genome assembly GCF_000001405.40 of Homo sapiens. Taxonomy (NCBI): domain Eukaryota; kingdom Metazoa; phylum Chordata; class Mammalia; order Primates; family Hominidae; genus Homo; species Homo sapiens. Next base: position 18,643,184 of record NC_000021.9, read on the forward strand.
TTGATTAAGGGTTTCTTGCAGGAAGAATCATATATTATTTATCCTTTAACCTGCCTCAGAGCTTGACACATACTAAGAGCTCCATATATTTTGTGTTATTAAATGAAATAGTAAACGTAATTTTATAATTCTCTATCTTATTGATTATCTGTAAAAGCTTGTAAATGAACATTTCTTGCTAAATGTAAAGACACACGGAATTGCACTGATTACTTCTAAGACTTGAACCATTCAGAGTGCAATTAACAAATAAAACAAGATATCAAGATACTTCTGAGAACATGATTCCATTTAAAATTTAATCATTGCTCACTAATGGCTGCGATTGGAGTTTAACTTATTAGACACCATCTGCTGCCTAAACATCTAGGGAATATTTTTAAGGAATATCTTTCTAGAGCAAATGATAATCTTGTGCCAACTTGTTTATCACTTATCTGGTTGCTGGCATTTAAACCTTGTAACAACAAAAATTATAGGTGAGTGCATAAGGCAATAAATGAAAACTAAATATGATAAGAGCACAATGAAAATGTAAATGACTTTTTTCCCCAGATTCATTACTTCTGGTATCATAATGAGCTATGTAAATGTTAGACTAGGTTACACGGCAAGAGTGGAGTGATTCAGAAAGCAAGCTTTATTCAGACAAGTGCTAGTTTGAGTATCGGCTATACCTTTAAATACCATTGTGACCTTGAATAATTAAGAAACCCTTGTAACCTTAGTTTTTCCATCACAACTAGTGACTAATAATAATGATCTTATAAATTGTGGTAGCAAGTGTGTGTATATTTATATACTTGCTTATTTTATTCATGGTCCACATAATCTGGGCAAGATGATCATTTAGGACTGAAGGAGTCCAAAATAGGCCACCCACTTCACAATATTCCACTTTGGCATAAGGGTTTCTTTGAGCCAAAGGCAGTTCAAAATCAGCAGGGGAAGAAAGATTTATGTGGCCTCCCATATTCTGCCTAAATGGAGAGCAAAATTTCCTTTTGTGAGGGCGTTGAAAATTTTCCTTGTTAAGGCATCCCTTTTTCCCATACTGGGAATGGGAGAGCAACTCTTGTCACCAGAGATGCAGAGTTGACAGTAAGATTGGGCTGCATAAACAAACCTTACTAAAGTGGTCCTTATCTTGCATTAGCTTTCCCCCCACAAATGTCCTCATCCCTTCCTGACAATCTATTGTCTCTTAAAGCCCAAACAACATTTCCTTTGTTAAAATGGTACAGAAACCCAAATCTAACCACTTCTTTGAGTTTCACTTCTTTTCTGTAAAAACCCATGCATGTAAATATTAATAAAAGTGTATACCTTTTCTCCTGTTAATCTGTATCTGTTAGTTTAATTTTAAGCCTCCCAGTCATAAAATCAAAAGGGTAGAGGAAAAGCTTTTCTCTCCTGTAGTACCCTTAGATATTAGACATTTTTACTTTAATGCATATGTATTATAAAAATGAAATACCTTGTAAAAATTGAAAAAAAAGACAAACTGAAAAAGCTAATTCTTCAATAGTTACTTGGTTCAAAAATGCTTCTAATTCCTAAGAGTTTTTATCTTTGCATGTCATGTAAATCCTAACAGTTTTGATACACTCTGCTCAATTAATGTATATTTGCAATGTCCCTCTGTTACCACTTAACTATTCTTTTTTAAGCAATTGTATTAATTTCCTAAATCTGCCATACAAATTAACACAAATTTGGTGTCTTAAAACAACAGAAATTTATTATCTGACAGTTCTGGAAGCCAGAGTCCAAATCAAGGTGTTGATAAGCATGCACTCCCACTGGAGGCTCTAGGGAGAATTGCTTTCCCAGAGCTTTGTGCTTCAAATGGCTCCAGACTTTGACCCCAAAAGTATCTGTGACAGGTCTCAATCAATTTAGAAAATTCATTTTGCCAAGGTTAAGGACACACCTGTGACACAGCCTCAGGAGGTCCTGATGACATGTGCCCAAGGTGGTAGGGGTACAGCATGGCTTTATACATTCTAGGGAGACATGAGGAACCAATCAGTAGGTGTAAGATTAACATTGATTTGGTCTGGAAATTTGGGACAACTCAAAGCAGGGGGCTTTCATGTCATAGGTAGATAAGCACAGAAAGTTGCGTTATTTTGGGTCTTTGATCAATCTTTCACTGAATACAGAATTTACATCTGAGAGAGGGGTAGAGGAATACTCATTTATGCTTTACTCTGGCTCAGTGAATCTGCATTTTTACATAAACAATAGGGCAGAGGAATCAATCAAAAATACATTTTTCGCACGTGACCAGAGGGATGACTTTGAGTTCTGTCCTTTGTCCTGCCCTTTGGCTTAGTGATTTGTGGGTTCCAATATTTATTTTCCTTTCACAAGATGTTTTTTGGCTTCTAGCTGCAAAACTCCACTCTCCACCTCTGTCTTCACATGGTCTTGTTCTTTTCTCTCAGTGTGTCTCTGTGTCTTTCTTTTTGTATATTTTATAGGGATACTTGGATTTAGTGTATGATCTGTCTGGTCATCCAGAGATGCTTAATTTAATTGCATTTACAAAACCCTCTTTTTTCCCAAATTTGGTCACATTCACAGGTTCTGGGGATTAGGAAATGAACATATCTTTCAGGGCTTTATTTTATCATTTACTTTAATGGATGGGCTCACGCAACCTCTATAATTTTTGCTTTGAGATCTGGTGTTCAAATGAACACATGCATTTACTAAATTGCCACCTGTGTCTTTGTTCCATTTGACCACCTTTGTTACTCTAAAACAGTAGCTGCATTGCCTAATCTGATCTCATTTCAGCACTGACCTCAGCCTGACTGTATTATTTTCTATCATTTGAATATCAAAACCTTTTTGATGTTTGCCTATGCTCTACAATAGAGGAGGTTTTATATCTGTATCTCCCCTCTCTACTACTGGGAACATTAACCAATTTTCAGAATACAGTTACAAAAATATTCTCCACTTCCCAAACCTATAAGAAACAAAAGCTTCTGTTAAGTTCTTTTTTTCAAAGCATTTTTTTAAAGGTTACAGAATAAGAGTTGAAACTAATGTTTAACATGAAGCTACAGAAGCTCATTATCACTCAGCAGCTGACAGAAAAAAGCTTTTTAGCCATATTATGTAACATTTCTAGGTCCCTTGGCACATAAGGACCACATCCTGTTGCCTCTTTGTGGGTAACTCATGTGAACTCACACCAAATGGAAGCTTCTGTTTTAACTAATTCCCTCTGGAAGTTTTGTTTGAATCTCTGCTTTAGATGAAAGCGTTTCTAACTTGTTCTTTAACATTGATTTGGTAAAAAATATGACCCTCTGCAAATTGTTTAGGGCTAATCCTAATACTGAATCAAGTAAGCACAGACTATTAAAGGTGGAGAGAAGTCACTTTTCAGTAGCTATTGACCTTACCAAATCCTGTCATCCATATTACATACAGAAATCGTTAGATCTTTCTGTATTAACATTTGCAATGATTGTGGTGGAACTGGAAGTGATTATCTTAATGATTTTGATGGTAGTATTTTTGGAACCTATGCAAATAAGATGCCTCTCTGAACCATTTCCAGATCATCTATGTATTCATATTTCAATATGGTAATTTTTTAAAAGTGTGAACAAAATCTTTAAAACAAGTTCATTGTTAGTGTATGGTAAATTTTCATGCATTTTTAAATTTGTTACCATTAAAATCTCTGTTCTTTCTTACTATTGGTTTACAGTAATCAGGGGCCCAACTGTGGAAATCATTTCTTCTTCCAATTCTCCCACGCTCTGGACTCTCTAAAATATTTCACAATGTGATGTAGACATTTTGGTGATTTCCTTTTTTTTTTTATTGAGACGGACTCTTGCTCTATCGATAGGCTGGAGTGCAGTGGCACAATCTTGGCTCACTGAAATCTCCGTCTCCCAGGTTCAAGTGATTCTCCTGCCTCAGCCTCCTGAATAGCTGGAATTACAGGTGTGTGCCACCATGCCCGGCTAATTTTTGTATTTTTAGTAGAGACAGGGTTTCACCATCTTGCCAGGCTGGTCTTTAACTCCTGACCTTGTGATCCACCCACCTCGGCCTCCCAAAGTGCTGGGATTACAGGCGTGAGCCACTTAGACCACGTAACACATTTATCAGTTGCAAGCAAAATATTCTTAAAAATAAGTTTACGTGTTTGGAGTCATGAGATCTGGGCTTTAGTCCTAACTGTGATATTCACCAGCTACCAGAGGAAAGATATGTTGCTTTTTTCTTCAGTATCTCTTTTTCTTTATTGGTAAAACAATGGTTTTGACTGTTCAATAGACATCAGGTTCTTTTTATCTTTGTTCATCTATGCCGAAGTAAGAAAGTCCTAGGTCATATACCTTTCTTCAGAAATAGATATATATCTATTATTACAGATGATTTGAAATTGAATAACTGTACGTATCTGGCCAGAAGAGTGTTTTATGAGATAGATACAAGCCCATCAAACTGTCCCTTTATATTTTATGCTACATGAATTGATCTGCCTATACAATTATTCATAGAAATATGATTTATTTATACCAAATCAACTACAGACTTGAACATATTTTTTCCCACTTCTTGAATTTAAGATTACTGTATCACACACTTCTTGGTTTGTATATTTTGGCATCACTGAATAAACATCATTTATGCTTTTTTCTTGAGGAGTTTATATCAAAATTTTTATATGCCAAGTTTCTTGACAGGATTCCTAACATTTCATAATTCAATGGTAGATATAGTCAGTGACACAGCTCAGTATTACATTAAACACAACATGATAATTCCTGTGACTGCTTTGTTTTCCTTTTACTTATAACCGATTTAAATATTTTCATAAAGAGTTATGGTTTTCCAGACATAAGTAAGATTTCAAGAACTACAGAATACATATTAACATTGTCAGTCACAAAGTTAACTTTGCCAACTACTTATATCTACCATCACAACTATGGTATTTTTCAGAAAACTATCTATCTAGCTATCATATCTATCTATCTATCTATCTATCTATCTATCTATCTATCTATCTATCATCTATCACCTTGTAATAACAAGAACTTGAGGCAGCTCCTTTTTTAGCTTTAATTAATCAGAATGACTTAAAAGAGGTTTTATAAAATTTAATTATTTTGGCTCTACATTAAGTGTTAATGGGAAATAAATATTTAATAATACACCCTTTGGAAGTATTATTATGGTCTCATTTAATTGAATAATAAACATTCAAGTTCTCCCCATTTTTTCCCAACCAGAGCAAATATATTTCTACTTTTTCCTGTCTGAAATGAATTTACTAAATATAGGAGTTTTCTGTACAATGAGAATCATATCTCAAGATAAACCAAAACAAACTGTATTTTTCTGGAGTATATTTAAGCCAAAAATATTTTGTATTTTATCAAAACTAAATATTTCATTAAGAGCGAGCGAAACTCAAAAACTCATTCTCAATAAGGAATGAAGGGAAGTGTTGATATGTCCTTTATTTTTTTTTTTAACATTAATCCTGTCACCTAAATGAGTGATGAAAGACATTTAATTCTAAACAAGTTTGTTGTAATCTTCTGGAAAAAAAATTTGAGTAATAGCAAGTGTTTAAAAATCTAATATCTATTTTTTTATTATGTGCCAGGCACTCTTCTAAGCAAAACGATGTATTACTGATATACTGAATGCTCACAGAACCCTAGGAGATAGCTTGTTGTTATGACACAGCTGAAGGAAATTGAGACTTGAGGTATTACATGGCAAGCCCTAGGTCATCAAGAATAGCAAAACTTACGATGAATCCTTCAAGACTCATGCACTTGAACATACATGCAAAACTGCCTCATAAACTAAAGACTGAAAATTCTTTAAGCCACTTTCTAGCTTTAAAATTCAAGATAAAAAGAAGAGCTCAAACACATATAAGAATGTGTTGCTTAGCTGACTTTAAACCTTTGTGTGTTAACAATTTTGATCTATAGCAGGAATCATTGAACTATGGCCCACAGGTGAAATCTCAGCTGCCACTTTTTTGTATTACCTGCCACTGTTTTTGTATATACCAAGAATGTTTTATACGTTTTTCTATGGTTGGAAAAAATCAAAATAAGAATAGTATTTCTTTTCTTTTTTCTTTAATCTGTATTTGTCAAACCTTTTAAAGCCAAATGTGATTCAGGCACTATATTTCCATTTACGAGCCTCTCTCTGAGTTATTTTTCAAGAGCTTTACAATATGCCTAGGTAAGCTTATAATTTTGCTCCTCTAATAATACTTTTCTTTGGTAATTAAGCCCTGTGGAGAGTTTAATGCTCCAGTTTAACGTATTTCTAGAGGACTAGTACGTGCAGAGTTGGCAACTATAGCGGATGCAAAGTTGAAAAAGTAGATCCCAGAAGATGTAAAAAATAATTTTTTTGTAAACATCAAGGTATATCTCAGAGGAAGATCCTCTGAGACCACCACCTCTTTAATGAAGTTCTGATATTCAGGTATTAGTTTCTCACAGTTTTCCATGACGAAAACTCTGTACATAAAACTTAATGTTGTTATTTTTCTTTCTGATTTTAAATAGATGTAAAGGAGCACATCTTGGGACAAAAAGAAGAGCTCTGAAGAATAATATTTCTTGACAGATAAAAATTATCTGAAATGCAAGTTTCTGTGTCCATAAATAATGTTTTATTGAAACACAGTCATGCCTCTTCATGTCTATATTGTCTGTGGTTCCCTCTACACTACAACATCAAGTCCAGCAGTTGCAATGGAGATATCTGGCCTGCAAAGTTCAAAGTATTTACTATTTTGTCATGTAAGAAAAAGTTCACTGATTCCTTGCCTACAATGCTCACCAGGAAAGCATTGTTTATATTGAGTTGGGCATATAAAATTAACACGTTTTTATTTTGCACATAGATAACAATTATTGTCAAAGAATCCTGAGGGATATAAAATATAGGACAGAAATCTGGGCCTTGAATTACACCTCAAAACTAGCAATCATTAACAAATGAGAACAGCTAACAACTAAAATATGAGTATTGATTTTATATGCAATAGCGTTTAAAATAAAGGATCAGATCAATGTTGAAATATACGAGGAAAATTTCATGCAGAGGAAATGGTTGTGCTTTTAAGGCTGGGATCTTTTGGTTAGATGTAGGAAGGGATAGGTGTGATTTCATTGTGTAGCAGGAAACTCAAGGAAAGGCAAAGAGGCTGGGTGCAGTTTCTCACACCTGCAGTCCAGGCCTTTTGGGAGGCTGAAGCTGGAGGATCGTTTAAGGACAGAAGTTTGAGGTTACAGTGAACTATGATTATGCCGCTGCAACCCAGCACAGGCAATAGAGCAAGACCTTGTCTCAAAAAAAAAAAAAAAAAAAAAAAAAAAAAAAAAAGAAAGGCAAAGTGGTGATGAGTAGTATATGAGATGACATAAATACATAAATGTAGACTCAGACTCTGGTGAAGAGAAGAAAATGATTTACATGGCCAAATACAGCTGTCTTGCCCATGTAGTTCTGGTCCCTCTGTCTCAAAAATAAAATTCTTTTAAACTTTAAGACTACTTCCTCATGTGCCTTAAGACCTTACCAATTTGGTTTTATTTTTGTGGTTCAAGAAACACTTTCTTAAATGTACACTACCCACCCACCCCGCCACACACACAGTCTGTTTTCTGTAATCTCACAGCCAAATAGCTAAATGCTATTTGAGACAGCTCTGTCATCATGGATATATGATATATGAGGATTTTGACCTTCCCTAAGCCTTCAACATTTCTGGGTCATCGTGTTATATGTTTCTGGAAAGTTTCCTATCCCTTTAGCCTCACCAAATATTTCATGACTCCTGTGTTCCTAAAGCTTATAATTTCAATTTTTTCTTCACATTTACCAAATTATTCTGCTCTTCTATTTACAGGAAAATCAAATCTATAAGGCAAAAATTCAGTTGAATTCCTTTTCCTCCATTGATACATATATGTACACCAACAGCTTAGCATGCCTCCTTCCTGCAAATGTCAAAAAAATAAAAAGAAAAAATCCCTGTTTTCCAAATCCAACCCACTTACCTGACTTGGGATTTTGCCCTTGCCCTCCCTCTGGGAATTTGGCTCAATTTCATGTCCTTCAGTCTACCTACTGGCATCTTCCCCTCTGCATGCAAACACATGCATCAAAACATCCTGTGATTACTGACATCTCACAAGGCTCAGACTTAGGTCTTTCCTTATTATGCATATCCTATCTGGGCAATTTTATTAATATTTGTGTCTGAGACTCCCATTTATTAGTAGTTTTCTCAAAGTCTCTCTCATTCTCACATTTCCTCACTTGGGCTTCCAGCAATTTAAAATCTATTAATTTAAAAGATAGTAATCTTTTTAATCTGTTTAAATTTAAAACAATTTAAAATCTATTAATCTGAATCTAACAATTGCCAACTTCTTCCAGTTTTTATGTACCTTCTGCTGTGGTCTGAATATGTTCCCCAGCATTCCTGTGTTTTTTTCTTCACATTTACCAAATTATGTTGCTTCTATTTTTACAAGAAAATCAAATCTATAAGGCAAAAATTTAGTTGAATTCCTTTTCCTCCATTGATACATTTGTCTGTACCAACACCTTAGCATGCCTCCTTCCATACCTCCAGCATTCCTCCATTCATGTGTTGGATTAATCACCAATGCAATAGTGTTAGGAGGTGGGGCCTAATGGGAGGTATTTAAGTCTTGAGGGCTCTGCTCTCATGAATGAATCAACGCTGCGATAAAAAAGGCTAGTGGCCAGGCGCGGTAGCTCACGCCTGTAATCCCAGTACTTTGGGAGGCCAAGGTGGGCAGATTGCCTGAGGTCGGGAATTGGAGACTAGCCTGGCCAAAATGGTGAAACCCTGTCTCTACTAAAAATACAAAAATCAGCCAGGCATGGTGGTGGGCGCCTGTATCCCAGCTACTTGGGAGGCTGAGGCAGGAGAATCACTGGAACCCAGAAGGCAGAGGGTGACATGAGCTGAGATTGTGTCACTGCACTCCAGCCTGGGCAACAGAGCAAGACCCCCTCTCCAAAAAAAAAGAAAAAAAGAAAAAGGCTAGCAAGCCTGAGTTCTTCTCTAGCTACCTTCCACCATATGAAGATGCAGCAAGAAGGCCCTCATCAGATGCTAATGCCCTGATCTTGAACTTCCCAGCCTCCAGAATTGTGAGAAATGAAGGTGTACTTTACTTCTTTATACATTACCCAATCTGTGGTATTCTGCTATAACAGCACAAAACAGACTAAGACAACCTTTTTCATTCCCTATTTCAGAAAATTGAACATCCATTGTGGTTCAAAAACAAGAAACCTCAATTTTGCCTTAAATCCCTGTTTCTAAGATTCCATGTTAACATTCCAAAAATATTTTGTTGCTTAGTATCCCCCATAACTATCTGTTCTTTACATGCTAATTACTACTATTCTGCATGATATTCTCATTTTTCCCCACTGAATTGTTCCTCTTCTTTCTTATAGTTTTCCCTCCCCACAGGCACATGCTTGCCCAATCACTCCTGTTCTGTTCTTGTCATACTAGCCTCTCAAACCTAAGAATATGATCATGCCATTAACATGGTTTTGGAATTGCCCTGCTTTTACCAATAATTTCCTTTTATATGCAGGAAAAAAATTTGAAACCTGTAGACAGCTCAAAGCCCTTCATGGACTCTCTCTGTTGAGTCCCCTCCCCTCCCCTCCTTCCCTCACAGATTATGCTGCACTCTTCCTCATCTCTGGCAATGCCACACTTTCTCATAGTTTTGTACAGTTATAGTTGTCTTCCCAGGACAGTAAAGATCCCAGGACCTTTGATTTTCTGTTTTGCCTGAAACTGATTCATCTTCTGGCTTGACTTCAAATCCTGTATTCTCTGTTGAGCCCACTCTGATTTCTCCAAGTAAACCCAAATACAACTGCATCAATGTTTCACACTTATTAAAAATACGCATTGTATAGAGGTTTCATGTTAATTTCTAATCTGCTTATTTTGTTTGTCTATTTTTCACCAGATGTAAGCTCTTGAAACTTGTTTGAAAGGTGTATTCTTCCCTCTGTTATGACAATATAGATTGTAGTGCTGCAATTCAGCTTTTAACATGGTAAAAAGAACGTTAGATGATGAGTGTGAGATACTTGGATCCACCAAACTTCATCATTGCCATTATCTTCACCAGGGATATCATCTATCTTAGTGCTTACTATGCCAGTCATTATGCAAAAAACATTTATAAAATAATGTCTTTTAATACTTGTACCATTTTTCAAGTTAGATAATAACATATTCTCTTTTTATAGATGATAAAGTTGAATCAAGAGATTCATCAGGTTGCCTCCAGAGTCTATAGTCTTAATATTGAACTACTTTTCTGAATCCAAGGATTAATTCACAAATCAATTTTATGTGCATAACTTCCCCAGTTTTGTTACTGACTAATCTCCATGAATAACAAAACTATTTGCTGGTTTCATTGAAGTTTTAATGCCAATCACACAGTTTCATGATACAAGAATATGGGCTTTGGTCATCATACGTGAAAGACACATAAGGGTTTTATTGGACAGCATAGTTGGTCCGATTCAACTATGTTGAATTGACAAATTACAATGTGCAATTGTAATTGCAATTCAGCACATTACATAGGCTGAATGTGATCTTATTCTGTGATAACAGAAGCAGCATGACATTCATATTATGAGAGGTGATCGTCTACCTCTAGTTGCTGTGGGTTAGACTCCACATAGAGAACTACTCTCAGCAATGATGTAATAGGTTTAAAGACATCTGGACTGGCCAGGACTGGTGGCTCATGCTTGTAATCCTAGCACTTTGGGAGGCGGAGGCGGGTGGATCACGAGGTCAGGAGTTCAAGACCAGCCTGGCCAACACGGTGAAACCCCGTCTCTACTAAAAATACAAAAATTAGCTAGGCATGCTGGTGCATGCCTGTAATCCCAGCTACTCGAGAGGCTGAAGCAGGAGAATTGCTTGAACCAGGACCCAGGAAGTGGAGGTTGCAGTGAGCTGACATCTCACCACTGCACTCCAGCCTGGGCTACAGAGCAAGACTCTGTCTCAAAAAACAAAACAAACAAACAAACAAAAAGACATAGTCTAATTGGGTTAAGTTCAAAGGAAAAGGAAGCTTAATGGAAGAGAGTTTCAAATATACTAAATTTATAATAAAAACAAAAGATGCTGCAACATTTCACTAGAGAGAACAAAGAGTTGCTTTCCAAGTATTTTAAGAACACTTATGTGGAAGAGAAAGTGAATTTTGATTTGATTTTTATGTCCCTATAAATTAGAACTAGGCTTAGTGGTTGAAGCAAGGGTGTCCTGAGATGAAGTGATAGCCTGAAGACTCATGGACTTCACCATAGCTAGAAGTGACCAGGCATATCTCAGATGGAGGTTTAGTGGGGATGGTATAGAGTTTAGATATTAGAAGAATGTTTGGACTACAAATTTAAGATCAACCCAGTCCTATTTTTCTGTGATGTTGAGATTGTAATGCTATTGACTTAGTAAACTTTCACATTTATTAAGCATTATATGTATATTTCATTTGTAACTACGTACTTCAAAACAGGAATCAAGGCAGTTTACTGCTTAAAGAAAAGTGAAGTGTGTCTTCCAATGTAGAGACTTTGATAAGTGCAATGCATTGCCATGTCTTGTGAGAGCCCTTCCACATTTTAATGTCAAAACTTGATCTATTGCAAAGCCAAGTGAATTGTTATTCAGAGATATGGAAAATGTATCTAAAAGTGTCCCCATAAATCTGTTGCCAGATTGTGGTTTACATCAGACTTTAAACATTTAGAATGATGGAAAGTAAACATCATAGAATGATCTAAAATTATACCAAATCTATCAGAAGAATCCTTCATAGTATAACGTGAAATGGACATCCTTTTATAGCACTATCAATTTTGTGCTGAGTTTAAACATAAAAAATACTTTTTTGGCAATATTTTCATATTAATAAATTATTTTCAGGAGGAACATTTTAAAATGAAAAGAAAATGACAAAATAATTTCCAATATCAGAAGATAATTTGATAAATAAAAATAAAATAAAAATAAGAAAGCCATAAAATGAAATATATATGGTCATATAATATGCAAGTTGCCAGAAAAAATAGTTTACTTTTAAAAATTATCCCCAGATAAAAATTTCAATCTGAACTAATTTCATTAAAATTGAACCTGATTAAAATTCATTTGAGCCCTTGGATGGGGCAATTACTGTTAGCAAGACTATGTGGAATTCTATACTTCAAATTCTTCTCACCTGACTCAGTGAATAGAATTTCAAATGAAAATTACATTGTATATAACAGGAGAGGATTTTACGCTTTAAAATGCTACTATATGGGAACTAGAGAATGTTTTTACATTAACCAAATAAAATATTTAATTTATACCCAGTAGTAAAGTTTAAAAATACTAAAACATTTGCCTCATTCACATTTACTAAATTGCAACTTCCAAGTAGACATCCCTGCCTCCTCTGTGTCCTGAGAATTTTACTCCATTTTTTAAAATGTGCATATGGGTTGATAAGTGTTGTCTACTACCTTGTAAAAAGTTGTGGCTACCCTTGAGAATTAGTTATTCTTTGCTTAGTGACTGAATCCCCATGAGGTCTCTGACTTTCTAGTTGTCTGTACTCACACAGTGCCTTCCACTGTTTCACACTGAATACTAAACTCGTAATATTCCAGAGACTGGGATACATTTCTAGATGGTAGAACTGTGGTATACAATTTTTAGGTTATATCAATAAAGAAACTGAAACCCCATTAACCAGACGCATGATCATCCCTTACATAGAGTATAAACCAAGTGTAGGGCTTGTCAGTAGCTCTTACATAGAGAATTTAGTATCACATAAACAGTCACTTCCTCTCCACAGACACAAAAGTCACTGTGGCTACAGTATCCGTCTCAAGATGCTTTACTGGTAATCTCTATTCATCTACTGTAGTTACTTGAAAAAAATGAAATCTATTACCTATCCCAGCCCTAAAACTTGAAGGTTCAATGAAGCCTAAAAAGAATAGACAACAAAACTTGGAAATAGATTTAAGAATTCATAGTGCATAGAAAGTACTATTGTTAAACTTTTATATAGCTTTAATATTGATTACCTTCTTTTTTTGTAAATTACAGTAGACTTTAGTTAAGGAACAAACACTGGGAAGGAGAAATCAGAAAGTCTCTTACTTTTCAGTGAAGGCGATTTGCTGATTATAAAAAATTGTGGTGATGAACGTATCTTTTTAGCATGATGATCTATTTTCCTTTAGGTATACACCCTGTAATGGAAGTGCTGGGTTGAATGGTAACAGTCTTTAAGTTCTTTGAGAAATCTCCAAACTGCTTTCCACAGTGCTACACTACGCACAATAGCAAAGACATGGAATCAACCTAAGTGCCCATCAATGGGTTGGATATGATACACTGTGGAATACTATGCAGCCATAAAAAAGGATGAAATCATGTCTTTTGCAGCAACATGGATGGAACTGGAGGCTGTAATCCTAACTGAACTGACACAGGAGCAAAAAACCAAGTACTACATGTTGTCACAAATAGGTGCAAACATTAAGCACACATGGACATAAACATGGAAACAATGGATACTATGCACTACTAGAGCGGGGAGGGAAAGGTGGGATTAGGTTGAAAAAATACCTATTGGGCACAATGCTCGCTACCCACGTGCAATACACTCATGCAACAAACCTGCACATGACCCCATCTCTAAAATAATAGTTTAAATAAAAAAAAAAAAAACTTCTTAAGTAGTAATGTTATGTAATTGTAATTAATATTTATTTATTTATTTATTTATCTTTTTTTTTTTTTTTTTGAGACGGAGTCTCACTCTGTCGCCCAGGCTGGAGTGCAGTGGCACGATCTCAGCTCACTACAAACTCCGCCTCCTGGGTTCACGCCATTCTCCTGCCTCAGCCTCCCAAGTAGCTGGGACTACAGGCGCCCGCCACCATGCTTGACTAATTTTTTTGTATTTTCAATAGAGACAGGGTTTCACTGTGTTAGCTAGGATGGTCTGGATCTACTGACCTCATGATCCGCCCGCCTTGGCCTCCCAAAGTGCTGGGATTACAGGCGTGAGCCACCGCACCTGGCCCTGTTGATATTTATTTAGGGTTTTCATGAGTATGGAGTGAAGGAAGTGGAAGGTTATAATTACAAAAAAAAATTGATGAAAAAGAGAAAAAAAATTTTATGAACACAGTGAAGAGCTCACTCATAACTCAATGAGTGGAGTAATAGAGCATTATGGAGAGTCCCCACATCATATTAATATCATCATAACAGACATATAAGAAAAATTTAGACTTAGAAGAAGACATACATTAGGCAACAAAAAGTCCCCTAAATGGTGGATATTTATTTCATGTAAATAAAATACTCAATTAGAGAAACAATTTTTTGTAACTGGAGCTTAGGTCCACTTCAGAAAATAGTTTTAAAATAAACAATATTTATTTCTTCCTTCAAAAATAGTTTTGAGTATAATAGAATTTATAAAGAATTAGAGTAAACTTTATATATATATCTATTAAAATATTTCATGTTATAAATTGAAAGAAAAATATACTTATGTATAGATGCTAGAAACCTTAAGGGGACTCAAATATGCTACTTTGTGTTTACTTTTTTTCCTATTCCTCCTAAGAGCAGTGAACATCTAAATATATGTAGTCTGTGCTTCTACCCTAATGTTTATGGTAATTTGTAACTGAGAAGCTGACATTTTTAGTGCTAATAATTGTCAACACGACTTTATAAAAATTAAGCCTTGGAAATGCAATACTTTAGAGAAATCCCTTTGATCTTAAAATAATGTTTTTGAGCTCTAAGTTATTTTACATTATACACAGGTACTTATATTTCATTATATGAAACAAACTAGGCACTTGTGTGTTTTTTAAAATTGGGAATTAAAAGAATCTATACAAACGTTTTTTATTAGAATGTCAGAAATACTTTCTAAAATGATATAGTTAGTTAATTCTCTCTGTGAACTCTAAAAACCCAGGAATTTTCAAGTTATGTCCAGTTATATGGAAATGACCAATTCCCAATGTCTCCTTGGCATAATAAATTTAATTCATTATATGGAAACTCTAAACTAAAATAATACTATAGGGCACTATAGACTCTCTAAAGGTGCCCCTTACTCAACACTAAAATAAAACTGCCTTTAGAATAAAGCACTTTAATATACTTTGCTGCCATCACCATTCACTAGAGAATTACAGCCATGGAAATGAGGGCGTGTTTTAAGTGTTTCTTACTCATAGTCCACCAACAATTTAAAAATTTTGTGTAGCACCATAAAACAGTCAATGGATAATCAAAACATCATATACCCAAAGCTTATTTGCCTACAGTAAAAAAAAAAAAAAAGTGCTTTTACTATAGACAACAAATACTTTCACAGCTAGCATTTCATTCAAAATTATATGGAAGCATCTTGCTTACTAAGTGAGACATCTAGCTATCTTTCACTGTCATATTTTTTATTGGCTTGATTGGGGTGCAATTGACATACAATTAACTGTGCATACTTAAAGTGTTAACAAGAAGATATTTGACAGATGTCAGTCCTATGATAATAAATATATCATATATGTCACTTGCAAAGATTCTTTGTGCCACTAAGTAATCCCATTTTCCTATCCCCATTCCACTCCACCCTTAATCCCAAGCAATTATTGATCAGTTTTCTATAACTATAGATTAGCTTAAATTTTCTAGAATAATTGAAATAAAACGGCATGTACTCTTTGTCTATCTTCCTTCACTCACAGTAATTATTTGAGATCCATGTATAGTAATATAGTAATGTGTTATACTAGTTCATTATTTTTTATTAATATGTAGCATTTCATTGCATAAATATATCACAGTATATTTATTTGTTCACCTGTTTATAGGCACATCATTGCTTCCGCTTTGGGTTATTACAAATGATATTGCTATAAATATCTATGTACATGGGTTTGTATGGCGTCTGTTTTCATATATTTTGGGCAAATATTGAAGAGTGGATTAGCTGGATCATATGGTACATATATATTTAACTTTTAAAAAATGTGCCAAAATATTTTCCAAAATGGTTTTGCCATTTTGCATTCCATCAGCAGTGTAAAAAAGTTACAGTTTCTCTACATCCTCAACACTTGGTAGGGTCAGCTATTTTAATTTTCACCATTCTAATTTCTGTGCTTTTGTAACTCGTTGTGGCACAAATTGGAATTTCCCTTTAAAAATGTTGTCTTTTGTATTTTGTCCATATGTGTGGTTGTTTCAGTCAGGAAGATATTTCTTGTCCAGTTCCCTCCATCTTGGCCAGAAATAGATGTCCCCATTAGTAGAAAATTTTAAAGGCAAATAAATAAATAAATAATGAATGAAAAAGTAAACAACAGATAACATGATAACATGAGATGATAATATGCTTGAACATTAGATGATAAAAGCATTGAATTAAAAAAATCACAAAAGACTAAGAACATAAACCCAATGTATCATCATAGCTCCATAAGCTATTGACTTTTGTTTTACTAGAGAGATGTATGCATTGTAATTATTACACTTTCCTGAATCTAGGGATTTTATGACATAAGTGTAGTTTATTCAACCTTGACTGAATTTTCTTCTCTACCATCTCAATGATATCCTTCTTTGAGTCATTACAATTATAATGTAATCAGACTTTGTGCTTGGAGGCAATGAAAATTAATCCTTAAGTTCCAAGAAAGCAGACACTGTTCTGTTCACTGTCATATCTCTTACTCAGAACATTTTCTGTGACAGAGTATCTACAAACACTACATGAATGATTAAATTATAGTGAAAGAATACATTAAATAGATGTTCTAATTGTATTTATAAACTTAATTATAATTAATGTATAATTAGTGGCATTTAAAAAATTATAAGGCATATTATTGTATTGAACATATGTACTACCTATGTTC
The DNA here is from genome assembly GCF_000001405.40 of Homo sapiens. Lineage (NCBI taxonomy): Eukaryota > Metazoa > Chordata > Mammalia > Primates > Hominidae > Homo > Homo sapiens. The sequence continues at coordinate 18,660,257 of NC_000021.9, forward strand.
AATGAGGTATGTCTGCATTATTGAAGATACATTTTATCATAAAAAGGATTAGATTGTATATAATAATATAGTAATACTATGATATACAATGCTTTGGGTAGTCACAATGACTCCAAGCTTCTTTTTAAATAACTGCAGAGTTCACTGTAATAACAGGCTTTAGGAGCACAGAGCTTGCATTCACTGAGTCATCATTTAACACTTTTTTTTTTATTTTTAACTTCTTTCATAAATACAATTATTAATAAAAATTCTTTTGGAGTTAAACGATCTTCATTCAATTTTAAGCATCCTGATAAATTTGAAATACAGAAACTATTTTGTGTTATCATTTTAATATAGAGTCAGAATACATACAAGGCAATGCCTATTCCATTGGAAGTAGTAGTTACATCAAATTAATTATATCCAATCATTGTCTAAAGAAGAAAATGGAACACCATTCTGATCTACAATTATTTTCAAATATAAATTGGTGGTTTTAAGCCACAAGGAGTGGGATAGTTTCTGCTTTTCTTTTTAATGAATTTTTTAGAAGTACTTAGTGTAAAGTAATTTATAAATGGAGAATGTTGTTAGGAACTCCACCAAAACATTGCATCTGTGTCACTTAAGCATTTTTTGTTCTTCTACAAATTACATTACACATAGTATGTCAATGAAGAAAAAATATACTTGACCTCAGTGTTAATTATGATCAGCAGTAATTTCCAGAAAATATTCCAGAAAGAAAGAAAATATTAAACATTACTGAGATCAAGATTACCTCACAGTGGAATCTTTATTTCATACACACGCATACTGAAATTGTTTTCTGTTTTCTGTAGAGACAGAGAAAAACAAAAGTTGTTTTCCTGAATTCTTTACTGTGCACCTTCAACAATGCCAATCAATGCATAGAATAGAATGGAGGCCAGGAACAATGGGACAATACAGGAGAGTATAGGTACTCACCAGCCTTCCTGAATGCATAAAGTAAAAAGAGATATGCAAAAGTCATTGGAAAGATATTTCTATTTGTGTGTGTGTGCACACACACATACCTAAACAATAGTGCAGACACCCAAAAACAATGAGGAAAAAATACCAATCAGTTTCAATTTCTTGCAGCCTAAAAGGCTGTTTAACTATGGAATAAAAATTTATGTCCTGATGGGGAATCTGTTTTCACTTAGATTCCTCAGTGCAACAGAGAAAACTGAGCAGAACACACAGGGCCATAAACAGTAGAAGTTTTGGTTTCTGAAAGAAACAGGTCTGTGGGGCTTTGTACATAGAAGTAGAAATCATTCCAGAAATTATTGGTAAAGGTATTACATATAAGATAAGGCATATTATTTCAGCAACATTTTTCAAAGGTTTTCTAGTCTGCAAAGCCTCCTAATGAACATTATCAATAAAGATTGTATATATGTAAACCAAAAATAAAATTCTAAGCATCCCCCCCCACCACCCAACCATCTGAATGGACTTCCTCCTCAGCCAGGGCCCTCTTTTGTTTGTTTGTTTGTTTTTTAAAGAAAATATTTTAATGTTCATGGAAAGTGAATTTTCTTTTTTCCTTTTCTTTTGCAGCATACTTTATTTATTTATTTATTTACTTTTAAAGTTTTTTCCTGGTCAGCAAGGGGCACTCTTAAAATGCAACTGAAGAGACAGTTTCAGGCCATGACGGGAAGTGGGTATTGGACCTACCTCATTACGTGTCTCCAGCATTAACATCAACACAGACTTTAAGTCTGATAAGAAACATTTTACAACCTATTCTCTCTGAAGCCTGCTATCTGAAGGCTTCCTCTGCAAATAAGAACTTTGTTCCCCAGCAACCTCTTGTCTTAACCCAGACATTCCTTGCTATTGATCCCAGGTCTTTAGAGAAACTCAACCCATTTTCAACTGGAACATTCTTAAGTCTACCTATAGGCTGGAAGTCCCCGCTTTGAGCTGTCCCACCTTTCTGGATCAAACCAATGTATTTCTTAAATGTATTTGATTGATATCTCATGCCTCCCTAAAATGTATAAAACCAAGCTGCGCCCCGACCACCTTGGGCACGTGTTCTCAGGATCTCCTGAGGGCTGTCATGGGCCATGGTCACTCATATTTGGCTCTGAATAAATCTCTTCAAATATTTTAGAGTTTGACTATTTTCATCAACATATAAAAGGAGCTTTGTTTAATTAATAAACTGATGGTGAAATAAGAAGACTAAATACATGAAAACAGTATGTTGGCACAGACTAAAATGATGTAGTCAATGTGGGGGTTACAACACGGCTATGGTGATATAAGAATATGAATCAGAACAGACTTTTAGGCATCTATTGCAAAGGACTCTCACTTTTTCTTTGGAGAAAAAAATAGGAAAATGTATTAGCTTGTCTTGAATGCACAATAATTTTATATGTTTATTGTATAAAGTGGAATAAGTCATGCCCTCAGAACTTTTGCATTCTATGCACCTGCAAAAGTAGCACTGCATAGACCCCATCAAGGTTTCCAGCTTGCACCATCCACAGCAGTGGGTTGAGCTGCACCTGTTCCTGCCTGGGCTTCTGGTGAGGCAGCCGAGGAGCACTGCATAGAAATGCATGAAGCAGACACTGGATGCAGTGCAACACAGCAAATGCTGAGGTTCCCTGGGTCACCCTAGGCCTCTCTTTTGACATATTTTCTTCCCCCAGGCCTTGGCACTCTGGGCCTGTGATTGGAGGGGCAGTACAGAGGCTCTTCCAAGTGCCTTTGGGATCATTCTTTTATTATCCTGATGAGTAGCCTCTGGTTTCATTTAATTCATCCCAATCTCCTTATCAAATGGTCACTTGGCCACACCCTTGATTTTCCCTCTTGAAAATGCTTCTTCAATCTCTATCACATAGCCAGACCGAAAATATTTCACAACCCTAAATTCTGTTTTTCTTCTAGTTAAAATTCTGTCTTTAAATCATTTTTTTCACACAGTACTATATGCAATTAAAAGCCACACAGCATCCTGAATGCTTTGCTGCTTAGCTATTTCTTCTGCCAAATATCTTACTTTATCACACTTAAATGCTGTCTTTCATAAAGCCCTAGGACACTGATACAATTCAGCCCAGCTCTTTGCCAACATAAAACAAGGATGGTATTTTCTCCAGTTTGTAATATCTTCTTCCTCATTTACATCTGAGCCCTCTTCAAAATGGTCTTTACTGTCTATATTTCTACCAATATTTTGGTCATGACCACTTAAATCATGTCTAAGAAGGTCCAGACTTTCCCTACAGTTCTTCTCTTCTGAGTCCTCACCAGAATTGCCCTTAGTGCTTCTTCTGTGACAATATGGGCTTTTTCTAGTGTGCCCTTCTAAATTCTTTCAGTCTCATCCCATTACCCACATCCAAAGGTGCTTCCACATTTGCAGGGATTTGTTACAGCAACACTCACTCTCCGGCCCCAATTTTCTGTCTCAGTCCATTTTGGGTTGCTCTAATAGAATACTACAGATTGGGTAATTTAACAGAAATTCATTTTAACAGAAATTCATTGGCTCACCATTCTGGAGGCTGTGACATCCAAGATCAAGGGGCCAGCATCTGGTGAGGGCCGGCTTGTTGCATCGTCTGATTGCAGGAGGGCAAGTAGAGGGCAACAAAGGGAGGGCAAGTGGGGCCACACTCCCCCTTCTATAAGAAACCCACAACCATGATAAGGGACACTGCTGCAATAAAAGCATTAATCTTTTTATAAAGCTGGGGCCCCTCAACCCAGACTTCTCTTAAAGATCCCCTCTTTCAACACTGTTGCATTGAGTATTAAGTTTTGAATACACATCTTATGGGGGAAAACATTCAAACCATAGCACCCACCTTTTCCCATCTTCAAAGTCAGCAATGGAAGATCAGTCCCCTCTCATGCTTTGAATCATTCCTGCTTTCTTCATCATCATATCTCTCTGACTGACTTGCTGCCCAAAACGCAGCCAAGTGACTTAAACGGTGCCAACTCAGACTGTTAAAACTAGAAAAGCTAAAGATGCAAACTTTGCCTTTCTAAATATTTTATTATTCCTATCGAAGAACCTCACATATTGTTCCATGATACTTTCTGACTATGAACAAGGTGATAAAATATAAGCCTATTCGTTGCTATGTTTGAAATGGAAATAGAAAAATAGAAAAGAATAACATGTGGCAGATATTTGTGAGATAGCAACGTGCAGTTTTCATTAAAGGTCAGAGATTATATAACACTAGAAAAGGAAAATCCATAATAGCAATAGATGTTGAAAAATAGTTGTCACTATTCATTTAGGAAAATTCTGACAAGTACACAAATTTACAATTGAGTATATTTGTTTATAAACTAACATAAAATTGAAGTTGTCAAGTTTAAAATAAGGACAGAAAAATACAGTGATACTTGTTCATAAAAGCAACTTAAATAAAAACCATTTTGCCTATTAGTCTGGCTATTTTCTGTCTCTGGTTGCTATAAACTGTAGGAAAACTCATTTTGGATATTTCTGGTTTTTTTTTTTTTTTTTTTTGAGACGGAGTCTTGCTCAGTTGCCTAGGCTGAAGTGCAGTGGCACAATCTCCTCTCACTGCAAGCTCCGCCTCCCAGGTTCACGCCATTCTCCTGCCTCAGCCTCCCCAGTAGCTGGGACTACAGGCGCCCACCACCACGCCCGGCTAATTTTTTGTATTTTTAGTAGAGACGAGGTTTCACCGTGTTAGCCAGGATGGTCTCTATCTCCTGACCTCATGATCCGCCTGCCTCGGCCTCCCAAAGTGCTGGGATTACAGGCGTGAGCCACCGCGCCCTGACGATAATGCTGGTTTTTTAAATTATTCTGATAATATTGAAATGAATATTTTTTCCAAGAGGCAGCATTTCCAAAATGACAGGACACCTATTTGTATAAATGTGTGATGTTTATTTATTCATATTGTACACAAGAGAATTCCTGGATCACAATAAATTCAAAATCACCTTCCACTTGGCATACCTCTTAGAGCGATCTTAACATGCTTTCCAGAGCAATATGCACTCAAAGTAATCACTCAATGGGAGCACTTGTCTTTATGTTCTCATTCAATTCTAGTGTTTGTTGCTGGTGTAAGGATGACCTTGTAACAGTCCACTTGTGAAGGAGGTTTAACTCTGGGTTGGCTGGTGACCTATATAGGGTTACTATGCAATGCAAAACAACTGTATGTATTTTGAATAGCCATTTTTTTTTTCTCAAGGATGCAGTGAAAGTTGCATTTAGAGAACACACATTTGGGCTAGACAGAAATGTAATAAATCATTAAGACAGTCCTCACCATATTAAACCCTAAATAGTTGTGGCAGGTGGTGACGTGCTGTTGCAAAAATGCATCGTTTGTGCTTCAATAGGAAAATGATGAGATTGAGTTTGGGGATAATAGATATTTTTTTCAAAATGACCCATACATTTTTTAAAACATTCTGCAAGGGCAGACATATGGTCACTGGGTCCATGACTTTTAGAGAGTCTATGAAACTCGGGTCAATGACTCAGGGAACAGACATTCCAGAAGGTAAGTGAAATGGCAAGTTAAAAAGAAAATTCAAGTGCGACACTAGTTACTGAGTGGCCTGTGGAAATAATTTCACAGTTGGATGGGTGGTCCCTCCAATTATTAAAAATGCTAACCAGAAAATTTTCTAGCATGATTAAATAAGATTCTGTTGTAAATGTTTTTCTCATATAGAAGGTCTGCCATCATATATGGGCAACTATGGGGGCACTTATTAATTACTTTTTCAATGAAAGTTAGTTGAGACAGAAACTGTGTGTTCTAGCTTCCAGCAACACAGATTGAACAAATGGCCATGAAGATTGCAAAATAATGCTGTCCATCAGGATGTAAGTTTGTAATTGTAGAAAAGAGGGTCACTTCAGATTATGGGAAGAGTTTGCTTTTTCATGAAGTTGATATCAGGGTATATAGTCTCAGAGAAGATTTCCAAGGTTCATCAAAATTTGTAAGAGCATGAGCATGAGAAAATAAAGCTGGAAATAAAGAGAGTATGTTCACAATTTGGAGTAGCCCCTCAGTGGCTACAAAATCATTTGCTTAATCATTATCAAATGATAATTTACTGATATGTCAAAAACCAATCAAATCATATTATTCATGATTAATGTTATTAATCATTAATATCTCTTAATGGATATTAATTATTATTGATTGATTGATAATAATATCTCTTAATTGATGATAATATCTCTTAATGGATATTAATTTGATATATTAATATCTATCAAATCATATTATTAATGATTAATATCTCTTCATGTTCATATCACTTAAGATTTACCACCCTTCAAGGGACTTGTTCCATTGTCTATTTTTCTAATAAGGGATTTTGATATTTGATTCATGGGTTAAACCATACCTTTATTGGGGATAGAAACTGGATAATCTGTGGTGCTACTTGAGGTTTTTTGTTGTTTTTTTTCTCTCAGGCAAGAAAACAATCTTACAGCAATCTGGAACAACAATGCTAGAAAGATTGAGATTTTCACGTAAAATGGGCAAGTATTTAAAGAGCAGGGCTCTGTGGCAGTATAATTCAGAGAGCTAGGACTTTGGTCTATGACACACTAATCTCATCTGTCAAATGTGGCACCCTTCATATTGGATTGCTTTCTCTAGTCACAGGATTACATTTCCCATCCATAGATCACTCAGTGCTATAAACTAATTCAAGCTCTTCCATTTAGCAGCCTGGAAATAAGTATGGTTTGACATAACTGAACAAAGCAGAAATGAAATCCTGGAGTCTATTTTAAATGAAAAGAGTCTAAGATCAGGTGTCAAGCTTTGACTAAGATTCTGGAAAGAGCATCAAGAACAGACATTGTGTTTGGTAATACTACTTCCCTCCAGAGAAACTGAAAATACTTTGAGCAGCACAGAAAATAATGTCCCAGAACAAAGATAAATCGCAACTACAGAAGGTAACCAGGGGTCAGAGATGCAAGCAGAGAATTGAGCACAGAAAAAATTTTAAAGATCTACCAACAGATCTGCTTACTACTCAATTCAACTTTTGATAGAACAAACCTTTTGCACTTTGGCACAAGGGCATCTTAAGGGCACAATGCATCCTCTAATGCTCTCCCATTTGTAGTTTCTAAATATATATATTTAGCTGTATCTTTTTGGAAAAATTGATATTTGCCTTACTTAATATAGGATATTTCTTTCTCATTTTATTTAAAGTAATGCAAAGTCTTTCAACTGCAACTAGTTTTATTCCATAATGTTACTCCCAGGTGTATTGTATTCCAAGTGAGTTTTTCTTCTTATTTATAAATGTACTGGCTTTTAGTTTGACCACTGAAATAGTGGGGAAGGCAGTCAATCAAAATGTACTTGTGTGAATTCAAATGAAACTTTTGAAAACATTAACAAGATTGAAATATTTAAAAGGTCCTAGTATGCTCACTAAGTGCAAAAGTGATTAATCTTTTTACCTTAATGTTGGCAGCAATCATAAAATACATGCAATTAAAGTCTATAATGGCTTGTATTTCTATGGTATGTACTGTGAAGTTATCCAAGAAATAATGGGATAGAAAAAATAGAATATATATACCACGCTCTGCAAATAATATCTCCTAATAAATGTGTTTAGCACAATGCAGTTTGGAAACATTCAACTGTCAAATATTTGTCTGTAATAACTGTTTTTCTGCATAGGGACTGTGTTAACTTCTAGAATAATGGGAGGCAATACTTCTTTTTAATGATCTTACTGATTTCTAGCTTAAGTGAATAAACATCTTAAACAAGATTTTAAATGTGAAGAAGAGTGATGATGAAGACACCATCAGTGACAAATTTTTATTATTTTATGCAAAGAAAGGGCTATTATATACCATTTTAAATTATAAATATTTTCATATTTCAAAACATTATGAAAATTATGCACAACATAAAGGTTCTTATTCGGGTAGGTTACAGAAATTTTAATCTATGTATTCATTTAATATTTTTACTGAGGCAACCAGTCATTTTACAACATCCATTCTACTTTAATAAACATCCGTAATGCCCATAAAAGTGCTTATCTGAATAGACTGCACTTCTTCGTTTCCTTTATATATAGCTGTGGGCCTGTAATTTCTGGCCAATTGGTTACAAACAAATGTGGTGCAAGCAATTGCTATGAAGACGTAATCTTTTTTTTTTTCTCATTTCTCCCTTCCTGAAAGCTGGAATGCTATTGTCATGACTAGCATCAGAACAGTCACTTGGAATCACAAAGTGGAATCTAGGGACTAAGGATGACCTTCTGCATTAAAAACTAAAACACTGTTGAGAAAAAGTGGACAAGAAAAATAGAGATATGTGTCATGGTCTTAGAAGACTAGATATTATGAAAATGTCAATATTTCCTAATTTGATCTTTAGAATCAATGAAATCTCAAATTAAAACACTGCAGGATTTTTTTTTTGGGGGGGGCAGGCAAATGTGTGGTGGAAAGGCAAAAATGGACAAACTTAGTTTAAAAACTATACAGTGATGTAAAGAAACTACAATAGAAAAAACAGGCTTGAAATACAATAAGAGTAATCAAGATGGAGTAGCACTGGCAAAAAGATAGGCAAATTAATGAAACAGTATACAGTTATATTCTCTCTTCTTCTCTTTTACATCATAAGAATGAAATATCTAGGCCGGGTGCGGTGGCTCAAGCCTGTAATCCCAGCACTTTGGGAGGCCGAGGCGGGCGGATCACAAAGTCAGGAGATCAAAGACCAACCTGGCTAACATGGTGAAACCCTGTCTCTACTAAAACATACAAAAAATTAGCCGGGCGTAGTGGCGGGCGCCTGTAGTCCCGGCTACTTGGGAGGCTGAGGCAGGAGAATGGTGTGAATCTGGGAGGCGGAGCTTGCAGTGAGCCGAGATCACGCCACTGCACTCCAGCCTGGGCGACTGAGGGAGACTCCGTCTCAAGAAAAAAAAAAAAAAAAAAAAAAAGAAATGTCTAAATAGCCTGGTAGAGAGGAGCTAAGAAAATCTGGCCGTTAATCCATTTCCTCTCTTTTTTGTACGGGGGAGGAAGTATTTGACACCACAAGGAAAGAGGAAAATGTCAGGTGATCTAGTATAATCTCTGTTAATGGGACCGCTGGGTAACTAGCTTGATGATATTTGCAAAGAGACTGTATCTACACAGTCTTTAGCAGGCTATTTCTGGCCAAAAGAGTATTAATAGTAACTAAACTCTGAATCTGTGGACCTATGAGATATGCCTTTTTAGAGAATGATTTGTAAGCTATACAACTCTTATGGTACAAAATAGAGCTGGTTCATTACTTAAACACAATTGACTCCTTTTTGTGGAGAGATATAAACGTTACTCAGAGACTCCAAATAATACTTAGGTCTAGGAAATCTATCACTGCAGGAAGAAAGGTTTGGGAAAGCTGAAACCAGAGGTTAATCTGATTAGGTCCACCAAACTTAACCTGTCCTACTTGCTTTTTGTTATTATTATTATTATTATTATTATTATTATTATTATTATTATTGTTATTTCTCATATAGCTAAAAGCCACACCACTAAATGTTATAATTTAAACTTCCCTGGCTTCCTTATAGATAATATTTCTGACATAGGTGTCACTGTGGTAACAGTGGCTTAAGTTGCTTTTTCAGGAGCTGGGGGCAGCTTAAAGCATTTGAGACCACCAGTCATTCAACTGCGCCTGCACAAATGCCCAAGAGTTGGTCTTTTGACCTCAGAGGGCCAAAAACTCCACCTCAGTTTATGCTAATGCTGCCATTTTCTGAATATGTGTCCTATGATGAGTCACGAACCCTTATGGCATTTGTGTAGATCACCAATTACTTCACTTTTTCACACTGCCAATCACCTTTCCCCATGCATTAGGCAACCGCTCTTCTATAACCCATAAATATCCCTAAGGCTTATCTTCAAAAAAATAGATTTGAGAGCTGTTCTTCCATCTGCTCGTTGAGGTACACTGTGAATAAACCTTTTCTCTTTTGCAAAACCTGTCATCACAGTGATTGGTTTACTGTGTACAGGAAGAACAAACCTGATTAGTTTCATGCAGAAATTCAAGGATCGTTAGAGAATACTGTGAGCAACTATATGTCAAAAAAATGCGAAAATCTAGAAGAAATGGATAAATTTCTAGACACATAAAACCTACCAAGATTGAACCATGAAGAAGTAAAAAATCTGAACAGTAACAACATCAAAGTGATCATAAAAAGTTTCCCAGCAAAGAGAATTCCATGACCTGACTTCATCACTGCTGAGTTTTATCAAACATTTAAAGAACTAATACCAATCCTACTCAAACTACTCCAAAAAATGGAGGAGGGAATACTTCTAAACAAATTCCACAAGGCCAGTATTATCCTGATACTAAAACCAGACAAAGACACATTTTAAAAAAATGAATACTGATGCAAAAATTCTCAACAAAAATACTACTAAACAGAATTCATCATACCTGGCTTATTTTTTATTTTCAGTAGAGATGGGGTTTCCCCATGTTGGCCAGGCTGGTCTTGAACTCCTGACCTCAGGTGATCTGCCTGCCTCAGCCTCCCAAAGTGCTGGGATTACAGGTGTGAGCCACTGCACCTGGCCAGTAGCATTTCTTTATGTAAACAATGAACAATCGGAAAAACAAATCAAGAAAGTAATCCCACTTACAATAGCTACAAATAAAATTAAATACCTAGAACTTAACTAAATAAGTGAAAGATTTCTGGAATGAAAACTATATAACATTTATTCCAGAGATTGAAGAGGACACCAAAAATTAAAACATATTCCATGTTATGAATTGGAAGAATCAATATTGTTATAATGTCCACACTACTCAAAACAATCTGCAGATTCAATGCAATCCCTATCAAAATGTCCATGACATTCTTCACAGAAATAAAAAAAAAATTCTAGAAGTAATATGGAACCACAAAAGACCCAGAATAATCAAAGCCATCCTAAGTGAAACAAAAACAGAAACAAAAACAAAACTGGAGGAATCACATACCTGACTTTGAATTATACTACAGAGCTATAGTAACAAAAACAGCATGGTACTGACATGGAAACAGACAGAGAGACCAATGGGACAGAACAGAGAAACCAGAAATAAATTTTTACATCTACAGTGAGCTCCTTTTCAACAAAGGTGCCAAGAATATTCATTGGGGAAAGGACAGCCTCTTCCAAAAAATAGTGCTGGGAAAACTGTACATTCATATGAAAAAGAATAAAACTAGATGCCTATCTCTCAGCATATACAAAAAATCAAATCTAAATGGATTAAAGACTTAAATCTAAGACTTCAAACTATAAAACATCTACAAGAAAACACTGGAGAAACTGTCCAGAACATTGGGCAAAGATTTGTTGAGTAATACCCCACAAGCACAGGCAACCAAAGCAAACCTCAACAAATGAGATCACTTCAAGTGAAAAACCTGTGCAGCAAAAAGAAGCAATCAACAAAGTGAAGAGGCAACAGAATGGGAGAAAACATTTGTAAACTACAACTTGACAAGGTATTAATAGCCAGAAACTATAAGAAGCTCAAACAACTCAATAGGAAAAAGCTAATAATCTGATTTTAAAATGAGCAAAAGATCTGAGTAGATATTTCTGAAAAGAAAATGTGCAAATGGCAAACAGGCATATGAAAAGGTGCTTGACATGATTGATCCTGAGAGAAATGCAAATGAAAACTATAATGAGATATCATCTCACCCCAGTTAAAATGACCTTTATCCAGAAGACAGGCAATAACAAATGCTGGCGAGGCTGTGGAGAAAAGGAAACTCTTACACTGCTGGTGGGAATGTAAATTAATTAGTACAATGACTATGGAGAACAGTATGGAGGTTCCTTAAAAAAGTAAAAATAGAACTAGGATGTGATCCAGCAATCCTACTTCTAGGTATATACCCCAAATAAAGAAAAGATGTATATCGACAAGATACCTGCACGCCTATGTTTATTGCAAGACTATTCACAATAGGCAAGGTTTGAAAGCAACCTAAGTGTCCATCCGCAGGTGAATGGTTAAATAAAAGGTAGTATATGTTCAGAATGGTATTATTCTGCCATAAAAATGAATGAGATCCTGTCATTTGCAACAACGTGGATAGAACTGGAGGTCATTATATTAAGTGAAATAAGCCGGAACAGAAAGACAAACTTCACATGTTCCCACTCACCTGTGAAAGCTAAAAATTAAAGCAGTTGAATCCAGGGAGATAGAGAGTAGAATGATGGTTATCAGAGGCTGGGAATCATTGTTGCAGAGGGGACAGTGGGGATGGTTACATACAAAAATATAGTTAGATAAAATGAGTAAGATCTAGTATTTCATAGCAGAACAGGGTGACTGCAGTCAACAATAATTTATTGTACCTTTTTAAATAATTAAAATAATATAATTTGAATGCTTGTAACACAAATGATAAATGCTTCAGGTGATGGATACCCCATTTATCCTAATGTGATTATTACACATTGCTTGCATGTATCAGAATATCTCATGTACCCCATAAATATATACACCTACTATGTACCCATAATTGTTTTTTAAAAAACCCTAATTGGTATTAAAGCCACTGCCTATGTCCTATTTCCTGATTCCCCTCTATTCATTTGAGTAACATGATTGTCTGTAACCTAAGACTGTTGGTCAAATTTGATGCTTACTAAGATCACTCAGTTTTTTTATGAGTCCTGTTTGACAATTATTCCCTTTGTTTTAGCTCCTAGGAGCTGCCTCTATAGCTTTTGTCCCAGAATAAGAAGTTAAATGAAACAGACCCACAGTTGACACTTAGCCTGAAGGACAGAAAAAACTAGCCAGAAATTTGTATGTAACATAACAAATAAATAAATATTTATTATTAGAGACTGAGATTTAGGATTTCATTTATTACCCCAATGAAGGTGACTAGTATGGCAGGATATGTTTGAAGAGGATCCTCTTTTTAAGCAATTTATACTCAGGGTTGCATTTGTAGTTTAAAAGCTCAAAAGGCGCCATTTTGTCTGAAAAAGTAGAACCTGAGAAGGATAATGACAGAATCTATAGAATCACAAAGATTATGTAACAAAAATTGCTAAGGGGTGGCATGATGGTCATTCCTTTCATAAAAGTATTCCTGAATTATCTAATAGCATTTTTTTTACATTTTAATTTGTTAAACTTTGTGAGTACATAATAGGTGTATATATTTATGGGGTACATGAGATGTTTTGAGATAGTCATGCAATGTGACAATTTAATAACTTCTTGATAACTATGGATTCTGTGGTTCAGAAAACTCTCTAATCTTTTCTACATAGTTCCATGTTCTTTCTTTATCATTATGTTTCAATTAGCCATAATATTTCCCACAGCCATAATATAGATATTAAAATGCGGCAGAGGTATGGTAAAGAATAGCAAAACCTCAGTACCCCCGCAACACACACATTAAAGCTTTATCAGCAATTATTACTATCTAGGAGTGGGATTTAGGCTTATTTTTAAAATAAATATTCTGTCAGTTTCCTTTAAAGAAATACAAATATGTTCTGCAAGTGAATAATAAAACTGCTTTACTTTTAGGCAAAATTTATTTTTCTTCTGATGAACTGGTTTTGATGGATAAGTTGCAGTATTAAAAAATGGAGTTGACATGTGAAAAGAAAGTATTGCACAATTCATTACAGGAGTCAATTTCTAGTCTTTCTGTGTCAATTCAGATATCAGAAGTCATGTTCTTAACCTAGACTATCTCTAAGGAAGTTATAAAAACTGAGATTATGATAAATAACACTAGAATACGCTACTGAAAAATGATTTCTAAGTAGTGCAATCAATATCCATTTATAGACACACAAAACTGTAGCCCATAGGATTCAAAAATGTACTGCAAGCAATTTAAAATAAAGCAATTTCATTACTGGAAGACAGCAGAAAGCTTCTTAGGGAAAATTCTAAGATTTTGTTGGTTTATTTAAATTTTAGATTTTAGTAAAACCACTAATATATCACAATCTCCTGCCCATTTTGTTTTTAAGGACTCAAAGCAGGTAATTCACAAAGATTGCAATAAAGCACAAACCCAGAGCCATTAAAATGGAAAGTGTCTATTTATGCTAATCTTTTCCTCCAATATTCACCAAAAATGCAGGTTGCTGTATATTCTTTATTAAGGCTATATAATGAAACTTTTTCTACATCTAAATGACACTTTTCTAGGAATATATATATGTGTATATATATACATATATATATTCTAGGAATATATATATACACATATATATTCTAGGAATATATATATACACATATATATTCTAGGAATATATATATACACATATATATTCTAGGAATATATGTATATAGAAAGTTATTTAAGTGACAATAGTTCAGAGGTACTTGTCAGACATACTTTCATCAGATAAATTCTACATGGAAAGGCAGGGGATTGAATGGGAATTTTAATGTACATATCCTTTCTGGGTAACATTAAATTTATCTCCTCTACTGACTTTCTTAATAAGATGATTTACATATCTGTTGCTTTTCTGTTGGTACTTTCTGGATATTTGTCATTGCAAGTCTGTTAAATCACTTGCAATGGCCTCTGACTGAATGTGGTGCATGAATCCTAGATGCTATTTTCGCAACTTAATTTATTGCTCTCTTTTCTTTGTCTGGTTTCTTTCTAAATACCCTTCAAAATCTAGCTAAAGCATCACAATTTTCAGGTAGCCTTTCCAGAATGATTAGTGTGACCAAAAAAATGCTCCTTCATATTCTAATAGTAACCTATTCTTAACATATAACACAGCTAACTAGTGATAATCAGAAGTCTACTGGTGATTTTTCTTCATTAAACTTTAATTAGAAAAAAACTCCGAGATATTTAAATTATCATTTTTTCAGGGAAAAATAAACTATGATATTTGAAAATAGTCACCAAATTAAATATTACAGTAATAAAGCTAATCTCTGTGAAGAGATAATGGCATTCTGCTTCTATCCAAGAAAGAGTAACAGGAAATGGATTTATGCTCCTGCCCTAAATCAATATAAAAAATATATCATAAGAGTTTTCAAGACATTAGTTACCAGCAAACTTAGCATAGTGATCTTGAGAGACAGGAAACAAATGAATGGAACCTTATGATTATTCTGTGTTCCTGCCTTGATAGTTTCCAGGGTATTGTGAAGAATGAAAATCTAAGACAGAACTTAGAGGATGTCTTGAGTTTGGGACACAGAGCTAAAATACCAGACAGACTGTAACCCCTACAGTTCATAGTGCTGAGTACTGTAGAGAACAGAGAGAGAGAAAAGGAGAAGGAGAATGAATACTGGAGATCTGAAGAGAGTCACCCTATATTATTCAGGAAAGTACGATAATGAGAAAAATACTCAACTCAAGGCTAGGATCAGGGAGGGAGAGAAAATATCTGACAGGTTACAGAGAATAGTACTCAGAACTCACGCAGAACAGGGAATAGTATGTTTCCATCAACCACATTGAACGCATAATTCACGGATCACTGGATAGAACATTCAGTATTCATTAGTGAAAAAACTGGTGACATTTGAGTAAAGTCTGTGGTTTTGTCAACATCATTGTATCAATAGTATTTTTTTAATTTTAATAAATGTACCATGATTGTATAAGATGTTAATATTAGTGAAAGTTGAGGGAAAGGTACTTGGAAAGACCCTGTTCTATTGTGTTTTTGAGTTTTTTTATAAAGTTAAAATTATTTCAAAATAATTTGAAAACAAGAGTCACATCACTATATATGATATTCAAATGGCTAATAAACGTGCTCATGTACTTATTTTTATTAGTAATTATGGAAACGGAATCTAGTACTACTACATCTTCAGTGGAATAGCTAAAATAGAAATAAATAATAATAATGGAAATCCAAAAAAAAGAAAATGGGCAATACCAAATGGAGGCTAGAATGTAGAACAACTAGAACTCTTGTAACACGATTATTTGGAGTACAAACTGGCACAATTGTTTTGGAAAAGTTGCCTGTAATTATCTACCAAATTTGAACGCATTCACATACTATAAATTATTAAATCAAGTTGTAGGTGTACACACAACTTAATATATAGCATACATATTGTTTACAATAATGTTCACATATGCACCAAAATTATAAGAAAGTATACTCATGTTGCACTCATACTCAAGCAAATACATAATTTTATATTCAATTTTGATAAACAGGCAAGTCAACTCTATCAGGATAGAGTTGACAAATCAACACAAGTCAGGATAGTAACTACTGTGGGCAAGAGAGTAAGGGTAAATTGAAAAGGAGAAGGAAGGGGCATCTAGCAGATGGTAATGTTCCAATCTGCAAACTGTGTGGTAGTTACATGGATGTGTTAACCTCATGACAAGTTAACAGGCTATTCACTTTTCTGCACTTCTCTCTATAGACAAAAAGTTAAAAGGTACTTAATAAAAAACAAGTTTCTAAATTAGTCTCATCTTCAGTTCTTTCTTTCTTGGCTTGTTTTTTTACACCCCAGAACATCAATGTACTACTTAAAAATGAATGAATATATTTGAATCATTATAAGAGTAAATATTAGTACCTGCTAAGAAATCATTTCTAAAACTTACTGGTCAGAATGATTCTATCTGGTTTTATATAGATATCTCATCTTGTTAATTCCCTCCTGTACCTTAAAAAATGCTAACCTATACTTTAAATACACTTGCCCATCAAACTGTATCCACAAAAATTAATGCTAATGAGTAAAATCAAAGTGGAAGCAGAGGGTATCCATTCAGGATTCATCAGAATTATGCTTTTGTTTACAAATCTAATGTCTGATTTCTGTAAGACCGTATCTCTGACTTGTTATTGACAAAGATTTTAGCACTAACATTTTTATACCTGCAGCAAAAAACAATTTGTCTTGTAGGCAAATGATACCTCTATTTCAGTTTTCTTCGAATTCTTCCATGAAAACATCTTGTCTTTAATTTATAAGATTTAGCAAAGACTACCTCCCTGGGAATTAAAAAACAAGCAAGAAACAAGCTGTCAGAGAAATTTTACTCCATTCTGCTGATGACTGTGTTTGGAATGTAATTATCACACAGTCAGTGGTGGGTCCAGGTTCCGTGAAGACTGAAGCTTACATAGTTTTTTGGGACGTCTTCAAGAAAAAAAAAGGGAGAGTGCAAATACATCTTATGAATGAAAATTTTATTGAAACATAGGATGATGTGAATACATTGTTAGGGCCCCTTCTTTGGGATCAGTATAAGTGAAAGAAAAATTGTTTCTTTTTCTTCATGGTAAGTCCAGTCCTTAATGGTATCTCTGGTTCTATGGATAGAACCAGGAGATAATCACATAAAGCAGATGTCAAAAAGAAGAGACACCTCTAGGGGAAGAGCAAGCAATGTAAATAAATGAAATGGGGTGTGTTTAAAGAAATTATAGTGCAAGGGTTATTACAAATGGCAACTTGCAACCTCATTCTCATGGAAGAGATAATAGGGGATGATGTAACTATGCCACTCTGCCTTGCATGATGGAAAACAGCCAAATTTCAAATCCACTCAACTTCTTACACATAGTTGACTGTTGTTCACTCTTCCCTTATTGAACAAATCAAAAGAAATCTGTATTTTCATTATAAATATCCCATTTTAAAAAATTAGCATTGAATTTAAACTATTGAGTATCTCCCTTTGAATATAGAACCTGGGATTTTCCCCAAGCCTTATATACACAAATGTAAATAGAACTAGTGAAACATGGCCCTAAAACTAACCCCGGCCATAGGTTGAGGCTAAAGATAAGTAGTGAGCTGGCCCTGAACGTTTTACCTTGTTTGTAATGATTTAAATTAGAAGATACTCCTTTCCCCACCAAAATAGGGGACTTGTTGAGACTTGGATACATATCTTAGATTTAGGGAATTCTGATGAGATGGAAAAAATTCAGTGGATTGACAAAACAATTAGGTCTGTAGTATGTTTGGCCTAAGCTCTCCTCATCTTTGTTAGTTTTCCCGGAAATGGATTCAAAGATACTAAGTGGGTTATAAATGCCACTGTCTTTATCAGAAGATTGCTTGAATGACTAGGAATCCATGGAAAGACCACCTGAGGAGCCTAATGCTGTGCCTCATGTTTAATGGGCCAAGCTGTATCTGTACCGTCATTTTAAATGGAAATATACAAAGTTAAGAAAGAAAAGCAGCAACAGTGTTTACGACATACTTCACAGGTGATGTTTGTTCAGGGGTAAAAAATAGGGTAAGTGTAGGCAGATGGATTCCAAAGAAATCAAAAGCTTGTTTAAATGCAAATGTTCCCAGGAAGAAGAAGCATTTAGAGAAGAAATGATATATAAATAAAGTTCCTCTCAGCAGAATGTTTTCTTGCTCACGTTTACAAGAGGCAACCTCAGGTGTCTAATGGAGATATAAGGAAGAACTAAAAGTGGATACCTTTGTGAAAGGAGTTTTGGTGCCTCTAAAAGCCTGCTGTCTGAGATACTTTATTTAGCTACGGAACTGAATGTGCAACCAAATTACAATCTTTCTTCTCTTTCAATTTTGTACACTGATCTTGACTTCAGGATTAGTTGACACTTCAAGAAATAAAAGTGCAATTTAGCCTTCCTTTTAATCTCCACTTAACTTCTGTGATAACAAGCAACTGCTTAGCAAGGTAATTAATGGGAAATTATGCTTTTTTATTGGCAACTTGGGATGTACTTCTGAAGAGCAAGACAGGAAGCACTGAATCATAATGTGGTACTAATTATTTTCTATCTCAGCTATTTTGGTCATAGCACCAATATGAGTCGGTAATCTGAAAGATGGGGAAGAGAATATCTCTTGGCCCACCAAGAGGACTTATTTGAGGGGGGAGAAGAATAAGTTAAATGTCTCCTATGTTTGAAGATACATGATCAAACACAAATCTCTTATTTTTTACATGTGGCATCATTATTACACACGACATACATTTGTTAGATCATTTAATCCCACAGAATACAGTGTGACAATTGCTTAAGAAAAAAAAGAGATGAAATCTTCATACCTCACTCAGACTTTTCAGCAGTGGATTAAATGAATATTTAGCAAAGCAAGTTAGCAGTTTGCAAATGTGCAATTAAAATCCTGGCTCTTCTCTAATTATGTAACACAAGTTAAATGGTCTTAATAGACATATAATGATAGCTTTATAAACCTATAGTTACTTATAATCAAATGTAATTTCTATTTCGGTTTTAAAGCACCCATTAAATGTCTATTATGATTTTTAAGTAATTTGGCAGACATTTAATGAATACTTTACAAACCTAAATAGTAATTATTTCAAGAGACAACTGTTAACATATAGGAGTAACAGCTATTCATTTGAACACATGGTTTAAAACTAATTACTGAGCTATTTATGCAATACCCAGTGGATTTACAACAAAAAGAAAATCATAATTTTATTGTAATCTTATCTCTTAAAATAGAAACAATTTTTTTCTAATTTTGTGCTGGGTTCTGTGACATAACCTGTCATCTTCCAAAAATGTAACACTGGTAAGTCAAATCTTTTCAGAATACCATGAATACTCCAGAAAATTAATTTTGTTCTGGGCAGAGAAAAAATGTATTTTATGCATTAATTTACTGTTATATTTTGGGTATGTTGCTAGGAGACTTAAATGAATAAAATTCAATGTAGACAGGTTCTTTCTTATTGCAAGTTGTAGGTGATGAACCTGTTTTCAATCTCTCAGCATAATGCTACAAATATTATCAAAAGACCACTATTTCTCACTATTTATAAAACAGGTATAGGTTGGCAACATCTTTTCACACCTAAAATGCTTAAAATTCTTTAACATGACAGAATTTTATGTTACAGTACAGCCACTAAACTTTTCTCATGAAACAGAAATTATTATTTTTGGCCCATGCAGCAGTTTTGAGCATTATAGGAGGACTTTACTGCCTATTTCATGGGTGATTCACATTAATTTGTAAAATTAAAATTGCTTTATTGTTTCTGTGAGATATAGGTATTTTAAGTCTGAATTTCCAACTCTGGTTGACGTAATTACACAAATTAGATAATTATTTGAAGGTGAGAAAGAAGTTTTCATACCAATGTGTATTAATATGTATTATATTTAAATTATCATTATAGTATTATGGAGAGTTAATTTCATAATTTAGTTTTTTTCATATACACTCTGTCTCAGCATTGTGGTCATTTGTGATTTTTCATATCCTAACCTGTCTTTCCTTTTTTGACAAGAAAAAATAATGCAATCATTCTCTCTCTCTACTAGCTTTACTTATTTATCATATAGGTATATGTAGCATCCATAAAATAATACATGTGTGAGTCTATTATATATAAACAAAATAATTCATACAGAATTCTCATTACATAAATATGTGTTTGATTTACTAACACCATTAATAACAGAACAGGCAACGTGCTTTCCTGAGTCTTTTCTTGAGACTCGACTGTTGGTCTTTTTCCATGTTCACGCACTAACATGGCCAAGCTCAGTTCTCTACTCAGTCAGAATGGCTAATGAAAGATGACTCTGTTTCTCTCTAAGATCCAGTCTAGATATAGCCATATTTAAAGAGGGTTCTCACTCCTGATTTATTCTAGTTCATCTTGGACAACAATTTAGTCTTAGAGAAGAGGGAAAAAATGCATCTCTATCTCAAGAACATGTATATCTTCTTATTCTTATGAAATATACTAGATAGAAAAAAAAGAGAAATACAAAATAAAAACAGGAGTCCTAAAATTTGGATAGCCCAACCCCCTTTCGCAAATTCAATGGTATCTATAAAATTCATGCTGGGTTACAAATAAAATATAGTTAAATGAGTTATAACTTTATTTAAATCCATATACAAATAATATTATAAACTAGAACATTTATATCTTCTTATTCTTATGAAATGTACTAGATAATAAAAAAGATAAATAAGAAATACAAATAGGAGTCCTAAAATCCTAAAATTTGGATAGCACAACCTCTACTCACAAACTCAATGACATCTATAAAATTCATGCTGGGTTACATATAAAACATAGTTAAATGAGTTATAACTTTGTGTAAATCCATATACAAATAATGTTATAAACTAATACAGTGTGATGTTTAGAAAAAGCTAACCATTAAGTCTCTATTTATACTGCCTATGCCTTATGATGTTATACATTAATACAATTTTTAAAATAACAAGTAGTCATTTGTATACATGTGCTAGAAACTCAGCAGAGAGGTCTGTACTACATACACTGTGCATCAGTCTGCCAAGGATTGGCATGTAGATAGTGATGCCATATAGTGATGTGAGATCAAAAAGAGGTTGCATAGCTAAAGAAAAGAAGAATATCAAAGATAGAGTTCTATAATATCCAACACCAAAAGTTCAGGAAATTAGGACAAGCAAGCATATGAGACTGGACAGATGTCAGAGGGGTAGGGAAAAACCAGGCAAAAATAGATGACTGGAATCCAAATAAAGCCATTCTTCCAAAAAGCAGGAGATATTTAAACATGTTATATCCTATTGGTAGATCAGCTTAAAGATTAAGTATTAATCATTAGATTTAACACTGGGAAATTAATTGGTAAACTGATAAAAGGAATACCAAAGTGCTACAATGAAAGATTGATGAAGTGGGCTGAAGAGACAAAAAAAAATAAAAAGAGTAAAAAATTAGTATAAGCTACTTTTAGTATTCCAAGGCATGCTCTTGTAAAGGGAAGTTAACAAAACCCAATCAATCAAACAAGCAGACAAAAACGGGGCTGTAGATGAAGACAGAATTGAAATTAAGAGAGCTTTTATTATAGGATGCAGATACAATGACACATTTATGTACTGATGGTAAGATCCAGGAGAGAGGGAAAATTTGAAGATGCTTTAGAAAGAGGAATAAAACATCAAAGCCAAATTTTTATAGGTAAAGCAAAGGGATGTAGTGCACAAAAATGAAAGTGAGTTGGTAGCTAGGAGTTTCATAGCTTATCCGCATGAACAAGCAAGCAAGGAGTTGGGCATGGTCTCAGGCGCTGGGTACATGTGGTAGTGGATCCTAAAGTTCTCTTGTGATTGATCCAATTTTCTTAGCAACATGGGAAGTGAGATCATTGGGTGATGTAAAGATAACTGTGGTAGTTCTGAATATTTGTGGAAAAAGGAAGTTTAAAATAGCTTTCTAGGAGAGTGGAATGAAAAATTCATTGAAATGTGTAATTTAATTTCTTTTCTTTCTTTCGTTCTTTTTTTTTTTGAGGCAGAGTCTTGCTCTGTCGCCCAGGCTGGAGTGCAGTGGCGCGACCTCTGCTCACTGCAAGTTCCACCTCCCAGGTTCCCGCCATTCTCCTGCCTCAGCCTCCCGAGTAGCTGGGACTACAGGTGACCACCACCACGCCAGGCTAATTTTTTTTTTTTGTATTTTTAGTAGAGACGGGGTTTCACCGTGTTATCCAGGATGGTCTTGATCTCCTGACCTCGTGATCCACCTGCCTCGGCCTCCCAAAGTGCTGGGATTACAGGCGTGAGCCACTGTGCCCGGCCGTGTAATTTAATTTCTAAGTAATAATGATGACCAACTGTTCTGAAATTAACAATCACACATTTAAATTGAGAGCAATCAGCATGTGGTGTTTTGCTCCAATAACATTTAGTTGCACATGCACATGAAAAAAGTAGTCAAAGAGTTGAATATTAAAGTGAGAAACTTATCAGATTTCTAAGGTAATGCCCAAAGTTTTCTGTGTGTATGCACATGTGCACGGGCAGGCATGTGTTTTGGTTGGCCTTCATCCACTGTAAAGCTTTATGTTGTGAAAATTTTCATATATTTTATAATAAGATATTCTGGAAGAAAAATGATGGTAGCTTAGTTTTGAATTTTCCTGCTTCTCTTCTAAAATTTATAGGGGGATGTATTAGTGTCCTAAGACTATCGTAACACGGTATCACAACCTGAATAGTTTAAGCAACAGAAATTCACTGTCTCACTGTTCAGGATGTTAGATGTCTAAGATCAGGTCTCAGCAGTGTTGATTTCTTCTGAGGGCTCTGAGGGAAGAATCTGTTTCAGGCCTTATGCCTGGGCTTTTAGATGGCCATCTTCACCGTGTACTCCTTCACATGGAGATGTGTGTATGTGTGTGTGTGTGTGTGTTTCTCCAAGTTTCCCCCTTTTCAGTCATATTAAATCAGGGCAGAACTTATGATCTCATTTTAACTTGATTACCTCTGTAAGACCCTATCTCCAAATAAGGTCAGTTTCTGAGGTACTGAGGATTATGACTCCAACATATGAATTTCGCCGATGGCACACAATTCAATCCATAACAGGCAAAGTGTTGCATTGCTATGACACAAAGAGACAAGGAGGGAAGAGAACTTAGAAATCACCTAATAAAATGCGCTCCCAGGAAGAAGATGGCATCATATAGCGTAGGAACCAACGTGCTCAAAGCTGAGCTGGAACAATGCATCAGTCAAAGAGTAGACAAACAGAAATGCAGGGTGTGGAAGAGGGAGGAGGAGAAGACAAAAATTTAAAAAAACAGAACTCTAAAATGCCACCATAGTAAGTGTATTAAAATAAAAATTTAAAGCCTCTAACTATGGTAGAATAACCAGATGTGAACTTGTCTGTTTGCCTTACAAAAATAGGAAACAGGATAAAACGTAGAACTAATAAATTGTCAGATATTTTACCATAAGCAGCACAGAACTATGAACTCTAAGAGAAGAGAGAAAATTGATGTAAGTTCGGTTATTACTCTGACTTTCTGTCTGAAGGGATTTTCTTGAACTTGATGCAGAGAGGTATCCAAAGCACAGCATGACAATCTCCTTGATATGAGGAGATAGAGATAGAATTTCAGACAGGTGGGTTTGGCTGGAAAATTGCAGAGCATGTATTAGAAAGAAGTATGATGTACAGACAATGGCTTTTATCTGCTTCAATCTGTTGCACAATGTAAACCACACATGCCGTGGATGAACATCTAGTAATAGTGTATAGAAAATCAAAGATAACTATGTTCACAGATTTCTCATTAGAAAGTATGCCAGGACGGGGCATGGTGGCTCATGCCTGAAATCCCAGCACTTTGGGAGGCCAAGACAGGAGGAATGCTTGACCCCAGGTGTTTGCGACCAGCCTGGCCAATATAGTGAGTCCCAGTCTCTAAAAAAAAAAAAAAAAAAAAAAAAAATTATATATATAGCCAGGCATTGTGGTTTGCGCCTGTAGTCTTGGTTGCTCAGGAGGCTGAGGTGGGAGGATGGCTTGAGTGTGAGAGGTCAAGCAGTGAGCTGTGTTCATGATGCTGCCCTTCAGCCTGTCTGAGATTGAGACTCTGTCTCAAAAAAAAAAAAAAAGAAAGAAAGAAGAGAAAAGAAAAGAAAGCAAAAAGAAAGAAAAAAAAGGAAACTATGCCAGGCAGTAGACAATAAAATATCTTTGAAGTAGGAAGGAAAAATAACCATCAATCTAGAATTTTATATAGAGTAAAATATCTACAACAAATCAAGGTAAAACTGATACTTTTCCCAACAACAAAAGTTAGAGGAATTTATCACTAACTAAATTGAACTAGATGAACTATTACAGTTTTTAAGCAAGGAAGCTGTTATTTGATGGAAGCTAAGGTATACATAATCAAACAATGATTACCAATGTAGAAGTTTCCTTTCATTTTCTGAAACCGTTTTTGGGACATAACACGCTGCTTATACTGTGTGTTTATATGGTACAGTATTATGTTAAAATAAACTAATAACATAAGGATATATATTGTGAACACAAAACAACCATAAAAATAGTTATAGTTGATTAACAGTATTTAAAATGAAATACAAAAATAATAAAAGACTGACAAAGAGCAAGTAAAAAGCAACAACAAAAATAGATGGAATAAGTAATAAGCAAGGACAAAAAAAAAGAACTATTGTTCCTTCTTTCTTTTCCTTTCCTTCTGTGTCACTTTCAGCATAGGTAGTTAAATAATGCAGTAAAGTAACAGAGAAAATAAATTATGTAATAGGGTTCCATGGTTGTTTGTGTTTATTGGAAAGTCACTGCTTGTTTGCAATTGAATTGAGTTCTGGTTTTGAATGGAAAGTGTAGCCTCTTGGAGTTGTCAACCTTGCTCACTCATTTATAGACATAAAATGCTTATCTTGTACTCAGAGTCTTGCTGAACTTTCAAGCACTGTGGGTCCACAAGAATTCTGCGTTCACGTGGCATCACAAACGCTGTATGTGAATAGAACAGTAAGAAACTGAACATGTATATCACAGACATCTCTGCTCACACTTGTACTCAAGTGTCCCATCATACTGCACTTTTAAAACACAGAGGTAAAATTATTTAAAAATTTAAGGCAGTAATAAGAGAGTGTTAAATCAAAAACAGGGCACTTCTGAGCATGAAATCTTGTATGACTGTACAAGGTACAGTGCATGAAGCTGGCCCTACATGAACAAAACGAATTATTTCCTTCTAAGTTCTAGAACAAAGTAGAGATATCCAGTCTAACCACTGAAATTCAATATTGCATCAACATTCTTGCCAATGCAATATGAGAAAGATAAAAATTAATACAACACATGCCATTAGTAACAACGTTAAAAACATGAACACAGGAATAAACTTAGCATAATGTATGCCATACCTGTTTACTGAAATCTTCAAAACTTTGCTGAGAAAAATAAAACAAGATCGAAATATTAAGATTGGTGTGAAAGTAATTGCAGTTTTTACGATTGAAAGTAACGCAAAAACTGCAATTACTTTTGCACTAACCTAATATATTGCAATGTATAATGTGATTACAGATTGGA
The DNA here is from genome assembly GCF_000001405.40 of Homo sapiens. Classification (NCBI taxonomy): domain Eukaryota; kingdom Metazoa; phylum Chordata; class Mammalia; order Primates; family Hominidae; genus Homo; species Homo sapiens. The sequence continues at coordinate 18,686,201 of NC_000021.9, forward strand.
AGGCTTAATGTTGTTATGATAGTATCTCTCCCCAAATTGATCTATATGTTCAATGCATATTTAAAAAACAATTGTAGCAAAGTTCTTTGTAGAAATTGTTAAGCTAATTCTAAATTTTATATGGAAATCCAAAGGACATATTATATACAAAATGATTTCTAGGAAGAAGAACAAAATTAGATGAGCAGCACCTTTTTCTTCCAAGACTCCCTATATACTCCTTTTAGGCACCAGTCATAGAGGTAGTATGGCTGAGGTTTACAACTGGATGTATAGATAATGGAACAGAATAGAAAATCCAGAAACATGTCATTTTTTATGTGCTTAAATTTTTGAAAGTATTTCCATGGTTATTCAATGAGAAAAATTATAGTCTTTTAAACAATTTTATCCCAGAGGGAATGTAAGTATATTTAAAGACAAAAAAGAAACCTTAACTTATAACATGTCTGCACATGCTCATATACAAGAGGTATACAAGAATAGATGGAAGAGGAGTAAGATAAAAATACCAATTAAGGCCTTTGGACTAACAAGTGATGGAGTCTTTTTTTCCTGCCACTAACACTTTTCGTATAACTTTTTCCCCTAGAAATTGTAACTAGCCACAATTTGAAAATTAGAGATTGACAGTGAAGTGTATTAGTCAGTTTTCATACTGCTGATAAAGACATACCCAAGACTGTGTACTTTATAAAAAAGAAGAGGTTTAATGGACTCACAGTTCCAGGTGGCTAGGGAGGACTCACGAACATGGAGAAGGCTAAAGGCACGTCTTACATGGTGGCAGACAAGAGAGAATGTAGACAGACAAGTCTACATTGTCTTGGCAGACAAGTGAAAGAGGAAATAAATCTTCAGATCTCGTGAGACTTATTCACTAACAGGAGAACAGTATAGGAGAAACCATCTCCATGATTCAATTATCTGCCATGAGTCCCTCCCACAACACGTGAGAATTATGGGAGCTACAATTCAAGATGAGATTTGGGTGGGGATGCAGTCAAACCATATTAGTAAGTCTCCCCTGCATTATGGTGTACTGTTAGTGTGTCACTCATATCATATCAGATTCCTTAAACATTTGTTTGCATAAAGTCCCCATGTAATTCTATTCCCCATAGTAAGTACCTGCTTCTCTAGCACCATGTACTATGTACTATGCACAAGTAGCCAGAATCAGATTTGTCTACAGAATTGGAGAACTATTATCTCCGAACTTTTGTTCTCCTGCTAACAGCTCTTAAACATTGAGAGATGTGTGTAGAGGCTTAAATACTCCAAGCGCTTTTTCTCTAATCAGGAATAGACTATTTTTGAAGGATTGAGTAAAAGCTGTTCTTTGCAGGACTTTTCTATTATCATACTCATTTTTGGACTCCTCTCATGTCCTGTCTCATTTCCCCATGTGGTTATCAACTTGTCTAGGGATAATGTAAAATAACACATATCATGCTGGTCTCAGGACAAAACTCCATTTATTACAGTTGGTGCAAAACAGTCAGATTTTATGCCTATGATGCTGGTATAATTATTATACCATGATATTGACCCATTTCACTCCAAAACCCCTTCTAGTTTGTATAATAATTTATACAGTCATCATTTTATAATGTGAAATAGTCACAACCACAACCACATTCTACCCAGGAGAGAGAGTGTAGAAAAATCTATGATAATTTAGGAAAGAAAGAGTCAGACAAAGCAGGTGCTCTTGAAGTTTAAAAACAAAACACATTTTGAACATGCAAGAAACTTTGTGAATACTGTTTGCGGAAGCCTCCTTGACAACATTATGAGGGGATGAACTCCAGGTGGAAAGGAGTAATTGCTATTTAACAAATAAATGAAAGAAAGGCTAAAGTTGACAGAATAGATTATATATTGTATATGCTCTGATAATGTGGAAATAATTCATCTAACACAAAACGGAACAGATGGCTTTGATAAGAAGATAAAAAATAAAGTTAGTTTTCTGATTACATCATCGTAATTGCTAGATGTCAAAGGGTATTATTTAAAGCTACAAATCAAATAGTAAAAGATCAAGTCTATTTAAGGAAACAATGAAAAACACTCGAAAGTTATTGATATCTATTAAATGTGGGTGATGGTATCCTGGAAAGGGGAAAGGAAAACTATACAACTTCATGTTCATGGTGTTTAAAAGAATTGAAGAAAAAGGATATTTTACAAACGTAAAATCATTCATGCAATTTCTAGAGCAAAATTATAAACTTCCCTAAATATTAAAAATACACCAAAAGAAAAAATAAAAATAGACACCCATACTGAATATTTCATACATTGTGATGGTTAGTTTTTGTGTGTCAACTTGCCTAGGCTATGGTATCCACTTCTGTTAAACACTAATCTAAATACACCAGTCTGGATGTTGCTGTCTGATGAGGTTAACATTGATGATCAGTAGACCTTAAATGAAACAGATATCCTCCATAACGTGGGTGAGTCTCACCCAATCTGTTGAAGATCTTAAGAGTAAGGATTAAGGAAGAAATGGGATCCTCAAAATTTGAATGGGTCATCTGAAAATACTATAAATGAAGAAAAGGGAATTGTACTCTTAAATTTTACTGAATTTTAGAAGTGTCCCTTTCACCATCATTTAGAGATTAAACCTGCATTGACTGAGGAAACTGTAATGCCCCGTCCCCAGGTAGTTTCCTTGCAAGATGCTGTTAATCCTCCTCAGCGCCCCCCTCCCACGACTCTTTTATTCTAGACTTGTACCTAGACTCAAGTTCTAGCAGAAAGCTGAGGTCGAAGTGTACCCCATGAGTAGATATGCCAGAAGCCAAAAGAACTACATAATTTTTTCAATTTATACACACAGAAACCCTGGGAATATGTGAGAAATAAGTATTAAGGTTGTGGGATAGTAGGAACATAACGTTGGATCTGGCTAAATTTATTGATACAGGCCAGCTAAGCAGAGATCCTTCATTTAATAGTGCAGCATGAGGGGTTAGAAAAAGATCTAACAGTTTAGTTGATTGGTTCAAACAAAAGCTGGTCTACACTACAAATGAAATTGAAAATTTCCGATTATTTATTCCTGACCTAGAACTCTTTCTTTAGCTTATACAGATCAGGTAAGAATTTAGCACACTCTCCATCTATTCTACCCCTAGGGACACCAAGATCAATTAGCCAATTCCATAAGTTATCTGTGAGTCGGACTATTTGTCTAATTGATCTAGGTCAAGAAATAGGAGTCTAAATTGAATCATAAAAGCAGAAAGCGCACCTCTATCAATTCCCAGAATGGAGCCAATTACTGATCCAGAACTCCTTGAATGAAAGGGAGGCCAGGTTCCCTTGAGGAAGGACTTCGCTATACTGCCAAAAAAATTTATATCATTAATCTTTCCCCATCCTTTCCAAAAGGGATGTATAGCCTTTTGTCAGGGTGACTTTGCATTAGGAGAAAAACAAGTAATCAATACTGAACATTGGATCCAAACTGATTCCAGGAGACCTAAAACATTGCTGCAATATATCAGAGTAGGGGCTTATAGGTCAGTTGAATAATGGAGTTATAGCCAAGGTGCATTTTGCAGTTGGTCCAGTGGATCCCTGATCCCATCCTATGGTTATTTTCCCAACTCAGAATGTAGGGGTGCTGATATCCACCACATGCCCATTTAACTTGCCTATTTGCTTGTGCAGAAAACAGATGGATCTTGGAGAATGACAATGAATTATCATAAGCTTTACCCACGTGGTAACACCAATTACAGCTGTTGTACCAGATGTAGTTGCATTGCTTGAGTGCATTAACGCATGCCCTGGTATCCGGTATGCAGCTATTGATATAATACGTGCTTTTTCCTTTTCACCTGTTAGTAGAGTCCACTAAAGCTGTTTACGTTCAGCTTGCAAAACCACAATATGCCTTTATTTTCATACCTCAGGAGAATATTAACTCTTCAGCCCTATGCTAAAGTTTAGTCCACACCACAATACACATTTATTTTCATACCTTAGGAGAATATCAACTCTTCAGCCCTATTCTATAGTTTAGTCCACACCACAGTACACCTTTATTTTCATACCTTAGGAGAATATTAACTCTTCAGCCCTATGCTGTAGTTTAGTCCATACCACAGGACACCTTTATTTTCATACCTTATGAGAATATTAACTCTTCAGCCCTATGCTATAGTTTAGTCCACACCATAGTACACCTTTATTTTCATATCTTAGGAGAATATTAACTCTTCAGCCCTATGCTATAGTTTAGTCTACACCACAATACACCTTTATTTTCATACCTTAGGAGAATATTAACTCTTCAGCCATATGCTATAGTTTAGTCCACACCACAGTACACCTTTATTTTCATACCTTATGGGAATATTAACTCTTCAGCCCTATGCTGTAGTTTAGTTCACACCACAGTACACCTTTATTTTCATACCTTAGGAGAATATTAACTCTTCAGCCCTATGCTATAGTTTAGTCCACACCATAGTACACCTTTATTTTCATATCTTAGGAGAATATTAACTCTTCAGCCCTATGCTATAGTTTAGTCCACACCACAATACACCTTTATTTTCATACCTTAGGAGAATATCAACTCTTCAGCCCTATGCTATAGTTTAGTCCACACCACAGTACACCTTTATGACTTGGCGATGCGGGCTCTTTTTTGGTTCCATATGAACTTTAAAGTAGTTTTTTCCAATTCTGTGAAGAAAGTCATTGGTAGCTTGATGGGGATGGCATTGAATCTATAAATTACCTTGGGCAGTATGGCCATTTTCATGATATTGATTCTTCCTATCCATGAGCATGGAAGGCTTTTCCATTTGTTTGTGTCCTCTCTTATTTCCTTGAGCAGTGGTTTGTAGTTCTCCTTGAAGAGGTTCTTCAATCCCTTTTAAGTTGTATTCCTAGGTACTTTATTTTCTTTGTAACAATTGTGAATGGGAGTTCACTCATGATTTGGCTCTCTGTCTGTTATTTGTGTATAGGAATGCTTGTGATTTTGCACATTGAAGAAGTTGCTTGTCAGCTTAAGAAAAACCTCCTGAGACGATGGGGTTTTCTAAATATACAATCATGTAATTGACTTTATTTCTTGGTCTTTAAAGATACTGGACACAGCCACTGCATAGAAATTCCAAAAAAAAAGCGTATGCTTCTCCTCATATATAGCCTATCAATTTCAAGTAGCAAAGAAAATGGAAGACATTTTTATTCTTCACTTTTCTCAGTTGATCAGGATTAATAACTAGAAAATGAGTATTCTGCTTCCCTTCACACATGATATGCATTTGATGGGATAATTAGATCAACATCACTCTTACTTTCTACAGTCATTGTGACTGCATTTGGGAAGAGAAAATGTGCCAGTACAAAACCATATTGCAGTATATAAATACAATTGTTTTATTTATTTCCTAGTTACAGAACTGTGAAACATATTCACTGTCAACTAAATACTAATGATTATGACAGTTTTTCCCTGACACAATATTTTCCCAGATACATATGATCGTTTATTGTCATTTTTAACATTTTCTTAGAACGATTGTTGATTGTAGCCTGTATTAGTTTGTACTCACACTGCTGATAAAGACATACCCAAGGCCAGGTGCAGTGGCTCATGCTTGTAATCCCAGCACTTTGGGGGGCTGAAGCAGGTGGATCATGAGGTCAGGCATTCAAGACCAGCCTGGCCAAAATGGGGAAACCCTGTCTCTACTAAAAACACAAAAATTAATGGGGCTTGGTGTAATCCAGCTACTCAGAAGGCTGTGATCCCAGCTACTCAGGAGGCTGAGGCAGGAGAATTTGCTTGAACCTGGGAGGTGGAGGTTTCAGTGAACTGAGATCGCACCACTGCACTCCAGCCTGGGCAAGAGTGAGATTTCATGTCAAAAAAAAAAAAAAAAAAAAAAAAAAAAAGACATGTCTGGAACTAAGAAGAAAATGAGATTTCATGGACTTACAGTTCCACATGGCTGGAGAGGCCTCATAATCATGGCAGAAGGGAAGGAGGAGCAAATCACGTCTTACATGGATGGTGGCAGGCAAAGAGAGAGAGCTTATGCCTGGAAACTTCCATTTTTAAAACAGTCAGATCTCATGAGACTTATTCACTAGCACACGAACAGCATGAGAAAGACCATGATTCAATTATCTCCCAACGGGTCCCTCCCACCATGTGGGAATTATGGGGGCTACAAGATAAGATTTGGGTGGGGACACAAAGCCAATCCATATCATTCTGTCTCTGGCCCCTCCCAAATCTCATGTTTTCACATTTCAAAACCAATCATGCCTTTCCAACAGTCTCCCAAAGTCTTAACTCATTTCAGGATTAACTGAAAAGTTCACAGTCCAAAGTCCTATCTAAGACAAGGCAAGTCCCTTCTGCCTATGAGCCTATCAAATCAAAAGCAAGTTAGTTACTTCTTAGGTGCAATGGGGGTACAGCCAATGGGTAAATACAGCCATTCCAAATGAGAGAAATTGGCCAAAACAAAGGGGCTACAGGTTCCATGCAAGCTCAAAATCCAGTGGGACAGGTCAAATCTTAAAGCTCCAAAATGATCTTCTTTGACTCCATGTCTCACATCCAAGTCATACTGATGCAAGAGGTGAGTTTCCTTGGTCTTCAGTAGCTCCACCCTTAAGGCTTTGCAGGGTACATCCTCTCTCCCAGCTGCTTTTACCAGCTGGCATGGAGTGTCTGTGGCTTTTTCAGGCACACACACAGTGCAAGCTGTCAGTGGATCTACCATTCTGGGATTTGGAGGGCCCTCTTTTCACAGCTCCACTAGATGGTACCCCAGTAGGGACTCTGTGTGGGGGCTCCAACCCTACATTTTCCTTCTGAGCTGCCTTAGCAAAGGTTCTCCATGAGAGCCCTGCCCCTGCAGTGAACTTCTGCCTGGGCATCCAGGCATTTCTATACATCCTCTGAAATCTAGCAGGAGGTTCCCAAACCTCAATTCTTGACTTCTGTGTCTGTGTATCCACAGGCTCAACACCATGTGGAAGCTACCAAGGCTTGAGGCTTGCACCCTCTGAAGCCACAGCTCAATCTGTACCTTGGACCCTTTTAGTAACAGCTGGAACAGCTGGGGCACAGAGCACCAAGACCCTAGACTGCACACAGCATGGAGACCCTGGACCTGCCCCACAAAACTATTTTTTCTTCCTAAGCCTCTGGGCCTGTGATCGGAGGAGCTTCTGTGAAGACCTCTGACATGCCCTGGAGACATTTTCCCCACTGTCTTGGAGATTAATATTTGGCTCCTCATTATTTATGCAAATTTCTGCAGGCAGCTTCAATTTTTACTCAGAAATGATATTTTCTCTTCTATCGCAGTGTCAGGCTGTACATTTTCTAACTTTTATGCTCTGTTTCCCTTTTAAAACTGAATGCCTTTACCACCACCCAAGTCACATCTTGGATGCTTTGTTGCTTAGAAATTTCTTGCACCAGATACCCTAAATTATCTCCCTCAAGTTCAAAGTTCCAGAAATCTCTAGGGAAGGGGCAAAATGCTGCCAGTCTCTTTGCTAAAACATAACAAGAGTCGCCTTTGCTCCAGTTCCCAACAAGTTCCTCATCTCTATTTGAAACCACCTCAGCCTGGATTTCTTTGTCTATCATTATCAGCATTTTGGTCAAAGCCATTCAACAAGTCTCTAGAAAGTTCCAAACTTTCCCACATTTTCCTGTCTTCTTCTGAACCCTCCAAACTCTTCCAACCTCTGCCTGTTACCCAGCTCCAAAGTCACTTCCACATGTTCAGGTATCTTTTCAGTAACACCTGACTCTACTGGTACCAATTTACTGTATTAGTCCAATTTCATGCTGCTGATAAAGACATATCTGAGACTGGGAGGAAAAATAGGTTTAAGGGACTTACAGTTCCACATGGCTGGGGAGGAGTCACAATCATGGTGGAAGGCAAGGAGGAGCAAGTCACATCTTACATGGATGGTGTCAGGCAAAGAGAGAAAGCTTGTGCAGGGAAATTCCCTTTTTCAAAACCATCAGATCTTGTGAGACTTATACACAATTATGCGAACACTCCCATGATTCAGTTATCTCCCACTGGGTCCCTCCCACTGCACGTGGGAATTATGGAAGCTACAATAGGAGATTTGGGTGAGGACCCAGAGCCAAACCATATCATAGCCTTTCTATAAAATGTATTTTCTGTTGATGCAATTTATCTTTAATTAAAATTAACTTTAATATGTATTGTCAAAATCGTGGTCTCTAAAATAGTTATATATATATGAAGATACATGTATACAATAATAAGAGTTTTGTTATATATCCACTCCACCTTAAAATAAACACAAACAGTACAGTTGAAACTTCCTGATTACTTATTTCCAGTTGAAGAATATCATAATTTTTAATTTCATGCATACTTATATATTTTTAAATGATATAATGTGGTTTTATTTTTTAAGTTTTGCAAATGAAATTCTATGCAAATTCTTTGGCAACTTTATTTTTCTGAAAACCTAATTGTAATTTTCATACTTGGAGACTACATTAGTTTTCACAGCAGTTTGATATTATATTATGTGAAAATGTCATAATTTCTGTGGATTCTCAGTTCATAAAATTCTACATTATATCCAGCACTGAGCTGTCACAAACAATGTTGGTTTACAGAGTTTTATATATGTATCTCAGAGGATTAAACAATAACTTTTTCTATGATCAATCTGGAATTGCTAAGACTTAGGGCTAGAACACCTTTTTCATTACCAGATTTTGTGGGCTTCTGTTCTTCTGAGTACCTGGACCAATTTTTATTATATCAGCAATAATAGGGAGTATTCTGTTACTCTAAATTCTTGACATCACAATATTCTTAGTAGTCATTTTAATGCATTGTATTTTAAATAATTTTCTTGAAGGTACTATATTTAAAGCCAAATAGAGAAATCAGGTTTAATATTTATATATTTGTATTTATGTATGTGTGGTACACAAGATATTATAACTCAAGATCTTGTATCTCAAGATGAGGATGCTAAACATTTCCGAAGTCACAGAAAGACTTGCTGACTCACCCCACCTCTCAGCCCTTAACTGCTACACTGTTGATGGGAATGTAAATTGGTACAGCCATTATGGAAAACAGTAGGCAGGTTCTTAAAGATATTAAAAATATAACTATTATATAATCCTACTTCTAGATATATACTCAAAGGAAATGAAATAATTATCTTGATATTTGCAATCTCATGTTCACTACTGCATTATTCACAATAGCGAAGATATGAAAACGTGTTGACAGATGAATGAATAAAGAAAATGCCACACACACACACACACACACACACACACACAGAGGAATATTTTTCAGACTTAAAAAAGAAAATCCTGCCATTTGCAACTCTGTGTATGAACCTGTAGCATGTTAGGCTAAGTGAAATCAGATGCAGAAATACAAATACTGCATGATCTCTCTAATTGTGGAATCTAAAAAAGTTGAACTCACACAAACAGAGAGTAGAATGGGGGTTGCCAGAGGCTGTGGGGTAGGAAAAACAGGGAGCTGTTGATCAAAGGGTACAAAGTTTCAGTTACTTAGGATGAATAAGTTCTGGAAAGCTAATGTAGAACATGGCTACTATAGTTGATAATATAGTATTGCATGCCTCAAGTTTGATAAGGGAAAAGATATTAAGTGTTCTCACTACATGTACACACACACAATTGATGACTTTGTGAGGTGATAAATATGTTAATTAGCTTGACTGTGGTAATCACTTCACAGTGTATATGTACATTAAAACATCACATTTAATACCTTAAATATATACATTTTTTGTTAATTATACTGCAATAAATCTGGGGATGGGGAGAGATACTAGAGGTATAGAAGGCTGTGAAGGTCATGAAGTTAGAAATAAATAGATTGACTTGAAACATGCTTTTTTTTGCTTTTACTTTTAATTTAATTTAATTTAATTTTTTGAGTCAGGGTCTCACTCTATCACCCAGGCTGGAGTGCAATGGTGCAATCATGGCTCACTACAGCCTTAAAATCCTGGGCTCAGGTGATCCTCCCACCTCAGCCTCCCAAGTAACTGGGAGTACAGGCTCACAGCATGCCCAGCTAATTTTTTTGTGCAGTTTTTGTAGAGATGGGGTTTCCCCATATTGCTCAGGCTGGTTGAAACATGTTTAGAAGGTGATGTAACAGATCTTTATAACTGACAGATGGTGAGAAGAGAATTACTAGATAAAATTGACATAAACAAAAGTAGAACTAATAAGTGAATTTAATGAGGTCCAGACAAAAAGCAAACATTTCCAAAAAATCAAATGATATACTATACACTGGAAATAAATAAATTTTAAAAAAGAGAAGAACTGGAAATGTGGAATACGTACTTAGAAAAACTTTAAAAAGAAGATGTGATTAATCTGTACACTGAAATTTATAAAATATTCTTTGAGAAACTAACTTAAAATATATAAATAGGCAACACATAAATAAAAAATAAAAGTATAAAATAGGGTGTAAAAATAGAAACTAACTTATGATAAAGTCATTCTCCAATAAATTTAATGAGAAGAAAAATCTTCTGAGCAAATACTAATAAGACAATTAAAAATATATGTAATAATTATACATATGCATATGTATCTATGTATCTGTGTGTATATGCATTAAATATAATAAAAATTTTATATGTGTATATGAAGATAGTTTCTGACTAACAATGGTTCAACTTACAGTTTTTCAACTTGCAATGGCTTTATCAGGGTGTAACCTCCATTGTAAGTCAAGGAACACCTGTATATACATATATATATGGTGATGAAATTAAGCTAGATTGTAGAACTAAATGAAAAAGTAAAATATGTTACCCTTCTAGAATAAAATTTAGCAGGATCCCTTCAACATCATGATGCCTTAAATTTTTCTTAGAGAGCAAACTGAATGCAGTAGGCATGACAGGAAAATTGCTAAACTATACTTTACTAGACTTAAAATTTCTCCTCATTGAAAACCTAAATTGGTAAGCCACAGACTAAAAGATATTCACAAAATATACATCTAAAAAGAAGACTTATATCCAAAATCTCTGAAGAATTTTAACTCAATAATAAAAATATTTAAAAATCCAGTGAAAAGTGGATAAAATAATCTAATAAACATTTGCAAAGGACACAAATAAATGGCAGAGAATAACAACAAAAGCAAAACAAATTAAAAAATGCAGCATCACTAGTTATCACAAAACTGCAAATTAAAACCATAATGAGATACCATTACACACCTAGTAGAATGGCTAAAATTTAGAAGTCTAACAGTATCAGCTGTTAGCACAGATTTTAAGCAATGAGTCTCTTAAATATTGCTTGTAGAAATGTTAAATAGTCCAGCCATTTCAAAAAAGAGTTTTTCAATTTCTTTAAAAGTTATGCCTACCTTATGACCCAGCAATTTTACTCCAAAACAATTAAATCCTATGTTTATAAATGATTGTATAGGCATGTTAATAACATCTTTATTTTTTATAGACAATAGTGGAAAAAATTCAAAAGTCCATCAGCAGATCTGTTGAACAAATTTTGGTTTATTTGTAGAATTGAAAACAACTCGGTAAAAACAAAATAAATAAATAAATAAATGATTGCTCTGTCAACAGTATGGCTCAATACCAAAAACATTATGTTGAAGGAAATTAGCCAGGCACAAAAGAGTACATTCTGTATGATCCCATTTGGTGAGATTCAAAGACTGACTAAATCAATCTATGCTAGAAATCATAAAAGAGGTGGCCTAAGCCAGGAGTTGGTAAAAAACTAGAAAATGCCATGTGGGAAATTTCTACAGTGAAGGAATTTATACCATAATTTGGGTATTGCTTACAATAGTATATACATTTGTCAATAGTTAATATATTTTGCAGTTGAGTTCTATGCATTTTTCTGCATTCAAATTTTATTTAATAAAAATGAACATAAAAAACAAAACTCTTTAGAAGAGAAAATGAGATTTCAGAGAGAGTAAATAAAACATGTGGAATTTTTTCTAGAGCACAGGTCTCTATTCTACAAATTGAAGTCCATTTCCCTTAATTTGAAAAATTGAGAAATAAGGCTAATAATGTTCTTACTTTAAAGCTTAGGGAAAAGTCAAAAATTTTTAAGTAAATGGAAATAAAGAGTTGATCTTGAAAGCTTAACTCTGAAAGCTGAACTCTATTGAAACTGTATGTATTTGGTAGAAACTGCATTTTGAGTACTCATAACCATTTCGTGTTTCTCTTTCAAAATAGTATTCAAAGATTACATGAGATATTCAACATTTTATTATAAATAGGCTTTGGATTAGATGTTTTTGCCCACCTTGAGGCTAATGTAAAGCTGAACTCTGAATTAATGTAAATTTTGTTTGCTAGAAAGGTATAACATATTAGTATAAATAAGATGGAAGTTCTTTTTTTTGTATTTGTACGATATTTTTATTTAATATTTTAATGCATTTGTTCTGTTTCCCACTTTTATCTACATGTCTCTCATTTTTAAATAACTTTGGTAGTGTTTGGAGAAAAGTATAAACTTTATCAATTTAAAAAAAAACTTGAGACATTTTAAACCTAAAAAATCTTCACTTGAATTGTTTGTATCTAATATGTTTATAGAAGAACAATAACCTTACTTGGTATCATCTTTTTGCACTTCAATATTCAAAATAATTTGCTGAAATATTTTAATCAAATGTCTGGCTTTTCAAAAAAAAGTCATAAACTCTTTGTGGGACAAATTTTAAAATAATACTTAGCATATGAATACATAGTTTGTGATATATATTACCCTAAAATTAAAATGTAGTTACACTTTAATATATGGTTTAATTAATTGATTTTACTCTATGCTGTGTGAAAGCTAAAAAACACAGAAATGTGTTCAGGATCCTGAAAACAATTCTGCATCAGAAGAAAACTAATGTTTATCTTCTACCAGACATTTATGTTTATTCAATAAATCATTTAATCTACTTCAAATTATTTTGGACAATAATGCCTAACTAATGTGGCTATAAGGTTAAGTCTTGTATTGACTAGTAGTAAGTCTTGTCATTAAACTTAATCCATTATACTGTAAATGTCACTCCCTCAAGCTCTACTTCTAATCAATATACTCTACTATCTTTTCCATCAGATGAGCTACAGTCAGCCCATGGACTAGTATTGACTCCATTCCTATTAAGAGATAATAACATGCACATAGAACTTTTTCCAGTCTTTTAACACAAACAGAAGTCTGTATGATACAATTATTTCATAATCTGAAATTTTCAAGTTTTTAAAATATAAGGGAGGTTCTTTTTGGTCTTTTTAATATACCAATCCTTTTCTATGAAGGTATCAGAGCATCCTCTCTATATATGTATACACACAGAGACAGAGCAAGATAGTCTCCAAATTATGATTCGACTTATTTCAACTTTGTCATGTGCAAAAGCAATAAGCTTTCAGTAGAAACTGTATTTTAAATACCCATATAACAATTTTGTGTTTCACTTTCAATACAGTATTCAATAAATTGCATGAGATATTCAACATTTTATTATAAAATAGGCTTTGGGTGAGATGATTTTGCCCAACTTACTTACATTAATGTAAGTTTTCTGAGCATGTTTAAGGTAGGCCAGGCTAAACTATGATGTTCAGTAGGTTATGTATATCAAACACATTTTTTCCTTATGATAATTTCAGTTTATAATGGATTACGCAAAATGGTAGATCCACCAACAGCTTGCACCATGCACCTGGAAAAGACACAGGTATTCAATGCCAGCTGGTGAAAGCACCCAAAGGGGCTGCACCCTGCAGAGCCACAGGGGCAGAGTTGCCCATGGCTGTAGGAGCCCATCCATTGCATCGGTGTTATCTGGATGTGAGACATGTAGTCAAAGGAGATTATTTTGGAGCTTTAAGATTTAATGACTGCCCTGCTGGGTTTGGACTTGCACAGGGTTTGTAGCCCCCTTGTTTGGCTGATTTCTCCCCCTTGGAATGGGAGTATTTAGACAATGCTTGTACTCCTATTATATCTTGGAAGTAATTAACTTATTTATTTTACAGGCTCATGGGCAGAAAGTACTTGCTTTGTCTCAGATGAGATTTTTGGGCTGCAGACTTTTCAGTTAATGCTGAAATGAGTTAAGGCATTGGGGGACTGTTGAAAAGGGTTGATTGTATTTTGCAATGTGAAAATAACATAAAATTTGAGTGGAGCTAGAGTGAAATGATATGGTTTGGATTTGTGTCCCCAACCACATCTTATATTGAGCTATAATCCCCAATGTTGGAAGAGGGTCCTGGTTGAAGGTGATTGGCTCACGGGGCACACTTCCCCTTTGTTGTTCTCATGATAGTGAGTGAGTTCTAATGAGATACGGTTGTTTAAAAGTGTGTGTCATCTCTCCCCTGCACTTCCTCCTGCTCCAGCCGTATAAGATGTGACTCCTTCCTCTTCACCTTCCATCATGATTGTAAGTTTCCTGAGGTCTCCTCAGCAATGCTTCCTGTACAGCCTGTGGAACTTTGAGTCAATTAAACCTCTTTTCTTTATAAATTACCCAGCCTCAGATAGTTCTTTATAGCAATGTGAGAATGGACTAATACACCATCCCTTGCCAAAAGCCCCCTGGGGAGCAAAATCACCACTAAGTGAGAACCCCTGGAGCAAGAGAACTGAGAAATATGTTTTACAGAAAGATTTTATAAGTACTATGGAACAGTGACTATTGTATGTGGTTTTTTTTCTTCTCTTTCCATACAGGATATTTATTGCAGTTATTTTCTTCTTGTTGCCCTACTGCATGTGAGGAATTGAAGAAGCAGATGAGCTGTCTTTATTTCATATATTTCTGTATCAAGAGCTTGATATAATGACTGAACTAAACTTTGAAGGTGCTGGGATAAGGATGATTATAGTTTGTATGTGGGAGGGAACTGTGACTGTGAGGAAGACTCAAGCAAATTTCATTAAGAATTCCAGCTTATTTTGTCTGCTGCTTATCTTTTGCTAGGTGACTGCAGTTTTTCCTAGTATGGATGTGATATATATTTCCCACTCTTTAAATTTGAGCCCTCAATTGTCATAGTCCATTTTGTGCTGCTATAACAGAATACCTGAGACATGGTAATATATAATGAATGGAAATTTATTTCTCACAATTTTGGAGGCTGTTAAATTTAAGACTGAAGAGTAGGCATCTTTTGGTGGCCTTCTTGTGATGTCATCTCATGGGTGAAGTTGGAAAGGCAAGAGACAACCCTCTCCCAAAAGCCCTTTTTGAAAGATATTAAACCCATCCATGAGGACAGAATCCTTGTTGCTTAATCATCTCGAAATAGGCCCACCTGCTAATACTATTACAGTGGAAATTAAATTTAAACATAAATTTTGGAGGGAACAAATATTTAAACCATAATATCAACTTTGGTCTGTTTGAGTCAACAAAGTAAGGCCAAAAAGACAATGTGCCAGTTTCAATTTATGTTATTAAGGGGCTTTTATATTTTCTCTTTGGCCTTTTTATGCCCTTGATATAAGAAGCACATAAGCTTCTACTCCAGTAGCTCCACAATAAGGATAATAGACATTTGCAGAAGAGTCACCCCAGCTGAGTCACCAGAGCCAAAACTAACTTATATCAGCCAACTTGTAAATGTATTACTGATAACAATCATGATCAGCAAAACTGTCCCAGGAAAAGAAGTCAGCTTCAGTCTTCCTTCTCACCCACCTCAAACAATCTATACTATTTGGAATCAAATTTAAATAAAGTTCAAGGGAAGACAAAATAATGTTATCTATGATTATGGATGATGGGGATTGACTGAAAGAGGGAAAAAGGAAACTCTTTGGGGTGATTGAAGTTTTTTCTGTATCTTGATAGGAGTTTTGGTTACATGGTGGTTTCTTAAATTCATTAAACTTCAATCTCAAGACTTATTTATTTTGTCTTGATTTATCTTTAATATAATAATAAAAATATATGTAAAATATTTTTACATATTTTTATTACTTTTTTATATACAGTTAGTCAACCACAGAAAAGGATAATCAGAGATAATTATTCAGAAAGGAACATTGTTTAGTCTTTTAAGCATCTGCTATTCCTTTCTCCCTTGAAAATGATGTGTAGTGATTAGTTTTCATCCGAACAGGCATTTTCTCCTTCTTAAAAATGAAAACATGCCCTATTTTGAAGGTGCTGGGATAAGGATGATTATATTTTTATATTACATATATGTTACATATAATAAAAATAGTATATGTAATGTTTCAAACACACAGAAAGAATCTGGAAAAACTGATTAGGATAATATTAAGAAGGAAATAGAGGTTAAACATGTTAACCTGAAAAATCATAGTAAATTAAAACATGATGGAAAAAATTCCAAATACATGTGTAATTTCAATCCATGTAAACGAATTAAATATCAACTACAAAAAAAAGTCTCATATTTTAGAAAAGTGCAATCCACTTCTTATTTTCTTCCTTTTGTTTTCCTGAACAATTCAGTTCTACAGTACTTAGTTGAAGCAAAGCATGGAAAGAGTGTCTTGGCATGAGATGTCAGAAGCAAAGCATGATAAAGAGGGCATCCACAGTAGGTGTCACAGCCTGAGTGAGATGAAGAGGGCATCAAGTGATGTCTGCCCTCAGCCATGGGATGTCAGTAACAAAACAGGACAAAAGGGCTCCAAAAGTGTGGGGAAGCTCTTCATGTACTGCAGAAGCCCTGCAGGTTGAGGAAGATATTAACCTCAGACATATGGCCATGTATGCCATTTGGGAGCCTAAGCAGGATGATGTAGGGCTATACTGGGGGACCTGGATAAGATATTAGAACCCAGAGTGCAGAGCGGTGTATAATACGGCTGGAGGTCTTCACATGGGTTTTCAGAATCTGAGCAGAATGAGGGCTGCAGCTTATGTGGATGTTGAAGCCTAGTCAGAAAGAAGTGTAGAAGACATAAGCTTAATCAAGTGATCACATTGAATGTTATCAGCAATGGTTGGGAGTAGGGGCGTTGGGAGACAGTATATAATTTCATAGAAAGCAGAAAAATAGAACATTGCTTAAATTCCTGCTGAAGATACATAACTTGAATCTAATTATATGGAAACATGAGACAACCCCAAAATTAAAGTATGTTTTACAAAATCTATGGGAAAAGCTGTTTCAGACTGATCAAGGCATGATTCATAATTTGATCATTTTACTATAAATTATATTATTTAAACACTTGTCAAAGCTTGAATATAGTCTGGGATCAATGGTGGTAATGTATTAATATTAATTTCTTGATTTTGACAGTTGTGATTATGTAGGAGCATTTAGAAAGAGACAGCAATTTAGTGTTCAGAGATAATAGGAATCAGATCAGTAACAATCTTAAATGGCTGAGAAAACCAATGATTTTTGCACTATACTTGCCACATTATAAATTTGAATTTGTGATTTATGTATATATACACATAAATATTGTGTATGTATACCTACAAAGATATACCAGAATGTAACTTATACTGTAAACATTAAAACTCATAGTAAAATATTCATATATAGTCATCTCTGAGCATCCATGTGGAATTCATTTCAGGATCCCCCATGAATACCAAAATCCATGGATGCTCAAGTCCCTTATATAAAGTGGTATATTATTTGTATATAACCTATGCACATCCTCTTGTATACTGTAAATTATTTCTAGATTACTTATAATACCAAAACAATATAAATACCATGTAAATACTTACCATACTGTATTGTTTAGGGAATAATGACAAGAAAAAGTCTGTACGTGTTCACTATTCGTGCAACCATTATTTTTTCAACTATTTTTGATCTGCAGTTGGTTGAATCTATGAATGAAGAACCCATGGATAGAGAGGGCCAACTGTATAAAGAGTCAGGAATAAGAGAAGAATTCTCATTATTATATCTTCGATTCATCATCGTATGGAAGTACTATCCAATTTCCTATAAGAAGAAAACATGAAACAAAAAAGAAAACAGTGTTCTTCTTTTCATGCAATAGGCTTATCTTCATAGAAAAGGTATAGGAGAGTCTGCAAACCACTGGAAATATTTAGAAAATTCAGCAAGTTTGCTATAAGGTTGACGCAAAAGTAACTGCAGTTTTTACCATTAAGTCATGGCAAAACCGCAATTACTTTTTTGCCATCCTAATAATTTATTACATTCTATGTATTTCTGAGTATATTAGCAATTTCCATACAAAACAAGCAAAGCATTTTAAAAGAACATTTTAATTTTGATTTTAATTAAAATATTATATTTTAAAATTTCAAATATATTAAATACATTTAAGTATGTAAAATAGAACACATTTAAAATGTATTGATATATTAAATATTATACTATTCGCTGTAATGGTTAATTTTAAGTGTCAACTTGGAAGATGTTTTGAATGAGTTTAATATTTAAATCAGTGAACTTCGATTAAAGCAGATTGCTCCCCATAATGTGAGTGGGCTTCATCCAATCAGTTAAAGACTTGAATAGAACAGAAACCAGCCTTTCTGAGTAAGAGAACAATTTTTCAGACGTCAACTGCACTGTCGGCTCTCCTGGGTCTCCAGGCTGCCAGCCCACACTGTAAATTTTAAACTTCCTAGCTTCCATAATTGCATGAGGAAATTTCTTATTGTAAATCTCTCTCCCTCTCTCTTTTTTTCTCTGTCTCTCCCATTGCCTATCGGTTCTGTTTCTGTGAAGAATCCCGACTCATATATTCTCACAGTAGCACAAAATTATAAGATATGTAGGAATATATCATATTTTAAAATATCTTTGTGAAAAAATAATAAAACATTTAAAAAATAACAGTACACTTGAATAAGTGATGGATGTTAGAACATGTTTATGGATGAAGTTATTATGGTGAACATGAAAATTCTTCCCAAATTAATCAATAAATTTAGTGCAATTCCAATAAAAATACCATTATACAATAATATTTCATGAAATATGTGAGGTCAATAAACACATATAAAGATTGTCAGCCAAAAGAAGCTGACAATTTCGAAGTAAAATGTATGGCTAGTTTTACCTCATAATATTGAAGGTTTATTGAGGGTTATTATAAAATGTGAGTAATTTGGTCAATTTGGTATTTGTGTCAAATTAGACAAATAGATCAATAAATTGGAATGAACAACACAGAAATAGCTCAGGTGTAATTGGTACCTGTATACATGTTGCCCGTATGAAGAAGGATTCATCTAGATTCATGTTTCACATGATGCAACATAGCATTTTGTCTGAATTTGAAATCTAAATATAAAAAATAATACCTTAACACATCTAGATGTTGATGAAAATGTATTTTGGGTATAGATGAATTTCTTAAATAAGGCAAAAGCACAAACTATGTGAGATTAATAAATATGACTATATTATTTTTAAATGGCACAGGAAGATGTAATAAAATTAAAAAGTAAGCCAAAAACTGGGAAAATATATTTTTAAAACAAACAATGAAGAAACAAAACTAATGAGAATACATAAAGAATGACTATATATTAGTACGGAAAAAAAAAAACAGAATAACTAGTAAAAATAATAAAGTATCAATCTAAGCAGTAATAGGGAAGATTCAAGTCAAAACAATGAAACTATTTTATAGTTGTCAAAGGGATAAAAATTAAGAGGTCTGAAAACACTGAATCCTGTGTACTGGGGAAACTGGAACTCTTAGATACTGGTGTTGGGAATGGAAATTGTTAGTCAATTTGGAGAACAATTTGACATTTACTAGTAGAGCTGAGAATAATATACAATGACACACTGATTCAACTTCTAGGTTAACAGGATATGTGCAAATGTTGCTAAGGATGTTTATGATAGCATTGATTGTAATAAGTAAAGAATAGTGATATGGTTTGGCTGTGTGCCAATCCAAATCTCATCTGGAATTCCCACGTGTTATGTGGGGGACCCGGTGGGAGGTAATTGAATCATGGGAACAGTTCTTTCCTGTTTTGTTCTCATGATAGTTTGTCTCGGGAGATCTGATGGTTTTACAAGGGAGAGTTGCCCTGCTCAAATTCCTTCTTCTGTTGTCTGCCACCATGTGAGACATGCTTTTCATCTACTGCCATAATTGTGAGGCCTTCCCAGCCACGTGGAACTGTAAGTCTAATAAACCTCTTTCTTTTGTAAATTGCCCAGTCTCAGGTATGTCTTTATCAGCAGCATGAAAATGGATTAATAAAGTCACCCTTGATTTTGCCATTATTAAAATAAAGAATATATATTAGTTTGCTCATAAAATAAAATACTATATGAGAGTTAAATGTATTTATATGTCCAACATAAGTAACATTTAAAAATGTAGTATTGGATGATGTAAGCAAGTCTTAAAATATATATATTGTAATGATAAGATACAATTGGCCATTGAACACCACACGTTTGAATAGCACAGGTTCACTTTTTTGCAGACTTTATTCTGCTTCTGCCACCCCTGAGACAGCAAGACCAACCCCTCCTTTTCCCCTCTCCTCAGCCTACTCAACATGAACATGATGAGGATGAAGACCTTTATGATAATCTACTTCCACTTAACAAGTAGTAAATATTCTTGTTCCTCCTTCCCCTCCCCGTCCTCGTCTTCTTCCTCCTGCCCCTCTTCCCCCTGTTCACCCTCTTCTCCGTCTTCCCCCTCTTCCCCCTTTTCCCCTTTTCCCTCTCCCTCTCCTTCTCCTTTTTCTTCTTCTATTTTTTTTTTGACAGAGTCTCACTCTGTTGCCCAGGCTTGAGTGCAGTGGCACAATCATGGCTCTCTGCAACCTCCGCCTCCTGGGTTCAAGCGATTTTTCTGCCTCAGCCTCCCAAATAGCTGGGATTGCAGGAACATCGTGCTAATTTTTAAATTTTTAGTAGAGACTGGGTTTCACCATGTTGCCCAGGCTGGTCTCAAACTCCTGAGCTCAGGCATACCACCTGCCTCAGCCTCCTAAAGTGCTGGGATTACAGGCATGAGCCACTGCACCTGGCCATATTTTCGCTTCCTTATAATTTTCTTAATAATATTTTTTCTCTAGTTTGTTTTATTGTAACAATAGAGTATATAAAACATATAACATACAAAATATGTGTTACTCAATTGTTACGTTTTCTGTAAGGCTTCTGGTCAACAGTAGGCTGTTAGTAGACTGCACAGGGGTTGGTGTCCCCAACCCCCACATTGTTCAAGGATCAACTATACAATCGATTTTATCAATAATAAAGCCAAATATTTTACTTCTAATTATACACATATAGAATAAAAACATAAAGTTATGCACATTTATTTATTTAATGCTATTTGACATTTTAATGTATTTTTCTACAAAATGCCTGCTCATATGTTCTACCCACATTCCTATCGTATTTTTTCTTATTACTACTTGTTATTCTAAGGTATTATAAAACAATATTTTAGAACTATTTTTGTCAAGTCAATTGATTTGTGCTGTTCTTTGTTCATTATTTGTGCAAATATTACTTCAATTATTTTTATTATTTTATGCAGTTATATCTATTAATCTTTTCCTGATTCTTTTATATATATTCATTTAACATGTTATAGCTTTCTATAGTCACACATCTACCATGTTGAAATGAATTGAAATCATGAAATCATGTTAAATATTTTAACATTAGTTTTTATGAAAAATTTGCCTCTGATTTTCAGAAAATATTATATAGTGTCCAACATTGGAAGATTTTAGTTTCTGTATTTGTTTTTAAACAAAATTGGTGTTATATTTTATCACATGACTTTTTAGCATCTGTCAAGATTATGGAGACCATGGGAAACAATGAATTTAGAGAACAAGAAGATTCCTGGTAGCAGCAATAAAAAAGACATGAGAGCACAAGGTTTCCCTAGTTTACTTCAAATCAATTGTATATGCTTCAAAAATAAAGTTATTAGGTTATTTTCATCCTTACTAGAATGAGGAAGGTATACAGAAAAGTTATTTAACAACTGGTATAATGCAACTAATTCGAATTAAAGTTAGGGCAGAGTCCTGAAGGTGCCCTGATGGACCAGGGATTAATTTTTCAGTTCATGGACTGTGTACAAATCTCAGAAATTAGAGATTCAGCAGGGGCATCTTGGGTGGGAAGGGCAACCAGGATGCAAGAACTAACCAATGTATCTTTAAACAGACAAAAAATATTACTAAATTGATATTAATATTGATAATAATATCAGTATGTCGATTGAATATCAACACACTATAAATACTAGTTAAAATAATATTTGTCATTATTGGCCTTTCAAGTTATTAATTATTCAAATTGCATATTCTTTCAATGATGCAATGCCATTTAATTTTGAATGTATCATCACATAAATTTTCTTCCTAGATATCTAAAATAATTTTAAATTTATTGTGTCATTGAAATTTTGTTATATAGTCACACATGCGCAGGTTGAGCGCAATTTTATACTTATTAATTTTTATGCTTTATTAATTACATTTAATAAATATATTGAATACTAAAAATATTTCTGGCACTAAAATATTAGTACAAACTTCAAAGGTTATCAATTTAAGATCAGTACAGTCACAAATGGGGTATTTAACAATGGGTGGGGACCTATATGATTGTTAGAGTAACTGGAAGATGCTACTGACATTTATTGAGTGTGGGCTAGGAATGGTCAACCTCTTAGAATACATAGTCCATACAAAGAGTTATTGTGTAAATCCAAATACAAAGAATGTTCTCATTGATATATACTGATCCATTTTTTTAGGGGCTATGCAGATTCAAATGAAATGCAACACAATGAAAATATGTAGTTCATTGTCAATGAATGCATGGTATTTGCATGTGGGTTTGTATATTGTTAAATTTGAGCAATTAATCTGTGGAATTATATTTATGATCTCTGAAGATGGCTGTATGTAGTATTTATTTCTTAAATTACCAATAATTTAAATAAGTATATAACACAGCTTAATAAAAAATATGTGTATATATGGATGTGTGTATCTATCGCTCTCTATATATGAAACATACAGAGTTTTATATTTCATTCTATCATTGTAACTATAGTAAGTGAAGGCAACCATACTGCCTTGGTTTTCCCATTGCATGCTACTATTTGTTTTGATCAAATTCTTGCCTAAATCAGAATGCTAAAGCACTTCAGAGCTCAATCCTTCAACCTCTTTTGTATTTACATCCACTTCCTAATTGAAAGTTCAGGTTCCTTGACTTTAAATGTCATTTATGAAGTTGTAACTCTTACATTTCTATCTCCACCCCGATCGTTGCCCTGAAATTCAGATTGTAAATTCAACTGTCAGTTGCAATACACATTTTCACACAAAAAAACGATGTCTGCTTCCAAATCTTGATAAAGACCTCATGAGAAACCCTGAGACAACCAACTTGAATGTAGAATGGTTATTTCGAACTAAACAATTTGTAAGCCAAGCCTTTTACTTTCCTCCTCAGACACCCTCCTTGTCCAGTTTTTCTTCTGCAATCTCAATAAATGCTACTGTTCTTTTAAGTTCAATGACCAAAAATCTCTGCCACAAATATCAAAATTGTAAGCAAGTGCTTCAAGTTCTATTTAGCATGACTACCATCAGTTAGAAAAAGCAGAATTCTATTTATGAGAGACTACCATAAAAGGCACATATTGACCAATCTTATTTATGAGCATTTATTTATGAGCACTTATTGTATTGTATATTTCAAAATATCTAGAAGAGAGGATTTCAAATGTTATCATCACAATGACATAATAAATGATTGAAATGATGGAGAAGCTAAATGCTCTGATTTGATCATTTCAAGAATGTATTACATGTATCCAAACATCACACAGTAATAAATAAATATGTATAATTATTACATGTCAATTAGAAATAAAATGCTACTTAAAAAATAAAAAAATTAAATCTAAAGCAAAATATTGACAAGAAGAATCTAACAATCATTCTCAAAATTATTTGGCCAAGTAGAGATATTCTTCAGTAATATGAAGCTGATTTTATACCAACATATTTATGAATATAATATGTAAGTAAAGTAGAAAATCAAATGATTATATTCATTGATGCTAAAAGACATTTAATAAAATATAGAAGCCACTTTCAAAAAAATTATAAATAGAAGAAAACTTTAAATGAATACACAATAATTTGGTAAAACCAATAGCAGTGTTTATTCTAAATGGTAAACCTCAAAATTTATTTTTATAAATTCCTAAAGAAAGAATCTTTTTGTCTGATGTCAACTTAACTATTCTACACCTTTGAGGTCAAAGGAAATATAGAGAAAAATAAAATACTTTTCAATATTTTGTAATACAAAAAGGAATAAAATTGTCTCATGTTGTCATGTAATTACACACCTACATGGAAGAAATTCTAGTAAATGTCTACAACACGGAAGAGACCCTAGTAAATTAATAATGAAATTATTAATAATGAATAATGAAATGTATGCTTTCATAAAAGGCAGAAAAAATCAATAACTTATCTCCCTACCAACCTGAAACACTTTTAATTGGAAATGGGAAAGTATACCATTCACAAAAATATAGACACTGGGAAATGTTTCAAAAGATAAAAGACTCATAGGATGTCCTGAATACATAGAAAGGTATTCCCATGTTCTTGGATAGGAAGAGTTCGAGTAATGAAAATGCCAATTCTTTAACAAATAAATATATAAGTGAACTAAAATTCCAATAAGAATTTGAGTTTATAGGATAAAATGACCTAAAGTTAGATATAAAAAATAAATATTCAATAGTTAAGAGAGTTTTGAAAAATAACAAATTGAGAAATCATTAGCATATATTAGAATGCACTACAAAGTTACTAGGATCAGCACAGCATGCTTAAATAATATAATTAGATAAGTAAATAACTACAAGGGAGTCATGAACTCAGGAAAATATATATTTTCCTGAGTATAAATAAGAAAATAGGTGCTTCTATTCTGTTTAGAAAAGAGTCTATTTAATCAATTGTGATGGCATAATTGACCAAATATGTAGAAAAAAATAAATCTGAGCCGTTAAGTTGCAGTATAAGCACAAATAAACTCTATATGCATTACAGTTGCTGATTACTGGGATATCATCAATTCAGGCCTCACACCCATGGACAATGAATGATGTATTTCCTAATTATTGCAAACGTCTTTTTTCCTAATTTCTATACTTTGAAGGTGATATGGTTTGGCTGTGTCCCCACCCAAATCTTATCTTGAATTGTAATCCCCATGTTTCTAGGGAAAGACCCAGCGGGAGTTACTGAATAATGGGGTTGGTTTCTCTCATGCTGTTCTCATGATAGTGAATGAGTTCTTATGAGATCTGATGGTTTCATAAGCATATGGCATTTCCCCTGCTGGCACTCATTCTCTCTCCTGCCACCCTGTGAAGAGTTGCCTTCTGCCATGATTGTAAGTTTCCTGGGGCCTCCCCACACCTGCAGAACTAGGCATCAATTAAATTTCTTTTTTTATAAATTACCTAGTCTCAAATATTTCTTCATAATAGCATGAGAATGGACTAATACAGTAAATTGGTACCAGGAGTGAGGTGTGTATGCTGCTGTAAAGATACCCAAAAGTGTGGAATTGACTTTGGAACTGAATTACAGGCAGAAGTTGGAACAATTTGGAGGAATCAGAAGAAGACGACAGAAAAATGTGCAAAAGTTTGGAACTTCCTAGAGACTTGAAGGGTTCAGAAGATTGAAAGATGTGGGGAAAGTTTCAAACTTCCTAGGGACTTGTTGAATGGCTTTGAACAAAATGCTTAGAATAATATGGACAATGAATTCCAGGCTGAGGTGGTCTCAGATGGAGGTGAGGGACTTGTTGGGAACTTGAATAGAAGTGATTCTTGCTATGCTTTAGCAAAGAGACTAGTGGCATACTGCAACTCTCCTAGAGATCTGTGGAACTGTGAACTTGAGAAAGATGATTTATGGTATCTGGTGGACAGAAATTTCTAAGTGGCAAAGTGTTCAAGAGGAAGCAGAGCATAAAAGTTTGGAAAATTTGCAGGCTGGTGATGTGATAGAAAAGAAAATCTCATTTTCTGGGGAGAAATTCAAGCCAGCTACAGAAATGTGCATAAGCAATGAGGAGCCCAACGTTATTCACCAAGATAATGGGGAAAATGTCTCCAAGACATTTCAGAGACCTTCACTGCAGCCCCTCACATCACAGGCCCAGAGGCCTGTGGTTTCATGGACTGGCCAGGGCCCCCTGCTCTGTGCAGCCTTGGGACATGATGGCCTGAATCCCAGCTGCTTCAGCGCTAGCTGTAGCTAAAAGGGGTCAACGTACAGCTTGAGCCATTGCTTCAGAGGGTGCCAGCTCCAAGCCTTGATGGCTTCCAAGTGGTGTTGAGCCTATGGGTAGACAGAAGTCAACAACTGAGGTTTGGGAACCTCCGCCTAGATTTCAGAGGATGTATGGAAATGCCTGGAGATTCAGACAGAAGTTTGCTGCAGGGGTGGGGACTTCATGGAGAACCTCTGCTAGGGAAGTGCAGAAAAGAAATGTAGGGTTGGTGCTCCCACACAGAGTCCCCTCTGGGGCACTGCCTAATGGAGTTGTGAGAAGACAGCCACCATTCTCCAGACCCCAAAATGGTAGATCCACCAACAGCTTGCACCGTGTGCCTGGAAAAATCTGACAGTCAATGTCAGCCTATGAAAGCAGCCAGGAGCTGGGCTATACCCTGCAGAGCCACAGGGGCAGAGATGCCCAAGACCACGGGAACCTAACTGTTTCATCAGCGTGACCTGGATGTAAGATATGGAATCAAAAGAGATCATTTTGGAGCTTTAAGATTTGACTGCCCCACTGGATTTCAGACTTTCATAGGGCCTGCAGCCCCTTGGTTTTGGCCAATTTGTCTCTCCTTTGGAACAGCTGTATTTACCCAATGCCTGTACCCCCACTGTATCTAGGAAGTAACTAACTTGCTTTTGATTTTACAGGCTTATAGGCAGAAGGGACTTGCCTTGTCTCAGATGAGACTTTGGACCGTGTTCTTTTGGGTTAATGCTGAAATGAGTTAAGACTTTCCATGACTGTTGAGAAGGCATGATTGGTTTTGAAATTTGAGGACATGAGATTTGGGAGGTGCCAGAGGCAGAATGATGTGGTTTGGTTGTGTCCTAACCCAAATCCCATCTTGAATTTTAATCCCCATGTGTCATTGGAGGGACCTGGTAGGAGGTAATTGAATCATGGGAGTAGTTTCCCCAGTGCTGTTCTCGTGATAGTGAGTGAGTTATCATGAGATCTGATGGTTTTATAAGCATCCAGCATTTCCCCTGCAGGCCCTCATTCTCTCTCCCACCACCCTCTGAAGAGGTGCCTTCTGCCTTAGTTGTAAGTTTCTTGAGGCCTCCCCAGCCATGCTAAACTGTGAGTCAATTAAGCCTCTTTCCTTTCTAAATTACCCAGTCACAAGTATGTCTTCATAGCAGCATGAGAATGGACTAATACAGAGGGATTGATCACAAATATGTTTGCTGTTCCCCTAAAATGATCTGAGGAGGATTTTTCTTGCCTTTAGTGACTCCCTGCTATTTGAGGAGCTTAGTTTCATTTCCAAGTACTAGAGACCAGGCTCTTCCTCACACACTTTCATCTGCATACTCCAGGTTTTAAGCATAAACTTGTATCTGCATCTCTGCTTCCTTTATGACTCTTTAGACCTCAAGTCTTCTTGAATTTTATCATTTTGAATTTATTCTTTGTTTCCTGAACCAGGGTGTTTTCTTTGTTAGGTATACCTTTGATTTAATGTTAAAATGTGTTCACAGGGGCTGGATGCAGTAGCTCATGCCTGTAATCCCAGCACTTTGTGACGCCAAGGCAGGAGGATCACAAGGTCAAGAGATCAAGACATTCCTGCCCAACATGGTGAAACCCCTTCTCTACTAAAAGTACAAAAAAATTAGCTGTGTGAGGTGGCATGCACCTGTAGTCCCAACTACTCGGGAGGCTGAGGCAGGAGAATCGCTTGAACCTGGGAGGTGGAGATTGCAGTGAACTGAGATCATGCCGCTGCACTCCAGCCTGGTGACAGAGTGAGACTCTGTCTCTAAAAAAAATTTGTGTAAGGGTATGTGTCTGTGTCTGAAGCAAGTGGGAGCATCCTGCATCGTTGATACAAAATCAAGTTATGTGTTAAACAGTTTTTTATATGGTTTCTATAATTTCTGTCATTTGAAACAGGAAAGGAGGGGTTGCAATTATGTTCTGAGACTGTCAATTTCAAAATATTCTATTAGTTTTTAGAAATTTATTTGCATAGAGGTAGTAACTGTTAATTGTATTAAAAGATGATTTGAAAGCTTAAAATGGAAAACATATCCACTGATTATTTCTGAGAATTATAAAGATATTATCCTTAGGTTAGGCTATTTTTGTGAGAAAACAACTCACTCACCTCAGCTCATGGTATTCTTGTATTTTCTGGAAACAGTAGTTGAAAATTGCTGCATAGCAATTTATACTTAATAAACTACATATATGTGTGTGTGTGTGTATATATGTATATATATACACAGATATATATATGTATTTTTTTAACAATCTGTTGACATCGGTATTATTCCTTCAGTTTCCTACTGTAATAGAATGTGGCCAAAAAGAAATGGCTTATCACAGATTGTCTTCCCCCAAAGTAGTAAAGAAATCAATCACTCAGACTTGGGAGGTTGCTTCTATGATCTTTTCACTAATACTTACTACTTCCCAGCATAAATTACACTTTAGGCTTCTTTCTTCCTTCTTTTCTTTTTCTTTCTTGCTTCTTTTTTTCTTTCCTTCCTTTGTTTATATTTTCTTTCCTTTTTTAAAAAACAAAATTCTTAATTTGGGTAACTTTCCTTTTAAGGAAGTTGAATCACTTTCTAAAGCAAACAGAACACCAGTAGATTACTAAGCTGACTGTAAATTAAAATCAAGCTTTACTTCCCTGAGACCCAACTAGGTATTAATGAGTACAAAGTAGGTTCATTCAATAGAACATTGAAAAGGGACCATATTTTCACTCCTGCTCTGTCAATATATATATAACACAAAAATATTATCTGCCAGTAAGAATGGCCTTAGTCTATTTATATTCTGTTTAATAAGCACCCTTTCAGCATTGTACAGACAAAAGCTGTATCTTTCTTCTTGATTTCTGCTCTTCAAAATAGGGCATGCTTTAATTTTTAAGAAGGAGAAAATGCCTGTTCGGATGAAAACTAATCACTACACATCATTTTCAAGGGAGAAAGGAACAGCAGATGCTTAAAAGACTAAACAGTGTTCCTTTCCAAATAAATATCTCTGATTATTCTTTCCTGTGGTTGACTAACTGTATAAAACATGATTAGGTCTAACGCTCTATTGATGTATCACAGTCTTAGGCAGAGTTAACAGTATACTTAGCTTGGGCCTGCCTTTCTTTCTTTTCCCATTTTCCTAGCTGCAGTGTGGCATAGCCCTTAGTCGATACAGCAACTCCCTCCTAAGCAAGCATTAAATTGAACACATGAATGGCAGCATTTTAAAGGAGATCTGATAACCCAGACATGCTTGCGGCTTTTAAAGAGGCCACATCAGATAAAAAGAACTACTGGACACTTGAGAGCTGACATATTCTTCTAAAAAAGAAAAGATCTTGAGAAATCAATTGGGCCATAGAGAATATTCTCCAAAAGATCAAATAGGGCAAAAGAATGTTTCTATTTCTCTAGAGCAGCATACAATATTTAGAGAAAATGCTCTTTCAAATAGTCAAATGAATTTATTCATACAGTATTTTTATATAAAGAGTTGAGCCTAATACTTCTGAGAATGACTTTAAAATCTCCCACATTTTGTCAACAATCTTAGACTTTAATCCTAAAAAAAAATCTTGAAAATGTTTTCCATCATCACAGATGCCCAAAGGAAAAATACACTCTTCAAAAAGTGAGTTCATAAATCATTTAGTTTTTCAATACTTAAAGAATGAAATAGAATTTCCTGAAGGCCTTCTGTGTATGTATGGGTGTGTATGTTTGTGTGTGTATGTGTGTGTGTGGGATAGAGAGAGAGAGAAAAAAAAATTAGCAGAATACTGTATATCCAAAGTTCAGCATAATATTAATGATAATCTAATTTCAGAAGAAAATTTAAAAAATATTTCTAATGATACTGATCTTTGAAATCTAGAACTTTATGTAAAAAACCACTCCAAATTGGAAACATATTTGTCATTTTCTAAAGGAACTATGCCTATCAATCAATGGACTACATCTGGTTAGCCATTTGTGTGATTCTTTTCATCATTACAGACCTACATTGATTTTACTAAACAACTGAATGGAATAAGCCTTTAAAAAATAAAAACAAGAACAGAAGAAGGAAGGAAGGAAGGAAGAAACTAAGAAAGAAAGGAAGAAAGAACCTAACCTAAGAAATAAGCAACATGTACCCTCAGACGTTTGGCTCATTGCCAAGCTAAACAAACCTTCACAATTTGCAGAAAGTAAACTTAAATATCGTTGTTGTCAACTTAAAATCAGTGAGTTGGGTGAAAACAATCAAGTACCAAAGTCAGAAGTGTACAACGACTGTCACATTAGTGCCATGAGACATGGCCTCATTTGGTGAAACTGTGTGTATTTTTTAAAGCAGCTGTAGGCAAGCAAATACTTCATGACGTTAAATCAACCACATAAGGAAACTGAAATAAGTAATTACTCTAGGGAAGTGAGCAATTAACAACTGAGCACACATACGGATTTCTTTGAATGTAAGTCAATAAGACTTTATGTTTCCAGAGAAGAATTCTCTCCCAATTATATTTCTCCCTAACAGTAAGAACAGTAGGGTGGGAAGAGTCAATAATACATGCTCAATAAACATGATTTGAATGAATAAATTGGTATTTGTTAAAGAACTATAAAAACTACAGTAATAATGGAGAAAATTTTCTCATACTCCTTTAGATATTTTTGATTATTTTTTCTTCCCCCATGCACTTGCTAATAGTTTCTCTCATGTCTTAGTCCAGTCAGGTTGGTATAACAAATTACCATAGACTGAGTGGCATATAAACAATAAGAATTTATTTCTCGTAGTTCTGGAAACTGGAAGTCTCAGATGAGAGTGCCATTATGGTTTAATTCTAAAGGCTCTCTTCTGAGTTGCAGATGGCAACTTCTTGTTGTGCCCTCTCATGGTGACTGGGGCAAGGCAGCTCTATGGCATGTCTTTCATAAGGGCACTAAAATCCTGTTCAAAAAGGCTCTGCTCTTATGACCTAATCACTCACCAAAGGGCCCACCTCCTAATAGCATCACCTTCAGGGTTAAGACTTTAACGTATGAATTTTTTAGGAACATAAACATTCAGTCTATTGTTCCCTGCATCCAGCCCTCCTAGTACTCTGTGAACCTCTTCCTTTTTTGCTTTCTTCATCCTGTCTCTGGCCTGCTGTTAGTAAAAGACTGTCTATACCACTTACGTTTCCTTAAGCACCTATTCAGTATGTCACATTATACCAACTCCCCCCCTATAAACCACATAATACAGAGAATTCTGAAACCCAATTACCAACTCAAAGATGTATTATGGAATTCTGCCAATCTTTCTTCTTGTTGACTTTCTGGTGGGTTATTTATCTGGAATTGATTTTTCATCTAGATAAATCACTCATGTGTGTCATTGTAACTCTTGGACTAAATTATTGCCTCTTTAATATGTTGTTTGTTGGGCCTAACTTCTGGACTATATTTCTTAGTTTAGAAATATAGAGAAATAAGAGACTGGGGTTTATCCCACAGCCATTAGGAAGAGGAGTCAATACTTGCTTCCTCTACAGTCACTTAAGCGGACCTAACCTCTGCCAGCCAGGAGACCTGTAATCCATATTTTAGTTATTATAAATTAATTGGTATCATAATTTTGTTCAGAAGTAAAAGATCATCATTTGTCTTCCATAAAAAGATGACCAATACTCAGGAAATATTGATTGAAAGTATTCACTGATAAGTATATAAAAAGCAAGGGTTAAAACATACTTGATATGGTCAATATTTTATTTGTACTTTGCTTAAAAAACAAAGATGAGTTGAATGGAAAGAAACAAAAGATTGTACACAATGATTATAGTTTAAATATGATGCTAATTAATGATGCTATTCCTTTTTCATTTCCTTTTCATGAAGATTATTCCAAAATTACTTTAACAATCAGCAGATATGGTGAGTTATTTATATGAATGATTATCATAAAAAGGAAACCAAAGAGAAGGAAAAGCTCAGAGAAAAATATTGATGAAAACATTAGGTACATCAAAAATCACTCTGGGTATATTGATCTGATTCATTCTTCTATGCTTGACAGAGAACATTCAATACTCAGAATTATCCATCTAGCATTTTGACATTGCCCTTTGGAGAGTAATTATCAGTACTAATTTATGTAATTTTTTTAGTCCGGCAGAAGGTTTCAGAACTCACATATGCCTGTGTATTTTAACTTTATACCTTGAATGTACTCTATTTACAATTTAGGCAATATAATATGACTAGCATAATATTACATGAAATTATATTTTCAAAATGGAAATTATTTCTCAGGGATTTTTTTTAAAAGAAGGTTTCAAAAAGTATTTTCAGTTTTAAAGAAAACCAATGTTTTTCCTTTTTTCTGAGATAGTACGTGTATAGCTATCACTTGCAAGGAATAAAACCACAGAAATTAATAGGACATGTGCCTGAAAAAAAATATTTGGAAGATATAGGGCAGTGCCATCAAATATACATAAAATGTTATCCACATATGGAATTTTAAGTCATCTAGCAGTCACATCAAAAATAAGAAGAACCCGGTAAAATTATTTTTATAATTGCGGTACCATAAAAACGTATTTGGTCTTCTCTTCTGGTTTCTGGCACAGCACTCCACTGGAAGCTGAGTCTCCAGAAAGACCAACCCTTTGTTAGAAGTTTGGAACTTTCAGCTGCACCCCCTCAACCTCAGAGAAGGGAGAAAGGCTGGATTGAGTTCAAGCACCAGTGGCCAATGATTTAATCAATCATGTCTACATAGTGGAAGCTCATAAAAATCCCTAAATGATGGGGATTGGAGAGTTTCCAGGTGGGTGAACACACTGAGGTACTGGGAAGGCAGCATGGAAACTCGGCACCTCTTCACCTCCCACTACCTCGCCCTACACATTTCTTCCATTTGGCTGTTCCTGAGTTGTATCCCTTATAATAAACCATTAATAGTAAGTAAAATCATTTCCTGAGTTCCGTGAGTCATTCTAGCAAATTATCAAACATGAAGGGTTGGGGGGAGGTTGTGGGAACCCCTGATTTGTAGTAAAGTTAGAGAGAAGTGTGGGTAACCTGGAGACCAATATTTGAAATTGGAGTCTTGCCATTGACTCTTGATAGACCTCCAGGTAACCCACAATTCTCTCTAACTTTGCTACATACTGGGCTGTGAAATCAAACCCTAACTGCCTGGAGGCTGCTTTCATTCTGGCTAGGTAGCGTCAGAGGTAAATTGAATTGTAGGGCACCCAGTTGGGGTACCATCATTTTTCTTCTGAATGCTGAGTCTTTCCTTTGCTTCTCTGTGGAGATCAATCCATTCTAGCGTGGCATGAAAGGCCTATTGAATCTCTATGTAAACTAAAGCCCAGGACAGGTCTAGGTTTTGAAAAGGGATGGAAACCTTTTTGAGTTATTTAATACTTATGTCCAACCCCACTAAACAAAATACACAGCATGTGTTACACAAATCAAATGTGTAACACCCATATTTCTAGATATTCACTCTTGAATTTTCAGAATGTCAGCAGGACACTGCCCATGCCTGACCATCCTCAAATATTATGTAACTCTGGTTAGTGCGTCAGCATTAGTGAATGTAAGGAGGGAGTGACAAACTGGAAAAGGGATAAAATAAGGGGGAGATCCAATATCAGTTAAGTACATCTAAGAAGTGTTATGTCAAAATCAACATTGAGAAGGCCATTCCGAATTTGGTTGTGTTCAGTTTCATAATTACATAATTTACTTGTCAAATATCCATGAAGTCCTGTGATTTGCTTTAAAGACAGATACCCTGTGAAGGCTGACACGTTAGACTTTAGATATCAGTCACTTAGCAGTCATTTCATACCAGGGAATCATTTAATTTGCCTGGTCTTTAGAGAATAATAGAATAATACCTCTCTTATACGACTGCTTTCAATTAATCTCACACACACACACACACAATATGAAAATACTTTGAACACTGCATGACACCTGCTAATGATTTATTACATGACAACAGCACATTTCTGACCTAGCGAATACGAAGATGGCACTATTAGCAAACCAAAGTCTCTCTTTGCTTAATATAATTTTAACAAATATATTTATAGGAAAAATTTAGCTACTGATAAACGTTCTTAACAATTCTTCTGACGGTTTGTGGTAAAGTAATTATGAACTTGATTAAATCAAACTTATTCTTCATTTAATATGATAATTTTTTTCTTAAAAAATTATTCAAACACTCTGTTTGGTATTTGGGATGTTCTGTTTCTTCATGTTGCCAAACTAGATAGACAGGAAAAAATAGGATAAATTAATCATTACTAGAAATAATTTGAAAGACTGTTTAACTTTATCTTGACATCAATATGGTATAGAAACAAATTTGAATTAGTTTGACAGTGCACATAAATAAATCCTGTAATATGTAATTTCTGGATCATAGTGAAATCCAATTCTCAATTTAATTTTAACCTAATGCTATGCTCGTAGATATTAAAATGGGCATTTTCATAACTTTTTATTTACAAAGAAGAGTAAAGTTTAAATTATATCGGTAATATTCACATAGTATAGAGAAATAGAGCTAGCATCTATGTTTTATGTAAAATTCCAGCTCCTTTCAGTTGCGATTTTTTTTGGGGTTTCAATGAAATTATGTATTTACCAACATAAACAGATTTTAAAATTTACTATTTTCAATTAGCTACTGCTTGTGAATGTGTGCAAAAATTAAAGTCTTTATAATCACTAGACTGGGATCTTTATGCCATCAGTTTTCTTTAAATTAGTATAAGGCACAGTCATGTGGGTGAAATATGTTAAATTTGAGCCAGGTGTGTTGAAGACAAAGTCCTTGTTTAACTCTTTTACTTAATACATAAGTGAGAAAGGTAACTTTTAAACTGCCCTTGCAAAAATTATAATAGTAAGAAAATTATGGCAGTGAAAGAGATCAGACCTAACCAACTCCATCTTTTCTTTAACCTTCAAACTACCCTTAGCTGTTCCTGAGCATGGACCAAGTTAAGTTTGGAAGAAATTTAGTTTATAGTTTAAGAGATAATAGCTCTTTCAAAAACTAAACCACCTTTGTAAAACCAATGAAAAGAAACCAGGTTGGGAGAATGAGAGGGGCCTAAATTCTGCTAAGATGTAGGCATAGTTAAGTAATTACCAGCCATTATTCCAGAGGTCACAAGATTTGCAACTTCCCCAATTACTCCTGTAACAAACATTCCTATTGTAGAACCTAAAATTGGCTGTTTGAGATGTCTTCTTAGGCTTTTGCATTTCTGAAGACCGATGGCCACACCTAGACCAAAGACTCCTTTGTGGCCCCCACCCAGAAGCAGATTCAGTGCACTAGGACTATTTTCCACAACCCTACTTTTGCATCCCCAACCAGTCAGCCTCCATTACCTAGGCTCCTGCCCACCAAACTATCCTTGAAAAGCTCTAGCCTCCAAATTTTTTGGGAGGTGGATTTCAGTAGTAATAAAACTGTGGTCTCTAGTTTAGCTGGCTCTACTCATATTAATATAACTCTTTCCCTTTGCAATTCCCCATCTTGATAAATTGGCTCTGTCTGGGCAGTGGGCAAAAAGAACCCATTAGGTGGTTATACTTTTAGCTCATTAAGAGTAGAAATCCACTCTGAATGTGTACTCAGTAAGATATCCTGCATCAAGTAACTTGCCCCTCCAAATGGGAGGACTACAGTGTCTCCTGCTCAGTGCAGTGATGCTTTTCTTTAAGTGCATATAGAAATGTTCATATTTTACCTGAGTGGGCTGACAGTTCAACACATTGCCATCTTGTGTTGACAATGCATACTTCAATTTGGTATTAGAGACACATTTCCTTATACTTCTGGGTTTAAATTATGCAGTTTTTCTCAGTGCCACTGTTTTCTTGTGGGTATAACAATAATACTTACTTTACAAGGCTGGTGCAAATATTAATTGAACAAATAGATGCCTAGTAAACGGAATTGTGAAAGGCACATTGTAAGGATTCTATAATTGCTTTTATTATTATCAATATTATTATTATTAATCTATCCATGAAAATTATCCAGCTTATTACTACCAGAAAGGAAATGTTGAAAGACAATAAAGTTAAATGCAAACTGCATAAAATGACTTTATAATATTAAGAGATACAGACTTGTATTTGAATATATTAGCAAAAACAATGGAATTATAAATATGTATTTTCCATTTTTTCTAGCAAACAATAATTTATTTATATGAAAAATGTATAGTTAGAAAAGCCAGTGTGGTTCATAATTGCTGATGTACAAATTCCTTGATTTAAAGCAAAAATCCACTTTAATATGGCAGCATATATTACCATATTCTTATTTGAAAAATGTTATTTCAACTCCTCCAAAGATACAGTGACAGAAAGTGTTATTTTAATTTATTTGCCATATGCAATCCTGTTTCCTCTCCTTAAATTAAGAAAAATGCATAGAGTGTTTCCCATCAGGTAGCTCCTATTTGGATGAAAACTCTTAAAACTCAATGAAGAGCACTCTGTTTTCAGTAACTCCTGTTAAAAACACAAACACAGGTTACGGCCAGGTGGAAGTGAAAATTTTGACTTTTTTTCTGGATAGAAATGTGGAATTACAAATATGTCACCTCTGAACTAGGTACATATCCAGCTAATCTAGCACAGCTAGATAATCACAACTCTACCGGAGTACTGTGTAGATTTTGCAGTGTGGGGAACAAAGTCTATGCTTGCTGGTAGGAAGATCACCTGAAGAGTGAAGAAAGAAGGGGCTGATTTGCTCAGACTGTAATTTGCTCCCTAGTAATCAGGGAAGTCATACCTCATCCCATAGGGAAGAATGACAAGTAACAGAAAAAGGGTAAGGATATGGCTCTTTGGAGGGTTCTGGACAGAAAAGTTGAAGCAGAGAAAAATTACATATTCAGATAGAAAAACAAATTTATTGAACAACGATCCAATAGATTATTAAAATAGGTACCATTTTTGTTTAGGTTTATGTTTTGTGAAATTGATTTATGTTTTGTGAAATTTATGATTTCACAATTTTTTGTTTTGTGAAATTGTACATAATTTATGTTCTGTGAAATTGTTGATCTATGTTTTGTGAAATTGTACATAATCTATTATTTCTTTCAATAGATATTTTAATTTAAAGTATGAAATAATTAACACTGCTAGTCATTAATTTTTACCCTGAAACACAATCTTGCCTCAAATTTTCAGAACATTATTTTTTATTTAGTATATCACTTCATAAATAGCCACAACCCTCAAAGATGTAAATTAAGGACAGCAAGGTTTAAAATCAATAATTCCTTTAAGCCTTTACAATATTTTTTAAAGTAGTGCCAGGAAATAAGACATGCTGGCTTTCACTTTCAGTAACCTGAAAATAATAGCATAAATTATGTAAGTAACCTCTTATTTAACAGAGTTGTATCATATTTTTTACTCTAAGTTCCTTGTTTAGTATGACAAAGCTCTACTTTCTAGATCAGTGGTTCTCAAAGACAATGATTTTCTCCCAGGAAGATTTCTTAGGAGGCATTTGGCAATGTCTGGAGAGAGTTTGGGTTGTGATAAAACAAGGAAGACACTACTATTGGCAACTAGTGAACAGAGATCACAGATGCTGCTGAACATCCTAAAATTCAAGTGGCAGCTTTTACAACATAGAAGTGGCCAAAAATGTCAGTTGTGCTGAGGTTCAGAATCTTTGTTTTAGATGCATGTTATTTGACTTAAGATTTGTATTAATATCAAAGGGACAACTTTGGGGCTTGAAGATGGCTGACTAGAGGGACCTGACACTTGCCTTCTCCACAAAGAAGGACCAAAACAGCAAATAAATAATCACACGTTGAATAGAGTGTCTGAGAGAGAACAGTAGAATTCAGCAGAGAAATCACAGGAAAGCTCTGAGATACACACAGAAGAGAGAAGCAAAGCAGTTCACTGGTCAGGATTGGCTGGGAGCCTCAGGAGAGAGAAACTTCCCAGCGTAGGAAAAAGGTAAATGAGAGATCACCTGCGGTCCTCATTTCCACCATGAACGTCTGCTATCTGCAAGCGGAGAAGCCCCTTGGCCCTTGCAGGCCCTGAGACCAGTATAGGAAGCCGTATAGAGTCCATATGATTGTATTGTTCCAAAGTGGGAGTTCATGCTGGATCATATCAACCTCCTTGCCACCCCATGCTAGACTCAAGCAGCTACAGGAGGGTACCATTTTGAGAGCCCATCAGCTACCAGACTATATCCTTCCCTGGGACCCAATAGCCACTGTTTTTCCCCTTCCCTTGAGACCCCTGCTGACATCTCCCTAGATCCACTCAGAGATCTGCAGTATCAGGACACAGACTGAACCTGTCACTGTTGCCAGGTCCCCAGGACTCTAGACTTCGCAGTGTCCTACAGCCTGGGAAAAGTGCATGCATCACACCAGGGAGTCTGCCCGTGGAACAAGACAAAGGAAGCCAAAGCATTTGATGCCCAGAGTCTGAGAGACCCTGCCCAGGGCCACTGTCACAGACACTAACCTCCCACTCCAAGCAGCAGGACCACTGCTCATCTGCATGTGCCTTCAGGGGGCCCAGGGGCCAACCTGCCCAGAAACCATCTGGGGTTTAAGAATATTCCAATTCTTGCGATAGTTTGCTGAGAATGATGGTTTCCAGCTTTATCCATGCAAACTGTCGCAAGGACAAAAAACCAAACACCACATGTTCTCACTCATAGGTGGGAATTGAACAATGAGAACACATGGACACAGGAAGGGGAACATCACACACCGGGGCCTGTTGTGGGGTGGGGGGAGGGGGGAGGGATAGCATTAGGAGATATACCTAATGTTAAATGACGAGTTAATGGGTGCAGCACACCAACATGGCACATGTATACATATGTAACTAACCTGCACATTGTGCACATGTACTCTAAAATTTAAAGTATAATAAAGAAACAAATAAAAAATAAAAAATTGAAAAAAAAAAGAAAAAAGAATATTCCAATCTTGCCTAGTGACCCTAGCACCGTGCATGCCATTTGGGAGCCTGAGGACAACTCAACCTACCACCATTGGCACCCTTGCATGCTGTCTGGGGGCGTGAAAATTCAAGTATACTGTCCTGCTGCTGCCAGTGCCAGCTCACACAATCAGGAGACTGGAGGACTGGCCTGCCCCACCCTCACCTTCCTGCAGCAGTGCACATGAATACCACCGGGGGGCCTGAAAACAGTTCTGCCCTGCCCATTGCCATCTCCATTAGCACCCAAGCATGCTGTCTAGGGGCCGAAAAATGAATCTTCATAAATTTAAATAAATTAAAATCATATCAAACATCTTCCCACATCATAATAGAGTAAAATTAGAAATCAATACCAAGTAGAACTTTGGAAACTGTACAAATACATGGAAATTAAGCAACATGCTCCTGAGTGACCACTGGTTCAATAAAGAAATTAAAAATAAATTAAAACATTTTTTGAAACAAATGAAAATAGAAACACAAATACCAAAACCTAGGGGGTAGAGCAAAGGCAGTGGTAAGATGGAAGTTTGTAGTTATAAATACCTACCTCACAAAGAGTAGAAATATTTCAAATAAACAACCTGATTACTTGCCACCTCAAAAAGCTAGGAAAACAAACAAAAAAAGCAAATAATCAAACTCAAAATTATTAATTTTTTAAATTTAAATTTTTATTTAATTTAGTTATTTTTTAGAGACTGGGTCTCCCTCTGTTGTCCAGGCTGGCCCTCAAGTGATCCTCCCGTTTTGGCCTCCCAAAGCACTGTGATTATAGGTGACAGCCACTGCACTCAACCCAAACTCAAAATTAGTAGAAGAAAATAAATCATAAAAATCAGAGCAGAACTGGATAAAATAGAGACTAAAAATTTACAAAGTATCCATGAAACAAAAAGTGTTTTTTTGAAAAAAGATAAACAAGATCAATAAACTGATAGTTTGACTAACCAAGAAAAAGAGAGAGAAGACATAAAAAAGTAAAAGTAAAAATTAAAAAGGAGACATTAAACTGGTATCAGAAAAATAAAAAATATCATTAAAAACTGTTATGAAGCACTATATGCTAACAAATTGGAAAATCTAAAGAAAATGGATAAATTCCTAGATACACATAACCTACCAGGATTGCATAAAGAAATTAAAAATTTGAACAGATCAATAAGAAGTAACAAAATTGAAGCAGTAATAAGTCTCCCATCAAAGAAAAGCCCAGAACCTGATGGCTTAACTGCTGAATTTTATCAAATTTATCAAGAAGAACTAAAATGAATTTCTCTGAAACTATTCAAAAAAAATTTAAGATGAGCCCTCTATGAGGCCAGCATTGCCCTGATACCAAATCCAGGAAAGGCATAACAAAAATAGAAAACCACAGGCCAATACTCCTGAATAACATAGATGCAAAATTCCTCAACAAAATACTAGTAAAACAAATCAAACAACATAGCAAAATACACCATGATCTAGTGGGATTTATCAAAGGGACACAAGTATGGTTCCACATATGTAAATGGATAAATGTAATACATCACATGAACAGAATGAAGGACAAAAATTGTAATATCACCTCAATAAATACATAAAAAGCACCTGATAAAATTCCGAATCCTTTATGATAAAAACTCTCAAGATATTAGGCACGGAAGGAACATAGCTCAACATAGTAAAGAAAATATATTGCTGACCCATAGCTAACATCATATTGGATGGGGAAAAGCTGAAATCTTTTCCCCTAAAAACTAGAGAAAGATAAGAATGCCCACTTTCACCGCTGTTATTCAACATAGTATTAGAAGTTCTGGCCAGAACAGGCAGGCAAGGGGAAGAAATAAAAGGAATTCAAACTGGAAAAAAGAAGTCAAAATGTATCTCTTTGCAGATAAGATGATCTTATATATTTAAAAACAAACAAAACACTAAGACTCCACCAAAAAAAAAAAAACCATTTAGAACTAATAAATGAATTCAGTAAAGTTGCAGGATACAATTTCAATATATAAAAATCACTAACATTTCCACACACCAAAAACAAATTAGCTGAAAAAGAAATTTAAAAGGCAATCCCTTTTATAAAAGCTAGAAAAAAAAATATCTAGAAATAAATTTAACCAAGAAGTCAAAAGACCTCTGCAAGGAAAACTACAAAACACTGATGAAAGAAATTGAGGAGGATACAGATAAATAGCAAAAATCTTCTGCTCATGGAATGGAAGCATTAATATTGCTTAAATGTCTATACCACCCAAAGTGATCTACAGATTCAATGTAATCTTGATCAAAGTAACAATGGCATTCTTTGCAGAAATAGAAACAAAAATTCTAAAATTTGTATGACACTATAAAAGACCTGAATAACCAAAGCAATCTGAACCAAAGAACCAAACTGGAAGCCATCACACTACTTGACTTCAAAATATACTCCAAAGCTGTAATAACCAAAACATCAAGGTACTAACATGAAAACAAACAAGACCAATGGTACAGAATACAAAACCCAGAAATAAATCCAAATATTTACAGCCAACTGATTTTTTGATAAAGAGCCCAAAAATATACATTGGTGAAAGGACACCCTCTTCAATAAATGGTTCTAGGAAACCTGAATATCTATTATGCAAAAAGAATGAAACTATATTCCTATCTCTTGCTGTATAAAAAATTAACTCAAAATGAATTAAATACTTCACTATAAGACCTGAAACTATAAAAATACTAGAAGAAAACCTAGGCAATACTCACATGGACATTGATTTAGGCAAAGAGAATTTATGACAAAGACCTCATAAGCTCAGGCAACAAAAGCAAAAATAGATAAATGGGACTATTAAATTAAAAAGCTCTGCATAGCAAAGGAAAAAGTCAGCAGAGTGAGAGACAACCTGTACAATGGGAGAAAATATTTGCAAACTAATCATCCAAGAAGGGACTAATATCCAGAATATATCAGGAACCCAAACAATTGAACTGCAAAATAATAATAGAATCCCATTAAAAAGTGAAAAAAGAACATTTTTCAAAAGAAGACCAGTATAAATAGCCAACAGATACATGAAAATAAGTTCAACATTACTAATGATCAAGAAAATGCAGATCAAAACTACAATAAGCTATCACCTCATCCCAGTTAGAATGGCTACTCTCAAAAACACAAAATATAGCAAATGCTGGCAAGGATGCAGAGAACAGGGAACTCTTATAGACTATTGGTGGAATGTAAATTAGTATAGCCATTATGAAATACAGTGTGGAGAGTTCTCAAAAACTGAAAATAGAATTACAATATAATCTAGCAATTTCAATACTATGTATTTATCCAAAGGAAAATAAATCAGTATATCAGAGTAATACCCGCACCCCAATGTTTTGTGGAGCACTACTCACAATAACAAAGATAGGAAACAACCTCAGTATCCATCAATGAACAAATAAATAAAAAAAGTTATAACTTTATGGTATAAAATAAAACATAGTATATATAACATTTATAGAAAGCGCTCTCTCTCTCTGTGCATGTATATGGTTGAATAGTATT
Source organism: Homo sapiens (assembly GCF_000001405.40). Classification (NCBI taxonomy): domain Eukaryota; kingdom Metazoa; phylum Chordata; class Mammalia; order Primates; family Hominidae; genus Homo; species Homo sapiens. The sequence goes on from NC_000021.9 coordinate 18,729,182, forward strand.
TAGCTATAAAAAAGAATGGAATCCTGTCATTTGCAGTAACGTGGATAGAACTGGAGGTCATTATGTATAAAGTAAAATAAGCCAGGCTCAGAGAGATATCACACATTCTAGCTCATATGTGGGAGCTAAAGAAGTGTATCTTGTGGAGGTAGAGATTAGAATGATAGTCACAAGTGTGTAGAAAGGGTGGGGAAGTGGAAGAAGCAAGGTTGGTTAATGGGTACAAACATACATATCGATAGCACAGAAGGCTAATTATCTATAATTGTTATCTATAACAACAAAGTAATTTTGGAATATAATAATTTTTCTCACTGTTTAAAACATAAGATATGTCTGTGGATCTAAGGAAAGTTGTCTAAGATTCATATGATTTAATAACATCCAGATACTTAACCAGGTACACTTAGGAATTTATGTTGAATTGTACAATATTTTGAGAAAAAATGATTATTTGCTAAATAGTGTGAGAATAACTTTCTAGAATACATGATCAGCAAGTGCAAGGATTATTTTCTATTTTGGTCAATGCTATGTCTTCAGGGCCTAGCATATATCGACAATAAATAATTGTGAGATGAATAAGTAAATCCTAAAATTCCAAACCATTTCAATTTAGTGATATAAGTTTTTAAGCTTTCACTGCAACTAGCTTTTGCCCCTTGCAAATATCTGAGATATATCCTATAATGGGTAAATACTTACAAGTTTAAAATGTTTTTATATACATAGGGAATTAAGACTTTTTGCTTAAACAATTCTCATATCCTTGTAATGAGTCAGAAATTTGTATCCCTAATTGACAGTAGAAGATTATGGATAAGGCAGACTCTGAATGGTGCTCAACTAATAGTCATTCTCTTCTTCCTTAGAGCAACCTCATTTGGATGGAGCAGCAAAGTGCCAACTGGAAGACGTGGAATCCCAGCTTCTCTTACAGTGTGTGGTGGCCCCTGACAAGAAGGTTCTTACCTGTCAGATATGGGTAGATAAATTTGGGGTTTTTGTCTTTTCAAAGATATAATGTTTATCCTTGTCTTGAACTTATCCTTTTACCAGCCCTTCTTCCCCACTGGAACCCAGCCACAGTGCTTGAAATGCACGCCTCTATACATTTTAAGAAAAACAATCCTTCATTTTGTTTAACCCATTTTATTGTTTTGATGATATATTTGTAGTATGTAGCTGAACTTACGCTTAACATAGGCATGGTGGCTTAGAAAGTTATATATCTAGCATGGCCAAATCTAAATTGTCAAGTCCATGTTTAAAAACTCAACTTATCCATCTCCACAATTCATGTACTTTTCATAATGCTGCACTTTCTTTTGAAAGTCCTAGATGCTCAATCCAGTGCTCATCATTAGTATGTCCATTATATACCTTCCATATTTTATATTCTTTCAAATACAACTCCAGGGAAAATAATATACAAAATAGGATTTCAAATAGAAGAATGACTAAAAATGAACAGATCTCAGTGCTCATTTATAAGTTTGTCCTTTAAGATGTCTTCATTGAGTTAAGAAACACCTGGGGCTATTTTAAATGAAAATTGTTTTTTCAAGATTTTTTTTATCATTTAGACCAAGATAAACGCTATGATTTTTTTCTAGCAATAGCAACTTCTTTTGTTATAAAATATGGTCTTACTTTAAAAAGAAAAATCATTAAAATAAAAATATATTGGCAGAATCCTATCAAAAATGGTTCCTATTAATGACAGATGGACATGTTAAAAAATCCTCGAAGTTTTATTTTCAAATTCTATAAGTTATTTCGTTTCTGAAATAAATCATAACTTTATTAAACATGGATGATAGAGTAAAATTCATTTTCTGCTTCCAGGCAATACATGTTGGGAGGAGACATAAAATGTATTCATAAAGATAAAAACTTGAAAGTATAGGATGTCATAGGAAGTTCACTGCATTTATACTTAGAGATGTACTATAAACCAAGTTCAAACATTAATTGAATGAGCAAGAACAAATATTTTAACTTCCTTAAACTTTGTTCTATCATTTAGAAAATGAGATCTTGTTATATTTGCCAAATGCTTTGATTTTTAAAAGGTTAAAAAAATTATGCAATTTCTTTGAAAACTGGTAGACCTAAAAAACATATTAGCTATGTTTGAATACAAAAAATAAATTAGAAAAATAATTTAGTTTTATATTTATTATGACAGTCTTGAGGTTGAGACGATTAAGACATGATACTAAATAATTAACTAAAACAAAAACCGAATAATTACAAGATATCTCTAAAAGTTTAATGTTGCATCAAACACCGTGTGTTAATTTGGATCTATACATTCATACTTTTAAAAATGTATAGGTTTTGTTTTTTAATTTTTAATTTTTGAGAGTACATAGTAGGTGTATATATTTATGGGGTATGTGAGATGTTTGGATACAGGTATGCAATGTGTAATAAGCACATCATGAAAAATGAGGTGTCCGCCGCTCAAGCATTTATCCTTTGTGTTACCAACATTCCAATTATACTTTCAGTTATTTTAATATGTACAATTAAATTATTTACTATAGTCACTCTGTTGTGCAATCCAAAACTAACTCTTATTCTATTTTTTGTGTGTACCCATTAACCATCCCCATCTCCCCTCTACCTGCCCCCAATACCCTTCCAAGCCTCTGATAACCATCTTACTCTCTGTCTCCATGAGTCCAACTGTTTTGACTTTTAGATTCCACAAATAAGTGAGCACATGCAGTGTTTGTATTTCTGTGTCTGGCTTATTTAACATGACATAATGACCTGCAGTTCCATTCATGCTGTTGCAAATGACAGGATCCCATTCTTTTTATAACCAAATAGTATTCCATTGTGTATAATGATAATATTTTCTTTATCTATTTATCTGTTTCTGATATGGTTTGGCTCTGTTCCCACCCAAATTTCACCTTGAATTGTAGCTCCCATAATTCCCACGTTGTGGGAGGGACTCAGGGGGAGATAATTGAATCATGGGGGCAGTTCCCCCATGCTGTTCTCAAGGTAGTGAATAAGTCTCACAAGATCTGATGGTTTTTATAAGGGGAAACCCCTTTCACTTGGCTCTCTTTACTCCCACCACCATATAGGAAGAGCCTTTCACCTTCTGCCATGATTGTGAGGCCTCCCCCACCACATGGAACTGTGAGTCCATTAAACCTCTTTTTCTTTACAAATTACCAGTCTTGGGTTTGTCTTTATCAGCAAGATGAAAACGGACTAATACAGTAAGTTTGGAGGGCTCAGAAGAAGACAAGAAAATGTAGCAAAGTTTAAAACTTACTAGAGACTTGTTGAATGGCTTTGACCAAAATGCTGATAATTATATGGACAATGAAATTCAAGCTGAGGTGGTCTCAGATGAAGAGGAGAAACTTGTTGGGAACTGGAGTAAAGGTGACTCTTGCTATGTTTTAGCAAATAGACAAGTGACATTTTGCCCCTGCACTAGAGATTTGTGGAACTTTGAACTCGAGGGAGATGATTTAGGGCATCTGGTGGAAGAAATTTCTAAGGAGCAAAGCATTCAAGACGTGACTTGGATGCTGTTAAAAGCATTCAGTTTTAAAAAGCAAACAGGGCATAAAAGTTTAGAAAATTTGCAGCCTGGTGATGGGATAGAAAAGAAAATTCCATTTTCTGAGGAGAAATTCAAGCCAACTGTAGAAATTTGCACAAGTAACCAGGAGCCAAATGTTAATTCCAAAGACAATGAGAAAAATGTCTCCAGGGCATGTCAGAGACCTTTGCAGAAGCCCCTCCCATCAGATGCCCAGAGGCCTAAAAGGAAAAAATGGTTCTCTGGGCTGGGCACAGGATCCCACTGCTGTGTGCAGCCTAGGGACTTGGTGCCCTGCATCCCAGATGCTCTAGCCATGGCTAAAAGGGGCCAAGGTACAGCTCCAGTCAGGGCTTTAGAGGGTGCAACCCCCAAGTCTTGGCAGCTTCCATGTGGCATTGAGTCTGTGGGGGCACAGAAGTCAAGAACTGAGGTTTGGGAACCTCCATCTAGATTTCAGAGGATATATGGCAACATCTGGATGTCCAGGCAGAAGTTTGTTGCAGGGGAAGAGCCCTCATGGAGAACCTCTGCTAGGGCAGTGTGGAAGGGAAATATGGAGGGGAAGCCCCTAACACAGAGTCCCTACTGTGGCACTGCCTAGTGGAGCTGTGAGAAGAGGGCCACCATCCTCCAGACCCCAGAATCATAGATCCACCAACAGCTTGCAAGGTGCCCCTGGAAAAGCTGCAGACACTCAACCCCAGCCCGTGAGAGCAGCTGGGAGGGAGGCTGTACCCTGCAAAGCCACAGGGGTGGAGCTGCCCAAGATCATGAGAACCCACCTCTCGCATCAGTGTGACTGTAAGACAGGGAGTCAAAGGAGATCATTTTGGAGCTTTAAAATTTGACTACCCTACTGGATTTTGGAATTGCATGGGGCCTGTAGTGCTGTCATTTTGGTCAATTTTTTCCTTTTGGAATGGGTTATTTACCCAATGCCTGCACCCCCATTTTATCTAGGAAGTAAATAACTTGCTTTTGATTTTACAGGCTTGTAGGCAGAAGGGACTTGCCTTATCTCAGACGAGACTTTGGACGGTGGACTTTTGAGTTAATGCTGAAATGAGTTAAGCCTTTGGGAGATTGTTGGGAAGGCATGATTGTGTATTGAAATGAGAGCACATGAGATTTGGGAGGGGCCAGGGGTGGAATAATATGGTTTGCCTGTATCTTCACCCAAATTTCATCTTGATTTGTAGCTCCCATAATTCCCACGTGTTGTAGGAGGGGCCCGGGGGCAGATAATTGAATCATGGGGGTGGTTTTCCCAATACTGTCCTTGTGGTAGTGAATAAGTCTCATAAAATCTGATGGTTTTATAAAGGGAAACCTCTTTTGCTTGGCTCTTTCTCTCTCTTGCCAAGTAGTGCCTTTCATCTCTGCCGTAATTGTAAGGCCTCCCCCACCAGATAGAACTGTGAGTCCACTAAACCTGTTTTTCTTTATAAATTACCCAATCTCTGATATGTCCTTATCAGCAGTGTGAAAATGGACTAATACAGTTTCCAAATCTTGGCTATTATAAACAGTGCTGCAACAAACATAGGGGTGAAGATGTATCTTCCATATACTGATTTCCTTTCTTTTGAATGTATAATCCAGGTACCGCTGGATTATATGGTATCTCTATTTTTAGTTTTTTTGTGGAACCTCAAAACTGTTCTTCAGAATGATTGTACTAATTTATATTCCCACCACAAGTGTACAAGGGTTCCCTTTTTACATCTTCACTGGTATTTGCTATTGCCTGTCTTTTGGATAAAAGCCATGTTAACTAGGGTGAGATGATATTTCATTGTAGTTTTGATTTGCATTTCTCTGATGATCAATAATGTTGAGCATATTTTATATACCTATTTACCATTTATATAACTTCTTTTCAGAAATGTCTGTTTATTACCCACTTTTAAATCAGATTATTTGATTTTTTTTCTTATAAAGTTGCTTGAGCTCCTTATATATACTGGTTACTAAATTGCCAGATGGGTAGTTTACAAACATTTTCTACCATTCTATGGGTTGTCTCTTTACTTTGTTGATTGTGTCCTTTGCTATGCAGAAGGTTTTTAACTTGAGGTGAACCCATTTGTCCATGTTTGCTTTGGTGCCCTGTGCTTATGGAGTAGTATTCAATAAAGTTTTTGCCCAGACCAATGCCTGGAGAGTTTCCTCGGTGATTGCTTGGGGTAGTTTCATAGTTTGAAGTCTTAGATATAAGCTTTTAATCCATTTTGACTTGATTTTTGTATATGGTGATAATCTAGTTTCATTCTTCTGTATATGGATTATCAGTTTTCCCAGCACCATTTATCGAAGAGACTCTCTTCCCCAGTGTGTGTTCTTGGCACCTTTCTTGAAAATGAGTTCACTGTACAGGTGTGGATTTGTTTTCGGTTTCTCTATTCCATTCCACTGGTCTGTCTGTTTCTATGCCAGTACCGTGTTCTTTGGGTTACTATAACTGCAGTGTGATTTGAAGTCAGGTAATGCAGTTTCTTCTGTTTTGTTCTGTTTTTTTCACTTAGAATAGCTTTAGCCATTCTTGGTCTTTTTTGGTTTCATATAAATTTTAGGTTTTTTTTTTCTATTTCTCTGAAAAGTGCCATTGGTATTTTGATAGATATTACATTGAATCTGTAGATTATTTTGGGTAATGTGGATGTTTTAACAATATTGACTCTTCTAATCCATGAACGTGGGGTATCTTTCCCTTTTTTGGTGTCCTCTTCAATTTCCTTCAACAGTGTTTTATGGTTTTTATTAGAGAGATCTTTGACTTCTTTGGTTAATTCCTAGGTATTTCATTTTATTTATAGCTATTGTAAATGGATTACTTTTCTGATTTATTTTTCAGATTGTTTACTTTTGGCACATAAAAATACTCCTGATTTTTGTATGTTGTTTTGTGTCCTGCAACTTTACTGAATTTGTTTATCAGTTCTAATAGTATTTTGGTGGTGACTTTAGGTTTTTCCAAATATAGTATCATATCATCTGCAAACAATGATAATTTTATTTTTCATTTTCCATTTGGATGCCTTTGATTTCCTTCATTGTTATTCAACATAGGACTTCACAGTACTTGTTGAATATCAGATCAATGCCCCAGAGAATAAAAATGGGCAACCTTATCATCCAGACCTTAGAGGAAAGGCTTTCAGTTAAGATGTGTATTTTTTGTATTTCATCTACAATTATTAAAATAAGCATAGCTTTTAAGCATTATTAGCATTAAGAAGAATATCTAAAAAGATAACATATTGATATGTTTATTTCTATAGTATCAAGAATTTAGGAAAAAAATAAGGAAATATGCTTTTTAAAAGAAGGATAGCCCATACATGGTGTCTCACACCTGTAATGCTAGCAATTTGGGAAGAGGGCAGTTTGCTTGAGCCCAGGAGTTGGGGACCAGCCTGGGAAACATGGCAAAACCCACTTTCTACTGAAAAAAAACAAAAAACAAAAAAATTAGCCAGGCATGGTGGTACATGCCTGTAGTCCCAGCACCTTGGAAGGCTGAGTTGGAAGGATCAACTGAACCCAGAAAGCCAAGGCTGCAGTGAGCTGAAATTGCACCACTGCACCCCAGCCTGGGCAACAGGAATGAGACCCTGTCTCAAAAAAACAAATAACGAAAAGAAAAGAAAAAGGCTAAAACTATGATTCACTTAATCATACGTAAAATGTTTTACCTTCTAAATAGAGAAGCTACAAAACCTCACAAAAGAACATAATAGGAAATCTGAACAATAGAAAGAAGTACCATAATATTGGGCAAGAAGATATATGTTTAAAAGTACCTATTCTTTCAGAATCAATGCATGATTTTAAAATTCTAACTAATATTCTCTTTTTATAAGGGGAATAATATAAACTATTTTAGAACAGTGAAGAAATAATGGAAAATAAAGTGATACAATAGGAATCATCTCAGTAATTATTCCATTAGTAACATATTCTAATGCCATCATAATCAAATTAGTATTGTAGTAACAAGCTCAGGTGGCTAGATCAGTGCGCAACACAGATAATTCAGAAATAGGTCTAAGTGTATATGAGAATGTAACATATAAAACAGGTAATATTTTAATTCATAGGAAAGGACAGTTAATTTTTATAAATTGTGTGGGCATATGTGGCCACATCTCTGGAGTAAAACTGTGTCACATCTGTAACACATACATTCTGTTTGACTTCAAGTCTCTCTATTGATGAAAATGTGAATAGTTTCAAACTTTGGCAAAGCATTTAAAAATAAATATTAAAATTAAAACTGCACACACACTTTTTTTGCCTGTCCGTTGCATTCAATTACTCTATCTCTTGGAGCTGAATTTATTTCTGTGAGGCTTTATGTATAATTATATTTATTACTGCATTTCTCATAATAGCCAAAAAAAGGAATAAAAGCATACAAATACAGTATATGTCCAAACATGCAATATCAAGGACTACGTAAATAAATTACATTTAAAATCTGCATCATGGAATAATATCTAAATGTGCAAATTATCATTAATGCATTTCATTTTCTTCTTCTCCACCTTGAAAATTTTGTGTTTTCCATATATTTTCATCTCAGAAAAAATGCAGACTAAACTTTAAATTTCCCAGGTCCACTTCTTAATTCCATACTCCACAATCCCCCTTCACAATTGGTATCAATGCTGTTTTCCTCCTCACCATCAATGCTTTCTCAACTATGACTACTTATCATAAATCCAACTATTTATAAGTTTCATATATTCTAAAAAATAAAAAAAGGAAACAGCATATACAAAGATAAAACTCCCTTCTAAAGTTCTACTGCATCAAGCTGAACTTTCTCTGCTTTTATCGCCTTAGAATCCTGTCACTTCTGTTAAAGTCTTCACCAGCCATTTGTTAATAAGGCTCAAGGCACTGGACTAGCCTTTCATAGATCCGCAGAGGCCTCCATAACACCAAAACCAAGACTCTGCCAGTATTCATGATCTTTGACCTCTATGCATATGACACAATTGACCATAAAGCCTTCTGGAAGCAATGACGCATGAAAAACCACTTGGGTAGCAGAAAGAGAAAGGACAAAACACATTTTAGAAATATTTAAGTGGCAAAATCAAATCAATTGATGATTGACTGATTGATTACCTAGATGAAGGAATTCAGTGACTCACCGGATATCAGATAATGAAGACAGGAGTTATGTGAACCTGCTTTTGGGACTTGGGTAGAGTGTGATACCAGCTGCTTTTCTCCTCACCATAAATGCTTTCTCCCTGTGAATCAAAACAGATTTATACCTTATAAAAGAAGGCTAGGATTTACATGGAAGTGATGAAGCATCTGTAAACCTGTGAGATTATCAAACACAACATTTTTAATCAGATGTCTATGAGTCCGAAGATCATAGCAAAATATCATAATGTCTATGAAATGGCTAAATTATTCTAGGAGAGATATAGAGTGTGGTAAAATGTTGGTCAGGAATAGATTTTTGGAAATATCGAAGTTTTATAAATATATATATTAAAAGAAACTCATGGGGAAATAAAAGATAAATGGGAATTTGAACTGAATATTTTCTATCTGATCCTTTAGATCCTCTTTCCACCCAACTCCACACTGCCCCATGCTTCAGGATCAAAGTCTGGTGACAAGTTTATGCCTGCTGTCCCAGTTTAATTATGAATGACACACTTTCTTATTATAAAAATAGTCCTTATTTTAACTGTAGATTATATGGCTATCCAAACCAGGACTCTCTGGTTTCTCTTTGGCTTCAGCCACTAGAGATCAGATGGAGGAAGGAGAAGGAAGTCAGAAAATTTGTTTCTGTGGCATCCTTTTTGACTTGTTACATTTGGTTGGTGGTTGTTCTTATTGGCCCCAGCTGATGGAATGAGCAAGTTTCCAGATGATCCCATTGGAAGGGGATATGTGTCTCTTCCAAGATCTTGATTGATGCAGGGGTATGGGCAGATCCAAGACAGTGTAGTGTCAAGGAAGTCAAGAAAGAATTTTCCAAGACTTGTGTAATACATGGGGGTGGACAAAGCAAATGCAACAGGTAGTCCAGCAAGACGAAGAAAAGATAGTCAAAATTATGAACAGTCATAAAAAGTATGGAAATTATAAATTTTGTTTCAGGTAGAGACAACAGATAAACATACATTAGGCATAAAATATTTAAAAAGAAAATAGCCAAAAAAACAAAAACTTTTCTGTTTAGTTCAACAATTATTAATGACCTCCTATTCTGATTTTAGGGGCCATTGTCTGAAGTACACGTAGGGAAGAAATTATAGAAAGGCGAAACTAAGGAAGTCACTATATATATTGATATAATAATTTATTTGAGTTTGAACCTATTTATACTTACTCATGTTTGGAAAAATGCAAGCAGATAGAGAATTTTTGTGGACACAATATTCCAAACAAACATACTTTTGCCCAGCTTATGAAGACTTACTTTCACCAAAGTTATAGAAATACTTTGGGATCAATATTTGGCATCATTCAGCAGATATGGAAGGTAATAAGTTGTTTAGCTATGTTTTAATCCTCTTCTTGGTGTGCTCACTGACTATTATAAGCTGAAAATATGAATGGCCAAAATAAAATAAACTATATGATTATTAGAAACAATACTAATAACTCCTAGAAAACAAAGACATACACAAATATCTAAAAACATGGCAAATTGCTGGAGAATGATTGTGGAGAAAAGTTAAATTAGCAGAATGTAAGAAGTTTGGCATTTTCGGGAATTTAGAAGCCAGAGTAATTAACCAGTAAAGAAAGAGTTAGGTCCTGCCACTTCTTCCCAAGTTCTCATCATTTTTCAAGGATTTGGTACATCTGGGGATTCTGATAGCTAAGCCCTGTATCCAATTTAGAAAGAGCATCCCTAATGTTAGCTGAAGGCAGTGGAGTAGAAATTTATCACTAAGGAACGAAATGCATTCCTTTTGGCAGAAAGCTGCTTAGAGGAATGTATTTTATGTGGTATAAAAGTGCATGGAAATTTTAGTTGTATTTTTCTTTAAATCTATGAAAAACTTTATGTCTTTGAGGGATAAACCCTATGCAGCTATTGGGAAAATAGGAAACATCTTAAAGAAGAACAAACTTATCCAACATTGCACACTATTCTGTTTCCTATTTCATAGGCTGGGCCACCTGAAATTTTATAACCCAACCAAACTTTAGATTCCTTGCATTTTCATACAGGTCTCCAGAAATGGGAATGATACTCTTGCTAAAATATCTGCTATTCGGAGTCTATTCTGCTTAGAAAATTAGCAGAATCAAGGACCATAAATAGATAGCATGTCATCTTCCAGCTTACTTTTGAAGAGATCTCTATACCATTGAATCTTCTGGGTTTGAATTAGAGTAAATGGTCAATGAATAAAGACAGGAAGAATGGAGAGAGAACAGTATCTGATAACTAAAACCCCCCAACAAGCACCAGAACATTTTTCTTTTTTAATAAAATGAGTTCTTCTATTTTCGTTTCTTCTTCAAATTAGTAAAAGAGTTTGAAAGGTACAATTTCAATGTGCCAAAGTGAAAATTTTCTCCCCTGATTAACAAATACTGTTACTGGCTGTGAGGCAGAAAGTTGTATATAAGCAGTGATTAAATATATAATGGGGTAATAGTGAAACTCTGGTAAACCCTCACACATTTTAGAGAATGACAGAGCTTTCTAGTTGTCTATGAAGTTACAGATGTGAAGAGCAAACTTTTTTCTTCTCTTAGAGGGGCTGAGCATGCCATTGTCACCTACTTTTCAGGAGGGAAAGATACTAGAAGAATATTGCTATCCTCTGATCACAAGTCACCCACTGGGTCAGTCACTCTTTCCTTAAGGACTTTTGGAAAATTGCACAATTACGGGTTGTCCTTTGCAAACAGCTGTGCTCACGACTTAAACACCGTTTTCTTTTATTGCAATGTCGGGGTCCTTAAGGAGTCCAGATTATCTTGTTGCTCAGAGAATTAATAAAATTTAGGTAGAGGGGAAGGAAAGTTCATTTTGAAGCCCAATAGGCCTCACGTTTAAGTCATGTTCTATATTATTTTATTAGTAAAGAAGCTGGTATTTAATCTCCATCTGTTTGATTTCCAAATTTTATCTGTCGGCACGTTTTGAATTTGTAATAGGCTTGACTGTCAGAACAATATTCACTCCTAAAAATTCAACCACTTTCCACTTATTATCAATTGTGCCTTTTCCTATAATTTCCATTAAAAATTCATGGTTTTTGCCTAATTTAATTAATAATTACCAACAATAGAAATGCCAAGTCCATAAAATTGATAGAAATTGGGGTGTTTTGTGGAGTTAATAATTTGGTTTACTTTTCTCATCTTTCATAGAACTTTCTTAACCATGTAGAATGTTCTGCCACAAGCAGAAGCTCAATAAGTTCTGCTGATTTGTTTTAACAAGTATAAGATTTGTTTTCTTTTGCCATGCAAATCTGGCTTACTAGAAAAAGCATTGACACAAGAAGGAAGTCAATATTTATGGTCTGAGCATTTCCAGTGTTAATAGGCTTAAGAGTGTACAAAATGCAGACGACTAGGCTATAAAATGACTTTGTCTTTCCCTAATCAGGAAAAACTACCAAAAATGTAATGTACAAAAATATATAAACTGAGTAAGCGTGTGCCCTATTGTCACTTATACTTCTGTTTTTCTATGTAAGTCAAAATGTAGCTTATATAGGAACCAGCTAGAAGAATGATGTATGGATATTTATAGGGGAAAATCTCATGGTTCTCCAAGGAATGCCTTTCTGTATGTAAACAACTCTTTAAGTTACAAGGCTCTTCGAAAAATGGCATGTTCTATTCAATGTAGATTCAATGAAAGAATATAGATTGCCAAAATCATTTTATGAAAAACGATAGCATTATGGTCCCACACCTTCAGGTCTTCAAACACACACACACACACACACACACACACGCACACACACACACCATATTATGGAAAGATAATGTTCTCTTGTTCTAAATCACAAACCAATAAAATATTCGTATTCTATTTCAAGCCATACTCATACTTTAACCTAGTCCTTGCACAAGTACAAATACTCCCTCCTTTTTTTTTTTTTTTTACAGAAATTCACATTTCAGTCTGTCACTGAAATGGTCTGTCAAAAGGCTAGCCCATTTTCTTAATCTAGTTCCTATACAATATACAAATACTGTTTTTTGCCTGAATGCGCATTTCAGTCAGCTGAGCCTATTTCATTGATATAAATAATTAGGTAGCGGAAACATCTTTTTGAGATGTTTATACATCAACAGAAGTCTCCATTATCCTTTATTTATGACCTAAGGGGATAAAAATATGAATCCAAAATTCGTAGGAATACAAAATGGCTGACTCATGCTTCTTGCAAAATGTATGCTTTCCATATGACCATTAAGAAATAGTGGCTCTACCCCTAGGTCTCTACCGCTATTTCTCTCCTCTCTATCTCTTCAAGCTTACTTACCCTTGTACTCATTCTTCCTTAAAATTCCTTTTCGTATGCTAGATGTTGATTCATCTCTTGTCATTTTCTACTTAATTCTTGCCTCCCAATAGATGTTACATTCAGAAAAAACATATTTCAGTTACAGAAACATGCAACTCTTTCTTACCTAAACATTTTTTTCACTTCAACCACCCTATTCCTTTTTATTTTCCTTTAAAGATTAACATATTTGAGAAACCATCTCTTAAACTGTCTCATTTTGGGTTAGGTGGAGGATTTCTAGATAAAACTCAAGACACATAGTAAAATTTGAATTTCAGATAAACAATAATTTTTTAGTATATTACAAACAGTGCATGGGTGTGTTTTTTGTGGATATTCAGGGGAGGGGGGTGGAGAGAGGAAAATTTCCCACAATGAATGTAAACTTGTGAGCAGGATAGACCCTATGAAGTATAAAATTAGCTCAATGTGAATTAACTTGTATTGCAATACAATGGCATTTCCAAATACAACTTGTATCTACAAAGTGATTTGATATTTTCTGACCATGAAAGTTTGGGCACTTAAGCCATAATTTTGAGAAAAAATGTATTATATCCTTTCCATTCTGTGAAGTCTGTTTTGAATTTTATTTATGAATGATCTGACCAAGTCATACCATTTTCTAGTACAGAAAACTGCTTTCTTGTAGGTTTACTAATAACTAAAAACAGGGCATTTTACTGCTACTGCTAAGTATGATATCTCACTCTTGCTATGTATTCAGAATGAGTACAGAATCATTTAATCAAAGAGTAAGGTAATATCCACTGAGAAGTTGATGAAACCCTCACATTGTTTGAGGAACAGTTTTAATTCACTCAAATTGACATCTGTAACTGATAATCACAGGGCATAATAAAACATTAAAAAAAAATTAACCCTGGTGTTTGCCATTCAGTAATATAACAGCATCTAGTTCCCTATCAGTATCATTAAATTCAAATAAAATACAAACTAATATTCACTTCAACCTATTTTCTACAGTGAATATTTGAAATATTTTCTTTAAAAAGCTAAATGTAGTGATAAATCAGATTACAACACTGTAAATTCTTTATGTTATCTTTAAAAAGCTTGCATATGTTTCACAGATATTTATTACACATATATACACATAAGAAAGATGTTTTAATGGAGGAAAAAGTTTAAATAATTTGATGTCAACCTAATAAAATATCATTAATTGTATGGGTGTTCACCTCTGGCTGGGGGCATAAGGCTCCAGATGATTTTAATGTTCTTCCTTGCTGAGCAACATTTTCTAGATAGTCTGTAATCAACACATTTTTAGCCAGTAATAAGAAACATATTTCTTAAAATAGTTTAAAAAATATTTTACCTTTTATTACTCATATCATTTGCCAGAGGCCCAAATACATATAGATCCTATTGAGCTGTCTGTGCTTAGGAAACCGAGAATGTGAAACCTGCTGGATGATGAAATAGCAGGGAAAGCAATAATTTATTTCCTAACAAGCTATATATAAGTCACTTCTTGAGTGAAGAATAGGTCAATTGTACTTTGTTTGGAATTGTTATTTATGTTTTCAAGTGAATATGTTTAACATTTCCCCAGAGTCCCTTTCTGTAGTTCTTAATGATTTCAGCTATTTATTAGCATATGCTCCCAGGCTAAAACAAAATATTCCAGGGGATGAATTTCTCAGTTTTGTAAAAAAAGTGGATTTGTGCAAGAAAACACTGCCCTCAAGCCTCTGTGCTGAGAAATTAATCTCTACAAACATAGAGAAATCCCCATTGTTCAAACAAGTTCTTAGGGCACAAAACATGGAAAATAACCTGAACTTCGTCATCACCACTAGAATATTTTTCTATGTTTATCTGTTGAAAATTACATAGCATGTCTAATAGGACACTTTCTAAATCTGTGAAATACTATGCAACTTTAAATGAAGCCACTTTTACTCTGATGAACTGCCACATGGCAAAGCAAGGACATAAAAATCCATTCAAATAGGTGTTATAAAACAGATTTATTAAAGAATGTATTACTAAAAAATGTAATACCAAGGGACAAACAGGCATACACAGATATTGAAATATAATTAAAATTATTACTGTATAGTCCTATTAAATATATGACAATTGCAAAATACTCAACAAATACAATATTCATAGGCACATTTTTTGTAACGATTATATACATTTTAGTACTCTCTCATATTTCACTGTGATTATAAATAGAACTACTCAAATATATTTGTTTCTTCCAAACCAGTTGTTAAGACTAAAATGAGACACAAAATAAATGATCGGAATAAAAATATCAAAGTCCCTTTTATATTCATTAGAAATTGTTTTCCTTGCTGTCACCCAAAGTTTCACACATATCTCAGAAGTGGAATAATGGGTTTGTTAGAATTCTGTCCTCTAAATAAGAGTCCTCTACCTTTACTTACATACAATGCAAGGTAGGTCAAAAATCTCTCTTCTTTAGAACACAATCATATTGAACAAAAGTTCTATATACTCTGTTACTATTTGCTTATCTTCCACTTACTTTCAGTTTATTTTAACCACTCACATCCCACGACTACACTGAGACCCCTTCTTTTATGATCATGGATTAATTTCTTGTTAAAAAAACTCTCTGAGCCTTGCTTAATTGCTGGAAACATCTGAAACTTCCTCCCCTTTGATCTATTTGACATTCTTAATTACCATCAGGACTGTTTAACTAGGCCTTTCTCATTCCTCAGTCAAGATTTCCCTTACCTTAAGTGCTGGGCTTCTCAGACGTCTGACTTCATGCTGTGTTCTTCCCACTCCACACATGCATCCTTGGCAATTATACTAATGGCTTCACTATTTATAGTATTTGGAGGTAGGTCCATATTTAGGTCACTACTTTGAATCATCCTCTCCATTTCTGAAGGTTTATTTTCTGGATAGTTCCACAAAGAATTTTCATCAGGCAGCTTATACTCCGTATGTTGAAAGTGGTCTGTCTCCTCTTCAATTCACAAACTAACGCAGTCAGTGACTCGATTTCAGCCGGTTGCAGAAACCAGTATTCTGAAGGAATCTTTGACTCTTCGATCTCTCCAGACACAGTGAACTACCAAGTCCTCTCAAGTTAACTTTCCGAATATTTCTTGAGTTTGCACTCTTCTCTAGTCCACTGATGCCATCTCAGTCAAGGCAAACATTATTTCTTGTCTAGATGATGGCTAACAAAACTCCCTCCAACTTATCCTTCACATAGCATCGAAATGCATAGTTGATCATGAGATGCCATGGCTTGAAACTTTTAAAGAAACTTCTCATTGTGCTTTAAAAAAATCTACTTGATATTATGTAAAAGCTATCTATGATATGGTTCATTGCTCATGCCTTTACCTAAAGAATCCCTTAATTAAATTCCTTGCAGAAATTATGTATATTATATGTATATATATAAAATGTATGTGTGTCTATATACATTTATATGTAATGTGTGTGTAAACATATACACACATTATATATAAATACGTATGTGTATCTACAGACATATATATTAAATTCCTTGCAGTAAATATATAATGCATTATATATCAATTAATTATAATAATATATACATTACACATTTAATTTACATATGTATTACGTATATGTAATGTAATTATATATAATTTTATATATATTACATATAATTATAATTATATATAGATCTTATATATAATCATATATTATATAATGCATATAATTATATAATGTAATATACAGTATATATAATTATATATTATATGTAATATATTATGCATATAATTGCTATAATGCAGCTCCAATATTTTCCAATAGGATAAGGCCAAATTGTGTATAATTCTGGTTTTAATTTTTATTTTCCTATTAATGAAGTTAAGCATTTTCACATAAATCTTTATGACACATATATAATATGTGTATATATATGTGTATATATTATATATAAATTTATATATACACATATATGCACATATATACACATATATACATATATACACACATATAAACATATATACACATATATACATATATACACGTAAATTTATATATATACACATACATATTTTAAATCTGAAGTTGAAATATATGTGTATATATATTTAAATTTATATATGTGTATATATATTTAAATTTATATATATATACACATATACATATTTTAAATCGAAGTTGCAAACTTATCTCAGTTCTCATATATTAAAGTACCAATCAGCTTAGTACCAGAGGCATATGGGTCTAGTTATATTACTATTATCATCACCATCATCATCATTTTTTTTTCCATGATGAGCCTTAAGCCATGTGAAACTCATGGGCACAAAAGGTAAAACTTTAATTGACTATTACCATGCTCACCACTTTTAAAACTTTATCTAGACTTTTTAAAAAATATGTCCTAAATTTGCAAAGTGTTTGAAGGATTTTCTTTTTCAGTTTGAGCCAGAACCTTATAAAAGACTGGTTATAATCTAGCTACAGCTAGGAGAGATACATTTCACTGACACTGCCAGCATCTTCTATGCGATGATTCATTTCCACAACTGAAGAAAACACTAACCTATGAATCTTGGGTTTTTTTCTTAATAAATCAGTTCCTAATTATCCCTCTCATCTTTGATCTTCTATGTAAAGCACTATGTTCTCCTTTCTTTTACATTTTGATCAAAATAGTTATTTTTCTGAATTGCTTGTAATTTTAAAAGTATAACACATGTGTAGCTGATTTTTCTTTTATCCTACTGTGGTATTAAAATCTCATTCATATATACACAACATGGATAATGAGTAGGGGGCTTTTAGAAAAAAGCAAAAATAAACACTATATATTACCACCTAGTTTAAAATATCAAACATTAATGATAACTTTGAAACCTTTTCATGATCACATTTTGTATCTAACACCCAGAGCTATCCATATTTTTGAATGTCTATTTCATGTTACCTTGCTTTCTACTGAGTTTTACAAATGGACTTATTTGCCTGTTTTTGTACATTATACAAATGGTATCACACTGTATGAATCCTAACATGGTTTATATTTTGTTGACTAATATTATGTTGTAGAAGTTACCTATGTTTCTGTGTGTGGCTATAGTCCAGTTTCACGGCTATACAGTATTCAGTTTAATGAATAGCCAAATTTATTCATCCATTCTCCTCTTGGTTGAAAATTTACTTGTTTATATATGTTTGCATTTACAAATGATTCTGCTAGGAAACCTCTTCTGTCTCATGTTGAACTTCTAATTGATTAATATATAGGGTACTTCCTCAGAAAAAAAATTTGCTGTAGAAGGGGGTATGCATGTGTTATAGAAAATACCAATTTTCTGGCCAAATTATTCCATATTCTGTTGAACCCTCCCATGAGCAGAATATGATCTCCTGAGACTCCAGATCCTCATCAAATCTTGCTACAATGCAGCTACAATATTTTCTCACCAATGTGCTAAAGCCAAATTGTGTATAATTCTGGTTTTAATTTTTATTTTCCTGTTAAGTAATGAAGTTAAGCATCTTTACATAAACCTTCATGACTCATATAAGGGATTTCTTTGTAAAATGTTTGATATCTTTTATTCATTTTGTATTACATTGTCTAATTTCTACTAATTGTTAACAATTAATCATATGTTTTGGATACCAAGGGTTTGTGGGTTAAAAATGTTCAAACTATCCTTCCCATTTTGTAGCATTTTACTTTATTTATTGGATTTTAGAAGAACAGAAATTTTGAATTTGATTGTAATCAAACAGTTTTATTTTTATTTTTATTTTTTTGAGACAGAATCTCATTCTGTCACCCAGGCTGGAGTGCAATGGCACGATCTCGGCTCACTGCAACCTCTACCTCCTGGGTTCAAGCAATTCTCCTGCCTCAGCCTCCCGAGTAACTGGGATTACTGTCACATGCCACCACGCTCGGTTAATGTTTTGTATTTTTAGTAGAGATGGAGTTTCACCATGTTGGACAGGCTGGTCTCAAACTCCTGATCTCAGGTGATCCACCCGCCTTAGTCTCCCAAAGTGCTGGGATTACAGGCATAAGCCACCGAGCCCAGCCAAAAAGTTTTATTTTTAATAAATGTTTAAGGCAAAATTATTTATTAAAAATTTTTAGTAAATTTTTAATAAAGTCAGGCAGTGGAGGCAGATACTTCTGAGCCTGTGGGGGCAGGGAGTGTCCTCCTGGGCCCCTGAGAGTACAGAGATACCCAGTTCCACAGCCACAGCTTCGGTGGCTGCAGCTGTGCCTAGGAGGGTGGGGGTCCTGTCTTCTCCTGGACCCCAAGAGCACAGGGATGCCTGGGTCCACAGCCATGGCTGGGTGGCTGTGGCTGCATGCAGGTAGCACGAGGCTCCTGCTCTGCCAGCTTAGAAGGGGCTAGGCTTCTGCCTGTTCCTGGATCCCACTGGCTCAGTGGAGCACACAGCCCTGGCTGCGCCTCCCCAACTTTAGCTGGCATCATGGCAACAGTTGCTCCAGATAGGTCACCGCTGCCAGCAGAAGGATACTTCACCTATGTTATTATTCTCTAAAAGTATAATTGTGAGATTTGTCCTCAGACTAATTTTAAGAAAATAAGCAGTCCACAGATGAATTTTAAGAAAACATCAGAGCAACTCAAATTGAGAAACACTTTACAGAATACCTGACCAGTACTCCTCAAAACTGTGAAGGGTATAAAAACAAAAAAGACTAAGAAATAGTCACAGACCAGATAAGATTAAGGGGGCATCACAGTAAAATGAAATGTGGCATCCTGAACTCAGTTCTGGGATAGTGAAAGAACATTAGTGGAAAAACTTGTGAAATCAAAGAATAGGAGTTCAGTTAATGGTAATGTACTAATGATGGTGTCAACCTAAAAGTGCCTGAGACAGGTCTCAATCAATTTAGAGGTTTATTTTTCCAAGATTGAGGATGTGACCAGGGAAAAAGAGACAAAATTTACAGTGGGATCTGTGGGATGCACTTTTTCCAAAAAGAGTTTTAAGGAGCTCAATATTTAAATGGGAAAGAGCAGCAGGAAGGCAAAGAGGGAAGAAAAATGGAGAGAAGGGTAGGTAGTGAGGTCAGCAAATACATTCTTGAGAGGCTTTGATTAATGCTCACTGAATCCACATTTTACATGTTTCTCAATTTAAGTTTCTCTGATGTTTTTCTTAAAATTGGTCTGAAGAATTATGATTTTTGTAAAATTTAGTCTGGGGACTAATTCTTATAATTATTATTTTGGGGAAGAATAATGTGTAATTTCACATGTGAAAAGAAAGAAGTGGGGGAATAAATTAATTATGCATTCATCTAGCACTCGATAGGTCTACATTTTACATAAGATAAAATAAGTATGTGTAATTACAGCTATCTGTTGAAAAAAGGAACTCAGTTTTTTTTCGATGACTCAGTCCCTTAGCTTAACTTTTACCTTTGGAATGGTGACTTTGGGGTCCTGAGATTTTATTTTTTTTCACAATGGTTTCTTAGTTGTGACAATTTTAATATAGTTATTATTTTAGAAACACGGAAAAATCTTGCCTTCAGGAGCTGACAAGCACAGGAGGGAGGCCAAGGAGGGCTGAGGGCCACTCAGTGCTTGCCTGAAGGCACCTCTTGGCATGACCAGCCTGGGTGCCACGAACTGCAGCAGGAGGCAGACAGGCTCCTGGGTGGGAAGGGGTGGGTCCCCAATGAAGCCCCATCTTCAAGCAACGGAAGGCCTGAATTCTGGGGACTGGGCTGCCAGCTCGGTGGACCAGAGTGGGAACTTATAGTGCTTTATCTGAGCCCACCCATGGCCACTCATGGACCAATCAGCATGCACTTCCTCTCCTCTGAAGCATATAAAAATCCCCAGACTTAGCCAGGCTCAAAAAGAGAAAGGATGACCAACTGTTGAGAGGAGCTATCCACTCCAGGGTCTCCTCTCTGCTCAAAGCTGAGAGGATGACAGGACAACCTGCCTGCAGAGAGGAGCTACCCACTCCAGTGTCTCCTCTCTAATGAGAGCGGGACACTCATCAGGACACCCTGGCTGCAGAGAAAAATCTACCTACTGTGGGTCTCCTCTGAGCTGTTCTATCACTCAATAAATCTCCTTTTTACCTTGCTCACCCTCCTTTTGTCCATGTGCCTCATTCTTCCTAGGCACAGGACAAGAACTCAGGACTCACTGAATGGGGGCGCTAAAAGAGCGCAACACAAACAGGGTTGAAATATGCCCCTTGGTCACCATGTTGCAGATGACAAGAAGGAGAGAAGAGCTATGGCCCTTTGAGGAGCCCAGACTTACGAGTTCCCTGAGCCAGGGCTGTGATACCCTCTTGGGGCTCCAAGGCATCTCCAAGCTTCTGGGTGTCTCCAAGCTTCCAGGTGCCACCGCCTTCCCCAGTGCCAGCTGTGGAAGCTGCTTGCTCTATTCCTGGTCCAGCTGAAGCCTCACAGGGAGCTGGTGCCCATGCCACTGCAGCCAGCACGCTTGGCTGTGCACAGTGGCCAGACCCACGCTTGCTTGCTCACACATGCTTGCTTGCCCTTACCGCTGTGCTCACCCTTGGATGCATAGGATCCAGGCCAGTAACGTGAGCTGAGCACAGCCTTCCAGGCCAAGTGAGCCCAGTGGGCCTGAGCAAAACTTGGGCACAGGTGCCACTGGCCACAGAGGTTTCTGGCTGGTGAAGTTGACATCCCAAGGATCCTGTAACACTTCCTATTACATTATATTAGTAGGTATATGGTATTAGCCATATTAAATCAATGTGATGTAGGCATCTTGCCAGAAAGTATTTACTATCTTAATGGCATGCTACAAACACATCACAATTCACTAATTAATTGAAATGTGAACCTCAAATATCTGAGACAGGTCTTAGTCAATTTGGGAACTTTATTTTGCCAAAGTTAAGGGTGCGTCCCTGTGACACAGCTTCAGGAGCTTCTCACAAGTGTCCAAGGTGGCTGGGGCACACCTGGTTTATACATTTTAGGGAAGCATAAGACATCGATCAATACATGCAAGATGTACATTGGTTCAGTCCAGAAAGGTCAGACAACTTGAAGTGGGGAGGGGGCTTCCAGGTCATAGGTAGATAAGAGGCAAATAATTTCATTCTTCTGAGTTTTTGATGAGCCTTTCCAAAGGAAGCAATCAGATATACATTTATCTCAGTGTGCAGAAGGATGACTTTGAACAGAATGGGAGGCAGGTTTGCCCTAAGCAGTTCTCAGCTTTACTTTTCCCTTTAGCTTAGTGACTTTGGGGTCCCAAGAGTTATTTTTCTTTCACAGATATCTGCTTTTTTTTTTTTTTTTTTTTTTTTTGAGACGGAGTCTCACTCTTTCGCCCAAGCTGGACTGCAGTGGCGCTATCCCGGCTCACTGCAAGCTCCGCCTCTTGGGTTCATGCCATTCTCCTGCCTCAGCCTCCCGAGTAGCTGGGATTACAGGCGCCCACCACCACGCCCGGCTAATTTTTTGTATTTTTAGTAGAGACGGGGTTTCACCGTGTTAGCCAGGATGGTCTCGATGTCCTGACCTCGTGATCCCCCCGCCTCCGCCTCCCAAAGTGCTGGGATTACAGGCGTGAGCCACCGCGCCCGGCCAGATATCTGCTTTTTGAAAATATCCTTTACTTGGATAATGATGCTTGAAATTGCTGACTGCTGAAAATTAATTAGCTTTTGGGCCATCAGAGCAAGTGGGAATGTAATTGAGTTCTGTATAGACCAGGGTGTTTCTAAAAGTGTCTTCTTAGGAGAGTTCTAAGGAGACATTTTTTTTTCTCCTCTTTCCATCGAGCACAATAGGTAAAACACACAAGTTTCTCTGCCGTTTCTCTTTGTATGAAGAGCTTATTTACCCTGAAGTTTCAACACTCAAGGGCCTCCGCTTGATGCAAAGACCCGAGGCTCTGTTTCCTTTCCCCACATGGCCACTGAAACAATGCCTCCAATGACTGGGTGAGGCTCACACCCTCAGGGCAGCCCCTGGCACCAGTAACTTCCTATCTCTCTGGAGTCCTTTGTCTCATGCTGGCCGGATATTACTAGGTCATCCATATGTTTAAAAATTCATTAAAATATATTTTATTCAGCACTTAAATTTTTTTTCTGTGTTAGAATTATTTTAGGATCTGCTGTTTGCTATGCTTTCTGTTTTTACACGTAATTTCTTCTCAATATTTTCTTTACACCTTCCATGATCCATCTCTTTCAAAAGATGGTTTAATAATTTATTTTTAGTATCTATTTTGACATGTTACCTTGCTCATGTTTAAGGTTTTCCATTAATTACTCAAAGAAAGATAAAGTAGGGTAAACAGTGAATAAGAACAGAGAAAATGGGATTGATACCAGCTACAGGTTGAGCATTACCAATCTGGAAATTCATAATTTGAAATATTCCTAATTCTGAAATTTTCTGAGCACCAACATGATACCACGGGTGGAAAATTCTACCCCTAACTCTTACCGGGGGTCCTTGCTCACAGAGCTCCTCAGATGGTGGCGAGCCACTTCCAAGATGGTGGTAGGCCACTTCCAAGATGGTGGCTAGCCTCGTGTTCTCTGACCTGGGGTTCTTGGCCTCACAGATTCCAAGGAATGGAATCTTGGGCCGTGCGGTGAGTGTTATAGCTCTATTAGAAGCCATGGGTCATGGAAGAGAACCGTGGAACCCAGTGACTAGTGTTCAGCTCAATTAGGATGAACCTGGGCACTTAGCCGTGCAGGAACAACGGCAAGCCTTTAGCCCAATCAGGATTGGCAATGGGTGCCTCGCTGGTTCAGGAGCACAGCGGACAGCCTGCCGGATCCGGAGGGATGGGAGTCAGTGGCAGGTCTGCGACAGCGGCAAACAGCAGTGGTGGAAAGCGAGCGAAAGCTCAGCTCGAGCCGTAACAAACATGGACCAGAAGAATGCAGTTGCAAGATTTAGTAGAGTGAAATAGAGTGAAAACAGAGCTCCCATACAAAGGCAGGGGACCCAAAGGGGGTTGCCGTTGCCAGCTTGAATGCCTGGGTTTACATCCTGATCCTTGTCCCTCCTGCTGTGCTCTCAGGCAATAGATGATTGGCTATTTCTTTACCTCCTGTTTTTGCCTAATTAGCATTTTAGTGAGCTCTCTGACTGGTTGGGTGTGAGCTAAGTTGCGAGCCCCATGTTTAAAAGTGGATGCGGTCACCTTCCCAGCTAGGCTTAGGGATTCTTAGTCAGCCTAGGAAATCCAGCTAGTCCTGTCTCTCAGTACCCGCCCTCAACAGGAAAACCCAAGTGCTGTTGGGGAGGTTGGCCAATGACAGCTCTAACTGCTTCCTGCTGAATTGGGGCATAGTAGGGGTTGGGCAGTTGTGATTTCCTTGGGAGGGGTGCCTTCGATGTCATTAATATCGGAGCATGGGCTAGCAGGCCAGTCTAGGGGCCCGCGGTGGATCTTAGTCATGGACTGCATCTGGGGCCCCATTTGAAGAACTATTTGTAGTTTTACAGTTTTGATTCTGGAAGAGACAAACTTAACAAGGAGGTTAAAGATACAGGGATTGAAATGTATGGCCTGCAGTGCAGGGGATTATTTCTTTGGCATACTTCACAGGCCCTGACTATCTGCTTGATAGTTTTGAAAAGGCCTGGTCCAGTAAATAATAATTTGGCCATCTGATGGGTGCTATCAATGCCTAAGTGGAAGGTTTGGTGATAAGTAATTTCTATTGGTTAGCTGCAGACAAAAGTATTTCTCCTTCTTCAGTGGCTAGCCATCTGGAGGGGAGGAAAGTATGTCCTTGTGAGGTTCCCTATTCTATTTTTCCTGCTGAATGCTGGGGCTTGGTTTCCTGGAGGGGATTACCCTATACTAGGGGTCCTTCTATAAGCATTTCTAATGGAGGGTCCTGCCTTGCGGCTCTTTTGACTTGAGTATCCGCTTGGTGGTTCCTTTCTATTTTCCTTTCTTTTCCTTTCTGATGACCTTGGCAGTGTAAGATTGTTACCTCTTTAGGTTTCTGTACAGCCAATAATAATCTCCTAATGGCTTCCTGATGTTTGATACGTGTTCCTTCGGAAGTTAGGAATTCCTTTTCTCTCTACATTGTTGCATGGGCATGGAGGAGTAGGTAAGCATGCTTAGAGGCTGTATATATATTTACCTTTTTTCTTTCTCCTAATTCTAGTGCCCAAGTGAGGGCTATTAGTTCTGCCAGCTGAGCACTAGTTCTTGGAGTGAGGGGATTACTTTTAAGTATTCCATTATCACTGACCACTGCATAGCTCACTTTTAGAAGTTTCCTTGTAGAAAAAGGACTTCAATCAGTATACAAGTTGAGGTCAGGATCAGTCAAGGGAAACTAAAAGGTCCCCTCTAGTGGCATAGGTTTGAGCAATTACTTGTTGACAGTTATGTTCTAACTTTTCTTCATTGTCTGAAAGAAATGTGGCTGGGTTAAGAGTTGCACAAGTGCGCAGTCGCAGCACTGGCCCTTTAAGTAATAGAGCCTGATATTTAAGTAAATGGTTGTCTGACAGCCACGAGTCTCCTTTAGCAGTGAGTATGCCATTCACATCATGAGATGTTCACACAGTAAGATCCCTTCCCTGTATTATTTTAACTGCTTCAGACACTAAGACTGCTACTGCTGCCACTACCCGTAAACAATGAGGCCAACCCTTTGCCACTACATCTATTTCCTTACTTAGCTATGCCACAGGTTGCAAGCTCATCCTTTGGACCCGTGTAAGGACTCCTAGAGCTATTCCTGTTTTTTCTGTGACATATAAAGAAAAGTCTTGCCCGGTTGGCAAGCTCAACACTGGGGCTTGGGTTAGGGCCTTCTTTAGGGCCTGGAAAGCCGCTTCTGCTTCAGGTGTCCATCTTACTAAATGGGTATTGGCTTTCTGAGTTTCCTTAATTAGTGTATATAATGGTCTGGCTATTTCGCAGTACTTAGGAATCCATATTCGGCAGAAAACTGTTATGCCAAGGAACCCTCTTAGTTGCTTTAGGGTTTTGGGATGAGGATAAGCCAGTATAGGCTGGATACGTTCCTCACTGAGGGCCCTGGTGCCTTTGGATAATTTTAGCCCTAAATATTTAACCTGCTGTGAGCAGAGCTGAGCCTTTCATTTGGAAACCTTGTAGCCACAGGTAGCGAGGAAATTAAAGAGTGCTTGGGTGGCTTGATGGCACAAGGTTTCTGAACGGGTGGCTAAAATTAAATCATCCCTGTACCAAAGGAAGAGTGTCCAGGTGTGAGAATTGGCTCAAGTCATGGGCTAATGCCTGGCCAAATAGATGGGGGCTATCCTTGAACTTTTGGGGTAAAACAGTCCAGGTGAATTGAGACGTTGGGTTCGAAGAATCCTCAAAGGCAAACAAGAATTGAGAGTTAGGATGTACAGGGATGCAGAAAAAGGCATCTTTAAGGTCCAGAACTGTAAACCACTCTGCTTCCTCTAGTATTTGGGAAAGCAGAGTATAAGGGTGAGGTACAGCTGGGTATAGAGGGACAACGGCCTCATTGATAACCCTGAGATCTTGCACTAACCTCCACTGTCCGTTGGGTTTCTGTACTCATAAAATTGGAGTATTGCAGGTGCTACTGCATGCTTTTACTAGGCCTTGGGCTTTTAGGTCCTTAACAATCTTTTGGAGTCCTTGTTGGGCCTTGGGTCTAAGGGGTACTGCCTTTGGTAGGGAAAGGAGGTGGAATCCTTTAGTTTAACTTGAACAGGATGGGCATTCTTTGCTCATCTATATTGTCCCTCCGTTGCCTAGACTTCAGGATTAATTCCTTCCTCAAGCAGGGGACAACAAATGGGTGTTCCTTCTCCTATGTTCAGGTGTATAATGGCCCTTGCTTTTGCTAGAATGTCTCTCCTTAATAAGGGAGTGGGGCTTTCAGGCATAATTAGAAAAGCATGTGAAAAGAGTAAAGCTCCACAGTCACAGCTTAGTGGCTGGGAGAAGTATCTAGTGACTGGCTGTCCTAGGACTCCTCAGATAGTGACAGATCTGGAGGACAGTTGTCTGGGACAGGAGAGTAAGACTGAGAAGGCCGTGCCAGTGTCCAGGAGACAGTTAACCTCCTGGCCCTCAATGGTCAAGCATATCTGGGGCCCTGTGAGGGTGACAGCATGGGCTGGCACTTGCCCCAGGCACCCTCAGTCCTGCTGCTGAATCATCTAGTTAGTGGCTTCTGACTCAGAGGAGCTTCATCCCCTGGGGCAGTGGACCTTCCAGTGATTCCTTTGACAGAAGGGGCATGGACGAGGGGGGAGCTTACTTCTACTTGGACAATCTTTTTTTAAAGTGTCCTTGTACACCGCACTGGAAGCAAGCCCTATTAGGCATTCGATTTGCCCAGCTTTTCCCTTTTCCAGAGCCTCCAAAGTCCACTTGCCTGAGGACCATGACTAAAGCGGTGGTCTTTTTTTTTATCCCATTTGTCCCGTTCCGCCTACTCCTCCTGATCTCTATTATAAAAAACAGAGGTTGCCAAGATCAATAGGGTTTCTAAGTTTTGCTCCAGGCCTAAGGTGGACTTTTGAAGCTTTTTTTCTGATGTCTGAAGCTGACTGAGTGATAAACTTATCCTTTAAGATTAATTGGCCTTCAATAGAGTCAGGTGACAGAGAGGTATGCTTCCTCAATGCCCCCCTTAGTGTCTCCAGAAAGGCAGTAGGATTTTCTTCCTTTCCCTGTGTTATAGTGGACATCATTGAATAATTCATAGGCTTCTTCCTAGTTTTCCTTAGTCCTTCTAGCACGTAAGTTAGCTAATGTCTGCAGTACCATGTTCTGATTCTGTGTCCCAGTGAGGATCTACACTGGGAACTGCCTGCTGGCCTGTGGGGAATCGTTCTCTTTCCTCTGTTGTCATCCTATCATTGACCTGACTGAGATACCAGAGATCGTCAAACTCTCGGGCTGCAGTTATGGTGGCACTTCTCTCATTTGGGGTTAGTGTCTGATTTAGCAGTAACATTATATCTCTCCATTGCAGATCAAAGGATTGTCCTAACCCTTGTAAAACATCAATATAGCCATCAGGATTATCTGAGAATTTACCTAGGTCTATTTTAATTTGCTTTAAGTCTGAGAGAGAAAAAGGTACATGCACTCTGGCTGGGCTGAATTCTCTTCCTACCACTGCTTGGAGGGGACATAATCAGGGAATATTGGCACTGTTTGGTTCATTGTTCATCCCTTTGTCTATCTCCTTTGGACCACTTGGGTAACAGGGGGTCCTTATTGGTTGGGGAAGGAGTCGGGGGCATGCTGGGATAGGCAGGTAGACTCTGAGGGCTTCCTGTAGGGCATAAACCACACTTTTTACATAATTGCGAGTTGTCTCTTAATGAAAATAAAGTTTGCACCTATGGCACTTCACTACATTTGCCCTCCTTTCTACAGAAGAGATCTAGCAGTAAGATGTTGTTATAATTTATACTTCTCTCAGGAGGCCAGGTTTCTCCCCCTTGAAGAGGGTATCGTGGCCAGGCGGTACTGCAGAAGAATATAAGTCATTTCTTTCTTAGCGTCTGAGGGTCAAATTGGTCCTAATTCTCCAGAATACATCTTAGGGGCGTTTTTGCCTTGGGGTGGGGGGAACGTTTCCCATCTGAAAAAAGAACATAGGGATGCCAGCACCCCTAGTCATTTTCCGATGAGCATTAGCCCTAGAGCGTCCTCTAAGGGCCTAATGCTTATTCTTTTCCAGGGTGAGTAACCACCCATGGACCTCTGCTTATCGGATTAGTTATGCTCACCGATGTAGCAGTCCTGCACCTGTTTTCCCGCCTCCCTTGACCACAAAGAAAGGGGTCCGGGCTGCTGGATTCTAGTGGTCCTTTACCAGCATGCCCAACATTGCCTTTGCGACCAGGGGTGAGTCCTAGAGCTTGGCTGGGTTCCTGAGCATTTCATAACCACCTAGCTGCCCCATTAAGATGCATTCCTATAAAAGCAGTTCTTATGAAAATTTATTTCAAAGAGGGCATAGGTAACCTTTTGAGTAAGGATTGAGAAGTCTTTTTGATTCTGTAAGTATTTTAAGGCTTGTCTGAGTGGAAACAGCTGGCATGTTTAAGGAGACAAATTTTTAGGCAATTTTTCTAACTGCTTCCACAAGAGTCTCTGTATCAATTACTGAATACCCATTGTGGTTTTTTTCCTCAGTCACCTGGGAGGAACCATCTATCGTCCTGTCCTGAAGGGAGTTCCTCCTAGGTCTGGTCGGACCTTTGTGTGGTAATTAAGATTTAAATCCTCTGTTAGGAAATCTGCTGGGTTAAGGGAATTATCAGTGGTTGGAGTTACATTACCCTTTTCTAACAGGATAGCCCCATACTTTAAGATTTTTGAGTTAGTAAGCTATCCTTTTTGCTTTTTCGACTTAGAAAACTGGCGAGGTGTTCTCACAATGAGGTTTCCTCTAAAAGTTATTTTTCTACTTTTAGCAAAGCAGTTGCTGCTACAGATCGAATGCATCTGCGGGTTACTGGGTTAAGGATTTTTGATAGGAAAGCTACGGGTTGTCAGTGGTCTCAGTGATTTCAGGCTACGCCCTTGTTTACACTGACAACAAGGTAGTATTGCAGTGTTATAGGGTCACGCAGAAGACCTTCAATTACCAATTATAGATTTTAAATTTACCCTGGCTTTTAAAGGAATAGGGCACACTGGTTTTTTTTTTTTCTTTACTTTTTTTTTTTTTTTTTTTACTATTTCTATCTTTTTCTTTCTTTTTCTCTTTGACTCCTTCTTTATCTCTCTCTCTCTCCGTCTCTCTTTCTGTCTCTCTGTCTCTCTCTCTCTCCGTCTCTCTCTCTCTCTCTTAGCCATTACAAACTTGGGGCCCTGGCAAGGATGGTGTGGAACGGGTCCCACGTAACTGCCCATGTTGAGAGCTGTATACCTAAATCAGAAGGGACACCAGGGATAAGACTCCCTCGGTTATAGCCTAGGTGCTTAAGGACGCAGAGTAGAGCTTCCTTAGATCCCTTTGGAGATACAACTTGCTAGAGGAATTAAAAGTCTGAACCATCAGTACCTAGGAGGCAGGGATCAGAGGACGTAGATTCAGAGGTAAGGAGAATATTGGGGCTACACTTTCAAGAAAGTCGTGGTTGGGACCCAGGAGGTATGGGTCAGAAGGAAAGGTAAGAGGCACATGCATGGGAGACTGTTAAAGAGACTTCTGGCTGCACCATGATCTCAACCGGCTACCGCCGGGAGCTCGGGACTACAGCTTTCTGCCTCTAGTTGGCCCTCGACTTCCCCAAGAAAATTGAAAGTGGAAGCTACCTCCAGATTGTCCAATGTCCCCAACCCAGAAGGGTTGGGGGTTGTTAGAAAGCCCTTCCCCAGATAGCCTCACACCTGGGTCTTAACTCTGGCGGCCACGCTAATCATTTTTAACTGGCTGACAAGTGCCCGGTATTTTCCTTCAATTCTAAGGAAGGATAGGACAGAAGAGCAAGTGAAAGTGGTCCAGTATTACTCACCGCTTTGGAGGTCCCTTCCTGGTTGCCAAAATGGTGGCGAGCCACTTCCAAGATGGTGGCAAGCCGCTTCTAAGATGGTGGCAAGCCTCAGGTTCTCTAACCTGGGGTTCTTGGCCTCACAGATTCCAAGGAATGGAATCTTGGGCCATGTGGTGAGTGTTATAGCTCTGTCAGAAGCCGTGGGTCACGGAAGAGAACCGTGGAACCCAGTGACTACTGTTTAGCTTGATTAGGACGAACCCGG
This sequence comes from Homo sapiens, assembly GCF_000001405.40. NCBI lineage: Eukaryota > Metazoa > Chordata > Mammalia > Primates > Hominidae > Homo > Homo sapiens. Next base: position 18,760,018 of record NC_000021.9, read on the forward strand.
GCACTTAGCCGTGCAGGAACAACGGCAAGCCTTTAGCCCAATCAGGAGCAGCAATGGGCGCCTCGCTGGATCAGAAGCACAGTGGACACCCTGCCGGATCCGGAGGGATGGGAGTCAGCGGCAGGTCTGCGACGGCAGCAAACAGCAGTGGTGGACGGTGAGTGAAAGCTCAGCTCGAGCTGTAACAAACATGGACCAGAAGAGTGCAGTTGCAAGATTTAATAGAGTGAAATAGAGTGAAAACAGAGCTCCCATACAAAGGGAGGAGACCCAAAGGGGGTTGCCGTTGCAGGCTTGAATGCCTGGGTTTATATCCTGATCCTTGTCCCTCATGCTGTGCTCTCAGGCAATAGATGATTGGCTATTTCTTTACCTCCTGTTTTTGCCTAATTAGCATTTTAGTGAGCTGTCTAACTGGTTAGATGTGAGCTAAGTTGCAAGTGCCGTGTTTAAAAGTGGATGCGGTCACCTTCCCAGCTAGGCTTAAGGATTCTTAGTCGGCCTATGAAAGCCAGCTAGTCCTGTCTCTCATAACCTCATGTGACTAGGCACAGTGAAAAAGCAGTCGAAGCTTCATTTGCACAAAGTTATTGAAGACATTATATAAAATTACCTTTAAGCTATATGTATCAATATATATGAAATATAAATGAATTTTGTGTTTAGACTTGGGTTTCATTCTTAAGATATCTCATCCTGTATATGTAAATCTTCCCAAATTCCAAACATTTCTGGTCCCAAACATTTCAAATAAGGAATATTCAACCCATATGATAGGAGTGCAAAAAGAGAAAAGGATTTGAAAATGAAGAGGGTTAAATGCAAATGTTACTCAGAATAAAATAGATGATATTTTTAGCATTAGCAATCTTACATCCTAGCTTCAATATCATTTATAATTTTCAGACTAACAAAGTATCATCACGTTTTTCTCACTGTTAAATAAATGAAATATCTTGTATTATTTAAAATATATAGCACTAGTTTTTTTATTTTATTATCCGTGTGTGTGTGTATTTGACCACAGAATGTGTAAGATTATAGTTCTTAGAAATAAAAGTCAAGACAAGTTATTAAAATAATTAAATATAATATGCAAACTTAAATGTAATTTTATGTAGACCTTTTCTTATTCTGAGACTGCTAAATTTCAGCTATGTGCAATTTTACAATAACTCCCGGAAGACCATATCTTATTACGGACATCATTATGTTGAAAGTGATACAAATTTAGAACCCCAAATGAAAAAATTAAAAAAAAAATGTTTATTAGCCTTACTCACTTAGGCTTTCTTGTAGAGGAAATAAGAAATGCTAAAGATTTTGCATAGCAAAGTTGAAGTCTGTTATAACAGTAGGAGAGAAGTAATATACAAATTCACTTGTTGATATTTTTGAAAGAAAATTCTAAAAGTGTCCTCTTTCAAAATATCAGTACTTTAGAAATGAGGTTCTTTTGTTAAGGTAACAAAATTGCCCTGGTTATATTAATTGTGAAATGACTATCTAAAGATTGCAAATAATAATTCAATTGAAAACTTAATTATCAAAAAAAGTTAAATAACAAAAGTAAACTCCTCAACATCATCTCTCTCTTAAAACCAGTGACTCTTCTTATATTTCTACTCTCAAATTAAAAATGTCATCAACAGGCTTAGTGGCTCATGCCTGTAATCTCAGCACTGTGGGAGGCCCAAGAAGGAAGATCACTTAAGGCCAGAGTTTGAGATCAGCATGGGTAACTCAGTGAGATCCCAGCGCTACAAATTTTTTTTTAAATTAGCTGAGTATGGTGTCACTTGCCTGTAGTCCTAGCTATTCTGGAGGCTGAGGTGGGAGGATTGCTTGAGCCCAGAAATTCAAGGCTGCAGTGAGTAATAATCCCAACACTGCACTCCAGCCTAGGTGACAGAGCAAGACTCTGTCTCAAAAAATAATATAATAAAATATGTCATCCCCTCAGGCACTCCAGGCAGAAATATATTATTGTAAATTATTTTTTATTTCAACCATTTCATCCAAAGCAGTAATGAAATCCAGCCTATTTAAAATCCCAAGCATTTCTAGACTATTTGTTTTTCTCATCTTTCCTATCACCAATGCCTGAATTTAAATTCCCCTTATGTCTTGTCAAGACTGTTAAAATTTTTTTCACCTAGTTTCCTTAACTTCAGTATAAATTTCCTCTCACATTTAATTTACTGCATACTGTCTTAGTTCATTTTGTGCTGCTATAACAGAATACCTGAGACTGGGTAATTTATAACAGAAATGTATTGGCTGACAGCTCTGGAGCCTGGGAAGTCCTACATCAAGCGACTGGCACCTTGTGAGGTTTTCTTGTTGTGTCATCTCATGGTGGAGGGTGGAAGGGCACACAGAGGGCCAAACTTGCCTTTTTATAATGACACCAATCCTACCCATGAGGGCAGGTGGAACCCTCATGACCTCATCATCACTCAAAACTCCCACCTTGTAATACTGTTATAATAGCAATTAAATTTTAACAAGAGTTTCTGATGGGACAAATATTCAAGCCATATCATTCTGCCCTGGCTCACAAAAACTAATGTTCTTCTCACATACAAAAATACATTCATTCCATTTCTATAGCCCCAAGTGTTCCAGTATCAACTCAAAATTTCAATGTCTGGAGTCTCATCTAAATTATATATGGGTGAGACCCAAGGGTTGATTCATCCTGAGGCAAGTTTCTTTTTAGCTATGAGTTTGTGAAATTAATCAAGTTATGTGCTTCCAAAACACGATGGTAGAACAGGCATAAATAGACATTTCCATTCCAAAAGGGAGAAATAAGAAAGAAAAAAGGAAAAACAGGTCCCAAGCAAGTGCAAAACCCAACAAAGTAAACAATACTAAACCCTAAATCTTGAGAATACCCTTTTTAGACTATATCCTGCTTTAGGGACACATTGAGGTGGTGCTGGGTCCCTTTAGGACCCAGGCGGTTCTGCCCCTATGGGTTTGCAGGTATTAGCTCATACAACAGCTCCCACAGGTTAGAGTCTTATATCTGCATCTCTCCCAGGCTGACGTTGCATGCTGGTAGCTCTACAGTTCCAGGGTCTTAGGGGTGGCTGTGCTCCCATGGCTGTAATAGGTGCAGCCCTAGTGGGGACTCTGTAGCAGCTCTGCCCCTGACACAAATCTCTGCCTGAACCTCCACACTGTCCACAGCATCCTTTGAAATCTAGGTAGAGAAAGCCATGCTCTCACAACTTTTGCATTTTTTTGCACCTGGAGAATTAGCACCCTGTGGATGCTGCCACGGTTTACAGATTGAACTTTCTAGAGCAGCAGTTATAGCCACACCTGAGTCTGCTGGAGTCATATCTTGGGCAGCTGAGGGTTGCATCAGAACACACAGAATGCTGGAAACAAACATTGAGGCAGCCCTGTGTAGCCCTCATGGTCCTGAGGACACCCTAGGCCTCTCTTTTGATATATTTCCTTCCCTCAGGCCTTGGCACTATGGGTCTGTGATGGGAGTTGTGACACAAGTAATCTCGAGAGTGCCTTTGTGGTCATTCTCCCATTGTTCTGGTAATCTTCTCTGGCTTTGTTCTTTTTATACTAATTTTCTTATCAAATGTTCCCTTCACCACACTCATTTTCCTGTCCTGGAAAATGCTCTTTCATTTTCCACGAAATGGCCAGGTTGAGAATTCTCCAAATCTCTAAACTCTGTTCCCATTTTAATTATCAGTGATGATTTTAAATGATGTCTCCGTTTTCACGTTTTACTGTATGCTGTTAAAAGAAGCCACATAGCACCTTGAATGCTTTGCTGCTTAGACATTTCTTCTGCCAGATATCCTAGTTCATCACTTAAATTCTGCCTTTCATAAAGCCTTTGGGCATAGACATTATTCCGCAAGATTCTTTCTCCCCTTACAACAGGGTTGGCCTTTTCTACAGTTTACAATACCTAATTCATTTCTTCCATCTAAGATGTCATCAGGGTGGCCTTTACCGTCCATATTTTTAACAACATTCTGATTATGACAATGTAGATAATCTCTAAGAAGTACCAGACTTTCCTTACAATGGAACGTCCTCTTCTGAGCCCTCACTAGGTTTGTCCTTAATGCTCCTTTAATAGTAATTTAGGTTTTTGTAGCTTGCTCTTCCAAATTCTTCCAGCCTCAACCCACTACCCAGTTCCAAAACCACTTGCAAGTATTCAGGTATTTGTTACAGCAACACCCTTTGTCCAGTAGTAATTTTCTGTCTCAATCCATTTCATGATGCTGTAACAGAATACTGCAGACTGGGCAATTCACAACAAACAGAAATGTATTGGCTCGCAGTTCTGGAGGTTAGGAAGTACGAGATCGAGGTTCAGGCATCTCAGAAGGGTCTTCTTTTGGTGCCATCCTATGAAAGAAGGTGGAAGGGCAAAGAGAGGGCCAACTTTGTCCTTTATAATGGCACCAGTCCCACCTTTGAGGACAGAACTCTCGTGGTTTAATCACTTTTTAAGTATCTCATTTTCTGATAATGTTACAATGGCAATGAAATTTTGACATAGGTTTTGGAAGTGACAAACATTCAAACAACAGCCTAAACTATAGTTAGAAGTATTTCTCTAATACACCCTGACCATACTGATATGGGAGGAGGGCAGAGAAGTGCTGGGAGGAGAAGAGTGGGTCCCTGATGAGCGCTCTACCCTCCAGCCTGTGCCCATGGACCTAGGTGAGGACAGGCACTCCTGCCTTCATGGCCAAATGTTGCATTTCCCAAACCACCCTGGCCCGCCATGCCCCCATCCTGTGCCTATAAAAACCCCAAGATCCTAGCAGGCCGACTGGACATCGAGAGGAACACGTCAGCGGAAGAAGACACAAGTGGCTGGATGTTGAGGGGAGCATGCCGCTGTAAGAGCACACCGATAGAGCTGGCAGGCGGCAGGCCATCAACCGGTGGAATGACGCGGAATTTGGCCAGGGAGGTTGGAGGAGAGCCCGGGCCTCTGAGCGGCAGGACTCCACGGGAAAACCATCTTCCTTCTGGCTCCCCCACCTGCTGAGAACTACTTCCACTCACACTGAGCAGCCCGACTCCAAGGGAAAACCATCTCTCTTCTGGCTCCCCCATCTCCTGAGAGCTACTTCCACTCTAAAACTTGCACACATTCTCCAAGCCCATGTGTGATCTGATTCTTCTGGTATACCAAGGCAAGAAACCCGGGGATACAGAAATCCCTCTGTCCTTGTGATAAGGAAGGAGGGCTAACTGAGCTAACACAAGCCACCTATGGATGGCTAAACTAAAAGAGCACCCTGTAACACACGCCCACTGGGGCTTCTGGAGCTGTAAACATTCACACCTAGACACTGCCGTGGGGTCGGAGCCCCACAGCCTGCCCATCCACATGCTCTCCTCAGAGGTTTGAGCAGGGAAGAAACGAGCCACATCCCCATCACACACCCTGCGAGGGGGACAAGGGAACCTTTCCGGTTTCAATACCACTTCATTACCTAACACCTTCGCCTGAATCTCTGTGGTGTACAGTACATCAAGCAGAGCCAATGACTGTGACAGTGTTTTACGCGGCCTTCCTCTATCTGTTCCCAACTATGACCATTTCCTGGCATTCACCAAATAATCTAGAAGATGTCTGCACACACCATCCCTGTGCTCACATTATTGTTTTTATTGACCCCATAGTAACTCTCCTAGAAAAGTCCCACCTCTTGCTTAAGTGTTAATTGGGTGCTATTTTCTCTTTTGGGCATTACCCTTGCCCTCTTCCCTTCATCCCTTCCAAGGAGCATGCTCCTTCCTGGACACTGCTATTCTGTATGCCCACCAATCCCTCACTCTCCCTAAGGCCTTCGCAATTGTTGTTGCTTCTTTGATTTTCAGTCTAGGTATCATTTCTTCAGGGGAGATTTCCCAGATGACCCTTTTATTCACTCTTATGGTATGCCTCACTTCTCCTTTTTAGCACTTAGAAAAATTTCAAGTAAGTATTTTTGAGTGCATTTAAAAAGTTTTCTCAGTGTTTTCTAATCTCCCTAAGAATTGAACTATTATTTCATTCACTGTTATAAAGTCAATGTTGAGAAATTCATGTGTGTGTAAAGATAGTATCTTTAGACAAGTTAAAATGTGCTTCCAAATTTGCTTTATATTAGTACATAATTTCTCACACTTCCCTTTTTCTATTCCTCTAGACTTATTTACTTGCTTCAGGATAGTTTGGGTAAGAATTCAAAAAGAAATAAGTGCTTAGTCAATCTTGAATACATACATTAATTTTTTTTTCTTTTGGTCTGTGTCATCATCAACAACAAAAATAATCCTTAAAGTCAGGTTTTTTTTTTTTTATGGCAGAAAAGTAGTATGTTTTAGTAAAAATTATTTTAGCTCTCATCAAAAAAAGGCCTGAAAGACAGAGTCATAAAATTTTACTGTAAGCCATAACATAAAAATAGTATAGGGCTGCTTCAGGCGCATAGAAAGAATTGCAAAATCTTGCCCTTCCTGCTTAGGATAAGTGACAAGGACACAAGAGAAGAAGATAAAAGGGGAGATACACAACCGTGTCTTACTCTAGCCCAACAATAAGTAAAAACTCAGAGGTATAGGTGTGCTAGAAACTGCTATATTTGCAAGAAGAAACATAAGGAAATCAGAACTGGTAACCAGATTCCCTAAGAGTAGACCACACCTCTTGAAAAATATGGCCCAGAAGCAATACAACAGGGTTAGAGAACAGGTGATTTGAAACAGTAGCCTGGAGCAGCAGGTATGACTCAACCAAATCTAGGATCTGGAAGTTCCCACATATCATGATCAGGAGACCTGGAGGTACAGACAACACTGAAGACAGTGAAATTTTGGACAATTAGCCACATCCCCAAATGAGGACAGGCAGCTACTGAACCTCAGCAGTCTGCCTCAGCAGGCAAGAAATGGATTCAACAGACCACTCAAAGTCAAAGCCAGATAGATAGCAGGTCATGAGTCCCCATCATTTTCTTGTAGGAAACAAATTGTGTAAGTTTCTATTTCTCATTTCCCAGTATGTGAGATCACCTTTTGGAAAATAAATGGGGAAATGTAAGACATATTAAATATGGAATATTTATCAGAAATATGGAATATTTATCAGAAAGGACCTAAGTCACTTGTATTCATCTTCTAAGGATGCCATAACAGAATACTTTAGACTGAGTAACTTACACAAATGTATTGCCTCACAGTTCTGGAGGTTGGAAGTCCAAGGTCAAGGTGATGGCAAGGTTGGATTCTAGGTGAGGGCTTCCTTCCTGACTTGCAGGTGGCCACCTTCTCACTGTGTCCTCACTTGGTCTTTCTCTGTGTATGTGCTCCTGATGTCTGTTTTATATTTTTATTTTTCTGATAAGGACACTAGTCCTATTGGATGAGGGTCCACCCCTTATGACCTCATTTAAACTTGATTAATTCCTTAAAGTCCCTATTTCCAAAAACAGTCACATTGTGGGTTAGGACTTCAACCTATGAATTTTGGGAAGGATACAACTTAGTTCATAACAATCCTAAAAGGATATAATCTGAACTAAAAGAGCTGAAGAAATCATCACATAGTAGTTATTCATGAGAAATATTAGTTATAGAACATACCGCAATCACATTTTGAAGTATTTAATAAAAATGGATGCTAGAATTGCAACCCTGGAAAAGCTGTGTGGCTTATAAATGAATCCACAAGTGCATAAATATATATGTATGTAGTCTTTTTAAATAAATAAACATCATGTATAAAAGGCAAAAGATCAAAAACAGCCTAAATACTCATCTATGGGATTTAATTTAAATCAATTATTGGGCCTTCATACATTATTGGAATTTTTATATGCTCAGTGAAATGATAAGCTTTGACTTCACGTATTGAAATAGATATATCAATCTGTAATATTGCTATCATATTTTGTCTAGATTGACAAAGCACATGCCTATCTTCTTTATTAATATGTTAATTTGTGACAATATATAAATTATAAATGATGAAATGATATATAACAGGCTTAACAAAGGGTTACAGGTGTCATCTCTGTGGCAATATTGTGATGGGCTTAAGATCACTGCTAAGAGAAGTAGTTAACTGCAGAATTAAATAGCCTGGCTCAGTAGTCACACCAGAGGTATCTTTGGCAAGTTATTTAATCTTAGGTTTTATAAGCCTCACTTTTTTCATCTATAAATGGGTCTAATAATTGTATCTATCTTACAGGATCATTGGTAGACCTAAATGTTAATACAAGTAAAACACTTAGGAATGTGTGGGATATTGTGTGCACTTAATAAATGTCACATATTGTATCCTTTTATTATTTTTATTCCTATTATTATTAGATACAGTCCCAAATAATTTTATTTCTGGTTTTACAAAAGACATCTGGTGCTTTTCAATCACTGAAATCAATAAAGCCGATACATATACAAAAATTTTCAAAAAAAATTAGGTAATCACAATTTTTCTCTCTGCAATTTTACTAACATTATTTAGAAATGATGCTATTAAAGGGCATTACTTCTACTCATATAGACACATGCATAGCCAATTATTTCGTCTCTTTACTCTTCATCTTTAAGCTTGCCCACTGACTGTCCTAAGTGTAACAGACTTAAACAACAATTATTTGCATGTGCCAATAGCAGCTAGGGGCTAAGGAGTAGATAAGAGAGTCATTGCTTATGTGACTGAAGGAGACAAATAATACGTGGATGAGGCTTTTTAATTTTTGCCCTTGAGAGAGTAATGTTCTCATATCTTAAAAGAAAATCGATACCTGATATTAGATGCACATAAACTAATGATCAATACATCATGACAGTAGATTTGTGAATTCTCATCTAAGTCAACTAAACAAAGAAACCTATTTTATATTGTGCTATGTTTTGAATTTGTTCCCCAAAGTTCCTGTGTTATAAATTGGTACCCAGTGCAGCAGTGCTGAGAGATGGAACTTTTAGGAGGCAATGAGTTTTGAGGGCTCTGCTCTCTTAAATGGGTTAATCCATTCATGGATTACTGGGTACTGAGGGAGTGGGTTAGTTATCATGAAAATGGGTAAGCAAGTTTGGCCATCTCTTGTGAGCTGTTCTTGCCATGTAATCAATGCCTTACACCACCAAGGGACTCTGCAGAGTCACCATTCGCAAGAAGGTTCTCATCAGATACAACCCCTCGATCATGGACTTCCCAGCATCCAGAACTGTAAGAAATGTATTTATTTTCTTTATAAGTTACTCAGCCATGAGTATTCAGTTATACCAATAGAAAACAAATTAACACATAGTAGTTTTCAATTAGATATAATTAATATAAAAAGAATACCAAAATCCATAAGGCAATCAGTGTGTAAACCCCACTCATTCTGATTTCTTCATTATGCATTCCTTCACTTAGATTTAAGTTGGAGGAATTTTAAGTGTTGTAAACATTACCATTTTAATAACATGATATATAAACCTAGAAGGTAATACATTAACATATTTTACAGTTGTTTATGACTTTGTAAAGAAAAAACAAATAGAATGAACCTGCCATTCATAATCTGTAGTTTTATTTCGAGAGCTGGGAATTCATGGGAAGTTTGTAACTGCAATTTGATCACCTCCCCTTTGAACCTATCTCAGTCATGAGTACCATAATGTGCACTTCTTTACTTCAGCAGAAGCTGCTTAGAGACAAATTACTTTGGTGCTAGATTAAATGCACCTCAGCAGCTAGACTGGATGGCATTTCACTCCCATGCAGAATCCTTGCAAGCTGCACTCTGACCTTCTGGATGACATCTTCTGCCTGACAGTCATTATTTTCTACCTCCAGCTCCCTAGGACACCTAAGTGGAGCAGTTATTAGAGTTCCACAGGCAGCATAAATGGCCATATATATATATATGTTTCTGTGGTCAGAAATTGGAGGGGAGGAGATGAAAGGAAAAAAAGGGCTCCGAAGTTGCTTTTATTCATGACTGCACCTCTCCCTCACTGACTCTGAAGCTCACTGTTGTTGATTTCCCTGTGATCCTTGATTTCCTTGTGATATTTCAAACCACTCCAGTCTCTAGATGGAAGGTTTATGTTGGCCTTGTTGTGGTACTATCCGATAGAATTTTGGATGATGTTTCTGTCCTACAATTCTGAAAATTGCCATTAAACAAAGGTTATAATGTAGTTAAATAAGGCATGTAGGAATAAAGCAAAATCAAGTCTGGAGGATGATACAACTCTTCTGCATGGTTAAGTATGTTGTAACAATGATTCTAGAGGGAGAGATCAGTGTCGAGTGGGTATTGATATAATGGTAAGTAACCCATTTCTCCAAATCTCTTGACACTGTTCACTCCTGCTTTCTTGTGCCTTATCTACTCTCCTCCCACTTCAACTCCTCTCTTAAAATTCTCTCCTCTTCCTCCCCTTCCCTTCATTATATTCTTAATGTTTATTTTCATTTTTTTTCCTGGTGAAGACATTTAACAAATCAAGAATGGATTCCAAGAATGCTGAAAGCTTCCTAGTTTTTTCCTATATGAAAATTATGCTTCATTCTTTCAATAAAAACATGCCAGAAAATGTAAATTATTCTGTAACTGCATTTTTTGTCTAGTTCTCTGGATTTCACCATCACATTCCATAGATGGCTATTGTCTTTTATTTGCAAGGGAATATACTACTTGTTAGAGAAATAAGTAAATATTAGCTTAGATTTCTGCACCGGAAGTATGCAGAGCTTTGATCTGGGGATGAAATAAAATATGAAGTATATAATTGGGAATATGTTGGCATAAAATAAGGGACTAATAAATGGTACCAAATATTGAATAAAGTGACAGTTTCATCAGCAGTATCAATGTTCAAGGCATGTAAAGAAATTAGAAGGCTTACAAAGAAAGTCTATCTCTCTTTTCCCAGGTGTGTGTAACAAAAGTTCTTGAATAAACTTGGATTTTGCTGATCTGGAGTTCAAGCAAGTTCATGCACAGCTGCTAAGTTAATGGGGCAGTTGCATTATCTTGCTGTCACGTTTATTTAATGCTGAAACCCACTGATGGTAAATTATACCATAAAATTTTAAATTATATTTTACAATATAGAAATGTGCATAAATAAAACACACTGTGTAAAAAAAAATAATCTACACACTGAGAGACAGACTCATACTCAAGCAATTCTCTGCTCCTGCTCCTAGTAACTATCAAATTCAGCAACTCAACCTTTTGTTATCACAATATCTTTAATAGAATTGCTTCAGATTAACTTTTTTTGTGTATTTTCTTTGAATAATATATTCTAGCTGCCTGTTGGGAAATATCAGAGACTAAATTAAACTACACATCTTCTCCATATTCTTTTCTCCAGACTATATGCAAATATATTTATTTTTTATTTTCTGCATAATATTACAACTTTTAATTTTGTTAGATAAGCAAATTTTGGCTCCTATTCTCATGTTCTTTCTACCAGCTGCCGTCCATTTTCCATCATTTATGCCATTATTTTACATTTAAAAGTAATTAATACCTATTTTCCATGTTAATTTTAAATCTTTGTGCTTTGTGAGATAGTGTTTGAGAATAAAATAAAAATCATCATTTAACTTATTAGGATTGTGAAAATGCAATTCCTTTCTGAAGCCATAGAGTCCTGAAGGTTCTTTCTACTTTCTCATTCTATATATTGGCAGTTACAAAATATCTCAGTTAGTTAGCTTTATATTTGTCATTTCTTAAATGAATTTTTGTTTTCCTAAGAATTTTTCCTGGCACTTGCTTTGTTTCCCACGCCCTCTTTCTCTATCTGCTAAAGTCAAACATAAAGTTCTTCTAGTGCTCTACTACTAAGAGTAATCCTCACCTTTCCAGCATTAGATATTGACAGTGATGGGCATTACCAGCTTTGATGCAAAGCAGCTTTGCCTGAGATGGTAGATGTGACACTATGGGACAGATATTGCATCCTCTACAAGACTACGGGAAGTTTTGCAATAATGTTAAAAGACTTTAGTAGCTACATTCATTCTTCTAGCAGACAGGGAGGCTTTTGGCAGGAAATGATGCCATAACTACTGCTTTGGATAGGGGCGATATCATCAAAGATAACTTAAAAAGTAAAGGAAGATATTGTGGGTTTTATTTGAACACTGAGCAAACTAGTTCATGGAGTGCACGTAAGTTATACCTTGGAATTTCAAAAAACTATTAAGGTATTATTTTAAGATGATAAGATCTTTGAAAAAGCAGGTCGTAATAAACCCAGAGAAATGTTTGGTGTGTGACAGCCTGTGTCAACATAATTTTGCCCAAGTCTCTGAAACATTAGAAAAATATAGAAGCAGTAAATATCTATTCTAATGGCTTCAAGACATTTTTCCCCCTCTTCTCTGCAATGGCCTCTAATTCAAATTAATGGACCCCCAATGCTACTGCCTCTGAGAAAAGCTCATTGAAACATAAGTAAGTGTGTCTCTTACTCCATGATCCAACCGAGGCTAATGAGAGAATATCATATCACACTTGATTAATTTGAAAGTGGGCACTGGCCAAATTACCTGAGTCAGAGTTCTTGCCTGAGGTTTTTCAAATGCTACCCTAGAAGAAAAGCAATTTCTTTATGGTGACGAAAGTTATAAGTCATAAAAACACTGGCATGTTCACTGGTTATGTTTCCTGCTATTTAGAGAAAACAGCTTTAAAGTGAAAGACAGTAAAGCCAGCATATTGAAAGAAAAATAAATTAGTACCAAGAGAGTTCTGATTGCATTTTTGTCCCTGGTCCAGTTGTTCATAAATTTGTTCCATCTCTGCCATCTGTATTTTGGTTGTTACATTTTCATTGAATTCTCTGAAGAAATGTTCTTCATTTTTCTCCCCAAATTAGTTTGAGTTAGGTTTATGTCAGTTGGCATTTAAGAATCTTAAGTAATTTGAAAAAGTTGAATGCCCGTTTATACTCACTAATGACTCTTTATTGAATTTTCTCAGAGTAAAGTTGACAAGTATTGCCATAGCAGCTGAAGTTCACTTCAGATTAAACACAATGTCTTTGACTGTGCCAAGAATATAATTTTATGTTTTGTCAATTATTAGGTAATAAGTAATTCTGGGATTCTGAGGTTGGCTTACTCATCAGTAATATTTATAATATTAGAAATTTACTTCTAAAGAGAAAATTCACCACTTCCGTAATTTTATAGACCTTGATTTTTACATGGAATTTGATGTGTTTTTGATGTTTTATGCTAGTATTTATTTAAAATAAATATTTAAATAACTTAAATAAATATGTTATCACTATATTATACAACTTAAATAAATATGTTATCACTATATTAATGTTTTAAGGTGTGTATATGACTTTAATGACTGAATTTTTATCCATGAAATGCAGGCATTAAAAAATGGCATTTAGAACAGAGAAATGTTAGTTGCTCCTTACTGGCTATTTCACTTTCTGAAGTTTCAGTTACTTTGTGTTAACCGTAATTCAAAAATATTAAACAGAAAATTCCAGGACTAAACAATGTATAAAATTTTAAATTGCTGCTGTTACAAGTAGTGTGATGAAGTCTTGTATTTTCCTGTTCTGTCTTGCTGGGGAGGCGAGTCATTCCTATGTCCAGCATGTCCACACTGTTTATGCTACCCACTCATTATTCTCTTGGAAGCCATCTTGGTGATCAGATCAACTGATATGCCAGTGCTTGTGTTCAAGTCACCCTTATTTTACTTACTAATGCCCCTGAACACAAGAGTAGTGAGGCCAGCATCTGGATATGTCAAAGAGAAGCCCTAAAGTGCTTTCTTTAAGTGAAAAGGTGGAAGTTCTTAACTTAATAAGAAAAGAAAAAAATTGTATGCAGAGGTTGCTAGCACCTGTGGTAAGAACAAATCTTTTATCCCTGAAACTGTGAAGAAGGAAAAATAAATGAGTGCATAGTATATATATGGTTCAGTACTATCCTTAGTTTCAGGCATCCACTGGAGGTCTTGGAACATATATAAATAAGGGGGCACTACTATCTATGTATGTACTGGTGTGCACACACAGTCAGCAATTGTTTTAAGGGTTGTTTACTTTAAATTGTAATAATAATCTGTTGTAATAACGTTACATGATCCACTAAATCATGTTACACAGAAATTAGCAAAAAACATTTTGAACTGCTTACTATATTAGTTTTTAATTATTATTCCAAAGATACAATATTTAAGATGACAGTTTTATTGAATAATGATAGAAATGCTAATGGCATTCCATAAAGTTTATATTAGAGCAGTATATTTTAATTTATTGATCTTTCTTATTTCTAGCAATCTACTCCCTCCCAATTCTTTTAATTTTATACATCAATCAAGATGACAAGATTGGTAGGCATATAGACAAAATATCTATAGGCACTTTCTAAGGTACTGGAAGTTATAGCACATCATGTGTTAACAAAAACAACTTTTTAAAAACTCTTCTATAGCTTCACATATAATCGCAAGGCATGTGAACTTTAAGAAATCTTATGATGTGATGATAGTGACAGGAGGCACACAAATTCCTAGGCATATAGGGACAGGCCCCCAGTGAAACCCAACTTTCAAGGCAAAAACAGTGGAAAACCTAAAAACCAAGCTACAAGTCTAGAAAAAAATCCATGGACTGAACTGAGAACCTCTCTTCCCATTTGGTGCATTTTCCTCTGATTGATCCCCTCCCTTCACCGATTTTACATATACCTACCCTTCCCTAATTGATTTTCTACATTGCCATGCCCATCTTTGAGTGGTACATTTTTTTAGCCATTTTTGCTTACTCACAAACCAATCACCATGCACTCCCCCATTCAGAGCCCGTAAAAACCCTGGACTCAGCCACACTTAGGGGACTACCTGCCTTCAGGTGGAGGACCACCTGTCTTCAGCTAGGGTACTGCCACTTTAGCTCCCCTCTCTACTGAGAGCTGTTCTGTGGCTCAATAAAACTCTTTGCCTTGCTGACCCTCCAGTTGTCCACGTAAATTCATTCTTCTTGGATACAGGACAAAAACTCAGGACCCACAGGTGTGAAAAGGGCTATAACACTATAACCCTCCCTCCTGCTCCTGGAGCAATGGGAGGCCTGAGCAGGGGCACTGCTGGCAGCAGAGGTCTCCAGCTGGTGAAGCAGCCCCCCAAAAATCCTCCATTACTGATGTTTCTTAAAAGAGATTATTTGTGATCCTGACACTCCAAAAATTACCCGGGTCTGTCCATATTTATTGATGCAATTTTATGCACAAATAACTTTCAGCCATTTGGACTTAAAAAGTAAAACTAGGCTTTGTGAAAGCCTTGTTTCCAGGGATAGAAAAATACTTAACTCCTATGGTTAGAATTGCCTTGAGCTACAAGTATTAATTAATCATAATCAACAGTGTTTCAGTGATGATGTATCACCAGTTATTTCTAAAAATAACAAAAAAATACACCAATAATATTTACCAGATGGGAACTAACTTTAATGATTGACTGGATTGGGGGTCCAAGCTCAAGAGCAATAAGTAGTATAGTCAGTCATACATAACCATTTTGTTCAAACTTCCTGCTTACCCTTGCAATGATAATTTACCTAATATAATTATAAAAGTTGATGACTGATGGCTGTAATAAAAAATCAATCTTTGAAGTAGAGAATAATGACAAAGTTTCCAAGTTCTGTGATGAAAGTACTTAGAAAGAATGTACAGTGACTCCATACATTCTGTTATCCATTAATAGCTCCTTGTTTTGACCTTAAACATGTCTCTCTTTGTCACATAACAATGCTGATGAAATCCACTTCATCACACAGACTCACAAACTTGGCCTTGTTCAACTTTTCCCTTTTCTTCTACTCAGACATTTATTCAGTTATCTAGGTTGGTTATTTTTAACTATGGAATGTTCTAAATCAGTTTTTCTTTCCTAGCTTATTATGATTCCCTAATTTAAATTCCTCTTTGTCACCATTGGGAATATTGTAATAATCCCTTAACTTCCCTTCCAGATACCAGTATTTCTAGTCTTTGTTACCAATAATTCCCATCTTTTTGGTCTCAGGACTCATTTATAATCTTATAAGCTATTAAAGACCTCAAAGAGCTTTTTAAATGTAGATTCCACCCACTGATATATGCTGCATTAGAGAGAATAACTAAGAAATATCTATTTATATTAATTTATCTTAAAATAGACATTAAAATTCCATTACATATAAACATGATATCATATTTTTATAAAATAACTATATGTTTAATACAAAACATGAGGAGAAGAGAGGTATTACTTAAACATTTTTACTTAGAGGAAAAATGGATTCTCATATATGCTTCTGTGTTCCACTTAAGGATATCATGTATGGCTCTACACAAATACCTAGTTTGAAAAGCTGTTTTTCCTTTTTAATATCCTTTTCAGATTACTGTCAATATTCTTCTTTGATATAACATCAAAACTCAATAAGTGGTAGTTTGCTAATAATTATTTGCAATGTGGAATTAGAAAGCAGATCAACAAACATTTACCCTCTTACATTAGGATCTGTTGATACATCTGTGCTTTGACTCTTACCTGCCTGTGAATTTGCTGCATTATACACGGGTATTTAGAAAATGCTGGTTCCCTGAGTTGTGTAGATATCCCAAATATTGAAATGTTTTATTATACAATATCAAAATCAGGTTCATTTTTATTAAGTTCAATAACAATATGATCAGAAAAGTATTAAGTATGAGAAATGTCACGTTCTTGGTGGTGAATACTAATTTTCCAATTTTTTTCACTTGAAAGCTCAAATGTTATTATTAGCAACAAATACTTTAAGTTGTTTACTTCAAAGTTACAGTATCACTTATTTTTGAGAAAGTGTTCTTCAGAATGGCCATATTTGAACTATCATAGTTTGTCAGTCGTTCTTTCTAGTAAAGGGTATTTTATAAAAACAGTAAAGTGTCAGGAGTCCCCAAGATTACCCCTAAGTTTGTGATTTACAGAAATTAGCATATAGTCATATTCAATGCTAAGATGCATTCCAGCAAAAGGAAACAAAGCAAAGTCAGCCAAGGGGGAAGGCTCAAGAAGCAAAATCTGGAGGAGACCAGGCAAAAGCTGCCAGGATGTACTTAAGTCCTCCAGTAATGAGCTGTGACATGTGGGAAGTGTTGTCTACCAGAAAAGCTCATTCAGTCTCAACACCCGAGGTTTTTATTGGGAGCTGGTTATGTAGGCAACTTCTGCCTAGCACGTATCAAAATTCCGGATGCCCAGAGTGAAATCAAGAGTACAGCATAAATCACATTGTTTGTACAAAGATTTGGGGAATGGTGGGAACATAGACTAAATTCAAGTTCCCAGATGGCATCCAAGGGCCAGCATTGCAAGCAGACCTTTCTAAGGAAAAGTAGTCAGATCTGCCGTATGTATTATTGCTTTCCTGCACAAGCAGCTAATCCATCTTACAACTAAAAAGTTATATACAGGTGCTTTTTCTCAATACAACAGTGATATATTGGTCTGCACCCTGTACTTTACACATACTTCTCATTTTGTGACACGTAACATTCAAAGATGTGTACCCAAAGTTGAGATTAAATAAAATTAATAATTTATTTCTGCTGCTTTTAGGAACTTTTCAGGTAAAATGGCAGCTTTTGTTTCTGTTTTTTCCTACTAAGCATTTATAATGAGGAAGAATATAATGGCTACTCATATAATTTAGTGCAACCGCTTTGATTCATGTTAAGGCACAAGCAGTTTTATTCATCATTGCTTTTGCAACATTACTGCAAATATTAACACAGTGAAAAAGGCAAGAAACATCTTACAGTAATTTTGACCTTGCAGATCCTTTGAAAGTTTTCAGATACTCACAAGTCTACAGTCCACAATTTGGGAACTGTTGTTCTACACTACAGGTACAATTATCTCTGTGAAATACTAATCTGATATTTTTCCTTCCATTGTTTAACAAACATTATGACTCTAGTCTCTATGGAATAATAACCAGGCATTGTATTGAATTCTTAACAAATGCTGACTTTAACTGGCCCTTTCAAGATAAATTGTCCCCTATTTCTGCAAAGCCGTTTCTGCTAATCATTCCATAAGCATAGTGGTCTCTCTTCTTAGAATGGTATCCACTATTTATAGATTCTTATTTATCAGTATTCACATTGATTTATTTAATGTTATCTCCATCTAGGCCCAATGGAAATGTAATCAAAATTATCCGTAAAGAACTATTTCCCTAGCTTATTAATAGCATTTTATTTTTTTTGAGACAGCATCTTGCTCTGTCTCCCAGGCAGGAGGGCAGTGGTGCAATCTCAGCTCACTGCAACCTCCACCTCCCAGGTTCAAGTGATTCTCCTGCCTCAGCCACCTGAATAGCTGGGATTACAGGTGCCTGCCACCACACCTGGCTAATTTTTGTATTTTTAGTAGAGATGAGGTTTCACCATGTTGGCCAGGCTGTTCTTGAACTCCTAGCCTCAAGTGATCTGCCCGCCTCAGTCTCCCAGTATTTTGTTTTATTTCTTTATTCCCCTATTTCCAAAGATAGCTTGGCACCCTTAAATTTCTCAAGATTTTCTCAAATGTAAGATGACAGAAATCACAACCATTATATTACCTTCTAAGCTTTACCTTCCTCTTGGTGGTCCCAAACTTCATGTGTAATGCCATGACCATTTAAGCAGTCATATAAATCAGACAACTGAAATCCACTTTACCCCACAATTCTTTGCAAATCTCCACCTGTTTGACCTTCTTACCATGTCTTGGATCTACCCACTTTTCTCTTTTCACCACCATTCTGTTCTATACATTGTCATAATCTCCCATTTGAACTACTACAGTAACCTCTTAGTTCTTTCCAAACATCTCTCCTTGCCCTCACCTTCAAGCACTCCTTTGAAAGCTTATATCATAGAGATATATTTAAAATGAACAATATGTTCAAATTCACCTCATCCCCGTACCCACACCTTGCTTAAAACTTCAAAGTAGCTTACCATTGATCCTTAGTGTAAATATAAAAAGCTTTCAATATAAATATAAAAGTCCTTAACATGAATATAAAGTTCTCTTGCTCTGATCACTGTCTACTTACAACAAGATTTTGTGTTCAGTTTTACCTTGCCCTCTGTATCCCATTGTCCCATTGGCTTGCCCAGGTTTTCGATTTGTTCCTCAATTACATCATGTTTCCTCCTACACAAAGCCTGAACATGTGCTGTCTAGAAATTATTTCTAATTTTATCCACATCATTCTCCTATACATTGTTAAAAATATTCTTCATTTTGATCTCTGGTTAATAATAACTAACTCAAATATTTGAATAATGCAATTTTCCCCTTCCCCGCTCTCACAATTTTTGGTAGCACTTCTTCAATGTGAGTTTTTTTACTTCACTTGTAAGATTTGTTGATTAATATCTATTTTCCCAACTGAATTTTTATATCCATGAGTTCAAAGTGCTTGTCTGATTTTGCCTCCAGTGTTACCAAAAACTCATATTATAATACCTGTCTCACAGTAAGTGCTGAAAAATATTTGTCAAAATTATAAGTAATGATAAAGCTACAGTAAAGAAGACAATGTGTTATTGGTGGAAGAATAGACAAAAGTTTATTGGAACAAAATGGAGAATCCAAGAATAAACTCACATAAATTGAGTCAACTAATCTTAGAAAAAGAGAAGAGGTAAAATTGTCAGAAATGTTGGAATCAGAGTGACTCCATATTGAGTGAGGGCTAGGAAAATGAGGCTGAGACTCGCTGGGCTGCATTCCCAGAAACTTAGATATTTCTAGCCTCTAGATGTTTACGGTTCAGGGAGAAGATTGATAACGTTTACTAAACAGAGTGTCCAGATATCCCGATATCTTGAGAACAGAAGCATTCCTAATTTTGCTTTAGAGATAATAACATCAATTCTTGCAAAATACAGTAATTAAGAAAATTGGCTGGGTGCCTTGGCTCGCACCTGTAATCCCAGCACTTTGGGAGGCCAAGGTGGGTGGATCACTTGAGGTCAGGAGTTCAAGACCAGCCTGGCCAACATGGTGAAACCCCATCTCTACACAAAATACAAAAATTAGCCAGGCATGGTGGTGCTTGCCTGTAATCCCAGCTACTTGGGAAACTGAGGCAGGAGAATCACTTAAACTCAGGAGGCAGAGGTTGCAGTGAGCCAAGATCGTGCCACTGCTCTCCGGCCTGGGTGACAGAGGTTGCAGTGAGCCGAGATCGCGCCACTGCGCTCCAGCCTGGGTGACAGAGTGAGACTTCATCTCAAAAAAAGAAAAGAAAAGAAAATGAATCCTTTATTACAAACCCTTGTAGCAAAGCACATCTCCCCATGATCTTTTTTTGTTTGATATATAATCTAGTATTGTACTTAAGGTGGATGCGTTCCTCCTCTGACTTTGGGAATGCCCTACTCTGTCTATGGAGTAGCTGTACTTTCACGACTTGATGTTCTTAATAAACTTGCTTTTGCTTTGCACTGTGGACTCACCTGAATTCTTTCTTGCACGAGATACAAGAACCCTCTCTTGGGTTCTGGGTCAAGATGACTTTCCTGTAATCTTTCACCTTCCTCACAATCATGACGGAAGGTGAAAGGCACATCTTACATGGCAGCAGGCAAGAAACAGAATTAAAACCAAGCAAAACTTCAACACATATTAGCAACAGTGCATCAAAATGAAACTTTCTTAAAGTTCATTTACTGTTACGTAGCATGCAATTATACAATATTTCCTATGTATCCAAAATGTCACTGGCTTCTGCTCCCACTGGATTGATTAAATATATTTAACATATATATAAAATATGTATAGTTTACATACATATAAATATATAGTAGATGCTTGAAGAACACAGGTTTGAATTGCACAGGTACCATTATGTGTGATTTTTTTTCTCTGCCATCCCTGAGTCACCAAGATAAATCCTTCCTTTTCCTCCTCCTCTTCAGACTAATCACAATGAGGATGAATACCTTTAGGGTGATTCCCTTTAATTTAGTGAACAGTAAGTATATTTTCTCTTGCTTATGATTGTCTTAATAACATTTTCTTTTCTCTAGCTTACTTTATTATAAGAATACAGTATACAATACATATAACATATAAAATATTTGTTAATATGCTGTTTATAGTATAGGTTAGGCTTCTGGTCAATGATAGGCTATTAATAGTGAAGTTTGGGAGGACTTAAAAGTTATATGCATATTTTTGATGGTGTGGAGGTCAGCATGTTCACCCATGTTGTTCAAGGGTCAACTACAAACCTGATAGCCCTTTGTGGATACTTGCTTCTACTTAGCCCATTGTATCATGTCCTTGTGGTGATTGTGCTCATTCATTATGAGAATTTCTTCAGCTTGAAGAACACCTGTTTCTGAATCTTCTCTGAGCTTTAGAAATATTAGCAAGGGAGGGAACTTAGATGGTTCTGTCCCTGATCTAACTTTCATTACGAAGTTCTGGATCAGAGAGTTCCTCTCTGGAGGATTACGCGTCACTTAACCGATCATTGCTTCCGCAATCACAGACTCACCAAGGACAGTCATTATACTTCCTTCTGGAGTAATATCCCTTCTCCATTAAGATTCGACTTCTGCCCTGGAGACTGAGGAACTAGTAATCCTGTCTCAAGATTGGGCGATTAACTTCAAATTGCTTTTCAACACTAGGTTGAAATAGTCTTCCCTGAGAACCTTCTCTTTATTTGCTCAGAGGTTGATAAGACATTCTAGCTGTTCCCTAATATATTTTCATAAAGCAAGCATAAGTGATATCAAATCATTATCTCAGGGTCACATACTGGTTAATGTCCTCCATATCCTGTTAATTTAAGGTGAAAGTGAATTTTATGTCTGGAAACTGTTGTATGTCTTTGGTATCTTCCTTCTGCAGTGTGTCTGAATTGTAAGGTCAGAACTTAGGTCATTGAACTTGTTATATAAGGCCACCAAAGAATAGTAATTAAAAAAAACTAGCAGTTATCTTATTTGTAAAAGAAGACAGCTTGGTTGATGATATTTTTGTACCATTGACATCTAGAGTTTGAATATATGTGTTAAATTTGCTGCTACTGCAGCACTTGACCCTATTCACTAGGTGATGTCAATTTTCTGATTCTAATACTATTGCTGACTTGAGGGGGAAGGTTGACTATTTCCATACAGTTTGACCTGTGATGATTTTAAATTGGAAACAGTGAGTAAGACTAAAATCATGGGGGAATACTTTTTTTCTAATATTCTCTAGTAGTCATACGTAAATATAATAGTTCTAATGATTTAGTCAAAACCTAATTAATGTCAGTAATGGAGAACAAATGTAACTAATAATGCAATCTTATAGACAGTATTATTTTAAGCTTCACTGTACATATGGATTTCTCTTTATGTGCCTATAGTCATATGTTTAAAAGCTTTATATTTATAAAAAAGTGATGACTTAATGTCAAGTTAAAACATAATATTTGAGCAATACTTCACTATTCCCATCTCATCAAACATGTACTTTTTCCTCTGGCTCTCCACATCCATTATGGCTCTCTTGACTTTTTTTCCTTTGTCAAATTCATTGTTATTATACTAATTATTATTATGACATAGCTTCCTTGATATGTTCTTGTCTGTTACCTCTCATCTAATTTGATCTATATATTTACCAAATTAATGCTTGGTACTTCTTAGTATTATAACCTTTATCAAGCCTCTTCACCACTCAGCATAGATATATATGTACACATAAAAACACACATACAGTGGCTTTTCATTTCTTGTTAATTTCAAATTCTTCATACTCTTACTAACTCTCTGATATAAACATTCCCTTCACATTCCTTATGTGATAAACACACACCCACTGTGATAAACGAGCAAAGTTTAAAGACCTCTTATCTTTGTTTTTCTGGTACACAAACCTCTGTTTTAATTTATTACTTTGTCCTGGAATGCTTTTCCCTGAATTTTGAAGGGCAAATTCAATACAGGTATTACCTTGGGAAAGACCCCAAGAGCTATTGTTCCTTTTTGAGACATTCATAGAACTTTTAGTTCTATGCTTTAATGCCATTTATATTCTATTTTGTAATTTAATTATTATTTTGTGTATTAAAATCATCTTTTTTACTTGATTACCATTGTAGAAAAGTTTTTATTTTCTTATAATTTTGTAGTACTGTGCACAGTCTTCTATAATAAATAAGACTTATTTGTTAAAAGTCCCTTGAACAATGAGTGAAATAATTCTCTTTAGTTAAAAGGCAGACTATATTTCTTTATTTTGTAAGAAAATGGAATCCTCTTACAAAGAGAATGTCTGAAGGAGGCCACTGATTTTTATTTCTTTGAGATATTATTTTACCCAAAATTTCAGTACAGTTTTGCCAACAGTAACTCTAAAAGCATCTTCTAATGTTGGTCTCTTTATTATCTCCAGTTCCAAAATGGTATCATTCTTTGATAAACACAGATTTTGAGAAACAAAACATTTGAATGTGGAGATGGAGAAAGACAGAGTGTTCAAGGAATATATATTAATCCGTTCTCACACTGCTAATGAAGACATACCCAAGACTGGGTAATATAAAGGAAAGAGGTTTAATTGACTCACAGTTCTGCATGGCTGTGGAGGCCTCAGGAAACTTACAATCATGGTGGAAGGGAAAGTAAACATGTCCTTCGTCAGAAGGTGGCAGGAGATAGAAGTGCCAAGCAAAAGGTGGAAAGTCCTTTATAAAACCATCAGATCTCGTGAGAACTCACTATCATGAGAACAACATGGGGGGAACCACCCCCATGATTCAACTACCACCCATGGGGACCATCCCGTGACATGTGGGGATTATGGGAACCACAATTGAAGATGATAATTTGGTTAGGGACAAAGCCAAACCATATCACAATGTTCTTGGCTCAATGAAGTATAAACCAAATTTATTTATTGTGATTTAGGATGTAGGGTTATATCCTAGGAAAAGAATACATAAACAATGTTTAATGTTTTATCCAGTTGTCATTGTTGGTATGAAAAAGAAACCTATCTTTTTTAAGTATTAAGGAGAGCAAGAAACTAATAATATTTTGCAGCTAGTAGCTCTGATTATCTGTGGAGACCTCAAAAATGGCAAAATGGCCTCTTAAAAAATTGATATTTATTAAGACTATATATTTGGTTGGTACAAAAGTCATTGTGATTTTTGCTAAACATCTGTTGTCACAGATCTCAAATTGCTTACTAGAAGTTATAAACAACATGAAATTATGCTATTTATTTATTATGCCAGGCTTCTCCAGAACATGCTAAGTAAAACTGGTATAACTTTGATAATTTTAAGCTGGAATTTCTCAAATCTACTTAAGATTGCAATGATTCCTAAAACCATCTTTTTTTTTTCAAGAAGAGTGCAGCCAGCCTCTGGGTTTATTTTATCAGATACAGATTCAGAATCAGCCTTCTTAGAGGCTGAATTGCCACATGCTACTGAATTAATTAAGACACTGACTTCAGTCTAAGAGCGTTGGATTCAGTGGAAGCACAAATGGCCCTGCGGCAGCTTTTCCCTGTGGCTATCATAGTTCTCCACTACGTTTCTATCTTTTGCATCGTATCAATATTCCCATCCCTCTCAGAAGTGGATTAAAACTATCTCTTTGCAATAATGAAATTAAATCACCTAAGAAGTTTGCATCATTTTTGCTGAGAAGTGAAGGAGAAGCATTTGTTAGCACTAATCTGAAAGTTTCTAGTGATTTATTAACATTTTCTTTCTTTGAAAGTACGACTGAAAACTGAATGACAAATGATTTCTGAAGATTGGAAATTCAGGCACAAGGCTTTTTCAGGGCTATTCCCAATAATACAAGGTAAAAAAAAAAATCAAATTTCTTAACTTTTTAAAACCAATATCACATTTTCCAACATGATGCTACCATCTATTTTTTAAGACATCTTCCTACTCCAGGGCAGAAATATAATTGGAATAAATCTGCAAACATTCCAAGACTGCTGTATCAAGTCTGCAAGAATTCACCTCAAATTAGATAAAATACATGTAATTTGTGATGCCTCTGTTGCAAAAGCAAAAAGAAATATTCCGTGTCCCTAGGGTTGTCAATTGTTACTGAATTTTGATTTATACAAATATAACCATAGCAGAACCACTTTGTCACCTAGTGGAAAATGGCTTTCCATGGTGTGAAATTCACTTAAATTTGGATACTTTTGTAACATCTAGCAATTATTGACTTTTCCAGTTTTTGCAAGTGTATTTCTTTAAACACAAGTGGTCTTTTCTATCTTTCCTTGCCACTTAGAATGGGAAAGGTGTTCAGCTTCAGATTTTCTGGTTATACTTTTTAAATATTTATTTTTTTAATTGAAAAAGGAAATTTTATATAGTTATGATATATACATAAATATGTATGTTTTGATACATGTTTATATTATGGATGGTGAAATCAAGCTAGTTAGCATATTTAGTACCTGACAACTATCATTTTATTTTTGTAATGAGAACATTTGAGATCTACTATGAGCAATCTTTAAATACACAATACATTTCTATTAACTATAGTTATCATGTTGCACAATAGATCTCGTGAACTTACTCCTCCTCTCTAATTTAAATTTTATGTCTTTTGGCCAGGCACGGTGGCTCATGCCTACAATCCCAGCACTTTGGAAGGCCAAGGCAGGATCACATGAGGCCAAGAATTCAAGACCAGCCTGGACAATATAGCAAAACTCTATCTCTACTAAAAATACAAAAATTAGCTGGGCATGGTGGTGCACACCTGTAATCCCTGCTACTCGGGAGGCTATGGCACGAGAATTGCTTGATCCCGAGAGGTGGAGGCTGCAGTGAGCCAAGATCATGCCACAGCACTCCAGCCTGTGTCACAGAGTGAGACTTTGTATCAAAATAAATAAATGAATAAATTTCGTATCCTTTAACCAAAATCTTCTGCATTTCCCATTCTCCACTCCCCCAGTCCCTGATAACCACTTTTCTACCCTCCACTTCTGTGAGTTCTACTTTCACATATAAGTGAGATTATTATGCACTGTTTGTCTGATGATACTTAAACTGCATTTATCTACTGAGTAACAATTTCATCAATAAACTGAAATGAAAAAGAAATTTAAAGCTGTGGCTGATAGTTCAGGAGTCATGACATTCCTTACTATCTTTATCACTGTGAATTTATCACTTTTACTCATTAAAATTCTCTTAGACAAAGAAACACATATATATATGCATGCAAATCAAAGGAACTAAGTATGAAGAGCAAGGAAAAAACACTGCAGACTGGTTGGCTAGGCTTGAATTCTGGTAGCAGTCACATGCTTTTGGAAGACTTTGTAATTTCATTATGTCTTAGTTACTTCATGTATCAAATGGAGAAGATAATAGTACTTACCTAGTAGGGATGTGTAGAGAATTAAATATGTTAATGGATGTAAAGAGATTAGAATAGTTTATGGCACACAATAAGGGCATAATATGTGCTACCTATTTCAATTTATATCACAGGGAATGAAACTCTAGAATATTTGGGTCTGCTCTCATTGACAGCACATTAGTCTAAATACCTGCAAGGCCGGTAACATGCTGATAACTTTAATAATGTGTTTCTGTGAATCACAGAATATGCTGCATCGATTTGGCTGTAAGTTGTAATTCTCCTATTCTATCAAATTGTATACTTCACTGAGTGAACTCCTGTGTATTGGACCATGTATTAAATTGAGTGGGACAGGGTTAGGGGAAATATGTTTAACTTTCTTAACAAGTAAGTCACAAACCTGAAATCATCCTTCACTTTATATTGTCTCTTTCCCCATATTAAAAATTTTACTAGATCTTATTGATTTTGCCTTCAAAATTTATTTTAAAATGTGTTTATTTCCATCTTTTTCTGAAGACCACATTATTTCTTGCTGGGAACAGCTGTAAATATTTTCTCCATCTTAGAGTCTTCCTAAGTACAAACTGGATATCCATATTGCTGACAGAGTCATCTCTTTAATATCATAATCAAATCATTTTCTCTCCTTACATAGATGTATTCAGGAATTTCACATTGCTTTCCAAATAAACGTAAAAGCCTGTAACATTTCAAACAAAACCTTTATATTTTGGTCCTATAATTTTAGGCTTATCATCTGTCATGTTCCCAAATGTTTCCCCCTTTCTCTTAATGACCCATTCCTGGCTACTTTTTCTTCTACCTTCTTGTCCTTTGTGGATACTCTTAGCAGTAGCAGTAATAATTTTCATGTCTTACCTGTGGACACCATTATACTTGTACTTCGAGGCTCATATTTTTATTTTTAACCCTCTAGCTCAGAATGAGTTAGAGCTTTGATTTATATTTTTAAATCACTCTGCATATTAGTTCTTATTAGTTCTATTAGTTTCTATATTGTGAATGGGGGAAATTATTTACCAAAAAAAATCCATCATTCTTTTGAGGGCAAAGTTTGAATTTTGTCCTTAGAATCCCTAAGTTTAACATAATCCATTGCACTAGGAGACAATCACTAAATGATTGTTGATCAAGGGACTCATTCAATTTTATATTATTAATACTTGATATCAGATTTAACCCCCTGTCTTATAGCTATCTGGGTTTTTCCTGAGTCAAGTGCCTAGGGTTTAAGAATATTAATTTTTCTACAGTCTTAACTTGCTGAGATTTTATGCTTTAAAATACTTTCCCTAGATCAGTTTTCTATCTTAAGGTTTTAGAAATTGAATTTTCAGGTTTGAGCTGCTGTTCAGTTTCCCTCCTTCACGGATCTTGACCATTTCTTTTTTTTTTCTAGGCTGAAATGTTTCTTCAGTCCTTAGGTTATAGCCATGAATGATTTCTTTGGGTAAGTACCCTATAGATACATCTAAGTGGTATTAATAAGAATTCAATATCCTAAGTTTGTGAGCACAAAAGTCATTGTTTAAAGCCTTTGAGAGGCTTTAATATTGAAAACATTGTAAAGCACAGAAGAACATACTGGAGAAATAAACATAATTATTAGAACTACATAGTTTTCTATGGGAAAAGAGTGACAACTTTGAATTTCTTATTTGTTATGCACTCCTAAGAATGACTTAAATGTTTTTTGAATTGCTTACTAATTTTACTTTTGAATTAAAAATAGTTACTTTCATTGTGGTTTTTATTTGCATTTCTCTGATGGCCAGTGATGATGAGCATTTTTTCATGTGTTTTTTGGCTGCATAAATGTCTTCTTTTGAGAAGTGCCTGTTCATATCCTTCGCCCAATTGTTGATGGGGTTGTTTGTTTTTTTCTTGTAAATTTGTTTGAGTTCATTGTAGATTCTGGATATTAGCCCTTTGTCAGATGAGTAGGTTGCGAAAATTTTCTCCCATTTTGTAGGTTGCCTGTTCACTCTGATGATAGTTTCTTTTGCTGTGCAGAAGCTCTTTAGTTTAATTAGATCCCATTTGTCAATTTTGGCTTTTGTTGCCATTGCTTTTGGTGTTTTAGACATGAAGTCCTTGCCCATGCCTATGTCCTGAATGGTATTGCCTAGGTTTTCTTCTAGGGTTTTTATGGTTTTAGGTCTAACATGTAAGTCTTTAATCCATCTTGAATTAATTTTTGTATAAGGTTTAAGGAAGGGATCCAGTTTCAGCTTTCTACATATGGCTAAACAGTTTTCCCAGCACCATTTGTTAAATAGGGAATCCTTTCCCCATTGCTTGTATCTCACACCAGTTAGAATGGTGATCATTAAAAAGCCAGGAAACAACAGGTGCTGGAGAGGATGTGGAGAAATAGGAACACTTTTACACTGTTGGTGGGACTGTAAACTAGTTCAACCATTGTGGAAGTCAGTGTGGTGATTCCTCAGGGATCTAGAACTAGAAATACCATTTGACCCAGCCATCCCATTACTGGGTGTATACCCAAAGGATTATAAATCATGCTGCTATAAAGACACATGCACACGTATGTTTATTGCGGCACTATTCACAATAGCAAAGACTTGGAACCAACCCAAATGTCTAACAACGATAGACTGGATTAAGAAAATGTAGCACATATACACCATGGAATACTATGCAGCCATAAAAAATGAAGAGTTCATGTCCTTTTTAGGGACATGGATGAAACTGGAAACCATCATTCTCGCAAACTATCGCAAGGACTAAAAACCAAACACCGCATGTTCTCACTCATAGGTGGGAACTGAACAATGAGAACACATGGACACAGGAAGGGGAACATCACACTCCAGGGACTGTTGTGGGGTGGGGGGAGTGGGGAGGGATAGCATTAGGGGATATACCTAATGCTAAATGATGAGTTAATGGGTGCAGCACAGCAACATGGCACATGTATACATATGTACCAAACCTGCACATTGTGCACATGCATCCTAAAACTTAAAGTATAATAATAATAATAAAAGTAGCTACTTTCTGTGTTCAATTGCCTCAACAATTGAATATTTTTGTTGAATATTAAATTACAAGATGCTTTTCTTTTGTGTTTGGAATACAATATGTCTCAAATATATCTCAAATGTATCCAAAATACCATTTGAGATATAATGAGATATATAAAATGGTATTTTAGATACATTTGAGATATATTATATTCTTTTAATATTTGATGATTTGGGGGCTAGAGCTTGGAAATGAAAATTACAATCTAAAATGTCCATTTTTACTTTCCTCCAATGCCAGTGGTCTTCATTAAGGTATAGGCAACTGACTGCTGGACTTTAATCAGATCATAAGTCCTTAGTAGTATGAGAGATGCATTGGGTACTTTAAAATTGGAGAATACTTTTATTTTTTCCTTATTTGAGGAATTATTAATTATTGAGTAATTTTATCAATATTTGAGTATTTACTAACTCAATTACTCAAATATTTATTTTTCACACAGAATGTGTTAAATCCTTTTGAAATCTTAGCAAAAATAAGCCTCGTCTCTTGAACGAGAAATTGATTTTCTCTACTAACAAATGGAACTTGAACCTCGATATGCGTGAGTTCAATTTTAAACTCCAAATCTATGATATTTGAGTAAGTGTTACGTTTGCCAAATTGTGTTCTTCCATCCCTAAAGCTATTAGTTCCAAGTCCTGCCAATAGGAAGATCAAAGAAATACAAAGAAAAAAATCAATATATGATTGAGCTTCTTCACCCCATCTTCATTAAGAGAATACATAGTATAATTTAATTCTGCAGCATATATTTGAAAATGGACAACCAAAGGTGCTACTAAAATTGAGCATTGTCTGATTCTAACTCTTTTGGAAAGCGGTCTTTTTAACTTGGCCAAGTCTATAATGATGGTAAACACACTAAACACACACACACACACACACACACACACACACAGCTATATAAAACCTAGTGTTGTTAATAAGAATAAAATGAACACCAAGGAATTCCTCATCCAAATTAAGAGATCCCTTATGTTGATGTCAGTCCCTTTCTCTGATAATATATTCTTCCTCCTCACCAGGGTTAAACACTATCCTTCTTTTTCCTTTAATCATTCTGATTTTTTTCAGTTTTTCACTCATGCATTTTTTTCTGAGGCATTCATTGTTAGGTATGGCATGGCTTTAAATTTTGTGTAAGTTCAATCATACTTTATGTATTCTGTTATTTTCACCTTGTTGCTCTGTATAGTTTTATATAGTTCATTTTCAGTTCTGAATACTACTCTACTGTATCAATATAGCCAAAATGTCTTCTCATTCTAGTCTTGATGGATATTGGGATATCCTCAGTATGTTACTAAGATAAACAATGGCACTATGAATTATATTGTGCTTTCAACAGAATACACATGCATAAATTTATCTCAACCAAATACTTATAAATGGAATTGCTCCACTTTACTAAGAGTTGTTAAAGTATTATTCCAAGAACATTTCCTAGCCTACTCTTTACATAGCTGTGTATAAAAGCTCTCCTTGCTGTGCTTACTTGTGAATATTAGGTTGGTGCAAAAGTAATTGTGGTTTTTGCTGTTATCTGCAATGGCAAAAAATGCATTACTTTTGCACCAACCTGAAATTTAATATTGTAGATTGATATGGTTTGGCTGCGTTCCCAGCCAAATCTCATCTTGAATTGTAGTTCCCATAATCCGCAAATGTAGTGGGAGGGACGCAGTGTGAGGTGATTGAATCATGAGGTCCGTTACTCCCATGCTGCTGTTCTGGTGATAGTGAGTTCTCAGGAGATCTGATGGTTTTATAGCAGGCTTTTCCCCCTTTTGCTCTGCACTTCTCTTTGTTGCTGCCATGTGAAGGACATGGTTGCTTCCTTTTCCACCATGATTGTAAGTTTCCTGAGGCCTCCCCCACCATGCTGAACTGTGAGTCAATTAAACCTGTTTCCTTTGTAAATTACACAGTCTCAAGTATGTCCTTATTAGCAGCATGAGAACAAATACCTAGATCTTTAAAACGTGTTGAATAACATAATAAAATTGTATCTCAGAATTTTAAAATGAATCTCTCAATTTAATTGAACAGAAATTCATTTTTATCACATCATTTTATGATTTAATACATGTATGATACTTTTAAAAATTTTATTTTTTAAAGCTGAGTTTTCTTTCTTATTAATCATAGCAATACTTTACATATTCTTGGTGTAAGTACATTGTGATGTAGATCAAAAACATCTTCTCCTAATTTAATATTTTTAAAGTATTCCATTGTAAAGCTTTTTTTTTTTTTTTTGGAGACAGTCTCGCTCTGCCGCCAGGCTGGAATGCAGTGGCGCGATCTTCGCTCACTGCTAACTCCGCCTCCCGGGTTCACGCTATTCTCCTCCCTCAGCCTCCCTAGAGACGGGGTTTCACCGTGTTAGCCAGCATGGTCTCGATCTCCTGATCTCGTGTTCTGCCCGCCTCAGCCTCCCAAAGTGCTGGGATTACAGGCACGAGCCACCGTGCCCGGCCTGTAATGAATTTTATTTAAAAAAAAATTGTAACTTTATGCTCAAATCAATTTTACTTTAAATTTTAATGGTACTATTGAAGCATTTGCCTAGGAAACATTTGTGCAATATGTAGATTTCTGTAATTATTTATTCACTTTTCCTTTATAATTTGCATTTTCAGAGTCACATTTAAGATATTATTTCCTACACTAAAGATTTGAAAATATTTTCTTGTGTTTTTAAAAAATGTTCTTAATGTGGTATTTTGCATTAGTGTATTGAATATCCCTTTAATTGATTTTTGACTATGGTATAAAGTATGAATCGAAATTAATTTATTTCCATATTAGCCCATTTTCCCAAGACTAAGAAAAATCTGCCCTTTCACTACAAATATAAAATATTCCTGTGTTATTGATCAAGTACACGTATGTTTCTGGACTTCTTATTGTGTTCCATTAGTCTATTTATACTTATATACAGTATATTACTGTGTAGTATACTATATAGTATACTATTTATATAGTATAAATACCATATATACTATTTATAGCTGCATATAGCTTTACAATGAGTTTTGATAACTGACATTGAAATAACTTACAAAGACTTATTGTCTTCTTTTTCTTCTTGAAGTATGTTTCAGATATAGCTTGTCAAAGGCACTTCCACATCAATTTTAGAATTATCTTATTAAGAAACTCTCTCACACACAGACACACACACACACTGTCAGTATTAAGTTGAAATTCAGTTGAAATCTCACTGAGTCTACATGTCAGTTTGGAGAAAACTTTCATATAGTAATACAGTACATGAAGATGTATATCCTTCTATTTAATTACATCTTCTAAAGTAGAAAAATTTTATATGTTTTTCTAATTGTTTTTAAAATATTTCGTGATAAATTAATACCTGTCTTGTGCTGCATAACTGCATATATGATGGTGGTTCCATAAGATTATAACCAAGCTGAGAAATTCTCATTGCCTACTAATGTCGTAGCTCTCATAGTGTCTTAGCACAAAGCATTGTGTTTATGTTAATCCTGGTGGATACAAACCTACTGTGCTGCCAGTTACATAAAAGTTTAGCACATATAATTATGTTCAGTACATAATACTTGAAAACCAACAACTATGTTACTGGTTTATGTATTTACCATGGTATACTTTTTATTGTTAGTTTTAGAGTGTTCCCTTACTTATTAAAAAAAAAGTTGACTGTAAAACAGCATCAGGTAGATCCTTCAGGAGGTATTCCAGAAGAAGGCATTATCACAGGAGATGACAGTTTCATGCCTGTTATTATCTGTGAAGAGCTTCCAGTGGGACAATTTGTGGAGGTAGAAGACAGTAGTATTGATGATTCTCACCCTCTCACTCTGGGTAGGCCTAAGTTATTGTATTTGTATTTGTCTTCTTTTTAAACAAGAAAGTTTTAAAAGTAAAACAAAGATTAAAAATATAAAAAATAGAATTTGCATATAAAGAAATAAAATATTTTTGTACAGCTGTACAATGTGTTTATTTTATTTTATTTTTTTTTTTTTGAGATGGATTCTTGCTCTGTCACCAGGCTGGAGTGCAGTGGCCTGATCTCGGCTCACTGCAACCTCCACCTCCCGAGTTCAAGTGATTCTCCTGCCTCAGCCTCCCAAGTAGCTACAATTACAGGCACGTGCCACCACACCCAGCTAAGTTTTGTATTCTTAGTAGAAACGGGATTTTCACTATGTTGGCCAGGCTGGTCTCGATCTCTTGACCTCGTGATCCTCCTGTCTCGGCCTCCCAAAGTGCTGGGATTACAGGCGTGAGCCACCACACCCGACTGTGTTTTTGTTTTAAGCTGTTATTGTAATAGAGTCGAAAAGTTAAAAAAAAGTAAAAGGTTCGTAAGTAAAAATGTTACAGTAAGCTAAGGTTAATTTATTATTGAAGAAAGAAGTTTTTAAAATAAATTTTGGGTAGCCCAAGTGTACAGTGATTACAGAGTCTACCACGGTGTACGGTAATGTCCTAAGCCTTCACAGTCACTCACCACTCACTGACTTATTCAGGTCAATTTCCAGTTCTGCAAGCTACATTTATGGTAAGTGCCTTACACAGGTGTACTGTTTTTTATTTTATATACCATATTTTTAGTGTACTTTTTTGTTTAACTATATTTAGATACACAAATACTTACCATTGTGTTAAAATTTCCTCCAATATTCAGTACAGTAACATGCTGTTCAAGTTTGTAGCCTAGGTGCAATAGGCTATGCCATGTAGCCTAGGTGTATAGTACACGAAAGCATTTAGGTTTGCTTATGTACATTCCACAATGTTTGCACAATAGCAATGCATTTCTCAGGACATATCCCCATTGTTAGGTAATGCTTGACTATAATTACATTTTTCTATTTTAATAATAGTTTTATTTTTCATCTGTGACAGGTACATATAAATGCAACAAATTTGCTTGTTAGATCTTATTACTCAGACTCCTTTCCAGATTCCTAATTGTTTCTAATTATTTACTTATAGATTATTTTTAATTTTTATGTGAATGATTATAACATCTATGAAATATGTATAAGTATCAGGTATTCCTTTTCACTCATTTCATAACTTTTTCATGTCTTGTGCTTGCAGTGGTATCCCAGAAAATGTTCCATAGATGTGAAAATGACAAACACACTTACATATATAGGCAGTATCAACAGAATTCCTGCAATATTTCACCATTAAATGTGATGTTTTTGTCATTATTGCTTTTGTTATTGTTGTTTTTTGTAGCCACAACTTATGATATTGACTGAATTCCTTTCTAATTCTAGTTTCTAAAAATTTTACCATAATTAAGATATTTTACTTTTACATGACTTTTTGGCATCTATTGAGGTAATCATTAGATTTTTCTCCATTAACTTATAAATATTATGAATCATACTACTTTTTTTAATGTACAAACCTTGCATTTCTGGAACTATCCCATTTGGTCATAATATTATCTTTTGAAATACATTTTTAGATTTTATTAGCTAATATATTCAGAGGCATTAAT
The DNA here is from genome assembly GCF_000001405.40 of Homo sapiens. Taxonomy (NCBI): domain Eukaryota; kingdom Metazoa; phylum Chordata; class Mammalia; order Primates; family Hominidae; genus Homo; species Homo sapiens. The sequence goes on from NC_000021.9 coordinate 18,795,063, forward strand.
TTTGTGGCATTAATTTTGATGAGTATGTACAAAGTGCTTTTAATTTTTTCTCAAGTTCTGTTTTTCTTGTATAGAGTTAAAAGTTATGCTAACATAAAATGAGTTGGAGAATTTTATTTCTTTTTTTTGGGGGGGGTTAATTTTGTGAATTTAGAGCTACTTAAGTCTTTAATGCTTAACAGAACTGCATGGTAAGATTATCTGGCTATGGAATTGTTCCTTATGGGTGATTTGTGATTGCTGATACAAAGTATTTAATCTTATAAGATAATTAAGAGTTTTTATGTCGTCTTTGTTTAGAAAAAGTTGTGATTTTTACATACATAAACAACAGTCAAATCTACTGACATAAACGTATTATTTCTTTTTATTTACCTTTTAAATATCTACACCATTTATAATTATGACATACATAAGCTCTCAGTATTTTCTATTTCTAATATTGTTTATTTATGTTGTCTTTTTAGTGTGATTTAAATCATTTTTAAAATGTTTTTTCATTTCTTTTTTGGTTTTCCAAGATCCAACTTTTGTTTCTTGATCTCTTCTACTGTATTTTTAATATCTTTTGTTTTAATTCTAGGGTATAACTTTAATATTTACATATTTATATTTATTCCAAAGATCATTTTATTGTTATTTGTCTAACTAGTACAGTGGATCTTTTGATCATTAATTTTTAGTTTTCCTTTCTTCCTACCATAAGTAATTAGGATTAAAAATGTACTTTACTGTTATAAGTAGAGAAAGCTAGAAGCAAGTTCAATTGGATTTTTTAAATTTAGCCAAAAGCTGCTTCCTTATATATGTTTGGCCTAAAGATTTCTCCATACATAGTGAACTGTAACTCAACCTAATGTATAAAAAGACTGTAACCTACTGTTGTGTCAGTCACAGAGTTTCAGGCAATCAAAGGTGGCCAACTGTTCTAACTGCCAAGCTGTAACCAATCCAGCTGTTTCTGCACCTCACTTCCATTTTCTGTGCATCACTTTCCTTTTTCTGTCCATAAATCAACCCTGCAGCAGGGTTGCAGCCTCTCTGAACCTGTTCTGGTTCAGGGGCTGCCCAATTTGTAAATCATATTTTGTTCAATTAAACTCTGCTAAATTAGTTTGTCTAAGGTTTTTCTTTTTACAGATTGGAGGAACAAGGTAGCAGAGGCCTGATAATAAAGGGCTTTGTGGTCATTAAAAATTCATAATTTACCCAAGATGGTGACAAGTCAGGAAAAGGTTCATCAGAGAAATTATATGAGCAGATCTGTGTTTTTGAAAGATCATTATGGTTTAATATTGAGAGAAGAATGAAGGATCTAAACTGGAAGTAAAAAATTCAATGTTTCAGAAGATAGTAACCTAGAATATTGAGCGTGTCTGGAAGGTGGAAAAAACTACATGTTGGACATTAAAAAAAAAAAAAAAAAAAAAGGCCAGGAGCAGTGGCCCATGCCTGTAATCCCAGCACTTTGAGATGCTAAGGCAGGTGGATCATCTAAGGTCAGGAGTTCAAGACCAGCCTGACCAATATAGTGAAACTCTGTCTCTACTAAAAATACAAAACTTAGCTGGGCGTAATGGTGGGCACCTGTAGTCCCAGCTACTCGGGAGGCTGAGACAGGAGAATTGCTTGAAACTGGGAGGTGGAGGTTGCAGTGAGCTGAGATCGCACCACTGCACTACAGCCTGCGTGACAGAGCACACACACACACACACACACACATACACACACACACACACAGACACAAAAGTCTCACCAAATTAAAAAAAATGGACTATAATTTAGTGATTGGCTGGAAGTTGGTCTGAGAATGAGAAAAGAAAATTGCTAACTCCCATAATCCTGACTGGACAACTATTTGTATTGCATTGTGAGGCCATGCACTGAAGGCATAGAAACACAGGAAAAATGTGAAAAATGTTGTGGTGAAAAGATGGTGCATCCTGTGTAGGAAGATGTTTGAGTTTTAGGTTACTGTAAATTATGGAAATGCAATAAGCATTTGGCAATGTTGGCAGAGAGGTAGGAAAGTAACCACTGGCTATACATTTAGATTCTAAAGTAATGAAAGTGGAAATCTTCAGAATAATAAGAAGAGATTAGCATTAAGCTCTGAGGGATATCAATGAAGGTAAGAGCTGAAGAAGAGAGTTTGCAGAGGGCAGTGAAATAGAGTTACTCAATACAAGATAAAGACCAGGACAGTGTGGAGCCATGAGAACAAAGGTAGTGATATGGTTTGGCTCTGTGTCCTCACACAAATCTCATCCTGTAGCTCCCATAATTCCCATGTGTTGTGGGAGAGACCAGTGGGAGATGATTGAATCATGAAGAGGAGTCTTTCCCATTCTGTTCTCATGATAGTGAATGGATTTTACGAGATCTTATGGTTTTAAAAACGGTAGTTTCCCTGCACAAGCTCTCTTTTTGCCTGCCACAATCCATTCAAGATATGACTTGCTCCTCCTTCCCTTCTGCCATGATTGTGAGGCTTCCCCAGCCACGTGGAGCTGGGAGTTCCCCATTAAACCCCTTTCCTTTGTAAATTGTCCAGTCTTGAGTATGTCTTTATTGGCAGTATGAAAATGAACTAATACAGTAAATTGGTACCAGTAGAATGGGGCACTATTGAAAAGATACCTGAAAATGTGGAAGTGACTTTGGAACTGAGTAACAGGCAGAGGCTGGAACAGTTTGGAGGGCTCAGAAGAAGACAGAAAAATGTGGGAAAGTTTGGGACTTCCTAGAGACTTGTAGAATGGCTTTGCCCAAAATGCTGATAGTGATACGGACAATAAAGTCCAGGATGAGGTGGTCTCAAATGAAGATGAGAAACGTGTTGGGAACTGGAGTAAAAGTGACTCTTGTGATGTTGTAGCAAAGAGACTGGCAGCATTTTGCCCCAGCCCTAAAGATTTGTGGAACTTTGAACTTGAGAGAGATGATTTAGGGAATCTGGGGGAAGAAATTTCTAAGCAGCAAAGCATTCAAGAGGTGACTTGGGTGCTGCCAAAGGCATTCGGTTTTATAAGGGAAGCAGAACATAAAGTTCAGAAAATTGGCAACCTGACAATGCAATAGAAAGGAAAATTCTATTTTCTGAGAAGAAATTCAAGCTGGCTGCAGAGGAGCGGAATGTTAATCTCCAAGACAATGGGAAAAATGTCTCCAGGGCATGTCAGAGGTCTTCATGGCACCCCATCCTATCAAAGGTCTGGAGGCCTAGGAGGAAAAAGTGATTTCAGAGGCCAGGCCCTGGGTCCCCATGCTGTGTTCAGCCTAGGGACTTGGTGCTCTCCATCCCAGCTGCTCCAGCTGTGGCTGAAAGGGGCCAACCTAGAGCTCAGGCCATGGCTTCAGAGGGTGGAGGCCCCAAGCCTTGGCAGCTTCCACGTGGTGTTGAGCCTGCCAGTACACAGAAGTCAAGAATTGGGTTTGGGAACCTCTGCCTAGATTTCAGATGTATGGAAATGCCTGGATACCCAGGCAGAGGTTTGCTGCAGGGATGAGGCCCTCATGGAGAATCTCTGCTATGGCAGTGAGAAAGGGAAATGTGGGATTGGAGCCCCCACACAGAGTCCCTAATGGGGCACCACCTAGTGGATCTGTGAGAAGAGCGCCACCCTCCTCCAGACCACAGGATGATAGATCCACCGACAGCTTGCATCGTGCATGTGCCTGAAAAAGCCGCGGACATTCAATGCCAGCCCATGAAAGCAGCTTGAAGGGAGGCTGTACCCTGCAAAGCCACAGGGGCAGAGCTGCCCAAGACTATGGAAACCCACCTCTTGCATCAGCATGACCTGAATGTGAGACATGGAGTCAGAGGAGATTACTTTGGAGCTTTAAAATTTGACTGCCCCACTGGATTTCAGACTTGCGTGGGGACTGTAGCCCCTTTGTTTTGGCCAATTTCTCCCATTTGGAATGGCTGTGTTTATCCAATGCCTGTACCTCCATTGTATCTAGGAAGTAACTAACTTGCTTTTGATTTTACAGGCTCATAGGTGGAAGCGGCTTGTCTTGTCTCAGATGAGACTTTGCACTTTTGAGTTAATGCTGAAATAAGTTGAGACTTTTGGGGACTGTTGGGAAGGCACAATTGGTTTTGAAATGTGAAGATATGAGATTTGGAAAGGGTTAGGAGCAGAATGATATGGTTTGGCTCTGTGTCCCCAACCAAATCTCATCTTGTAGCACCCATACTTCCCACATGCTGTGAGAGGGACCCAGTGGGAGATGATTGAATCATGGGGGCGGGTCTTTCCTGTGCTGCTCTCATGATAGTGAATGTGTCTCATGAATCCAGTGGTTTTTACAAAGGGGTTTTCTCTGCACAGGCTTTCTGTTTTTCCTGCCGCTATCCAAGTCAGATGCAACTTGCTCCTCCTTCCCTTCTGCCATAATTGTGAGGCTTCCCCAGCCATGTGGAACTGTGAGTTCTCCATTAAACCTCTTTCCTTTTTAAATTGCCCAGTCTCAGGTATGTCTTCATCAGCAGTGTGAAAACAGACTAATACAGGCATCTGTGTTTTCAGAAAGATAAAGTGGCAAATAGTATTAACTACTGCAATAATTTGAACAATATTCAGTATATAATGTTTATAAAACACAGTGACATTGGCATTCTATTTGAATATTTTGAAAGTAATTTCAGTGGAATAAGTAAGAATCTTCATGGGAATTGGATAAGAAGTGAATAAAGCTAAGAAAATGGAAATAACTACTATGAGCATCATTTTCAAAGACGTAGGCTTTGAGGAAAATGGGAGACCCATGGCAATCGACGGAAGAGAGTTTGGTGGTAAGAGAGGGCAGTTTCAGAGATATTTGAAAATTTTTGAATACTCATGGAAATAAGTTTTAGAAATGGGAAATACTGAAGACACTGGAAAGGAGAAAAATAATGAATTGAGTCGCTTTTGAGATGGCAGTAGATCAGATATAGAAACTGAGTGGAGGAAAAACCTTGTACATGATGTAAGTTCATTCATCAGGTATTGGTTTTGTTTATGTGAAGAGAAGAGCATTTCTTCCCAGTTATTTAAGCCCTTTCTGGTGAAGGCAAAGTCATCTCCCAATAGTATTGAAGAAGTTTGAAAATTTTGAATCATACGGTGAGTGTAGAATAAAGAGTTATTGAGAACTAGAGAGTACTGATTGGAAAAAATACAGTAGGGTTGATGAGAAATACTGAGGGTCTGCTTGAAGTTGGTGACAATGAATTTAATCTAAATGACTTAGTGTTTGTCTCTAGCACCACTCAACATCTTAAGTGTGTCCACAAAGATAAAAATAATTGGATTAATCCTGTATGAGAAAAATTATTCTATTTGGAAGGACATGCTACCTATATTTAGAAAAATAAATATGGGATTTGTCAACGATAGGGATACATAGAAGGACGGTATGTATTGGGGGTGGAAAACTTGGATCTTGAGTACAATTAACCACATAAATTGTAAGAAATGATGTTATGGTCCGTCAGTTTCTATTAATTTGTCATTTAAAAAGTGGATCTGTTGAAGACAAGAAGCTTCATGTTGAGCTAAAGGTGTAGAAGTATAAAAGAAAATAGAAAATATTGCCATTGCAAACATTAAATCAAAGCATTGAAATTTAGTGAATTAGAACCATTTCTAAGTACATTAACATTAAATTCACTGGAGGTTTTAGACCAGCTTTGAATACTGAGTAATCTGGTTAGGCAAGTACCATAGTCTTCAATACATACATGGGGATGCCAAAAAGATGAGTAGCCAGAAACAGAGAAGTTGTCAATATTAGTACACCAAATAGAGTTTACTTTTTTTTTTTTTTTTTTTTTGAGACGGAGTCTCGCTCTGTCACCAGGCTGGAGTGCAGCGGCGCTATCTCGGCTCACTGCAAGCTCCGCCTCCCGGGTTCGTGATTCTCCTGCCTCATCCTCCCGAGTAGCTGGGACTACAGGCACCCGCCACCATGCCCGGCTAATTTTTGTATTTTTAGTAGAGACGGGGTTTCACCATGTTGGCCAGGATGGTCTCCATCTCTTGACTTCGTGATCCACCCGCCTCGGCCTCCCAAAGTGCTGGGATTATAGGCGTGAGGAGTTTACTTTTAAAAAATGGAGTGTGACACGAAATGGTGAAATTTGGAAGCAACCGTTCAGAGTGAGGCAGATAACTTTGAGGTTGATGAGATATGGAAAAATGAACAACCTTTATTTTGATACTCTGGTAGGATTAGAAAGAACTGAAGAAAAATAATACATATTTTAAAGAAGTTCATATTTATAAGAGATAACTGCTAAATATTTTACTGATATTAGGGAATGTATTAGTTATGATGTGAGAATTCCACAGGAAACAAACATAGATTTAGTAATGAGAGGAAGAGTAAATGTGTTCCGGATAGATCAACACAGAGCAAAGTTGAGATGTGAGTATGAGAGATGTATGAGGTACTGAGATGTTAAAGAAGACCAAACCAAGAGGTTCCAGGCAGAGTAAGAATGGAGATCCTGAGGTTATTCAGATAAGCATACTTGGTATTACTACTTCCCACTATTAAATAGTTGAGGTAAGTGGGTTAATAGGACTGTTAGTGCCAGCCCCTAGGTGGCATAGGAGTACCTTGGAATAGAAAGGGTTGCTGTAGTTAAAGCTTTGGTTATATGGTGGCTGAATAATTAATTACATATTTAGCATATTTCTTTTTCTTTTTCTTTTTTTTTTTTTTTTCCAAGACAGAGTCTCACTTTGTCGCCCAGGCTGGAGTGCAGTGGCACAATCTCAGCTCACTGCAACCTCTGCCTCCCAGGTTCAAGCAATTCTCTTGTCTCAGCCTCCCGAGTAGCTGGGGTTACAGGCACTTGTCACCATGCCTGGCTAATTTTTTGTATTTTTTTAGTAGAGACAGGGTTTTACCATGTTGGCCAGGCTGGTCTCAAACTCCTGAACTTAGGTGATCTGCCCGCTTCGGCCTCCCAAAGCACTGGGATTAGAGGCGCTAGCCACTGTGCCTGGCCTACCATACTTTCAAATAAAGGAAAAATATTAAAAGTGAACCATTATATATTTTTGGTGCTGCTTAAAAATTTTTGTTGTCTAACAGTGTGTTCTGTGATTAGACCTTAAAATTCCTGATTGTTCACTGATAACAGGTTACTAAAAAGTTAGTTTCATTCTATGATTGGTTTGATGGTTTGACTCTTTCCAGGGAGCAATGATTTTGTTGAACACTCTTTGTCAGGTAGCTGCAATTGAAATAAATGCTTTTTAGGCATGAAGGTAATTTGAAAAGGCAAAGACATAATTTGAATACACATGTTAGATGATTAAGCATGATTTTCATTGATGCAGTTGGTGGTATGAGCAGGATAAATAAATAGCAGATATAATATTATAAGGCCAAGACTTCTATAGGGAGGAGGCAGTCTCCTAGAATAAGAAGGTGAGGAACAACTTCTGACAGCATATGACTTTAGCTTGTCATTGAAATATTTGAGAAATGGATAGAAAGAGTCCCAAAAGGCAGACCTTTCATAAAGGACATAATATAAGGAAAGACATTTTAATATCAGATAAATATGTAATCACAAATCAAGTGTTCCTTTAAATTGCAAAATCTTCATCATTCTTTTACTTGTCATTATATTAAGGACTTTAACTTTGAATTACTAACCCTAACTCATCCAAATATTCCTATATACACAGGTAAACTTATTTCATTCTATTTCAATATGCCTAAAAGTAAATATTCAAACAAGTGAGCCAAAAAAAGAACAGAAAAAAAAAAAGCTTTGATAATGATAGTTGAGCATTTTTCAATATAGGATATTATGTGGTATCTGGGGAAGAAAATAAATTGTTGAAGTTTATAACATGTATTCTTAGCTAGTGGGAAAAATAAAATATATTAATATGTAATTTGCCTCTGTTTCTACAATATATTTTTGTGTCAAAAGGTTGCTTTTTCAAATTATAATTATTGTTTTACCAATGTCCAAAATTGCCCACAGAGTAAGATACATTTATTTACAAAGCCAACTTCTACATGAGAAATTGGTATTTATTTGAGCAACCCAGTGCATTAAGTGGAAAAAGTGTGCTTAAAGCTGGAGACTGTTATATGTTATTTAATGGAACAAACACAGAGAAGTTATTATCATAGCAATTTACTTCCTTCAGGGCTTAGTAATTTGAAAGAAGATAAATGCATTTAGTAGTAGTGAAGGGGCTTAGAGAATAATGAAAAAAGATTATTAAAAGGTCAAAGAGCAACAATGTTAGAAACATTATAATGATGAAGTAAATGAAAGAGTGAACAAACATACATATTTATTATATAAAAATAAAACTTATTTTGAAGAATGTCAAGGTCATAAATTTTATAAGGACAGCTTTATTTCTCATAAATGGCTGCAGCCTGCAGGGTGGCCATTCAGACAGGCTGGAAAGCACAGCCTTGGCTGGAAGCCAGTAACAGACACTTTGAGGGAGGGGCAAAGAGAATAGTAATTTATACTGAGCAAGTTTGCCAAATATACTTATTCAATAAGCTACAGGAGGAATTGTGAATATTTATGAAAAGAGATCTCTGCCCATGTGCAGTTCAGCTTCATACTCCTTCATGGTTCCCATGTACAAAAAACGGTGGCATTGGCATGATCTGTGGGTAGAGGTGTTGGATGTTTTGATATCAAAAGGTGAAGCAGAGGACACAAAAACCCTTACTGTGCATTCTCTCTAGACTGGCCAGAACCACTCTGTGGTTGGTAGTCTCTTATTAGACAAAAATAGAGGGGTGTCAGGTGGTTGATTGACGTTAGTGGTAGAGTCTTTTGAAAGGCCTGGTTTTTGTCAAGCACATAGGGAGAAAAACCTACTCATGGTTAGCAAGGGAAGGGGTTTAATGAAGTATGACTGACACCCATCCTATTGTAGCCAAGAATTCAGTTTTCAGGGTTACTCTGGGTTCCTCTTTGCAATGAGATAATCTGTTCAGTCAGTTGGGAGGCTTGGAATTTAATTTTTAGTTTACATTCTACGGTCAAATATGTGGACCCTTAGATTTTCAAGGTATGTCCTCATTTGAATGATGCACATTAATAGAACTGTGGGATATGATGAGGTTTCTCTTCAAATAACCCAATCAATCTTTTATTCTTTAATTCATAGTCCCTCCCACCGTTTTCCCTTTTTCTCCTTTTTTTCCTTTTTGCCTTTGTTAGATGCCCAGGCACGCCACAGTACCAGGCATTATCAGTACCAGCTCACGTTCCTTTCCTTATTTAGAAAGAAAACTAACTTTCTAGCTCATTACAGACATCCCTTCCCCTTTCCTCTCTGCTTTCATTTACGTGCCCAACTTATCTAAAAAAAATCAAATGTTTAGCCAACCAGAATTAGTTTAGATTGTATGACCTGACCCCAGCCAATGGGGAAAGGGTACAGGGGCAGGACTTGCATCAGGAATAAAGGCTCTCGTGCCCATTTCTTCAGGTATGCTGTCCTGGCAACTGGCCAAGGAGGCACCCCTCTGCGCAGAAGTAAAATTGCTTTGCTAAGAATCCTTTGTTCGAGTGTTCAGTTTCCTTAAGATTTTGAGCGTTATTCCTAACAGAACCATCAAAAGTACGTGGGAACTGAGGGCATTAATTTGGGAAAAGAACGAGAAGATAGGGAGGAGAACAGTCACACCATAGGAAAAAAAATATGATCCTAGGGAAGTGCTGAACTTGACATAGTGATGGTCATACTGTTTCTGGATCACTATAGATTCTCCTTGACCTGAAAAAGATCTTTTTAGAGGCTACTTTCTTGGTCCCATGTTTGATTTGATATAGTTTCAGCTCAACGCATGCTCCAAGAAAGAAGTCAAAAGCAAATATTTGAGAAAAAATAGCTATTTTTAATAAAATTTGAAGATAGCTATACCAATATCAATTGATTGAATACCAATAACATAGAATAATAACTAACATTGCAGATTAAAGTCAAACCTTTATACCCACAAAGAGGTGATTCACAGAATGCAAGTTAAGTTTCCTCAATAAAATTTCAAGCACATTGTCATAAACTTTAACAATACTTGAGATAAAGATGGAGTTTTAAAGACAGAGAAAGAGAGGGAAAACATGAATTATGTAAGTTTTGGAATAAAATTGGCATCAGACTTCTCAATAGCAGCTGGGAGGCAATGGAGCAATGGCTACTGCCATTATGAGGAGAAAATGTCCAACCTGAGTTTGATAAACAGTTAAAATATAACACCGTTGTGGAAGAGAAGATAAAGACATTTTCAAATGTGATGTTTAAAATAATTTTCTCCCAATGCACTCAAACTGAGAAAAATAGAAAAGGGTGTGTTTAACCAAAAGAAGGACCAAATTTAAAAAGAAAAAAGAACAAGATGGAGGACACAGGGTATCTCACACAGGAAGGGAATGACAGAAAATCACAAAAGTAAAGAAAAATCCCAGGGTGGCAGTTATCAAGAAAGCAGTGACTTCTTGAGCTGGGAAATGGAGGGAACAAAACAGTGTATATGCATATGTCTATAGTAGCACAACTCACAAATGCAAAGATTTGGAACCATCCTAAATGCCTATCAACTAATGAGTGGATAAAGAACATGTGGTAGACATACACCATGGAATACTACTCAGCCATTAAAAGGAATGAAATGTCTTTTGCAACAACTTGAATGGAGCTGGGGGCCATTATTCTAATTGAAGTAACACAGGAGTGGAAAACCAAAACCCATAAGTTCTCACTTATACATGGGGACTAAGTTATGAGTACAGAAAGGCATGCAGAGTGATATAATGGACTTTCGAGTCTCAGAATGGGGAGGGTGAGAGAGGTACTAGTAATAAAAAACTACACGGTGTGTACAAGGTATACCACTTGGGTGATGGGTGCACTGAAACCTCAGAATTCACCATTATGTAATTCATCTATGTAACCAAAAACCACTTGTACCCCAAAAGCTATGGAAATTTTTTTAAAGGCAGTATATATGAAAGAATTGGCTCCTGAAAAACTGTATTGAGATGCTTGAGGATACATGGTAAAATATTTATTTACAAAGATAAAGGCAATCAAGTAGATGAAAAACATGGGTCTACTATCAGTGCTAGGAAGAAAAGTTGTACGAAGAAATAATAAAATGACATGGCCAGGGCAATGGCCAAAGTTTCACACTTACAAAAATGACACCTTGTATTGGAGAAGCAAATCTCATGATGTATAACCACTTCATCCATCTGTTTAGTTTATCTGTAATAATTTCCATAAATTTGTTCTTTGGGAGAAGTTCTTCCCCGACTTCAAAGTGAAAAGTTAACGAATCCCAGAATTGTTCAGGTCATGGTAAAAATAATAATAATAATAATTCTTATAATTCCAAAATCCTTCCTCCACCTTGATTCTCTTGATTTCTGTGCAATCTACTTGTGGGTTTTAGATCATTCTAGCAACTTCTGACACACCAACTTTTACATTTTTGCATTAATTTTTGTCAGCTCACTATAACATTTCATGTTAATATTATGCTGGTTTCTTAATAAGTATTTCCAACTTAACATCGTGCTACAAATATAAATGCAGGTTTTTAATTAAACAACAGTTTTTACTGTGATATCACTACATTAAAGAGACCCCTTGCCCCACAGTTGCCTTCTTTTTTATATAAAAAAAATAGATATCTATGACATGACTGCTGGTTCTTCTATTCTTGCTATCCTCTGTTGCCTATACCTACCTTCCTTTGACCTGGAAATTGCCTTTCTTTCCATACAACATTATTTCTCCTACATACAAGTGTCCCACTCACACCTCCCAAATATAAAGACATGTGGCAATACCCTCCATCTTAAAACAATAAAAATAAAAGAAATTTTTCCTCAAACTACGTTCTTCTCCATCGACTGTCTTATTTCTTCTTTTCACTGAAAACTTCATAAAAATCGATGGTCTCCACTCCTCTCATTCTATCCTCTCACTATTAACCCACTAGAGTAAAGCCTTTATCTCCATCACTCATGAGAAATTGTCTTATCAATGCTTCAGATGTCTTTCACATTGCCAGGTTAAATTCTTTGTATCTTCGCTGATCTATAAGTAACTTATGACATAGTACATCTCTCTCTTCTTGCCTTGATCCTCCCGATATCACTGTTACTCAGATTTTCTACTAATACAATGGTCATTCTGTTCACTCTTTTGCTGGATTATTATCATCTGTCATAACACAATTTTTTAGAATGTCTCAGAGATTAGCTCTGAGCCCTTCCTCTCTTTATTTCACTTGTTAGGTGGTGATATCTAACAGTACACACACACATGCATGCACACACACACACACACACAATCTCTTATAACTTCCCTCTTCTGAATATTGGACCTAAAAAATCCAACTGCGTACTTGAACGTCTATGATTATATGAAAATTAACATGTCTAAAATAAAATTACCCTTCCCCCAGTAGCTCTTCCCATTTATGTCAATTTCAGTATCTGAAGAACATTTACTCTAAGTATTAAGGGGATCTTTTTATGCTCTCTTCTTAAGCATTTTCCAAATATGACGTAGTGACCCCGTCCTTCACTAATGCCACCCTGGGTCAACCTCCGAGCATCTCTCAACTAAAAAAATTTAGTGGCCTCTTAACTGGTCTTTCTGCCATCCCCTTTAAGACAAAATGAATAGTAAATATATTAAATAAGTACATTACACACTTGGTTACAACCCAATTGTTGCTACAGAAAAAGAAAAAGAAAAAATGAATAAAGAAAGTAAAAAGGATTGTGAATGCCAGATTGTGTATGGGCGTATTTTAGTAAAGTGGCAATAGAAAGTGGTCAAGATAGGCATTGACAAGAGAAAGAAGAGTCTTCCAGGCAGTAGCTAGTCCAAGCGGAATAGAGTAAATGAGGAGGAAATTACTAGAGGAGAATGTCCAAGGTAAAAGAGGACTCCATTATTTACTGAATTCACTTGTGTGTTAGGCTGTTCTTACATTGCTATAAAGAATTACCTGAGACTGGGTAATTTATAAAGAAGAGAGGTTTAATTGGCTTATGGTTCTGCAAGTTCCACAGAGAGCATGGTGCTTCCATCTGCTCAGCTTCTAGGAAGACTTCAGGAAACTTACAATCATGGCAGAAAGCAAAAAAAAGAGCAGGTAGGTCACATGGAGAAAACAGGAGCAAGAGAATGGGGGTGTAGGTGCTACACCCTTCTAAACCACCAGATTTCATTAGAACTCATTCACTATCACAAAAACAGCACGAAAGTGATAATGCTAAACCATTCATGAGAAATCTGACCCCATAATCCAAACACCTCCCACCAGGCCCCACTTTCAACGTTGGGGATTATAATTACCCCTAGTGACCCACTAGCAAAATTTTTGCTTTCTGTTCCTGTGACATTACGTCCTGCTGGCCTAGAGGTCTTAGTTCCAGAGGGAGGAACTCTGCCACCAGGAGACACAACAACAATTCCATTAAACTGGAAGTTCAGATTACCACCTGGACACTTTGGTCTCCTTTTACTTTTACGTCAACAGGCTAGGAAGGGAGTAAAGTGTTGGCTGGGGTAAGTGACCTGGACTGTCAAGATAAAATCAATCTACTACTCCACAATGGAGGTAAGGAAGAGCATGCATGGAATAAAGGAGATCCATTAGGGCGTCTCTTAATATTACCATGCCCTGTGATTAAGGTCAATGGGAAACTACAACAGCTCAATCCAGGGAGGACTACAAATGGCCCAGACCCTTCAGAAATGAAGGTTTGTGTGGCTCCACCGGGAAAAAACCCACGACCTGCCAAGGTGCTTGCTGAAGACAAAGGAAATACAGAATGAGTAGTAGAAGAAGGTAGTCACAAATATGAGCCATGACCATGTGACCAGCTGCAGAAACAAGGACTGTAATTGTCATGAGTGTTTCCTCCTTTTTTGCTGTTAAAAACATGTTTGTGCATGTATACACTTGTACTAAGAAAATATCTTTATTCTATTTCATTTTTTAATCATGTGACATAATATTTATTGACTTCATATCGGCATTTAAGTATTCTTAACTTTATGTAATAGCATTTGGGTTGGGGATTGATGCATTTCCGATTGTACAAAAGATACTCATATTATGTTAAGTGTAATTATGACCTTATTATTGTCTTTATTTGGAGATTATGTATAATCTCAGGAGATGTATATGGGTTCAAGTTGACCATGGGTGGACTTGTAATGGTTAATACTGAGTGTCAACTTGATTGGATTGAATAATACAAAGTATTGATCCTGGGTGTGTTTGTGAGGTTGTTGTCAAAGGAGATTAACATTTGAGTCAGTGGGCTGGGAAAGGAAGACCCACTCTTAATCTGGGTTGGCATGATCTAATCATCTGTCAGCACGACCTGAATATAAAGCAGGCAGAAAAATGTGAAAAGGCTAGACTGGCTTAGCCTCCCAGCCTACATCTTTCTCCCATGCTGGATGCTTCCTGCCCTCAAACATCAGGCTCCATGTTTTTCAGCTTTGGGACTCACAGTGGCTTCCTTGCTCCTCAGTTTACAGACAGCCTATTGTGGGACCTTGTGATTGTGTGAGTTAATACTACTTAATAAACTCCCATATGTAGGTGTGTGTATATGTCTTATTAGTTCTATCCCTCTAGAGAACCCTGACTGATACACCTGCTCTAACAGGCTGTTGAATGCCCATGGCTTTTCCAGGTGCAGGGCATAAGCTGCCAGTGGATATACTATTATTGGGTCTACAAGGTGATGGCCCACTTCTCACAGCTCCATTAGGCAGTGTTCCGGTGAAGGCTCTGTGTGGGGACTTGAACCCTTCATTTTCCCTTGATACTACCCTAGAAGTTATCTGTGGGGGTTCTGTTTCTGAAGTAGGCTTCTGCCTGGACACCCAGGCTTTTCATACATCCTTGGAAATCTACGCAGAAGGTGCCAAGACTTATTCATTCTTACACTCTGTGCACTTGCAGGCTTAACAGTACATAGAAGACACCAAGGCTTATGGCAGTTTGTACTTTCCTGAGCAGCAACATGAAGAGTATGTGGGAGGTTTTGAGCCAAGGCTGGAGCCGGAGTTGCCTAGACGTGGGGAACAGTATTTCAAGACTACACAGGGCAGCAAAGCCCTGGGCCTGGCCATGGAAACCATTGTTTCCTACTAGGCCTCAGGACTTGTCATGGAAGGGGCTGCCATGAAGTCTCTGAAATGCTTTCCAAGCATCCTCCTCATTGTCTTGGCTATCAGCACTTGGCTCCCTTTTTAGTCATGCATACTTCTCTAGCAAGTCGTTTCTTCACAGCCTGCCTGAATTCCTCTCCCCAGAAAGGTTTTTTTCTTCCTCTGCCACATGGCCAGGCTGCAAATTTTGAAAACTTTTGTTGTCTGCTTCCCTTTTAAATATAGGTTCTAACTTTAAGTCATTCCTTTGTTCCTAAATCTGAGCATAGGTTGTTAGAAGCTGCCAGGCCACATTTTGAATGCTTTTCTGCTTAGAAATTTCCTCCACCAGGTACCCTAAATCATCCCCATGAAGTTCAAACTTCCAAAGATCCTCAGGGCATGAACAGAATGCATCCAGGGTTTTTACTAAGGTATAACACACATGACTTTTGCTCCAGCTCTCAATAAGTTATTTCTATCTGAGACCTCAGCAGCCTGGAATTCGGTCTCCGTATCACTATAAGTATTTTGATCACAACCATTTAACCAGTCTCTAAGACATTTCTAACTTTTCCTCATCTTCCTGTCTTCTTCAAAGCTCTCCAAACTCTTTCAAACATAGCTCATTACCCAGTTCCAAAGCTGCTTCCACATTTTCAGATATCTTTATAGCAAAGGCTCGATCCTCAATACCAATTTTCTTTACTAGACTGCTCTTGTATTTCTATGAAGAAATATCTGAGAGAGGGTAATTTATAAAGAAAAGAGGTTTAATTGGCTCCCAGTACTGCAGGATTTACAGAAATAATGATACTGGCATCTGCCTGGCTTCTTGGGAGGTCTCAGGCAACTTACAATCACGGTAGAAGGTGAAGAGAGAGCAGGCATGCCACTTGGTGAAAGCAGGAGCGTGAGAGAGACAGTGGGTGCGGTGCAGGGCAGGGCTAGGGAGAAGTGCCACAAACACTTTTAAATCAGCAGATCTCATGATAACCCACTCAGTATTTTGAGAATAGCACCAGGGCGGTGGTGCTAAAACATTCATGAGAAACTCACCCCCATGATCCAATCACTTCTACCAGGCCCCACCTCCAACACTGAGGATTATAATTCATCATGAGACCTTAGGTGGGGACAAATATACAAATTGTATCAATATGTTATGCCACAATTATCATATAATTATTTCCATGATTTATGCCACATTAAGATATTTGATTTTTACTCTGAGTGAAATGGGGAGACCTTGAAGAATTATGAGCATAGACTGGCCCATTTTAAATTTAGTTTCAAATCAGTCATTCTAGATGATCTGATGAGAATTGTCTAACAACATGGGAAAGCTAAATAAAGAAAGACGACTTGGGAGTGTGTTCACAGCAGTTCAAGATGACTAGTAACTCAAAAAAGGTGCCAACTGAGGAAGTGAGGAGGGGTTAGCCATTGGGTACATGTCCTGACATACTGGATACTGGACGTGAGAGAAATGATAGGTCAAGTTATGATTCCAAAGATCTTGCTCAGCAACTTGAAGAGTAAGCTGCTATCCATGGATAGTGGCAGGCTGCAGGTGAAGCAGGTTTATGAGGGGATATCAGAATTCAATTTTGGTTGTGTCTGAAATGTCTATCTGACATCTAAATTTGAGAAGACAGTTGGATATGTGAGTTTAAGATTTCTGTTACACATTCAAATTGAGGAGGCAGTTGGACATGTGGAAATCAAGAGAGAGTTCTGACTTAGAGAGATTAATTCAGTAGTCTTCAGCATATGGCCTGTATTCAAAATCATGAGGATGGAATACATTATCAAGGGAATAAGTATTAATTCAAAAGGAAAGAGAAAGTGGACCAAATAATTGAAGAGTACTGAAAAAGAATTGACAAAAATAAATGGGCAGGACTTGGGGAAGTGACAGAGAAATCAGCAGTGGAGGCTAAGAAGTGACCAGTGATCTTGGGAGAAAATCAAGACATTGTGGTACTCTACAAGCCTAGTGGAAAAAAAAATAGTAACAAAGAGAAGAGAGCAACGGAATGTGTTACTTAATCTTAACATATCAGGTAAAATATCTACTAAATGAATGTTTCAAAGATAGGTTACAAACGGAAGAATTGGAAACCGGATGCAAAAATAGATCGATGTGGTTTAATCTCACCTCAAATTGTAATCCCCATGTGTCAAGGGAGGGACTTGTAATCTCCACATGTCAAGGGAAGGAGGGGGCTGCATCATGTGGGCGGTTTCCCCCACGCTTTTCTTGTGATGGTGAGTGAGTTCTCATGAGATATGATGGTTTCATAAGTGTTTGACAGTTCCTTTTTCACATGCTTTCTCTCCTGCTGCCTTATGAAGAAGGTGCCTGCTTCCTTTTCTACCATGATTGTTAAGTTTCCTGAGGTCTCCCAGCCATGCAGAACTATCAGTCAATTAAAACTCTTTCCTTGATAAATTATCCAGTCTTGGCTATTTCTTTTTTCTTTCTTTCTTTTTTTCTAAGACAGAGTCTCTCTTTGCATTCCAGGCTGGAGTGCAGTCTGTCTCCCTGTCTCCCGAAATCAAGTGATTCTCCTGCCTCAGCCTCCCAAGTACCTGGGATTACAGTTGTCCACTACCTGGCCTGGCCAATTTTTGTATTTTTATAGAGACAGAGTTTCACCATTTTGGTCAGGCTGGTCGCAAAGTCCTGACCTTAAGTGATCCACCCACCTTGGCCTCCCAGAGTGCTGGAATTACAGACTTGAGCCTGTATTGGGCCTCGGGTATTTCTTAATAGCAGTGTGAAAATGTACTAATACACAGATATTCCAAAGAGTTTTACTACAAAGAAAGCAAGGACTGGGGCAGTAGCTAGAAGAAGAAATAGAATCAGCAGAAGTGTTATTATTGTAGTTGGTATTCTATTCATTTTTAAAATTGAAGAAATAACAGTTTATTTGGATGTTTATAGGAATAATTCAATAGACAGCAAAATTTATGATGTATGACAGAAAAAGAAGAGTTGCCAGGGAAGTGCCCTGAGCAAGTAAGAAGTAATAAGTTAGTACTTAAGTGGAAGGATGTACTTTGTGTAAGAGCAAGGAAATGTCATCTGCTACAGCAAGTGGGAAAAAAGAGTATGTGAAAGACACTGCTGATTAATTTCAATTTTCTAGTAAAGCAGGAAACAAGTAGGAAGCAAGGTCATATGGTATGACTGTTAGAGGAAGGGCTGGGAGTCACTGGGAGGATAAATAGTCTGCCTCTTGCCTGGCAGTACCGAGAGCCCTCCAAAGCCCGAAGTGATCTGGTCCCTAATATCTCTCTAACATTGTGCTCTATGACTTGCCTTCTCAATATGTAGGCCTGGCTGTCTTGGTTCCTTAGCCATTTCTAGGAAATGCCAAGCACACTCCTGCCTTAAAAAATGTCAAACTTTTGCTCCTTCTGCCTAGTATACTTTCTCCTGATCTCCACATAGACTCTTCCTCACTTCATAAAGCCTCTGTTCAAATGCAAGTCTTTGCCTAAACAACCACCTTGTTATTCTGTATTCTCTTATCCTACTTTATTTTTCTTTTAGCACATATCAATACTTGACTCATTTATTTGATTATTTATTGCCTGCCTTTTCCCGATAGAATTGTATTTCCATGACACTAATCTTAGGTCCTAGAAAATGACTGGTAGATAGTAGGTGGTCAATAATGAACTCTGTTGAATAGATGAATAAATGTATGAAACAGTGAATGAGTAAATGGTTACTAGGGAAAGAGAACAGAGAAAAGTGGGGTGTGTAGCAGAGCTAAATTTCTATATACTGTAATGGAAAGTGCACAATCGGTAGTATCTGAGTCACTTATTTAAGAGACATGGTCTTTAAACAATTGAAGTTAAATCACAGTAGGAACAGATAAAGTATCAAAAATATTTGCCTTTGGGGAGGTGTTGGCATGAGAAAGGGCACATACTTATCTTTGGTTATAGCCTTTTAACATTGTTTGATTTTTTCAAACTTTGAGTTCATAACATTGATAAGCACTAAAAACATATTATTGTAAAAGGCCACTTTGAATGCAATGATGCATTTTACAGCCATTTCTGCCATCTAAAGTTGTATGATCTAAGCTTTTTGCTGCCCCCACAGAAGCAACCATCTGAACAAACTGAAGCTTGAACGCCCCATAGTTCAACAGAATTAATGGTAGATTCCTTTCAACTTTGCTCTCTTTTTCCATATTACAGTCACCTTCACTAGCAGGTTGCAAATAGTCATGCAATAATGTCTATTTTATTTCATTTCAAAGAGCTCTGTTTAATGCATTTGTTGTACTTTTGAATATGACTAAATCCCAATTCATTCTTCCACAGGCAGGAGATGTGAAGGCAGATTGTCTGAATATCAAGATGCTGTCCTAAATTATATGAGGTATAGATGCATAGTGGCATGCAAATTATTTTACATCTCTGTACTTTAGTTTCTTTCTTCATTGTTAAAATGAGAATATCTATACTTTAGGCCTCTGTGGGTGAAAGAAATTGAATATGTACAATATTTACAATATTACCTGGTACATAGTACACAGTAAATACGAAACACATCATAGTAATTATTATTATTATAAATACTATTTCAAGCTGTATCCAAATGGCTAGATGCGCTTGCATTCTGCTCTTCAGATATATAATCAGTAAGACAATGATGAAAGTGGATGCAAGAACACCATGTATTCAGCAGACAGATTAGAGTTTAATCAAGAGTGTTTCTTAAGTTCATCATATAAAACAAAATGAAAATCTGTGGATTCTACTGAAAATGAAAACTGAATATTAAAATTATCTCTAAACTGAGTTTAAAATGTTAACTTTGAAAATAGTGAGCTGAAAATGCTAAGAAATCATCATTAAAAACTAAGGGCTTTTTTGTTTCATTTATTCGAATTCTTTCTACCTGCATTTGTGAGTGTGTGTATGTGTGTGCACGTGTGTGTATGTGTATGTTGTGCATGTGTGTATATATGTGTGTGTATGTGCAGTTGGAGCCAAGACAGGCAGATGTATATAAGAATTCCTGCCTTTCAAATTATCTGAATATCCATGCTTTTTCAGGGACTATTAACATACATCAGAAAATAATTCCTCTAAATAAAATATCCCTAGCATAAATACTCGGCCAGCGCACAGCTGTATAAGGGCCCTGACATATCAGAGGTGGAGGAAGTCTATAGCATCTTCAGCTCTAGCCCTATACTCTCTATTTTATACAGAGAAGCAAGAGATCTGGAAAAGGGGCAGAACCTACTCAGATCCTGATCTCTAGACCCATGGTTCAGAACTATTTTAACTGTGCCATACAGCTTCAAATAATCCAAAACGAAAAATGTAACAGACAAGAGAGCAATGAAATGTGTTACCTGATCTTAACATATCAGGTAAAATATCTACTAAATGGAGTAGCATGAAGATAGGTTACAAAGAGAGGAATGGAAACAGGATGCAAAAATAGATTGAATGGTTTGGCTCTGTGTCCCCACCCAAATCTCATCTCAAATTGTAATCTCCACGTGTCATTTATCCTTATGGTTGGTTATTGATTGAACTTTATCTCTGTGATCTTATTATGAACGATTTTGCTCTCTCTGGATGGCAGTAGTCTTAAATAGACATATATTTTATGAAAAAAATGTTATTTTTTAACCTACTCCTTCATAAAGAAGTGGAGAAAATGCCACTATTTATAGGAAGATAAAGTAAGTGGACATTTTATGAAGGCATACGTTTAAATTAGATGAACACATAAATCTGTTGCTGAAATTACCTGCAAATATACAGAAAATACTCCAGCTCAAGACAATACAACACAAATCAGGTAGAAAATTACTTGCCTATAAATCTTAATCTACTGCAATTTTATTTTCCCTCATCTATTTGCCATGTGGCGCTCCTGAATTTTAGGTGCTAGGTCTATTACTTGGAAATAGGCTTGTCCTAATAAAACTGACGTTTCTAAAGGGCTGTTTTCATAGAATCATGCCCCCATTTCTGAGATCCCTAATTCAACACCTTTGACAGTCTCAATTCTTTGCAGGGTACAATACCGGGAACAAAGGGGAAAATACAAATAAAAGCGAAGAAGAAATGGGAGCAGGGATAAGCTCTTCAAGTTGTTTTAGTCCTCATAATTCAAAAAGTTATAAAGTTCTCTTACACCGAAACTAAATGTCTCAATTTTAACTCTACTTTTGGTCTTCTATCACTGACAGGCAAACTCAGGCAGTCTTTTTTTTTTTTTTTTAAGCAAAGCAAATTTTATTACACATAAAATTAATATATCAATATACAATAAGTTACACTGTTTTATCTTACTGTACATTAATTCAGGAGGCGATTTTTACTTTTTCTTTAATCCCACTTCTTAATCCCAGCAAAACTTTCTCAGGCAGTCTTTTAAATGATTTTTGGATAAGTTCTCTCTACCTAAACTTTGATTAATTTTTTTAATTCAACCCCAGATTTTATCTCCAGTAATTGATTGATTATATGTTACACGCACTCAGTTTTCATGGAAGTAGTGAAAATCCACCGGTGTTTTTAAGTTAAAGTTTTCATGTAAGAGCATAACATCGAATACCAATGAGCAATCTGAAAGCAGGATGGGATTTCTTATTCAACTCTTATGAAATTCACACTAGCCAATGAATTCTGTTCCATTTAATCACATCATTTCAATATTTCCTGTGGAAGGCAGCATTTCAGTCGAGCCAAATCGGGAGACTTCATCTTCATGAAGTACTTCATCTTTGAAAGAGGCTGCTTGTAGTCATGATTTTTCAAGCCTTTTAGGCATCTTTAAGCAGTATACTTCAAGATTCCCAGGAACATGTGATATTAAAATAATTTTGTATATTAACATTTGAAACCAGTCAGAAAAAATAGCTTTGCTTTTTATTTAATTATAGATGCCACAAGCTAACATTTGCTTTCATTATTATAGGAGAAATATGAATTGCTATGTAGAAAATGTCAATCGTGCAAAATATGGTATATCAGGCTTTATAAATAAATATTTCATAAACTAGTTTATGTAATATCAGGAATATTTAAAAACAAGGTTTTGTTTCAAATAAAATTGCATGTCACTGGGTTAAGCACAAGTAGTTTTCTTTGGTATAAGACTTAACTTTCTTTAAAACACAGAAATGCTCCCTAAGTATTCACTAAGAAATACATTATGTGGTATAGCCCAAACTTATTTGACTATGGGACCTATATTTCTTGGAGCATCTTTCCAGAAGTGAATTCCAAGGAAAAAGATTTTAAAGCATAGTATGAATAAAAGCAGTAATAGCATACTTCATTAACTTTAATACTTGTAGATGTTTTATTTCCTGTCTTTCCTTCTCAAATAGGAGTACATCTTTTAGAAAAAAATGGGTAATTTGAAATATGTCTTTGTACATTATCACAAAACGTAATACCTGAAGATGGCAATTGTTAGTAGTAAAGCCTTTGTTTTTTCTGTTTTGTTTTTTCAGTTTAGCAGTGATATACTGAACTGATAGTAATGTTCAACTGCACACTAGTCATTTGCTTATAAATCCAAGATAGCTCTAAAATACTCACCAAAATATTTTCTGTTAACTGCTTGGTCAAAATTTTATCCTTGCAACTAATTTTTCTCCCACCTTCTTATTTGATAAAAAAAATTGCAATGTACTAGCAAGATTGGGTCAGTTAGAAAAATTCAAATATCTCTGTTACATGGTTAAATTTTTTTTAAAGTCAGGCTACTTAATAATTTTCATCTCATAGGTATTTCTTTACCAGCCTGTCAATGTCATAAGAAAATAGTTATTTTCAGACAATGAAAGTGTAAAGTGAGGAATTTTCACAAAAGTATTTATTAAAATGTGAGAAAGTATTCGAAGCTGTGAATAGGATATACCTTCAGGATGATTATTTTTGCAGGTCAAAATAAAATGGCAGTGGCGGATTTCTTGAAAAAGAAACAAATGCTGATGAGTTGAGGAAGTGAGAGGACAAACTAAAACCTACAATTTTTTTTAGAAATAGCTACTTTAAAGTTTTAAACGACTCACATAAAATGAATTCTATTAACCCATTTATATATGATATAATTTTGGAGTGCTTTATAAGTTCTCACTGATTTTACCGCTGACACTAAGTAGTAAGCCTTTTTGTTGTTGTAGCTCCATCTTAGAATATCTCCATCCCAAGAATCTTTAAACAATTTGAATTTACAAAAGAAGTCAATTTTTGTTGTTGTTGAGGTGAAATCGTGTCATCAATATACATAGGTACCTCTTTAATTTTTAGGAATGTTCATATATATGTAAGACAACATTATTTCAGTTGGCTTAGGAAAATAATTTTTTCTGGTGAATTTATATTTTTGTTATTTTGATCCTAAGTTTAAAAATATATTCAGATGACCAACAAATACACCCAAATTGAAGATTTTAAAAATTGTTTTTCTTGTTTGTTTATGTGCTCATTAGTTTATGTTCTTTTAGAGGGACAGAAAAAAATGTTGTTCTTAACACTTTCGAGATAATTAAAGGAGACAAAAAATATGTGGAATATTCATTTCAGCTATAGAACTAATACTGTTTTGGTTTTATATGAGCACTCACTGAGTCCTGTCCTCCAGACCTTAAAAATACCCTTGTGGTGTCAAACATTATAGAGGTTATAAACAGAAGTATTGATTTTTTAAATAATATTAAATCATTGAAAACTGATGATAGAAAAATTGGAAGATTTTTGAGATTAAATAAACCAGGCTGCTAATATGTGGACCTGCTTCAAGCAAGCTTAGTAATTAATATTGCATCCTGTTCAACTTTTTCAAGTTTCAGAATCAGAGGAGAACCAAATAATTTTCAACCGTTTTTATTGTTGCCGTTGTTTTGTTTTATTTAGTTTTGATTTTATTGGAGTATAAATTGTTAACCCTACTTAGCAGTCTTCGGACTGGCTCAAATATTTTTCTCTCTTCTTTGGTTGTATATGCTCACTCTGCCTCCTTTGTTTATAGTTTTCATATAATAGTTACATGTTCCTCTCCCCACTTAGGGCTACCAGAAATAATACAAATGAAGAGCCTCTCATCTCTTCAAAAATAGGAGATACAAAATCCCATCAAGTTTCATATCTGTGTCTTCATATTAACCTCTTTGGTGGGTATAGACCATGGTTTGTTTGGCTTGTTATTTACACTAAATTCAAATGTAAAGCACAACCTCATTCAAAACAGTAATGAAAGATGAAATAGATAGTACATAAATACCTGACTAATAAATATCAATAAATGAATGAATATATAGATGAAAGTTGTAGTAAGAAGCTTCCCAGAATATCTGATGGACTCTAAGCATCGTCTTCCCTTCTGCTTCACTTGCTACAAATGATTTGTGTTCCATCAGGGTACAATTTCCCAGGGAGCTTCTTAAATATGCAGACTCAAGGTCACACTATTTCTCTTCTATCCTAACTCCCTGCCTCCTCTGCCCCTGACACACACAAACAAAGATTTGAGAGGGTCTAGGAATTAGAACTTAATGCAGGTTGTTCATGAATTTTATACCAAACACTCTAATCACTGGAGTCAGAATAGTCAAGAAAAAGATATATATTTGAATGTGGTTTGCCACTTATTTTAAATCAGTCTCATGAATAGAACAAAAAATAAAATAAAAAAGTGTTTCCTTTTAAACACAAGCCATGGTTTTGAGTTAAATAAATCTATTTTTCTCCCAAGAACATAAAGAACCATCTTGTCTCTATTTTGCTAATTGAAGGCCATGGATTTGAAGTCTCCTAATCACTTCTCAACTCTTATTTTGCAAATTGTGTTTCCTGAAAATAGACTGGAATTGCGTATTCAAATGAATGTAGTTTCATGGAGTATGATCCTGGGATTGATTCCTTTGGAATGAAAGGAAAGGAAGCAGGATTGGGAAAGAGAAAAGGTGGGCTGTGAAGAAAACTCAGCAAAGTCTTCAGCCAGCCCCTTGAGTACAGTGAAGCTTGCACATTGTGGCCAAGGGGCTGGGCCTTCACACTCCCACTATATCCATTCATCATTAAATATGGGCTGCCCCAAAAAAGGGAATCTGGCCTTAGGCCAGGCAACACTTTCCAGAGCTTTCTCACATTGGAGGCTGTCAGCTGCTAGCATCCCTAATAGCCAAAGGCAAGTCTTTCAGTCCTGAGGCAGACCCAGGCAGTGCATTATAGAATCAACCATATCTTACTTGTTTTTAAATTTTATATTTTCTTTTTTTTTCTTTTTTTTTTTTTGAGACGGAGTCTTGCTCTTTTGCCCAGGCCGGAGTGCAGTGGCGCTATCTCGGCTCACTGCAAGCTCCGCCTCCTGGTCTCACGCCATTCTCCTGCCTCAGCCTCCCGAGTAGCTGGGACTACAGGTGCCCACCACCACGCCTGGCTAATTTTTTGTATTTTTAGTAGAGATGGGGTTTCACCGGGTTAGCCAGGATGGTCTCGATCTCCTGACCCTGTGATCCGCCCACCTCGGCCTCCCAAAGTGCTGGGATTACAGGCGTGAGCCACCGAGCCTGGCCAATTTTATATTTTCTTTAAATATGTCCCCCTATATCCCTTTCATTCTTTTTTTAAAAATTAATATTATGTTTTTATTATACTTTAAGTTCTGGGATACATGTGCAGAAAGTGCAGGTTTGTTACATAGGTATGCATGTGCCATGGTGGTTTGCCACACCCATCAACCCATCACCTAGCTTTTAAGCCCCACATGCATTAGGTATTTGTCCTAATGCTCTCCTTCCCCTTGTTCCTCACCCCTCAACAGATCCCGGTGTGTGATGTTCCCCTCCCTGTGTCCATGTGTTCTCATTGTTCAACTCCCACTTATGAGAGAGAACATGTGGTGTTTGGTTTTCTGTTCCTGTGTTAGTTTGCTGAGAATGATGGTTTGCAGCTTCATCCATGTCCCTGTAAAGGACATAATCTCATCCTTTTTATGGCTGCATAGTATTCCATGGTATACATGTGCCACATTTTCTTTATCCAGTTTATCATTGATAAGCATTTGGGTTGATTCCAAGTCTTTGCTATTGTGAATAGTGCTTCAGTAAACATACATGTGCATGTGTCTTTATAGTAGAATGATTTATATTCCTTTGTGTCTATACCCAGTAATGGGATTGCTAGGTCAAAAGGTATTTCCGGTTCTAGATCCTTGAGGAATAAACTTACTGTCTTCCACAATGGCTGAACTAATTTACACTCCCAACAGTGTAAAAGCATTCCTATTTCTCCACATCCTCTCCAACATCTGTTGTTTCCTGACTTTTTAATGGTTGCCATTCTAACTGGCATGAGATGGTGTCTCATTGTGGTTTTGATTTGCATTTCTCAAATGACCAGTGATGATGAGCTTTTTTTTTATATATGTTTGTTGGCTGCATAAATGTCTTCTTTTGAGAACCATCTGTTCATATTCTTTGCCCACTTTTTGTTGGGGTTGTTTGTTTTTTCTTGTACATTTGTTTAAATTCCTTGTAGATTTCTGGATATTAGCCCTTCATCAGATGGATAGATTGCCAAAATTTTCTCCTATTCTGTAGGTTGCCTGTTCACTCTGATGATAGTTTCTTTTGCTGTGCAGATGCTCTTTACTTTAATTAGATCCCATTTGTCAATTTTGGCTTTTGTTGCAATTGCTTTTGCCATTTTTCATCAGGAAGTCTTTGCCCATGGCTATGTCCTGAATGGTATTGCCTAGGTTTTCTTCTAGGGTTTTCATGGTCTTAGGTTTTACATTTAAGTCTTTAATCCATCTTGAGTTAATTTTTGTATAAGGTGTAAGGAAGGGGTCCAGTTTCAGTTTTCTGCATATGGCTAGCCAGATTTCCCAGTACCATTTATTAAATAGGGAACTCTTTCCCCATTGTTTATTTTTGTCAGGTTTGTTGAAAATCAGATGTTTGTAAATGTGTGGTGTTATTTCTGAGGCCTCTGTTCTGTTCCATTGGTGTATATAACTGTTTTGGTACCAATGCCATGCTGTTTCAGTTACTGTAGCCTTGTGTTATAGTCTGAAGTTGGGTAGCATGATGTCTCCACCTTTTTCTTTTTGCTTAGGATTGTCGTGGCTATACAGGCTCTTTTTTGGTTCCATATGAAATTTAAAGTAGTTTTTTCTAGTTTTGTGAAGAAAGTCATTAGTAGCTTGATGGGAGTAGCACTGAATCTATAAATTACTTTGGGCAGTATGGCCATTTTCACAATATTGATTTTTCTATCCATGAGCATGGAATGTTTTTCCAGTTGTTTGTGTCCTCTCTTATTTACCAATTGCTACAAAGAAAATAAAATACCTAGGGATACAACTTACAAAGGATGTGAAGGACCTCTTCAGGGAGGAGAACTATATCCCCTTCATTGTTTATGTGTATTTTCTGGTCTATATATACTCATTTGAGGCCTTCTAATGACTTTCTCATATAGTGACTTAAACATATATACAGATAGAGAAATGTAGAATAACATGTACATAAATATACATATATCAGTTCTCCACAGAGAAACCACTTGCCCTTGAGACAGGAATAGTAACAAATAGTTACTTGAATATGCAAACAGTTAACACTAAATTTATGTTTATTAGGGATTATTGTATTTATTTTTCATATACAGGGATCATAAAAATTGTTACTCAAGTGCATTTTGGTTTATTTCTTAAACGTTAAATATTTCTTAAATGTATGTGATGCAACAAAACATTAAGATATTGGTAATTGTGATTGCTACTCAGCCTTTTGGCTAATATCAAGTGAAGATATTGGTAATGGTTGAAACAGAGTGTTGAGTATGTGGGATCACTGTAATATTTTATATATTTTGCATATGTTTGAAGATAATCTTAATAAAATGCTTAAAATATTTTATCTAAAAGAAAGTACATGTAAAATGACACCGCTGGCGATTTTTTTACTGTCATGGTGTAACAAAAAAGATGATGGCAGAAGACAATTCGGTTCACATTAAAATAAAATTTTTGCAACGTGTAAGTGAGAAAAAACCTGGTAAAATTTTGAGAGAAATAAGACACTGGAGTATTTATACTGAAGATTGAATGAACAATTAAAATATTCTAAAGTAGATTTATGAAGAAAGTTAAATATATAGAGACCATGAAAACATTAAAAGTTAATGTTACAAAGCAACAAGATACTGTCAAATTAAATTATAGGAATCCTTTCTAATCCACTAAGAGATAAATATTTGAAAATATTCACATGTATCTACAGTCACATAACCAAATTTAAATTAGCTTGCGTCTTCTACTTTCTCATTTTGGCCCACTGGTCCATGGTTATTACACACCAGCAGCATTAATTTTGCAGGTAAAATCTCTTAAATTTTCTTTTCAACTTTACTTTCCATTTCCAGGCCTGTACCCACAGAGACACATGACACAACACTCCTAGTGCTATAGGAACAATGAATACTAAATAGCTGCTATAAATACAGGCATCATAACATCAAATTTAGTGCCACGTGATTTCAGTTGGTTTTCATATTCTTATGCAACTCACCTCTCTATATATGGCTTCCAGTTTTTAATAAATCCATTACTATATTTTATGTTTGCAAAGGGTTATTACAGGTTACCTAACACAGTAGACTGGACTGGAAGGTTAATAACGGATTTGCTTTGCAAAATGTCACACAAATTGATGCAATCAGACAAGACAGGCCATGGTCCAAAGGTAATTCATTTATAAAGGTACTAATACTCTAATCAATTCTAATCCAAAAATATCTGAAAATGACATTTGTCCTGTAATCTTGTGAACATTATGTAGAGTGGAAAAGCCAGCATGGAATGAACAGAGAATTTGTTTAGCAAACACTGTAATCACTGGAGTCGGAATAGTCAAAGAAAAAGATATATATTTGAGTGTGGTTTACCACTTATTTAAATCAATCTCATGAATGGAACAAAAAATAACACATTTTATGATGAATTTCTTATCTTAGGTATAGGGTTAGCTCTTCCAATAGAGGCTGATTATTTGTGAAATGTTTACATTTCCTAGGGAGAAGAGATAGATTTTCCAATAATTTTATGAACTATTCTGAGTAGTTGGGTGAGGAAAATCCACCAACAATACATCTTATAGCTCACTGATATTCAAAATTTGTTTTCACTGGGTTTCTCTGTCTCTGCAAGGAATTAAGAAAACCTGCTGTAATTGCGTTAGACATAAAGGGCAGATGTAATTAGGTTCATGGTAACTTGCAGATCAAAATGACTCCAGTCATTATGGTTCGCAAACCAATCCCTCTTTTTTGTTCACTATTTTGTTCACTGGATCAGGAAAACACAGGTGTCAATAGTATCCAGAATGAGATACATAAAGGTACAAAGGTTTTGTTCACCAGATATTCTTACATAGGAATGAAAGGAACACTTCCCAAGGAAATGCATGTGGCAAGTCATCTGAAGTGCCTGCTCTAAAACTGTTCTAGAACACCTGGGGTAGGTAGCACATGCTCCACGAAAAGGCAACCACCTGACTGAGGGAGTTGGGAAATTTCTAATAGTGGCTCAAGTGTGAATCTTTGGGGAGAATAAATAATGTCTAGGTTATATTTATGGGAAGAATTGTTTGTGACGTGCAAAGTGAAATTCCTGATCATAGATTCTTAGGGATAACTTACCATATAAATCAACACCGCTCTATTTATTTGTGATTCCTTGCTGATGCAAAGGCTGGTGACTGCTCTACCCAGAATTTAAAAGATTGTATTTAAAGACAGAACTTACTCTAGTGGGATATTGTTTTTTCCTCTAAGCCTGTAGTGAGACAAAAACATTATAAAACAGTTATCTAAGGAAAAAAGGACTTTGTAACATTGTTTGTGCATTATAGACAAAAGTCATCATATATTCTTGAGTCTTATTTCTAAGAATAACTACTGAAGTATGTAGTGTCTGGATTCTTAGTTAGATGCAACAGGAATCAATTGTATGTTATTCAAAAAGGAAAAAGTGTGCTGAAATAACCTGAGTATGTCACCTGTAGCTAGATGAGCCAGAGAGCTGGACATGAAGAAAATCCAGTGGAGAATTATGACAAAAAGTTTACTACAGAACTGGTAGATACAGGATAGATCTGCTGCTAACATTGAATGTTACACCCTCCAGCTTCCTCCCCAGTAGAATTGGTCCTAGCCACTACTCATCAGGAAATACAGTTTGCTATAGTGACCGTTGATGCGAATGAGAAATCTTTATTTTCCAGTTTCTTTAAATCACTGAGTACTGTTATAAAATCTATCAATACATCCGATGAATGAAGCCTAGCATCTGTGCAGGTTCCTTAGCTATAAGAAAGTCTGGAAAGGGAAACTTCTAATATTTTTTATTTCTAAAGTGGCAAAATTGCTTACTTCCCACTCCCCAAGTCTCAGAAGTTGGAAATTACCCAAATAAAATATAAGATGTCAGAAGCTTCAGTGACAAATATAATAAATGTGCTGAAGTCCATCTGTTTGACTATCCAATATTACATAAATACTTCTACATATACATATATGGAACTCTCATTTGAATAACAAGAAATGTTTTTAACTCAAACATAGAACAACTAAAATTCTCATCCATCTGTTTAGGGATTATCCCAGGTTGCAGAATAACTGAGTGACATCAATTCTCATTTCAATATTCTCTAACCAATGGGTTGTATAAAAAAATGAATCTCTACAAAGACAGTGTCTACCTAGATGAAACAGTGAACAAAAAATATGGCAAAAGAGGAAATTGAATTAAAAAATGTATGCACAATAAAGTAGTTCATAAGGCAATATACAGAAATACATGAAGAAGGTAAAGATATTTGTCTGCACCTGACTGAAAGGCAGACTTTAGCCAAAGTTTCTATTTCTCTGTTTCACTACTAGGATGACTATACACTCTGCATAGCTCAGAACAATTATGGTTTACACCTGTCATCCTGGTCGCCTTCTGACACATTTATTTCCAATTTAAAAAATAGTATTGTTATTAAATGTTATATAACCTGACAAAATAACTCGATAGCAATAAGCTTCAATGTGCTTATTTAATGAAACATTCAGAACATTAGTAGGTTATTGAGGTTCCATTGTATCCAACATGAGTTATGGTTTTGACCAGTGCTGTGTGGAACACTTTACTAACAGGATGATAAATTTGAATTGTCTCCAGTAATAACTTCCCAGATGCAAAGTAACTAACACCAACCTTTCAAGAATAGCATGAAGGGCATAATTGATAAAATAAATTATGCTTATAGTTAAAAACAAAAAACAAAAACAAAAACAAAACAAAACAAAAAACAGAAAATGAGACCTTTTTGGTACTTGGGTGGTCTGGGAGGTTTATTTGATATTGCTGCCCCTGTCAGCCACGTGGTGCTCCAGCCTGCTGTATCATGGCTTAGTTACAAGCCACAAGTCTTCCCATAAGCAGGATCAGCAGGACATATGGGAAATCTCCAATGTATGTATCAGCAGAGAAGAGTGTCTGCGCAGTGTTGCAGAACAACTTACAGAAAGTAATGTGAGTGATCTTGCTACAACGGATTTATTATTTATTACAGAGTGGAAATCTGCAGGTATTTATTTTATCGTTATAGATACATTTTTATTTTGCAATGAAATAACTTGATAGCAAGATGCTTAATGTCGTATTTAAGAAAACATTAAGTATTGATTTTTCTACTTCTCAGGACAACAAGAATAAACATAGGCCTTGCATACAATATTCACCAGTAGGCTATAGTCATGTCATTTAAGCAAATGACAGTAGGGAGACATAAATCTGCAGAAAAAGCATCAGCATCTACTTGAAAATCTGTAGTTAAGCATTAAAATCTGTGACCTCCCCAGCATCTAATATGCTTTTTGTCATACAGCACACGTGTGCTAAAACTTCTAAAATATAAGAAATATTCAGTACAAAGGAGCTAGAAAATAAGTAAATAAATTCTAAATTAAAAAAAGGAACCATTCTAATAACTGAATATAAACATGTATGAATTATAAAATTTAATAATAAATGTTATCCAGACTTTTTCTGAATGAGATGAGAAATATAGATTATATTTTGGAAAACTTTTTAAAGAGAGAAAGAGAAATAGAAAAAGAGAGAGAGAGAGAATGGGAAAAAGAGAGCAAGAAAGGAATGGACAGGGAGGAAGGAAGGAAAAATAACAATGGTACAATGACGGTGTCATTAATGAGAAAGAGGAATTACCTACAGATTAGGAAATTTAAAAAATTATATTTCAACATATTTGAAGATACATAGCTGAGAATACTTACAAGTCTAGGAAGAATGAATTATTTTTAAGGGAAGACAATTGATCAAATGCGAACTTACATATTTATATTTGCTTATATCTTACACACTTGATAATCTAACAAATTTAGTTCAAGATTCTATTAAAATCCTGAATAGTCCAAGAAACAACAAAAAAGAAGAAGAAAATAGAAAAGAAGGAAAAAGAAAGGAAATAAAATTTATACCCAGAAAGATAATTTGAAACAAATAGTTGCTAAAAATGCTTTTACATATTGTATTAGAAGAATAAGTTTTACCTAGTTTTCTAATTTTCAATTATTTTTGATGCAAAGTTTTTTAAATTATGTTTTATTTATTTAGTTTTCAATTTTTATTTTATTTTATTTATATTTTATTTTATTTATATTTTGAGAGGGAGTCTCACTCTATCCCCCCGGCTAGAGTGCAGTGCTGTGATCTCAACTCACTGCAACCTCTGCCTCCCGGGTTCAAGCAATTCTCCTGCCTCAACCTCACGAGTAGCTAAGATTACAGGCACGTGCCACCATACCCAGCTAATTTTTTGTATTTTTAGTAGAGACGGGGTTTCACCTTTTTGGCCAGGCTGGTCTTGAACTCCTGACCTCAAGTGATCCACCTGCCTCGGCCTCCCAAAGAGCTGGGATTACAGGCATGCGCCACCGCTCCCAGCCTGCAAAGTTTTTCTTAAGCATATATAAACATTAATAAATATTGGTTAATGTGTTGGCTTCATTACGTTCAAAAGAAGCATTTACAAATAGTTAAATGATATTATGTTTTAAGCAGTGTCATCAGATGCTTAAAATAGGAAATCAGTTTTGTTAGTTAAAATAAAACAGCCAATTCATGGAATCACAGTAAATTTAGAAAGTTCATAAAGTCAACAGTACAACCTTTAATATTTCGTAAATGATACTGTAAGTCTAATACAATACTAAAAATTGAATTGAATTGTTCCTGGATTTATAGTACAAAAACAAAATTTAGTGTTTGTAAAGATGAGATCATCTATACTGGATTAAGAATCAAATAATTCAAATAATACACTTAATTATTTGAAACTGATTTTCTACAAAAATCACTCATTCATGGGTATGTATACACATGCTTACATACATGATGAAACTAAACAAATTACAGTATTTTTGTGATGAAGTTGATAATTTATTAAAAAAAGCCTTTAGCATCGCAATATAGACTCTTAGATTATGTTTGAGAATGTGAAGGATACTCTACATATAATAATAATAAAAATATATTATATTATTGAACATACTTCTAGATAAATTCATTCTTATTTATCATTATTTTTAAACATTACTTGGAAATCTGTAAATGAATTAGAAAATTCAATAGAATACCTCAAACATTGAGCTTTTGAAACTTATAGGAAATAAATACCAATTATTGAAAACAAAGATTGCAAACAAGGAGACACTGAAAAATTTCCCCTTATAAAAGCATGAGAGAATTTGGATAATTTATACAAAGGGAGCTCAAACTGTGTAAAAGATTTATTCTGAAGTCCTATAATTGGCTTTGTAATATATTGTCTTGTGAGAGGGTTTTTGTTTTGAAAGAGCCCTCATTTTTAATAGGACAAATTTATATTCTGTAACAGACTGAAATGAAATTGTGAAAGCCCTATGAGTTTGCAGCATCTAAATTAGGCATTACGTTCATATTTGCTGAAGAAAGTTTATCTGAAGAAAGGCAAAAAATAGCAACTATGAAAAATATTTAGGTTGATATATCCATCCATTTCGATGCAAAAAGAAAGAAAGAATTGAAAATATCTTCCATTTAATAAACTTTGCCCTGCATTCACCACATCTCAGCGCCTGAAGAGTGAATATTTCTTGGTTGAAAATAATAAGATGTGGAAATAATTTGTCAACCATATACTGCAACTTTCCAGAATATGCCATTGGTTATTCTATAAAAACATTAAAGTAAAAACATTGAAAAAACTTCTAGAAATAAAACCAGTAGCATATTATGAAAAAAAAAAATATATATATATATATATAAATTAAAGCACACAATAGAAACCATGAGGCCGGCCGTGGTGGCTCATGCCTGTAATCCCAGCACTTTGGGAGGCCCAGGCGGGCGGATCACGAGGTCTGACACCGAGACCATCCTGGCTAACATGGTGAAAACCCGTCTGTACTAAAAATAAAAAAATTAGCCAGGCGTGGTGGCGGGCGCTTGTAATCCCAGATACTCGGGAGGCTGAGGCAGGAGAATGGCGTGAAACCAGGAGGCGGAGCTTGCAGTGAGCCGAGATCGCGGCACTACACTCCAGCCTGGGTGACAGAGCAAGACTCGGTCTCAAAAAAAAAAAAAAAAAGAAAGAAAAAAAGAAATCATAAGCAGGTACCAACACAGCCATTTTTAATGTTTACATACTAGATAGAAATAAGCAGCTAATGTTATTTTACTGAGGGTGCTTATGTGTGGATATGCATGCATGTATTGTTTATAGATAGAATTTTATACCTAAGATAATTTTGAACATTGTTCTATAGGTCCACTATAGAAGTAAAATTTGAACTAACAAATAGGTATTTAGAAATGAAATCATTTGAAGTACCTGGGGTGTCTTCGATACTCTTGGAAGTGTTTTAGTTTGAAGGATAAATTGTCTCATTTCCCTTTCCATGACTCAGTTCATGTTTCCATCACCTGCACCGAGCTCCTCATTTGGAGGGTGGTTTTATTCCAGTGGTGGAGCAAACAACAATCCAATGGGAGCTGCGAGAAGATTTGGAAGAGAATTGACGTGGGTCACACAAATTCTTACATTCTGGCTGCTCTTTGAAAAACAAAAAACAAAAGACCTCAATCTGTACTTGTGAAATTACTAAGGATTGTTAAAGAAAACGAGGGACAGCCTTCTTAGACTAAGAGAATAGACTACTTCATCTGGCAAGATATGCTCACTGCAGGTGGTGGGTTCCATGATCGGTGCATCTTTTTGTTATTTTTAGACACACATATTCCATTATTCTCTGTTTCCTGAATCAATAGCCTTGATTTACAAGAGATTTGAGGAAGCTGTGAATTCAGCTGATGCTAAAACCTGACATTCTAAAAGCTGGTTTGGTTTTCAGCTCGTCTAAGCCTAAGTAGAATGAAAACTATGAGCACATTTATGGACTGCCCCTGTTTTCACCTTGGAGCACAGCTCCGAGGTACTTGTCATATTAGGAGCAAATATCTCACACCAGGGAACTTGAATTTCTTAACCTCTTTGTCTTTCTCAAGATTCCCTAAAAAACAGATCCTGAAGCAAAGCTTATGTGTTAAAACTTTATTAGGGAGCATAATCCTAGGAAGAAAGCAATGTAAGAAAGTAAGGAGGGAAAATATGGCTGGGAGTGTTACTGTGCCCACTGAAGATTGACAGCAAGCATAACTGCTTGCTCTGAGTGGGATGAGTCTTAATAGGGGCATCCGAATGACTGTATTTCAGAACAATCAATCTGAAGGGAATAAAGAAGAAGAATTCATCCTTGGGTTCCCTCCAGCCCCACATGGAGTGATCTTGCCTCCCCACAAGTCCAGATCACCTCATTTAGCCTCTCCAGAGTAAATGCAATCCAGAAGAGCTGGGCCAGAGGCATGCAGGCTCGTCACCAGTCAGTGCCATCTGCAGGGATCTGTGATATGTGGCTGTAGTGATAGTAGAAATTAATAACCTGTTTCTATTGTCTCAGGTACGAGGCAACCTTTGCTATGATTACTCTGTCGAGAAAGCAAAGCAAGGGAACAGATGCGTAGTGCAAAAGCTGAGGTTGATATACTTTTCATAGGTTTTCATGGTAGTAGCCACTTAGTCTCTCAAAGTATTGTCCTCCTTGACCATTGCATTTTATGTGGCCACAGGTGATACTTTCATAAATGGTACTATCACCAATTATTGAAATTAGTGATTTTTTTTTTAACCCAAGCAAGTCAGATAACCAATCCAAACTTCCTCCCAGTTCCCCAAGTCATTGTTGCTCACAATCACTCTGGTAAAGAAATAAAGTTTCCTAAATTTTCAAAAATTGAATTCTGAAGAATTACATAATCTTGGTGTAATATCGTCTTACACTTCACTAGTAGATATTGTTAAAATAATTTCAGGTGACTTACAAAATTTAAATTTCAGAATGAGTTCATTGAAAATGCTTACTGTGGATTTTATTTATTTATTTATTTATTTGTGTTAAATATACACATTGGAATAAGAAGAAAGACCCAAACAGAAAAGGGTTTTTGAAAAAGGTAGCATTACAGATATGTATTTTATTGCCTAATTCAAATACTTTCTAGCTCCATTTAAAATAAACCATGTGGATTTGAAAGTAAATGACAATTCTTCCTTATTAGTCTTCTCTTTCATGGCAGTTTTTGTGCTTTGAATTTACTGCCTATTCATATTCTTTGATGAGAAATGCAGACTCCAGCAATGTGTCTAATGTGTTGACTAAAAATAACCCTCAACTATATTCTAGACAGCTTTAAAGGCTAGACTGTATTATCTTTTGAAAGATCAGAACAAAGACCCTTTCAGTTCATGAAGAATGGATGAAAAATTGCTCTAATTAGTTTATTTTAATCTCTAGAGAGGAATATAAGTTGTCTACACATTATAAATGGCTAATTTTTAGTGATTAGTTTTTATTTCTAGGCATTATAACCAACCACCTGGCTTGCCCTGGTCAAATTTACTCTTTTCATCTTTCTCTTGAATTAGATCATACAAAAAATGAATTACTGTGATTTAAATATAAATGACACTGAGCTCATAATGTGTCATAAAACCTTTTTCTCTTAGTTATTTTTATGAGAACAACTTTCTCTTCAGTTACTCAATACAGAGTAACAAATTCTTCACTATTTCTCACCTCCCTTATATAAATATTCACCACGTTTTTCTATTCAGTCTAGTAAATATCTCTCTCCTTTGCTCCTCCATCAACCCTAATTCAGTTTCTTGTTGCTTTTTCCTCGAACTAAAGCAATGCTTTTAACTGTCATCCAACTTCCTTCTGGCCTCTGGCCTTCATTGTTACTACCAATAAGACTTTTCTAAAATGCAAATCTTAACACCTGCTTGTTTGCAAAAACCAACCAATTACTCTCAAAATAAAGTACAAATAATTATATTAACATACTTTATCAGTGGGATGGTTAATTTGATGTATCAACTTGTCCAGGCCATGGCTCCCAGATTTGTAAACAAATATTTGTCTTGGTGTTTCTATGAAGGTTTTCAGATGTGATAAACATTTAAACTTGTGGGCTTTGAGTAAAGCAGATTGTCCTTCATGATGTGGTAAGGACTCATCCAATGAGCTAAAGACCTGTAATAAATAGAACATAAGACTGACTTCTCCCAAATAGGAGGGAATTCTGCAGCAGACTGCCTTTTGACTTGAACTGCAGCACTGGCTCTTCTCTGGTTCTCTAGCCTGCTGACACACCCTGCATATTTTGGATTTTCCAGTCTTCATAATCACATGAGTCATTTCCTTAAAATAACTCTCTTATCTATATATACATTTTCTACTGGTACTGCTGCTCTGGACAATCCTAAGTAATACAAATGGGCACTTGTATCCTTCCCTACCTCCAGCCTTGACTCCACGTACAACATTCTTTGCAACCACATGACATTGAAGTTCTGTATATAAAAACCAGCATCTTCTTGAAGACACAGTCTCTTAAAA
This sequence comes from Homo sapiens, assembly GCF_000001405.40. NCBI lineage: Eukaryota > Metazoa > Chordata > Mammalia > Primates > Hominidae > Homo > Homo sapiens. Next base: position 18,833,336 of record NC_000021.9, read on the forward strand.
TGTTAGCTGCTCGGATGTCTTTCAGTTATTATTTGGTCCAGTAATTAAACATCAAAAAATGTTCCTTTCAAAAGCTTTTTAGTTGTTACTCTTAAGTTATTGAGATTTCTGTTGGTTTTTCTTTTGAAACCAATAGAAGTTAGAATATAATACATTAAGAAAAAAAAGCAAGAGGAAATAAAAGTTGAGTTGAAATACTCTTCAGGGGAAAAAAAAACAAACTTATGCAAGTTAATTAGGTTCAATGGTGATTTCTAATTCCTAATTGTCAACAACTTCCCTCACTTAGCAGGAGTTCCATTTATACACCAACTGTTTATGGAGCATTTACTATATTTGGATAATATGTCTGCACTGAAAATCTTTTTTTTTAAATTTCAACTTTTATTTCAGATACAGGTGGCACATGTGCTTGTTTCTTTTTTATTATTTATTTATTTTTTATTTATTTTATTTTTTATTTTACAGGATACATATGCAGAACGTGCAGGTTTGTTACATAGGTATACATGTGCCATGGTGGTTTGCTGCACCTATTGACCCATCCTCTAAGTTCCCTCTGTTCACCCCCCAACCCCAAACAGGCCCTGTTGTGTGTTGTTTCCCCCCATGTGTCCATGTATTCTCAACTCCCACTTATGAGTGAGAACATGCAGTGTTTGGTTTTCTGCTTCTTGTTAGTTTGCTGAGGATAATGGCTTCCAGCTTCATCTATGTCCTTGCAAAGGACATGATCTCATTCCTTTTTATGGCTGCATAGTATTATGGTATATATGTATCACATTTTCCTTATCTAGTCTATCGTTGATGGGCATTTGGGTTGGTTCCATATCTTTGCTATTGTAAATAGTGCTGCAGTAAACATGCATGTGCATGTGTCTTTATAGCAGAATGATTTATATTCCTTTGAGTATATACTCTGTAATGGAATTGATGGGTCAAATGGTATTGCTGGTTCTAATCCTTGGGGAATTGCCACACCGTCTTCCACATGGGTGAAATAATTTACATTCCCATCAACTGTGTAAAAGCATTCCTATTTCTCCACAGCCTCACCAGCATCTACTATTTCTTGCCTTTTTAATAATCACCATTCTGACTGGCATGAGATGGTATCTCATTGTGGTTTTGATTTGGATTTCTTTAATGATTAGTGATGTTGAGCTTTTTTTCATATTTCTGTTGGTGATGTAAATGTCTTATTTTGAGAAGTGTCTGTTCATATGATTTGCCCACTTTTTGATGGAGTTGTTTGGTTTTTTTTCTTGTAAATTTGTTAGTTTCTTGTAGATTCCGGATATTAGAGCAAAGCTGGAGGCATCATGCTACCTGACTTCAAAGTATACTACAAGGCAACAGTAACCAAAACAGCATGGTACTGGTACCAAAACAGATGTATAGACCAATGGAACAGAAGAGAGACCTCAGAAATAACACCAGACATCTACAACCATCTGATCTTCAACAAACCTGACAGAAATAAGCAATGGGAAAAGGATTTCCTGTTCAATAAATGGTGTTGGGAAAACTGGCTAGCCATATGAAGAAAACTGAAACTGGACCCTTTCCTTACACCTTATACAAAAATTAACTCAAGATGGATTAAAGACTTAAATGTAAAACCCAAAACCATAAAAACCCTAGAAGAAAACCTAGGCAATACCACTCAGGACATAGGCATGGGTAAAGACTTCCTGATGAAAATGCCAAAAGCAATCGCAACAAAAGTCAAAATTGACAAATGGGATCTAATTAAAGAGTTTCTGCATAGCAAAAGAAACTAAAATCAGAGTGAACAGGCAACCTACAGAATGAGGGAAAATTTTTGCAGTCTACCTATCTGACAGTTTTCTTATAAGAGCACATTATGTGATATTGAGGTTTAAGGTAAAAATCCCATCACTCAGCTAGTGAGCACAGTACCCAATAGTAATTTTCAACCCATGTCGCTCTCCCTTCACTCTCTAGTAGTCTTTAGTGTCTATTGTCCCAATGTTTATGTCCATATGTGCTCAAAGTTTAGCTCCCTCTTGTAAGTGAGAACATAAAGTATTTTGTTTCCTGTTTCTGTGTTAATTCACTTAGGATTATGGCCTCTAGCTCCATCCATGTTTCTAAAAAAGACATGATTTCATTCTTTTTTATGGCTACATATTATAGTATTCTATGGTGAATATGTACCACATTTTTCTTCATCCAATACATCATTGATGGGCACCTAAGTTGATTCCATGTCTTTACTATTGTGAACAGCACGATGATGAACATGTGAGTACATGTGTCTTTTTGGTATAATGATTAGTTTTCCTTTGGGTTGAATCCTGGGTTAAACAGTAGCTGTGTTTTAAGTTCTCTGAGAAATCTCCAAATGGCTTTCCTGTGTGAACTAATTTACATTTCCACCAACAGCATATAAGCATTCCCTTTGCTCTGCAGCCTTGCTTGCATCAGAATTTTTTTTGAGTTTTTAATAATAACCATTCTGACTGCTGCTAAATGGTATCTTACTGTTGTTTCGGTTTGCATTTCTCTGATGATTAGTGAGCATGACCACTTTTTCACATGTTCATTGGCAATCTGTATGTCTTATGTGGAGAAATTTCTGCTCAAAAGTCCTTTGCCCATTTTTTAAAAGGGTTATTTTTTGCTTGTTGCTTTTTAAAGTTTGTATAGATTTTGGGTATTAGACTTTTGTTGAATGTACAGTTGGCAAATATGTTCTTCCATTCTGTAGGTTGTCTGTTCTGTTTATAGTTTCTTTTGGTGTGAAGAAGTTCTTTAGTTTAATAGGCCCCACTTGTCAACTTTTGTTTTTGTTGCAATTGCTTCTGGGGACTTTGCCAAAAATTATTAGCCAAGGTTGATGTTGCGAAGGATATTTACTAAGATTTCTTCTAGGATTTTTATAGCTTGCGGTCTTACATTTAAATCTTTAACTCATCTTTAGTTAATTTTTGTGTATGGTGAAGGGTAGAGGTCCAGTTTCATTCTTCTGAATATGGCTAGCCAGTTATTCCAGCACCATTTATTAAATACAGACTCCATTCCCCATTGCTTTTATTTGTCATCCATTTTGAGGATTATGTGGCTGTGGGTATGTAGCTTTATAGCTGAGTTTTCTGTTTTGTTCTACTGGCTTATTTGTTTATTTTTGTACCAGTACCATGCTGTTTTGGTTACAGTAGCATAATAACGTAGTTTGAATTCAGGTAATGTGATGCCTCTGGCTTTGTTTTTAAAGATTTCTTTGGCTATTTGGGTTCCTTTTTGGTTCTATATGGATTTTGGTAGTTTTGTCTAATTCTGTGAAAAAGGATTGAGGTAGTTTGATAGGAATAGCATTGAATCTGTACATTGTTTTGAGCAGGATGGCTATTTTTACAATATTGATGTTTTCAATCCATGAGCATGGAATGTTTTGGCATTTATTTGCATTGTCTCTGATTTCTTTCAGCAGTGTTTTGTATAGTCCTCCTGGTAGAGATCTTTCACCTCCTTGGTTAGCTGTATTCCTAGGTATTTCATTTTCTTTGTGGCTAGTGTAAATGGGTTCATACTGTTGATTTGACTTTCAGCCTGGACATTATTGGTGGATAGAAATGCTACTCAGTTTTGTACATTGATTTTGTATTCTGAAACTTTGCTAAAGGTGTTTGTCAGTTCTAGGAGCCTTTTGGTGGACTCTTCAGTGTTTGAGATACAGAGTCATCTCATCAGCAAAGAAAATTTGATTTCTTCTTTTCATATTTAGATGCCTTTTATTTTTTCTCTTGCTTGATTTCTCTGACTAGGACATTTAGTACTATGTTAAATAGTTGTGAGAATGGTCATCCTTGTCTTGTTCCAGTTCTTAGGGGTAATGATTCCAGCCTTTGCTTGTTCAGTGTAATGTTGGCTATGGATTTGTTATAAATGGCTCTTATTATTTTGAGATATGTTCCTTTGATATTTAATGTGTTGAGAGTTTTTATTATAAAGGGGTGTTGGATTTTATCAAAAGCTTTTTCTGTGTCTACTGAGACAATTCTATGTTTTTTGCTTTTAATCCTGTTTATGAGGTTAATTACATGTATTGATTTATGTGTGTTGAGCCAACCTTGAATTTCAGGAATAACACCTACTTGATCATGGTGAGTTAACTTTTCGATGTGCTTCTGGCTATAGTTTGCTAGTATTTTGTGAAGGATTTTCATATCTATGTTCATCATGGATATTGCCCTGAAGGTTTCTTTTTTCATTGCAGTGCTGCAGATTTTGTTGTCAGGCTAACACTGGCTTCACAAAATGCATTAAGGAGGAGCCTGTCCTTGATTTTTTGGGATAGTTTCAGTAGGATTAGTACCGGTTCTTTTTCATACATCTGGTAGAATTTGGCTGTGAATCCGTTTCATCCAGGCTTTCTTTTGGTTGGCAGGTATTATGTTACTTATTCAATTTCAGAACTTGATATTGGTCTATTTAGGGTTTCAATCACTTTCTGATACAATCACGAGAGACCGTGTGTTTCCTGGAATTTGTCCATTTTTTCTAGATTTTCTAATTCATGTGCATAGTGGTCTCTGAGGACCTTTTGCATTTCTGTTGAATCAGTTATAATGTTATCTTTGTCATTTCTGATTGTACTTATTTGGATCTTCTTTTTTTGTTAATCTAGCTAGTAGTCCATCAATCTTATTTGTTCTTTTGAAAAAACATTTCGATTTTATTGGTTCTTTATATGGATTTTTGCACCTGAATTTCATTTAGTTCTTCTCCCATTTAAGTTATTCCTTTTCTTTTGCTTGCTTTGGGGTTGGTCTGTTCTTTTTTTTTTCTCTCTAGTTTCTTGAGATGCAAGTTAGATTGTTACTTTGAGATCTTTCTAACTTCTTGATGATGGCATTTAGTCTTTTAAACTTTCCTCCTCACATCACTTTAGCTGTATCCCAGCGATTTTGGTAAGCTGTCTTGCGTTTGTTAGTATTTTCACTAATTTCACAAAGTTTTTTTAAAATTTCTGCTTTAATTTTTATGTACACCCAGAAGTTATTCAGTAGCAAGTTGTTTAATTTCCATATGTAGTTTTGAAAGATCTTCTTGATATTGATTTCTGTTTTTATTGCACTGTGGTCCAAGAGTTTGATTGGTACAATTACAAAATTTGAATTTATTGACACTTGCTTTATGATTGGGCATGTGGTCAGTCTCAGAATTTGTTCCATATGCAAACAAAAATAATTCAAACTCTATAGTTGTTGGGTGGAATGTTCTGTAGATGTGTATTAGAAAGTGCCAAGTTTAAGTCCAGAGCTTCTTTGTTACTTTTCTGCCTCAATGATATGTCTAATGCTGTAAGTGGAGTGTTGAAGTTTCCCACTATTGTTGTTGGCTGTCTAAGCCTTTTCATACATCAAAAAAATTGCTTTATGTATCTGAGTGCTCCAATATTCGGTGTGTATAGATTTAGGATAGTTAAGTATTCTTGTTAATTGTACACTTTATCATTTTGTAATATCCTTCCTTTTCCTTCTAAAGTGTTATTCATTTTTAGTCTGTTTATCTTATATAAAAATAGCAATTCCTGCTTTTTTCTGTTTTTCATTTGCATAATAGATCTTTTTTCATCCCTTTATTTTGAGCCTGCGGGTATCAATACATGTGAAATATGTCTCTTGAAGACGGCAGATGGTGAGGTCTTGTCTTTTGATTCAGCTTGCTATTTTGTCTTTGAAGGGGGGCATTTAGCCCATTTGCATTCAGCGTTAGTATTGATATGTGAGATTTTGATTCTGTCATGTTGTTAGCTGGTTGTTATGTAGGCTTGATCATGTAGTTGCTTTGTTTGTGTGCTATGTGCTTAAGTATGATTTTGTGGTAGCAGGTATCCTTCTATCAATTCCATATTTAAGACTTCTTTAAAAACTTCTGGTAAGGATGGTCTAGTTGAAGTAAATTCCCTCAGAATTTGTTTGTCTTAAAACAATTTTATTTATCTTTCACTTCCAAAGCTTAGCTTGGCAGGATATGACATTCTTGACTGAATTTCTTTTCTTCAAGGACAACTGAAAATAGGCCCCCAATCTCTTCTGGCTTATAAGGTTTCTGCTGAGAGGTCTTCTACTAGCCTGATGGAGTTCCCTCTGTAAGTAACCTGCTCCTTCCTTCTAGCTGCCTTTAATTTTTTTTTCCACTGACCTTAGTGAATCTGATGACTATGTGCCTTTGTTATAGTAATCTTGTATAACATCTAGTTGTGGTTTTCTGTATTTCCTGAATTTTCATGTCATTCTCTCTAGAGAGATTAGAAAAGTTTTATGGACTATCTCCTCAAATATATTTTCCAAATTGCTTATTCTCTTTCCTTCTCTGTCAATAATGTCAATGAGTCATAGATTATTCTCTTTACAAAATTTCGTATTTTCAGAGGTTTTATTCATTTTTTTAAATTCTTTTTTCTTTATTTTGTCAGAATGAGTTGATTCCAGGAACTAGTCTTCAAGCTCCTGAGATTCTTTTCTCAGATTGTCTCTTCTGCCATTAATACTTCTGATTGAATTATAAAATGATTGTATTGAATTTTTCAGCTGTATAAGTTCAGTTTGCTTCTTTCTTGAAATGGCTATTTCAGCTCTTGGATCATTTTACTGAATTTCTTGATTTCTTTGGATTGGGTTTCAACTTTCTCCTGAATCTCCATTAAATTTTTTGCCCTCCAGATTCTGTATTCTGTCTGCCATTTTAGACTACTTACAGACCATTGATGATGTTCTGGTAAACTTGGATTAAGGGAACACTCTGGCCTTTTGAACCGCCTAAGTTCTTGTGCTAATTCTTTCTCATCTTGGAGGGTTGTTGTTCCTTTAATTGTGGTGTAATTTAATTACAGTCAGTTGGCTTTGTTTATGGATGTTTCTAGAGGGCTAAAGCTCTGTATGTGGTCTTTATTTATGGCTGAATTCTTACCCTTGGTTTCATGGGTCAGTATATTAGCAAAATATTTTTGGTGTTGTAGTTTGGGCAACTATCCAGCAGATGGCTATCTAGGGTAACTGCCAATAGTTAAGTTCTTACTCAACCATGTGGCTCCTTTGTAATTCCTGGGTTTGCAGCTGTTCTCTGCAGTGAGGTGGGGGAGAGAGGTTACACTCTCACCAGGTATGCTCCTGGGCATTGGGGAAGTACCCTCGGATCACTGGCACTGTGCTTGGGAATTTATTTTGCTCCAAAAGTGGATATTCTGGGGTGTATTTCCTTGAGCAGAGGCTGGGGCAGGAAGATAGGCCACACCATTTCTGGACAGGCTCTCCTCCCCAGGAACCATTCAGGGCTGGGAACTAGCATTAGCATTTGGGTATGTTGCACAGTGTTCCCAGCTTCCTCCTTCTTCAGACTCAGTGTCTGTGTCATGGTTCCATATATTCTTGGTGTTTTCTCTCTGAAGATCCATCCAAATTATGTTGGTTTACCTTTTGATCTCTCTTGATGGGAGCAGCATTTTCTGGCTGCATCTAGTTGTTGGCCATCTTGTCCCTCTAGCACTGGGAATTTGATTGTGAGCTAGATTTAGTCCCTCACAACAAGCTGCATGGAGTCTAGAGGGGAAAATAAACTGGAATGCCAAGAGTTATGATAAAGCATGAGTTCAAGAAAAGGTGTTTCATTATTTTGTCTAAGGCAGGATTCCTAATTATTTTTGCATGGGGTTTGGATAAGAATCTGTCAAGGAAACAACTCCAAGCTGTGATGAAGTCAGGGTCAGTCAGCCTTTTTATTATAAGTGATCAGAAATATCAAGATGAGGATACGAAGCAGAGCATGGAGTACTGAAATACTTGTTTTCTAGAAACTTAAGGGACTCTTCAAATCATACATCATATTTATGTATCATTTTTAAAGGGATATTTTATTGCTATTTGAAGGAATAATATTTTCACATATATTAAGTCAGTATGCCTTGAATGAGCTTATTGAATGTACTTTATTCTTCCCCACTACTTTCCCTCAAACTGGAGGAGACAGCGAAGGATGGAATCATGAATAAGAAGTGGTTGGAAAAACATAATCCCACTTTTTATTCCTGGATACTGCACAGTCTTTTGTTATTAAGTTTAGCAAAAAGTTCTGAAACACAGTTCTAGATTTCTCTCATTGAACAATAGACTTAATTATCTTAATTTTATTTATCCAAAGTTTGAGAGTTAATTTAGAAACACGATGAATTATTAATAAGTTTGTATCAAAAAGCACTCAAATACATAAACTTGAGTTTCTTAGTATAATACTTATCTTTTAATGTCTATGCATTAATATCTATTAATGCATGATAATAATATAATAACAACCACAAGACAAGACAAATTTACTGCCTATAAAAAGTTCATTGCTTAATAAAATGTCATTTTGTATTACTCATTCTTATTTAAATCTTGGTCTAGACAATTAAATATCAAACCCTACAAATTTATTGAGAATACTGACTAATTAACGACCAACACAAAACCTTCAGTATAAATAGTACTTGTCTTTCATCTCCTCACCTAGATGATTAGTTATTGTTAACTGGTGAAAAAATCAGGAGCACATACATTAGTATGCATGGTGTCATAAGCGAATACAACATATACATTCTGTTTCCTCTCTTTCCACTCCTGGTATTTCCTTATATGGACTGCCTCATATCCAACCTAGAAGACATGAGACAAAAAAACCAACCTCAATTGATCAGAAAAATTTCAAATAGGATCATTATTTATCTTATAGAGAAAGATCTAAAATGAATATGGAGAAGAATATTTGATTTGATTAGAACATTACATTTTGTCATTATTTGTGCTAATTTCAATATGGTAAAATGAAGCCCCTGGATTCTCAGTCTGAAGTAAACTGGAGACCACTATTTCAGTACCATTTTAGCACAAATATTTCACTTTTCCCTTGATATTAAAAAATAGCAGAAATGTATTTTCTTGCAATTGTTTTCTTAAGAGTGTTTCATGGGTAGCTCATTTTCCAAAGAAATATAAAGTCTAGTATGATCATCACATTCCAATATTTTTCAGGCAATTTTTTGGCATGCTTATTTATCTTATTATATTATTATATATAACTGGATAACAATATGATAATTAAGCATTTTTTCAGATATATCAAGGAGAAATTAAATGATGAAAGAGATTTGATACAGCTATAGATTAATATTTTGAGGTCTAGATTTCAAAACTTCTGATTTTAAAATTTAGACTTTGTATAGCATTTTGATAGTATTGTTGGCTTGATATCAAATGTTTAGAGCTTGTGGATTATTCTTTTAATTTCAATATGAAGAATATTCAATCATTATTCTTACAATATATTGATTCAAATTTTCAATTTTTAAAATAAAGTTACATTGGGTAAATTCAAGTGTCATTGAAGTAAATTACACTACAGTGAAGAGTAGAAGGGAACAGAAAAAATATGTGTTCTCATAGTGTAGAACATTTATCATAAGAAGTAAATATTTTATGGGTGAGAAACCAGCACTTCTACTTTTATTTAAAATCACTGTATCTAGCAAATATGCCTTTGTTATTTGATTTTATTTAAAACAGAGTGACATCTAGGTGACCATCAATAGTACTTGAGTCAAAATTTAAAAATTGACATGAAATTAATCATAATACAAAAGGTTGCTATTATAAATTATAGTGAAACTAAAATAAGAATAAATTTTTGAAATGTGCTAGTAGAGATATACAAAATGAAAGTTGCTCTAAAACATGATGTCCCTCTTTGAGTTAGCTGTTGTCACAAAAATGCTGCATGATAATAATATAATAACAACCATAATAACAACTACAAGATCTCAGTGGAATGTACTAACAAGCATTTATTTAGCTCATAATTCTACAGAATGGCTGGCAGGGAGACTAACCTAGACAGAGTTCTCTTGAGTATGGTTCTGTTCCACTTGTCTTTCATCTATTTCTTCGGACAGCAGGCTAGCCCAGGTGTATTCTCATTGTGTTGGCAAAGACAAAAAAAAGTTCAGGTGTAAAACTCACAACATATTTCAAGAATATATTATATAATATCTGCTAAAATACTATTGGTTGAAATAAATTATATGGCTGAGCCCAGCTTTAAAGGGTAGAAAGAATGTACCTCCCAATCTGATCTTAAAGCAAGTTCGTGATCAAGCTCAACTACAAAGAAGTCAAAATCTATATTCCTTCACTTGAAAGTGGAGGAGAGTGGTGAATATTTCTGACAAAATAATTTACCCAATAACTATATTAGTAAGACTATGTGTTATAATCTATAATTGGCTATAGTATAATGAAAGTAATCTTACAATTTACACAAGTGGCTACTAAAATGGTTCACTTAAAAATACTTTTGGTAAGCCCATTTAAAAGGTATCATTTAAGTAAAGAAGATAATAAAATTAATCTCAAAATGTATCTTCAGCGGGACTTGAGTAGGAAGTCTTTAACTCTTTTTTGTTTTTTGGTAGAAGAATTGCTACTGAAAACATGCCAGTTTTGTAACAACTTCTATGTATCAAAGTGGATATATTGAGTAAAAAAGGAACCAGTCTTTGCCTGGCAGGACATCATTTGACGTTAGAAATGGATATGTTTCTTTTTTTTTACCCTGGGGTAGAAAAGAATACTGGGTGATTCTTAATCTTGAAAGAGAGGGGGCTTTCCTTGGCTAGTTGTAATGCAGTATTACTTTTTAAAATCTATGACAAATAGACTTTAGAAAGTTTCAGTGGGAAAGCTTAAATGTTTCTTTTCATAAATGATCATTTATGTATGTTATGAAAATAAAGGAAAGAAACACACGATTTTTCTTTAATCCTTTACATCTCACACTGTTATGAGAATATGTGCATGTTTCATAATATTTCTGACAAAGATGAATTTTCACCCTTAATTCCTCTCAATTATAAAGTAAAATGTTTAATGAACATATTTTTTGAAGATATCTTGTGTGTAAACAACACATGTAGGACTCCCAAAATGAGAACCACATTATGCACTAGGAACTTGCCCACAGATGAATATCTTCTTGTTTGTCTTTAAAAGTGAGGTGGAAGGAGATAACAGGAAAAATGTCCTCTCTTTTGTCAGACACCAGGAAGAGCTCTTTATCTAGAAGGTATTTATCTTTGCATCAGAGGACAAAAAACATAACATTTCATGTGAAGAACCAATGACCACAATATTTAGGGATAACAACAGAAGTCATTTCCTGCATCCTTCAATTCATTGACATGATAATATAAATTCTCATTCTCCTCCTCTTAGTTGGCATGAGAAACCAAAGCTTTTTTCAGCTTCAGAGTAAGTTCAGCTGAGGCCTCCTTTGTGACTGTGTCACGGCTCAATTTCTTTCTGCTCAATTTCTGTCCCTTCCCTCACTGGTGTTGATCCCAAGAGCAATTCCTAATGAACCCATTACACACTAATCTTCACCTCAGAGTTAGTTTCCCAGAATATCCAAGGACTAACGGGAGTCTTCTAATAAACATTCATGGGCTAGCTCATCCACGAGATTGTAGGCTTCTCAAGCAAATTTAACTTAGATGAATGTTATAGAAGTACTTTAAATAGAAAAGTGAAGTGATCATCTGATAAAAATTGATTTGAAATGGCAGAGTATTAACAGGTAAGAATATGAGGCTATTTTACTCATCAGAGCAAGAAAGAACAGGGCTAATAGCTGATAGCTAACGTACATATGACACTGTTCTAAATAAATTCATATAATATGTTATTAATATTCATAAAAATGCTATGATGTAGGTAATACATTTATTTATCTCTATTACCCCATATTATATGATAAAAATGGACCACAGAAAGGTTTAGTACATTGTCTAAAGTCATGCGACTGGTAAGTGGTGAAGCCAGGACTTGAGCCAGTAGTGTGGCTTCGGAGTTCTTTCTCTTTCTCTCTATAGCCATGATGTACAGTTGACCCTTGAACAATTTGGGGGTCAGGGGCATTGATGCTCTGCCAGTCAATATCCACGTATCATTTTTGACTCAGCCAAATTTAACTACTAATAGCTTACTGCTGATCAGAAGATTTACTGATAATATAAACAGTCATGTAATGCATAGTTTGTATGTTGTATGTGCTATATACTGTATTTTTATAATAAAGCAAGCTAGAGAAAAAAGTTATTAAGACAATCACACAGAAGAGAAAATTTATTTACTCTTCATTAAGTAAAAGTGGATCATCATAAAGGTCTTCATCTTTGTCATCTTCACAGTATGTAGGCTGATGAGGAGGAGGAAAAGGAGGGATAGGTCTTGCTGTCTCAGGGTGGCAGAGGCAGAAGAAAATCCATACATATGTAGACCCACACAGTTCAAACCTGTGTTGTTCAAGAGTCTACTGTGTATCTGGTGATTGCTAAGACAGTAGGAACAGCAAGACAGTTATGTGAGCAGAATAATATTATATTAATGAGGGGAAGTGAATAGGCATTTTAAATGTGATTATTGTATTTGGACAAAAGTTTGATGTACCTATGGAATCCAAGAGGAAGTCTCTTGTAGCTAGCTGAAAGTGCAGCTCTGAGCCTATGAGAAATCTATGAAGGCGCTAAAGAGCTGGAAGCCAGAGGACATTAATGATAGCTGGAGCCATGGCTAGTGATATGACGATTCATGGAGACTGGGTGGAAGGAAAGAGAAATGATAAGGTCAAGAATAGAATCTGGGTTGTCATGATGGTATTATGTGCCTGTAGTGACAGCTACTAGGGAGGCTGAGGAAGAAGGATCACTTGAGCCCAGATGTTCAGGACCAACCTGGGCAACATAGCAAGACCCCATCTCTAAAAAATTAATTAATTAATTAATTTTATTAAAGGTAAAATAAAAAGAATAGAAACTGGGTAGGGTGCCTGCACTTAAACATTCTCTATGCCGAAAATAATGACACAGAAACAAATGAAAATATCCACAGGTTTTAGTAATAATAGAAATAGCTAAGATTCATATGCTTATTTTATATATACATAAGATTATAAGATGTAAGTTACTCAAAATCTATGCCTTGTATCTTGAAGCATCAAATTATTTTTTTCAATTAATAGAAATAAACCTATAAATACTCATGCTTATTTCAATCAGTGACTCCTATAACCCATATTTCAGAAGAATTTTCTGAAGTGTTAGTAACCTTCTAAATGTCTTCAATTTCATGGTTTGTTAACTTTTAGAGACATCAATATTTTTGAATAAGTAAAAGCATTAGAATGATTAATTACATGGTTTAGCTAAAATTCAAATGAAATATGTACCTTTTCTCTCACTAACTCAAATTTGTTTCAAAAGAATTGTGAGTTTTGAAGGAAAAACACCGAAGAGTCAGAGTTTTATGATAATGAACAAAAACTAAGATTAAAACATATATAACAAATAATTTTATTAAAAATTTTCCTTGTTTGTATTAATTATAACATAAAATTATATAAAGTAAAATGTTTTTCCATAAATAGTGTCTGAAAAAATGTCTTTTATTATGCCATTTTTTCACAAATATTTACATCTTGTAATAAACTTTGTAGTTAGGTGCTTCAAAGAAAAAGTATTTCTAATTTCTTTTGTCCATACTACTCCTAAAAAGAAATCAGTACTGCATCAGTATTCAGAAACCAAAATTCAAACTTTCTGTAAGTTCTGTCTCCCTTCAATGGACTGTTAAAATAATGATGACTTTTTTCCTCCTTGCTATTTCAGTTTTCATTATTGTTAATATAAATGATGAATGTGGCACAACCATAATTGAATTATCCCAGTTTATCACCCCTATTTGTCTTAAAAACTATTTTCCTTATATGTTTCAGTTTACAAGATGTTTGGTCATTTATTTAAAAAACTCTCTAGCATTTATCTGAGGAAAAAAAAACACTCAATGGCCTAAGTTGATATAAAATTAATTTATAACTGTGCTCTGATTTATTGGTTATTAGTTTTATTTCTGTGAAGAAATAAGTTTAAAAGTACATCAGATATATGTACATCAGATACAAAGAAAGAAAGCTTTTACTTTAATTCTATATCCTGAGGGACTTGAAATGCCTAAATGACTAAGAATATGATTGATAATCCAAATGTTTCTTTTTATTAAAAAAAAGATAAATATTTTCACATACTGCTTATGGACTTGAAAGGTTAAAAATGTTCCAAGTTTGTTTCCCCTTAAGATATATGGATGTAACTACTTCTTTCTAGCTGTCCAAAATCATTGATATCTGGGTTATGAACCTAGAATGTCTACATATAGATTATCATTTTAAACTACTCTTTCTTTTTCTTTTAGAGGTTTTAATTCAATCCAGAAATGGAATTTATCTCAGGCCCCTTTCCATTTGTTTCACAATATTATCTGAATGACAATTATTTTATATCATTATGTCATACCTTATAATTCATTTTGGCCGGGTGCGGTGGCTAACGCCGGTAATCCCACCACTTTGGGAGGCCAAAGCAGGTGGATCACGAGGTTAGGATATTGAGACCATCCTGGCCAACATGGGGAAACCCCGTCTCTACTAAAAGACAAAAAAATTAGCCGGGCGTGGTGGCGCGTGCCTGTAGTCCCAGTTACTCAGGAGGCTGAGACAGGGGGATCGCTTGAACCCAGGCAGCTAAGGTTGGAGAGCTGAGATCGCGCCACTGCACTCCAGACTGGTGACAGAGCAAGACTCCGTCTCAAAAAAAAAAAAAATCATTTCACATGACATTAATGCATACATTGCATTTGATAACTAATTGAAGGCAGTGCCATTTTAATAGTATGCTATATAAAACTATTCATACTCTCCAGGAGATATTTTTGATATGATATCATGAAAGAGAAATCTGCTTCATTGTCTTTCTTACAATTGTCATCAATCGTAAGGTTTGTTGAATTGTTTTGGCCAAAATGCTGTATGAACAATGTAGCCCAAGCTGAAGTTGTCTCAGGTGGAGATGAAGAACTTATTGGGAACTGGAGCACAGGTCACTCTTGCTATGCTTTAGCAAAGAGACTTATCACTTTAACTAAAAGTGATAGCACTATCCATTTCAAAGACAAATTTTATTACATCATGAAAGTAAAGTAAAAAATTAATTGGAATTGTGCCTTATGAAAATGGAGTCAAAGTATTTTTCCCTATTTCTACTTCTAAGACCAACTAAAAATCCTGGCTATTACATGTCAAACAAACAGAATCCTGTAAAAGATTTAAAAAAAAAACCAGAAAAAGTAAAAAAATACAAGTAATGACACAGAAGTAAGATCTCTGGATTTTATTTTGCCATGTATATCTCATAATTGGTGTGGGTAAACTGGACTGGTAACCCACCCAGCATGGCCAAGGGGTTCAGAACAAAAACAGAAAGCTTCAAGAAAAATTGATCTGTTTAGCCAAAAGGCCAAGAAAGGGACATCCTAGCAAGTCAGAACATTTTCATACAATAATCACTCTACCTACCCATGCACCACAATGTTTGAGGGAGGAAGTAGCCCCTATTCCCAATGCACCAGTGAATACCTACTGGGTAACCAAAGCTTACACCCTTACCAGGCAGAAATTAGGCACCCCCACCTGTCCTTTTGGGATGGTGACATAACAGGTTGAATAGGAAGTCACAACTTAGCAGTGTCAGAACAGTCTATGTGGTAAGCCTGGACTTCTACTCCTTCCTTGCAGTAAAAGTCAGTGATATGGTTTGCCAAATCACATTTTAATCTCAGACATTTTAATCTCAGTGATTAACATTCACTCAATGCCAAAATGTCATCTTCCATTGTAATCCCCACAATACCCAGGTGTCAATGGTGGGATCAGGTGGAGGTAATTGGATCATGGGGGTGGTTTCCCCTGGTGCTGTATTTGTGATAATGAGTGATTCTTATGAGATCTGATGGTTTTATAAGAATCTGGCATTTCACCTGCAAGCACTCACTCTGTTCTGCTGCCCTGTGAAGAAGGTGCCTGCTTCTCCTTTGCCTTCTGCCTTGATTGTAAGATTCCTGAGGCTTCCCCAGCAATGTGGAACTGTGAGTCAATTAAACTTCTTTCCTTTATAAATTACCCAGTCTTGGGAATTTCTTCATAGCCATGTGAAAATGGACTAATACAACAAATTGGCACCACATGCTTTATAGTGGCACCAGAGAGTGGGATGCCACTGTAAAGATACCCAAAAATGTGGAAGTGACTTTGGAACTGGGTAACAGGCAGGGATTGGAACAGTTTGGAGGGCTCAGAAGAAGATAGGAAAATGTAGGAAAGTTTGGAACTTCATACATGTTTGTTGAATTGTTTTGGTCAAAATGCTGTATGAACAATGTAGCCCAGGCTGAAGTTGTCTTAGATGGAGATGAAGAACTTATTGGGAACTGGAGCAAAGGTCACTCTTGCTATGCTTTAGCAAAGAGACTTATGGCATTTTGCCCCTGCCCTCGAGATCTATGGAACTTTGAACTTGAGAGAAATGATTTAGGGTATCTGAAATGATTTAGGGTATCTGAGGGAAGAAATTTCTAAGTGGCAAAGCATTTAAGAAATGATCTGAGTGCTCTTAAAAGCATTCAGTTCCATGAATTCTCAAAAAAAGATGGTTTGGAATTGGAACTTAGGTTTAAAGGAGAAGCAGAGCATACAAGTTTGGAAAATTTGCAGGCTGATAATGAAATAGAAAAGAAAAATCCATTTTCTGGGGATAAATTCAAGCCAGCTGAATGAATTTGCATATATAATAAGGAGGCAAATGTTAATCGCTGAGATAATAGGAAAAATGTCTCCAGGACATGACAGAGACTTTTGTGGCAGCACCTCCAATTACAGGCTTGAAGACCTAGGAGAAAAAAAATTGGTTTTGTGGACTAAGCCCAGGTCCTTGCTGCTTTATGTAGTCTTGGGACTTGGTGCTCTGCATCCCAGCCATGGCCAAAAGGGGTCAACTTACAGTTCAGGCTGTTGTTTCAGAGGGTGCAAGCCCCAAGCCTTGGACACTCACACAAGGTATTGAGCCTTTGGGTGCACAGAAGTCAAGAACTGAGATTTGGGAACATCTGCCTACGTTTCAGAGAATGCATGGAAATGCCTAGATGTCCAGGCAGAAGTTTGCTGAGGGTTGGGGCCCTCATGGAGAACATCTGCTAGGGCAGTGAGGAAGGGATATGTGGGATTGGAGCCCCAACACAGAGTCCCCATTGGGTCACTGCCTAGTGGAGCTTTGAGAAGATGGCCACTGTCCTCCAAACCACAGGATGGTAGATCCACCAACCGCTTGCATCATGCACTTGGAAAAGCCACAGACACTCAATACCAGCCCACAAAAGCAGCTGGGAGGGGGGCCATACCCTGCAAAGCCACAGGAGCAGAGCTGCCCAAGACCATAGGAACACTCCTGTTGCATCAGCGTGACCTGGATGTGAGACACTGAGTCAAAGGAGATCATTTTGGAACTTTAGTGTTTAATGGTTGCCCTATTGGATTTTGGACTTGCATGAGGCCTGCAGCTCCTTTGTTTTGGCCAGTATTTCCCATTTGGAACAGGCATGTTTACCCAATGCCTGCACCCCCATTGTATCTAGGAAGTAACCTAACTTGCTTTTGGTTTTACAGGCTCATAAGTGGAAGGGACTTGCCTTGTCTCAGATGAAACTTTGGACTTGGATTTTTGGGTTAATGCTAGAATGAGTTAAGACATTGTTAGACTGTTTGGAAGGCATGATTGTGTTTTGAAATGTGAGGACATGAGATTTGGGAGGGGTCGGGGTGGCATGATATGGTTTGGCTGTGTCCTCACCCAAAATGTCATCTTGAGTTGTAAGTCCCATAATCCCCACATGTCAAGGGTGGGACCAGGTGGTGGTAATTGGATCATGGGAATGGTTCCCTACATGTTTTTTTCATGATAGTGAGTCTCAGGACATCTGAAGTTTTTATGAGTGTCTGGCATTTCCCCTGCTTGCACTCCCTTCATCCTGCCACACTGTGAAGAAGGTTCCTACTTCTTTTTTTGCCTTCCACCATAATTGTAAGTTTCCCGAGGCCTCATCAGCCATGTGTAACTGTGAATCAATTAAAATTCTTTCTTTTGTAAATTACTCAGTCTTGGGTATTCCTTCATAGCAGTGTGAGAACAGACTAATATAGGCAGCATACACTGTTCTGGTACCAAAGTGGTATCAGAGAAGGCCAGCTAAAATAGTGTGTTTAAATAAGGTCCACAGTACTTAAAATATCCAGATTTTATTCAAAAAGTCATTAATCATACCAGAACCAGGAATATCTTAAGTGAGAAAGAAAACAAAATGACCGAGGTGTGTTGACAAAAAGATACTAATTCTGTAAAATATTTGAAGAGATTTATTCTGAGCCAAATAGGAGTGACCATGGCCCGTGACACAGACTTAGGAGGTCCTGAGAACATATGCCCAAGGTGGTTGGGGTGCAGCTTGGTTTTATAAATTTTAGGGAGGCTTGAGACATCAATCAAATAAATTTAAGAAATACATTGGTTTGGTCCAGAAAGGCAGGACAAGTCAAAGAGGGGGCTTCCAGACTGTAGGTAAATTTAAACATTTTCTCGTTGACCATCAGCTGAGTTTGTCCATACACCTGTGGTCATAGAAAGGAAATGTTCAGGTTAAGATAAAGGATTGTGAAGACCAAGGTTTTTTTGAAGTCTTATAGTGCTTCCCTTAGTGACAATAGATGGTAAATGTTTCCTCCCTTAGTGACAATAGATGACAAATGTTTCCTACTCAGATTCTTAGAAGTTACTAGGCTTTTATTTCATCTCTTTAAGATTAGGAGGGCCCGAAGAAAAATATCTAGCTATGTTAATAGGGATTATTTTCAAATGAAAATTCACCCCCCCCCAACAAAGGACAACTTTGCATGGCCATTTCAAGATATGGCAAAGGAACATGTTTTAGGGTAAAATATTTTGACTTTCTTATTTGTCACATAATGTTATGCCAGAGTCAGATTAGAAATTAAGTCATAATATGCAGGGTTAAATAAAACCCATCTGATGAGAATTAATGGTTTTTAGGGCATGACACCCCGGACCTCTTACATAGGAATTTGGGAAAGAAAAAATATCAGAGCTTAGTGCTCAGGTGTTAGAATCATCTGACAAAGATTTTAAAGCAGTAACAAAAAATGATTTAAATAGTGTATCAGTCCATTTTCATACTGCTATGAAAAATTACC
Organism: Homo sapiens; assembly: GCF_000001405.40. Taxonomy (NCBI): domain Eukaryota; kingdom Metazoa; phylum Chordata; class Mammalia; order Primates; family Hominidae; genus Homo; species Homo sapiens. The sequence continues at coordinate 18,852,542 of NC_000021.9, forward strand.
CGAGACTTGGTAATTTATAAAGGAAAGAGGTTTAATGGACTCACAGTTTCACATTGCTGGGGAGGCCTCATAATCATGGTGGAAGGTGAAGGAGGAGCAAAGTCATGTCTTACATGGCACCAGGCAAGAGAAAATTGCAGGGAAACTGCCCTGTATAAAACCATCAGATCTCCTGAGACTTATTCACTATAATTAGATCAGCATGGGAAAAACTTACCCCCATGATTCAGATTCAATTATCTCCCACCAGGTCCTTCCCATGAAAAGGGGGGATTATGGGAGCTACAATTAAAGATGAGATCTGGGTGGGGACACAGCGAAACCATATCAAAGAGCAATTATATACATAATTAAAACAAATGAAAACATACAAAGTCTCAGCAAAGAAATAGAAGATATAATAGGGCTGGGCATGGTGGCTTATGCCTGTAATCCCACCACTTTGGGAGGCCAAGGCAGGAGGATTACACATGGTCAAGAGTTTGAGACCAGCCTGGCCAATATGGTAAAACCCTGTCACTACTAAAATTACAAAAATTATCCAGGTGTGGTTGTGGGCACCTGTAATCCCAGCTACTTGGGAAGCTGAGGCAGGAGAATCACTTGAACCTGGGAGGCAGAGGGTGCAGTGAGCCAAGATTGTGCCATTGCACTCCAGCCTGGATGACAGAGCAAGACTCCATCTCAAAAAAAAAATAAATAAATAAAAATAAAAAATAGAAGATATAATAGAAGAAACCATACATATGAAGCCAAAATTGATTCAACTAAAAAGTAAAATAGACATATCCACAACTACAGTTGGAGATTTCAATATCCCTTTCTCAACATTTGAGTAAATGAGACAAAAAATTGGAAGGCTGTAGAAAAACTCAATAGTATCATTAAGAAACAGGATCTGATAGATATTTATCAAACCTTCAACACAAAACAACAGAATACATATTCTTTCTAAATGCCTGTAAATATGTACCAACATAGACCATATTCTGAGCAACTAAACCATTCTATGCTCAAACAAAAAGATCCAACAAAATTGTTAAACCATTTAAAAGAATTATAGAGTGTTATAGAGTAAAAGTATAGAGTGTTATATGACCACTGGAATCAAAATAGAAACCAATCACAGAAAGAAAACAGGAAAATATCTAAACCCTTGGAGATTAAAAAAATATATACTTCTAAATAATCCATGGGTCAGAGAGGAATGCCTCAAGGGAAATTTTTAAAAAATTGAACTGAATTAAAAAATAAAAGTACAACATAGGAAATTTACATGATGCAGCTAAAGCAGTACTAATATGTACATGTATAGCACTAAATGTTATGTTAGAAATGTCATCAGCCCACATCAGGAGTGCTTTTCAGGATACCTAGCCAGCTTCCTGGAAACAAAGTCTTCACTATTAGCTTTTTTATAAGTTCACTTTGTTGTTATACTTTTTCTTCTTCACAGTATGAAATTACTTTCTTTTCTTATATTTCCATTCACATTATTTTTTAAATTTATTTTTTGGTTAACTGAAACTTTAAAAAACTTATCTGGTACAAATTCCAATTTAAACTTTTTGTGGATAGATATTTAGGATAGTAAAAATAGAGCCTGGTGGTGAATAGAAATCCCTCCAGAGCAGCCTAATGCAGGATAGCTGGCACACTTACACCTTCCTGTGACTATGTTGATGGCCTCTACTGATCCATGGCACTGTTTGTGTTCTAAGTGGCTACACACTAAAGATATGCCCAACTGGGAAGTCTGCCCTGATTAATGTCCTTCACACATAAGGTACAGATGGCATGGCACTTCTTGCCTTAATTAATTTATTAGGGACGCCATATGGGAAAAACAGCTTTCCTTTCAACTGGAATTACTTGGGGAAATAAAACGACAACCCATTGCCGTGGGACTACATTAAATTATCAAACTAGCTGAAGATAAAAGAAATCAATGAATTGCTTGGACAGAAGCTGTGTGCACTGGCATCTTTCCATTACTCCTATTTTTGAAAACCAGATAGAATGCAGTTTTTCAGGTGATGCAACATTTTAAGTGCAGAACTGTTTATTAGAGTTGACATCAAGTAAAAATATTCAAGACTGAGTTAATAAGACTGTTCAGCTGACCATTAGGATGCCATTGTTTAAAATTTTGTGTAATAACAATGTGTTGGAATGACACTGGGGCAAAAGCGTGGGTACACAATTAAGTTTTAAATCTGTGCATTTATTAATGTTTTGCTCTAAATGTTACATTCGTGCACTAGGAGAAATATACAATCTGTGCAATTGCTTAGGGAGCAAATAATCAACATTTCTTATGTAGGTGTAAGTAACTATGGGTATTAGACTTTTCCTCAAACCTGTGTTTTTCAATCTCGAGTAATTATACAAGGAAGATGCTCAATAAGTATTTGAAGAGTTAAATAATCTTCCAATTAGTTTCAAATTTGGTGGCAAATTTTCATTGCCATTTCATAGTTCACTAAAGGATCATGGGGTTCCTTTTAATGCACTCTACAAGATATTATCTGACTACTGCTCTAAGAGAGTTAGCAGCTTAACTTGCATGTTAATATTCATAGCAACAAGTCCTTTACACTATTTTTGTTTTACAGTGAATTAAAACATCAGAAAATCTAGGCCATTTCCTGAATAAGTTATACAGGCACAAAGATATATATTTGCTGGAAAGCATTTATATTTATTTTTCTTTTCTCTTATACAAACTATCAGGTACAAAAGCATTATATTTAGAGGTGCAGAATACACAGTAAAATATCTTAATTTTTAAAATTGCATTATCTAACTTTCTACACTAATATTAAAACGCTAAAATCTGTTGTTTGGGTATCTTTTTAGGAAGATAAATCTATGAGGATGTCTATGCAATGCAAACAAATCATATTTCACTGCATAACTGAACATATGGAGATTAGGAACCTCATAAATTGAATTTTAAATGAACTGACCTTATTGGATCCTTGACAAAAGGGAAAAAGAATGTACCAACAAGAATGGAAATATATTAATGGATTAGATTTATCACGAGTATCAAATAAAATAAAATATACTCTCAGATAAAAAATATGATAATATACAGTAATTCATATTCTACTGGTTAGTTTACCATTGACCTCTTCCCTCTCATACTTCCCATTATAAAAATAGTGTGCAGTTATTCAAGAGGTGTTGTTCAGTGTCAGGCACTGTGCTAGGTACTGGATATCGTAAGTATGATGAAGAAAAAAGACAAAGGTGCTGTTCTAAAGGCACTTGCTGTAAAATGGAACTGCCAGCAAATAAGACATTAAAATCAGGTGCAACCATCATAGTGATAGCCAATATATAGAAACTATGGGAACAAAGGAATAACATTTAACTTCTGCTGCCGAAGAGAAATTGTATTAGGCAGAGACTTGATGGAAGCGTAATCACATGAAGAAAAGGCAGTGTTCAAGGCAGAAGAAACAGCATAAACAAAAGCCTAAAGGGAAAATAGAGCTGTGGATACTTCTGGAACTGCAAATAGATTTACATGATAGGGAAATCCCCAGGCTAAGGATGATAAGATGAGATAGAAATAATCTGCAGGTGGATGAGACGATAAAAGGCTATTTGAACCATATATAATTGTATTGTGTATGCGTGTGTGTGTGTGTGTGTGTGTGTGTGATTTACTTTAGATCTGCACTCAATGCATTTAGTATTTTGCCCCGTGGTGATATTCATTATTACTTACTAAAAGATGAATTAAAACTGAATAATATTGCCAACACATTAGGCAAGTATTGTAAAATTGGACTACTTTTGCCAACCATGTATGAAATAGGCCACAAGCATTCACAATACAAAGTTGCAGATTTTCTAAATGTTTTATAATAAATCACCAAAGAGGCACTCGGGGTGGCCATTTACAAATATTAAGAACAAAATGGTTTTATAGGCAAACATGAACAATGAAGAATGAATTCAAAATTAGAAACCAGAAATTTCACCATCTGCTAGTCTGGAACTACTGGTCAGTTCTGGAACTGCTTAGTCTGAAACTGACCTTGGCAAATATTTAAGCTTTCTTCCACTGACTCCATTTCTAATGTAGAGAAGCAGATAATTGGAGGCATAAAGTTATCATGCACAGAAAGACTTGTAACTATCTTCTGCTATTTCAAGGACCACTACATAAGACCCTATAGTGATTTTAAATTGTTTCCTTTATAAATAAGAATGAAGATCTGAGGGTCTCAGAATAGATAATTTCATTGCATGAACTTTTTTCTGCATCTAAAGAATCTCTTAGAAAAGTATTGGGAAGAAAGGATTTGAAGAGAATACTGTTCATTTTTTTTCCCATAACAAATTAATCTCCATTAGATGGTGAGGTTAGTTAGGAAGTTATTCAATAGTCCAGGCAAGACGTGATGCATGAGGGTGGTGACTGTGAGTATTGAGATAGACATAATTAACAGGCGGAATCAATCAGGTGTAGCAGCCAAATGGATTTAAGGATAAGAAAAAAGAAACACTTCAGGTTGACGCTGGGATATTAACTCTGGTAACGGGTGATGCTTTGATTGGAGTTAGGGAACGTGAGAGAAGGATTAATGAATTTTGCAGCAAAGTTACTTCATTTATTCAATCCAGTACAGCTGGCTTTTAGGTGTCTGCAGAATAGATCACTGAATATGTCCAATAGGAAGCTGGAAAACTGACTATAGAGAAATAAGATGGAGGAGAGAAAGTGAAGGAAATAATTGTACATTTTTTTTCAAGTATTTTGAAGATACAATTGGGCAAAAAATGATACGGCCATGGCTGTAAGATGTATATCCAAGGTAGGTTATATTTGTAAGTATGTGAGAACCATAAACATATTTCAGTATAGATGGAAAGAAAACAGTATGAAGCGGACAATTCAGGAAAAGTAATCGAATTGTATTATGAGATCTTTTGCAAAGGTAAAAGGCAATGCTGCCCAGGAGGCACCTGTGGAACTTGGCTTCTGACAGAAGGAGAGAATTCTTCTCATTGTTACAAGAAATAAAAAAGCAGTATCAGAAGGGTGTATATTAGGTCCAGTTAAGATCTGCATAAAAAAACAAGGTATTTTTATTTGATGGCAGTAATTTTCTCTGTGACTAGAAGGCAAGACTGAAGGTGTGCTGGTAGGATGGCGTCTTAAGAAGCAATTACTTGGCTTTGCAGACGCCGCCGCCGAGGAAAACCGTGTACTATTAGCCATGGTCAACCCCACCGTGTTCTTCGACATTGCCGTCGACGGCGAGCCCTTGGGCCGCGTCTCCTTTGAGCTGTTTGCAGACAAGGTCCCAAAGACAGCAGAAAATTTTCGTGCTCTGAGCACTGGAGAGAAAGGATTTGGTTATAAGGGTTCCTGCTTTCACAGAATTATTCCAGGGTTTATGTGTCAGGGTGGTGACTTCACACGCCATAATGGCACTGGTGGCAAGTCCATCTATGGGGAGAAATTTGAAGATGAGAACTTCATCCTAAAGCATACAGGTCCTGGCATCTTGTCCATGGCAAATGCTGGACCCAACACAAATGGATCCCAGTTTTTCATCTGCACTGCCAAGACTGAGTGGTTGGATGGCAAGCATGTGGTGTTTGGCAAAGTGAAAGAAGGCATGAATATTGTGGAGGCCATGGAGCGCTTTGGGTCCAGGAATGGCAAGACCAGCAAGAAGATCACCATTGCTGACTGTGGACAACTCGAATAAGTTTGACTTGTGTTTTATCTTAACCACCAGGTCATTCCTTCTGTAGCTCAGGAGAGCACCCCTCCACCCCATTTGCTCGCAGTATCCTAGAATCTTTGTGCTCTCGCTGCAGTTCCCTTTGGGTTCCATGTTTTCCTTGTTCCCTCCCATGCCTAGCTGGATTGCAGAGTTAAGTTTATGATTATGAAATAAAAACTAAATAACAAACAAAAAAAAAGAAGCAATTACTTAGAAAATGTTGCTGAAAAGAGAGCATACAAAGTAGACTAAGAGAAGGACTTGTTGGGCAATTTTAAGACCCCATAATTAGTGAGATTTGAGTCTCCAATACGTTTTGTTAGATTTTCTTCATCAGAAGGCTGTAGCCCACATAAAGATTTTTTTTTAAAAAGGAATATAATTCACCAATAAGGTTTTGATTTAACCTCAGAATTCTCTGTGATTTCCCCCCATAAATTACTATTGTGAATTCTGTTTTAAAGTAATATTTAATTATCACATACAAAGCTGACCTTAACATTATTTGCTAAAATATAATTTCTAGAATTACCTTCATATCACATATGTGATGGTTAATTTTACATGTCAACTTGGCTGGATCACAGTGTGTAGATATGCGATCAGATATTATTCTGGATATTTTGCGCGGATGTTTTTGATGAGATTAGCATCTAAGTTGGTAGACTTTGAGTAAAGAAGATTGCCCTCCATAATGCATGTGGGGCCTCACCCAATCAATTGAAGGTCTGCATAGAAAACAAGGCTAACCCACGTTGAACAAGAAGTAGTTCTGCCAGGAGACAGCTTTCAGATGTGAATGGTAACATGGGCTCTTCCCAGAAACTCCAGCCTGTCAGCCTATCCTGCAGATTTTAGACTTGCCAACTTCCACAACTGCATGAACCATTTCCTTAAGATACGTTTCTATATATATATATATATATATATATGTATATATATATATATATATATATATATATATGTATATATATATATATATATATATATATATACACACATATCCCATTGATTCTGTTTCTCTGGAGAACTCCAGGTAACATAAAATATTTACAATTTGCTTACACATCTGTTTCTTCATTTTTGGATTTATTTCACTTGCTTCATTTTGCTAATTTTTCTTTTGTGTGTGGAAGAATATAAATTTCCTTGAGAGGCTGAGGTGGAAGAACTGTTTGAGCCCAGGAGTTTGAGATTATATTGAGCTGTGATCATGCTACTGCACTCCAGCCCGGGCAAGAGAGCCACAGCCTGTCTCTTAAACAAAAGTGAATTTCCATTTAGAAACATTTTACTAATTAGTGAAAGAAATGTTAATTGTCTATTATTCTCCTTAATATTATCCTTAAGCAGAAGATCTCCACCAAATTGCTGTAACATTTTTAAAGTGTTGTTTTCATTCAAGACAGAAAATCTTTCCAGATTTCTCTCTGTGTTTTCTTTACGTTATTTAAAAATGCTCAATTTTATAATTTATTTCAAATTATATTCGACAAAATTTAGCTCCTACTTTTAAAGACCAAATAGGTCAACAGTGTTGATTTTGCAGTATTCTTTGAATGAATTACTAAAATATTTAGCATATGCCAAAGACATCTGGCAAAGAGATTGTATAAAAATAAATGTTCAGAGACGGAAACCAATGTTATAAAACTGGGCCATTCACTGGGCATGTATAAGCATAAGCACATTTTCATATATTTTCTGTTTCCATAATTTTATGAAAGTAATTAATAATTTCTCCAGTAACAACTAATAATGAGCAATGGTACAGAGACCAATGAATTATTGATAAGAAAAATAATTTATGAGAATGCATTTCCTATTTTGTCTACTTAATTTTGCTTTGAAAATTCTCAATCTTATAGAAGCATACAAAATTCAGCAGAATAATTTATTTCAGTCACAAAATTTCTCAAAATTAATTTAAAAAATAAATGTGTCTGAGTTAAATTAATTTTCATCAGCATTAAACCTGATAAACAACATGGCATGTTTAATTTATGCTTTGATTTTTTATATAGCATCAAGTTTTTAGACCAAATAATCTGTTAATTATTGTAAATTATATAGCACTTTGCATATTACTCTTTTGTGTAAAATCATTCACAAGCTATTTTTTTGAAGTATTCAACTTTTTTCCATTAGACACCTTCCAAAAACAGCCATTTTTATATGGCCTCTTAAGTTTTCCCATTATTCATTATTTAATTAGCTTCTTCTTTTTACTTTGAATCTATTCATTAATTTATGATTCATAAGTTTGAAGGCAGAAATATTGCTCCACTTATCTTTTGTCCTGGTTTCTAACGATTAAAAATTTGTCCTTATTCATAGTAGTCATAGCCTTACAACAACTTAAGGCCTAAGTTATTATTACCTTAATTTAAAGATACAACTTTATTGTTTAAATCATAAAACATTCTTATAAATGCATGTGGGGTATATTTTCCCCAGGTTTTCTCAAGAAGTAGATAATACTTTGTTAGCAACATTGGTATACGAATATTGACATCCACTAACTTACCAAGAGAACTTGAACCTCTACTTAGAAAAGATTATTTCCAAACAATTTGATAGTATTTCTCTAATCTGGTTTACTTTATCTTTCTTCTACTTCTGCCATCTTCATGAGGACATTAGCATTATTGTTCCCTCAGCTATTAAAAAAAGTAAAATTTTAAATTAACAATCAAAAGAAATATGCCATTTGTGGGAAAAACTATTTATTTCTATTCTTGTCACATAACACTTTAAAAAACACAATGGTTTCAAATCATGAAACCACCTGGTATCTCTTGCACGTAGCTCAATCACTCACATCTAATAAGAACCAAATGGCATGGTGGCAGGTGCCTGTAGTCCCAGCTACTTGGGAGGCTGAGGCAGGAGAATTGCTTGAACCCGGGAGGTAGAGGTTGCAGTGAGCCGAGATGGTGCCACTGCACTCCAGCCCGGGCGACACAGGGAGATTCCGTCTCAAAAAATAAAAAGAACCAAATGAATACTTTTTGTATAAACTAAGTTTATAGAATTTTAGAGAAAATATGTGTAAACATCTTTGTTTTTTTCCACAGAGGTAGTCAATAGTATAAAAAGTGCATTAAAGATATTCGTTATTATATTAGAGAGTAAAAATGTAAAACATTGAAATCCATTTTAAAGAAATATTAAGGGCTTTTATCTACAAAATAACTTGTATTATTTTCTTTGAAATAAATTAAAATTAGCAGGACTTTTTATTAGCTTTTATTTACTTAAAAGTTAGTGGGCACTTTTTAATTCAAACCACAATTTAAAACCAGCATCTAAAACAGATGAGGAGTTTGGGGAAAGTATATTAATGTACCCTTCATTCCAATGAAAAGTATGTTTCCACAATTTATTTTACCTATTCTTTTCTTTTGTTAGTAGGCTCAAATATGTCAATAGATATAATTAAAGTTTATATCACAGTAATAGCACTGCTATAGAGTCTTTGTATAGGAGAGTCAAAAGAGACACTTTGATGAGGATATGAAAGGGTTGAAAAAGCTCTAAATAGCTTTGTTTACAAAGGAACAGACTAAATAAAAAGGAGACATTAGCTTGTGAAGAACATGGTTGGAACCATTTGAAGTACATTATTTATTTAAGAGAAAAGAATAGTCTTTTAAAATTTATTTTTAACCCAGGTTAAGTGTCTTAAAAAAGAAAACAAAATAACTTCATCTGCTAAATAGGTGAAAATTTCCTATAATATTATTTTTGGCATTCTAGAATTTTTTTCCACTTTCTACTGTATCACAACTTATTTTACTTTACAGTGATCAATTCCAATAGCATGCAATGTAAGGACGATTATTTTTCTGTCTTAAAAAAGTCTTTTCTCTTACCTTGCTTTTCTCACCATGCATTTCTTGTTTGCTCCCCTTAGCAGCAAAACTTCTTGTAAAATATGCATTCTCTTCAATTATTTCATTCTCTCTTGAATCTGTTCAACTTGCTCTCACCTCCACCCGTACATGGTAACTGCTACACCTTCATTTTACTAAATTAGCTCTTCCTTTCCCTTCTCAGTTCCACATCAATATACATTCAGCAGCACTCACTCCACCCTGCTTGAATGAATTTCCTTCGCTTGGCTTGCAAGACTCCAACATGCTCTCTCAGCTTCCCTGCTGCCTTGCTGTTACTCTAGCTCTCTCTTACTGGTTCACCCTCTTCCTCCAATCTCTAAACATTCAGTAGTTAGCGGTAGGGCTAGCATTAAGGTTAGGGTTAGGATTCTGCCTTTGTGCTTTCTCTCTTCTAGGTAGCCTCATACACTTAATGATCCCATCCAGTTTTACAGCTTTACATACAATCTCTGCCAACAATTCCCAAATATATACATCCAGTATGTCTCCCTTCTGAATTCCAGCCCCACGTGTGCCAGTTCAATATCCATGCTTTGACGATTAGCAGGCATCTCAGAGAGAACCAATTAACCCATGAAAAATTAAACCATGATCTTCCATTCCCCTAAATCTGCTTTCCCCCTTGGTGATTTCATTGCTCAAGGCAGAAGTTCAGTCTTCTTTTCCTGCCATATGCCACATCACATTCCCCAGGAATTAAACCTTGGCTCTTCCTTCAGAATACATTCCAAACTGGACCAACTCTTACTCTATTCAAGTAGCATTTCTTACCTGGAAGACTTCAATAACCTTCAAAAAAGTCTTCATTTGTTTCCCTTCACCTCTTTCAGTCTATTCTTAACAATATGGAAAAATGATCCTTAAAAAATAAAGATAAATAAGATAAACTGACTTGAAACCATAGTGTCAAGATAAAATTCCAATACAACAGAATAGATATGATCTCACCCAGATCCTATGACTTTGAGAAGATGTCTGGATAAGATCTCCACACACTGAAAGCCATAACCATTTATTGGATTCTGTAGTCAGATATCAAAAGTGTTAGCATCAGCTTATATTTTTCAAAAAGCAGAAACATAAAAATTAGAGAGTTAATTTACATTAGCTGCAAAGGTAAACAATGCAAATTAAACTGTCTTCATTATAAATTTATTATTTTTATTTTAATTGGTCACTGAGAAAACTGACCTGATGGAGCTAAAAGCATGTCTTTGGCCAGTTTCTCATTAAGTTCAAGTCTGTATGACATTCTGACCTTCCTTTTTCTTGACAAAGTTAGAATTCAAGGAAAATACTAGAAATTCTGCTTTCTGATTCATCCATGAAAAAATGTGTCTCAATTATTGTGCCAAACATCAGCACATAAACTTAAACAAATCTTTGACATATAGAATGTAACCTACACTATGACATCAGTATTGTGTTAAGAAATGAACCCAGTTTTAAGAAAATATTGTATCATTATTATAGTGCTAACTAAACTTTAATAGACAAAAGTTGATATAAATTTAAAAACAAGATTCAATGTCTTGTTGACATTACATGAGAGAAGCAGTAAGCTCTAGAGCGAGGATAAGTTTGTAGTCAGAAGATCTGGAATTGTATACTAGTTTTCTACTCTAGGAGAAAGAAAATATAATATGATATAACTTTTCTTATCTGTTTTACATAACTCATAGGATTGAGAGGAGCAATTTACCATTAATTTTGGAAAAATAATACAGTTGTAACAGTTTATTATGTAAGTGAATATTATATCTAAGCTTTCTTTAACTTTTGTTTTAGGCTTAGGGTACATGTGCAGTTTTGTAATATAGGTAGATTTATATTATGGGGGTTTGTTGTACAGATTATTTAGTTACCTAGGTACGAAGCCTAATACCCAATAGTAATTTTTTATGATCCTTTCCCTCTTCCCACCCTACACCCTCAAGTAGGCCCCAGTCCCTGTTTTTCCCCTCTTTGTGTCTATGTGTTCTCATCATTTAGCTCCCACTTATAAGGGAGAACATGCAATATTTGATTTTCTGTTCCTGTGTTGGTTTGCTAAGGATAATGGCCTCCAGCTTTATCCTTGTTACTATAAAGGACATGATCTCATTCTTTTTTATGTCTGCATAGTATTCCATGGATGTATATGTACCCCATTTTCTTTATGTAATCTGCCATTGATGGATATTTCATTTGATTCCACATCTTTGCTACTATAAATAGTGCTGCAATGAACATATGTGTGCATATATCTTCATAATAGAACAATTTATATTCCTGTGAGTGTATACCCAATAATGAGATTCCTGAGTCAAATGGTAATTCTGTTTTTAGCTCTTTGAGGAATCATCAAACTGCTTCTCACAATGGCTGAACTAATATACACTCCCACCAACAGTGTATAAAAATTCCCTTTCTGCACAACCTGTCCCACATCTGTTAATTTTTTTACTTTTTAATAATAGCCATTCTGACTGGTATGAGATGGTATTTCACTGTAGTTTTGATTTGCATTTCTCTAATGATCAATGATGTTGAACTGTTTTTCATATTATTTTTGGCTACATGTATGTCTTTTTTTGAAAAATTGTCTGGTCATGTCTTTGCACACTTTTTAATTTTTTTTTGTAAATTTGTGTAAGTTCTTTATAGATGCTGGATATTAGACCTACGTCAGATCCATAGCTTGCAAATATTTTCTCCCATTCTGTAGGTTGCCTCTTTACTCTGTTGATAGTTTATTTTGCTGTGTAGAAGCTCTTTAGTTTAATTAGATCCTATTTGTCAATTTTTGCTTTTGTTGCGATTGCTTTTGGAGTCTTCATCATAAACTCTTTGTTCCTATGTACAAAATGATATTGCCTAGGTAGTCTTACAGGGTTTTCATAGTTTTGAGTTTTACATTTACATCTTTAATCCATTTTTAGTTGATTTATGCATATAGTGTAAGAAAGGGGTCCAGTTTCAATCCTCTGCATATGATTAGCCAGTTTTACCAGCACCATTTATTGCATAGGAAGTCTTTTCCCCATTGCCTATTTTTGTCAGCTTTATCAAAGCTGATTGTTATAGGTGTGCAGCCTTATTTCTGCCTTCTCTATTCTGTTCCATTGGTCTATATGTTTGTTTTAGTTCCAGTACTTATATGGCTTGGCTATGCCCTGCCCAAAATCTCATCTTGAATTGTCATCTCCATAATCCCCACGTATCAAGGATGGGACCAGTTGGAGATGATTGGATCATGGGGGTGGTTTGCCCCATGCTCTTCTGGTGGTAGCGAGTGAGTCTCATAGAATCTGATGGTTTTTAAGGGTCTTGCATTTCCCCTGCTTTCACTCACTCTGTCCTGCTGCACTGTGAAGAAGGTGCCTGCTTCTCCTTTGCCTTCCTCCATAATTCCAAGTTTCCTGAGGCCTCCCAAGCAATGTGAAACTGTGAGTCAATTGAAACTCTTTCCTTTACAAGTTACCCAGTCTTGGGTATTTTCTTCATAGCAGTTTGAGATTGGACTAATACAAGTAGCATGCTGTTTTGGCTACTGTAGCCCTTTAGTATACTTTGAAGTCAGGTACTATGATGCATCCAGCTTTGTTCCTTTTACTTGGAATTGCCTTAGCTATTTGGGTTCTTTCATGGTTGCATATCAATTTTAAAATATTTTTTTCTAGTACTGTGAAGAATGTCATTGGTAGTTTGATAGGAGTAGCACTGAATCTGTACATTGCTTTGAGCAGAATGGTTTAATGTTACTGATTTTTCCTATCCATGAGTATGGAACATTTTGCCGTTTTTGGTGTATCTCTGATTTCTTTGAACAGTGTTTGTAATTCTCATCATAGAGATGTTTCACTTACCTGGTTAGCTATATTCCTAGGTATTTTATTCTTTTTATGGAATTTGTGAATGGGATTGCATTCCTGATTTGGTTCTTGGCTTGCCTGTTGTTGGTATATAGGAATGCTAGTATCTTTTTGTTTTTGTTTTTGTTTTTGTTTTTTGACAGAGTTTTGCTCTGTCACCCAGGCTGGAGTGCAGTGGCATGATCTTGGCTCACTGCTATCTCTGCCTCAGGGTTCAAGTGACTTTCCTACCTCAGCCTCCCAAGTAGCTAAGATTACAGGCATGTGCTACTACAATCACACCCAGATATAAATATATATTAGTATTTTTACTAGAGATGGGATTTCACCATGTTGGCCAGGCTAATGTCGAACTCCTGGCCTAAAGTGATCCACCCACCTCGGCCTCCCAAATTGCTGGGATTACAGGCATGAGCCACCGTGCCCAGCCTAATGCTAGTGATTTTTGTACTTTGATTTTGTATCCTGAAACTGCTGAAGTTATTTAACAGCTGAAGGGGCTTTTGGGTTGAGACTATGTGGTTTTCTAGATACAGAATCATGTCATCTGCAAGCAGGGTTAGTTTGACTTCAACTTTTCTTATTTGGTTGTTCCTTATTTCTTACTGTTGCCTGATAGTTCTGGCCAGGAATTCCAATACCATGTTGAATAGGAGTGGTGAGAGACAGTACCCTTGTCTTTTGCCAGTTGTTAAGGGGAATGCTTCCAGCTTTTGCCCATTCAGTATGATGTTGGCTGTGGATCTGTCATAGATGACTCTTAATATTTTGAGTTATGTTCCTTCAATACCTAGTTTATTGAGAGTATTTAATATGAATGAATAATGAATTTTATCAAAAGCCTTTTCTGCATCTATTGAGATAATCATGTGATTGTCTTTAGTTTTGTTTATGTGATGAATCACATTTATTGATTTTTATACGTTGAACCAAGCTTGCATCCTGGGGATGAAGCCTGCTTGATCATGGTGGACTAGCTTTTTAATGTGCTGCTGGATTTGGTTTACAAGTATTTTATTGAGGATTTTTGCGTGGATGCTCATCAAGGATGTTGGCCTGAAGTTTTCTTTTTTTCCTTTGTCTCTGCCAGATTTTAATATTATGACAACGCTGGCCTCATAGAATGAGTTGAGGAGGGTTCCTCCTCCTCAATATTTTAGAATAGTTTCAATAGAAATGGCATCAACTTTTCTTAGTACATCTAGAAGAATTTGGCTGTGAATCTATCTGGTCTTGGGCTTTTTTTTTTTTTTTTTTTTTTTTTGATGGTAGGCTGTTTATTACTGGTTCAATGTCAGAGTTCATGATTGTTCTGTTCAGAGAATCAAGTGCTTTGTTGTTCAGCCTTGGGATAGCGTGTGTCTAGGAATTTATTCATCTGTCTTCTAGGTTTTCTAGTTTGTTTTCACAGAGGTATTCCTCTGTGGTCAGTGGTAACATCGCCTTTGTCATTTCTAATTATATTTATTTGGATCTTCTCTCATTTCTTCTTTATTAGTCTAGCTAGTGGCCTATTTTAATTTTTTCAAAAAAAATCAACTGGATTCATTGAGCTTTTGAATGGATTTGTGTCTTAATCTTCTAGTTTGGCTCTTTTTTTTTTTCTTGTCTTCTGCTAGCTTTGGGATTGGTTTGCTCTTGATTCTCTACTTCTTCTAGTTGTGATGTTAGGTTGTTAATCTGAGATCTTTCTACATTTTTTATGTGGGGAATTAGTGCTATAAATTTCCCTCTTAACACTCACTGCCTTAGCTGTGTCCTTGGTATTCTGGTGTGTTGCATCTTTGTTCTCATGTACTTCCTGATTTCTTCATTTCATGCTTTACCAAAAAGTCATTCAGGAGCAGGTTGTTTAATTTCCATATAATTTCATGGTTTTGAGTGATTTTTTTTGTCTTGATTTCTATTTTTATTGTGCTGTGGTCCAAGAGTGAGTTATTTGCTGAGGGTTGTTTTATATCCAATTGTGTGGTCACTTTTAGACTAGGTGTCATGTGGTGGTAAGAAGAATATATATTCCATTGTTTTGGGGTAGAGAGTTCTGTACGGGTCTATCAAATCCATTTGAGTTCAGGTCTTAAATATCTATATTAATTTTTTTCCTCAATGATATGTTTAATACTGTCAGCAGAGTGTTAATGCCCTTCACTATTATTGTGAGTGAGTGTAAGTTTCTTTGTAGGTTCTAAAAACTTGCTTTATGAATCTGAGTGCTCCTGTGTTGGATGCATTTATATTTAGAATAGTTAAGTCTTGTAGAATTTCAACAACCCTTTATGATTATGTAATTCCCTTCTTTGTCCTTTTTTAATTTTTGTTTATTTAAAGGCTATTTTGTCTGAAATTAGCATTGCAACCCTTGCTTGTTTCTGATTTTCATTTACTTATAGATTTTTCTCTATTCCTTTATTTTGAGCCCATGAATGTCATTATGTGTGAGATGGGTTTCTTGAAGACAGCTTACTATTGGGTCTTGTTATTTTATCCAGCTTGCCACTCTGTCTTTTAAATGGGGGTATGTACAAACAACTCCACCAACTGGACGAAACTATAACTTGTTGACAGCTTTCTCTCTCTGGTTCTCAGATGAGGAATGATGATAAAACAAAACCAAAAGGCATCTTATTGAGGAAGGTCAGCTCCAGTGGATTTCTTTGAGACAACCCAAGTTAGATGGAGCTAGCGGGAAAAAATACAGTAATTCTTTAAACTATCATTCAAGCAAAACCTGTGACCTAAGTGTTCCTTTTAAAGTAGCTAGACTTGTTAGAGATTTTATTGAGTGGATATAAGCACTTTATACAGAAACTTTTTTTTAAAAAATGTACACCGTCTTTTCATAGAACAGAGGAACAGCTGTCACATCAGTTCCCGATGCCAAGCACAGCAATATAAAGTATATACCCTACGAGTTAGATGAAGCAGAGGAAAGGGATCAAGAGATTAATATACCTCTTTGAGAAAAGCACCCAAAATAAATCATTTTATTATTTTTTGCAAAAATAAATAAATAAATAAATAAATGGGGGCATTTAGCCCATTTACATTCATGGTTAGTATTGACATGTGTAATTCTGATCTTGTCATTGTGTTATTAGCTGGATATTATGCCAGCTTGTTTGTATGGTTGCTTTATAGTGACACTGGTCTTTGTACTTCAGTGTGTTTTTGTATTGGCTGATAATGGTCTTTCCTTTCCATATTGAAAACTCTTTTTAATATCTCTTCTAAGATGCATCTGGTGCTAATGACCTTACTCAGCATTTATTTATCTAAAAATGATCGTATTTTTCCTTCACTGAATAAGTGTAGTTTGCCTGGATATGAAATTCTTGGTTGAGAATACATTTTTTTCTGTAAGAATGCTGAATATAGGCCCCCAATTTTTTCTGGCTTGTAAGGTTTCTGCTGAAAGGTCTGCTGTTAGCCTAATGGGGTTCCCTTTGTAGGGGACCTACCCTTTCTTTCTAGCTGCCTTTAACATTTTTTTTCATTTCAGCTTTTAAAAATAAGAAGATTATGTGTCCTGGGAATGATCTTCTCATGTAGGATATTTCAGGGGTTTCCTGAGGCCAGATGTGGTGGCTCACACCTGTAATCCCTGAACTTTGGGAGGGCAAGGTGGGCAGACCACTTGAAGTCAGGAGTTTGAGACCAGCCTGGTCAACATGGCAAAACCTTGTCTCCACTAAAAATACAACCAAAAAAAAATTAACTGGGCATGTTGGTGCACACTTGTAATCCCGGCTACTTGGGAGGCTGAGGCATGAGAATCACTTGAACCCGGGAGGTGAAGGTTGCAGTGAGCCAAGATTGTGCCACTACACTCCAGCCTGAGTGACAGAGCAAGGCTCTGTTTCTAAATAATTATAACCATAATCATAATCACAATCAATCACAAATGAGACTATTACAGGGGTTATCTGTATTTTCTGAATTTGACTGTTGAACTCTCTAGGGAAACTGGGCATATTTTCAGGGAAAATACCTTGAAATGTGTTTTCTTTTTTTTTTTTAATTTTTAAATTTATTTTATTATTATTATACTTTACGTTTTAGGGTACATGTGCACAATGTGCAGGTTAGTTACATATGTATACATGTGCCATGCTGGTGCACTGCACCCACTAACTCGTCATCTAGCATTAGGTATATCTCCCAATGCCATCCCTCCCCGCTCCCCCCACCCCACAACAGTCCCCAGAGTGTGATGTTCCCCTTCCTGTGTCCATGTGTTCTCATTGTTCAATTCCCACCTATGAGTGAGAATATGCGGTGTTTGGATTTTTGTTCTTGCGATAGTTTACTGAGAATGATGATTTCCAATTTCATCCATGTCCCTACAAAGGACATGAACTCTTCATTTTTTATGGCTGCATAGTATTCCATGGTGTATATGTGCCACATTTTCTTAATCCAGTCTATCATTGTTGGACATTTGGGTTGGTTCCAAGTCTTTGCTATTGTGAATAATGCCGCAATAAACATACGTGTGCATGTGTCTTTATAGCAGCACGATTTATAGTCCTTTGGGTATATACCCAGTAATGGGATGGCTGGGTCAAATGGTATTTCTAGTTCTAGATCCCTGAGGAATTGCCACACTGACTTCCACAGTGGTTGAACTAGTTTACAGTCCCACCAACAGTGTAAAAGTGTTCCTATTTCTCCACATCCTCTCCAGCACCTGTTGTTTCCTGACTTTTTAATGATTGCCATTCTAACTGGTGTAAAATGGTATCTCATTGTGGTTTTGATTTGCATTTCTCTGATGGCCAGTGATGATGAGCATTTTTTCATGTGTTTTTTGGCTGCGTAAATGTCTTCTTTTGAGAAGTGTCTGTTCATGTCATTTGCCCACTTTTTGATGGGGTTGTTTGTTTTTTTCTTGTAAATTTGTTTGAGTTCATTGTAGATTCTGGATATTAGCCCTTTATCAGATGAGTAAGTTGCGAAAATTTTCTCCCATTTTGTAGGTTGCCTGTTCACTCTGTTGGTAGTTTCTTTTGCTGTGCAGAAGCTCTTTAGTTTAATTAGATCCCATTTGTCAATTTTGGCTTTTGTTGCCATTGCTTTTGGTGTTTTAGACATGAAGTCCTTGCCCATGCCTATGTCCTGAATGGTAATGCCTAGGTTTTCTTCTAGGGCTTTTATGGTTTTAGGTCTAACGTTTAAGTCTTTAATCCATCTTGAATTGATTTTTGTATAAGGTGTAAGGAAGGGATCCAGTTTCAGCTTTCTACATATGGTTAGCCAGCTTTCCCAGCACCATTTATTAAATAGGGAATCCTTTCCCCATTGCTTGTTTTTCTCAGGTTTGTCAAAGATCAGATAGTTGTAGATATGTGGTGTTATTTCTGAGGGCTCTGTTCTGTTCCATTGATCTATATCTCTGTTTTGGTACCAGTACCATGCTGTTTTGGTTATTGTAGCCTTGTAGTATAGTTTGAAGTCAGGTAGTGTGATGCCTCCAGCTTTGTTCTTTTGGCTCAGGATTGACTTGGCAATGTGGGCTCTTTTTTGGTTCCATATGAACTTTAAAGTAGTTTTTTCCAATTCTGTGAAGAAAGTCATTGGTAGCTTGATGGGGATGGCATTGAATCTATAAATTACCTTGGGCAGTATGGCCATTTTCATGATATTGATTCTTCCTACCCATGAGCATGGAATGTTCTTCCATTTGTTTGTATCCTCTTTTATTTCATTGAGCAGTGGTTTGTAGTTCTCCTTGAAGAGGTCCTTCACATCCCTTGTAAGTTGGGTTCCTAGGTATTTTATTCTCTTTGAAGCAATTGTGAATGGGAGTTTCCTCATGATTTGGCTCTCTGTTTGTCTGTTGTTGGTGTATAGGAATGCTTGTGATTTTTGTACATTGATTTTGTATCCTGAGACTTTGCTGAAGTTGCTTATCAGCTTAAGGAGATTTTGGGCTGAGACAATGGGGTTTTCTAGATATACAATCATGTCATCTGCAAACAGGGACAATTTGACTTCCTCTTTTCCTAGTTGAATACCCTTTATTTCCTTCTCCTGCCTAATTGCCCTGGCCAGAACTTCCAACACTATGTTGAAAAGGAGTGGTGAGAGAGGGCATCCCTGTCTTGTGCCAGTTTTCAAAGGGAATGCTTCCAGTTTTTGCCCATTCAGTATGATATTGGCTGTGGGTTTGTCATAGATAGCTCTTATTATTTTGAGATATGTCCCATCAATACCTAATTTATTGAGAGTTTTTAGCATGAAGGTTGTTGAATTTTGTCAAAGGCCTTTTCTGCATCTATGGAGATAATCATGTGGTTTTTGTCTTTGGTTCTGTTTATATGCTGGATTACATTTATTGATTTGTGTATATTGAACCAGCCTTGCATCCCAGGGATGAAGCCCACTTGATCATGGTGGATAAGCTTTTTGATGTGCTGCTGGATTCGGTTTGCCAGTATTTTATTGAGGATTTTTGCATCAATGTTCATCAAGGATATTGGTCTAAAATTCTCTTTTTTGGTTGTGTCTCTGCCTGGCTTTGGTATCAGGATGATGCTGGCCTCATAAAATGAGTTAGGGAGGATTCCCTCTTTTTCTATTGATTGGAATAGTTTCAGAAGGAATGGTACCAGTTCCTCCTTGTACCTCTGGTAGAATTTGGCTGTGAATCCATCTGGTCCTGGAATCTTTTTGTTAGTAAGCTATTGATTATTGCCACAATTTCAGATCCTGTTATTGGTCTATTCAGAGATTCAACTGCTTCCTGGTTTAGTCTTGGGAGAGTGTATGTGTCGAGGAATTTATCCATTTCTTCTAGATTTTCTAGTTTATTTGTGTAGAGGTGTTTGTAGTATTCTCTGATGGTAGTTTGTATTTCTGTGGGATCGGTGGTGATATCCCCTTTATCATTTTTTATTGCGTCTATTTGATTCTTCTCTGTTTTTTTCTTTATTAGTCTTGCTAGTGGTCTATCAGTTTTGTTGATGCTTTCAGAAAACCAGCTCCTGGATTCGTTAATTTTTTGAAGGGTTTTTTGTGTCTCTATTTCCTTCAGTTCTGCTCTGATTTTAGTTATTTCTTGCCTTCTGCTAGCTTTTGAATGTGTTTGCTCTTGCTTTTCTAGTTCTTTTAATTGTGATGTTAGGGTGTCAATTTTGGATCTTTCCTGCTTTCTCTTGTGGGCATTTAGTGCTATAAATTTCCCTCTACACACTGCTTTGAATGTGTCCCAGAGATTCTGGTATGTTGTGTCTTTGTTCTCGTTGGCTTCAAAGAACATTTTTATTTCTGCCTTCATTTCGTTATGTACCCAGTAGTCATTCAGGAGCAGGTTGTTCAGTTTCCATGTAGTTGAGCGGTTTTGTGTGAGATTCTTAATCCTGAGTTCTAGTTTGATTGCACTGTGGTCTGAGAGATAGTTTGTTATAATTTCTGTTCTTTTACATTTGCTGAGGAGAGCTTTACTTCGAACTATGCGGTCAATTTTGGAATAGGTGTGCTGTGGTGCTGAAAAAAATGTATATTCTGTTGATTTGGGGTGGAGAGTTCTGTAGATGTCTATTAGGTCCACTTGGTGCAGAGCTGAGTTCAATTCCTGGGTATTCTTGTTGACTTTCTGTCTCATTGATCTGTCTAATGTTGACAGTGGGTTGTTAAAGTCTCCCATTATTAATGTGTGGGAGTCTAAGTCTCTTTGTAGGTCACTCAGGACTTGCTTTATGAATCTGGGTGCTCCTGTATTGGGTGCATATATATTTAGGATAGTTAGCTCTTCTTGTTGAATTGATCCCTTTACCATTAAGTAATGGCCTTCTTTGTCTCTTTTGATCTTTGTTGGTTTAAAGTCTGTTTTGTCAGAGACTAGGATTGCAACCCCTGCCTTTTTTTGTTTTCCATTGGCTTGGTAGATCTTCCTCCATCCTTTTATTTTGAGCCTATGTGTGTCTCTGCACGTGAGATGGGTTTCCTGAATACAGCACACTGATGGGTCTTGACTCTTTATCCAATTTGCCAGTCTGTGTCTTTTAATTGGAGCATTTAGTCCATTTACATTTAAAGTTAATATTGTTATGTGTGAATCTGATCCTGTCATTATGATGTTAGCTGGTTATTTTGCTCATTAGTTGATGCAGTTTCTTCCTAGTCTCGATGGTCTTTACATTTTGGCATGATTTTGCAGCGGCTGGTACCAGTTGTTCCTTTCCATGTTTAGTGCTTCCTTCAGGAGCTCTTTTAGGGCAGGCCTGGTGGTGACAAAATCTCTCAGCAGTTGCTTGTCTGTAAAGTATTTTATTTCTCCTTCACTTATGAAGCTTAGTTTGGCTGGATATGAAATTCTGGGTTGAAAATTCTTTTCTTTAAGAATGTTGAATATTGGCCCCCACTCTCTTCTGGCTTGTAGAGTTTCTGCCGAGATATCTGCTGTTAGTCTGATGGGCTTCCCTTTGAGGGTAACCCAACCTTTCTCTCTGGCTGCCCTTAACATTTTTTCCTTTGTTTCAACTTTGGTGAATCTGACAATTATGTGTCTTGGAGTTGCTCTTCTCGAGGAGTATCTTTGTGGTGTTCTCTGTATTTCCTGAATCTGAATGTTGGCTTGCCTTGCTAGATTGGGGAAGTTCTCCTGGATAATATCCTGCAGAGTGTTTTCCAACTTGGTTCCATTCTCCCCGTCACTTTCAGGTACACCAATCAGATGTAGATTTGGTCTTTTCACATAGTCCCATATTTCTTGGAGGCTTTGCTCGTTTCTTTTTATTCTTTTTTCTCTAAACTTCTCTTCTCGCTTCATTTCATTCATTTCATCTTCCATTGCTCATACCCTTTCTTCCAGTTGATCGCATTGGCTCCTGAGGCTTCTGCATTCTTCACGTAGTTCTCGAGCCTTGGTTTTCAGCTCCATCAGCTCCTTTAAGCACTTCTCTGTATTGGTTATTCTAGTTATACATTCTTCTAAATTTTTTTCAAAGTTTTCAACTTCTTTGCCTTTGGTTTGAATGTCCTCCCGTAGCTCAGAGTAATTTGATCGTCTGAAGCCTTCTTCTCTCAGCTCGTCAAAGTCATTCTCCGTCCAGCTTTGTTCCGTTGCTGGTGAGGAACTGCATTCCTTTGGAGGAGGAGAGGCGCTCTGCTTTTTAGAGTTTCCAGTTTTTCTGCTCTGTTTTTTCCCCATCTTTGTGGTTTTATCTACTTTTGGTCTTTGATGATGGTGATGTACAGATGGGTTTTTGGTGTGGATGTCCTTTCTGTTTGTTAGTTTTCCTTCTAACATACAGGACCCTCAGCTGCAGGTCTGTTGGAGTACCCAGCCGTTTGAGGTGTCAGTCTGCCCCTGCTGGGGGGTGCCTTCCAGTTAGGCTGCTCGGGGGTCAGGGGTCAGGGACCCACTTGAGGAGGCAGTCTGCCCGTTCTCAGATCTCTAGCTGCGTGCTGGGAGAACCACTGCTCTCTTCAAAGCTGTCAGACAGGGACATTTAAGTCTGCAGAGGTTACTGCTATCTTTTGGTTTGTCTGTGCCCTGCCTCCAGAGGTGGAGCCTACAGAGGCAGGCAGGCCTCCTTGAGCTGTGGTGGGCTTTACCCAGTTCCAGCTTCCCCGCTGCTTTGTTTACTTAAGCAAGCCTGGGCAATGGCGGGTGCCCCTCCCCCAGCCTCGCTGCTGCCTTGCAGTTTGATCTCAGACTGCTGTGCTAGCAATCAGCCAGACTCCGTGGGCGTAGGACCCTCCGAGCCATGTGCGGGATATAATCTCCTGGTGTGCCGTTTTTTAAGCCCGTCGGAAAAGCGCAGTATTCGGGTGGGAGTGACCTGATTTTCCAGGTGCCCTCTGTCACCACTTTCTTTGACTAGGAAAGGGAACTCCCTGACCCCTTGCGCTTCCCAAGCGAGGCAATGCCTCGCCCTGCTTCGGCTCGCGAACAGTGCACGCATCCACTGACCTACGCCCACTGTCTGGCACTCCCTAGTGAGATGAACCCAGTACCTCAGATGGAAATGCAGAAATCATCCATCTTCTGTGTCGCTCACGCTGGGAGCTGTAGACCGGAGCTGTTCCTATTCAGCCATCTTGGCTCCTCCGCTCTGAAATGTGTTTTCTAACTTGTATGTTTCTCCCTGTCCCTTTCAGGGATTGCAATGATTTATAGATTTCCCTCTTTACATAATCCCATATTTCTCAGAGGTTTTGTTTGTTCCTTTTTATTCTTTTTTATTTGATTTTGTCTGACTGTCTTATTTCAGAGAGCCAATCTTCAAGTTCTGAGGTTCCTTCCTCAGCTTGGCTTATTCTGCTGTTAATATTTGTGATTGCATTGTAAAATTCTTGTAGAGTGGTTTTCAGCTCTATCAGATTACTTAGCTTCTTTTTTATATTGGCTAATTTTTCTGTCCTATATTGTTTTATTGTGATTCTTATTTTGCTTGAATTGGGTTTTGCCATACTCTTGAATATTGATAATCTTAATTTCTATCCATATTCTGAATTATATTTCTGACATTTCAGCCAACTCGGCCTGGTTAAGAATCCTCTTTGGGGAACCAGTGTGATCATTTGGAGGACATAAGACACCCTGGCCATTTGAGTTGCTGGAGTTCTTGTGTTGGTTCTTTCTCATGTCTACGTGTGGGTATTTCTTTGACTGCTGGGTTGCCTCTAATTAAAGTGGTCAGGCAGAGGAAGAGTGGTTGTGTTGGAGTCCCAGGCTCAGCAGCCCTGCTCAGTGAGAAGTGAGGACCAGGACCTATGTGGAGCACAGTCTGGCCACTTTTCCATGAGGTGGGTGCTTTGTGCTGGGAGTCCAGATCAGCCCCTGGTCCCCATGGCTCTCTGGAACCTGAAGACAGCAAGGGCAAGGGCTGTGAGACGGAAAACATGGTAACCCATCTATATTAGTTCATTCTTGCACTGCTTTAAAAAAGTACCTGAAACTGTGTAATTTATAAAGAAAACACATGTAATTGGCTCACGGTTCTGCAAGCTGTGCAGGTAGGATGGCTGGGCAGGCCTCAGGAAACTTTCAATCATGGCAGAAGGTGAAGCGGAAGCAGGCATGTCTTACATGGCTGGAGAAGAAGGAATAGAGAGAAAGGGGAGGTGCTACACAGTTTTAAATAAGTAGATCTTATGAGAACTCACTCACTATTACAAAAACAGCAAGGGGGAAGTCTGCCTCCATGATTCATTCTCCTCCCACCAGGCACCTCCTCCAACACTGGGGATAACAGTTAGACACAAGAATTGGACAGGAACACAAATCCAAACTGTATCACCATCCCTCCCTCTGGGAGCTCTGTCTCAGGGAGTTGCAGAGCTGATACTGGCTCTATAGCCCCAGCTGGGGAGTGGCAGGAAAGCCAAGCAGAGAGGACTTGCCCAGTGAGGAGACACAAAACTGGGGACCCATGTTACAAATAGTCTGGCTGCTGCAATATCCTGGGGGGCCTCTCCAGTCCTTAGTCACCTCATATTTTCTAGCACCTGAAGGTATCCACAGTGAAGGCTGTAAAGCCACAAAGATGGTGGCCTTCCCCTCCCTCTGGGGGCTCCATCCCAGAGAGGTACATACCTGCTGTACCCCAAATGCACCTGCAGGAGCTAGTTAGAGACCCCATGAGGGAGATCCCACCCAGTGAGGAAAAATGGGATCCGGGACCCAGGTGAAAAAGCAGTCTGTCTGCCTCTCTGTAGAGCTGCTGTGCTGGGGGACTGCTCCAGTCTCTAGCTGCCTTGGACTCCCTAGAGCCCAAAGGCAACAATGGCTCTAGCTAAGGCTGTGAAACAGCAAATATGGCAGCCTGCCCCTTCCCCTGGGAGCCCCATCTCAGGGAGGTGTAATGCTGCTACCACCAGTGGCTGGCTGGAGTTAGAAGCCACTGGGTCTTATCCTGTGAGGGGCCTTGTAAGGGGGGCCTGCAGACCATAGCTGCTCAGCCCCCTGGATTCAGTTTGTTTCCTAGGAGTATGCGCAGGAGTCTAACTTCTCACTTTGCTGGAGTTGCAGCTGCTTTTTCTGGGAAGCCGAGATATTTAAAGCTCCTGGGGCTCCACGTGTGCCTGAACAGCTGCTCTGCCAAGACTCCACACAGCACTGCGTGTCAGACTGCAGACCCTGGTGGAGTGTGTTCATAACGGAATCTCCTGACCTGAGGGTTGCAGAGAACCGTAGGAGAAGTGCGGGCCCCCAGGGTTGCTTACTCACTCACCATTTCCCTGGGCAGGCGAGGCTCCCCTGGCTCCGTGTGACTGTCAGGTGGGCAGTTGTCCTGTCTTCCCTCCATTCTCTGTGGGTTATTTTCTTGATGAATCCCATGTGTTTACAAGGATGTTGAAGGTGCTGTATTCACTTCCTCTTTCTATTTTTCTCCATGAGAGAAAGGCATACTAGCTGCTTCTAGCTGGCCACCTTGGCAAGTCTCTTTTCTAAGTATTTTTACAGTATATATAATCTTTGTTTACTTTTAAAAGAGGACTCATATCTCAAATGCAGCTTCCTTTGATTATTGTGGAATAAAGTAGAAAAAAAATGGAATGGAAAGGAGAAAAGGAGGAATAAATATATCTAAACATATAAGATATTTCTAAGCATTTTCTGATATATGCTATTATACGTGTAACAATAGTTTCCCTACTTAAAAATAATTTTAAAAATTGGCTTTGATAAAAAGCACAGTAAAGTAATACTAGTAGTCACTTCAAGAAATCTTCTTGGTCTTTTGTTTCCAATTTCTGATGTATGTGCATTTAATCCTCCAATATATACATAGAAATAAAGTGAATGAATGGATAAACTAATTATAATAAACAGGCATGGGCATAGCCAAACATAATACTCTATCACTTCTCATTAAAAATATTCTAAGAGAAAACTTGAGATTTAAATATGTAAATAGTCACACTGATTGTTTTTTATTTTTAGGAAGTAAGCAAATCATATAGGCTACAAGAGTAATAATGTTTAATTTAGGAGACAATGGCAGAGTTCCTCAAAAAGAACTGTAAAATATCACACAAAAACTATTTTTGGAAATTAATAAAAGATTATAATTTATGTGTAATAATCATAAATTCTTTTCCCCACATAGAATGCAGCACTGAAGATTTAAAGCATGTAAACACCTTATCAGTAAATTCTTTATAATCAATATGAAGAGATATATTATACATAGAAAATAACCTAAAATTTAAGAATTGTTGAATTCTGTGGAGAACTATAAAAATATAATGTGTTAATGTTAATAATAATTACCAAATTGTAGGTGCTTTTAAGATTCAGTGGAAGTAATGAACTGAACATGGTGCTAGATAGTTTTACACCAAAATGTTACATTAGTTAAGAGGAGAGAAGGATGTAAAAAATAATAATAATAAACAAAGGGCTGGGCACAGTGGCTCACGCCTGTAATCCCAGCATTTTGGGAGGTCGAGGCGGGCAGACCACTTTAGGTCAGGACTTTGAGACCAGCCTGGCCAACATGACAAAACCCATCTCTACTAAAAATGCAAAAATTAGCTGGTGGTGGTGGTGCATGCCTCTAATCCCAGCTACTCGGGAGGTGGGGTCAGTAGATTTGCTTTACCCAGGGGGCAGAGGTTGCAGTGTGCTGAGACCATGCCATTGCATTCCAGCCTGGGCGACAGGGTGAGACTCCGTCTCAAAAATAAGTAAATAAAATAAAATAAAAATAAACATATTTTTGTGTCAGACAGCTTTATATATGATGAAGAGAATATTTTTGCCTAAACAAATTGTATATGGCAGTCATAAGAGACACATATAAAGATTTAGCCTAGGGAGTATTTGAAAAGGACCTGGGACAAAAATCTTAAAATCAGGGAAGTAAATGAAAAGTTAATAAATTACTCTTGGATAAAAAAAATTATGTATTTTTATAAGTCTGAGCCTAAAGCTCTACTTTCCTAAAAAGCTGGGAATTAAAATCATCCACTGAACAGACTCAGTCTTCCTGTTTACGAATGAAAGTGAGTGATATAACCTGAATGGCACTTTGTTGGACAATCTTAAATAAGTTATTACCTGTTCTGGGATTTTAAAAGTCCAATTAAGCTGTTTCTTTCCAGCAAGCAACCAAGCTTTAAGCTAAAGCCTAGTATTTTCTCAGTAGGGTTAATGAAGAAGCTCTTAAATAAAACAAGCTCCTCAATAATCCCTGCTGGCTTTTAATGCTTCATCTTGATGCTAAATTAGTTGCAGTAGCATAATTCTTTTAGCTCTTGGTCCTTTGGCTCACATCAAGCCTCTTGCCATAAACTCTTGAAAACATAGGATTTTATTTAAACAATTCTTCAAATTTTCTGAGTTGATATTGGCCTAATTTGAAATCCATAGCCCATTAGACTAACATCTGAATGGCAGTGTTGTTATAAATTCGTATACCCCCTATTTTGAGAGCCATAGTATAAGATAAATTTCTAAATATTAAAAAAGAAGCCTTATAGTCTAAATTGTCAGGTTATGTTTAATATGTAAATATTAGGAGCTGTTTATGTACAACTGTGGGTTTCCAATTTTAGTATATATCAGCATTATCTGGTGGGTTGTTAAACACAGGTTGCTAAGCCTCAAACACAAAGCTTGTGATTTAGTGAGTTTGGAATAGAGTTCCAAAAGTTACATCACTAGAAAGTTCTCAGGCAAAACTAATGCTAGTGGTGTGGAGAATACACTTTGAGAACCACTACTTTAAAATATTTTGACTCTATTAGTGTTGGGATGTTAAGACAGACACTTGATATCTCTGAGACTCAGTTTCCACTTATTGAGGTATTAAAAGTATTAAAAGTAATGAGGTATCAAAACATTGCTTTGATAAGTATGAGACAATATGTAAATGATTCAGCAGGGATTCTGCACATAGTTGATAATTTGCCAATATTAACTGCCACTCTTTCCCTCTCTAAAGTTCACCGTTACATAGTGCCTAGCCAAACTTGTAAAACCAACAGAAGCAATGCATTTTAAATAGTCTTAAATGTTCCTTCTGGAGGAATGGGAAGAAAGATGTCTTCAATCAATGCAGAGGTAGAGATTGGCCTGAGAAGGAAACAGATAAAGCTTAGTACTTTCTAACTGTGGGGATGATCAACCCATGTCAGTGTCATCTTGTTCCTCATCAGTCCTGATACTAAGACATGTCCAAAAGCAAAAACAAACAATAAAAAAAAAAACACTGGGAAGAAGAACAGTCTACGTCAGTTACTACTGTCTATTGCAAATTCCAGAAAGCACAACAAAAAACCAGCTTAAACAGATTAAATTTTACTCATCATACATAACATGGCCAGGCATATACTATTTTCTCTAGTTCTCTCACTTGGCATTCTGCATAGCAGTGGTCTCCAACATTTGTGGTACTAGGAACTGATTTTGTAGAATGCAATTTTTCCGCAGACTGCAGTGGGGTGGGATCGGATGGTTTCAGGATGATTCAAGCACATAAGATTTATCATGCACTTTATTTCTATTATTATTACATTGTAATATAGAAAGAAAGAATAATACAACTCACCATAATGTAGCATCAGTGGAAGCCCTGAGCTTGTTTTCCTGCAACTAGATGGTTCCATCTGGGGATGATCAGAGACAGTGACACTGGAAGTGTGTTGCTTATGTCCAATCTACTTCATAATCTCCTTTTGGTTGCTGTCACTAAAGAAAACCATGATTCACATAGATAGGATATTGGAAATGGAAGCAGAATTTTCAGTGATTTTTGTGGCAGTCTCAGGATATTCTACACTGACTTTAATTCAGAACGTATGGAGATTTGAAGTTGTCTCAAACATACTTTTAAGGCCACTGTTATTTGTGATTTCAAGCAGTTGCTCTTCTCCTACGACGAACAAAGATAATTGACCTGGCTTATTTAAAAATGGGTAGCAGATCAATTCCTTCCCAGTTCAGAGGCCTTTTTTGCTGGGAAGTAATGCTCAAACTCTTATGAAAGCTGAGAGTGGTGATCATGTACCAGCTAAGAGAAAGAGCCCCTGGCTCAGTCTCTTTCAAAATGGCTGCTGTTTGAATCATGTCAAAAACCCCAATGTCCTGTCATAGCCCCCATAATTCCAATTTGGTTTTGAATGCAACTATTTTTATCTGGCGACTTGAACACAGTTGTTGTTCCGCCCTGAAGTGACATAATGAGTTCTTTGAGCAGGTCAAACAAGTAAGCAAGTTTTGCAACCCATTCTGTGTCACTGAAATGTTCTGCCAATTGTAACTGTTTTTCTAAAAGAAATCTCTAGAGCACCTCTCAAGACTCAAAAACTCTGACCAGTGATCTACATTTAGAAAGGCATCTCACTACTATGTATAAGAGAAGATGTTTGTGCTCTGTGTCCATCTCACAGAGCTGTGCAAACAGACATGAGTTAAGGACATGTACTTTAATGTGGTTGACAACTGAAAAGCACTGTTAAGTTCAGGTGAATTGTTTTGGCTAGCCAGCATTTCTCTATGGATGACACAGTGCATAGACTCGCATTCAAAAGTGACCGCTTTGACCTGAGTATTGAAATCAGAAAGCTGTCCAGTCATGGCAGCTGCTCCGTGTGTGGGCACATACTGACACAAAATGACCAGTTCAGTTTTTCTGAGATGTAATCATTAAAAGACTTGAATAGTTTTGCAACTGTGGTGTTGGTTGGCAACAAAAGTGGTTGTAACATATCCTCATGCACATCCTCCTGAAAAATATATCCCAGAAAACAAGCACTGTTGCTTTGTAGTTGACATTAGTAGACTCATCAACCTGGATTGCATACGACGGTAACACATTAATCCTAACAATTGTGCCCAATATCCTCTGCTATTTCATCAATTTGTCTAGTTATGGTGCTAGCCAAAAGAGAAACATGTGCTGCCCTTTGAACTGCAGCCTCTCCTAAAAGTTCATGACAAATGTCCTAAGCATCAGGCAGGGTCAATTCTTCATCTTACAAAAGAGCTTCTTAGCTTTAGCAATGTGGTTAGCCACTTACAATAATGTTCTCAATGCAGACACATTCGATGAAGTGGTAGCCTTCAATAATTGGTTCTTTTCATGTTCACGTTTTTTTTTTCTTTTGAAAAAACTTCAAAGGCTTGTCTTTTAATGTGGGGTGCTTTGTCTCCACGTAGTGAAGCAATTTTGAAGGTTTCATTACTTCGTTAGATAACCGGTGGCCACATGTTATACAAAGCAGACTTGGAGAATGTGAATCACTTGTTACAATGAACTCATAATTTAAGTATGATTCTTGGTATTTTCTTTTAAAGGAAGCTTTCTTTTTGTTTTCAGTCTTAGAGTATTCTGCTTTCTCATCACTGGGTCTTTCCCCCTTTTCATAAAAGCTCTCCAGTGAAATTGTTTTTTACTCATTTTGGCTAGGATTAGCTTCTGGGCTTAATCAAAACTGTGACTGAGACAAGTGTGCAGTGTAGGAAAGAGTCAAGAATGGAAGTAGTAAATAAAATAATGGGTAGGCCACATGTGGACTAAAATAAGTGTCAGATTCGGACTTAAAGCCTGCCATCAGATACAGCTATACAAATGAAGTACATCAACTCACTTGCCACTATAAAGCCTGCCACCAGATGCAGCTTAATTGTCGCTTGCCTCTCAATAAGATTTTAATATGAGACTGCAAGTAATTGATTTATTATGGTCTATGTGCAGTCAAACCTCTCTGATAATGTTAATCTGTATTTGTAGCCACTCCCCAGTGCTAGCATCACCGTCTCAGATCATCAGGCATTAGATTTTCATAAGAAACATGCAACCTGGATCCCTTGCATGGGCTTAACCAAAATTCACAATAGGGTTCGTGCTCCTACGAGAATCTAATGTTGCCACTGATCTAACAAGAGGCAGAGCTCAGGTGGTAATGCAAGCAATGGGGAGCAGCTGTAAATACACATGAAATTTCACTTGCTCCTCTGCTGCTCACCTCCTGCTGTGTGGCCAGTTCCTACTCACCTTCTGGCAGGCAGCCCAGTCCTTGGCCTGGGGTTAGGGACTCCTACAATATAGTTCTCTCCCCCGGCTTCAAAATAACTGCCACATCTCAGGTAGCATGTCCGTGCATCATGCAGAAAGAAGGCAGGAGAGAAAGGGTGAGCAATTTTCTCTTAATTTATCTATGCTTTTTGTTTTTAATTTCAATGGGCTTTTGGGGAACAGGTAGTGTTTTGTTACATGAGTAAGTTCTTCAGTGATGATTTCTGAGATTTTGGTGCACATATGACCTGAGCAGTGTACACTGTTCCAAATGTGTAGTCTTTTATCCCTCTCCTCTATCCTTCCCCTAAAGTCCCCAAAGTCCATTGTATCATTCTTATGCCTTTGCATCCTTGTAGCTTAGCTCCCACTTATAAGTGAGAACATACAATGTTTCATTTACCATTCCTGAGTTACTTCACTTAGAATGATGGTCTTCGGATCCATCCAGGTTGCTGCAAATGCCATTATTTCATTCCTTTTTATGGCTGAGTAGTATTCCATGGTGTGTGTGTGTGTGTGTGTGTGTGTGTGTGTGTGTGTATTCTTTCTTTCTTTTCTCATTGATTGATGGGCATTTAGGCTGATTCCATATTTTTGCAATTGCAAATTGTGCTGCTAGGAAAATGCATGTGCAAGTGTCTTTTTCATACAAGGACTTCTTTTCCTCTAGGTAGATACCCAGTAGTGGGATTGCTGGATCAAATAGTAGATCTACTTTAGTTCTTTAAGGAGTCTGAATACTGTTTTCCATAGTAGTTGTACTAGTTTATATTCCAACTAGCAGTGTAAAAGTGTTCCCTTTTTACCACATCCATACCAACATCTATATATTTTTTGGTTTGTTAATTATGGCTATTCTTGCTTTTGAATTGAGGAAGGAAGGGATGGTTGTGTAGGTGAATTGCATAGCTAATTCACAGTGCACAGCACAGGAATTTTCAAGGACAAAAACAATTTTCTGGGAAAACTTCAGAAAATATTTTTTCTTTTAAGCACTGGATGCTGACAGAGAATGACTGGGTTAAGTGTTGGATGTCAATGTCTAATCAGATGTGATGTTTAATAGTAGAAAAGAGCATGAAAAAGACTGTCAATTTCTATCTCATTAAAAAAACCAAATAATGGGCACTTTAAAACATAAAATATCCAATGGAAATCAGATGTAGAATGCCTTTAAAATCCAAAAGCTAAAGTCACTTGACTTTCAAAGGCAGCCATAACATTAAAAAAATGCCTAAAATACAGGCCAAGTGTGTGTGTGTGTGTGTGTGTGTGTGTGTGTGTGTGTCCATGTTTAACATCTATATATGCTAAATTGAAACAAAGATAGATAAATAACAATAAATTATTACATTAATAAATGGGATTTTTAAAGAAGGTTTAGAGATATTCCTTTAAATGTTACATTACACTATACATTTTTAGACTTAAATGACTTGTACAGGAAAATGTTTATAGTCAGCCTGATATTCAAAAGTAATAATAATTTGCTATATTTTTTATAAACAAAATACATACTTTAGGATAATTTTATTGGAAAAAGAATTTTATTAATTTTCTTTCCTATGATACTGCCATATCTTCTTATTTTAATGTCCATTAATATTAAAAATTAACTCCTTATTTTGTGACACCCAGAAAATTACTGCAATGAAAAATAAAATACAGCTTGCATTGCAGCAAATGAGTATCTCATTATGTCCATTGGTAGACCAATTAATAACAATTTTAAATGAATAATGTTATTATCTAATCATGAGTTTTATTACAGAATTCTTTTAGAATAGATACATGTCTTCTGGGCTTGGTTATGTGAAGATAGAAGTATGCACATTTATTATTGTTGTAAGTCTTTTAAAACAACATTTTTGTGATATTAGCTATATTAAACAGTTATACAGAGGATATCATAATGACGCTAAGTTTAAACTAAACTATTGCAAATAAATATTATTCACAACAGCTCTAATAATTAACTGTCAGCCCCTTATAAACAGTCATAAATTTTCTTTTCTATTTAAGGATTTACTTATCTTACATAAATAGGGTTTACTTGTCTTACATATCCATTTAAAAGTTAGAATATCAAAGCGAGTTTCCTGGAAGTCTTATCATATGAATAATTGCATAGTCTCTTAAATGTTATGAATATCCATCTACAAATACTGTAGACTATATAGATCATGATTTTCTCTAAGTATTTTTATGGTAAAATAGAAATGAAAAGGAATTCTCTGTCAAAATGAACATAAAAGCAGTTAATTAAGGAGTAGGTGATAATGATTCACCTTATAATTCTATTTTATATTAGATTTCTTCATATGATTAATTATCTTCTTTATATGTAAGTCTATATTCTAGAAGCTACAAAGCCATGTTAATGTAAACATAATTAAAATTTTATTTCTATAATTCAACACAGGCTTCATAAATAATTTTGTAATGTGAAGAAAATTAATGCCATGTAAGTTAATAATTACCTAAATCTGTTCTTCACTAGAGCTCTTGAGCTAATTTTTTCACTAAACTTCTTCTCCCCTCTGGCCTCTAGAAAACTAAGGCCAAATTCCTAACAACAACAGAAACTAAATCAGTTTCCTTTGGATGAAGAACTCCGTTATCCAGTGCTTTTAATGATCAGTGTTGAGGTTTGCTGCAGAGATTCTGTGCTTTGGTCCCATGTTGAGAACATTCTCCTTGTCACAATATTTGTCTTTCTGTTCTGGTCTCCTATTTTAGTCCTGTAGTCAGCTAAGACTTGCAGACTCCAGACTCTTAACCTTTACATGTAACATTTATTTTCTGGGTGTTTCTTGCTTTGTTTATTTTTCTTTCATTTGTTTTTGTTGTTGAATCATAATTACTACTCACGTGACAGACATAGACTTTTCTTCTTACTTATCCAGGGTTAATGTTGGATTCAATGTGATATATCTTCATAATTTACTTGCCCACCTAAAGAACATCTTTCACAAACATTTCTATTAAAAAAACAATTCTTCGTCTCTTCCTGTATGATCACTGCTGTTCTGTACGTTCCCATTACTTAAAACTTAGCAGCAATTTGCCTTTAAAAAAATTTTTTTAACTAGGCTTTCCTCTAAATCTAGCACTTCAGATACCTTCTTTACCAGGAAGAGAGCTCACTCAGAGCACTAGTGCTAACTGCTCAGCTGTCAATACAGCCCATTCATGGGAACCAGCTATATTCATGCTTTCATCATGTCCTGTGTATGTTTCAACACAATCTATTCATTTAATAATGTGTGTATATGTGCATGTGTGTGCATAAACACACCAACTGTATGTCAGAAACTGTTCTGGGGACCAGCAGCACAAAGATAAAATGGGAAAATCTCTTCTTTTGTGGACTTCACAGCACAGTGTGGGTGAGAAACTCACAAGCAGGTAACAAATCAGGTTAAATAATGAGATAGTTCAAGTCTGAAAAGGGGATGTATACTTAGTAGAGTGGTAAAAGAAGACCCCCTTGGAAAGGTGCATTAGAGCAGCTAACTGAGATTAGAGAATAAGCATTGTTGATATCTACAGCAAGAACATTCTGAGTAAATAAAGAACAACTTGGCCTGGCATGGTGGCTCGTGTGTGTAATCCCAGCACTTAGGGAGGCTGAGGTGAGCAGATTCCTTGAGCTCAGGAGTTTGAGACCAGCCTAAGCGACATGGTAAAATCTCATCTCTATGAAAAAATAAAATAAAATAACACCACCAACAACAAAAAACAAATATAAAATAAAAAATTAGGTGAGCATGGTGGTGCACAACAATAGTCCCAGCTACTGGGCAGGCTGAGGTGAGAGGATTGCTTGAGCTCTGTAGGTTGAGGCTACAGTGAGCTACAATCATGCCACTGCACTCCAGACCTAGTGACAGAGCAAGACCCTATCACTAAAAATAAATTAATAAATACAATTTAAACATAAAGTATTTTTATGGGAGGATCAGTTTTCATATCAATTAGAAAAACTCAGGGTACCAATGGCTCAAAACAAAACAGAACCCAGAAACTCTCAGTAGCTCAAAGCAGTACAGTGTATTTTTTGCTCACATCACATGCCCATTGTGGGTTAGCACAGGGTGTTACTCGTTGTTATGGCTTTGGAACTCAGGCTACCAAAGCTTTATCCCAACACTGGCTTCCACCATCACAGAAGCTGAGAAAAAAGTAAATGGGAATTCCTACACTGATCGATAAAGCACCTTTTGATCACTTGGGGTGACATTTCATTGCTTATTCCACAGAGCAGTTTTGAGTGCAGGACTGGACACAACATAGTCAATAGAGGTGAATAATAATAGTTTAATGCTTATGTGTTCAGAAGTTAAACATGTCATTACAGCTTGTCACATATTTATGCTAACCTAACAAAGTCCGAATGTAATTTACAAATGGGAAGGATATAAAGAAAATCATAAAGCCATAAACTCATAAAGCCAAGGTGGAAGGAACAATTTTGAGTTTTATTCACCAGGAAAGAAAATGCAATATTGCGAATTGTAACTTACATCAATAGATCAACATAACAAACTTTTCAATCATGTAATTTATATTTTACCTTTGTCAGTCCCTTATTTGTTTATATAAAATTAGTTTTAATATGTAAGGCATTTTTCAATTTTCTCATAATTGCAACTTTCAGGCAAAGTTGTGTTTACATCAGCAGCTATGGAATTGCTATACGTTGAAGAGAACTAAGTGTTTTTCAGCAAGCTATTGGATTTGTGTACGGGAGCTCAGATTTTATTTTAAAAGATGATGTGGTCTTTTTTTCCAGTTTGTAATAGAATTTCATTAAGCTACTTTTATTGTTGTTTCTTTTTGCTTCTATATAATTCCCTTCAGTCTCAATAAGCCTTACCTATGAGTGTGCTTGAGAGAGCAGGTGGTGTTTCAAGAGAGACTGGGGCTGGGTTTGCTAATCATGAGAAAAGAGATGGATTTAGATATTTCATTTTTCTTCTCTGATGCAATCCATTTTAATAGAAAGACATGATTTTATAAAGCTGAGTTTGGGTTGTATTTATATAAACACACCTGTCACAATTAGCCACATACATAATTTCCCTGTTTTGTATTATTCAGAAAAATACTACATGTAGTTAATTCTGCTTTAAATTTTTTTAAAAAGAAAAAAATACTATTATTATCCTGCTAAGAGATGAACTGAAAGTAGATGCACAGTGTATTTGACAGTCTCTGCTCTAGAAAAATCAGTTTTAATGCAAAAAAGCATGATCTCCCTCTGACATTTGGAAAAAAACTGGTTATTCAATCTGGTTACTAATAAAATGTGTGTTTCTTTCATTTGTATTAGGCTTATCAGTATAAATAAAATAAAAGCTACATGGTTAAATGTGATTTCAAATTGTGATAACTAAGACTATATATACATATATTTGTGTTGGTATGTGAACATATGTATATGTTCACCATATATATGTGAACATACACATATATTCATACATATGTATATGTTCACCATATAAGTATGTGAACATATACATATATTCACGTATTCCTCTCAAACTTACCTGGAACATTCACAAAGACAGACCAGATAATGAGTCACAAAATACACCTTAACAAATTTAATAGAAGAGAAATTACATAAAGTTTGCCTTCAGGCAACAATAGAATTTGAAAATAAATTAATTATGGAAAGAGACCTAGATAATTCCAAAACATTTGAAGATTAAACGTCCACTTGGAAATAACACATAGATCAAAGAAGAGGTCTCAAAATAAATTTCAAAAACTTTGAACTAAATACAAATAAGAATACAATTTATCAAAATGTATAAGATTCAGTGAAAACAGTGCAGACACAGAAACTGATAGCCTTGAATGTGTATATTAGAAAGGAAGAAAGTTATAAAATTAATAATCCAAGCTTCCACCTCAGAAAATGAGAAGAAAAAAAAAGCAATGAAAGCCTAAAGAAAACAAAAAAATGAAATATTTAGAATTAGAGGAGAAAATATTAAAATTATAAACAGAAAATCAATAGAAAAAAATCCTTAAAAACTGGCTCTTGGAAAAGATCAATAAAATTGATAACCATCTTGCCATGTTAACCAAGAACAAAAGAGAAAAGAGAAAAATTGCTAATATATCAAATAAAAAAGGTTTGTTACCAATGGACGCAGACTGCCAAAACTCACACAAATAGAAAAATAAAATCTAAATTGGCCTCTATATCCTATAGAATTTGAACCAATAATTAATAACATTCCAAATAGAAAATAATAGGTTCAGACTGTTTCGCTGGTAAATTCTACCAAATACTAAGGAAGAATTGATAACAATTCTCTACCACGTTTTTCAGAAAATACAATCCGAGGGAACACATCTTAACTCTTTGTCAGTTAGCTTGAGCTGTTACAACAAAATACCTGAGATTGGGCAACTCAAACAACAGACATTTATTTCCTACAGTTGTGAAGGCTGGGTAGTCTGAGATTAGGGTGCCAGCACGGTCAGGTTCGGGTGAAGACCTGATTATTGCCGAGAAGATGGCTGCCTTCTTACTTTATCCTCACAAAATAAAGAGTGGTAGCTTTGGTGTCTCTTTCCCTTCTTATAATGGCACTAATTAACCTCATCTAAACCTAATTACCTCCCAAAGCGCCACCTCATAATTTCATCACAATGCAAGTTAAGGCTTCAATATATGAATTTTGAGGGAAACAAACATTCAGCGTAACACTCTTTCTACAAAGCCACCGTCACCCTACTACCAAACCAGGTAATGTCATTGTAATAAAGGAAAACTACAGACCAGTATTTTTCATAAGCGTACATATGAAAATCGTCAACAAAACATTAGCAGACCAAATTCAGCAGTATATAGAAAAGAACTATACACCAAGACCTAGTGGGATTTGTTTCATGTATCTGGTTCAACATTTAAAAATCCATTAATGTAATCCATTATATCCAGCAGGATACAGAATAAAAATTATATGATCATATATAGATGTAGAAAAAGCATTTGACTAAATTTAACATTCATGGTAAAAACTGCAAATTCAAAATAGAGGAAAACTTTATCAACATGGTAAAGAACATCTACAAAAAAAAATACAACTAAACAAAAAATAAGAAAGAAGAAACAAAATGCTTTCCCCCCAAGAAAGAGAACAAAAGAAGGATGTCCCCCTCACATCTCCTCTTCAACAAAGTGCTGGAAGTTGTAGCTAATGAACCAAGGCAATAATAAAGTTAAAAAAATAGAAGTATACAGAATAGAAGGGAAAAAATAAATCTTTGTTGATGGAAGACAGGATTGTTGATGTAGAAAATCTCAAAAAAAATCAAAAAATTTTCTTGGAAGAAAAAAGCTTTTTTCATAACTTCTGAAAGCAGAAGCAACCAAGATGTCCTTCAATAGGTGAATGGACAAACAAAATTTCATATCTGTACAATGGAGTACAGTATTATTCATCAATAATAAGCAATGAACTATGAAGCCATTGAAAGACATGGAGGAATCTTACTGAGCGAAATAAACCAGTCTGAAAAGTTACTGTATTATTCCAACTACATGCCATTCTGGAAAAGGCGAAAAATAGAGTTGGTAGAAAGATTAATCCATTCTAGGGGATTGAGGGGGAAGAGAGGAGGGAATTGATAGGCGATTGACAGGGGATTTTTAGATTGACAGAATATTCTGTAAGATACTGAAATGGTGAATACATGACAATACACATTGATCAAAACCCATAGAATGTACAACATAAAGAGGCAATCTTATATAAACTATGGACTTTAGTTAATATTGTATCAATGTTACTTCATTCATTATAGCAAATGTAATGCAAGATGTCAGAGATAAGGCAAGACAAATTCAGGGAAGGGACATGTATGGGAACTCTCTGTAATTTCCATTCACCTGTTTACTCGTTTTTTTTTTTTTTTTTTTTTTTGGCAAATCTGAAACAGTTCCAAAAAATAAAGTCTAACAAATATTCTAGGTCAGTGTTTTGCTAAAAAAAAAAAAAAAAAAGAGAATAGTCTGAGCTCCATTTTCTTTCTTTTCTACATTTATTGATTGATTGCTTTAATAATTCTATGAAAAATATTTTCTTACATTATTATAAGAAGGTCATTGGATATTTAAAGGAGAAGGGAGAAACACATCTGTGAGTTGATGGTAGATTTTCAAAAATATATATTGATTAATTTATAATTTGTATTATAGAACCCTAAGGATAGAGACTGAAATGTTAAATAGTTCTACAAAGTTCATAAAGAAAAAGTGTTCTCCTGACCCATGACTTCACACTTCTGATTTTTACTCCTCATTGACCACATATTTCGTCTTGTTCCAGCCTATTTAATTATCTGTATTAGATTTCTGTATTGAGATTTCTCAGTTGAAGATTTAGCTCTACTATACAATAACTTACCTTTCAATGATCACTCTTTCTTGCCCATCCTCCCAGTATAATTATTTCACTTTTTGGTTATATCAATATTCAGAACTTCTCTTATGTGACAATGTCAATAATTTCTGAAATTAAAGTCTCTAGTGCAATATGAACTTTTTTTTTATTTTGTGTTGTAGTTAATAACTACTTTCTTTTTTTAAATTTATTATTCTATGTTTTTATCACAAATTTGTCTCAGTGCTCCACCAGAAATCTGAATCACCTCTCAATTTGTGTTGTTATGTTTTTAAAAAACAGCACAAATTAACCATGTCGTTTTCTTTCTCGAGGTATACTTCCTATAACCTTCCATCCAGTCTAGATTGTTTGCTTTGTAGTCAGGACATGTAAGGGTCATCCTGAGATTTCTTTTTCATCTTTGCCATTATTCTAAAGACTTTCTCTGCCTTCTTTTTGGTTAGACACCTTGTTTCCTGGAGTCCATGTGTTCTTCTGGTTTATTTATGTATTTATTTTTCATTCTCATTTTGATTAAAGCCTACCCTCTTTTTCGGTAGCTTCTTTAGAACAGTTTTTTCTTTATACAGTTTAAATATCTGAATATGTTCTTGCAACTTTGTATTTATTTGAGTTTGGCTAGATTTAAATTGATGCTCTGGTAACTGTTTCATTCAGAAT
Organism: Homo sapiens; assembly: GCF_000001405.40. Lineage (NCBI taxonomy): Eukaryota > Metazoa > Chordata > Mammalia > Primates > Hominidae > Homo > Homo sapiens. The sequence goes on from NC_000021.9 coordinate 18,893,112, forward strand.
TTTTGAAGGCTGTGCTCCCTTGTGTCTACCTTTTGGTCTTGCTATTAAGTCTGATCCTATTGTCATTTTTAATTCTTTGTTTATAACCAATTTTTGGTTTGTTTGTTTTTGTTTGAAAGCTTTTATAGTCTTGGTCATCTCTTTATCTTGGATGTTAATAATGTTTACAAAAATATACTTTTATATTTTATAGTTCTAAGCACTATATGGGTTCTTTAAAGTTGGCGACTAATGTGTTTCCTGCTAATTTATATTATCCCTTCTGTTTTCTCAATTCTTTCTACCTGTTTTAATCTGTTGTACCACTTTAATTTATTCATAATTATTAAGCCAAAAATATTTTCTAGCCAATTTTACACCTTTTTGCTATTTTATTCTATTTCCTGGGCTATTCCCTCTATTTTTATCTTCCAATCCTTTGTTATCATATTTTAAATTCCCAAGGCTCTTTTCTGGGTCTCTGAATGTTCCCTGCACTCACCTCATGATGCAATAACTTTACATTCTTCAAAGTTTATTTATCATGAAGCATGGTATTTGAGGTTTCATTTTGTTGGCTACTCGCAGAGGATAACACAGAGCGAGGAATTCTTTTTTTTCCTTTGAAGCATATTGATAAATTTTCAAAGAAAATTAATTGTTTTCATAGATAGATAGGTGCCTATTTCCTTATTCTACCAGATACACAAGTGTTAATGGCACAAAATCATTTCCACAGGTAGAACTGAGAATGTGGGGGTGGATGTCTGGTGAAAGTTCAAACAAATAGCATTGATATACTTTTCTTTCAAGTATTGTTGAAGCCAGACATTTAAGAGTCCAGCCTCACAGTTTCTCTCAATCTCTGGCCATACCTAAGTCCTCTAGGGATTTTAAACAATATTTTGAAAGTAAATTCCCTGAAAAGACTAATATTACTACTAGTCCATGTGAAGGGGAGTGTCCCCAAAAACAATTGGAATTTGAAGTATTTATTTATTCATGCATTCACTCTCTTATCAATAATTGATTATCTACTATGTGTGAGAAACAATGCTATGCATTTAGGATACAATTATTTAATTCAAATATCATTAATCTCTGTGTTTTTAAGGCTTTGTTTTCCTTGATTGAATTTTTAACTGGCTGGCTCTTTCAATTGGGAATTGTAGAAAACATTTTTTTTTAAATAATAAGATCTTAAAACTCTTACGTTATTCAATACTGTAATAATTCTTAGAAAGTAAACTGCGTTCAACCTGGAAAGATCACCTATATGGTAAATAAAGTTGTTGCTGGTGTTATTGTTTTAGACTTGAACAATTTCTGGAACTAGCAGAGAAAATTTTTAAGAAATCTGAAGTCAGGAACTGATTTACTGGTATTAGAGCCATAGAAAGGATAATACAGCCACTTTGCCCAAGGTATGCCTGCCTTACTTTTTTATTTATGAGTCACTAGCACTGCTAGAAAACAAACAGCTGCATCAGTATTTTCCTGGATATTAAAGTCACTTTTATTGATGCCTTTGAACTTGCTGTATCATCTCATAGGGACACTGCAAACAAAGCCCTAGTAAATATACAATTTATTACCAGGGAACCTAGTTAATGAAAATCTGTGCTGTGTATAAGAAAAGCTACAATAGTCTGTTTGGAAAACATTCAAATTCTATTTCCAATTACGTGTCATTGTGAGGTTTCCTGGGTTTTGCTCTTTATCTTTCTCTTTTAAAATCTCAATGTGTTGATTATTGATCTCTCTTCTACAAAGAGACAGCTATAAATGTGAACAAGCAGTATATATTTGGAATATTATGAATGTGTATCAAAATGCACCTCCAAGACGCATACAGTCTCCGTAAAACAAGGTTTACTTATTTTGTGAGTTAAGCGAACTAAATAAAATGTCATGTTTAGGTTACTAACTCAAAATTAGGAGTTATTTTGATCCTTAGTATATTATCAGAAAAATCTTAGTACACTGAGTGAAAAAAAATTTATGCCATTATTAAACACTCAAAAACTATTTTCTCATGCAATGTGAACATTTTAAACTCTTACTGGCTCTCATCAAAAATTGGAAGAAAATATCCCAGAGGATTTAATTCATTCATAAATGTTTTCCTGTTTTTTTTTCTATAATTTGGCCAATGTATATCTCTGAAAAAACATGCCCAATTAAGTCCAATATTCTATTTCAAAATATGACATAAATCTTTCTCTTTAATGAAACAGGTAGTTTTCTATTGAGGTGGTCCAGATTGCAAGAAGACTAAAATGATATATTTTTTAAAAAGGAAGTGAACATAGTATTCTAATTTCATTTCAAGAGGAAAACAAAAATTATACATATGACTATAAAATAGTATTGAACTCCAGTATAAAAGTGAGGTATGAGTTACTATTTTCCTCTTTCTTAAAATAATAGCAAGAATAAAAATATAAGAACACAAATAAACAAAAAAGGACGACATTTCTAGTAAAACTAGGAGAAAGGTAAAATTTACACACTCCCAAATACATGTACATCTTTTCAAAGTTGAGTTTGAACATGAGCTGTGTGAGAGGGCATGAAAAGGGCCAGGAGAATACCTCAAAAATCCCCAACAAAAATTCACGTGCTACAGATGAGAGTCTTATTTGATGTAGAAACCGAATAACTTGTTCTTTACCCTGCTCCAGCTGGATTCAGAGAAATCTTGCCAACATGGCTGTGTAAAGAATCATCCAGGCCAGACGTGGTGGCTCATGCCTATAAAGCACTTTGGGAGGCCGAGGCAGGTGGATCACTTGATGTCAGGAGTTCGAGACCAGTCTGACCAATGTGGTGAAACTCTGTCTCCACTAAAAAAAAAAAAAAAAAAAAAAAAAGCCAGGTGTGGAGGTGCGTGACTGTAGTCCCAGCTACTTAAGAGACTGAGGCAGGAGAATCGCTTGAACCTGGGAAGGGGAGTCTGCAGTGAGCCAAGATTTGGCCACTGCACTACGGCCTGGGTGACAGAGTGATACCTCTTCTCAAAACAAACAAATAAACGAACAGAAAAGAATCACCCATATGGCCTCTGAGACTACATAAAAAGGGGAAGAAAGTCAGCTTCCCAGCTCACCCCAGGAAACCTGCAAGTTGTCACACCAGGAAACTGCAATTTATTATGATTAGTAATACAGAGAAACTAAAAACCATTGATAAAATGCTATTTTAAATATAGATGATAAACAAACAGAATCAGAACTTACAGAAAGATGATTAACACTGACAGAAAATATAGAAATATTGATACAGAAAAAAAATGATGATGAAATATTTTGCAATAGATTTTTTTAATGGAACTTTTACCCATTAAAATATTAGCAGGAGAGAGAGAGAGTAGGAAAGAGAGAAAGAGAGAACGAGAATAAGGAGATGACATATATGAGCTACCAGTTCTTAGAAAGGGGTGGAAGTAGAATGATCACACTTAATGACAAAATGAAATAGTGCAGGAAAAAAAAAAGATGAGGCAGGAAAAAAAAAACAGAAACAAAGAGAATAGATACTGAAAAATAAATTAAAATGGCAGCCTAGAGGTAAAAATAAATGCAGGTATGTAGAGTATACCTCAATGAAGTCCTTATGAAGGAAGAGAAGGAAGGAAGACCACAAAGAGACAGAGCCCGTTGATTTCAGTCCGGGCAGCCACTGCACCTGAAGCTACACTGCTGATCAACAACAACAACAAAAAACCCAGTAGAAATAATTGTATTTCGGCAAAGGCACTTGAGAGTGTTTTATGGTCGCAAAATAGAAGGTACATCAGCACCCAGAATGAAAGTCAACTGTGATTCCACAGGAAAAAAAAGAAAAAAAATCTGAAATGCATCAGTTCTTGGGATAAATGGAAATGAAACAGTTGAAAGTGCCTGTTCTGGAGATGATTCATAAAGATCCAAGTGAAGATTCCAATATTCATCAAAGCACCAAGAAATCAGTGTGAAAAAGAACATCTCAACTGCAGGATCAGTACACGAACTATCATTATATAATGGTATAGATATTTTAAAAATACGTGAAGATACAGTCTACATATAGGCAGAGAGAAAAGTAGTTTTAAAATGCAAAACTGAAGTTTTGTTGCTGTTTTAAAATTCTAAAAGTCCCTACCATATATATTTAGATTTTCTCCATTTACAATGTCTACTGGATTCTATTATTACTAAATTTAATAAATATATAAATCTTCAACATACAAGAATATAATTTTGAGGAATACTGTGAAATTTGGTTTCTCTAGAAATTACTATGCGTGTCCTAAAATTATTAAGTGGACTTAGAATGAATACTGCGTCGCTAAAACTACAATATAAAGCAATGATTTCAATCCATTTATCACCTACCTCATTTCCTATGCTTTAGATTTCAGAAGTATTACATCTATATACTATAAACATCTCACAAAACATTAATAAGTTTTGTTTAAATAATGATACATATTTTTAAATGTATTAAGAGGAAAAATTGTGGGATTTTTAAACTTTTATTTTAAGTTCACCAGTATATATGTAGGTTTGTTACATAGGTGAACTTGTGTCATGGGGGTTTGTTGTACAAATTATTTCATTACTCAGGTATTCACCCTAGTACTCATTGGTTATTTTCCCTGATCCTCTCCCTCCTCTGTTCCTCCAAAAGGCCCCAGTGTGTGTTGTTCCCCTCTTTGTGTCCATGCGTTCTCACCATTTAGCTCTCTCTTATAGGTGAAAACATGTGGTATTTGGTTTTCTGTTCTTGTGTTAGTTTATGTAAGGATAATGGCCTATAGCTCCATCCATGTCCCCTCAAAGGACATGATTTTGTTTTTCTTTTATTCGTGCATAGTATTCCATAGTGTATGTGCACCACATTTTCTTTATCCAGTCTATCACTGATGAGAAGTTAGGTTGATTCCATGTCTTTACTATTGTGAATATTGCCACAATGAACATACCTACATATGCATCTTTATAGTATAAAGATTTATATTCCTTTGGGTATATAACCAATAATGGCATTGCTGGTCAAATGGTATTTCTGTCTTTAGGTCTTTGAGGAATTGCCACCTGTCTTCCACCTGGGATAATTATGTTTTATATTTACCTAAAGATTTGTCATTTCTGATGCTCTTCTTTTTTTCCTGAGGGTCAAAGTTTCTATATGGTATTCATTTCCCTTAATCTCAAATAATTGCCTTTAACTTTTTTTTTGAAATGTTATTCTTTCAGCAACAATTTTATTCATTTTCTTTGACCAAAAATATCTTTATTTTTGCCTATATTATAGACTATTTTCTTTGGATATAGATTCCTAAGTTCAGAGTTATTTTCTTTCATCAATTTAGATATGCTGTTTCATGGTCTTTTGCCCTCTGTTTTTTGTGATAAACTGGATTTCATTCACGACCTTCAAATGTATGCTTTCAATAATTTAATTATGCTGAGGCTGGAACTGCTTTCGCTTGCAAATATCCTGCTTGGGGGGGTCACTGGGTTTACTGACTTTCTAAAATATTTGCCTTTTATTAAATCTGGGAAACTTTTGGCTATTTTTTCAAACATGTATTTTTTCTTTTCAATTCTTTCTCTAATTCTGAAATCTCAAGTTTAAAAATATATTAACCTATTTGATCCAGAGTTTGCTGACTCTATGTTTTTCTATTTTTTCTGTTTTTTAGATCAGATGATTTATATTGACTTATCGTTTAGTTTAGTGAATCCTTCCTCTGTCTTCTCCATTCTGCTTTATTTCAGATGCTTCATTTTTTAAATCCTGTGTTTCCTTTTGCTTCCTTTTTAAGTATGTATTAATATTTCTCTCTGGTGAAGTATCTTATCTTTTCATTGAATGTGAGTGTGTTTTTCTTTATTGATAATATGATATTAGCTGCCTTAATATCTTTGCTTGCTAATATTAATAACGGGATCATTTTTCTTTGTGGTTCTTGCTTGATTTTGTTTCCTCTAAAGACTGGATTACGTTTCACTGATTTTTTTATATTCAATGTTGATTAACTCTAAATTTTAGCTTGAATATAGAGAACTTGCATTATGCTATATTCCTTTGAAGAATTCCATTTCTTTGTTTTAGTGGGCACTTAGCTTGGTTGGACAAAAACCAGCAAACTCAGTGTCTTGGAAACATGTCTCAATTCAATTATTTTATCTTCAACTGGGTTGAACTGAATCTGCCTCACACATGCTTGGGTCAGTATTAGCATATCAGACAGGTTTTTGGAGACATTTTAAAAAGAGATTTAGAAACTTGTCAACTCACAGTATCTCCTTTCTGTGAATCCCCTTATTTCCAGCTGTTGTGGTTGCTTCAAACTGTCCTCTAGCTCTTAAATCTGGCAAGAATGCAGGTTTTCTATCAGTTTTAGCCTCTAGGTACAGGAAATGACTGTGGCTCTCAGGTGAATAGTTGTAGAAACATAAAAAAAACTTTTCTTGTTAGTTCCTGCTTCAAAGTATTGACTGCCCTCCAAATTTTACTTACATTTGCTCATGATCCAGGGTCTTCAGGTGTTAACTAAAAATTGTCTAGAGTTTCTGGCTATTGTCTGAAGGAGGAATAATCTTTAGTAGGAAATTACTGACCTCTACGGTAAGCAAAATGTCAAGACAAACAGGCATAAACATAGAAAAACTGAGAATATTTCATTGCCATGATTCTTTTTTAAGTAAGTACTATAAGGACAAGATATAGCTTGGATATGACTGGGAAAACTATGACAAAATGATTCTTATCAATACTGACAATATTTAGCTGCAAAGCTTGTTTAACTGTACATAAAATTGAATAAAATGTTGTGTGCCTTAACTTTAGTAACTTTACTTACAGTTTGATGAGGTAAGAGAAGAAATGGAGGAGGATATAGATTTAAGTTTGCTGAATGTCCAATCCCTGAGAACAGAATTAAATGGAGTAATAAAAATACAGGTATATTTCACATTGTAAAGGTAAACATGCAAGGCCTAATATTAGTAACTAAAATTGTCAGCAGAAGAGTAGAAGGGGGGTTATAGATGAGAAAACATGTTACTGTTTTATTGCTTATAGTGATTGATACATGTAATATAAATAAATGTCAAACTGAGGAAATACACTTGTAGTGTCAAATAACTAAATAATTAATTATGTATCTATATCTATTTATTTATCAATGTCTATCTATGTATTGTAAGAGTTTTGTGTGGTATATTCATATGTATTATAATACACAAAAAAGTAGAAGTAGTATGGAAAATATTTTCTCATTACAGTGCATGTAATTAGAAATTTATAACAAAATACAAATTTAAAACACCTTTGTCAACAGAAATTTCAAAATGTTTTCTAAGCAATTCTGTGGTCTGAAAGGCAATATTAATTGAGATTTCAGACTTTTAGAACATATCAAAAATAAACACAGTACATAGAGGATACAGCTTAAATTAACAAAATTTAATACTTCTATTGATAATCAAATAACAATGAAAACAAATAACAGCCTATTGAAAAAGTTAGAAAAATAACATCAAGATAATAAAAAAATAAGCAGAAGAGAAAACAATCAAACACACAAATCAAAGTGCTAAAAAAAGTACCCAAAAAAACAGGTTTGAAACAAACAAACAAAACTGGGGAAGATTTGCAATTTGAACCAGAAAGATCTGCTATCTATTAAACACAGAAATCATACAGAAATTGATTAGTAAAACATTACCCAATAAATATGGGTAAAGGTGATAAATGTACAGATCACAGAAAGGGGCACATAAATGGGGTTTAAGCCTATAAAAATATTTAGTTTACTCATAAGATAAAGAAAAATTAAGGTTCCATTAAGATACTATTTTTGTCTATCATACTAGCTCTAGTTATCAATGGAGAACATTGGAATTTAGGGAGGTATTTTTATCGGGCTTCAGATATTTAGAAGATAGGGAACATTGATGTACAGTCCCTGTAGTAAATGGCATGGATTCACAAAAAGAAAAAAAATAAGCTGGTGTCCCACAGAATTTCCAAATATCTTGCCAGGCATTCATGTATTAAAACGAGTTTATGATTTTATGAGCCTAGAACCTCTATTAGGTTTATATATTTCCACAAAATGCACGGAGAATGGAATTCAAATTATATTCAGCATCTTAGTAACATAACTTTACCTTACGAATAAATAGAAGTGTTGAATTTTTTCTGCAACATTATCAAGAGCTGTCCACAATTTGCAATGTAACATCAACCATACAAACGCCACAGGAGGTATCTGAGTAACCAAAACGACTTGTCTTTGCAGGACATAAATTCTACTTTGTATACACAGCAGATGACATAATTATAATTTCTTATATAGGCACATCTCTGTACTTACATATCAAAACACAAAGATTGTTAAAAGTTTATTTTATTTTCCTTTTTTACTCGAGTTATAACATCGTATTAATTTTTTTTTGAGACAAGTTCTTGCTCCGTTTCCCAGGCTGTTGTACAGTGGCTTGATCACGACTCACTGAAGCCTCTATCTCCCATGGTCAAGCAATCCTCCCACCTCAGCCTCCCTAGTAGTTGGGACTACAGGTGTGCTACCACACCCAGTTGATTTTTTTTTTTTAATTTTTAGTAGAGACAAGGTTTCTCTGTGTTGCACAGGCTTGTCTTGAACTCCTGAGCTCAAGCAATCCTACCTGCCTTGGCCTCCTGGGATTACAGGCATGAGCCACCATGTCCAGCTGAACACTGAATTAATTTTTTTTGAAATTACATAGACATACAAAGACAAAGTGAATTTCACTACAGCATAGTACAGAGAAGCATGACAATTACAATTTATATATATATGTGTATGTGTACATGTGAAGCACTGTACTTAATATGATAGAGAATAACTGATACATCCAAATGACCACAAAGAAAATGTTAAATAATACACTTATTTTGCAAGCCTCTAGGGAAACAAGCACTTTAATATATTAAAGGTGGGTGTGCAACTTGGTACAATTCTTAGGATTGAAAATATCTGTAGATGTTTGGAAATATCTGTAACATTTTCTAATGTATGTACCTTTTCATATCTGAGAACTCACTTGAAAGATGTAATTGCATGCATGAAATGACATTAGTACAAAATTATTCATTGTAGCATTGCTTGTATTAACAAGAGATTGGGAACAACTATGTTGTCAATGCTTGGGTTCTGGTTATATACATAAATTCAAATTTACACAAAAAGATACAGTAAAACACAATAAAATACAATGAGGAAGCCATTTCTGTTTTGATATAGAGAGGTCTCAAATATTTTATTGAGTGATATAAGCAGAATAATGTACAGAGTTGTGTATTTTATTGAGGAAAGGAGGACAACTGAGAATATATGCTTGTATTTTACTACATATACCTTTAAAGAAATCTGGAAGAAAACAGAAATCCTAAGACACAGTGTTCTCTTGGGTGTGTTATGATGGGAGAGTTGCCGATGTTGAGAAAATGTGCTGTTTTGCACAGAAATGAGTGGCTGACTTTTCAGTGCATGCTTTTTTATTTTAATTACTTAAGTAGTTGGATGTAAGAATAGTAAAATTAAATGAAAATTGAGGTAAAATATAATTAAGATCTCTGCATATAATTTATGTCTTGAAACCTTTGATTATAAAGTGTTTCCTAGACCCTTTCACAGAAAAATCTCCATATAGCTATTAATAAGAGGAAAATCCATTAGCACACGAATAACAGATTGTGAATAAAAAGCTGAACAAATACTCATCTCCATTGCTGAATTCATACTGTGCAGTGTTGCATACCTTAATCCTTGTCGCTTTATTACAATGACAAAAAAAGTTGCACGCAAACAGTGAAATAAAATGTCAAGATATTTCTGCCTGGAAGGAGAAATCATGCAAAGATTGTCTATTTGTGTTCTTTAAGAAAACATCACCAGGACAGAAAAAGAAAGAAATCCAAGCTTTCTCAGTAGGACAAAGTTTGAGGAATCTGGCTTAAAAAGTCTATTCTCTCCGGCTGTCATCTCAACAACAAAAAATACCCATTCTACACTTAAGTTGAATTTTTCTTGCTTGCTTTCAGCAAAGATAGAGTCATTTTTAATAAAAGGTTTTTATTTTAGTTTTAGCTAATTATTTGTGATGCCTTCTTCATACACTGTATCCTATTCCAGCAGAAAATCTACTTGGATTTATAGCTGAAAAAATTGTGATACACACATTACCTTTGATCATTATTTTTCATAATGATAGTCAGCACTAAAATTCCTACATTATAGAAGCTTAGAGGAACAATTCAGTCAGCAAAGGGATGAGTGTGTAGGAGATGATTTTGAATCAGTAGTTACTTAGAAAAAAACTACTTTTACTTAGATTGTTCATTTGAGATGGCTAGAAAGAGGCAGATAAAATACATGGTGTTTACAAAGTATCGTAGTAACTCAATGAAAGTCTTTGAATGCATTAATAAAGATGGAAATATTGTAAATAAGAGTAACATGAAATTTGACAACTATCAAATGTCCGTTTGAGGTAGTGACTCATGTATAGCTGTATAATATGAACCTCCTTTACTGCATATAGCTGAAAATAAGTAGTAGGAAAAATAATTTTTTTTCATTTTTAATGGTTTATTTCTTCTTGAATATAAGGATATGTGAGCTCCATCAACAAAAATGCAGTGACTAACAGAAGACAAAGGTAGATAAATGAAATAGATTTGACTTGTCATTTGTTTTCATAGATTCAGATTTCCTGTGTGTTCCCTTTATTTGAAAAGTTTTAGTAGTGTTGTCACACTTCTCTTAGGTTTTAAAAATTAGTTTGAAATTTAAATAAACATAAGTCTAATGCTTTGAAGCAATAGAAATGATTATTTGGTTTGTAATTAATGCAGTTGTTTACCATTACTTTTTATAATATTTTACTTAATGTAAGGAATATGATGCTTATTAAACATGAACTATGTATCAGAGTTAGCATGTATATTATTTATTTAATCTTGAAAGGTAAATATACATTCACCCACACAGAATGAATAGGGGAAATTGCAAATGTATTGTATGATTTGCCCATACTCTGTGAATCAAAACTCGTTCACACTCTTAAGCTTAGTGTCTATGGAATATAGTGACCTATTGTGTAAATGATGTCACCCTTTCTTTTATTGTTTTATCATTTAATGTTTTATTTACTTTTATGAGATTTTTCACGACTGGAAGAGTGCCTTAAATATATTTTTCAATTATTTTATTTAAAATAATACCTTTAATAGAGCTGTCATACTTTTAATGGTTTGTCAAATCAATCAGTAACAATCTGTCCAAAAGCATTCTGCTTGTCTATCCCAATTATTACCAGTGTGTCCAGTGAGCAGGTGAAATGTATAATCTGAGAAACTTAAATGAAAAAACAGTAATAGTTCTATTTTATTCTCAAATAAGCAAATCCAAATTACTCTTTTTGTATGTTTTCCAACTATTCAATTTGGAGTATGCAATTATATTTGTTTTACTGGCAAAGAGACAATAGCAATGTAACACATCTCAAATAGGATATCTGATGAATTTATTGGTAAAACAAAACATTAGTTCATAAGTGTATTTGGAGGGTCGAGCTATTTCCAAAAGTCTAAACAATCAAAAAGGTAACCAGAGTACTCTTTTACTATTGCTTTCCAATGTTTCTCCAAAGAATTGGAATTATATTTATTTAGAGTTCAATCTAATACCAAAAAAATTAAGAAAAAAGTTATAATAGTCTAGTTGTAGGTTAAATCATTATTTTTTAACATAATTAAACATTCAAAACTAATAAAGCATTATTTAAATATTAGCAATCTGAATCATTTCACTGACTATTCTAGATAACTATGTAATGTGTTTGGTTTCGTGAAATGTTTATATAAATGAATAATTTATAAAAGGTATAATTAATATAAATAACAATACAATACACACTCAAATATTCACTATCTTAAGTGTTGTATTCCCAGTATCTCAGAAACTCCTTGTAGAACACTTTTCATTTGTAGCTGCTGTTCTCATTCCATGAATGAAAGCCTGTTTATATTAGAAATTTTTGTTTAGAAATAATATTTATAGTTTAGTAATTTTGAAATTTATATTTAAATACAGTCATGTTGTGTGCAATGTTTTGTGATTTGGCTGCTTTTTCCAACATTGGTTTTGTGACGTTTCTTCAGGTTGATTTCTGTAACTACAGTTTTTTCTTTTTTTTCTGCATTTTATGTTCGGTCTACTCTTGACACTCATTTAAGGGGTGTGAACGGGTTTTTTGTTTGGTTTGTCACCTCTTTTGTTTTTAACCCCAACTATTTCTAAGAAAAGCTCCTTTGTACATAACTCCTAGATTATATACACAGGAGTTTGTTTAGAATTGGAGTTGCTGGGCTGCATATATTTAACTTTAGTGGATGAACTGGGCTAAAATAGATACCTCTCCGTATTTATTGATGTCAGAATCTTGGCTACTGGTTCAGTGGAGAACCTCAGTCATTGTCTCATCTCCAAAATCATTGTGCTCAACTTGGTAGTTGTCACTTTAGCTAGAGGTTTTGGGACTAATCCAGCCAGATCACACAAGGCCTGAAGGGCCTTTCTACTCCTCTGAAGTGCTCCACATTTTGTACAGACTGAGATGCCTTTTGATCAAGAAAAGACAGGAGACGGGGCTTAAAAGAACACATTTCTCACGCTCTGTCTCTCTTAATAGTCTTTTCTTCAGTGTAGTGGGTTCATAAAACTTCTCCAGAGAAAATTTACTTCACTGAGCAAACAGCAGTATTTCCTGGGAGGTTTCAGTGCCGCTCTACATTACTTTACTCTCTTCCTTCCTCGCTTCCCTATTTCCTTCACTCTTTATTGAGCTAAGACTTTAAGTACACCAAACTCCCTCTAAAATAAAATGCTCCACTTTCACATGAACCGGCAGTGAGCAACAGATCGATTCCTCCATTACCTCCTTCACACTCTCCATAATCTAATTTCTAGTTTTCTACCAACATCAAGGACTTAAAAATGGCACTTAATTTTAATTTCAGATTGCATTTTTCTGGGTATTACCAGTGTCGAAAGTTTATAGACTATTCCTGTCTCTTCCATGGGATCTCAGTTCATGATGCTTGCATTTCTTTCTTTCTGGTTGTTTGTCTTTTTCTTTTGTTTTTTAATTTCTATGTTTTTTTCATATTTATATAATGTAGATATTAATGTTTCATCAGTTATTTGATTAATATAGCTCATCCTGATTTACTATTTGTACAGTCAGCCCTTTAAATCCCTGGGTTCTGCATCCATGAATTCAATCAATTGCAGATTCAAAATATTCAAATAAAATTTTGCAAAATTTCAGAAAGTAAAACTGGAATTTGTCAGACACTGAGTCCTGTGCTGAGCTCATGTAAATGAAATGATATGTAGGCATTGTATTATTTATTACAAGTTGACCTAGGGATGATTTAAAGTATACGGGAGAATGTGTAGTAGGCTACATGTAAGTACTATTGCCATTTCATATAAGGGACTTGAGCACCCACGGATTGTGGTGTCTGCAGGGGGAGAGGGAGAGTGGGCCCTGGAAAAAAGAAATCTCCCATAGATATAGAGGGGGGATGACTGTATTTTTACTTTTTATGACATATGCTAAAACAGAAATTTGTAACTTTAATGTTGATAGATTTATCAATGTATTTCTTTATATTTTATATGCTTGTTTCTTTTGAGAAATCACCTGCCGTTTCAAAATTGTGGATTACTTCTTATTGTCCTCTAAAGTTTTATAATGTACCTTTCACATGTAAGTATTTAGTCCAACTGGAGTTGATTTTCTGCTTGTGGCTTAAGGTGGAGCTAGAAGCCTTGCATCCTTTATTATAAAGTTGATATTATACCCACCTATTGTCAATGTCCACTCTGATATAAATCAAGTTAAGATTATGTTTATTTATTCTATATTCCATACAGCAGCCTGATGTTCTAATTTTGTTCCCAAACTCCACTGTCTTATTTAATAATGCTATATATAAAACGAGGTGTAATATCTTTTAAGTACAGTCCTACCACATCATTTTTCTTTCTCTATTTTACTGCCTGGAGGTTCAGAAGCCTTCTTGAAATGATGAACATAGCTGAAGAGAGTGTGACCCTAATGTCAGTGAGCTGCTGAGTGACTGTCACCATATGCTTATCTCAAGATTTCTCAGTAAACCATGAGAAAAGGAATTCTGTTTTAAAGCCAGTGTTATTTGAAACGTCTGTTACATGCTGCCAAATGTATCCTTAATTGACAAAACCATTCTGGGAGAATAATTTCTAGATTCTGAAAGGTGCTTTTTACTCAGGGCTAATGCCCAGCCACAACACACATTTCAACTAGTGACTTAAACCTAGTGGACATTAAAAGTTTCAGAGTCAATGTCCCCTGTGGTTTGTTGAACTTTTTCATTGTCACTCACATTTTCTCTATTGCACAGTTTTCTACAGAATCACTCAAGATCTAGATGTTCCATATTCTTCCTAAGTACTTTTTCCATATCGAGCCTCTCCTGAGAAAATCTCAGAGAATAAATCTATGAAATGGCAGTTTGCCATGTTAATTTCAAAAACAAAAAATGTCTCCAAAGATTTTGTGATACTTTAAGCAAAAAAATCACAGATTTGAGATTTAAAAATAGATAAAAAATATGCCTTATAGAGAATAATGAACAGATCTTACACTTATAAAAGATGTATTTGGGTAGTTAGGACATATCGAAGGGTGTCCAGAACAATGATGAGTAGCTGTATAATCTCACTTAAATTAGTCACATAATTTCCTGGGAGTCCAGGATAGCTTCTTCCTAAATGAGAAAGTTTTACTCAGGTCTCGGTGGTTCTTATTTCTTTCATTGTCCAGTTGATACTGTTACATTCTTTGAAAATGAATGTCACAGATTGTTTGTTTCGGCACAAATGCTGACCTACCACTTTCCTGCACCTTGTATTGTACCACTCTGTAGCAAACATTTGGCCAGTATTATAAATTATAGAGCCAGAAAGTAGAATAGTGGTTGCCAGAGGCTGAACTGGGGGCAGTGGGAATGCAGGATTATTATTTAGCCAGTGTAGAATTTGAGTTTTACAATATAAAGAGTTCTGGAGGTGGATGATGGTTGTACAACTTTATAAATTTATTTAATGCCATCAACTATACACTTAACATGGTGAAGATTGTAAATTTTATGATATGTGTATTTTATTGCAATAAAAAAGGGGCAACAAGAATTAACTGGTCTTTCTTAATGTTCCCAAGACTGTCATCAGACAATTCCAGCATTAAATGCTTCATACCGGCCGGGCGTGATGGCCCAGGCCTGTAACCCCAGCACTTTGGGAGGCAGAGGTGGGCAGATCATGAGGTCAAGAGATCGAGACCAGCCTGGCCAACATGGTGAAACCTCGTCTCTACTAAAAATACAAAAAATTAGCTGGGCATGGTGGCACACGCTTGTAGTCCCAGCTACATGGGAGGCTAAGGCAGGAGAAACACTTGAACCCAGGAGGCGGAGGTTGCAGTGAGCCAAGATAGCGCCACTGTACTCCAGCCTGGGTGACAGAGTGAGACTCCGTTTTGTTTTGTTTTGTTTTGTTTTGTTTTAAAAAAAGACTTCATACCTTGAGTGCAAGCCCACTGCATATAGGAGCTAACTTGAAATGTCATGTTCAAAAGTAGTTTATAAAACACTTAGAGATACTAGTTATCTTTCCCTTAAAATAGCAAGCTGGGGCACAGGCCAGCACAAACTGTTTTGTCTTTTAAGGGCCTCCATTAGAAGAAACTAAACACACATGTTCTTCAAAATAGTTAATTCTCTAAAAGTATCAGTCAGGAAACACCTATAATATGCGCAGTGTCTTCTCCTATGCATGGTTTAGGTTGCAATTTTCCCTCTAACCCAGGTTTCTCATTTATTCCATTACTAATTTTTCCTATATTTTCTAAGAAATTCTGGTTTGCTAATGGCTCCTTTTCTAGAAATTAACACTGTGGTAGATCTATTTTTGTTTATATCATTGCTATCATTTTAATGTGAGATTATGAGAAAAGAGTGACATTTCAAAAAAAAAGGAACAAAAAGTATAGAAACATTAATGTACAGTTTAAAACACTGGGATAGTAAACGATGACCATTAACTTATTTGTCTTTGTAAAAATAAAAGAAAAAAAGTACTAGAATTGTAAACACAGTAGTGGGGAAGTAAAATGTGTTTGGAAAGAAAGAGGAAAAAATTCAGTGCCTTATTGAAATAGAGAAAATTTTATATTTATTTGAAGAGTGCTCTCTCTCTCTCACTCATATAGTAGGTAGGAATAAAATAAATACTTAAGGTTACTTATATATTGAGGAAAATATTATGAGAGTTAATGAGCTATTTAATGACAGATTGTCACAATCTTTTCTCAATAAACTAGGAAATGACCTCAGCTTAATGAGAGTGAAGATTTTGGCATGAGAAGAAATGAGAGTTTAAGCAGGACAATGAGAGACTAATCAAAATATCAATGACCCACAACAAAAATCAAATTTAAATTGGAGATCATGAATCTGTAATTTATAAAGTTTTTATGTCTCTTCCTATTTTTCCAACAATGTTTTGTTCCTCTGGAGAGAGAGGCGATGAGAAGAGAGAGAATGCGGCTAGTGAGATATAAGTTAATTAATTCATTCCACATTTTATTTCATTCAACAATTATTTAATACTTACGATAAGCTAGGCATGTTTAAACCAAAGCAAATGAGAAGCATTCTCTGTCAGCAATGAATTTTCAGTCTATCAGGCAACGGTTATTTAAAGAGGGTGATAGTATATTTTGTCAAATGTTTTTAAATAGTTATTTAAATGCAGGATTAAATTATTGATTAATTTGTAGAGAAAATACATTTTTGTTTTTAAAAATGTGTATCAAGCTGTGATATGGTTTGGCTCTGTGTCCCCACCCAAATCTCATCTCCAATTGTAATCCCCATATGTCAAGGGAAGGATCTGGTGGGAGGTAATTGAATCATGGGGGCAGATTTCCCCCTTGCTGTTCTCCTGATAATGATTGCTCACAAAATCTGGTTGTTTGATAAGTGTCTGGCACTTCCCCATGCTCACTCTCTCTCACCTGCCGCCATGTGAGACCTGAATTGCTTCCCATTCACCTTCCACCATGATTGTATAACTGTAAGTCAATTAAATCTCCTTTCTTTATAAATTACCAAGTCTCAGGTAGTGTCTTTATAGCAGTGTAAAAGCAGGCTCTAGTGAAATAATTTGAGCATTTTCAATTGTCAATGGTAATGTTATTTCATTGGAGTTTTCACAAATCAGTAGGAAAAATAAACTGCCCAAGATACATGGATTGAGTATCATGTTCGTAATTTCCATGCAATGGACACAGGCCAGTCCCTGTGCAGATCTCTGAGAATTATGTTTTTATAGAGAAATGTTCTAAAGAAAATATATCTGGTACAATGTTTAAAAATAATCTCTAAAAGATCATTTTCTAGATGAAAATAAGTTGAAATATATAAATTACTTCAGTTCAATGCTTTTATTGCCTTTCCTCTGATGAGGAGATGTAACACATTAAGAAAAAAAATCTTATGTGGTTTTCGTCCCAGGTTCCTGACACAGAGCTGCTAAAATTCTTGAGGTTTCCTGAGTAATGAGGGTGACAGGAACACCTTACACAGAGCTCCTAAATCCCCTTGATGTGGTTTGGATCTGTGTCCCCACCGGAATCTCATGTTGAATTGTAATCTCCAACATTGGAAGTGGGATCTGGGGAAGGTGATTGGATCATAGAGGCAAATTAGCTGGGTGTGGTGGCGGGTGCCTGTAGTCCCAGCTACTTGGGAGGCTGAGGCAGGAGAATGGCATGAACCCAGGAGGCAGAGCTTGCAGTGAGCTGAGATCCGCCACTGCACTCCAGCCTGGGCATTACTTTTAATGAAGGTGATTTTCTCTGGTGGTATGTTTTAATTTCGTGGTTTTTATTTTTTGTGTATCTGTTGCATGTTTTTGGATTTGAGGTTACCATGAAGCTTGCAAATACCTGACATTGTTGATGATAACGCTGTTTGCATAAACAAACTAACAATCAAGCAAAGAGAAAACATTAAAAACTCTATACTTTTTATCTTTTGGTGTTTCTACTTTTATTGTACTGTCTATGTTTTGAAAAATTGCTGTAATTATTGTTTTTCATTAGTTCATCTTTTAGTCTTTCTACTCAAGATATGAGTAGTTTACATACTACAATTACTATTTTATAACATTCTGTGTTTTTCTGTGTTCTCACTATTACCTGTGAGTTTTCTATCTTCAAACAATTTCTCATTGCTTGTTAATGTCCTTATTCTTTCAGATTGAAGGACTCCCTTTAGCTTGCCTTGTAGTACAGGTCTAGCATTGATGAAATCCCTCAGCTTTTGTTTGTCCAGAAAAGTTTTTATTTCTCCTTAATGCTTGAAGGATACTTTCACTGGATATACCATTCTAGAATTAAAGGATTTTTTTGTCAGCACTTCAAATATGTCTGCCACTGTCTCCTGGGCTGTCAGCTTTCCACTGAGAATTCTGCTGCCAGAAATATTGGAGTTCCTCTGTATGTTATTTGTTTCTTTTCTCCTGCTGCTTAGAATTCTTTCTTTATCCTTGACCTTTGGGAGTTTGATTACTAAATGTCTTGAGGTAATCTTATTTCGGTTAAATATGTTTGGCATTCTATAAATGTCTTTTGTTGAAATGTTGATATCTTTCTCTATGTTTAGGAAGTTCTCTGTTCTTATCCCATTTCTACTTTCTATCCTGATCAATCTGTCTACCTCCTCTTTAAGATTAGTAACTCTCAGATTTGCCCTATTGAGGCTGTTTTCTAGATCTTGCAGGTGTGCATCATTCTGTTTTCTTTTGTTTCCTCTGTGTACTTTCAAACAGACTGTCTTCAAGCTCACTAACTAATTATTTCTTGTGCTTGATCAATTCTGCTGTTAAGAGACTCTGATGCATTGTTTAGTATGTCAATTGCATTTTTCAGCTCCTGGATTTTTGTTTGTTTTTTTTTTTTTATAATTTCAATCTCTTTGTGAAATGTATCTGATGGAATTCTGAATTTCTTCCCAGTGTTATCTTGAATTTCTTTGAGCTTCCTCAAAACAACTATTTTGAATTATCTGTATAAAAGGGCATCTATTTCTTTCTCTCTTGGATTGTTTACTGGTGCCTTATTTAGTTCGTTTGGTGAGATCATGTTGTCATGGATGACCTTGATGCTTGTGAATGTTTGTCAGCATTGAAGAGTTAGATATTTGTGGGCCTTGAAGAGTTAGGTATTTATTATAATTTTTGCAGTCTGGGCTTATTTTACCTGTTCTTTCTAGAAAGGCTTTCCACATATTCGAAGGGGCTTGATTATTGTGATCTACATCTTTGGTCACTGCAGCCGTATCTGCATTAGGGGGCACCACGAACCCAGTAATGTTGTGGCTCCTACAGACTCAAAGATGTCCTGCCTTGTGTAGGTCTTGTGTAAGATCTAGGAGAATTCCTTGATTATCAAGCAGAAACTCTTGTTCTCTTCCCTTACTTTTCCCCAAACAAATGGAGTCTCCTTCTCTGTGATGAGCTGCTTAGAGCTGTGAGTGGGATGACACAAACACACCTGTAGCTACCACCACTGGGACTGTGCTGGGTCAGACACAAAGCCAGCCTAATGGTCTTGCCTAAGGCCAACAATGACCACTGCCTGGCTACTGCCAACGTTTATTCAAAGCCCAAGGTCTCTACAATCAGCAGGTGGTGAATCATCCAGGCTTGTTTCCTTCCTGTCAGGGCAATGAATTCCCCCCTGGTTAAAGATGGGCCTGTATATGCCAACTGGGAGTCAAGGCTTCAAGTCAGGAACCTTAGGAAACCTGGTGCTCTATTCTACTGTAGGTGAGCTGGTCCTCAAGACACAAGAAAAAGTCCTTTGCACTCTTCCCTCATCTTTCTTTAAGCAGAGGAGCCTCACCCTGTGGTGACCACTGCCCCGGGCCTGCAGTGAGTAGTGCCTGGATACTGACAATGTTCCCTTAAGGCTCCAAAACTCTTGAGTCAGCTTGTAGTAGTTGCTGCTATTCCTGAGTCTGTCTCTTTGAGGGAGTGGGCTTCTCTGTGGCCCAGAGAAGATCCAGAAATGTCATCCAGGAGTCAAGGCTTAGAATGGGGAACCCTAGGAGTCAGCTTGGTGCTGTACCACACTGTGGTCAAGCTGGTACCCAAGCTGCCATACAAAATCCTCTTTACTCTTCTTTTTCCTTTCTGATTGCAGAAGGAGTCTCTCCTTGTAGCCACCACAGCTTAAAATGCACTGCATAACACCTGAAACCAGCACAGCATTGAGTCTCACCCAAGGGCCTGTGGTGCACACTGCCTGACTATCACTATTGATTATTCAGTGCCAACGGGCTCTTAAATCAGCAGATGATGAATTCTGCCAGGATTGGGTCCTTCCCTTCAAGGCAGTGGTTTCCCTTCTGGCCCAGGGAGTGTTTAGAAATGTCATCTGGGAGTTAGGGCCTGGAATGGGGGACTCAGGACTCTGCCTGGTGCCCTGTTCTTCTGTGGCTGAGCTGGTATCTAAATTGTAAGAAAAAGTCCTCTTTATTGTCCCCTCTTCTCTCCTCATCCAGAGGGAAGGAGTCTCCCAGAGCTGCCAGTTGCACTATGTGGGGCTGAGAGGGATGATACAAGTACTCCCTTAGCCACCCTGGCTGTTGTCTCGCTATGTCACATACGGCACAAGTCCACAAGCTCTGAGTCCAGCACAGCACCAAGACTTGCCCAGAAAGTGTAGTCCCTGTGGCGTAGACAGCCTTCCAAGTTCATTTAGGATCCCAGAGCTCATCATTCACCAGTGGTGGCAGGGCTTGCTGGAACTCAGTTTCCAACCACTGGGATGGGTGATTTCCCTCTGGCTAGGGCTGGGCTGCCGGCTCCCTCCACTGGCACTTGCTGAGTTCTATTTCATGCTGCTTTCCACTGCTACAGGCAGCACATAGAGTTCCAATGCAAAGTCCCACATCACTGCTCTTTCCCTCCCCTAAGTGCTCAGATTCTCTTTCTGTACCATACAACTTTGCTGGAAACCTGGTGAGGGGTGGTGTAAGCCGTTCAAGATGGTCTTTCCCAGCATCTTCTCGGCCTCTTTCCTTAATATGATGTTAAAACCAGGTACTGTGATCACTCACCTGATTTTTGGATCTTATAAAGTTTCTTATAAAGGTTTTTTTTGTGTGTATGTGGATAGTTGTTCAATTTGGTATTCTTACAATGCAGACAGTTGTTGGAGGCTTCTGTTTGTCCATCCTGCTCTGCTTCCTCCCAACGTAAAAACATTTTAACGTCCAAAATTAGTTAACGGTAGTAAAGGAAAAACCCAAGACAAGTTAAATTTAACAGAGTTTATTTGAGCAGAAAAAAAAATGGTTCAGGAACAGTGTAGCACTCAGGATAAAAAGCAGTTCAGAGAGCTCTGTTCCGCAAGGAGTTCATGCACATGTACAGAAAGAGAAATGGAAATGACCTACAGAAATAGCCTGATTGCATTCAGTTTAGCTTTTGCCTTATTTGGGCATGTTGTGGTAGCTGTCAGCCTATGATTGGCTGAAGGTTTGGCTATTAAGAGTGGCTGAGAATAGGCTACTTGTTACAAGAGTATACACTCAGGTTAGGTTGCAGTTTGTTTACACATTAAGTTAGGTAATAATTCACTATGTATGGAGGTAGCTTTCCGCCAAACAATAGTTAGTAGTAAATAACAATAGTAATAAGGAGCAATACTTAATATTGCCTTGTCTATTTCATGATTTGCTTAGAACCTGCTCTCAATCAAACAAATTAAAGGCATTTTTCTCACTATGATTTGCATATTAAAACATTCTAAAAAATAAATGTTGGCATTTGGAAGCTGTTTGCAAGAAAAATTAGAATTTCAAATTTATATCTTTCTTACATTTCAAAGATGCGTAATAAAAGTTAGTTGTGAGCAGTTCCAATTTAGGTCTCTATTCTTCCTCTTCTCTCATCTTTTTTTTTTTTATGATCAACTATATTCCTCCATTTTTTTCCCTCCATAAACTGAGAACAATTTCAAGTTTATTTTCTGCACCACACATTTCATTTTTCCTACAAATGTGAATGTGGTAAATCTTAATTATGTTGTCTTTCTGAGTTCCTTACAATCTGTCCTAATCACATCCACCTCTATTTTTGTATCTGTAGAATTATCTTGTTGTTTTTCTCAGAAAGCCTAAGATTTTTTTAAAATTAAACTAAAGGAAAAATAGATAATTCTTTAAACCTTTTTTTCAAACATTTATATAATTGTCTTCCATTGTATTTGCTATTTTTTTTCCTAGAGTTTGAGTTTGTTTGTTTTGTTTGTTTCCACTGGATGAAAGATGCAAGCTGGATTTGTGGACTGTCCTTGAATCTGCAACCCCATTCCTGTGCCCCCGGGTTGCTGGGCTTCCTGACTCTGTACTGTAAACTTAAATGGTCAGTTCATAAATTCTCCCTGAGAGAAATGATAAGAAATAAAATATGGAGATTTCCACAAGAGAGGTAGGGAGGTTAACCTATATGCTGATATTTTCTGTGGGCCTCATTATTTCTCTTTTTCTTTCTCTCCTTGTATATACACATTATTTATATATGTTACATATATTATGCAATATATTATTCATGTTGTGTGTGTGTGTATGTGTATATATATATGTTCACTGCTCAATCCAGCTTAGTGCTCTTGCTTGAAAGATACATGTAATTTATGAAACATTATCTTAGCTTTACAAATCAGTATAATCATTAATTTAGTAGCATAATAACAATTGGAGAGATCTGATTCCTGCCACTACAAGCTCCCTGCCCTCACTTAGGGCAAAGACTACCTCAGACATGGATGTACTTTGTGTCTAGGTGTACTCTGAGATATGCAAGCAGCTCAGCACAGAGTTTGGGATGCTCCAATTAAATGTAAAGGAGATTTTACTGTAGATAAAAGTTCTTGTTCTTCTTTACCTTATACTCACCCTATACTTCTTTACCTTTTACTCACATAAAGGAAAAGAGAGGACTGGTTTCTTGTTCAACTACTATGGCAGTATTAGTTTGATGGAGTAATGTCGCTTGTAGAAGCTGTGTAGAAAAATATGTAGCACAATAAACATGCTACAAGGCTTGTTAATGTATGTGTGGAAAATGTTCATTCAGACTGTTTCTGGATGAACTGGTTGTTCTGCTGCAGAGCCTCATCCTTCCTCAGTCACAGCACATTTGGTGATGGCCTGGAAGGCTTCTTTAAACATTTTCCACACATACATTAACAAGCCTTGTAGCATGTTTATTGTGCTACGTATTTTTCTACACAGCTTCTACAAGTGACATTACTCCATCCAACCTCTACTGCCACAGTAGTTGAACAGGTAACCAGTCCTCTCTTTTCCCTTATGTGAGTGAAAGTATTATTTCTCAAAGGCAAAGTCTTGCTATATATACAAACAATACATAATAAAATGATAATATTTTAGCATTTTAGTTGTCTGCATCTGTATTTACATGTACAATGACACCACAGTTTCGTTTTTTATTTCTCCCAGGAAAAATACGAGGTTATTTTATAATTTTTCTGTTAAAAAAGATTCCATTTTGAAAGTATTTCCAAAATAAGGGAATCTGTCCTGAAGATAAACTGTTGAGATTGAAAATCCGAATGACTAACAACTTTAAAAAAAAATTCTGCTAAAAAAGTAACATGTCATATCACAACCTCTACCTACATGCCCATCGTATCCATATATCTGTCTGTCTTCCCTCTGGCTTCAGTGACACATGTCACACGTGTCTCTCAGGGAAGGAGGTGGTGGCTGTGGAGATGGGGGCAGCATTCTTTCTTGTTTTTGCTGTCTAGCCTGACTTCTCTTGTGGACACATTATGGCTATGCATTGCCACTGGCTGGGCTTCTGCCTACTGCATCAAGGAGGAGCCTCTACTGGTTATAACTGCAAGGACAATCAGAGAGGTGCTACGTTGGAATTCCACGGGTATACAGTCATAAATTGCAATTTAAATAAAAGCGTTTCAGTGCCTACAAGACCCAGGCTCCAAATTGAGGGCTTTGGGGTGATGGGGATCTTCTTCTGCTTGTTTCTTTTTTACTTAAACCACATTGGAAGGTAAGAATTTTCAGGAGGAAAAACATTGTCTTACTTCCGTGTTGCCCACCTGCTCTGTATTTTAGCTGAACTTCCTAACCATGGTGTGTGGAAGGTACCATCCGTGATTTGGGGCTGGACTTGGTTTTCTGATGCCCTTTATAGGTCTAGAGATTTCAGTGTGACCCAGATGTCAGGGCAAGGATGGGGAAGTACTTTGTCTGGAATAACTTCATGAGTGGCTGCAGAAAACAGCCTACAAAGGAGTGCTCCAAACCATCCAAAGATCGGGCCGTTTGAGATTCCAAAGAAGCACAAAACACCTGGTTGACCAGACCAAAGCATTTATTACACAGTCTGCAGCAATCCTCTAGAAGACAGCGAGAGAAATGCACGTTCTACCTAAATACAGCTCTAGTGAGGGAGGTCCAGTTATGGCATATTCAGGAAGGTTTAAGAAATTTGGCTCAGGGCCAAGGCCAGTTTCTTTCAGTGCTTTGGGCAAAAACCTAGATAACTTTATCAGTGCCTGGGAATGTTTGAGATCTCGGTTTTGTTTGAAGCTTACTGGGAAAAATCTAAAGTTGGCTGGGTCACAGAGCTGTCAAAGCATTCTGTGATTTTGCATCAGGAGAAAGAAAAAAGACAGGGGAAACTGGGAGACCCTGCCAAGAAACTAGACACACGTGTTCGCATTGCTTGCAGGCAGTCTTCTAGATTGGAATGAATCTTTTTTGATATTAGCTAAAAAGCCGGTAATCATTCACTTTCAATTATAGTAAAGAAAGTTGACTGAGGTAATACTGCAATGGTTCCAAGTTAAGCCGAACATATTATAACATCTTGTGCAGTTGACTTGGTGCTTGATCCTTAGTTTCTTCATCTGTAAAAGGGATAGGATAATAACAGTATAAGTCTCAATGGGCTCTTGCAAAAATGGAAAACAAAGCAAAACATATCGATAGTATAAAAAATACGAACAGGTCTGGCATACATTAAATTTATATATTCTTTTTCTTCCTCTACCCTACTTTTTCATTATTATCATTACAATTATAAACAAAATAAAACCCTAAGTCTTGCAACCGAATAAGCAGACCCCATCTTGGCCAAAGGGATCCCAAAGAAACCTTAAAAATTAATTCCTAGTCATGATGGGATGGAAGGTCAGATAGGCCTCACCCACATTATACCCACTCCCTTTTCCAGACATTGACCGGCATTTGTGTTAAAATAGAGATCGTTAGACTGACAGAATGGACTCTTTGTGTCAATAAGATGCCAAATTATAAATAAGACCTAAGACCATGCCAGGCAAGGGTAAAGTCACACACCCTTACACTTAAAGAATAAACTATGTACTAACTGCCATAGGTTTTTGTTTTGTTTTGTTTCTCTGGTAGCTAGGCAAGCACTGGCCTAAGACAAGCAATATTAAAACAATTTGCAGCCCAGCCACCACCAGACATAGACCCGCAGCCTGTGTTCTGCAAGCCATAACTGCAGCTTTGATTGGACAAGAGACTGGTATCAGTCACTTTCTCGTGATAAGACCACTAACTATGGACTGATTCCAGCCAGTTTACAGAGGGTGCACACTTGAGCCCCTTTGTATCCTGAAAAGACCTTTTATATGGATAGGGGCTAATTGTATACCTTTAAATGATAAGTCTTGGGTGAACATGGGTGTTATGTAACCTGCATGTTTATTCAGTACACATGTGTTAGGACCACCTTCATGAATATTCATAGCTGCTCCTATAATCTGTTGAATATATATGTTTAGCCAGCCCATTTCGCATAAAGCTACCTCCCCAATGCCTCCTCCTTCAAAGTGTCTGCTGACAGCTAAAGGCCACACTTCCCAACCTGTCAGGAGGGCCACCTTGTAGGTGGTAAACCTTTATATAAAATAAAATCTTCTTTCCAAATTTATAAATTGTCTGAATTTTTTTAAGTTAGCACATGTGTGAGTACTATAATTATCAATGGCTTGAGCACTTAGATGAGTGAGGCCACTCAAACTGAATTCAGAATTCAAACTACTTCACTATTCTAATCTCATAGCAGTTATATAATTCCAGATTAAACAGAGGAAAAGCGTTAATACCATCTATATTTTAGTATTTTTGATGTACTAGTCCACTGTGTATCAGTCTTTTTAAATTAATTCACTCCAGTCTTCCCAGCCTTCTCTAAAGAAAAGACAAAGTGGACAAATGGTAAGATTGAGGCTTAGCAGGGGGTCAGTAGCGGGTGCTTGTGCTGGTTCAGATCATACTCCTGGATTTGAACCCAGCTCTACTACTTATTTTCTATGTAAATTTGGGCAAGTAACTAAAAATCTATATGGCTCGATCATCTTTTATAAGTCAGAGAATAATAGCCCATACCTTAATGAGTTACAGGAAAATTTAACAAGGTAATCATTAATCACTGAACCTAGAGGCTGGCACATGAATTTAGTTTAACAAATGGCTGTTATTCTTTCATTAGGAATATTATTAGTGATTAAAATTTTGAATAAATCAGGGCTTTAAGCTTATGCTGCCACTTAACAATCCTTTTAAAATTTCTCGTAATTTCTCTAGTCTCTGTTAGCCATGAGGTTTGCCCCAGATTTTCACCCAGGGACAGGGGAAGATGACCACTCCCATCCCTTCCAGCCAGAATAAGTTTTAAAGGAATGATGAGAGGCCAAGATAAAATTGTGTGTGAAAAACATCTTGTTAATCAACTAACCTAGAAATTATTTATATGAACCTTAATATGCGTGTGTGTGTGCATGAATATAATGTAAAAACTGTACATATCTTAATTTTTTCTACATAAGTTGAAACATTAAAGCAATGAATTACTTTCAGGGTTAAATTACAAGTATATCCCAGATTCATCTTATATATATAGTTGTTTAATCACATTACAAGTTATTCTAAATAATTTATTGAGTTTTTAAAGATTCAACTAGTTAGAACGTGCAAATCAGCCAGGTTACTTTCCGGAAGACATTATGAAATCACTAATATATGGATGTGCCAATTGTTCATACTTTGAGATTTAACATTCAATACCATTTTCTAGAGGCTTTAGATGTGGTTGAAAATAAAATATAAATTCAGAAGGAAAATAACTGTTTGAGTGGATACCTTCCTTCTTAGAAAGATTGTGTCCAGTGGTGCTACTTTTTTATGGGAAAGGTGCTTTATATCATCCTTGCCCTCCAAATAGAGAGAGAGAAAGAGCAAATATTTTTAGTAAATCAATAGCTTCCAAACTTCCAGCACATCAACTGAGTCCTAAGTAGTATTCGATTTTATACAAGTATTCAAAGAAAGGTTTATTATAAAAGTATAACTATTTATAATTCTATATGTTCTACTAAAAATGCAACCTTCATATTCCTACTTCTCAGAGGTGTACTAAAAATGTAAAAACTAATTGTGTTGTGATCAGTTACATAAATGTAATATTGCAATGGAAAAGCACCAGTATATCATTATATTTGAAATATGACAAAATATTTAAGAGGTTATATTTGTTTGCCAGGGCTGCCGTAACAAAATAACTAGGTGGATTAAAAAATGGAATTTTTTTTTTTATTGTTCTGGAGGCTAGCAGTCCGAGATCAAGGTGTCAGCAGGGCTGGTTTCTTCTAAAGCTCTCTCCTTGACTTATAGATGGCTGTCTTCATGTTCATGCTATACACATATGTGTCTGTGTCCTAAATTCCTCATATTAAAACAGGGCCCACCTAATGACCTCATTTTAAGTTAATTATCTATTTAAAAGATGTATCTCCAAGTACATATTCTGAGGTGCCGGGTGTTAGAACTTCAATATATGAAACTTCAGAGGAACACAGTTCAGCCCATAACAGAGTCAAGAGAAGTTACGCCTTATGAGGAAATGTGTACTATCTGGAGTATGCAATTGCCTTTTCCAGCTTCTAGAGGCAGCTTGCATTCCTTGGCTTCTGGTCCCTTCCATCTTAGTGCCAGCAGCAGCAGTGTTCTCCCTGACATAGCATCACTCTGACACTGACTTGTTTGCCTCTGTCCTCCAGATTTAAGGACCCTTGTGGTTACACTTAGCCTCCCTGCATAATTTAGAATAATTTTCCTAGTTTAACATCAGCTGATTAGCAGCCTTAATTCCATCTGCTACCTTAATTCCCCTTTATCATGTAATATAACCTAGTCACAGGTGTCTGGGAATAGAACATAGACATCTTTGGGAGAAGAGAAATTACTCTGACTATCACACTTACTAACTGAAATAATAAAAATCAGTCTTCTGTATTGAGATTTAGAGCCATCCAGGACCCCAGTCTCTGACAAATATTTTTGCTTTGGGGCTTGGAATAAGAATATTAATGACACAAGCTTCATAAAAATCTATTCTTAAAAGAAGATTATCTTAAAGGTTACTCCATCAAAATGATGAATCAAATCGTATAACTAATTTCAAACTGATATATAGCTTCCATTTGAATTCCCATCAAAAGTAGGCACTTAAGTAACCCTTGATCAGGCAGTTTATGTGGTAGATATTGCTAGGAAGTACAAGCAAGGCACATGGGATTGTGATACGTGAAAAAAGGAAAGTAATAACAGGTTCATTAACTAATAGCAATATTAAAAGCAACTAGGGCTCACTCATGCTGTGAGCCTTTTGCAAACTATGTAACCCACATCGGAATGTTTTCTTAAGAAGCCAGGGAAGCTGCCTGTTTTCTTCTGACTCTTGTCTTTTATTGTTTGACTATTGACCCTAGGAGACTGAACAAAATCACAATTCCAGGTTGCACCTGAGTATGGCAAAGTGTGGTTTTGTCATGCTTGAGAAAGGCCTCAGTCAGAGGAGCAGAGAGATATACAGGTAATTAATGTAGGAAGCTGTTGGCATGCAGGAAACTGTGTACAAAAGTTGCAAGTGAATCCAGAAGTGTTCTCGGCAGATATGCGTGAGCAACTCTACGACTCACTTCTTGTTCATTTTAATCTGTACATGTCCTATACCAATCACACTCTGTTACTTCAGAGTAATTGCCACAATTTCTATGAAAGCCGTAAAATGAAAGCTTAGTGAAACCAGCTACAGTCTGTGTTGTTCTGGCTGATTCTGATGCCATAATAAATGTACATCATTCTCCCTCTCTACCTCCCATTCTATATTCCCAGATCCTTGACTAGCAGTTCTGAACACCTTGCCTGTACCCAAGCCCTGCTTATAATGCTGGGACTGCAATTGCTCTTTGCTGCTATCATCAGGCATGGACACACTATGAAGCACTGAAGTGAGGGTCTCATATTCAGATCTACTGCTTCTTGCCCCTCAGTAGGTTGTGACAACTTTAGCCCTATGTAATAATTACTGCTGAGAACCTAGTAGCTCCTTTATTTGGCTTGATATTTTTGATATACATGAGGGCCAAAATTGCTAGATGGCAGTCATGGTTTTAGGATAAGAAATATTCTGATTTTATGGATGGTCATAGAGTCTTTTATCTACAATCCACCCCACACAGGGACCATGACATTTAACCCTTCAGAGACTAAAATTGCAAGGTTAGGTGGCCTAAACTTCTCCAAAGGGTCAAGAATGATAATGAATACTGTTAATGCTACCTTCACCCTTTCTTTCATTTTGCGTTTTAGCTACTGGGGACATGTGATGTATACTCCATTCCAGAGGACAGATTGGCAGCCCTACAAAGTGCCATCTCCAGGCTGACATCCTAGCTAAAAAGTCATTCCACATTCTATCAATTAGGCCACTAACTTTTGGGTGATATGTAAAGATATAGATATAGATATAGATATAGATATAGATATATTGGTTATAATGGTTTCACTTTTTATGCATCCAGTGTCAAAATTATTAGCTACAAAAGGATCCTTTGGTCCAAAGGGAAGTTTTGCAGAATTCCAGCCACTCAGAAAGCCCTGGCAGAGGCATCGTGGGCAGAAGAGGCAAAACCACATGCAATATACGTATGAATCACAAAAAGATGAGTTATTGCCTTCTCCAGGATGAAAGGGGTTTTAAGTAATTAACTAGACATCAAGTGGATGGTCTCTTCAAAGAATGGTACCATATTGAGAGTTGGGGCAGTCTCCAATACTGGACAGGTCAGATATTCAGCAGTGGGAATAATTTTATCAGTCTCGATGTAAGAAGAAGCACATGAGGGGATGCAATGCTAGTACAGTCATTCATAACCTCCAAACCAGCCACCAAGGGTTCACTGTAGGAGGATAGGGTGGCTGAGGACAAATGCTGGCTGGTGTACTTTTAATGCACCATTATTTCCATTTGGTTTTTGGTGGCTCTGTGCAGTAGTTACTCTTTGGTGGGTGGTGATAGGATACACCAAGATCCGAGTGCTTTTGGTGCCTTCCCCTGGTCCATTCTCATTCCACTTTCACAGACATTATTGTTTTCAAACTTGCTCCTCTCAGGTACTTGGTTATTCAGCCATGTCATGGCCAGTACCCATTCATAACTCAGAAAAA
Source organism: Homo sapiens (assembly GCF_000001405.40). Taxonomy (NCBI): domain Eukaryota; kingdom Metazoa; phylum Chordata; class Mammalia; order Primates; family Hominidae; genus Homo; species Homo sapiens. The sequence goes on from NC_000021.9 coordinate 18,923,850, forward strand.
CAACTAGAAATTGATAGGTTGGGTCTAGGAAGATTCACGTGTATTTATGTTCTTTAGTTAGTAGAGAACAATGAGTAATTTTCTTTTTTGAATGTAGATAATAACTTGGAAACATCTACTTTTCCCCATTGGCTATTAAAGAGATATTTATTAGAATAGTTGAAGCCCAAAGCCTCACACTAGAAAACTACTAAGGTAAAATACATGAATTTACATAATATGTACTCTACAAATAATATTAACTCTAATTATTTTAAGAAAAAGTATATGAGAAAAGGATTGGGAAGCCCTGTTACACAAATATGAAATATGCATAACCTAAGCACAAAACATTGATTCCCATTAAATTAAAACAACTATCTAAACATATATGTAATTTCCATTTAGATAAAATGTACAGAACAGGCAAAACCATAAAGGCAGAAAGTAGACTAGTGGTTGCCTAGGAATGGGGCTGCATGGAGTGGTGTGAGAAGTGGGGAGTGTAACAGGGAATCATTGCTAATGAATGCATGCAAGGTTTATTTTGGGAAACAGTTCATGTTAATGCTCATACAACTTTGTAAATATAGTAAGAACCATTGCATTTTATGCTTTAAGTGGAGGGATTTTATACATGTAAATTATATCCCAAAAAGGCTGTTAAAAATGAAAGTAGAGTAACCAAATATGTGTCCCATAATATGAAAGGCTCAATTATTAAATACCTCCCTTTTACAACGGAGGTGGGAAGGGGATAGAGCATGACATATTGGGATATACCTGGTTTTCTTTGCTCCTGCTTATAATACTGAGAGGGCATTAGGGCCAGACCTGATATTTGATGGAAAGGCTAAGCATGTTCCATTAGGATGTTAACATAGGTTGTTAATTTTAGGAGATTAAGTGTTACACTTCTTGCTTTGTTAGATAAATTGAACCACAGCAAATTTTACAAACATAATTTGTCCATATTTTCATAATAAACTCTATGTAAACATCAGTTTTCTTGTTCCTTTAAAAACAAAATAATTCATATCAAACTGTCTTGAATAAGAAAGGCAAACCAGTCACAAGTCCACAATATTAAAGCAAAAGTAAAGTGATGAATTTTCTGCTTAATTTTCAAGTTCAGGATCTTCAAAAGTTAGTTTCTAAAGGGTACAGCAATGCTGTTTGTGTCAAATAACTAGCTCATCAGCTGAATAGTCCACACCAACTTTCCAACAAAACACACATCACCTATACTCAATTTGTGGCATCCAGTGTGAAATGATGTTAAATCTTTGCAGAAAGTTTTCTCTGATCTTTGTCAAAATCCAGATATGTTTATTCTCTTAATTAAAGTATCTAATTATATCCAAAAATATCAGACTTCATCATCTGATGGTAAATCCTTGTCATGAAATATCTTATTCTTTTCTTCATTATACATGGTTTCTTTTCTTTGTTTTATTTTGTTTTGCATATGCTTCTATGTCCAGTCAATATTAGTTTCTCTATTTTGTAATCCTTTCTAGTTTAGGACCATTGTCATGGCTGACAGCTTTGAGCTTAATGCATTTCAGTCTTCGCTTCTGCAACTGTTCCCGGAAAAGTCAGAGAACATCCAAGTATTGCCAAATCCTTTGTTCACTCTAAATTTATTTTTCACAGACATAATGTCACTGAAATCTGAGTTAAATAAATCAGCTTTCATGAATTACACTTTTATTAATCAATTACTCCAACCTGGCAATTGTTGCAGCAGAAACTTCAACAAGAAGAGCAACTCCCAGAATATTAAAAATGATATTTTTTGAGTCATTTTGGGCCCTTGATCAATACTACTTGGTCTGTAATTTTTCATTGAAAGGTAGATATTTTATATTATTTATAGTTTATGCCAAGTGACTTAACATATTTGTTATGCGTTGACTATTTTTCAGTGTCAGAAATAATTTCAAGAAAGAAGGATAAATTTTAGTAAAAAGTATGTATGTGCAAATATGTCACATAAAAGACATAAGAAAAATACTACTTAGATGTAGAGGTAGATGTGTTAAATTCTAATAATTTTGGAGAAATCCAAGAACACTTTATAAAAGATACAGAATCGTATTATTTCTTCAATGTAAGCAGCATTCCAGCTGTAAGAACAATAATGAGCAAAAACATACAGGCAAAAATACTCAGAGAATGATGAATACAGCCAATAGCAAAACCATATCCTTCCTTTGTACTTGTAATCTGATTTCAGATTAAAAATATGTATGTTGAGCTCAGTTTGTAGAGTTGTTTAACCTCAGTTTGTAGGAATCCTCATGCAAGACTGCTCAAAACATAAAATCTTTGATTGAGAACACTCCTTCAGTCTGGCTGTCTTTTTCAGAGCCACGCTGCAATCTGAGGCTCTTCCTATTCAATCTTCCTCCTTTCTTTCTCTCCTTTCCAAGGTGACTGAAGGCTCACCACATCTGTTCCTGTTTCTTAACTCTTTCATCCTTCACACGTATTTACTGTAATAAACCTGGTACATGTCTAATTCAATCTTCATGATTGCTTCGAAGGGTGACCAAACTGACATAGCACGCCCCTAGTCTTCCTTTCCAATTTCCCTTAACACTGACCTTTTCCCAGTCGTCCCAGGCAACTGAATGCCTCTTTGTCTTGTTAACTGCTATTTCTTCTGCCTGAGATTCCATTTTTACATTCTGGTAGTTTTAGTCAAAGTATATTCATCTTGATTGTGATTTTTGTGATAACATAATTCAACAAGACATTCTCTCACCTTTTTACCAAAATATGTAAACCTCAGAGAGTTATCTATAAAAGTCTGTATTCCTTAATGGTACAAATTTAGAAATGGAAACTGTAAGTTATATCACTTTGGGCTTGAACATTTTTATATGAATCAGTATACATGACCTTTTGGGGATGAAGACTGTTATTAGTAATAACTAGCGTGTGAAAGGCATGGACTTAAAATATATTTATGTAAGTTCTTCCTCCCTCCCTCCCTCTCTTTTTTCCTTCCTTCCTCCCTCCCTCCCTCCTTCCTTTCCTTTCTCCCTCCCTCCCTCCCCTCCTTCCTTGCTTTCTCAGTGGTATGGGAGAAAGAATAGAGAGTAGGAAGACCAGGAAAGACAAAGCCATGATGCCTAAGGGAGAGACTGGCCTGAGTAGGTTATTATTAGAGAGACCTATGCACAAACAAGGTATACCAATAATATGCACATCAGCAGGGTATTGATGAAGAAATCAAAAAGATAGAAGGAAAAATAATTATAAGAGATATTCATTATACTTTCTTATTTTCTAGAGATCTAACACTAACCTTAGAAACTTGATTTGGTCATGGCTGCCCATTCAACAAAAGGAATATTATTTCTACATAATACAACCTTCCTGAGCATATACTTTCAAAAGGCCTGAAGCATTCCTTCAGGCATTCTGGAAAGGGGTTTCTGAGGAAAGTGAAAGGAAAGACAAGGTTGCAATGTTAATATCTAGACTTTTTGAAGACATAGTATGGTAACTTCGGGGTGTGTGTGTGTGTGTGTGTGTAGTTTCTTTTCTACCAGAAACTCATTATAGAAGGCATATTGCAGGGCCGGGTGCAGTGGCTCACTCCTGTAGTCCCAGCACTTTGGGAGGCTGAGGCGGGTGGATCACGAGGTCAGGAGATCGAGACCATCCTGGCTAACACGGCGAAACCCCGTCTCTACTAAAAATACAAAAAATTAGCCGGGCGTGGTGGCGGGCGCCTGTAGTCCCAGCTACTCGGGAGGCTGAGGCAGGAGAATGGCGCGAACCCGGGAGGCGGAGCTTGCAGTGAGCCGAGATCCTGCCACCGCACTGCAGCCTGGGCGACAAAGCGAGACTCTGTCTCAAAAATAAAAAGAATGCATATTGCATAACTTTATCACTTTAGGGATAGGGTAGCTAGATCATGATGTTTTAGCAATTTGCCGAAGGAAAGTTAGAATATTAGAAATCAATGAGTAGATAAAAACTGTATTTAATGTGCCATGAGAATACGACATGCTGCAGTATTATTTTGCAAAAAAAAAATTTTGCTTCATATAATTTTTGAAATAAACTCATACATCATTAATATATTTAACTCTATATATACATACTTTTAAGAAATATGCCTGCACACTTACACATTTTATATCATCTCCCAAGTTGGCAGTTGCCATGAGATGCTTGGAAAATCATGGTTTAATACTCAACACCATTGAAATGACGTTGTATCCCTGATAAATGGATGCATTAAGACTCTACCCAACAGGGTTGCATTTCCCACCTGCATTTTGACCAGTTTCCTTAATGACCTTGCCAGCTGATACAAATTGCTTTTTGGAGGGAGCCCAGAGGAGTGATAGCAAGCTTGAAGGTTTTGCTACATGTTACACTAGATGGCTTTTAATGGTGAAAAAAGTGGCAAATTCTGACATATTAGAAATGCCTCTTTATCTGGACAGTAGAGAACAGCACCTCTTCTTTTAAGTATCAGGGAAGGGGTGTTATTTAAAAAGAGATATGCTAAATAAAATACACTAATGAAAATGATGTGCCACTTTTTCTAGTATTTGTATTGTGACCTCTGTATAGGCTGTCCCCATTGTGATCACTTACACTTAACTAATCCAATATATTGTCTATTGTTTTCAACATAAAAACAGTATGTATTTCCAAGACAGGAGATGTTTCAATCTCATAATTAGGCATGCAAAATATTATCTTCAAATCATATGCATGAGGTCCAGGGAACAGCTGAAGATCACTGCTCCTCTTAGGTTTGTAAAGAAACATAATTTTGTGGTGTTCCAAAGTGACTTCATAATTTTGTCATGTAATCTCCTATTTTGACTTGAAAATCTATTATAAATAAAGTGATAAAGTAAAAAAACATCGGTAGCAGGAACAAGATAAAGCTAATTTGGCATTAACAACCAATTTTCATATTAATATAATTTACTTTTATATGTATCATATCAAATATAATTAAGATGTTCCAGGTCTGCTTAACGTATGAATGACTTACTGAATAGATATAAATGCCAAATAAAGCATTAGCTGATTTTATTTTAATGTAGACTCACACGCACATACACCCACACGTGCACACACATGTACATACACACACGATGTTAATTTATTTATCCTACATGACGCTGGAAATTATTCAGTCTTTTAAAATGTATTTACACAACAAATTTACATTGTTTTATCCAGATTCTATGTATATTATACATTTTTTGTCATGTACAGTCTGTTTTTTATTTCTCTATTTTTTGGCAGTCTCAGAAAATAAATGCCATCTTTACACGTACATGTATTCATCATTCCTCACCCACTCCACCAACACACAATCCCAAGAGAACAAAAAAGATGTGAAAATGAAAGTAACAGAGTGTATTACATTCCTATGAGTAACTGAAATATCTTAAAAAATAAATTGGACAGCAAAATGAAAAATGTAGAAACAGACCTAATGTTTTAAAATACAACAATCAAATGTGTAAAGGTATGATTCACTTGGGAAACATCGCATGCAATTTAAATAAAGTTTAACAAAACACTTGAGACAATAAGTTGCTTTCTGTTCAAGGAAATTTACCTTTTACCAGCCTGGCATAATGTCATCTGGCAAAATGTACCCCATTGGTATTTCCTGGAATACTTCTTTCCCCTAGAGATTCTATCAGAGTATTCTATAGTCAAACATGCATAGAAAACAGAACTATATAGAAACAAAAATACCCCCTTTAAGTCCAGACTATCACTACAGAGTATCAACACAGAGTTACAGTATAAAGTTAGAGTTATTCAAACCCCAATTGATCGATATATTCATTTCACTCACTTGATCTAAACAGATTGAAACTTTCACAGTAAAGATCCAATTTTACCTATCAATCATTGTGGCATAGGCTGTGACCAAAATTATGGGTCCAGTAGCCATTTTCAATGTAGCTCAAACATTTGGTTTCTGTGAGTAAGATATAATACAGCTAGAAAATTATAAATTGCTTTTCATTGGTTTGATGCATGAGCAGGTAGGCAATATCATAAAACTGTCTATTTCATGTGGTTAATATTTTTTGTTTCTGTAAACATTAATTCACACTTCTTTGGAAAGTTTTGCTAACAGAGAAAGAAACTAATGAAACTACTGATGGTGTCATAACTTTTTTCTAGCACCTTTTGTTGGAACATAAATATGGGTTGACATTTCTTTCATTTCCACATAAACCTGTGAAGGTTATCAAAAAACCCAAAGATGATAGGTTTAAAATTACAGTGAAGATGGGTTAATTAGTTGGAACATCATCTTGATAGGAAATTCATACCCACTCATTTGGAATTCATGTACAATTTTTGTTATGAAAGGAGGGAAAAAGTCAAAGCGCCATGGATGCCTGACAAACAACAGAGTCCTTCTCTACAAGGCTGACCTTTTTTAAAGTTTATACTTCCATTGTATGTGATGATTATAACAAGTGTTACTGTGTTCTGGCTTCTTTGTATTCAAGAATTGCAGTGGAACATTTAGATACATTGTTGGACCTCTGAAAGAACTCAAATTTTCAATCAGATAGAAATTTATATAAAATTGTACTTTAGAGATCCTTAGACACCATTTTATTTTTATAAATATTAAGATTCAGAGAAAAGGAAGCTCAGAAATGGGGTGTAAAAAATTCTAAAGAGATGATATAAATTATTATCTCAAACTCCAAATCAGCTTCCATGGCTTAGCAATAAATGCCTTCACTTTTCTCTCCTTCACATCAGGCTTCAATATTCTTTTCTAAGGAAAACTTGTTTTCAGTCATCCTTAGTCTCAACAGGGGTTGCAAATTGAAAGAGAGGTACTAGGTTTTGAAGCACAGTTGCTTTTTTAGTCATGAAAGAAAAAGAAGAGAATTGCTAATAAAGATAAAATTTAAAGTAAAGATGATATGTTTTAAAATAAAGAGTATTCAAAATGAAAATTGGCATTGCCTGCATTTACATTTTATGCTATTTTTCTTTTGATATAAGAAAGCAAAAATTTTCAATTTTTTTAATTTTTATGAAAATAACTCCCTGTCTAAACATTTTCACCTATATAAACATGTGTAGCCCATTCTAATTCGAGTACATATATATTTATTCAAATAAATATAAAATTATATATTATATATAGTTAAAATATTTTTATTATTATTCAGAAGCAATTTACAGAGCTTCTATTATGTCCAGGCATCATACAAGGTGTGTTGATATTAGGTGAATAAAATCAGACCTGGACCTTGCCTTCAAGTAGAGGAGAAAATATGTTACCTATTAACTATAACAGAAAGCAATATGGTACCATGAGCATATGCAAGAAGAGGATATAATATAGTTGATTTCCTGAGGAAATGCGATTTGAGATGGAATCCAGAGGTTGCATAGTAATTAAACAACTCAAAGCAAATAAAATTGAAGAATCCCTATAAATATTATAAGCAAGATTAGTGCATGTGAAAATCTTTTAACAGGATGTTGTAAGACACAGTCAAATGTGAACAAAGTTCAGTATGGAAAGAGAGAAGCAGGTTGTAAAAGCAACTGTTAATTTCTAACCAAAATATGTCATTCTTCTTCACACACATTCTGTCATGTTTCACACACAGCAATTTCCTGTCTTACCTTACAATCATGTATGGCCACATGACTGAACTTTAGCCAATGAAAAATGGATGGAATTTATATGTACTGATTCCAAGTGGGGTCTAGTAAACTTTCCTCTCCTGCTTCTCCAGACTGGTTGCCTTTCCACTAACTGGTTGGAGATGACCATAATGACTTTGAGCATTACGTGTTGAGATAGGCAAAGTATCCATCTGCTTCTCTTACTAAGTGACAACATGGAGTAGTATTTCTAAATCATTGGTGTGCGACAGAATCATCCACAAAATTAGTAAATCACAGATTATTAGGCTCTGCCCCAGAATTTCTTGTACATTAGGTCTAAGAAAGATCTGAGAATGTGTGTTCATAACAAGTTCCCAGGTAATAATAATGCTGTTGGTCAATGAACCACAGTTTGAGAACCATTTGCGTACAGCAGAGTACTTCCTCTCTCCTAAGAAAAATCCTGAATATTATTGAGTGTGTAAGAGAAACAGTTTATCTCTTTTTTATTGTATATATTTGTCTTGCTTGTTAAAAAGGAAACGTTACCTGAATTATCAATATGGAACTTCACGTAATATAAAATGGATAGTCTTCTTTGTAAAGATGCCTATTCTCCAATCACTACCACTGCTTTACACAGTCAGCATGTGACTCAGTTCTGATTAATGTTAGGAAAGAGGGAATTTGTTGTGAATGATTAGAAACTTTTTTTAAATTGCACATCCACATGACAGGTATTGTGGAGGTGGTCAGTTTCTGCCTTGTCTGAAGCCAGTGCCTAGACCTCCTGCAGCCACTTTGTGATAATGAGAAAAGACAAAACGAGGGCAAAGCCATGTCAATAAGTGTGACAAAGCTGCTCTTCAGAAGGGAAATCTTGCCCAGAATAATGGAATGGAGACCAGAGGCACTAACATTAGAAACCAAAACAATTCAAGGGTTGTGCTAGACGGCAATATTTCAGTGCTTCTTATCCTATTAGTTAAAAACTGTATGCATTATTATATATATGTGTGTGTGTATGCATATGTATGTTACTTTTATATATACATACTTATATATATGTTACTTTTAAGTTGCTTCTATAAATAAAATCAAGGCCAGGTGCGGTGGCTCAAACCTGTAATCCCAGCACTTTGGGAGGTGGAGGCAGGCGGATCATGAGGTCAACAGAACGAGACCATTCTGGCCAACACGGTGAAACCCCATCTCTACGAAAAATACAAAAATTAGCCAGTGTGGTGGCACGCACCTGTAGTCCCAGCTACTTGGGAGGCTGAGGCAGGAGAATCGCTTGAACTCGGGAGGCAGAGGTTGCAGTGAGCAGAGATCACACCACTGCATTCCAGCCTGGATGACAGAGCGAGACTCTGTCTCAAAAAAAAAAAATCAAATAGAACAAAGGAGATATATGCTGAAATAATGGACCATTATGTAGTTTATTCAGATGAGTACTCAATTTTTTCTTCCATGAGTAGTTACGTAAAATTTTTTCAGGGCTGCTAGAGCTGAGAAATTAATCACTCCAGCTCCAGCTGACTAAGAATAACTCATATTACTAATATCTTATAATAATTTAACTTATCTTGCAATATTTACTCTAAGGTATGTAACTTCAATTTTGCTACTATTTGAGGCATAAAATGCCATTACTTCTATTTCAAATCACTAATTTTATAGAGAGTTTCATGAATAATAGTAAAAACAAGTTATTCTTAATATATTAGAGAGCTGTAAGATTTGCATTATTGACAAGGAACTTAAATGAAAAATCTTGACTTGAGCTTTAAGAAATTATTCATCAGTTAAATCGGTTTTTCCAGAGTAAGTAACATAATTTATACAAACATGCTTGATACAAAGTACATGGGCAAAGTCTAAAGGCATTTCTGAAAGGAAAAAATAAATAAAAGTAAAAGAAGATAAGCTCGAGATAATTAAACTTCAGTGTTAATAAATCTAAAATTTTCAGTTATTCAATTTATTAATTATTAAGATCATGAATTACTAATTCTCTTTTTTCTTACAATAGATGGCATTTTCTTCCTTTTACCAAAAATCAACTCATTCATTTTTTTCTCTCGATCCCAGTCTTTCTCTTTCTCCGGAATTTGTAAATATTCCTTATTTCTACTAGGTGTTCAACCTCACTCTCTTACCTGTTTTTATCCTATAATCACTTAAAGTTCCTAGCTTTCCCATCCAAAAGTGAGAAAAGAAAAAATGCATCAACAACAGTCTGAACAATTCATTCACTCTCTCTTAGTACCTCATCTTTCTCTTCCTTTATATAGCCAGACTTACTTGAAAGTGAATATCAACATTAAAAAGGCAAATGACTACAACAGGCAACTTATTATGTCAACTGTGATGGCCTCCAAATTTCTATTTTACTTGTATACTTTTTATGTAAGCTTAGTTTTGATTATTAATCGTGTATCAATATATTTTTCTTTCTTGAAGTCATATTCTTTCTTCACCTCTCTTAATATTAGTGGAGCTTTTAATGTATCTTTAATTTGTCTGGTTTTGTTAGAGGCAGTGGGTGAAGAAATATTTTTACCTCTTAATTTTCCAATAAGGAAACAAGACCGTGAACAATATGCAAAATAGCAAGTGATATCCAACTCGGTGTCAAGGAGATTGCAAAGAACAGTTGGCACAGAAGCAAATTCTAGAGCAGTCCAACTCAAAATCACATTTGTGGACTTTGCTGACATAGACACACTTTGTCAGTGGTGCTCACAGAAATAAGTATAGAAATCATGAATAGACTTTTATCTTATCTCTTTACTGATTGACAGTTTTAAAGAGCTCTATGTGATTATCTCATTGTGAACCAATATGAAAACCAGACCCGACTCAGAGAAACAATTTCCAAAGAACACTATCTATTGAACAGAGACAGCAGGTATTCATTTGTAGCCGTTCTTATTGTCTATGGTGTAATGTGAGATAATGCGTTATTGAATTATGAGATTTTTCAAGAAAAGCCAAGGAGCTGAAAGTTTATATAAAATAATTTCACGTTTAATATTGTTAACTAATGCCATTGAAATAAAAGACTCATCATAGCGGGTTAAATGTGTTCTATAGTGCCTTTATGGTAAACAATCTTTCTCTCAATTTTCTCGCCTCCTATTCCAGTATCAAAATACTCCAAATTGTATTGTGTTTTTACATTCTAAGATTGTTCTCACTAACATCATCATTAATCTTCATGTGGCTAAATATAGTAAATATATTTTTAAATTCACCATATTCTTTACCTTAGCAGAATAGGGCACCCTTAACCTGTACTAACTACTTGAAGTATTTTTTTTCCTTCAGGTTTCCTTCCATGTCTCCAGGAGTTCCTTTTCAACTATATTTATTGCCTTTTTTTCTCCAAGTTTACTTTTAAATGTTGGAGTAAATCAACTCTCTTCCTACATTAGAATCTCATCTAAGAAGTCTCATGTTTTCTTATGACTTAATTTACCATCTGATGCAGACAGGACACATATTATATCAGAAGCCCAGATTGACATTTCTTGCATATACTAAATGCCTTTCATAAATATCATCTCCAATATATTTTATTAGTCATTAACTCTTACTTATTCCAACTCCTAGATATTGCTGATTTCAATCTAGCTTGATATACCTTTATCGTCCTTATCTAAAACAAGCTGTATTGTAAACACCCTTACTGATTACATTACCAGTAAGAAATCCAGTGAATGTATTGCCCACTTTTAATATCTTATACACAGCACAGCCAGAATAGTTTTGTTGAAAACACTCATGTGAATTAGGGAATTTGCTCTTAACATCGTTCAGTCTTCCCCTTTTCCCTTTAGAGAAACAGGAAGCACTAGCCTCCATTTCCTTACGTATTTCTCTTCAGACTTGTTTTGTGCCTTTTTCTCACTTGTCGTTTAAGATCCATCCAATGCTTGGCTTCTTTTATTTTCTCAAATGGATTTTTCGATTTCCTACCTCAGTCATTTTACTTTACCATTTTTTTGTCTTGAAATGTTCTTTTCACTTCTTCAGTTAACTCCAGCTTTTTTTTTCCGCCAAGAATCTTTCCTTCTCACTCACTCCATTTTCAAGACTTGTTGAAGTCCATGGCTTCTACATTCCAGTAGCTGCTTGGGTTTCCTCTCGATGACACTTGCATTCATTTATTCACATCTATTTTCCTCATTGCACTGTAATCTCCATGCAGGCAGCCATTGCACTGGTTTTCTCTTTCACAGCTTGAATTTTCTCCTACATAGTGTATGTCACACATATATCTGTAAAATGCATGAATAGATGTTTCCAAATTTGGGTGGAGGTGAAGCTACCTTTCTTTTATTTTTATTTTCTTCTTTCTTTTCTTTTAGCTCTACAAAATAAACAATTACTGATTACACATTTAAACTATTTTCACATGTTCTAACATATTTAACCTATTAAATATTCTATTGATATTCTCACATGATTTTACAAACCATATAAAATTTACCCTTTATTTGTTTTATTTAGCTAGTTAAGATATACATATATCTTGTTTTTAAAAAATACTGAAAAAATTGCATATGTATTTTAATTTTACTCTAACTGGTGTACTTATTCCATAAAGTTTGTCAAAAGTAACTTCTTATTACTGTATACCTATGTGTGTGTGTGTAAAAACAGATAGAATATAAAATTATTTTTAGAAAGTCAAGATTCTAGTATTGACTCCAGGTAAACATCATTGATAGTTCATTAAACTATGCTACCTTTTGATTTCTGTCCATGTAAAATGGGAAATAGAAAAATGGAACAGTCACAGCATAATTATTCAGTATTTCTAATGAACTAATAAAATAATGTGAAATTCCTTTGTTAATTTTAAAATGTTAGTCAAATTCATCCTACCATTAATTATTATTAAATTAAACTTGTAAAATGATTCCACATCTTTATTGTATATTAAACTCAGATGTAGCATTTAAATATATAAGAAAAAGAGTTACAGATTATTTGTTATACTTTTAACAATAAATGTAATATTCTAATCTTTGGAGTGATACAGATTTGGTTTTGAGGATTTTCTTTCATTTTTGCATATTTAGGCTGTTGTCTCCACTCAAAAATTCCTTACACAGTCTCACATATTTTCTCTTTAGACCAACCATCTAATTGCCATTTTTATTCTTTGCTTTATAATAGCTGTCATTGGATAATGGAAGAATCAATCAAACTTTTTTTCCTTCATGTCCCTGCAGCAACAGAACTTTATTATTTTTACTTCAGTGACACTGAGAAGCTTGAATCAATATTGACAAAACATCAAGTCTTTTTGAAAAACTGCTATGATAGCACTCAAAGCTTAACCATTTCACATCTTTTATAGCCATGGAAACTCAAAATTTATTTTTCTCACAAACACATACATCTTAATCCCTTGGAAAATCATTCTGCTGCATTTGAAATGCAGTTACCATAATTGACTTTCAAGGCACAGAACTGGGATTCATCTCCATATCTGAGAATAGAATCAAGCCCTAAACAATTGGAACTTTATAATCAGGTTTTGAAGATTAATGTTTCTTTAGAAGGGGAAGCTGGTCTTGGAAGCAATCGGATTTTCTTCCTGCTATTGATAGAAAAGTTGAGTTTCTAGCTGAACTAGTAGAAAAATTTATTTATTGATAAGTGGACACTTTAGCCCTGGAAACAATTTACACTTAACCCTTATTGTTCATTGATATTGATCACTTGAAAACGCTCTGAACCACATGCATAACAAAACCTCTTCCTATTGAACTACTATTAATATTATTCAATATATTTTAATTTTTAAGCAGTAAGATGAATAATATAATACCCTGTTACTTAAATAGCTCACATACTTTACTATCCAATTCTATGATTACTCTAATAAATTATCTCAAAATCCAGCATCAGATCCCGGAAGCTGTTTTGTGGTTTGGTTCGTTTTGTTTGTTTTGGTTTGTTTCTTTGGCTCTTTTTGCCCTTTAGTGCTGAAAAAAAAATTATGTTACTTAACTGAATCTCCAGCGTTGCCATTGAGTAATGCTCCTCAAACAGGACGTATCACTCAATAGTTGATCTCATACTTAGTTATGAGCTTAAAACTTGAAAAGAGACAGAAAATCTGTAATGCAGTAAATGGGAAATCGGACTATGGAGCGTGAATGCATAAGGATATTTGTTTTGTGAAATTCATTTACACGAGTCTTCTTTGGTCTTCAAAGCAACATGTGTTTTCACTAAATACACTTGTGCTAAGTACACAGCCTGTGATGCTGGCATCTTCCTCCTTTTACAAGTATGGATCCTAAGTCAAATCTCATTACACAGTGCAGCATAACAGTTGATAGATTTCTAACTGTAACGTAGGCCTCCCAACCATAGTTCCAGGGTTCTTTGTATTATAGCATACTGCCTATTCCAATTTAAATATAAGTGTGGAGGTTCTCATCCTCTGTTCTTTCCTGAGTTTTGAGTTTATGTGCCAATTATTATTTTTTTTTTCTGAATCCCTCGCTCTACTTTCTCTTCTTTGTAATCAGTGGCTTTAATATCTGAGATCACTGGCTTCTGTGTAAGAAAGCGTTACACAGAACGCTTTAAAACTGAATAGTATTTAGTGTTTTTAAAACTAAATAGTACTTAGTGATTTGCAAACTGTTGGATATTTAAATTGATGTGATTGTCATCAAAACTTTAAAATTAAAAAAAAATTTAAATCATGGTGCTTTTAAAAACCACTGAGAGTAAATACTTCTATATGTGTCTTTTAGTTATGCAGGATTGTACAGGCATCCAAACTATGTTCTCATAAAACCAATTTTATTTTTTAAATTTATTTTTTCATTAAAGCCAATTTTAATGTGTTTCAGTTCATGGTTGAAATGTTTCTTGATTTTTATGTATGACTCATAATAATACCTGAATTAATCATGGGGCCTGGAAAATTAGTAATAGCAGTTCTAAAAGGGAAAATAGGTCTATTATGTATGTGTGTGTGTGTTTGTATGTGTGACACACATTTTTACACATTTAACAGAGAGATGAATTCTTATATCTATACCTATTTATTAATCTATATAAAAGTAAATGGCACATCCTTTCAAATTAGCCTCATTTAATATGTCTGCATCTATATTATCATTTAAATTTTCTTTTTTAACAGCTATGTACTGAAAACAAATTCAGACTTGGTTTTCTCACATGGCAAAAATGAACCCCTCACTTTCAGTTTATATTGGTCTACGTATACAGTGGCTTGCTGAAGGATTTTTGCGCAAATAAGTTAGAACATAAGTCAAACCTCTTGTTTCAAAAGAGTCAAGCATGATAGAAAACACTAAATTTATTTAACCTCCATGTTCCATCTAGCAGAATTAAACTTTCCAAAGAGGAAAAACATAGATTGATGTTTTTAAAATTACTACAGGGTAGAAACTATGCTTCTAGTACTCTACAATAAGCCAAACTTATTGGCAGAAATTGTCCATAAAATTGACATTTTTAAGCAAATTTACATTCCTTCATCAGTGTTATGCATGCCATTGCAGACAAAGTTGATGATTTGAATTCATAATTGATTTATGAGTGTCATAGAAATGAGGCAGAAAATATTGGACTTTGTTGCCAAGGAGTTCATTTTGGGCAACCAGTAATTACACTGAGGATTAGATTGTATGAATTTGGAAAAGTGTAGAAGAGTCCATGACATCAGTAATTACAATGAAAATAAAATGAATATCTTATGGAATATGCTTTCATATATAATTCCTCCTCTGGATATTGTATTTTCTTTATGTCCATTTTCAGAGCTGGCTCATATTACTCTATTGACATCTGTTTTAAAGTGGAGTAAGAAAAAAGAACTAAAGTAAATTTTTCTTTAAACTTCATACATGAAAATAAAAGTAAGTTGAGGATGCAATTTTTAAATTAATATGAATGCACTTCCATAAACACAATCTCTGTCATTAATCTATCTTTCTGTTAATGACTGGCCAGCTGAAAGTTGGCAAATTCATTCATTTTAAATGCTAGAGGCATTAAAAGTTCTTGTTGAATAGGTTATTTTGTTTTATCGGTTAAACATGCACATACATATACACATGTAAACATTTTATTCATTCTATAGTTCAGAAAGTTTTAACAATAAGATGTTCAAATCTTACTGTCAGCAGCAACTCTACAACTAAATCATCTTTTTAGTAGGAAGCTCCAAAGTTAAACACAGAGTTTTTAGGAATATTGAAATTTCCTTTAAGCCTTGCCACACGTCATTCAAGTCAGAATATTTGATATCACTTTATTATAATTTTAAGGAAATACAATTTATATATATTTTTTAAATGATAAATTCAACTAATTATAATTTAAGTGCATGAATAAAATAAGTATATTTATAAGGTTGGTTACATACTATTTTCAGAATGAAATACTCTTCCAGCCATGTCAAAATTTTGCCTGATGTCTCCTAAAATGTTTATTTAGTGATGGGAACTAAAAATGTTTTAAGTCACCCACAAATTGTTTTGCTTATGACCAGTAGATCAATCTTAGTAAAGAGATGTTTTCAAAATGTCAGTGTCTATTTCAAGAATCTACAATCACTCTCACTTTTTTATAAAATAAAGTCCAAAATAAAATTATCTTAAAATGGATTTACCTTCGTGGATATTTGTGCTTTGAACATTTATACTCGGAATTTTTTTTGAGATGGAAAAAAAATAACCTGGAAGATATTAATAAATTATTTCCCCACTGTATTGGAAAGTCCAGTATAAATGAAATAAAAGCAGTGTCACCATAAACAGGAAATAAGTGGTGTCTATTCCAAAAATATGAGTATAAGAACAGTAAGTTTTGATATATTTGGAATTGTGTTTTCATGGCCAGTAAATGTGCATATCTAAACTCTTAAATAAATGGCATCTATCACTTCAAAAGGTGAATGAAAACTATCAACAATAAAAGGGTCATTGTAACTTGAGTTTCCAAGCTGGCTTTATTTTTCAAACCATAGAGAGGCCTCATCTTAAGAGACAGCTATTTCCCTGAAAGAAAAGAGAGGTTCAAGTTCATTAAGAGACCCTTCCATATCTGAAGTGTAGGTTGACAACCTTCATATAGAAAAGGGAGAAATCAGAGTATTTTATTAATATAAAAGGAAATCCAACCCGACAGAGGTGGTGGAAAACCTATTCATTATTGTTCCATAGATAGAGGAAAGAAAAAGAGAGAAAAACGATAATACATTTACTCTAAGAGATCAGTGTCCTTGTTTTTTTCTAATTCTCTGAAAGGACCCTTAATAGGGGTATGAAAGAAATACACAGACACAGTTTAAGGAAGCCTAGGGCATCAGTGATGCTGGCTTGCTTTGCTTAGAAGAGTCTGGAGATTTGTATACTTCATGATAAAGCCTCACATCCTCACATTCAGCTTGGCACAATACCCTGTATGTAGTAATAGTGAATCATTGTCCAAGGAAAGTGTTCAGTTGAATGAGTCTGTGGAAGATCTCATGGCTCTTGAGACACCGGGAGTGATGCATAGGTAATCCAGAAGTTCATGCACGCTCAGGGTCATACATGAGCTGAGAGGAGCCACGAACAGCAAATTTAGAAGCCGAAAAACAGAGTTCACAACCTTTGTGATCAGAGTCAAATATACTTCATTTTCAGTGTTATGAAGAAAGAACCAGTTAAGACCAGTCCCATCTCATAGATACCAGTTCAGTGATAAAAATAGACAAACTGTGAGACAAAAGTGGATTTGTGGCACTTCTATGTTACTGCCATCAGACCCCATCCCAAATATAACCAGATACTATCCTAGAGGTAAGTAGGAGGTGATGGCGGAAGGATGATGTGAAAGCATGAACAATAATCATGAGGCAGTTTACATAGAAGAAGCTGAGACGTAATTAGTTTGCAAGTTGAATTCTCCTCTTTACCTTAATAAGGTGATTATCCAGAAGACAAATTAAGCACATTTCAGAAAATACAGAAACTAAATTTTATTTGAACGTTTAAATTGTTAACTCTTACTTGTTCAATAGTATGTTATTTTCCTATTGCTTCTATAGCAAATTACCATACATTTAGTGGCTTAAAACGACATAAATTTATGTCTACAGTGCTATGGGTCAGGGGTCACCAACGGCTGGGCCACAAACTGGTACTGGTCTGTGGCTTGTTAGGAACCAGGGCGCACAGCAGGAGGTGAGCACCAGGCAAGCAAGCAAAGCTTTCTCTGTATTTTCAGCCTCTCCCCATTGCTTGCATTGCTGCCTGCGCTCTGCCTCCTGTGAGATCAGCAGTGGCATTAGATTCTCACAGGAGCAGAAACCCTATTGTGAACTGTGCATGGGAGGGATCTAGGTTGTGCTCTCCTTATGAGAATCTAATGCCTGATGATCTGTCACTCTCTCCCACCACCCCCAGGTGAGACATCTAGTTGCAAAAAAACAAGCTCAGGGCTCCTACTGATTCTACGTGATGGTGAGTTGTATAATTATTTCACTGTGTATTACAATGTAATAATAGTAGAAATAAAGTGCGCAATATATGTAATGAGCTTGAATCATCCCCAAACCATTCTCCCCAACCCCAGTCCATGAAAATTTGTCTTCCACAAAACTGGTCCCTGATGCCAAAAAGGTTGGGGACCGCTGCTATAGGTCAGAGGCCTCAGTTGGCTAAAATAAAGGTGACAGTGAGGCTTCATTCCTTCTGAAAGTTCTCGGGGAGAAACTGTTCCCTTACCTTCTCCAGCTTCAGAGACTGCTTGCATTCCCTTGTTCATGACCTTTTGCTGCATTTCCAAAGCCAGCAATATAGCATCTTCAAATCTCCCTCTCTCTCTCTCTCTCTCTCAATCTCTCTCTCTTGCACTCCTGCTTCCCTTTTAAAAGGACTCTTTTGATTACATTGGTACCAGGGCGATAATCTAAAATAATCTTTCCATCTCAAGGTCTTTAATCACATCTCCAAAATTCTTTTTGCCATGTAAATTGACATATTCACAGTTTTGGGGGATTAGAATGTGGATATCTTTGAGAGAGATACTTTCTGCCTATCACAAATGTGACATGTATATAAAAAAATCCAAACATTCTTCCTAGCTCACAGGGATCTTTACTTAAATATTAAGAAAAGAATTGAGATTTGTTGGATAAAGAATAAATATATCACACATATATTGGGTTAGAGAATTTACAACTTATTCATTCCAAGATCACCTACAAAAATTGAAATTAAGTTCTGTACTTAAGTACACAGTTGCGGCTTTTGGAGCCTTTTGTTCATCCCCCACAAGATTAATTTAGAGCTCATTTTATTCTTTGATGTGTGTTGAAGGTAAATAATATAGAAAACTGGTCAGAGATGACAAATTTTTTCTTAATATCTATACTCCTCATCATCATAGGTCACAAAACACAGATTTTTGTTCGGCAATATTTCCAAATTTAATAAAGCTTATATTTCTCAGCCTCAATTTCAAATAGGTATGGCCATGTTATTAGATTCTGAATGAAATTTATGTAAAGTAGTCTATCAGATGTCCATGGACAGCTCTTTAAGAATAAAAAAAAGAATGTCTTTCTCTGTTATTTCCTCCTGGAAATTGCTACAGTTTTGTGTTATAAGGCATTATCTAAGAACGTAAAACAGTAAGACAAGGGGCCCTGAGGTAGTTTACCTCCAAAATGTCTACCTTTTCATTTCTATTTATGAGAAAAAATAAACTTTTATCCATTTTTACCACTGTTAGTTTGAATTTATATGTTGTATGTAATTGAATTTAAATCTAACTAAAGTAGGCCTCATAACGGATCAAAAATCTATTATGTCAGTGAAAAACTTCGCGCAGCAAAGTAACATTTCTATACTAAGTGAACAGTCAAACCTGAAAACTTCTTTAATGAGTGGTTGCTAAGATTATGGAGACGTGAGTACAGTTAAGAGGGCAAACAAGAATAAATGGGTTTCTCCAAACAAAGAGATAATATTGTAATAAATGAGTTTATATTGCAATAGCTATATATTTTTCTCATACTTTTAAAATCTGTTAGCTAGTCTATAGAAACACAAGAACAACATAAAAGTGAGTCCTAAACTCAGCTTTCATGATAGCATCTAGCTGTTAGCTATAGATTAAAAGACCACAAGAGTGTGAGATGATGATGTACCTCCTAATTCGCTAGAGGACCTCATATGAGATGCCCATCTCCCAGTTGGCAAGAAAGTGGCAGAGCCACAGTAACTGAAGAAGCTATGACACATGGGACAAAGGAATACCTTGTTAGTAACTAGATTTGTGTAAAGGGTGCTAAGAGTAGAGTTTAAATGCCTGCACCATTGAATTTATAGATTAATATGCATTTCTTTTTAGTTTCATAGTAGTAGACTATACATATATTTCTATTGTGAGAGCCTGAATGTTATATTTTTGGGCCCCTTAAAATTAAAGAAGAAGGTTCAATATTCAAGTTTATTTCTGAGTGCTATATTTTTTATCATCTACTCAGGCATAGCAGTGGGCATTTTATTAAAAGAATTATTCAAATTATTCATATTTTGAACCTACATTACCCACTTGTAATGTTTTCCTTATGTAATCTGTAGCACTTTCTGTAGGATCAATCTTGTGTGGTCCTCAGTGTGCCACGCCCCTGCACCATTGCTCACACAGCTAATCCCCCAGTTAATACCCTTCGCATTCTTATTCATTTTATTTCCGAATTTAAGAAGGTGGGAAAATATTTTATGAATAACTTCAGCAGAGAATATTCAAAAGTCTCTGGGATTATATTAAAATTTTATACAGGTTCTTCAGAAGATATCCATTTTGTTTCTCACACACACACACACACACACACACACGCACACACACACTGCTGCAAAGGTTAAATAGAAACAGAAATTTCCAAAATTTCTTGCATTATGTAATTTAAAAAACATGGTGTAATCTCCTAGCCACATTCCAAATTACTAAATTTCACTCCAGAATAGATGATCAATACACAGGTAGATAATAGATAAACAAATATGCAGACATGTACATGTAAATTAAATATATATTTTTTATTTATATTTGGCAATTTTATAGAAAAACACATATCTACATCTGTATCTGTAGCTATATTTACATGTAGTCTAAGTTCGTATTTATTTTTATATTTCACCGTCTTACATGTTTATTTACGTATTACATTTTCATTAAAATTTCCTGTCCATTTTCCATTAACTTACCAAATGTACATATTTTTCCCTCTTGGGTTCTGGCATTCTTGTCATATTTATGAAGTTCTTTCTTATCCTATGTTTATATACACAATTAAATATATTGACTTCTATTTATATTTTAGAAATATTTTATATTTAATTTTTCTAGAATGCTTTGATAGCAAATGAAGAGCTACCTTTCCCAATAAAATATACCTTAACACTTATTTTTGAACAAATCTCATAATATCTGTCACCAGCTTCTACTGTACTTTCAGAAATGATTTTCATTTTATAAGGAATTGCCATTTCTTTGAGGCAAAGTGACAGGTAATTTTTCAGTTAGTAAATTCATCCATAGGGAACATATTTTTGGCTCCCCAAAATCTTTACTGAAACCACATTTACTCCTCAACTTTATTTTTTTTCTAACACATGTATCACCCAATCCTGAAATGTTCATTTTCTCAAAAATTACAATCCCAAGCTCAGCAATATCACTGCCATACCTGCCCAGCTTGTGAGTTCTTCTCAAACCTGTCAGCCTGGGTCAGGATGCCTCTTCCACTTTCCCACTGAATTCCAATGGGATGACAGTTCTGTTAAAAGTGTGCCTTCTGCTGAGGTCCAGGCAGAAACATAGGATTTTAACCAGTACAGGTGAGCACAGAAATCTGAATAACCTCACAAAATATAGCCAGAAGAAATTCCCAGCCCTATGTGGCCCTATTTCGACATTCAAAAAGAACCATCCATTAATCAAAAGTAGTTTAAAATAATTCTAATATTCTTGTGTCTCTTGAAACTCAAAGTACAGTACTTCACAGATGCTGTGTTGCTCTTCCTCTTGTTCTCCACATGGCTCATCCATGAAGGGGCCTTGAACCTCTCTCTGCCTCTAACACACTTCCCTTCACTCAACGTCACTCACAGGACCTGGCCACCTGGCCCTCTGCTTTCCTCCTTTTTTCTATTTCTTTCCATTTTCTTTTTTTCTCAGTAGCAAATATGTCTGTGCCTACAAACACCCCATTTTCACTTTTGTCCTATCCCGCTCTAATTAATTTGATTTGCATCATAAATTATAACTCTGTGTGTGTGTGTGTGTGTGTGTGTGTATGAGAGAAAGAAAGAGAGAGAGAACCAAGTAGTAATTACCAAAATGTCCTTCATAGGTACAGCTTAGTAAGTCTATCAATCCTAATATGAATTTTTGGTCTATTTTTATTATTTGCTGTATTGCATCTTTATATAACAATATGGGAATATAGATAGAGACATACTTCCAGCTCCAATTTCTCATTATAAAAGATGAGAATTTAATATAATTTTGCTTTTATTTTAAAAAAGAAAATGAACTCTATAACTATGCCTCAAGTATGGCTTAAGAATTCAAAGATTCAAATTATATTTTACTTGCACATTTTCAGTTTACAGATTTTGAAATTTAAAAGAAAGATTTATTTGGTATTCCTTCTTAATTAGAATGACTAATGTTTGTTCTCTTGGGTTTGTCTGTTAATAATTTGATTTAGGTGCATCTGTCATACAATTTAGAGACTAATATTTTTTTAACCCCAATTGAAGTTTTGGCCTTTATTGTGGAGGTTAAAATGCTGATATTATTGTTTTAATGTGTTTATTTTGTTCTTACTATCTTTGTAGACTTGTGTTTTTCCACCTTTTCTTTTCATTGTTTATAGTTTTTAATTTTAATAACATGTTCTTATTTTTTCAGTACTATACAAGCAATACATCCTGTTTTTAAAATGTAAATACAATTATTTACATTTAATTCTTTAAGCAACATATTACTAATTGTTAAAATACTGAATGATATTATGCCTTTTGTGTGTTCATAGTATATTTAAGTAGTTTAACATATTTTTGCCAACAATTTTGCTCATTCAAAGCATTGGTAACTTTCAATAAAATTGAAGTGCTGAATCATAATTAATTTTTAATATTTTTACAGTGTATAGTTTCTTGTTTTGTACTATACTTGGCTTTAATGTTGCTGAAAACAAGAGTAATCTCAGACCAATATACCTTACTGTGGAGATTATATATATATATTGCTATTGTGAATAGTGCTTCAATAAACTTGCATGTGTATGTGTATTTATACTAGAATTATTTATATTCCTTTGGGTATATACCCAGTAATGGGATTGCTGGGTCAAATGGTATTTCTGGAATGTCTTTCTGAGCTGTGTAAAAAGGCAAGGACATTTTTAATGTATTTTATGGATAATGATATTTGAATCTTAATAACATTCTTACTTATATGCCATATACTCTGTTAATTGATTTATCATTAATGTTCCACCTGTTCCACCAAATTCTCCTCCAAACTCCATTGGAACAAGTTATTTCTATGACGAGATACTTATTAACATCATTTACAGATGAGTGAACTAAAACTTAGACTAAGAAATTTGCACATATGCAATTCTAGAAATTGGCAGAATTTCAGTTTGTTACAGGAGGTAGCTAGTCAGGCGTGAGCAGAGCAGGGGAGGACTCCACCCACCCCCCCACCAGGAAAGTCTGATGACCAGCACGTGATGGTCAGGCTGTTGTTAACTGTCTCTATAAAATACTAATTGGTCACAGCCAGCACCAGAAAAAGGCAGTCTCCCTATAGATAGGAAACACTTGAAGCTGGTGATCAGCAGCTTCCTGATAAGATCTCATGAGCTGGCTGAATGGGCTCAAGCATGCTCATTAAAAAGCAAAATGGCGGAGTTTAACTGGTATATGACCCTCCAGGGTTATGCTGCAGGTAAAGGGAAGAAGCTTCCAAGGAAAGCTTCAGGTGAGCACGCATAAACTCCAGGAAACACACTGAGCAGACTCACCTCCCAAGTGCCAGCAGGTCACCGCGCATGCGGGAAGGTCACCCCAAGGGAAGAATCAATGGAAAAGGGACACAAAGGTGCCGGAAGCAGGCCAACATATAAAACCCTAAGTCCAAAGTCACATGCGGTGCTTGTCCTGCAAGAAGAGGTCAGCTTGGCCCTCTTCTAAGTGTACCTTTCTTTTTATTCCTGCTCGAAAGCTTTTTAATAAACTTTCACTCCTGCTCTAAAACTTGGCTCCGTCTTCTTTTTCTGCCTTATACCCTTCAGTCTAATTCTTTCTACTGAGGAAGCAAGAATTGAAGTTGCTGCAGACCTGTACAGATGCGTTCCACCAATAATAATTTGAGTCAGTGAACGGGAGATGGAAAAAAGTAAGTAGATTTGAGGGCTATTTTTAAAAGTATAACTCTGTTGGTTACAACAGTACTCTGTGATGATTCAACATTGAAGAGAAGAAAGAGAGAGGAGACACAATAAAGCTCATGTTTCTGGCTAAAGAATCCAATTGTGTATTATTTACATTTATTGAAAATTTTTAATATTTTATGGCACCATTTATTTTGATCCTTCATTGAACCCTCTGGTATTCCTATTTTCTTCTCCCTTTTTCTGAAATATTTTACTTTTGCAGTGTCATCCTCCCCTGTTTCTGCTTTACCTTAAGCATACTATAAAAATGGATTCTTTCTGAACATACGTAGGTCACCGTCCCTATCTATGTAGTACTGCATTTGCAGTTCTGGTACACAGCTTATGAGAAAGCACTAATGAAAATCTCACATTCAAGGTTCAGTTTTTAGTAGGCTTCCATTATTTCGTAAGTCTGTTTGATCTTACTGACTTTCTCTGCCATCTCTCAAACTAATTATTTTTATTTTTAAGACAGTCTTTCTTTGGAGTGCAGTTGCATGATCTTAGCTCCCTATAACCTTGAACTCCTCACCTCAGCCTCCCAAGTAACTATGACTGCAGGTGTGCACACCATGCCTGGCTAATTTTTTTTTAATTTTTTTATAGAGACAGGATCCTGCACAGGCTAGTCTTGGAACTCCTGGCCTCAAGCAATCCTCCTGCCTCAGCCTCCCAATGTCCTGGGATTACAGGTGTGAGCTGCAGAGCATGTCCAGTTTCTTCAATGCTCTACATTATCAGAATATTTTAAAAACTACATTTCCTACAATGTCTTGGCAACAATATGTTTCTTATCCCTACTCCTTCACAGAGTGAATCCTTTGTATGGAGGTAATGTCCTAGAAAATAGTGCAATTGCCAATCTGTTCAGCCTGTGCTGCTTCTATCCTGATCCCTACATCGAACTATACACAGACCTTCCAATGATCTGTTTTGTGGAAGTTGTCATTACTGATGGAAGAAGTATAGGGTATCTTCCTGTTTTTATTTAGTTAGACTATGTTTTATGAGGTCAATTCTGTATTATATTTGATTCCAATGCAAGCCCCTATGCCTTAAGAAAAATGGAGTTTCCTTAAAGTTCTTGACAGCATGTGTTTCTTAGTCTTGTTTTTTTCTTTGTGATTTTTATACATTGAGCTTTTATTTAGTCTGTATCTTCATGAATATTTTAGTATTAAGTTAAGAAACTGATTTGAGAGCTGCTAGATTAGGTGTAGTTTATTTTGGAAATTGTCTTGATATAGGAAATTTAATTTACAGAAATGGGAAAACAATATACTCTGTTTCTGGCTTCAGATAATTAAAGCAGTGCTCACTTCCTCATTAAAGTATTAATAATAATAGCCAGAGTTTTTTTCACAGCATTATTGAGATATAATTTATATACTATACAACTGACACACAAAAACGTACAATTCAATTTTTTTGGCATATTTCCAGAATTGTACAACCATACCCTAGTCTAATTTTAGTAGATATTCATTCCTCCAAAAGAAACCTCGTATTCATTATCAGTAATTTACCTTCTATCTCTATAGATTTACCTGTTTGGAAATGTCATATAAATAGAAGCATACAGTATGTCATCTTCTCTGAATTGCTTTTCTCACTTAGTATATTGTTTTCACGATTCATCCATGCTGTGTGATATGTCAGTACTTCATTCCCTTTTGTTGTGAAACACTCTTCCATTGTATAGATACACCACATGTAAACTACCCACTCACCGGCTGATGGCAACTTGGATTGTTTCTACTTTGTATTTATTATGAAGCAGGCTCCTATGAACATTCATGTAGAAATTTTCGTGTGGATGTGAATTTTCATTTCTCTGGCATGTATACCTAGAAATGGAATTGACAAGCTGTTTTCCAAAGTGGCGGAACTATTTTACATTCCCACTAGCAATGTGTGAGAGTTCCACAATTTCTCCACAATCTTGCCCATTCTTGCTTTCTGTCACTTTATTATAGTCATCTGTGATGGTGAATATTAGGTGTCAACTTGATTGGATTGAAGGATGCATAGATAGCTGGTAAAGTATTGTTTCTGGGTGTGTCTGTGAGTGTGTTGCAGAGACTAACATTGAGCAGGTGAACTGAGAGAGGAAGACCCACCCTTAATGTGGGTGGGCACCATCCAATCAGCTGCCAGCACAGCTAAAACAAAGCAGGCGGAAGAAGATGGGATAGATAAGCTGGTTTGCTGAGTGCGCTTTCATCTTTCTCCCGTGCTGGATGTTTCCTGTCCTGTGACATCAGACTCCAGGTTCCTCGGCCTTTGGACTCTTGGACTTACACCAGTGGTTTGTCGGGGGCTCTGGAGCCTTTGGCCACAGACTGAAGGCTGCACTGTTGGCTTCCCTACTTTTGAGGCTTTCGGACTTGTACTGAGCCACTACTCGCTTCCTACCTCCTCAGCTTGCAGATGGCCTATCGTGGGACTTCACCTTGTGATCGTGTGAGTCAATTCTCCTTAATAAACTCCCGTTCATATATACATCTATCCTATTAGTTCCGTCCCTCTGGAGAACTCTGACTAATACACCCTCCTAGTGGTTTTGAAGTAGTATCCCCTGGCGGTTTTGATTTGCATTTCTTTAATGACAAGTTATGTTGAGACTCCCCTTGTACTTATTGGCAGTCTACATATCTTCTTTGGAGAAACGTTTATTGAAACCCTTTTCTCATTTTTATATTGAGTTATTTGTCTTCATATTATTAAATTATGAGAGGTATTTATAATTTTGAATTCAAGTCCCTTGTCTGATACATGATTTGCAAATATTTCCTTCTATTCTGGAGGCTGTCTTTTCACTTTCTTGATGATGTTATTGGCAGCACAAAAATTTTACATTCTGATGTACCCCCATTGATCTACTTCTTTGTCACTTGTGTTTTTCAGAGTTTAAACCTAAGAAACTACTTCTATCTTTTATTCTAAGAGTTTTATAATTATTATTCTTACATTTAGGTCTATAATTAATTTTGAGTTAAATTTTGCTTGTTTTTATCTTTAGCCTGTCTACTCAGGGTTTACCCCTTTATCAGTAAAATTTATTTATTATTTAAAGATTGTGCTGTATTCCTCTTAGCTAGTTAGATTCGAACCCTTTATTGCCAACTATGAATGTGGCTTGGATACTGCTATCATTATTTAGGGAATTTACTTCTTTTTTGGTCTTAGCCAAGTACTAGTACTTTGGAGGTTCCCCCTCTGATTGCTTCATAAACCTTGCAGCTTTGAACAGGCACACAGCGTCCACAGCCATGGATGTGGGTGGTTTTATTTTTGATCTTTTGTAGTTATTTAGATCTTTTGATCTGAGTAGCTTATTGTTCAATCATCCTTTGGTCAGAAGTCGTGTTTAAGCTCCTTGTGTCGGTGAGCCTCCCCCTGTATTGATGGGTCATTGTGCAACATGAAGAATGCTTTAAATCCTTCCCTTTTCCCACTTTGATCACTTCCGCGTGGGTGCAAACCAGCGCATGCGCACAGCCTTCTCGATGCTCAGGGTTGCCTCTGATCTCAGGACAGCTCTTCTTAGCTGTCCTTTCCCCTGATTTTCTCTTTTAAACTTCTGGCTGTTCTCCTGTCTTACTAGTATCACTGAAATGCCACTTTACTCTTAATTGCTTTCCACCAAGATCTTTATTACTTTTGACAATGCCTTTAGATGAAGTTCTTCATTCTCTGTTCTAAATAAAGTCAGTCCCCTCAAACAAAGCTGAGGAGCTCATTATCCTTAAGTCCTGACCTCTCTCTCGTCAGAACTTACATGGTACTGCACCCGAGCTGAGGGTAGACACCCGCCTTTTCCAGAGTCACATCCCTACTCCAGTAGAGGGCAGTGTTTGCGTTAGGTTTGAATGTTTGAATGAAGAATGTTCCTCTCCAAAATTCATGATGAAACTTAATCCCCAATGCAACAGTGTTAAGAGGTAGAACCGTTAGGAGGGGATGAAGCCATGATGGCTCCATCGTCATGAATGGACTGGGGCTTTATAAAAGGGCTCGAGGGGACAAGTTTCTCTCTTCCCTCCCTTCTGCCACGTGGGGGCACAGTGTTTGTCCCTTGGGAGGGTGCAATGTTCAAAGCATCATCTTGGAAGCAGAGAGCAGCCCTCACCGGACACCAAAACTGCTGGCACTCTGATATTGGACTTCCCAGCCTCAAGACAAGTGAAAAATAAATTTCTGTTGTTTATAAATGACTCAGTCTTACGTACTTTGTTATAGCAGCACAAACAAATTAGACCGAAACTGTGCCTGTGTTTGTGGGAAGTAGCAGACCCTGGTCTTCTTGGCTTGCCCCTCATGATGTGAAATTGAAGTCCTTTGAAAAAGATGGGGTGGGGTGATTAGGGCCCCAGTATTCTCAGCTTGCCACACCTGGGGCCACCTTTGGCTCCGAAAGTGGGAGCTGGATGGAAAAAGGCATAGCTGGTGCTCTATACCACACCTGCCTAGAATGGAGCTTCTGCAATGTGCGGTTGGTAGTAGAGGGTAAGAAAAGCAGGCAACCTGCCCCTCCAGGGATGAAACATGAAGCTGAGGGGAGAGGGCAGTGCAGTAACTCAGTGGGTTATGACTCAAATGCCCCACCTGGCTGCTGCTCTTACTGAGATTTAGTAGATTTTCTTGATTGAATGTTTTAGCATTTGCTATATGCCCTTTGGACAATTTCCAGACTTTAAATGATTGTGTTTTAAAATGTTCACCAGTTAAAAGGCTGGAAAAAAGGGCCACTGTTCTCCTTATTCAACCATTCTATAAGTCCTGCCTACACTACTCTTTTAATATTTTTGAAATCTTGGTTATTACAAAATATAGCAAAACTTTGTCTTCAATGTTCCACATACTGATTCAGAAATACAGCGCTCTTAGAAATCAAATATAAACCTACAAATATTAATAAAAGGATAGATCTTAATATTAAAGAATCTAGTATTTTCTTAAATTAGTTATGTGCTGTATTTGGCTATAGTTAAATGTTTAGTTTATTTACGCAGCCTAATTTTATTCACTAATACACCTATTTAGTGGCAATTACCAAGGACTCTAGAAACAAATTTCTGTGTGTACGCAGGATAAAAGTTTGGTCCCGAGTCAAGAGATTGCTTTATAATTGATAGATTGCTAATGTTAATTTAAAATAAATGCCACCCAATTTACTTGATAATAGTACTTATGTAGCAATATTCATTTCTTGCGATTATGTATTTAAAATATATTGTCCATCAAGTATTATCTATTAAAAATATTATCTTCTACAGAATTGCTTTATTAATTTCTTTTACATTTTTTATGCTTAGCCAAGTTTATTTTATGAACATTACTTTTGTTATCAGTTCTTATCGATTTAATATATCAGCCACATTAATAACAGAGTAGCCTAGGCAAAATCCTCCAAAACAATTCTATCATCTTCCTCTTTATTGTATATCATATTTCTTAAACCTAACAATATAATTTTGTTTCAAAGTTTGTAGAGAATGGACTTCAATCTCTCTCTGAGATAAAATTATTATCTCGAAAGCTCAGGTGAGATAAAGATGAAATGAGTACAGGCAAACCTAGAAGGAAATATAAAAAGCAAGAGTTGTAAAAAAAAAGTTTCAGAACACATTTCTTAGATTTTTATTAGGAGCTTTTTTTATCTCTTATCTTCATATTAGAAGCATTAATACTTATGAGTTTGTTACCACATGAAATTTTGCAGTTAGAGACATAATTATATACACATATACACATATGTACATATGAACTATACACTGAAAGGGTTTCCCTGAGTAATGTAAATTGACATATAATTAATGTCTAACTCTATTGAAATTCATAGGATAACACTTATTTTTCATGCATCTTTTATTCACTATTACCTAGAAAATAGACTGTAGCAAAAGCAAATCAAAACCTCGGTTTGGAAACATAGATCAACAAAATATAAACTTGCCTATATGGGCTACTGCAGTGACTTCAGCTTGTATGAAAATTCTTGTGAAGACCCACTAAAAGGTATTATTCTGGTAGCTTTCCATTTTATTTATTTGTTTTATTTGTGTATGCACACGTGTACTCCTGTGTATCTATATCTAAATTTCTATCTGCAAATTTTGCTAATATATGATTCTGTAGTGAATTCAGCTTCTATAAAAGTTCTTGTGAGGACCCACTACAAGATACTATCCTGGTAGCTTTCAGTGATGTGTGTGTATTCTTATCTGCAAAATTTGCCTATATATAATACTACAGCAGCTTCAGCCTTTACAAAATGTCTTATGAGGATGCCCTGTAATATATTATCCAAGGAGCTTGAATGTGATTTACGTTGAGCTAGTATTTATCTTTAGCCTTTCTGTCAGTTAAATTTCCTACGTAACAACTCCAGAATTTTGTGTCTTTTAATGACAGCCAGTGATTCAGCCCATGATTCCGCAGACTGGCAGTTTTAATTGGGCTCAGTTGTTGGTTCTTTTGGCTTCTTTGTCTGTGGTAAGCTATATGATTGGTGGCCAAGGCAAGCTGGATTATGAAGGCCTTGTCTGAGAATGCTATTGACTAGGCCCCTCTCCAGGTAATGGCTTATCATCAGGCAGGCTAGCATGCATCTATTCACATGATTACAGGGTTACAAATGCAATAAGAGAGTGAACATTAAGGTGTCAGCACTTCTCAAGCCTCTAGCTGTGCTACATTTGCTACTTTTCAATTGTGCAAGATAAATCACATGGTCACACTGAAAGTCAGTGGGAAAACAGACTGCACCCTTGATGACAGAAGCTGCAAGTTGCAATGCAAGGAAAATGAGTAGAGCAGGGAAACTTTGAGGCTGTGTTTGCAATCTACTAACCTTTGGACCTGTTGATTACATTTCATCTGAATAATACGGCAATTGAGTTTTTAGCTTATTGTTTAAACAGCAAAAACGACATCCTAATTGTATTGTTCTGAGTGGTAATTTTAAAACAATTTATTTCTTCAAGGATTAGTTTCTCTGGCTGTGGTGGTTGTTTTCTCCACTATTCTGAAATTAAGACCTTGAACCTTGAAAACAAACAAATTGAGCTTCAGAATAGTATAAAGTGCACTGTGGATAAGTTTCTTGTTTTTTTTTATTCTTTAATTATTTTTCTAGAGTCATGTTTTTTTCCTTTGAGATTAAAATAATTTAACTCAAATTCTAATATAATTGAAATAGGACATGATCACGTTAATTTTCTCTTTCAAATATTTCTACTTAAAAATTAGTTGTATTAAAACAACCAGATGGATAGATATAGCTATGTGTGATATGTATATGTATGTATATAAAATATATGTGTGCATCTATATATCATATATTTTATATATGTACATGTATAATTTATATGGATTTATAATATACAGTCATATATAAATATATACATCATGCATTTATACCATATATACATGTATGGGGCAAAATTAATGTTACTATGTGTTTGAATTATCCTAAAAATATAATAAAAGTTTAAGTCGATTATAAAAAATGTGACAGTGTAAAAAATCAAATCTTCCAAATATTATAAAACATTATATTTTGGCTTATTTTATTTTTTTCCAGATAAAAATCTAGATGTCTTTAGATTTTATTTTTGGCACAGCATTTATTGCACCAGGAAAAATACATGTTAAGTTACTTAAAATAATTTTTATTAAATTGTTTAAAATAATTGTGCTTTATTTTTACTAATAGCACCATTTTCTTCCCTCCATTGAATTTCAGCTCTCAAAACATAAAATTTACTAATTATAAATTTTTAATGCAGAGATTCTCAAACATGGAATTGGGAAAAATTTCAGTGCTGTATTTAGTTGTGAATTATGTAGCAAATAATTTGTGCTGACATTTGAGATATATATATATGTATATATATAAAACTTCAAAACTTTAAAAAATATATATATGTATAATAAAGTTATATCTGTATATAATTTAGAGCAAAGGCAGTATTTTCTAGATAATAATGTCATTTTTACTTCTTGTCAGCCATATTTTTTTTGGAATAAACTAGAATGAGGCAGCACCTGGTCCCAGGGAAATGCATGGGAATGTTGTATAGGAGAATGTTACTCTTCCTGTCTTTTATGATGATGAGAAAAACAAAGTAGAGAAAAGCTACTTTAATCCACATGATATATAAATTGAAATCTTAAGGAAACATAGCATCAAAGAATGTGTCATTACACTATTCACAATAAAAAATGACAGCAGTTGAATTTGTCTATGAGTATCTCCACATATATTGCCCCACATATATTGTGGGACATAAATTTGCTGTTGCAAGGAGCAGGTGTCTAGAATTATCTCATTATTCTAAGAACCAAAGAAGGTTATGGAGACAGCACTAAGTAATCTTTAAAGAAAGCTCATAAATAGCTAACAGATAATGCTTCCATCCCCCATTTCCACCAGGATTAGTCTAATAGTAGCTGAAACTATTCAACAAGCCATGGCCTCATCAAAGACAACCTGAGATCCTTTCAAAAAATCCCATCTCTGATACTGTGATAATGCTTTTCCTTCCAAAATACTTCCACTTGTTCTTATCCCTGACACTTCCTTCCTCACATTGTTTTACACCATGAATACCGCGGAAAAAAGGAATATAAGCAGCAAAATTTGCTATGGACTTTCAATTTAACCACAAATCTCTGCATCCTAACCCCCTACATTTTTTAAGGTCAGTCTTCCTCTTTTCAACATATATAATAGAAAATGTTAAAATGCACATTTCCAAAGAATAGTATACATAATATTTATCTATTTTCCAAAATAAAATCTTAATTCAGCTTCTCATACACAACAACATCAGTCAGAATTCCATTCTTGCTCTTCTTGTTGAGGTTGAGGGGTTTTCTTGATTATTTTCGTTGCTGATGCTTCTTTGATAAAAACACCTATTTTATTTTTTGCCTTACTGCTTTTAAAATTATTATTTTAAAAAACATAGTAATTTAAAATAGTAATTTTTAGTATTTTAAATACTAAATAGTATTTAGTAAAATAGTAAAAAATAGTAATTATTTAAAATACATAGTAATTTTATGTATTTATAGGACACAGTATGATATTTCAATACAATATATAATGTATACAATGTGTAATAATCAAATTAGAGTAATTAGCATATCCATCACCTCAAACGTACTATTTCTTTGTGCTGGGAACATTCAAAATCCTGTCTTCTAGCAATCAGGAAATATGTAAAGTAAATGGTTGTTAACTATAGCCACCCTACAGTGTATAGAACACTAGAACTTATTCCTCCTATCTAGTTATAATTTCATATCTGTTAAACAACTTTTCACTATCTCCCCCAAACCTCTACCTTTCTCAGCCTCTAGTAACCACTATTCTACCTACTACTTCTATGAAATAAACTATTTTAGCTTTCCCATATGAATGAGAACACATATTTATCTTGCTGAGCCCGGTTATTTTACTTAATGTCCTGCAGTTCCATCCATGTTGCTATTAATGACAGGATTTCATCCTTTTGTGGCTGAATAGTATTCCAATATGTGTATAGCACATTTTCTTTATCCAAGCATCCTCTGATGGACACAGGTTTATTACATGTCTTGGCTACTATGAATAGTGCTGCAGTAAACACAGAAATGCAGATATCTCTTCAATATATTTATATCCTTTCCTTTGGATATATAGTTCTGTTTTTAGTTTTCTGAGGAACATCCACACTGTTTTTTATAATGGCTTACTAATTTATATTTCCACCAACAGTGTATAAAAGTGTCCCTTTCTCTGCATCCTTGGCAGCAATTGTATAATAAATTATGTCTTTTTGATAATTGCCATACTAAACGGGGTGAGAAGATATCTCAGTTGGTTTTGGTTTGCATTTCCAATGACATTCTTTACATAAATCTAAAAAACAATTCTAAAATTTGTATAGAACCACACACACAGAAAAAAAAAAAAAAACCAAAGAGCCAAATAACAATCCTGAGCAAAAAGAGGAAAGCTGGAGGCATCACACTGTCTGACTTCAAAATACACTACACACCTATAGTAACCAAGATAGCATGCTACTGGCATAAAAACAGACACATACACCAATGGGACTGGATAGAGAACCCAGAAAGAAATCCATGTATTTACAGCCAATTGATTGTCAACAAAATGTCCAAGAACATACATTGGAGAGAGGGCACCCTCTTCAATAAATGCTGTGGGGAAAACTGGATATCCATGTGCAGACAAATGAACCTAGACCCCTATCTCTCACCATATACAAAAAAAATCAACAAAAATAGATTAAAGACATAAATGTAAAATCAGAAAGTATGAAAATATTAGAAGAAAACAGGGGAAAGATTTCAGAGATTGTTTTGCAGGAAGATTTTATGATGAAGACCTCAGAAGTACAAGCAACACAAGCAAAAAGAGAAAAATGGGATTATTTAAACCCAAAAAACTTCTATATAGAGAAAAAACAATCAATAGAGTGAAGAGACAACCTGCAGAGTTAAAAAAAATTTGCAAATTATTTATTCAACAAGATATTAATATCCAGAATATACAAAGAACTCGACTTGATGGCCAAAAAGTAATAATCTGATTTGAAAATGGGTAAAGGATCAAAATAGCCATTTCTCAAAAGAAGTCATACAAATTGTCAAGTATATGAAAAAATGGTTAACATCATTCTTTTAATTTCTGACAAACATAAAGTAAATGCCAAATTTTTTTATCTTAAGATTGTTGTTAGTATAAAATGTGATAATGTAAATATCAGACATAGACTCTATTTCTAAATCACTAGATTTTTGGAACAAACTCTTCACCATTAAACTGATTATGAGGAGTTATAATGTATAAGTAAGAGCATTTTTATAAGGTTAAGTAGGCTTAATTTCTGCCTCTGATCCTTAAATGATGTGTTAACTTACATAAGTCACTTAACCTGTCTATATCTGTTTCTTTAGATGAAAAATAAACAAATAATATATAAAAAGAACTATTTTGATAACTAAACAAGTAAACAAGTGAAAAAAATTGTAACTGCATTAGCTCATGTTCACTATTTAATAAAATTTAGTGTGCATGAGTGTTTGTACATGCATATGTAAGTTAATAGCATATTGTAAACATTTAATTGAGCCAGAAAATATCAGCATATGCTATAGGATATTTATATTTGTATTGTATTTGTTGTATAAAGATTTCATTTCAGATTTCATATATACAAATATAAATCCGACATTTTGGCCCCAAACTGACTCAATACTTATTTTCCATTTAAATTATTCCAATTACAAATTCAGTACAGCTAAATCAATACTCAGCTCTCAGGAATTTGTAGGCCACACATTCAAACAGAAAGAAGGCATTGTACCTTATGTTTATTTCAGAAAAACAAACAGCTCTAGTTACTTCAAGAGAAATTAAGTTATTATAGTTGGAACTTAACGTTATACAACCAAAAAGCGGACTGGAGAAGGAGTAGTTGAAGAAATATTTTTGGCTTTCAGGAAAGCTGGAAGAAAACGGCTCTGATAACCCTTGAGGACAATCTTCATGCAGGCAAAGTGGTTGATTCTCAGGAGAACAAGCAGAAGCTTCTGGAAAATGCCCATGACTCTCCGCTAATGCTTGCTCAGCGTTTGGGCAAGTCGACTTTATACCTAGAGCTCATTCGCTTCAGAACCAGTGTCTCTAAATTTTTTATCACTAAATATTAAGGGACATGGACAATATTTTTTTAAAACCTGCCCTGTAACCCTAAGATTTTATAACTTTGTAAAATTTTGTACTTTATTGCCATTAAAGATCAAAATGTATGGAAATAGCATGAGTTACAAAGATGCCTCAGCATGCCTGTTACATTGCTGCAGTGTCATTTTCCAAAAATATTCTATTTAAACTCAAGAAAATCGCCACTGTTTCTTTCTAACACCTGTCAGCAACTGCTCATAGCTCACTGATGTAGCTGTTTTTGCATTCTGACACGTGAGGTCTACTCACATTTTGTAAGACATGTCACTGTCAAAAGCTAAAAATAAAAAGGCAAATGTGACAGCCCTGGTGCCGCCATGCCTAAGAGCCACAGGTAATTGTGATCAAGAGGGGTATTTTTAAATGTTGCAAAAATATCAAACTTCTATTTCTTCCTTTTAATTTTTTTGTGATTTTTATTGAATTTCATCTTTTACTATTAGCCAAAAATTGTTCTATGATTGTAACCAGTGAAAACTACACAAGATTATTTTTCTCAAGAAAAAAGACTGATATAGTTTTGAAATCTTTTGTTGAGAAAGCTGCACTAAATTGAAATCACTTGGCTTAGCTACTTCTGAGGAAAGGCCAGACAGCAACTGTAATGGAGGCTATAAAAATGCATAGGAAGCCAAGTAATTCACAAGTGATTAATGATAATGGTAATACAGAAAAGACCTTTGGTAATAAATACATAATTGAGTTTAGAAAATACAACAAAGAGTAATTAGATTAAACTGAGTTGTAAACAATGAGCATGTAAAAAAGATACCAAAAATAACAGATTTTGATATTATGTTTGTGATCGTATTACCGAAAGCATAAATTGTTGCATAAATGGAAGGACTGGTATGATTTAAGTACTTTTGAAGCAGAAAACTCATTTAGTTATTTTACGAGATAAAGACACTCATTGTAAATCATTCCTACATTTGTATGAGGGCAAAATAAATTGCCTTGATAAAATCAAACTGATTTAAAGTACAATTCTTTAATAGCACTGGATGAATTTAAAGTGTCTTATATCTTCGATCAAGTCTAAACCAAATTTCTCTCACACACGGAAGTGCACACTAACACTCTCACACACACACATACACACACACTCTGATACAAGTATACTCATAAAAGTAAACCTGATGATCTCTCCTCAAAGACAAATACACGCCCTACTTTCATAAATAATTATTTTGCTTTAGGCAGTTATAACTTGAATCCAATTTTTAGTTTCACATTAATGTGAAATGTCTTACAATAACAACCAGAAAAAATAGGTCTGTTACAATTGTAATAAAGATCTAAAAGAAGTCTAAATTTTACACCTATAATTTGATGAGAATTAAAATAATAAAAAATATGTTTCATATGGAAAGAGATATTATAGTTTCTAAAGTGAATTCCAGCTCATTTTTGAACTCTCAATACTTTTGTGAGATATACAGTCCAGTAACTGTTATTGTAGGGAAAATAAAGCTCAGAGGCATAATTGATTTGCTAAAAGTCACAAAACTAGCAAATGACAAAAACAAGCCACTAAATCTGCTCTGAAGGCTCTAGTCGAGGACAAATAGTCTTTCCCCTATTTCAGGATCCTTCTTGAAAAATTCAAGCTAAAATGGAAGCAAAGAAAATAAACATACTGTATTATATAGAAAGAAGGATAATTGATATTTTATAATTTTTAACATAGCCCATTTTGTCCTATTAACCACATACTGCAACACATATGTTGTAGCTAAAGAGTTGAAGCCATGTCACATTGTTATAATGTGCATTTATTTTGTCATTCTTCTGCAGTCCTGTTCCTGGATCAAGGTTAAGACTTTGAGTTGCTGGTCAAATTTTCAAGTATTTTTATTTTTTATGATATCTAATAATATACATGGAATATTTCTCAGAATTCATCTTGGTAGATTTATCTGTAATTTCATTTAACATGGGGGTCTGTTTGCCTCCTTATTTATTCCTTGTCCTTCCTCATCTCTGCTAGGTGTCTCAGGGGCCTGAACACTAGAGTTTTTCTGTATCCATCTCCCGTGTCACCTTACTTTTCTCTGGGTTATGCCTATGGCAAGCACTGACTAGGGATTGGCGAACAGGTGATTCCAAGAAGTCCGGTTACTTCTTCCCCTCCTGTTCTGTCCTAGGAGGCATGTCTGGCAGACAAAGTCTCTGACTCCAGCCTCTACCTGGTGATCCTGGGCTCCAGGCCCTAGTACGTCCTTGCAGTTTATGGAAGTGGAAACTTCTAGCAGTTGCTAATTCCTGGGTTGCGTTACCTTCCTTTATTTGTCAGCTCAGCCATCTTTATAGTTTAACTAATACCTTGCTTTACATATCCTTCATGTTAGACACAGACATTCTGTTTGTGACTAATACTACCCAAAATAACATAATTGTCGTTTATTAAATGAGCCAGTTTTGGTCATCAGAGTGGAGAGCTGGTTTGTATATATTGCATTAATCAAAATGATGTAAAAATAAGGATCATAATATTATGATACAATAAAATAATAGCATATATAGAATATCTTTAACTGATACCACTCTGCAGCTCTTTTTCAATTGATGTAATTTCTACTGTAGACATAAAGGATAAGTTAAATTTTAAAATAGCACGATTTACAGAAATTCCTTTTTTGACAAATGCACACTGTACTATGGTTTTCAAAATGCACCTTTTAATAATTTTTTTATTGCAGTTACCTAAAGAAAATAAATTTCATTATATAAATTATTAGAAATCAAACAGCCCCCCATATTCAATAGTATTTCTATGTGATATGAAATTAATAAAAGTGTTCAACTTTTAAGTTGTTTAATATTGCTATGCTCTGGAAGAGTCTTGTAAGCTAAAAAATGCACACATTTGTGTAGCATAGACAAAAATTTAAGTGTGCTCTCAGGCTGAATATATATTACAGAACTTAGTTCACCAGAGATACATTGCATTGTGGTTCTGCTATATTTGGATGGGTGCATCTCTTCATTTACAGCCAATAGGGAAGTAAAAGCTCACTGCTGCTACACAATGAGGTAATAAACAGCATAAATAGTCCATATAACTTCTAGTTATGCATCATCTATCCAATAACAATCCACATAATACATGAAAAAGTAATATTACTCTTTTTGAAATAAATGTTTATACAGAGACAATTATTTTTTTCCTTTCATGTATTGGGTGAGGTTTTAATGTCTTTATATCTCAAATTTACTTGTTTTAATATTCAATAATAATACCCTCCCTTGATTTCAGCTTACACAAATATTCTTTCTGAATCTCTATTACTCTTCTTTGTCAATTCCATGCCTTTGTTTAGTTGCTGTTTATTTTACTCTTTTGTTCTCTTCTGATTTAGACTAATTATATCATTTTTAGCCTTTTTATTTTTGACATTCATTTTCTAACATTGGAAACTGTGCTCATCATGTTATGCCTTAAACAAGCTTGTGTTTAGATTTCTCCTTTGTAAGAAATTACACATTAGTTCTACCAAAATACTGGTAACATTTTTACATTTTTTTCCTTGATTCCTTCCACTTTTCTCCCAAAAGTGGGTAGCTAAAAAGTATTCTTCCCCATAAAGACTCCTACACCCATCTTTTCTTCCCCCGTCCCTTTTTTTAAAGTAAAGATGAGGTGTCACTATGTTGTCCAGGCTGGTCTAGAACTCTTGGGTCTAAATGATCCTCCCATCTTGGCCTCCCAAAATTGCTGGGATTACAGGCTTGAGCCATCACACCTGGCCCACACATCTTGTCTTCTCCTTTTGCTTTGCCACCATCTAGGACTCTTAACTTCTCATTTTTCTTCTAGTGTAAAGTTGTAACTCTACACTGTACTGGTATCATGTGATTGTATTTTTTAAATGACAATAATAAGAAAGTAATGCCATGGTTGTCTCTTAATTGTTTGCACTGGTTTCCATCTGTCATCCTTTCTTTCGAAGTAATCTTTCTGAAATAACTTATGATTCCATTCCAACTTCCCTCCAACATTCACCCTCAGATACTTTCAATGATTTCTTGTTTCTTAAAAGATAAAATTTAGTCTCATCAATTTGGCCTACAAAATGTTTTAATTAACTGGCCTTGGCTATGTGTTTAAAATTTTTGTTACTACTCATTATAAATTTACTAAAAAACATTCAATTTGGCTCAACCATTTCCATTCATGCTTCCTTGAATGTGGTGAATTTTGCATTATAATTGCTTTGCTCACATGTTTTTCTCTGATAGGAGAGGGGAGTGAAGAGGAGGTACAGGGAAAGGGAAAGGGGAAGGGAGGAATGGAGGAAAGAGAGAAAGGCGGTTAACATGTGTGAGCACTTTCTATTTATCAAGCACTCGGAAGTGAGTTAAAGAATGAGTATTTGAGCAATTTTTTCCCTATAAAAAGCTGGACATTTTCATAGGGAAAAAATTATAATCTAGATGTTTCTAAGATATCAGTGGATGCTAACATATTTAAGAAACTAACTCAGTGGAGAAAACCGTTTTCTCAGAACCTTTTTCAAAAGGTGTACAGTGCACAGATAATTTTATGAGCGCTTGATAAGTATGAAAGCTAAAGTATGTCATCTGTAACCTTGCTTTTTCTCTCCTACACAGCCTTCACCCTACTCTCTAATTAACTATCAGGCCAATGTTTAAAGAACAATAATTCTCAGAGACACCAAAATATTAGATAGCAAAGCAGGCCAATGGATTTTAATTGTTCCCTTGTTATTATATGAAATGCTTTAAAATACATTATTTTATGTAATACTTACGAAACCCTTAGAGTTAGTATTCCATTGTTGCATATGGGCATAGCTAAGCTGGTCTATAATTAGTGATACTGTACTGTATACTTACAAGTTGTTAAAGTGGTAGATATCAAATGGTCTCACCACACACACACACACACACACACACACACACACACACAAATGGTAACTCCATGAGGTGAAGGAAATGTTAACTAGCTTGATCATTGTATTAGTCAGGGGTCTCTGAAGGGACAGGACTAATAGGATAGGTTTATATATGAAAGGGAGTTTATTAGAGTATTGAGTCTCACAATCACAAGCTGAAGTCCCACAATAGGCCATCTGGAAGCTGAGGAGCAAGGAAGCAAGTCCAAGTCCCAAAACCTGAAAAGTAGGAAAACTGAAAGTGCAGCCTTCAGTCTGTGGCTGAAAGACCCAGAGCTTCTGGCAAATCACTGGTGTTAGTGCAGGAGGGCAAAGCCTAAAGAACTTGAAAGTCTGATGTTCGAGGTCAGGAACCATTTGGCATGGGAGAAAGATGAAGGCTGGAAGGCTCATCCAGTCTAGTCGTTCTGCGTTCTTCTGCCTGCTTTAATCTAGCCATGGTGGCAGCTGATTAGATGGTACCCAC
Source organism: Homo sapiens (assembly GCF_000001405.40). Taxonomy (NCBI): domain Eukaryota; kingdom Metazoa; phylum Chordata; class Mammalia; order Primates; family Hominidae; genus Homo; species Homo sapiens. Next base: position 18,965,147 of record NC_000021.9, read on the forward strand.
CCACATTAGGGCTGGGTCTGCCTCTTCCAGTCCACTGACTCAAATGTTAATCTCTTTTGGCAACACCCTCACAGACACACCCAGCAACAATAGTTTGCATCCTTCAATCCAACCAAGTTGACACTCAATATTAAGCATCACAATCGTGGTATCATTTTATAATATATACGAATATCAAAACACATTGTATACCTCAAATATATATATATAGTCAGTTATACCTCAAAAAAGCTGGAGAAATAGAATAAAAATGATGAAGGCATGTTTTCAGGATCACTAAGTTCAGAGTTGCAAGACAACTTTTCCCTTCTTATACTTGATGCTTCTGAAGAGTTATTCAAGACTTACTGACTATTATTTGTGAACTTAGTGCAACCCGTACATGTAACATATTCTTGCTTATCTTGTTACAAGTCTTATTGTTTTTCAATAAAGCTATTATTTCTGGATTTAGTCAGGATTTCTCCTTCATGACTCATCTACCTTCTTTCCTTCTGGACAATTTCATATAATAAAAAATCAGATATTTTCATTGTGCAATAAGGTACATTTTGCTTTATACATAAATGGAATATTATATTTATACCTCATTAAATGGTAGACCATTGTTGTATTTTAATAAATGGAGATTGGTAAGAAAATTATCCAGAACTACCAAATTATAAGAGTTTATGCACCTGAGAAAACTCAGGCAAATGTCTAAAGTTAGCTTCTATAAAACAGCACTGGAGTTGTTTGAAACTTAGTAAATATCATTCAGAATTCTGAAATGAAAGAAATAATTGGCAATTTCTGTCAAGTACACAAGTTTCTCCCTTGAATGAAATTATCTGTTTACAGAACCACTCTAATCAGGAAGAGGCCATTCTGGGTTACAAGACAGATGCAGTAAAGAAATAAATGCCCCCTTGGTGAAATGAAGAAGTTATGGCATTTCTTCATTACTAGACCAGAACAACAAAGCCAAAGGCAGTAAGAGAATAAAATTGATTACAGACTGTATTCCCCGTGTGGAATAAGGGATTGGATAGCTGTTCATTTTATTTTGCCACTATAACTAAAACTCTTCTAACTTATATTTTCACTTATATTTCAGTCCTAAGATTTTTTTTTTCCTTTCAATATTGTAGGCCTTTCTAGATACATCTGCAGGAAAAAAAAATTGACCTTGAAACTAAATCATTGTCCTAGGATTTGGACATTGGTGGAAAAATGGTGGAGTCTTGGATGTGTAAGTGAAGTCTTCTGGGAATGTTATAAAGAAAGGTAGAGCTAGCCAAGTTTCTCTTAGTTCAATAATAATGCAGAAATCAAGAATCTGTGGATGTCTTCTAATATCTATTCTTTGACTCAGTTTTTCTTTAGACTGAGTCTCGCTCTGTTGCCCAGGCTGGAGTGCAGTGGCACAATCTTGGCTCACTGCAGCGTCCCCCTCCTGGGTTCAAGCGGTTCTCCTGCCTCAGTCTTCTGAGTAGCTGAAATTACAGGCGCACGCCACCACGCCCAGCTAATTTTTGTATTTTTAGTAGAGACGGGGTTTCACCATGTTGGCCAGGCTGGTCTTGAACTCCTGACCTAGTGATCCGCCCGCCTCGGCCTCCCAAAGTGCTGGGATTACAGGCGTGAGCCACGGTTCCCGGCCCTAATATCTATTCTTAAAGAGTTCTTTGAACGAAACTGATTTAAGAGATTGCCAGTACAAGGTATCCCCTAGGAGATGGTAGAGGACTTTGTATCACACTATGCGGAGAAAAGGTATTGTCCTTTGTGTCAACAGAGAATACAGCAAATATACCCGTACATTAGATTACTAAAAACAGCGCTGGGATGTTTGCAGTCCCACTGCTTCCTCATGGCTTCAGAGAACATCAGTGGGAGATGGGGCCAATGACTGCAGCCATGGACAGGACACTTGGAAACAGAGGGAAAAAGCAAGAATATGAGGATTCCAAAGAGATACTTAATGCCTTTCCCGCTCAAGTTTTCCACAAATAACTTTGAGAATTCCGGCGTAATCTCTTTTCATAAATAAAGATGTAACTTTTAAAGGGGTACTTGGAATAGATGGATTCAGAGCCCAATTTTATTATCTATATTGTCATTTCATATCTGTATCTATGGATCTCTGTATTTGTATATATCTATACTCCAATGAGAAAATGTGGAAATCATCTAAACTCATCTGTTCATTTAACACCATAACATTTTAAACACAATTTTAAATGCTGTGAAATAATCTCATTTATGAAATTAGAGAAAAAATTATAAATAAATTGTCAAAAATAAGAATCAATAGTCTTTCAGAAGAGCAATACCCATCGAGACCATCCTGGCTAACATGGTGAAACCCAGTCTCTACTAAAAATACAAAAAAATTAGCCAGGCTTGGTGGCGGGAGGCTGTAGTCCCAGCTACTCGAGAGGCTGAGGCAGGAGAATGGCGTGAGCCCAGGAGGCGGAGCTTGCAGTGAGCTGATATCGCACCACTGCATTCCAGCCTGGGCGACAGAGCCAGACTCCATCTCAAAAAAAAAAAGAGAAATATCCAGAAATACTGGAATTGTTTATTCTAATAGTGCCCACATGGCTCAAAAAGAGAAAATAGTATAATTGACAATATAATTGAATTACAGAAAAAAAATTTAAAATATTGCCAATAGCAAGAAAGCTTATGTAATACAGCAGCCCTTTCAAATAAAACACTAAATATCACAGAGATAAACAAAATCTACTTAGATATAATGAACATAATTTTCCAAAAGATGGAGCAAATATCTTAAATTGTAAAAAATATTTAAGGAATGAGAGATGGATAGTCAGCATTATTATGCAATACTGACACGAGTTTCTAATAAATAGAATGAGAAAAAATTGGAATAAGGGTATAGTTAGTATTGAAAGATAAAAAATAACTTTTGTTTCTAATAATACAATTATATATCTGGAAAATCTAAGAAACTGTAGAATTGTAGATGTATCAATAAGACATATGATAATAAAAACCAGTATAAAGCGACTGATTTATAATTATTATAATCACATTTTTCAAAGATCTATAGCTTTACTGTAACAATAAGATTTTCTAAGTGATACAGCTAACCCCTTGACAATAAAAAGGCAAAATCTGCAATTTGTAAGAATAGATGTTTACAAATCTACGATTTGTCAGAATAAATAAAATTCATATTTTTTTCAAGGAAGAGAACCATAAAATCTTATTTAAAGAACTAACAACTAAACAAATAGAGCGTCCTAACATGAAATTAAAATATTAACAGGGCTTTTTCTGGAAGTGAATAAAATTGATTTTAATTGTATTTTAAAAAGCAATTACTATATGCTGTTTAGTTTGGACTTTTGTGTCTCTGTCTATGAGTGAAGTCAGCCTGTACTTTTTCTTCCCTAAATCATCCTATAATGCCATTTACAATTATGAATCAGTAAAAATTTAATTTTTTAGAGAAATAATCAATTTCATGGTTTTTACTCACATATATTTTAAAAGAACATTTACTTACTTTATAAATTATACTTTCTTCTAATTATGACCCTGTTTTTGTTTTGTTTTGTCTTTCAGGTATTTTTGTTGTTTTTATTTTGTTTCATTTGTTTTGTTTTTTGGAAGGAGGAAGGTAATAGGTAAACCAGTGTTTGATTTAGTACTTGTTTCAAATCTCCATTTTCTGTTTCAATTATTTCTGGTCTTTGTTTTATTATTTAATTTTTTCTATTTTTCTTCTGCTTATTTTGGTGTTCTAATTTTGAAGTTATGTTTAGTTTCTTACTATTAGACTTCATTCAAATATTTATGAAAATGTCGCATATGTTTTAAAATGTAGCATTACATATATTTACATTTAATTTATATTTAGCTCCTAGCACATATCCAGAAACATATTAGTAGTTAAATGGCTACCTGTGAATATATGACCAAGACCTTGGGAATGTAATAGAAGTGGATTTAGGTTGTAAAAATTGTGTAGGTTTTATAGGTGAAACTGCAGGAATACCATTTCATGAATAAGGCAACTTTAGCATGCATTCTACTGCATTACTTTGAAACTGCTGACATTAAATCAATATTTAAAAGTTAGTAGTGTTTGACAGTTATTTAGAAAAAAAGTTTTAATTATTTTGCTATATAACCAAACATCCAGATGAATATCCCAAAAAAGCTAAAAAAATTGCTGTTGTCAAAAAGTAATCAAAACATATCAAATAAATTAATTCCTTAGTTTCAGAATGGAAATTAACATGAAAACTACCTTGTAAAGGTGATAAAATCTGTTTTCTGACAACATATTCAAGCACATGTTCGATGTGTTACTTACCAGTCAGGGCTAAAAATAACAGAAGCTGGAGAAAATAAATCCAAAAACATGTCTATCAAATAGAAGCTTTCATATCAAGATTGGATCAGCAAGCATTCATTTCTTTAAGAAATTAGTTGCACTAACCCATTCTTCACACCTGAGTCATTTATTAAATAACTCTATAACTAAAACACCTTGGCATCCACAATTTATTATTTTACTATTTTAAACAATATTTTATTTTTTATAAACAATATATTTTGGTGTATACTTTTCTTAGATAGGTATTTATTTTTAAATTCTATGCATGATATCTAGAAAATTGTTAACTCTCATTTTTTTAATTTTTACATTTAACACCATTTACAAAGACTTTTCATGTAAGAAGATTTAACTTAAGCCATGGTTTTTGTTTTATTTTAAAATAATTGACCTTCATGTACACTACTGTTGATTATATTCTAGTTAATATCAGGAAACACTGACAAGTTAAAGATACCTGCATGATGTTTACCTGATGCATGGTTTGAAATACAAAACAAATGTTCCCTAGAATGCTGAAAAGGAGACTAGAATATTCTGCAGATTACAACTTGAAGAATTAATAGGCCGGGCGCAGTGGCTCACGCCTGTAATCCCAGCACTTTGGGAGGCCGAGGCGGGCAGATCACGAGGTCAAAAGATCGAGACCATCCTGGCCAACACGGTGAAACTCCGTCTCTACTAAAAATACAAAAAATTAGCTGGGCGTGGTGGTGGGCACCTGTAGTCCCAGCTACTCAGGAGGCTGAGGCAGGAGAATGGCGTGAAACTGGGAGGCGGAGCGTGCAGTGAGCCGAGATAGCACCACTGCAGTCTGGCCTGGGGTGAAAGAGCCAGACTCCATCTCAAAAAAAAAAAAAAAAAAAGAATTATAATTAAAAATTAGAGATGGTAGAGCAACAGAGCTAGATAGTTAAACCAGAAATGAATTTAAGCCAATTAGATGTTGTGATGCACACAATTGTTACAATGCCAGAAGAAACAGCCTCCAAAATAAGCTTTCAGAATTCCCAGAACACAAAACTCACAGACCCAGTCTGCCATGAAATCTTCTGCATCTGCCATGGCCAGGAAAAGCTGCAATCACAACTGTGGCCTCACAGACCACCTTAGTATTCACATCAGCAAAACAGATGCAGAAACCCTAGCACTTAACACCTTTGAAGATAAAATCTAGCCTTGAAGGTAAAATTTAATGAGACCTAAGTTAAAGCTCACGCTGACAAACACAAATGTCACCAGCATCATTGATTTCAAGAGAAAAAGCAGAAGCAGCCTGCATCAACTATGCTCATTTTCCCCTTTCAATTCTCAGGCATAAATATATGCTTAGCAGAAGTTATGTCACAGGAAAGTTTTGAGAGACTCTGGAAAATATATCTAGCTTTCTAAATGAAATTGCACTAGAGCATACTAAAGGAGCTTTGGAGACAGTGGGGTAACATGATCTTTATTCCCACAGTACTTTGCAACCATTGGCCAATTGGAGTCCCCCCTCCCCACACACAATTTTCTTCTAAATTTTCAACTATAAATGAACGGTAGCCATATTCTCCAACCTAAGATAATATGACCATACTTAATATGATAAGACTGCTTACTTCCTTCTCTAAATAATCATTAGTCATTGAAACCAGTTTGACAAGTGTTTATTTCTCCTCTATCTCAGTCTAACTATCTTGTAATCAAAGAATGGAATATTAAGTTACATATTGTACTACCAACATGCCTCTTATAAAATTACAGAGGAAAAAATTTACACACACATACACACACACAGAGAGAGACAACATGTTATTAAAAGAGTATGGGTTAATTCTATAGCTTTCATTTATTGACCTTGTCATGAAACTAACTGTATTTGGTATATGTAATTTTTTAATTGTTCATTGTATGTTTTCTTGTCCTTCACCAATCCCTTAGCTTGTCATGGTGCTTTTACTGATGATGTAACCTGAAAAATTTTCAAAGAATTAGAATCCTTTCAGGTCTTCCCTGCATGAGGTTCATATAATCAGCTACTATATTTTATCCCTGGACATACTTACACTGTACTAGGAAGCTCCTAATGAATTTCCTGTGTTTCAGATATATTTCTATACCAACATTGTATAATACCAACCATATTTTTCATTGGAAATCAGGGGATCCTACAAATGTGTCTTTACCAGTAAATTGCCTTTGCCATTACCCAAAGATGGCTACATGTCTCTCAAAACTATTGACTCATAACTGTAGCCATAGCAGCTGAGGAACAATCCATATCCATAAAATATATGCATGATGTTATGCTTTTTGGTACTCACAAAACTAGGGACTAGACATTAAATCTCTTTCACATCTGTCACAGTTAAATAAAACCACATAAAGAAGTAGTGGAAGTGGGGAAGGGAGAAGGAAGAGACTTTGGTCAAAGGATACCCAATTTCAGTTAGATAAAAGGATATAAGTTCAAGAGTTCTCTTATATAACATAGTATGTGTAGTTAATAGCAAACACCATATTCTTACAAATTGCTAAGAAAATAGATTTTAAGTGCTCTCACTACAAAAAAATCGTAAGTATGTCAGGTTATGTATGTTAATTAGCTCAATTCACCAATTTTGCAGTATATCTATATATATATATAAAACAACATGTTTTCAATTTTTTTATTTGTTGAACTTATAGAAAACAACAGCAGCCCAATGGAAGACCAGTCTGACTGTTAAAAGAAAAACAAACAAATAGAAAACAGCAACAACAACAAAAAGGACCCCACAAAAACCCCATTCAGAGGTCAGCAACCTCAAAGAATGAAGGCAGATAAGCCCACAAAGATGAGAAAGGATCAATGCAACAATGCAGAAAACTCATAAGGCAATGATGCAGAAAACTCAAAAAGCAGCAATGTAGAAAACTCGAAGAGCTCCCCCAAATGACTGCAACACCTCTCCAGCAAGGGCATAAAACCAAGCTGAGGCTGAAATGGCTGAATTGACAAAAGTAGGCTCCATAATATGAGTAATAATGAACTTTGCTGAGCTAAAGGAACATGTTGTAACCCAATGAAAAGAAGCTAAAAATCATGATAAACAATAGGGGAACTGATAGCCAAAATAGCCAGTTTAGAGAGAAACCCAGCTGAGCTATTAGAGCTGAAAAAACACAACAAAAGAACTTCACAATGCAATCACAAGTATCAATAGCAGAATAAACCAAGTGGAAGAAAGAAACTGAGTTTGAAGACTATCTTTCTGAAATAAGACTGGCAGACAAAAATAGAGAAAAAAGAATGAAAAGGAATGAACAAAACTTCCAAGAAATATGGGACTATGTAAAGAGACCAAACCTACGACTGATTGGGGTACCTGAAAGAGATGGGGAGAATGGAACCAATTGGAAAATATACTTCAGGATACCATCCAGGAGAACTTCCCCAACCTAGCAAGACTGGCCAACATTCAAATTCAGAAACTGCTGAGAACCCCCAGTAAGATACTCCACAAAAACATCAACCCCAAGACACACAATTATTAGATTCTCCAAAGTCAAAATGACAGAAAAAACAAAAACAAAAAAAACATTAAGGGCAGCCAGAGAGAAAGACCAGGTCACCTACAAAGGGAAGCCCATCAGACTCACAGCAGACCTCTCAGCAGAAACCCTGCAAGCCAGAAAAGATTGGGGGCCAATATTCGACATTCTTAAAGAAAAGAATTTCCAATCCAGAATTTCATATCCAGCCAAACCGAGCTTCATAAGCAAGAGAGAAATAATATCCTTTTCAGACAAGCAAATCCTGAGGGAATTCATCACCACCAGGCCTGCCTTGCAAGAGCTCTGAAGGAAGGACTAAATATGGAAAGGATAAACCATTACGAGCCACTAAAAAAGCACACTGAAGTACACAGATCAGTGAAACTATGAAGCATCCATATAACCAGCTAGCATCATGATGACAGGATCAAATCACACAGATCAACATTACCCTTAAATGTAAGTGGGTAAATGCCCCAATTAAAAGACACAAATGGCAAGCTGGATAAAGAGTCAAGATCCATTGGTGTGCTGTCTTTAGGAGACCCATCTCACATGCAAAGACACACATAGGCTCAAAATGGAGGGATAGCGAAAATTTACCAAGCAAATAGAAAACAGAAGAAAAGCAGGGTTTGCAATCCTAGTTTCTGACAATCAGACTTTAAAGACAAAGCCCACATGATTGTCTCAATAGATGCAGAAAAAGCCTTGGAGAAAATTCAACATCCCTTCATGTTAAAAACTCTCAATAAACTAGGTATTAAAGATACATAACTTAAAATAATAAGAGCCATATATGACAAACCCACAGGCAATATCATACTGAATGGCAAAAGCTGGAAGCATTTCCCTTGAAAAGCAGCACAAGACAAGGATGACTTCTCCCACCACTCTTATTCAACATAGAATTGGAAATTCTGGATGGGGTAATCAGGCAAAAGAAAGAAATAAAGCGTATTCAGATAGAAAGAGAGGAAGTCAAATTATCTTTGTTTGCAGACAACATGATCCTATATCTAGAAAATTTCAAAGTCTCAGCCCTAAAGCTTCTTCAACTGATAAGCAGCTTTAGCAAAGTCTCAGGTTAGAAAATCAATGTGCAAAAAACAAATCATGAATGAACTCCCATTCACAATTGTTGCAAAAAGAATAAATACCTACAAATACAGCTAACAACAAAAGTGAAGGACCTCTTCAATGAGATCTACAAACCACTGCTTAAAGAAATCAGAGAAAATAGAAACAAATGAGAAACATTACATGCTCATGGATAGGAAGAATAAATATTGTGAACATGGCCATACAGTCCAAAGCAATTTATAGATTCAATGCTATTCTCATTAAGTTGCCATTGACATTCTTCACAGAATTAGAAAGAGTATTTTAAAATTCATGTGGAATCAAAAAAGAGCCCACATAGCAAAGAAAATCCTAAGCAAAAAGAACAAAGCTAGAGGCATCATGCTGCCCAACTTCAAACAGTACTACAAGGCTGCAGTAACCAAAACAGCATGATACTGGTACAAAAACAGACATATAAACCAATGGAACACTATAGAGAATTCAGAAATAAGGCTGCACACCTAAAACCATCTGATCTTTGACAGACCTGGCCAAAACAAGCTATGGGGAATGGATTCCCTATTTAATAAATGATGTTGGGACAACTGGTTAGTCATATGCAGAAAATTGAAATTGGACCCCTTCATAGCATAGACAAAAATTAACTCAAGATGGATTAAAGACTTAAATGTAATACCTAAAACTAGGAAAACCCTAGAAGAAAATCTGGGCAATACCATTCAGGACATAGGCATGGGCAAAAATTTCATTATGAAAATGTAAAAGCAATTGCAGCGAAAGCAAAAATAGATAAATGAGATCTAATGAAACTAAAGAACTTCTGCACAGCATAAGAAACTATCATCAGAGTGAATGACATCCTGCAGAGTGGGAGAAAATTTTTTGCAATCTATCCATCTGACAAAGATCTAATATCCAGAGTCTACAAGGAACTTAAGCAAATTTAAAGAAAAAAAACTCATTAAAAAGTGGGCAAAGGACATGAACAGACACTTCTCAAAAGAAGACATACATGTGGCTAATGAACATATATAAAAAGCTTAACATCACTGATCATTAGAGAAATGCAAATCAAAACCACAGTGAGGTACCATCTCACACCAGTCCGAATGGTGAGTATTAAAAAGTCAAGAAACAACAGATGCAGGTGAGGCTGTGGAGAAATAGGAACACTTTTACACTGTTGGTGGGAATATAAATTAGTGCAACCGTTGTGTTAGACAGTGTGGCAATTCCTCCTAGACCTAGAACAGAAATATCATTTGATGCAGTAATGCCATAACTGGGTGTATACCCAAAGGAACATAAAGTGTAGTATTATATTATATTTATATTATAAAGATGCATGCACATGTATACTTATTGCAGCACTATTCACAATACAAAAGATACAGAATCAACCTAAGTGCCCAAAGTGCGGTATAAATACACCATGGAACATAATGCAGCCATTAAAAGGAATAAGATCATGTCCTTTGCGGGAACATGGATGGAGTTGTAGGCCATTATCTTCAGCAAACTAATGCAGGAACAGAAAACCAAACACCGCATGTTCTCACTTATAAGTGGGAGCTGAATGATGAGAATGCTTGGACACAGAGAGGAGAACAACACACAGTGGGTCTCGTTGAAGGGGAGGCGTGGGGGAAGGAAGAGCATCAGGGAGAATAGCTAATGGACTCTGGGCTTAATACCTAGGCGATGGGATAATTTGTGCAGCAAACCAACATGGCACACATTTACCTATGTAACAAATCTGCACATCCTGTACATGTATCCCTGAACTTAAAATAAAATTGAAGAAAAAAGAGAAGCCTTGGAAGTAGAAGAATCATAGTCTCCAACTAAGCTTGTTTAATTAATGTCACTTTTCAAACCCCATGCATGTATGAATGTATGGTATAATATTAAAGAAACCAAGCAGTAATGAAGGCTAAGAAATGTCATTCCTAGCACTTCCTCCAGAAAATATGGAGTAGACACACCACAAAGGGTTGGAAAAAAACAAGGAATGAGAATTAGGAGGACAAACAAAGTCTTCTATGGTGAATGAGTAAAGAAAAACAAAATTTCAAAAGTCGCTCAAATCATAAAGTTCTAAGAAGAAAAGATGAAAACATGAGTGTAGCAGAGACTGCTAGTTTTAGCCCAATATCCATTCATTTTTGCCAGTGAAACTCTGTGAATTTTAGATGGACTTGTGACCACCTTTCGGGATACTGTATTTTTTGAATTGCCTCAAAGGACAATGTGACCATGTGACTGTATTTTGGTCAACAGTAGAGGGATAGAATATGTTATTGCAAAGAGGCTTTTCTTCACCTTCTCGCAGGCTGGAACATGAACACAGAGAGGTGATCCAGATTTGATCACCTGAATGAAGACAACAGCAAGGAAATGGTAGGATAATAAATAAGGAGAAATCTAGCTTTATGGACAACTTCATAAAGCTGACCCTGGAACATTGACTACCTCTGAACTTACATGAGGGAGAGAAATGTTTATCTTTTATAAACCTATTACTTTTTTGATTTCTACATTAAAGAAACTTAGTCTATCCTAAGTAAAGCAAGAAATATTCTGTAAATCACTTTGGAGAAGAATTTCCAAAAGGAAAGGTAATCTACAATGTCAAATTCTACAAAATGTATATTAAGATAATAATCACAATATATCCATTGCACATGGCAATCAACAAATAATAACTAATAATGTTATAAAATGAAGCCGAAATTGACTGATGTATGAAAAATTCACATGAGCAGCAATTGACGAGTGCACAGGAAGTGTGAATTCCAGATTCTCTGGGCTGATCTGTCCATTCTTGTAGGTCATTTCTAGGCATAGGAGAACTCGGTTGTGACAGGGGTCTGTTTTTTAAAAAATGGCTCAAATTACTTTTAGTTATAATTTTATTGTCTGTTATATTAATAGCAAGATATATACTCTACATATACAACCTGTTTCTTTATTTACATAAGCTTCTTTTTAAAAATAGAAGAATAAGAGGTTATCTTCACTTTCATCACCTTGACTAGAACCATCCAAGCAGGTAATCGTACTTTCATATAAAACAGTTTTGGGCCATGCCCAGTGGCTCACACGTGTAATCTCAGCACTATGGGGGGCTGAGAGGCAGGTGGATCACTTGAGCCCAAGAGTTCTAAACCAGCCTGGGCAACATAGTCTCTACAAAAAATACAAAAATTAACTGGGTGTGGTGGCACATGCCTGTAGTCCCAGCTACTTGGAAGTCCAAAGTAGGAGGATGCTTGAGCCCAGGAGCTCAAGGTTGCTGTGAGCTGTGATCACACCACTGCACTCCAGCCTGGGTGACAGAGGGAGACCCTGACTAAAAAATAATAATAATAACAGCTTTGAACTCTAATAATAATAACAGCTTTGAATTCCAATAGATGTGGCATTTAATCCTCTGTCACTTAATAGTGCTATGAAACTGGTGAAAATACTTCTGTGTCTACATGTGTAAAGTGCCAATAGCAATAGTGAAATCATATCATTGTAATAAATTCAATAATTAATAATAAAATTGAATAATTTATTAAGTTATTCACACATGAATAATAATACATACACCTGGAAATATGTAAGCAATTAGCAAAGTACTTGGTCTTTGATAAGTTTTTAAATTATTATGTTTGTAATTATAATCATGGTTACAAACAGCACAATCATCATGAGAATGACTGATATGCATGTTTCAAAATGTTCTAAATAAGAATTTTAGGTGAGACTACAAATATGTTACTAAGCTGCTATTTACTCAGTATCTTACCATTTGTGCAATAATAGATCCTAAAAATTAGAGGGTCAATCCTATATTTCAATACTATTGAAGATTTCTCCCATTAATATTCAAAATTTGATAACATTATGTAGGACAGATGTAAACATATTCATGATGAAGTTTTGTCTGAATCGATTTTTACTGATGATTCAACATCAAAATAGTTTTAGGAGCTATTTCACTGCACCAAAGTGATTTTATTGTTCTATAATCAAAGCTATAATTGTAGACTCACGGAATTCTAAATGGTTCGCAATGTATTTCACGTGAATGAATCGTGAAGGTCTGTTTCTCAAGGCATGGGGATGTGATTTTTGGGATTGTGTTTGTTTACTGTAGTGACCATGTGTTAACTGTCATTTGGCAGGCACAGACCTAAGTTCCATTTTTATTTTATTTTCATGACAAACCTATGAAAACACATTGTTTTACATTAGAAAACTTAGAATGTTGAGGTTATTCTAAGATTTCAATGAGTTCAATGTTGGCATCTAGGGCATGTACTCTTGCCACTTATGTTTTATTACCTCTCTGAATAGTTGTGTCTTAATTGATGTACTCTGTTGCCATTTACATTAATCCCATGACTCAATGGTGAGCAGAATGAGAAAAGACTAGAAAAATCAACTCATCATTCCTTTTAAGAAATTTGTTAACTGTTTTATTTATTTTTGTTAAGCTCCTGTGGTTGGACAGTACAATTAGTTACTTAATATTTTATTTTCTCCTCTACAAAATTAATCTTTTTAATAACTACCCTCTTTTGACTAGTTACTTCTATTCCCAAAACAAAATGTATTCACTAAGTTCCTATGTTCTTGTCAAAGAAAACGTCAGACGTTTCTGAAGAAGTGATTGGGGAATCAGGGTGGGAGGAAAAACGTATTCCTGACAGTATAAGAAATATGTTTGCATTCCAGTAAATTATTTTTAGGTATATTTTGATATCACTTTGTTCTGTAACCTACTTTTATCTTTTTCTAGCCAAGAACACACTGATGCCAAAATATTATTATAAGTCGAACCATATTCTAATTTAACTTTTTTGAAAAAAAATGATAATATATGCAAAATGAGACTTAGAGTTGTCTTAACATCACTGATTTTTGGAATTCTAATAGTCGTGAATAAGAGACATTCATGTCATTTGATAAAATAATTAAAGTATAAATTTAAGGTATAACAATTAAAGTATGAATTTAAGCCAGTATTATATTCCATAATCCTGAAAATATATTGGTTACCTCATAATGGCATAATGTTTATTTCCAGTAGTGGCTAGCAAAAGGCTATTCACTGACCAAAACTAAATGTTTAAACAGAAAACATACATTTGCTAAAGACTTTTTAGTACTAATTGTTGTAATAAGTTGCATTATATACTTCCTCCTAATATGTTAACCATTATTCATAGAAGGAATTTATAAGAATGGATAATAGTTAAAGGGGCAAATAAATGACACTTTTTTATAGAAGAAACATATACATTTAAATCCACATATTTATACTATATAGTGTAAATTTTCCCAGTGAAAATTATGTATCTATGGGTGTTTTGTTATGTATGTTTTATTCAATGTAACATTAAAGTTATTGCCCCCCAAAATCCTTCAAAACGGTTAGAGTTTCAATGGTATGGGAAAAGTAATGAAAACATTATTTTCATTATTGTTACATTGCTGTCATTGTTACTACTAAAAACAGCATCTATAAAATAAAATATGGTGTTCCTGTAGGCTTGCCATGTTCCAAGCTTTCTCTCTTTTTCTGTACTCAGGTGGGGCCCCAAATTCTCTGGAACCATATTATACATTACTGTTTTGCAGAGGTTTGCAAGTTCTTAAGAACTTCAGAGAAAGCCATTTGGGGAAAAAGAGGCATTTCAAATAAGTGGGACTCCAGCTTTCCTATTCTTATAGTTATGTGCTGAACCGGACTGGAATTGAAGTCTGCTCCAAAATATTGTAAAAGACCATGCTTATTAAAGGGATCTTACTGCCAAAGAAAAAGTAGTTCAGAAAGCTAAGAAAGCTAAAGTTCAGGTTTTAACATCATAAAAATTAAATGGTATATGTTACTAGGTGGTACAGTTATATTTCTAAACTCATTGTCTAATTATTTTCTATCTAAGGATGCCAGATGATAAATATATCTATACTGTTCTATTTTATGAATATAAAATGATTTTATAAAATTAGAAAAATCCAAAATTTGACCTGAGAGTTACATTGTTTCTTAATTATAATGTATAACTTTCAATACAAATAATTTTTAATTAAAAACTTCCTACTTATTTTCAGTAGAAATGAGCAAAATACCAGAGCCATGTGTGGCTAAAGAACTTTCTTTTTATTCTTTTGGTAGTTTATTTTTTCTAGGTATCCTAATGTCAGTTGATTTTTAGGTTAGATAGTACTATGTGTCAAACACATTTCTTCTTTATTTTCAACATGTATTTACACTATATTTTCTAGCCTTCTATGCAGTTAAATGTGGCTGGCTTTATGTTTGAGTTCTAGTTCAGTGAATAAAGAGAACACTTTTTCGAGGCTTCTATCTTTGAAATATTTCTCATCTGATTGCTAATATCTTTATTTTACCATGTTAATGCATTAACAAATGATGTATTTGAAAGATGAATGGTAAAGATGAAGACCCAAAATGGCCCCAAATCATCACTTGCAGAAGACTTGTAGAAATCAGCCTAAAACCACTGAGTGGCAGCTAGTGTATGTTAATCCTTAACTAAGTTAGAAACATGTTCCTTGAAGTAAGATCCTGCCATTAAAAGTGGGCAGGTGCATACCTAAATGATAAGAACATAAATAACCCATCCAACTAGTAAGTGAGTGCAAATTGATATTAGATGCTAAAAATGGGAAAAACCGGCCAGGCGTGGTGGCTCACACCTGTAATTCCAGCACTTTGGGAGGTCAAGGAGGGTGGATCACAAGGTCAAGAGATCGAGACCATCCTGGCCAACATGGTGAAATCCCATCTGTACTAAAAATACAAAAATTAGCCAGGTGTGGTGGCACATGCCTGTAATCTCAGCTACTCAGGAGACTGAGGCAGGAGAATCGCTTGAACCTGGGAGGCGGAGGTTGCAGTGAGCTGGGATTTTGCCACTGCACTCCAGTCTGGCAACAGAGTAAGACTCTGTCCAAAAAAAAAAACAAAACGTGAAAACACTTATTATGCAGCAGCAAAATGCCACATAACTACTGAGCCTGTAGCTCTGGAGCAGGTGCGCAGGTGGATGAAAGGGGTTGATGTGCAATGTGTGTGTTGGTGTTTATTTATTTATTTTTATTAGAAAGCTATAGCAAGAAAAAGAGAATCCCAGATCTACGGAGATTTACCTGATCTTCTGGTTTCAGTAAAACACAGAAAATCTTCTCTTCAAAAAAAAGGAACATGGGAAAACAAAAGTAATAAAATGGAGGAGGATTTCCATTTTCACCAATGGCAAAATTCAGATTCACTCATTTTATTATTTCTGGAATTAGAATGCACCTATTAATTTCTACTGGCCATATGGCAACAGTGAAATGGCTATTGCTACCCATTTATACACATATAAACTTGCAGATTCGGTTCTGTGGCCTGAATTTGCAGAAGACATGATTTGAACATTCTTAAAACATGCTATGTCACCGACACTTTTGATGACGCAGATCCCAATATTGCATGAAAGAACATGGAGATAAAAAATTGACTTGAAATTCAGAAGAGTCAGTTTCTAATTTTGAATTAGTCTCAGGAATAATTTAACCAATTTACTTTACTCATATATTCTTTTTATTATGCACAAGTATTATGTTTTATGTAAATTTGTATCTAAATAAGTCAAACATAATTCTTTCAAGAAACATAAAATAAAATAAGTTATAAGAAAGCATAAGTCATGCATTTTTTCCTTAGTAGTACATAAAATAATAGTGTCTTAAAGCAGATGATATTTTTTATTCTAAGGATGCAATAAATGCTAGGAAGAACTTTAGGTATAGTTATTGGCACATTAAATTAAATAAAATAATACAGATCAGAAGAAGGGCAAATTTATAGGGAATAACATTCCCATCAAAACAATGTACCCAAGATAATAAACATTTCACTCTTTAAGGCTTAAAATATCTCTTTTTACTTCTAAATTTGCCACAAAACATAAAAGAGGATGTGAATGTTGTACTATCCAAATGGGGCATCGCTGCAACTCTAAACACATGTATAAATATGAAATTACTAGCCAAAGAGGAAACTGTCCAGGGGTGTCTGAAAACAAGGGACCACGTAGTATTTCCCAGAGAGTAATAATAGGGTTAATTACAGGACTTTGTCCACTTGCAGGGCTGAGAAAACTTTCCATGTTGACTTGTCAGGATATTATGATTTCTCTGAATCACTGATTACTATATGCCTTCTTCTCTTCCCATTCTTTGGGGATAGGTATCCTGTCCTCAAATTAGTTTTGTATATTTATTGAGAGAAGATAAAACTTGACAGACTTCAAAGGACAATGGTTCATGAATATTACATCTTAATGGAGAGAACTGAGGATTACCTAGGATAATAGACTCTGCTTGGTAAGATGTTGGGTCCTCTGTGTTAGTGATAATTGCTGAATGGCTCTACGTATGAGAAGAAGGTTGGCATAAATAATTAGAAAAGAGGGAGTGTGGCAGAGGTTTCTTTGAGTTCACAAAACATTTTTTTCTTGGACACAGATCTGGACTACATCTTTAAGTTCTTTTGTAGTTGGCCATGTGACAGTTTTTGCCAGTGGGGTATGTGCAGAGGGTGTATGTCATCTTCAGGCCTAGACCATTACCATTTCTGTAAATTGTTCTCCATGTTTTCTCCTTTCTATACAATTAATGCAGGAAAACATGCCGAGTTTGGAGGGTATCTATAGAAATTTGCAAAATCCTAAGTTCAAAGGTGCCTAGGTCATTACATCATAGCTTACAGGAAAGTTACACGTTGATCAGAAACACTCATTTTAAATAAATTAAAAGAACAGATCCTACTATGTGAAGCCAGTGAGGTTGAATTTTTTTCTCTTATAACAATGTTTTATCTTAAGAGATTCAGTCTTCATTATAATAATCCAGAATATCTATTCCTTGAAGCAGACACGAAATCTCTGATGGCAAACAAACTTATGTCCCCTTTGTCTATTATCAGAAAACAATCCAATTAGAAATCAGACAAAGGATTTAAACAAACACTTCATCAAAATAGATGTAGGGATAGTTCTATGATTCAAATAATGGTGTTCCCCCCAAAATTCCTGTTGAAGTTTTAACTCTGATATAACATTATTAAAAATGTGGCCTTTGGGAAGTCATTAAGGCATAAGGATTCTGCCCTCATGAATGAAATTAGTACCCATATAAAAGGTAGCAATTGTTGTTGAGGATGTGGAAAAACTGCATGCTTCATACATGGCTGGCCAGATTGTAAAATGGTTCAATCACTCTGGAAATTAGTCTTAAACTTTCTTAAACTGTTACACTTACTCAGCAATTGAAACTGCCTTTGCAAATTCATTACAGTACAAAATCTGACATAGTTGTGAAGCCTGAACATCTGAGACAGTTCTCAGTTAATTTAGAAAGTTTATTTTGCCAAGGTTGAGGACGTACACCTGAGACACAGCCTCAGGAGCTCCTGACGACATGTGACCAAGGTGGTCAGAGGATGGCTTGGTTTCACACATTTTAGGGAGACGGGAGACGTCAATCAACATATGTTAGATGAACATTGGTTAGGTCCGGAAAGGTGGGACAACTTGAAGCAAAGGCGGAACAACGCAAATCGGGGAGGAGACTCCCAAGTCATTGGTATATAAGAGACAAATGATTGCGTTCTTTTGAGTTTCAGATTAGCCTCTCCAAATCAGATATGCATTCATCTCAGTGAGCAGAGGGGTGACTTTGAATAGAATGGGAGGCAGATTTGCCTTAAACAGTTCCCAGCTTGACTTTTCCCTTTAGCTTAGTGATTTTAGGGCCCTGAGATTTATTTTCCTTTCGCATAGTTAACTCCATCTTGCTTCCAACCTCCAAGCTGTTGTTGGCCACTCTTGAGCATAGGCAAATTTATCTTTGGGAGGAATTTACTTTATAGTTTAATTTGAAAGCAAGGATGATAATAATCCATCTCTATAGCTGATCCTCTCCTTGTTTGGGGACTGAAACGGCCTTTGTAAGATTAATGAAAGGCCACAAGAATGGGATTATGGGAGTGGTTTGAACTCTACCAAGACATAGTTTCTGCACACTTTTTCTGCTCAGGAGTTACGTGGCCAGAGGTCAAAGATGGGCATAGATTTTGTAATTTATTACCTTTCATGGGGTATGTGGCCAGAGGTCAAAGATGTGTGCCTTTCCCATTTGTTCCTATAGATAACATCACTATTGAGGAACCTAACATGAGTTTATTTGAGATGATTTTCAGGCTAACCTCAGCATGACTTGTGACTCATGACTCAACTGATCCTGTGGTCCCAACCAGAAGTGGACCCAGGACACAAGGACCATTTTCCATACCCCTGTGATTTCATCCCCAATCAATCAGCAGTACACATTCCCTAGCCCCATGCCCACCAAACTGTCCATAAAACCCTAACTTCCAAGCAGTCTGAGAAAATAATTTGAGTGATAACTCCAGTTCTTGGACATATACCAGGACTTAAGTGAATTAAACTCTTTCTCTACTGCAATGCCATGGTGAGGTAATATGGGAAAGAAAGAAAAAGTACAATCATTATATCATCATACTCTTCCTTTGGCAGGAATTGCATAGTTATACCAGCATTCTTCTCACCTCTTCCCTACTCCCTCTTCCCCTTATCAACTCATGTTGAGTCTGAATACGTACTTGTGAAGGCGTGTAAACCGGCCCTTTATGCTTTTACAGCCCCTTGTTTCAGACAACCAATGTTCTAATTGCCCATTTTACCTGTCTATCAAATCATTACTCTGAGAAAAATATCACTTTGTCTATTACTGTACATTATTGGCTGAACCATATGTTGCTTGGTCTGAAGAAATGATCATTGGCCTCTGGCTATCCAAATTCATGTAACGTTTAGTGTTCTCTCTCTTTTTTTTTTTTTAATGGCACTCTGAGCATTTTCATCAACCAGTAGGTAAGCAAAGTCCAGTGCAGAATCAATGTCTGTTCCTGTCAAGACCCATAGGTAACCTCCCAGGGACACCAGCATTAGTCTTACTTGCCAGCTAAGTTACTTGCCAGTATTAGTCTTACTTGCCAGCTATGTTCAGGATATCCCTGCTAGGAAATCTATTCCACAGTTATGTGCAGTCTCTGACTCTCTTGCTGATGAACAGAACAGTTCTTACTGGCATTTGGAGCCTTAGAGGGTACAAGAAGAACACATCCAGATTCAGCCCATCTCTGCATTGCTGTAGTACCCCCATATGCACTTATTTCATGGATCTAGGTAGTCACTTCAAAGAAGCACATGAGGATATCTGCTTATCAATTTGAATTACCTTCCAAACCTGGAAGGAGGCTGCTCTGATGGCATGGAAATGTCCTACTCTAATCTGCCACTCCAAGTTCCATGAAGCCATGCCCCATACATTTAATAGGCCGGGTTTCCATTGTCCTCCCCTCTGACTGTGTTGATAAGCCATTGACCACCACTCATGAGTCAGTAAAAACCCAAACACAGGGGCATTTGTCACTGTTCAATTCTTTAGCATGCTATTCAGCCCACCAAGCTGACTTGTTTTTACTTTTTTATTTTTTTCATCAATGTGTCATCCTTTGAAACAGAATGTTGTTTATTTACTTTGGAACTGTCTTCTACACACTAAGCAGTTCTTTGCCAGTCAGGTGAGAGGTATTTATAGGACACTGTGCAAGTGATGATAGAATCCAGCAACTCCTCATGAAGCTCTAAAATGTGCTCTGGAGAAAAAGAAGCTTTCTGTTACTTAACATCTCTCCTTTGCATTCCCCAGGTAGCATGCTCCTGTGTAAACCATTTTTTATTTTACTCTAAAACTCCTTGGGCATTTCTATCCTCATTAGAGCATTTCTCTGACGTTACCCAAGACATCATAAAAATTTCCAGTTTCATTATTTAATATGTTTCAGTCCTAGGGGTAGCTTCAGCGATGTTAAGAAAAGACCATGAGATCTGCAAGAAAAAGAGAGAGCTTTACTTGCTTTAAAAAATTACCTGTAGATTGGGGAAATGCAGCCTGTGGTATAAAAGAAAAATATGCTCCTAAGAACAAATAGAGAGTTTGGCTTAAAATGAAGAAGTTTCTGTTTAGGTTCTCAGTCAGTTTTATTATGGAAATGAAGTATTCAACTTGGTCTGTTCTAAGTTGTTGAAACAGTCCAACTCTGATTGGGTGGTTTCCAAGTCCAAAACCAGAAGCCTTTGTCAGATGTTTTCTTTTAAATGGTTGTTGGGGAGCTTCGTAGCAATTTATTTTGGCTCTGGTTGCAGGAACTGTTTCAGCTCAGAGGTGTAAAACAGAATGTTTGTCTGAGAACCTACAGCGCCTGGCCACTCTTTCTGACTGTGCTATGGCGTCTGGTTCTACTTCTAAATTTAGAGCATCTCTATTAGCCACAGGGAGTCCATCTCATCCGGAGAGTCTGGGGTCTTAATCTAGAGTTTTATTTTATAATAGCAAGGTAGTAAATTTACCTCAAGTGGAAATTCTCTAGTTCAAAATCCCGGTAGTCATCACTAGGAGGAACTCACAGGCTTTTGACATAAGATGCAGTTTACATTTCACATAGGGCTATCAAACAGAAAATTTGTTTATGCCAGCACTCCAGTTTCTATTTTACGCTCTCTGAGCTTGGGCAATCTTACTGGTTCCCATTTAGCACATTCAATTAATACAGCTTGAATGGTGGATTTACATGCCTTTTATTTTATGGTACTAGCTAGGTAGGGAAAATATTCCCCAGTCAGACATAATATTCATTCCCATAAAGCATTTAGGTAAGTGAGATACAACTTCTCTATTTAAAGCCTGTTTAACATTCTAACTTTCATAATCCTATTGATAGGGACGGGGGCAGGGAAATTCTAGGCAAAAAACGGCAGGAACCCAGCAAAAACCCACCCCGAAGCCGAAAAGTCTGAAACTGGCCCAAAGTGGGAATTTATATCCCTGTTCTCCTGCTGGAATGTTGTCTTTTCCTAAACCACCCATGGTCCCGCCCTACACCATCCTGTACCTATACAAACCCCAGACTCAGCCAGTAGACAGGACTATGGTTGGACATTGGAGAGAAGCAGCTTGATGGCTTAACACCGAAGAAGAATCCAGCCAGAGACAGCCAGACTTCCGGGGAGGGTTACCTACCGACCCTGTCTCCTTCTCAGCTCCCCTTCCTGCCGAGAGCCACTTTCATTCACAATAAAATCCCCCACATCCACCACCCTTCAATTTATTCGTGCAACCTCATTTTTCCTGGCTGTTGGACAAGAGCGCGGGAGCCACAGGTGGAGATACAAAAAGCTGTCACATTGGCCCTTTGCCCTTGCTGGCGGAGGGCAGCCGCCTCACACAGAGGCAGAGGGCCCACTGAACTGTTAACACTTAAGCCATCTGCAGATGGCAGAGCAAAAACAGCACTGTAACATGCCCTCTGGGGCTTCGGGAGTTGCAGGCACCCACACCTGGATGCTACAGTGGAGCCTGAATGTCGTTTGCTTCTGCCAGTGCCCCAAAGCAACAGCTCCAATTCCTGCACCCACTCGCCTGCGCGCTCCCTCAGTGGAGGGGTGGAATGCAGCAGGTCCAAGTTAATGGAGTTTGATGCCGCTGGTGCTGAGGCAGCTGGCTGCTTCCACTGCTGGTTTACTCCGGTTCCCGCACTTGTTTGCTAGCAAGCTTCCTCCGGGGAGCTGTTGAGGGCAGAGTGTGAGTAGAGGAGGCACCCCTGTTGAGAGTCCTGCCTAGGAGTCAGGGAAACATACTGCTTTACTATAAACCCGGGAGCTGTTGAGGGCAGAGTGTGAGTGTGAGTAGAGGAGGCACCCCTGTTGAGAGTCCTGCCTAGGAGTCAGGGAAACATACTGCTTTACTATAAACCCTTACGTTTTTTTGTATTCTAGTCCCAGGAACTTCTTCATCCTCAGGCCATTTTACCCATTCTTGTGAAAAAGGCTTTGGTTGAGATAAAGGACACTGGCCTGTTTATCAATCTTTATCTTGATTAATTTGCCTGACTATTGCCCCAGGCAATTTCAGATCGGATTTCTCATCATAATCTCTGCCTTCTGACTCTTTAAATTTCTCCAAACTGGGGTAAACATAGCAAAACTTTTTGGAACCCCTTAATGTTGGGGAACCAGCAGGGACTCCCTTTGGTCCACCAAACCTTTGATAGTATTGTGTTAAGACTTTTGTTTTAACACCATAAACACAATTTTATTTCACTTATCTCATTTTAAAATAAGAATCTAAAGATTTCCAGTCCTGGCTGGGCACGGTGGCTCACGCTTGTAATCCCAGCACTTTGGGAGACCGAGGCGGGCGGATCACGAGGTCAGGAGATCGAGACCATCCTGGCTAACAAGGTGAAACCTCGTCTCTACTTAAAAAATACAAAAAATTAGCCGGGCGTGGTGGCGGGCGCCTGTTGTCCCAGCTACTTGGGAGGCTGAGGCAGGAGAATGGCGTGAACCCGGGAGGCGGAGCTTGCAGTGAGCCGAGATCGCGCCACTGCACTCCAGCCTGGGCGGCAGAGCGAGAATCTGACTCAAAAAAAAAAAAAAAAAAAAAAAAAAAAAAAAAAAAAAAAAAAAAAGATTTCCAGTCCCATGACTTTCCCTTTTTTTCAATTAGTCTTTTTTGTTGTTGTTGTTCAGATCTCCACGTTTATTCAGATTTGTATGTGGAATTTAAATGTGTTATGTATTTTTTGTACAAATGCATGCTAGCATCCATAGAACAAATGTCTTTTTTTTGATATCTGATCAACTTTTTTTATTTATTTATTTTAATTATACTTTAAGTTCTGGAGTACATGTGCAGAACGTGCAGGTTTGTTACATAGGTATACACGTGCCATGGTGGTTTGCTGCACCCACCAACCCGTCATCTACATTAGGTATTTCTCCTAATGCGATGTTCCCCTCCCTATGTCCATGTGTTCTCATTGTTCACCTCCCACTTATGAGTGAGAACATGCGGTGATTGGTTTTCTGTTCCTGTGTTAGTTTGCTGAGAATGATGGTTTCCACCTTCATCCACGTCCCTGCAAAGGACATGAACTCATGTTTTTTTTTTTACTTTTATTAATTTCTTCTTTATACGCCTTATGTCTTCATAATTGTTTAATAATTTCCACCTTCTAGAATAAATCCTTTGACTTTCCCTTTGGCCTTTCTCCACTCTCTTGTTAATCACTCTAATGTTTTCAGCAGCATCTGTAAGATCCATGAGGGAAATCTGAAACAACAAATCTGACAAGGCTTCCTAAACTATCCTTCTGTTTTGCAACAGCAAGATTAAATGAGGCATCCATGTTAAAGGGGCAACCTTAATCACAGCATTTGCCATAAAAGGCGTATTCAGCAGGTGAATATTTTGGTCACCATAAATTCAGTCCCACATAGCTTGCATGTGAAACGTATCAGCTAATTCATCTAAGGCGTTCCACTTGGCATTTACACAGGGAGTCAAAAAATCTCCCTTCTCCTGGTAAACAGATGTTCTAGTGGCTTTTTTTTTTTCAGTCCACTAGGCTGGTAACTCCCTCAAGAATAACCTCTATGTGTCTGGATTGTGTGTAACTATATTTGATTGTTCCATGGTGAGCAGTGGGGTTTGCATCAACCCAAACATGCTCTTTCAACTCTGCAGCCTATAAAACCAAAAGCACTGCTCCTAAATTAGATTGTCTCACAATCAATTTTAGTAAATGTTCCTGAGGAAGCTGATGAAATATATCTACAAAATAAAACAATTTCTTCATGCTATACCCTCTGGTTTCAATATACTACTCCCCTAAAAAAAACAGGGTTCCTTCACTTAGTGAGTAACAGATGACTCTCCATGAGAAGACAGGTTTTGATCAATAGGGATTTTATTACTTGGAACAGGTAAGGAGGACACTGAAAGTATTATTCAATTCAAGGCGCTGTGTCTCTGAGAGAAAGTGACAGAAGGGTTTTATGGGGTGATGGAGAGGAGGGAGGGTGAATCATTGCATGTAGAGAAGAGGTCCCAGTGTCGAAGATGTGGTGAGTCGTTATGCCAGCACGTAGGTCAGATGTTATAATAATGAAGCCCCCGTCCCTCCCAGGGTGGAGATTTTAGCATGGTAATGAGGAAAGTTTATGTGGGTTAATCTATAAATTGCTGGAATCCGTCAGGAGCCGGTTTGAACCAACTAGGTGACCACATTCCACACAGGGTTTTGAAAAAGCAAGACTGCAAAGCAGGAGGCTGTAGAACAGGCTGATTGCTCAAGGTTATTAAATTCCTGTACCCTGGAGACCCTCCCTGTCTGCTTAAAAAAATGTTTCTTGGTTTTGTCCTTTACTCACATTGACTATTTTCTTGATAACCACAGGTTCTAGAAGTACTTGCTTTTGTCCCTGCATAAATTTGCCCTCGGGGAATTTTGCCGAAGTTCAGACTGGCTGAAATATGAGCTCGGTATAGCATCAAGTTTTGACCCAGCACTCTCTTTTAACTTCATTTTAGCTATTGCAGAAAACAATAACAAAGAGGCTGAATATTTCACTGTTTTCTTATTAGTTTGCATTTCCCTATGTGCCCAGTGAACCAGCTCTGTGGGAGTTTGATCCATCACTAAATTCCATGGTAACTTTTACCTTTAGTAACTTCTTGTAGCACAACTGTGGCTCCATACCATGGCTGGCCAGATAGTCCACGAAGTACCAAAGGTTTTCTCCTGCCCTACCCACTCATCCTTTCTCTTGCCGAGCCACAGTTTTCTGTGAGCCAGGGCCATTTTAACAACTTCTGATTCACTGATACCAATTTTGAATTTGTGAACACCCAAAGTGTTGTATCACTCTTAGAATTTGTTCAGTAACTAAATGAGAAAAAACAAATGTTTTGTTAAAATAAGGAGAGCATGATTAGCATAAAGTTTCATGTGTCTATCTAGGAGTAAACAACGTAGAGTAGTAATGATCATAAACGAATAAGGTGAATGAAAATATGATTTTCTTTTCATTGGCAAATAAATAAATTTAGAATGATACATGTGAAAGTCAGAAAAATGTTCATTAGTATTGACAAGAAGGGCAATTAATTTGAAAGAGGGAAATATAACTAGTTTATTTGTGTTTTTAAATCTGTTATGTCTTTAAAAATAAAAGACCATGCAAAAATAAAGCATTTGTTTTGGAAAGGCAGTCAATTTAACCACAAAGATTAAATGGGGTTGTATAATAATCAATTGAATTAAAAAATTCTTGTGTCTACAATACTAAGCTTCATCATAGAAAGATAATACATAACTACTCTGATTTCAAAAGAAAGTGATATGACTATGAGATGCAGTTGTTAAGACCATTTGGATTGAAAATTCTTCTTCAAAGTGTCAAGTCAGTCACATTATCTATTTCCTAGGAGCCCATGTGGAAATCATAGAAAACAGACATTTGGATTTGGGATTCCACGTATCCCCCAGCTTTTGACCTCCTGGTTCCAAGCTACTACTTTTATTATGGCACCCATATGGACTACAAAAGTGTACTAGACAGACAGGCTTTCTATATTTGGTTTTTACATTGTCTGGGTTCCATCTCTGTGAATCTCTGGTCTCATTATACCTCATGGGCTTTTTTTCTTCTATTGACTAAAGATTTTTCTGTTGTTGTTTATTTTTCAGGGTTGTTATGTCCCTCCATTGCCTCTCAGCTGTTACTACTTTTCTTTTAGTATCTTCCTTGGCCTAGCCTATAGTTAGAGTTAGTCACACTGTAGAATATTTTAAAAATGAAAATAAAGAAATACAAAAAATAAAAATAAAAATTTCTACTACTTGGAAAATGTATCTTGAGCACATTTAAATTAAATTCAATTAGAATTTTAAATACAATTTTATTAATTTAGATTAATTATATTAAATCAAATTAATAAAATGTGTTAAAATTAAAAGTTTTTAAAATATTAATCTATATTTATTATATTTCAGTTAAATATATTCTATTTATCTAAATAGATCCAACTGGGTCTACTCTATCCATATGGGACTAGAATCCATCATCCTAACCGTTTTGCTATGGTTCCTCTCCAAACATACATATATAGGTTATCCTTTGTATATGCTCCATATATTACATCATGCATGTATTCATTATGCCCAAATATGGAAAAGAAATGGTTATACTGACAGAGACTAATTATTTTGAACTGCATTGATAAAAATATATTAACAAGAAGAAAAGCTGTAGATGAAAACAGAATACTGGTCAAATTCTTCCTGGAATCAAGTCTCAATCTTTGACCCTCACATAGTGAAAAGAAATGTACTGAAAGCTGGGTAATCAGGATTGAGAGGACTTTCTTTGTATTTACTAGTTTCTTTGCCTGGAATATTTTTCCACAGCTAACTCGATGCCTGGCTCCTTCCGTGCTGTTTTTTTTTTTATTATTTTTTATTATTTTATTTTATTTTGAGACTGAGACTCGCTCTTGTCCTCCAGGCTGGAGTGCGATGGCGTGATCTCTGCTCACTGCAACCTCCGCCTCCCTGGTTCAGGTGATTCCCCTGCGTCAGCCTCCTGAGTAGCTGAGATTTCAGGGGCCACCACCACACCTGGCCAAATTTTTTGTATTTTTAGTAGAGACAGGGTTTCACCATGTTGGCCAGGCTGGTCTTGAACTCCTGACCTCAGGGGATCTGCCCACCTCGGCCTCCCAAAGTGCTGGGATTACAAGCTTAAGCCACCACCCCCGGCCAACCTTCACGTTTTAGATACGCTCTCCTGATCTAAAGCAGTCGTGATCCAAAGCATCCCGTGTCCTGCTCTGGCTTCATTGTTCTCTATTCAGAGCCTCGGTTATGTGCTTCAGAGAACTTACTAGCATTTTCAGCAACAGTATTTCTTTGTTTCTTTGTGCTCTATCACTATCAGAAGAATGTACATTCATTAGGTGAGGAATCACATCTATCTTGTTTACGGTTGTATCCCAGAACATAACATGAGTTGTTTTTTTTTTTTTAAAAAAGCATTACTAAATGTTTTTTTTTAATAAAGGCACAAGAAAGTCAAAGTTAAATAAAATATAGAAAAGAACCTCTAAATGTAAAATGTTTTATTTCAGGAAGCAAGAATTGCAATTCAGGCCATCCATGTAGACCAGGTAGTTTTTTGTATGTCTGAAGAACAAACAGAAATTCAGAGGTCTTATATAAAAAGATAAATGTTATATATTATTCTTCAAGAAAGTTCATTGGTACTAGTAAAGTTTTGGGGAGCTAGTAAGTTCTAACTGGTAAGTGACTGTGGTGGGCAAAACTATACTTGGAATTGCAGTAGGTTGTTTCAGTAGCTATTAGATAATCAAGATTTAATAAAAATGAAATAAATATCAATGCCTTAATATTAATGAATATAGAGCTAATTTGTAATTATTAATTAATTTTATATTATTAATATAGTATTTTGATGTTGAATTAATTATGATGAGTGATTACAAGTACAAGGAGAAATTTTGACCTTCATTGAACAATAATTGTGTATTGAAGTACCTTGAAAGGCAACTTCCTTAACTGGAAAGAAAAATGCCTTTAACCACAGAAGCTGTGAGAATGAGGAGATACAAAAACATAGGCAAGGTAGTACTTAATTTCTGAATCCCAAAATAGTACTACAATTGGCAAGGTGTGGAACCTCGGACAAGTTATTTAACCTTGGAATTTCAATTTTATGTCTGTAAAATGGTAATAAAACCATTCACATCTCACAAGTTGATGAGTGCTGTAGGTATATCATTTTGAAATGCATTATTAAGATATCAATATTATAATGTTATAATCATAACATTTAAATGGTTTTCAATCATTTAAAAGGGTGTTTATATGAAAGCTACACAATTATAATATTATAATCACAACATTTAAATGGTTTCCAATCATTTAAAAAGGTGTTTATACCGAAGCTACACAATCAACTAGTGGGATAACAAAAAAATAATTGGGCCAGGCATGATGGCTCAAGCCTGTAATCCCAGCATTTTGGGAGGTCACGTTGGGAGGATTACTTGAGACCAGGAGTTTGAGACCAGCCTGGGCAACATAGGGGGATTTCCTGTCCACAAAAAATAAAAATAAAAACTTGCCAGATGTGGTGGTGTGCACCTGTGATCCTAGCTAATTGGGATGCACAAGTGGGAGGATTGCCTAAGTCTGGGAAGTCCAGGCTGTAGTGACCCGTGATCACACCCCTGCACTCCAGCCTGAGTGACAGAGCAAGACCCTGTGAAAAAGAAAAAGAAAGAATGAAAGAAAGAACAAAAGAAAGAAAGGAAGGAAGGAAAGAAGGAAGGAAGGAAGGAGAAAAAAGGGGGAGGAGGAGGAGGAAGGAGGAGAAAGAATTGCACAGCTGGTCGAGATTTTGTTCAGCTCTGGAATTTTTGTTTTGTTTTGTTTTGCTTTTGTTTTTGTTTTGAGATGGAATTTCGCTCTTGTTGCCCAGGCTGGAGTGCAGTGGCATGATCTCAGCTCATTGCAACCTACGCCTCCCGGGTTCAAGTGATTCTCCTGCCTCAGCCTCCCTAGTATCTGGGATTACTGTTTCCACCACCACACCTGGTTAATTTTTTGTATTTTTAGTAGACAAGGGGTTTCCCCATGTTAGCCAAGCTGGTATTGAACTCCTGACCTTAATTCATGCAAAAAGAATAGACAAATATGCTATGTCTGTCGGGTGAATATACAGTATTTTATCAGATAGTACAAGAAATTAAAAGTGACCACTGCAGCTTATTATGTCTGAAGTGCATTGTCTCTTCTAAATGCAAGTTGCCTTGGTGGCAGATTATATCTAGGCTTGTGCCAAGAAGGGGGAAAAAAGAAAACACCAATTCATGTTTCTAACGCAGAAATTTTCTGTGATGGTATTACTGAAACACCAGGGGTTCAGTGTAGGTCCTGCCACTTGCTGCATAGAAAGCCAATCACTGAGACAAAAATCACTGCCAAGGAAGAAGGCTTTAACGGGGTGCTGCAGCCAAGGAGATGGGAGTTCAGTCTCAAATCTATCTCCTTGAAGGACTAAAATTAGGGGTTCACACAGCACGGAAAAAGTGTAATAATTTGTTAGAAAACAAGAACTAGTGTGTGATAAGGAAACAAAATGTGGGATCCCAGTATCTCATTGTCTGGATGCAGTGATCTCGTGAGTTTCAGACCTTGATACTTTTTGAGAGATCTAGGGGGTCGTTTCTTGAGGATGAAACTCAGATAAAATAAATGTAAGTTTCAAGCTTTAAGACTGGAGGAGTCAATTTCTATGTTTATCCAAAAGAGCTGTGTATGGGACTGTTGGATCAGTTTCAAGGCTTGAGCTAAAAAAAACCTATTGAAACTCTTCTGAATCTTCCTATATGCTTCTTCTGGGGATGATCATTGAAATCAATATATATTTCTTCTAAACAAAAGGGAAAGCACAGTTCTTACTTTTCAAAATATCTTTGGATAAATGTATATAGTTGAAATGCTGTCTCACATTCACTACTTCGAATTAAGAAATAACACTGCATTAAGCTCTAATAATTAAACAAAACAAAACAAAATATAGTGACCATATTATCTAGTTACTTTTCATGAAAATAATGTTTAAACATAACCTATTTTTACATCAAGAAATTTTATCTAATATCACTTTGGTTCTAGTTTTACATTTGCCTGTGAAGATCACAATGCATCATTTATTCTTCCAGAAGCTATCTGATTTTGAAGTAACAAAATGATTTTCTGAGAATCCAAATACAAAAGCTTAAGTGTGGGTAAAATGTTTGCATATATATTTGAACATACTTGTTATGTATGTTGGTGTACTAAGACAAGGGCAAATGTAGTTTGTTTGTATTCAAACTGCAAAACGTACACAAATTACCAAGATACCCATAATAAAATACCTCTTTGACTTTTCTGATGGTTTAGTTTATAATAAATTTTCAATGAAATATTTTGTAAAAAATTAAAATAGATATGAAAGTAGCTTGATATAAACTGAATATTGTAAAAAGTGTTTTTGCAATTTTCTGCTAGTTTATATATTTAAAAAATTTCATATTCTTAATTATTGTATTTTAAAGATCACATTTCTCCATACATGAAAATAGAAACCAAGTGAGTGTGTATATGTATTCATTTAGCTTTTGTATACATATGTACACATATACACATATACAGTTATATATGTGCATATATACATGTGTGTGTCTGTGTGTAACAAGATAATAGATTAAATGAAGAGGAATATGGCATACTATTGGTTAATAAGTATATTTATATTGTGTGTTTAATAGGAAGTCTTACATATAAATTCTATCTTCTTAAAGATGTCAGAATAACCATTATAAGTCATAAACTGTCACTTTTTTTACAAAGTTGTTAAGATGAAATTGAATGCTTTTGCACAAATATCTCAGCCCTGAAGAGCGTTATGTTTTCAATGAGTTTTAAAAATTTTTTAGTCATCTTTCCTATAGAGCTGAAGAATAAGCCCCAGTATCATTCTGAACGGCTGTTTTATGGTATTTATTTAATTGGTACTCTAAGGAATTCAGCTTTTGAACAGTGAAATTTTCACTCATGATGTTTATTTATTGAATGCCAAATGTATCATAAACTATTCCAGAGACAAAGTGATTTTCCTATAAAATTAATATTTAAAATATTGAAAGCTTTGATAATTAATTCATCATTGTAACTTACATATATACTTTTTATTAACTAAAATTTTATCTCTCAACTCCCAAATTATAACTTGTTATTCTTCCATCCGTTCTTCTGAAAGAAAGCACTTGGTTTAACACAGCTCCATAAATAATTTTTTCCAATAGTAATCTGTTCAACATTTTTAAGTTGACAACCAAAATATTGATGTTATAGCTGCCTTCACTAATATGACTTATGATTCTGTAAAAGCCTCACTTGATTTATAGAAGATACTTCAACTTCCATTAAATCTTCCTTTAATGATCCTGAGTTCTATCTTTTTTGTAAGAGCATCACAATTTCTAAACAAAGCTAGGTACAAATGTCTGAGGAGGCCAACCATTATTTCCTCAGAGTTACGGGAAGATAGTTTTTTTTTCTTTTTTCAATGTGCTGCCTTTTGGAGCAACAATTAATTTGATATTTGAAGTTCTTTGGCCAGAATGTTAATGCTTCATGCATTATAAAGTGTTGCATATTTATTTCTCTTTAATAGATACCAAAAGAAAGTAAATACATTTAAATAATTAAAATTTCTTGTAAGATTTTTTACTATGGTTTAAATGTGTCCCCCAAAGTTCATGTATTGGAAACTTAATCCTCAATGTAACAGTCTTCGGAGCTAGGACTTAATAAGAGGTGATTAATGTATGAGGGCTCTACCCTTACAAATAGATTAATGTTATCATGAGAGTGAATTAGTTATCATATAAGTAGGCTTGTTATAAAAGTTGGACCTTTCACTCTGTTGCTCCTTTATCTTTCCCCATAGAATGATGCAGCACGAAAGCCACCACCAGATGCTGGGGCCATGCTCTTGGACTTCTCAGCCTCGAGAACCATGAGCCAAATAAAATTCTATTGTTTATAAACTACCCAATCTCGAGTGTTGTTACAGTCATACAAAACAGATGAAGACATTGCTGAATTGTTTTTGTTTTTTATTCTTTCCTTTATTTTTTCTCCCATTACCTGGTATTATTATTAGGCTCCATAATTCAGTGTAGTATTGTTATATTTACTAAAAAGCATATATTTGATCATATGCTAGCTAAAGGATTCTAGATATATTAGAATATAAAATTTAAAACTTTTACTTTTGGTGATCAATTCTATCAAAAAACTAATAATCATACATAATTCTCATGGAAAATATTTTTCACCAAAAAATTCTTTTGTTTCAAATTAGTTCTCTAATATCAAACATGCATACCTAAATAATGAACTTATTTTACACCTCTCCATTTTAGTGATTTACAAACTACATAATAGAAAATAAATCCTCACTTAATATTGTCAGTAGGTTCTTAGACATTGTGACTTTAAGTGAAACAACGTATAAAATAACTACTTGTTTTTCATGAGTGTTATAGAAAATGAAGTTGAAGATAAAGATGTCCTTTGAGGACATGCTGCATATTTTTTCTTTCAAAGTTTCAGTTTCCAAGAAGCTATCAATGGTGTTAAATAAAGAATTGCTGTATTTAATTTAATCAGTGCTTTCCTGTGTTGGAAAGGGGTTTTGAGACACTATTTCATTCCGTTCACCCTCTTGCTCTCTGTACCTATTTTCTTGGATTTCTCAGTATATAACATTGTGAATAAAACTGGAATAAATTAAATGACACCTCAATAAAAATATTTGTTCCCCAAAAACTGATATTTCTGTAGAAAATACTTGTTATTTTAGTTACATTTTTAAAACAAAGTGTAAATAATAACTTCCTAGGTGCTGGCACTCTTGATACTCTTTACTCTGCTCTGATTGTTCCAAAGTGTATATGCTATAGTCAGAATGCTTTTGTCCCCATATAATTTATATCTTGAAATCTTAATATCCAAGCCAATAATATTAGGAGGTTGGTCTTTTGGGAGATGATTAGGTCATGAATGCAGAGCCCTCATGAATGGAATCATTGCCCTTATAAAATAGGCCCATGCGGGCACAGTGGCATAGTGTGGACCTGTAATCCCCACTACTCAGGAAGCTAATATGCAAGGATTGCTTGAGACCAGGAGTAAACCAGCTGGGGCAACAGAGTGAGACCATATCTCATAATGAATAAATGAATTAATGAATGAATAAATAAACAGGCCCAATAGGCCCATTTACCCTTTCTATCATGTAAGGACATAGCGAGAGAAAGCACAACCTTTGAATTAGGAAATGGGCTCTCACTAGAAACCGTGTTTGCTGGCACCTGAATTTTGTGTTTGCCAGTCTCCACCTATGAGCAATAAATTTCTATGATACTTTATATTTCAGCCCAGATCAACTAAGACAACATGTCTTCTAAAATGCTACATATAAAATGTACTTATTTATTTGTAAAAATTGTATTGATTGGTTATCTCTCTAGAAAGTAAGTTTTATGGAAGAACTTTGTAAATAAATAAGTGAATAAACAAGTAAATGAATAAGCTGGTTTTACACTTGTTCCCTGAATTATATTGTAATTTTAAGTATAACTTCTCTTACAATTTTGTTTCATATTATACGAGTAAGTAAAAATAATCTGGAAGCATATAACTTTTCAATGAAACTTTAAACAAAAATATTCTAAATTAAGTTAACTGGCAAGGATTTATTATAATGGATGAAATATATTGGGATATAATTGGTCAAAAAATATAAAAATTATGACAGTTATTTAGGAATAAAAATACATTTATTAATTATACATTAAAATAAAAGAACTAAAATAGCTATATAAAAATCTTTTGGAATTAATTTTTACTGGCTCATAGTAATTCTAAATATTACTTACACAATATTTTAACAGTGAACACTCAGTGCCTATTCTGTACTTTTATCCCTTTACATACAATAATTTCCCAAAGTGTCATAGCAATATTAACACTAGAAAATGGCTATTAATACTTGTTTATATAAAAGCTAAATTTTGTAATTTTAGAATGTTATAGAATGCAACATCTTTTCTAGGTGAGTTTTTATGATCTTTATGATTAGTTAAATCACTGCCCTAACATTTACAACAGTACAGATGCAGTTTCCTCGCTTGATTCTGTTTCTTACTGTGATTGAGGCAAAGGGCAAAAATCAAAACCTCACATTGGAAGTCAATCAGGAAAGCAACTGTCTGCTTTAGCTACTCTGTGACTGTACCTTGCCTTTTTAAGGATACAATAGACTACGTGTTAAAAACTAGGATGTTCCTCTCTGGAATGTGTGTGGAGTGTGTGTGCGTCACATGTGCACACACATGTATGTGTGTGTGATATATTAGAACAAAAGAGAGATTATCTTGTCCAATTTACCCTCAATTTAGATACTATTTTCTTGGAAACAGACAAAATAAATTACTCAGCACCAGGCCTAATTAGTAAAACAACCAGCATTACAAATCATCTCTTCAGACTCATAACTCAGTGCTTCTTTACCGTTACAAAAATATTAGAATCTAAATATTTTCAATGAATGATGATGTTCTCCGTTGCTACATGTATTCAGTTTAAAGTACTATTTTTCCCTTTTCCTACCCATAATAATTTTGTGTATTTTATTATTGGAATCTCTTATGAAATTTAAAATTTGTTGTGAACTTAATAAAACCTAGCAAAGAGTATTGAATATTCAGAAGAGTGATTTCCCTGCAAACTCCCTAAGTGCTTCTAAAATTATACTGATTAATATAATACACATAGATAAAAAGCTTCTCTCTCTTATAAAATGTGTGAAAAGTTGCATGTATAATAAATAATACTATATTTAATTTCCTAAGTAATGAGTTCACAATGTAATTCCTTACTTAAAAATTTGAAATGATGAGGATGAATATGTCAAAGATTATTACCAACAGAACAATATTTGTTCATCAACTTAGACGGCAGTAGAAATGATGATAATTTTGAAATAGGGCCAAGGCACTAGCTCATGCTCTGTAAGCATACTTGTACTAATAGGCTGAAGACCAGTGTTAAAGTTATCTTTTAGAATAGTAAAATAGCATATGAAAGATACTGCAGTGGCAAAATATGAAGTTGGAAGTTGACTTGAATCTGCAAGAGTGGACCTCAAGAGGTTGTTTCTGGGTGAAAGTAGAGAATAAGTAATAGAAATATTTGAGAATCATTAAATTGGTAGAACTGTTTTATTCACTGTCATAATGGGTTTGGAGTAGAGGAAGTTAAAAAGGTGCTACAGGGTGCAAGTAGGTCTTCATGCTTGCAGGATGCAGGCAGAGAGAGACAAGAAGTGAGTAAGACAAAAGAATATCAAACCATTTTCTAAGCATGGCCATTCAGCCTGTCAGATCTAAGACAGAGGACAGATGTGTAAGACAAGAAACATGGTTTTCATTTATAATACATGTTTCAGATTTAAAATTATTATTAACTGCTATAACTAAAATAAAAACAAAACACTCAAAGTAATAAGGTAGTAATTATATTCATAGATAAATATAATGCAGTGGAATAATTGTTTGCAAATTAAATTAAATAATGAGAACAAAGAAAAATATTTCTTTTTAAATTAAAATAATAATGTTTAATTTACAAGAGCAGAATTTGAAGTCCCAATATTTGATTTGAGATAATCTGAGAAGCCATTTTATAAATACACAAATGAAATTTCTGAAACATTTGCTGGAAACATAGATATTACAATTATCAAATCCAATCTGTACCTTGAATATTTAGAACTACTGTAAGGTTGACATCCATTTAGCAAATGAAGTAGACATAAATATTTCATAACAGATTTAAATTTAAAACAAATTTTAAAGGATAAGACAATTAAAAATTGTGCTAATGACATATCAGATGAGCCATAAAATAATAAAAGAATAGCAAATTCAACAAAATAAAATCTCACTACTAAATACATGAATAAATCTGCTTACCAGTCGTCTATTTACATTAGATAATAGTTTATATTTTGTACATGCATGTAATTTATATAAAGCAGATTTGTAGTTATTCATTTTAACTATTTGAAAGCTTTCTATGAACATATTTTATGGCGGACATTTTCACTCATATGATATTACTGAGACCTGATGGAATCAAAGTTTTAAAAAGATATATAACATTTGTTGTACATAACAAATTTAGTTATATCTAATAAGTATCATGTCTTGGGAATTAAAACTTTAAGCATATGTTTAGTAAAATCTGATATAGTTAAACAGTCTACCTATTTACATAAAATACTTCAATGTTAAAACCTCAGGTTTAGTTTTAATAATAAATACTCAAACACCATTGTTTCTTTCCAGTTGCCCTTTTTTGAATTGTATATTGCCTCACTTCTTATTTTTTCCTCTCTTGTCTCATGAAAAATATTATTTTGAAGTAAAGACCCTGTGTTTAAAATAGCAGTTAATTGAAAATGAAAATAAGAAATACACATTAAAGAAAAAAAACTTTGTTATAGAACGCTCTTGTTAATGCATAAGGATGTTATCCATTTTTTTTCTCCTGTTTGGTTCCTCCTCGGTTAGGAATAACTAGGTGTTTAGGAAGCAATCTTAGGTAATGAAAACAATTAATTACCTTTTTGTAGTGTTTTTATATTTTAACAAGCAAGGACTAGTAATTATCTTGCTAAGGGAAAAATTGATTATTCCTTTATTTATAGAATAGTCTCTCATCCCTCATAAAATGATCAATAAAGCTGTACCTTGGCTTTACTAACAATTTCTTCTTTATCCATCTTTATTGTAAGCAAGCATCTTTTGATATCCATGCCCTGTGATGCTTACGCTTTTAGGAAAAAATTCTTCCTCAAAACAGTTCAAATAATATTATTCACTAATGACATATAAGACTTATTTGCTTTTCTAGTTTATTACTGAGTGAGGTTTGTTTGTTTGCTTGTTTATTTGTAATGGTAGAGAATTCTGAAAAAAAATTATAGGGTGAAAATGAAAAGAAAAAGTAACAATCTTTGAATTGTAATAAATATATTATGACATATTATTATAGAAATGCAGTTTAAAATCTGTTTAGTGGCACTAGTACACATAATTAATTATAGTGTATAAAGAAAAGTCACTTGTATTTGGCTTTAGATAGCAATATGATTTCAACCCATTTCTACCTTTCTAATAGTTTCCCTATAGTTAAGTGGACGATGAGGTTTACTTTCCTGAACATATTCAATCTGATAGTTAGGTGGAGGAAGCCAACAGAATGTTGCCACCCAATGTGGGTGGCAGAATGAAGTCAACCTTGGGTTTCATAAAAATCAGAATGATTGATAGATGTAACCAAGAGGTAAATAGAGAGAAATACACTAAAACAAAATATGAAAATTAAGATTTACTAAAAAGTTCATTTGGGAAGGAATATTTTCTTTTGTATTATATGTAATCTTTAAATGTATGCTTTAGAAGTCAATATTACATGTAATTTTATCATTGTAGTTATATAACGTTAATGTATTCTCTTTCATTAAATCAAAATGAAACTATACTTTTTAAAAAAATATAAATATGGATAGTTTGCATTAATGTATTAAACTCCCCAAATGGGCTTTTCTCTACTAATGGAATTAAGAATATTTTATTTTTCTTAAATAAAAGCCAACCTGTGTAAGTGCAATGATATGATAAGACCAAAAATGTCCGCAATAATGTTGGAAGAAAGGTTTTAATAAAGTAATGCTTATTTAATTTATACTGTTAAAGTATAAAATCATTATAATGAAATAAGAAAACAAAAAATGTAATGTCATTTGCAGATAAGAACTGTGAACTTTTTCTTTTTGGTTTCCAGGCCATTTTTAAAATTTTTAATTTAATCTTTTTAGAGATCAATTCTCCCTGTTTCCTGTGCTGGTCCCAAACTTCTTGGCTCAAGTGATCCTCCTGCCTCAATCTCCTAAGAAGCTGGGACTATAGGCATACTGTGCACTTCTTGATGTAATTATTTTCAGTGATTGTGTGTGTGTTCACAATATGATTTTTAGTGTAATATTTTATTATAATCATTCTCCATTTTATTTGCTCTCAACCAGTATTGTAGACATAATTCTATGATTGCCTCAAAGAGTCCACTTCCTGGTGCATGGTCCCTATGTAATTACTGGAATTTGACAATACAATGGGCTGGTCACACCAGCCATTAGGTTATGTTATATGGTATAGGGACTTTAAGAAAGGGAGGTTATTTTGGGTACACCTGAACTCTCAGGTGAGCCTTCAAAAGGCTCTTCCTAGAGAAGAACCTCAAAGCATAAGAGAGATTACATGATGAAGATTCTGCATTGCTGGCTTTGAAGATGGAGGGGCCACATGAGAAGGAATGGGACCAGTCTGTAGAATTCAATAATGACCCTCAGCTGCTAGCCTGCAAGTAACTGGAAACCTCAATTCTACAACTGCAAGGAACTGAATTTGGCCAATGATCTGAATGAGCTGGAGAAAAAATAATTCCTTTGAGTCTTCAAAAATAAATAATATCTGGTGGACAACTTGATTTTAGCCTTGTAAGACTGTCATCAAAGAACTCAGCTGTACTTTTCTTTAGACATCTGGTTCGCAGAACTCATCCTAATAAATGGATGTTGTTTTAAGCCATGTAAGCCTCCACGTTTGTGAAATTTGTTAGAAAGCAATGGAAAACTAATACAACTAGTATTTTTACACTGGATCTTGTTAACCTGAAATTAATTTCAAATTTCATTATATGCTTATTGGGCATGCTAAGAAGATGATCATGTCGTTAAATATTCTAGTGAATAGATGTCGCTCTTTCCTGTTTTCTCAAATCACATTTTAAAATTATCATAATCACATTAATGAGAATTTTGCAAGAAAATTTAGACACACTACCTCATGTAGCTGGATTAGGCAGAAGTGAACAACCGTTATTTTGCTTTTGTGCCTAAATATTAGTGCCTTACATAAAAAATTGACATCTTGTATTTTAAAGCTCCACAGAGAACAAATGTCACCATTTTTAGGTGACTTAAATATGGTTGTGACATTGTATAAGAAAGGGTTCATAAAGTAAGGACTGTGAAAACTGCTACATATATATTTATAAGCTACACTAAAGACATCTTGGAAATGGATATGTGGTTATTAGTCTAACGTATGGAATCACAGACATTTTCAGAAGTTTACTTCATAAAAATACATTTACTTATGTTTTAATCAACTATTATTTAAATCTATTAGAGCAGTATATATTTAGCTAAATAAATAACTATGTCAACCATATATAAGCATCAACCATTTTATTCTGGAGCAGGTTTTTCTTTTAATTTTTATGTTTTTAGCATTTCTTTTATTTTTATATATTTTTATTATTTTAACCTTTGTTTTCGGTTCAGGGGTACATGTTCCAAGTTTATTATATAGGTGAACTTGTGTCATGTGGGTTGGTTGTACAGCTGATGTCATCACCCAGGTACTAAGCCTAGTGGTGTTAGTTTGTTTTCTGCAGTCTCTCCCTCTTCCCATCCTCCACCTTCTGATAGGCCCCAGTGTGTTTTCCCCTTCTATGTGTCCATGTGTTCTCCTCATTTAGCCTGGAGCAGATTCAGATGACACTCTAAATGCTCTTGTAAAAATAAAAAGATTAGTCATTTTAAACTCTCATTATATTTTAGTATTGATCTGTCAGGAACTTCTTAAGTGAGCTCTAATCAATGTTTTCTTCTTATATTCTTTTAATTTTCTGTTGTAATTTAAACAGTTATGTGGTACAAGTTTCTCTGAGATTCTTTATAGAAAAACATAGAAAAATCATTTTAAACAGAGGCTTTTCAGAAACACCAACTTTATAAAGTTTTAATCTAGATAAAAATAATTTATTGGCTGACATGTCTTTACAAGAAAAATGTTCTTTTTTTCATAAGTTTGTGAAAAACAAAGGCAACACAAAATTTAGTTAAAAGCAACTATAATTTTCTCAGCATAGATAACTGCCTATGCATTTGTTGCTTGTGAATACCTATAAATGGACTTCGGAACCTAAAATCATGGATATAATTGGGGAAAAAAAAGAATAAGCAAATAAGCATTATGTCAAATTCTAATTATACTCTTTTATATAATTAAAATATTTAGGTTACTTCAGTCTGCATTTTAATTGTTAAATATCATTTAAAATAATTTCTTATATTCATTCATACTTACTGAAATATGTCCTGTCCTATTTTCTGGTTGTTACTAAAATTCTGTGATACTATTAAATTCAACTCTGGAAAGCACTGAATTATATAACCTTTTTAAAATAAAATGGCATACATAGATTCCATGCTGAACAATGCACCTAATCTTATAGCATTTTATGTTACTAAAAAATGCTTTAATAACGTATATTTTCTTCACAGTATGAGTATAAATTAACTAATGCTTGTCAAGTATAGTAATTTAAATTATTTAGGATGTCAGTAAACAAAGTTTAATTCTCTCCATCACCAGGAAAAAGTGGTTTTTCATGAAATAGTGAAGAAAAATGTATTTCCTGCCTATGAGTAGATAAAGTGACAGACATTATAATGACTTTAATCAATGTTTCATATAGATTACATTATGGGAAAGAAGGAAGGAGAAATTTATATTATAAAACATATAAATGAACACACACACACATACACACACACACACACACACACACACACACAAAATTGTAACCTTACCTTCTGGTTTCTAGTCTGGCATGTAAAGAGCTTGGAAGTTGCCAATCTGTCCTGACAAGTAAAAGCTGAACACTCTGAAAAACTGACAACTCTTCTTGCATCTATCAGAGAAGTGAGGTAATATAGCAAACCACTACCATCAAAATTGCAGAGACAAACAAGTGAATTCAGAGAATCACGACCTACTGGAGCAGAATCACAACTTACTGGAGCAGAAACCTCCATGGGAAACAGTACCAGGGCGGAAAATCCTAAACTGTAATTGACAAATTGCTGGAGGCTCAGTATGAACAAGTTTGAGACTTAAACACTCCAGGGGGACCCATTCATACAGGGGCCTGCAAACTTGTGTGAGTTTTACCTCAAGGTGCTCATGTTGTCACAGTAAATATCAGAAAAACTCCCTTCCTGCAGGAGGAGGGGTAATAAAAACACTAAAATACGCCAGAGCACTATTTTCTTCCTAACAAGATCCACCCTCAAGACACTCTTTTATCTCAGCCTAAATTATTAGATTTTTTAAAGAGCCTAACTGATCGGAAGGGAAATACCCAACTCCAGCTCTCTGCAGTCATCCTGCCTCACTAACAGGGAGTGGAGGACGATGCTGAGAACCACATGTAAAGTTCATAGACCAAAGGCACAGGCTTATTAAAAAATTGAAACCAAATTATAGGACTATAGAATGCTTCCCATTCCCCCCTTTACATTACCACAACATTACTGAAGGCCTATTTACCACAGTACCTTTTACCCAGTGCATCATAACTTGCTATCAATAAAAACATTAAAGTATATTAAAAGGTGAAAACCACAGTTTAAAGAGATAGATAAACATCAGAACTAGATTCAGACATGGCAGGAATGCTGGACTTATCAGTCTAGGAATTTAAAGCAGTTATTTTTAATATGCTAAGGACTTTACTGGACAAAATAGACAACATGCAAGAAGAGATGTGCAATGTCAGCTGAGATATGGGAATTCTAAAAAAGAATACAAATTAAATGCTAGAGATCAAAACATTGTAACAAAAATAAAGAATGCCTTTGATAGGCTTATGAGTAGACTGAAATCTCCAAGCTTGAAATGTCAATGGAAACTTCAAAAATGGAAAAGCAAGGAGAAAAAAGACTGGATAAATAATAAAGTATATCTAAGAACTGTGGGCCAAGTACAAGTGGTATAACACATATGTAAAGTGAATACCAGAAGGAAAAGAAAGAGAGAAACAGAAGCAATATTTGAAGTAATAATGACTAAGAATTTCCCTACATTAATGCTAGATGTCAAACCACAGATCCAAGAAACTCAGAGAACGCCAAGTAGTTTAATGCAAAAAAGAAAAAGAAAAATATGCCTAAGTGTATTTTATTCAAATTGCAGAAAATAAAAGAATAAAAAAAATTTAAAGAAGGCTGGGGAGGGGATTAGGGAGTACACCCTAACTATAGAGTAGCAAAATTATAAATTACATCTGACTTTTCTTCAGAATCTATGCAAACAGAAGGAGAATTGATTGAAATATTTAAAGTATTGAGAGTAGAAAGCCACCAATCTCAAGATCTGCACCCTGCAAAATTATTGTTTGAAAATAAAAACTTTCTTAGACAAACAAAAATTGAGGGAATTTGTGACCAGTAGACATGCCTTACAAGAAATCTTAAAAGTTCTTCACACAGAAGGATGTAATATAAATCAGTAAAGTGGATCTACCTAAAGAAAAGAAGATCATCAGAGAAGGAAGACGTGAAGGTAAAATAATTACCTTTATTTTCTTATTCTTAATTGATCTAACAGATAACAGTTTGTTCAAAATAGTAACAGCAACAATGTGACAATTATGTATGCTTATGTGTAAGTAAAATGAATGACAGTGAGAAATGAGTGATCCAAGGACTAGTAAGAATTGCTAAGTTCTGACACAAGGAATGGTGGAATTAGGAATTTTTTTTACTAAAAACTACTCGTATTATTTATGAAGAGGTATGGTGTTATGTCAAAATAGATTAATTGTAAATGTATACTTAGGTATAAATCTAATAAAATTTATGTAATTACAAAACTGATGGAAAAAATCAAGGAACTAAAAAAGTGAAAAGATATTCTCTTCATGAATAGGAGGCTTCAATATTGTCAAGATGTCAGTTCTTCCAAACTTATCTACAGATTCTATGTAATCTCAGTCAAAATCCTAGTA
The DNA here is from genome assembly GCF_000001405.40 of Homo sapiens. Taxonomy (NCBI): domain Eukaryota; kingdom Metazoa; phylum Chordata; class Mammalia; order Primates; family Hominidae; genus Homo; species Homo sapiens. The sequence goes on from NC_000021.9 coordinate 19,008,670, forward strand.
AGTGGTTTTGTGAATATCAACAAACTATTTTAAAGTTTATATGGAGAGGCAAGAAACTCCAAATAGCCAGCACAATATGAAGGAGAATAAACACTACCCAACTTTAAGACTTATTGTAAAGCTACAGTAATCAAGACAATATGGTACTGGTGAAAGAATAGACAAATAGTTCAATGAAAAGTTCAACCATTGTGGAAGTCAGTGTGGCGATTCCTCAGGAATCTAGAACTAGAAATACCATTTGACCCAGCCATCCCATTACTGGGTATATACCCAAAGGACTATAAATCATGCTGCTATAAAGACACATGCACACGTATGTTTATTGCGGCACTATTCACAATAGCAAAGACTTGGAACCAACCCAAATGTCCAACAATGATAGACTGGATTAAGAAAATGTGGCACATATACACCATGGAATACTATGCAGCCATAAAAAATGATGAGTTCATGTCCTTTGTAGGGACATGGATGAAATTGGAAACCATCATTCTCAGTAAACTATCGCAAGAACAAAAAACCAAACACCGCATATTCTCACTCACAGGTGGGAATTGAACAATGAGATCACTTGGACACAGGAAGGGGAATATCACACTCTGGGGACTGTGGTGGGGTCGGGGGAGGGGGGAGGGATAGCATTGGGAGATATACCTAATGCTAGATGACACGTTAGTGGGTGCAGCGCACCAGCATGGCACATGTATACATATGTAACTAACCTGCACAATGTGCACATGTACACTAAAACTTAGAGTATAATAAAAAAAAAAATAAAAAATAAATAAAAAATAAAATAAAAAAAAAAAAGAATAGAAAGTCTGCAATTAAACCCATGTAAATATAGTCGATTTATGTTTGACAAAAGACCAATGACAACACAGTGCAGTAAAGACAGTCTTTTCAAAAAATAGCGCTGAAATAACTAGACATCCATATGCCAAAAAATAAAAATAAATAAAATCTAGACACAGGTCTCACACCCTCCACAAAAATTAAGTGAAATGGATCAAAGATCTAAAAGTCAAATGCAAGACTACAAAACTCCTGGAAGATAATATATGAGGAAGCCGAGATATACTTGAGTATACTGATGACTTTTTAATACAACACCAAAGATACAAATCATGAAAGAAAAAATTGAGAAGCTGGACTTCATTAAAATTAAAAACTTGCTCTGCTAAAGACGTTGTCAAGAAAATGAGAAGATAAACCACAAACTAAGGGAAAATATTTGCAAAAATGTATTTGGTAAAGTATTGTTATCCAAAATATACAAGGAACTCATAAATTCAATATGAAAATGAACAACACAACTAAAAAAGTGGACAAAAGATTTGAACAGACGCCTAGCCAAAGAAGATATACAAAATGCAAATAAGCACATGAAAAGATACTCCATGTCATATGTCATTAGAGAGTTGCAAATTGAAACAACAATAAGATACCCCTATACAGCTGTTAAAATGTTGAAAATACAAAATATTAACAATACCAAATGTTGGTAAAAATGTGGAGCAACAGAAACTCTTCACTGCTGGGACAAATGCAAAATGGTACAGACATTTGAAAGGCAGATTAGTAATTTATTATAAAATTAAACATACTCTTACCATATGTTCCAGCGATTACACCACTTGTTATTTACCCAAATGAGTTGAAAGCATGTCCATACAAAAACCTCACAAATGTTTATAGCAGCTTCATAAAAATTTGGAAGCAACTAAGATGTCCTTCATCAGTGAGCAGATAAATTGGAGTTCAGCCATTCAACGGAGCTTTATTCAGTGCTAAAGAGAAATGAGCTGTCAAATTATGAGAAGACATGGAGGAAACTCAAATGCACATTACTAAGTAAAAGAAGTCAATGTGAAAAAGCAACACACTGTATGATTCCAACTATATGACATTCTAGAAAAGACAAGTTATGGAGACAGTGAAAGGATCCGTAGTTTCCAAGGGTTTAGGGGAAAGAAGAGATGAATAGGAGGAACACAAATATATTGTCAGGGAAGTGAAACTACTCTGTATTATACCATATTGATGGATACTGTCATTATACATTTGTTAAAATTCATAGAATTATACAACTCCAAGTGTGAACCTTAATTTAAACTGTGGACTTTGCTCACATGATAATGTCAGTGTAGGCTCATCAACCTTAACAATACATGAGATACCTCTCCAGTGATAGCAAGCAAAGATGTGCAAATGTGAGTGCAGGGAAAATCTCTGTAACTTCAGCTCAATTTTGTTGTGAATCTAAAACTTCTCTAAAAAATGAAGTCTATTAAAAAGTTTTCAATAAAATAAAAAATCTTATTCTGCTCATTTTCTAGACCAGAGATTATTAGCCTGGGGTAATTTTGTTCCCCACTGTCAGGGACATTTAGCAGAGACTGGAGATATTTTTGATTGTCACACTTTCATGAGACTATGGGAGTGTTGCTGCTGGCAGTCAGTGGGTAGAAACAAGAGATATTTCTAAACATCCTATGATGTGTAGCTAACAAGTGTTAACCAACCTCAACTGTCAACAGTGCCAGGATGAGAAACACTGCCCTAGAGCATGCGAAGTAGATTTCTCTTGACCAGTGCATATCCCGAACTAAGCAAACATTTGTCTGATAACCTTTAAAACCCTGGAATCTCTCATTACAATTCTGCTAATTCTCCATGGAAGCATGTGCCAATACTTTCATTTGAGATGTTATGTGAACATGTCATTATAAATAACAACTTGCATGTAGTGCATTAGAATTTGAATCTATATAAAATTCATGAAAAATGATATTGCCAGGTTCATCATGGATATGCAAAGGTTTAACCTCAAAGTGATCCAACTACAAACCAAGTCTTTAGGCTTATCTATCAGGTTTAGTTCATATGCCCGCATATACCACCACAGAATGTCCTATGCCCAGCTGGCTGCTTGCCTGTGCATCTCTGTTCTTGTTGGGCCTGGCAGCCCTCTTCCAAATGTTAACACTGAGGCACGTGAGCCTTCAGGATAACAAACTTACATGCTAGAGATAATCATAGAGAGTGCAGTGCCAGCAGTTGGTGAGCAGATTTTGAGTCATGTTTAGACTTGCCACTGAAATTCTGCAAGAAAAGAACATCAGAAGTGAGGAAAAGACAAATAAAAATATCTTCAGGATTTGGCATTATAAACTATATACAGCCTCACATTTTTAAATTTTGCCATGGACTTCCTGTTACCATTCCATTGAAAATACACTAATGTGAAAAGTTCCTGAAGATTCCATGTTGCTTTCTAACTATTTGATAATCACAAAGATGGCATCTCTTTTTTTCCTCCCATTCCTCATATTCCTCTTCCTCTCAATTCCACGGAAGGGAAAAGTAGCAAAAGGTGTTTGAGCCATAAGTTAGTGGAGTCCCAGGTGTCACAATAAATGTTGTGCATTATTTTCTCACACATCACTTGAGTGAAAACTTTGTGTATCGAATTTAGGAAACTATTGATTGCCTTTCCTCCTGGAGAATAATTATAGACAAAGTTTTATTTAAAAAATCCAATAGTTACTGAGGGAAACGTAGGGAAAGAGGAATAGACCAGTCCAGTTAAAACAAAACAAAATAAAACAAACAAACAAAAAACACTAGAGCAACAATGGGATGACATCTGTTGAAAAGAAATTCAGTACCGGGCCAGAAGTGAGCGGGCTGGCTGGCCAAACATTATGCATTGTGTAATATATTGGATCCATTGTGACACTATGCATTTTCAGTTAAATTTATAAAATTTATGATATCGATTGCTCATATGATTTTTCTTGTAAAAAAGCATGTGAGATAGAGCCAAAATAGGTAAATTGTTTTGAAGGCCTGAAGCACAAACACAAAAGTTTGGGAATATCCAGAGGATGTTTGGAGAGTCTTTTATCATCCCAGTTCACACTGGGATAACTTATTGATTTATAGACAGAAAGCCCATGATATACAGGAGATGTGGATTTAACTAATTCAAAATAAAATTAATATCCTACTTGATTTATTTCTCAATCTTATGATTTTTCAGATGTGAACAAAAATTACTCTGGTAAAATGAATTATTTCTAACATTATAAATCCAAGAATAAGAGGATTAAAAATGAAAAGAACATATAAGCAAGTTGAAGGAAACCTGACCTTAGGAATTCCACTGTAAATAATCTTTCAGTTTACTGCTATATACAGTTTAAAAAAATTTGCAAATAAGGCTGGGTGTAGTGGCTCATGCCTGTAATCGCTTTGGGAGGCTGAGGCGGGAAGATCACCTGAGGTCAGGAGCTCAAGACCAGCCTGGCCAACATGGTGAAACCCCGTCTCTACTAAAAATACAAAATTAGCCGGGTGTGGTGGTGCATGCCTGTAATCCAAGCTAATTCGGAGGCTGAGACATGAGAATCGCTTGAACCTGGGAGGCAGAGGTTGCAGTGAGTCAAGATTGCACCACTGCACTTCAGCCTAGGCGACAGGAGCAAAACTCTACCTCAAAAAAAGAAAAAAAAAAAAAGGAAATAGAAATACAGGATACTCAGTTAAATTTGAATTTTGGTCAAAAAATATTGTTATTATAAGTGCATCTTATGCAAAATTTGGGACATAATTATACCAACGTATGTTTTGTTGTTTATCTGAATTTCAAGCTTAACTGGTCATCCTATGTTTTATCTGGCAATTCTATCTTTTCTGTCATCTTTGTATCCATTTTGCAAATACATTTTATCTATTCTCCCTCATATTCATCTACTGAAAAAAAAACGCATTTTTGCTTTTCAACAAATATTCAAGATCTGGAAAGAATATAGAGCTTGGAGAAAAATAGCAGACAAGAACAACATTTAATAAGACTTTTAAATGAAGCCACTGGCAAAGAGTGGAAAGAAATATTTCACTCTCTGTGCTAAAGTATTGAAAATGTTCAGATTGTTCTTATTTTTCAAGATTCAAGTAATAATACATTAGGGTAATTTTCTCTTTTTTTAGTGGAAATGAATGACTAAATGAACAATTAAAATACTTTTGCAATATTGAACTGAAAAAAAAAACCTGTTGGGGGTAAAGAAGACTAACTTGAATGTTATTTAGTTTTTAACATTCATGTTATTTAATTCTTAACATTGACTTCATCTTTTGGAGAAAAGAGTGAAAACCCTTCATTCATCATCTGTTAGTAAAATTGTTTCTGAAAAATATATTTGTCCACTAGCAAATACTGAATTGCTTGATTTAGTGATTTAATTTGACTTAGAACCATCACGACAATTACAAAATCACATTAAGGTTAATTAGAAAATCACATTAAGGTTACTTAACTTAAGTGCTAATTGGTTTCTATGAGTGTTATAATGGTGCTAATTACTCTCCCTTTCCTTGGGTTCTAACCAGTTGAGAATGACTCCACTGGGATACAAGTATTAGGGTTGTAAATTACCTGTGTGCATTTATTTCCTATGAAGTGTTTCTGCTAAACCGAATCAGATGTTGGATAAGCATAAGGTCAAATGAGGTTTTCCATTTTTCTCTCTGTTGTACTGAAGACAGCTGCATCCATACAGCTAACTTAGCACTCCAGGGCGGGCTGAGCAGGTAGACTCCCTGTTCCCCTTGCCAGTGGCAGTTGTGAATAACTGTAGAAAGGCTGGCAGCCTTGAAAATTCCCTGCAGAGGTGAGTGTGCTAGCAGAATTATATATCATGTAAATAATCAGAGGCCAGGTTGACATATATAATACTTGATGCTTTTATATTTTCAGAACTCAACAAACATTTCTCTGCAGGGTGTGAAACCCCTAAATATTGTGCTGCTTGATGCCTAGACCGATGGTTTGAGGACACATCTGTTGAAGTTAGGCTTTGCAAAGAAGATAGCAAAAACCTTTTTACAATGTCCTTATGAATACAATACACACTGGAAGAATTCTAATTATGAGGCAAATGGAAACTTAATGGGCTAGAATGGTTTAGGACAAGGACTTCTTGATCAGTTCCTTGTTCTTTTCTTGTAATGGACCAGGCTGATGGGCTCCATCTGTTGACAAATAGTTTTATTTTATATTTTCAATATTTGGCTCACTGACTACTGTATTAAGCTGCGTTCAAAGGTTTATTTAAAGCATCAGCTGGGATCTAATGCTAGGTAATCATTTGTAGGTATTACAAATTTAAAAAAGTATTTTTATTTGAGTTTATTTCCAGTGCCCTTTTTTATACTAATGCGGCTTTCCTCTCTTCTAGTTTTGGACGATAATAAGTTATTTGTTCTTGTTCTTCATATGTTTACATATTACCAAACTTCATTAGTTTTAAGCCAGGTATATTTTCATATATTGCCATGTTTGAAATTGGATTGGGTCTTACAATCAAAAGCATTGATTTTATTGATTGAAACAGCAAATATTTTTTCTTTCCTGATGATCATAAAAATCAAGAAATCAAATGTTAAACAATAGGACATTTTGCAATTAATGACATCTTAGACCTAAAGAAATATGATATTTCATGTGAGGCAGCTCTCATTAGCCATAAATATGTTTCTTTTGCCAATCTTACTGATGATACCCTGATTTTTACAAACTCCTTCCTAATTTAGTAATTCTTTCAATTCTAACCATGCCTTCTGGTGCCATTTCATGTGTTTGTGCATATTTTTCTATGTGTATATGCACATTGATGGACATTTAAAGATAGAAATTTTGAATAGTTTAATTGTTCCTTTAATTATACCCAGTTAACATAAAGCAAGCTTTAGTTCATGTCTCTTCCAATTTGATAGCCTATCATGAAAAATGTCAGAGGCTCCTGTTGATCTTATGTATGGAAGAGGAGACAGACAACAACCCAGGAAATATATTTATGTAGAATGTTTTTTCAAACAAAATTATGCTTTAAAATGCTGTACAAAGAGTAAAAATTTTTCTTGACGTCTCTAATTATTTCTCACACTCCAACTGTCAATTAGTTGTTCTAAACTTTAAAAGGTTGTCTTCATGTTGGCATAAGTGATATAAAACTATTGATATACATGAAGATGTTTTGTTAGAATTTTATTCTCTCTTTGAAAATCCTCCCAGGAAATAGCAACTAAATAATAACAAACTCAAACAAAAATTATATGATTGATGTGTAAATAAAACTCATTTTTTTAAGAAAAATCATAAATATTTAGGAACCACTATAGTTTTTTCTAAAATCCAAAGAAGGAAGATTCCAGAATCTTTTTAATGATGGCCTGCTGTCAAGAAATTTGTAATATTCATTGTTACATTCTGGAGGTTTAGTTGAGGAAGTTGTATTTTTCATTCATTAACTCTACTAACTTTGACTTTTCTTAATTGTGTGTAATCAATGTTATAAATAAAAAGAAATAAAATTTAAAAATTAATTATAAAATGCTTAACCAAAAAGTATATTTTGTACTGTCACATTTGATATAAAGATAAATTAAGTATAGGATGAGATTAAATAAGAGACTTAATAAAAACTATGCTACTTTTATTTAATAATGATAAAAGTTTGGAATTCAGCATATGTACAAAATGCAATTGTAAAAATAACATAGAAATCGGATAACATAAATAATGAATGAAATAAATTATTCTTTCAAATTTGTGAATTGAAAAATTAATATCTCCTTGTATTTCCTAAAATTATGAATTTTGTTGTCTTGTACAAAATATATCTAAATTGTCACTCTATAGCTTATATTATAATGGATGGACAAAAATACATCTATATAATTATAGGTAAGATGGCATTAATATACTAACAGTGATTATCCCTTTGGAAATGACATATTATCTAAGTCTTTGCCATTGGATAACTAATACAAAATCTAGAAAAATATGTATTCATCAGTGTACATGAAATACATTTGCATATACTTTTAATGAGGATATATTTAGAAGTTTTTTCTCAATGTGACTATTGTCTTCAAAGGATAGAAGTTGTTTTAACAGAATTTGAAAGATTCAAAATATGTCTAAAAAATAGTTTAGCCATGAAGTGGGGGATGGGGAATGCTGTGAATATAGGCTATTAGCATCTCAGTATGTTGCCTATTATACTAATATGTACACCCTTCAGAAACCGAAATAAAGGAGAAAATTGCTTTCTGCAAATTGGACACTGTAAGCACACACAGAGTGTATAATTAATACAAAGGTTGAAAGGTGTATTCATTAGCCATTTTTGTACTATAATAAAAAGGATTAGTCTTGCTTATAAAGATATTAAAAGGAAACTAAGTTTAATATAATTTTTTGTAGAAAAAATGAAACTCTAGCATTTAGAATGAATGAAATCACAGTTTTGAGTTTTTATGTAGTAACTGACTTTAAAGGAATTCTTTATCAAATTATTAACAAATTATTTAGAATAATACAATAATAATATAAAAGTCTCTTTCATGACTTTTATATTACTGTATTTCAAGTCTTCTCATTCTTCATCATAAATATTTATGTATTTTTCCTAAAGATTATTTTGTGTCTGTTAAACTGGCATTTGCCCTCATCTACCTGCTAACCTGGTATGTCTCAATGGGTGTCTTAAAAAATTTGCTCTGCTAAGAGAATAGAAAACTCATATATCATTGTGTACATCCATCTATAGATGGTGATGATATGAATACACTTTCATCCCTCTTCCAGTCATCCAAACTAAATTCTACAATTGTTTGTGGAAGACATTGTTACTCTTTAATTGTTACCCTTCAAGGCAAACAGAGAGTATACTTCTGCTCACATTTCATTAGCTAAAGCAAATTTCCGAGTCGGGACTCACTTTAAAGTACATGCTTTAAAAAGTCAATACTTGATTTTTTTTGTGCCTCCTAAACTTGGCTTAAATAATTGCCATAAAATGTTAAAATGAATGTTATTTTCCATTTTCTCTAAATTCACTGGGGTTTGATTGAAATTGCACTGAATAAAAAAAATCCATTTGAGGAGAAATGTCAACTCTACGATACTTAGCCTTTCAATCCAGGTACATGGCATCATTTATCTACGTATCTTATAATGTATCTCAGTAATGATCTATCTATTTTCTGTATGGTCTTGTATATACTTTGGTAGATTTATTACTAAGTAGTTAAATTTGTTGCTATTGAATGGTTGTTTTTTTTAAATAGCATTTTCTCAATTTCTGTTTCTTATATATAAATATAAAGTTGTTATTGAGCTTGTATTTCAGAACCTTGATAAATTCACTTATTCTAACAAACAGTATAACTACAAATTTTAGATTTATTCCATGTTGTAATCATAAGACCTTCAAATTTTTCTTGTAAATATTTTTTACTTGTTTTCTCGTTGCTTTGTCTTGACCTGAGAAGAATGAGAAATAATGCTGTCCATTTGAATTAGGAGTCCATCTTTAAAAAGGGATAGTACAAATAGTGAGAAGAGCTTTGGCTGGGAAATTATGCTTCAGCTATAGCACAGATCATCTGTACTACATCACAGGGCAGCTGTACTATATTGGGGAAGTAGTTTCAGCTTCACACTTGTCATCTTTCTTTTCCTTATAAAACAAAGTTTAAAAGATTCCACAGTTTTTCTTAGTGATAATATTCTATTATTTTAATCTATAACTGGTTCTTATAGGATTTTAAATTTTACTTCTATAAAATATCTTAATGTTACCTTAGAAGAAATATATACTGAAAATCTAACTTCAAGGGAGCTATGTATCTCCTGAAGACATGAGGAATAAAATAACCTGAAAAGGGCATGTTCAACTAAATCATCCTGAAATATTTATTTGTATGCATGTTAAACCTACTCACATAGGTCAGGCAAAATATTTTTATATTAAGAATGTTTCAGTGGATATTATTTTTCCTATTCTTAGTGCTATGAACCTCTCTTATAATTTTTTTTACACATATATGTATAATGATGTTTTGAATCCACGGATACAGGCTTCAGAGTCAAGTTCAGTTTCCTTGAAATAGTGAAACCTAAATGGACAGCACTTAATGAAAATGAGACTGGCTGCACCACCCCATTCCACACACCATATGTCCTGAATAGCCTCTACTCTCTGCCAAGATGTAATTCAAATCAGTGACCTAGAAATGAAAGACTACATACCCCATTACCAATCAATTCCCTGAGCCATTCAGTCTCTACTCAGTAATATTTTAATAAATCATTTTCATTTATATTGATGAGCCGTTAATGCAAATTGTAAGTAAAAGGACAGTTGACTTTTATTAGCAAAGACACGAATATATAATATGCTACACCAAAAATTCCATGCCCTATGCTCTATGTGATACCATGTAACTCATTCACCAGAGGAAAAGATGAAATACTAGTAATTTTACAGAACTTCATGAAATCATATTTTTACATTTCATTTAATATCTTAGATTGTTTCTAAATAATTGTAGATAAAATGTTTGAAATTTGGGTTACATTCTATGCTATGTTTCTGTTTCATTCATGTTAATTAATAAGAGGTAGTTCCAATGATGGAAAGAGCTTGACAACTCCTAGGCACTCTTTTAAATGCCAATGGATTGTACCTTGTTTGTGTAAGCCTAAAGCTGTAGTTGTGTAATTCCATATCCATGTGTGAATTCTGCCTGCCTCCTTCCCCCGAGTATAAGCTTTACTTATACTGGTAGTATCACTCACATTATTAAAACAATAGTGACACTAATTAACAATGAGTATTTTAGAGGTTTTGAAGTTATAAGTTGCTGCCACATTAATTATCTCGTTAATTAGCCTTCAAACCCTGTAATTTGAGTGATTTAATCATTCACTCAACATTATTTTAGCTACTTTATGGAATTGTAGTAAATGCCAGGAATATAAAAATGAAGATAAAAAGCCAAAGCCCTAATGAGTATGTCAGCAAGGGTTATTTTCCCTGGACAGTTGTGTTATTCTTACTTCCTCAGTGCTATGAAGAATCAAAAACTAATCATCTTCTTTAAATGTGCAGAAAAGAAAAGAAAAACACACCTTTCTGCTTAGTTGCAGAAACCACCTCTGCATGAGTCAAGCTCTCTGATGAATGAGGAAAGTAAAGACACTATATTAATGTTTTTCAAATTGGGTTCCATGTAATTTAGAGTATGGTGCAGTATTAATAAGAGTTTTGATCAAAACATTTTGTAGATGAAAAAAGTTTGATAACTGTTCATATTACATTTTCTTATAAGATTTTTGCAATATGCATTAAAACTTCCGAGAAATACTGCAGTAAATAATGTAGTTTGACTTTATTATTATTAAACTTTCTCAAACACAAAATCACTTCCTTTTTGGAAATCTTACAGTAATATAGTGCAGGTATTGTTCTTCTATAGACTAATAGAAGCATTCAGCTAGACAAATTAAAAATGGTTTCTAGTATTATTTTACCTTTGGCTTTTAGTGATGTTGTATCTGTCTCAATGTTTATTAAAAATAGACCATTAACATTCATGCAAGCTATTTAATTCCTTTGAATTTGTTGAAAATGCAGAATATTAGGTCTCGGCCCAGATTTATGATTTAAAATTTGCATATTAACAAGATCCCAGGTGATTTGTAATCATATTAGAGTTTGAAGCATTAATTTAGATCAGTTGTTCTCAACTGATCTAAATTAGTTAGTTAGTTCTCTAGACTAACTAAGTTAGTTCTCTAGACTAACAGCATTAACATTACCTAGAAATGTGCTGGAAATGCCCATTGTTAGGCCCTACCCCAGACATACTGAGTCAGAAATCCTAAAAATGGGACCTAGTTATCAGTATTTATAAGGTTCTTCCAAATGATAATGATGGAAGCTAAAGTTTGAGGATCACTGTTTAACAGTGGGGTTACATTAAGTCATTTGGAGGATTTTGTTTTACTTTAATATTAATATCTAGGTCTTGTGCTCAAATGAAGTAAATGAGAATGTGGGTATGAGGATGGAAAGGTGCTAGTCATAATGTGTTTTATAACCTTCTAAAATGATAGTCATTCACAGTCAAGATTGAGAATCACTAATCTTCGTAATAACTCCATCTGCTGTGAAGATTGAATTATTTTATAGAGATAAGGACTCATTTAATGACCAGGGCAATGGGGACAGGACAGATGTGTAACTCATGTTAGCAGAGTAACTTACAACGCATCTAATAACGAGATGAAATTAGCCATTACTATGGTTCAGGTATGGTTCGTTGGTCCCCACCAAGTCTCATTGAAATTTAATCCTCAGTGTGGTGATGCTGGGAGGTGGAGCCTAATAAGAAGTGGGTGGGTTAGGGAAGCAGATCTCTCATGAATGGCTTGATGCTGTTCTTGTGGTACTGAGTGAGTTCTTGCCCTTGTGGGACTGGATTCTCAGGGGAATGGATTAGCTCCACCAAGAGCGGGTTATTGTAAAGTGAGGTTCTTCCCCCTGTTTCATCCCTCTTCCCATATGCCTGCTTCCCTTTGACCTTCTCCATCAAATTTTGATGCAGAACAAGCGTCCTTCCCGGAAGCAGAGTAGTTGCTGGCGCCCTGCTTCGGCATCTTCTCTGCAGAACCCTGAGCCAAAGAAATCTATTTTCTGTATAAACTACCCAGCCTCAAGTATTCCTTAACAGCAACTCAGAATGGACTAAGACAACTGTATTCATTTGCCAAAGCAAGAAGTTCTCTTGGAATTAGTTAAGTCTCACTATTGTTTCGGGAAGCTGGAAAGTGGGTGCTCATACCGATATGCTCAGATTACCCTTTAACCGGGAAGCCTGTTCGTCTCCTTCCAATCCCTGTGCGCCTCTTTTCTTTTCTCTCCTCTCCTCTCCTCTCCTCTCCTCTCCTCTCCTCTCCTCCCCTCCCCTCCCCTCCCCTCCCCTCTCCTCTCTTTTCTTTTCTTTTCTTTTTTGACGGAGTCTCGCTCTGTCGCCCAGGCTGGAGTGCAGTGGCGCGATCTCGGCTCACTGCAAGCTCCGCCTCCCGGGTTCACGCCATTCTCCTGCCTCAGCCTCCCGAGTAGCTGGGACTACAGGCGCCCACCACCGCGCCCGGCTAATTTTTTTGTATTTTTAGTAGAGACGGGGTTTCACCGTGTTAGCCAGGATGGTCTCCATCTCCTGACCTCGTGATCCGCCCCCCTCGGCCTCCCACAGTGCTGGGATTACAGGCGTGAGCCACCGCGCCGGCCCCCACTTTGCTTTTCTGAAGCCTCACAGCTGGTACTTACATACTTTTACCATTGTGAAACTCAAATAGCTAGAGCTGTCTCTTAAGTGATCTAACATTCTTTATTCCTATGGCCTCTTCTGTCTCCTAGACCTCTGTTACAACAGTGGCAACACTGCTCAGTGTGTCATATATAAAACTCAAGACCGTTTTGGTTTCACAAAAGATAAGCATACATAACGTGGGAGAAGTGCCCTCATAAAACTTTCTGCAGAGTAAGAAAATTACCAGTTTTGTGTGGAGGGTACAGCTAAAAGTGAAATTGTGTGGTATGGCAACACAAACATCTTAGAAATATATTTAAGAAGTTCTTGTTCTTTAATAATGTTCTCTGGTGACGAATAAATATATTTAAGAAGTTTTTTTTTCTTTAATAATCTTCTTTAATAATATTCTCTGGTCACAAAGAGCATGTTGGTTGGAATCAACATGGTTTTGGCCACTTCTCTTTCCAGACACACCCAAGAGTACTGGTCCTCCCTCGTTTCCCTCCTTTAACTGCTCTTTGCTCTGACTGTCTCGTGATATCCACCTTTGTATATCGGTGCTAAGAACAAAACACCTCTTCCTAAAAGTGAGCAGCCTAACCCACCAAGGTGGTCAGGAGATAAAAGTGATTTCACTCCAGCATGAACTTCTTTCCTTAGAAAGCCATTGTATTTATATAAGGTACCCAGATGTGTACATTGTTTAATGTGACAATTGCATGCACACTTGTTGTCCAGGAAGTCTGCCACTTTGTATTTGTTTGTGTGTGTGTGTGTGTGTGTGTGTGTGTGTGTGTTTTAAATTTCTAACAAATTATTGTTAGTGATGGCATAAGAACATATCATTTTGGGACTGACACCATTTACTTAGTGCTGTCGGCTTCTGCCTTGGGTTTGGTAACATTTACTTAGCACTTCAAGCTTCTGGCATGATATCGTATAATTGCATGTGAGACTCCCGTGCAGTGAATAGAGTTCTTACTTTAATTTGGTTAAATCTGAAAGACAATCACTCTTGAACAACTTTATCATTACTGAGTAACTACACCTCGTTTTCAAGGATGGCATAGAGGTGCCTACTGATAAAAAGAATTACACTCAGAATCCAACTGTCAGGGACTGCTGACTTCTTACTATCTCAGGTGATGGTAGAAAAAATATTCCTACCATCACCTGCTGCTCCCTCTGCCAGTCATTTGATGTACCATCCATGGCTCCACAGTCCACGCTATTGACAGCGTGATACAGAGAAGAAGGGAACGACCAGGCCAGCAGTCCAGGGATCAGAGGGAAAATAAAATAAAATAAAATAAAAAAATAAAATAAAATAATAAAATAAAATAAAATAAAACAAAACAAAATAAAATATAACCAGAAAATTATAGATGAGATATACAGAATGAAGACAAGAAAATACAAAAACTCTCCTAGAAAACAGTCTGAGCAGCCTACTATTGAGTACAAAAGTTGTCGGAATGTGTTTCCTGTAGTAGGATTGTCACTCTGTGGTATAGATCTATATTTCATATATTTCACTGTTCTATGGCAGTTTTTTCACATGAAATTCTGTTTCTTGACTTTCAGAACATGAAATCAACATATAGACAAAATGCAGAAGAAAATTTCAATTATGGAAAAGAGAGTAAATATTTTCAAGTTTGGCCTTTTTAAGGACACATTGTCAAATGTCAGTGCTCTGGAGAGAAGTTGGTTGTTTCTCATTCTTTGTTGGTTTTGAATAAATCTGCTATAAATATTTGTGTTGAGATTTCTTGTGCGTGTACACATAAGCATTCCAATCAGCTGTACAATACTTAGGAGCATAGTTCCTAGATAGCATGCTAAGACTATGTTTATATTTGTAAGAAAAAAAAAAGACCACCAAATTGTCTTCTAAAATGTATCATTGCGACAAAAGATTCTTACTCTATTAAGAATGTATAAAGTATAATCTCATTAAAGATTAGGGAAAAGATACTGACTTAGGTAACCTGGAAATGAGTGGAGTCTGTAAAACTAAACGCAAAAGAACTGCACATAAGCACTAAACTCTAGTAGGAAATGTTGTTCCCTACATGGGTACAGGCTAAGGATTATGAAACCGCGACACATATACACTGAAATTTAACAGTTAGGTAAATGGAGGCAATCTAGAGAATTATGTTTCTCACACTTCAAGTGTGAGAAACATGATTCTCAATATAGATACTAACAGTTACATTTATAAGAATGTGTAAATGTAAGGGTTGGAATCAACACATTGTCTTGCTCTGTCAGTTGAGAGGACCTTGGAGCAATGCCACACCAGAACAGCATATCTAGTACCCGGATCTTAGTTTCTAATGTCACTCTCCAATTAAAGGGCACAGAGTTTTTGGAGAAATGACTGATTCTAGGACAGGGTAAAGGATATACAAGATGGGACTGAAAAATATTTTAGTGCCAGAAAAAAATGGCCTTCTTGAAAAAATAAAGAAAAAAATAACAGAACAAAATGCACAATGATGAGGGAAAGACAAAGGGAAACAGGGTCAACTGAAAGAGTTCTCAATGGCCAAAGCTGGGATGATGTGACAAATGAAATAAGTCAGTGTTGGACTGTAACACAAAGTATAAAATAAATACTTAAGAGTTCATGATAATATGAATTATTGAATAAATAAATTAGGGAAAATACACAAATCTCTCTTGTAAAAACATGAAAAACAATTCATGGGAATACTCAGCCCTTAAATAAATGGAGCATAACTCCTCATTCCTTAAGTATGGGTTGCACATAGTGACCTCTTTCCAAGGATTACCATATGGAAAGGCAGGGGCAGGCCTGGGGGAAAGAGTAAGTTTATATTGAAGAAATCCGATAAGCACTATCTCTGCCAGGTGAGCAAGAATAATATCAACAGTGATAATTAACATTGATTGTATTTATACTTGCTATGATACAATGAGAGCAGCACTTCACTTCTGTGGTCTTCTTCCCAAAAATTCATAATAAAAAATTAACCAGCTGGGCACGGTGACTCACGCCTGTAATCCCAGCACTCTGGGAGGCCGAGGCAGGCAGATCACCTGAGGTCGGGAGTTCAAGACCAGCCTGACCAACATGGAGAAACCCTGTCTCTACTAAAAATACAAAAAATGAGTTGGGCGTGGCGGCACATGCCTGTAATCCCAGCTACTCGGGAGGCTGAGGCAGGAGAATCGCTTCAACCTGGGAGGCAGAGGTTGCAGTGAGCTAAGATGGCACCAATGCACTCCAGCCTGAGCAGCAAGAGCGAAACTCTGTCTAAAAAAAAAAAAAAATTAACTGAATTTACATTTTTAAAGAAAGTTGATAAGGAATATATAACTTGCAAAAATGTTTATTGCCATTTATATTCCACCATAAGGGCCACAATGAGACACAACAGTCATAAGATACAGATCTAGTGAGGAAGCGTCAGAAGCTATTTTAGAGTTTATAGTTATATTGAGCAAACTATAAGCAAACGTCATGGTGTAATTCACCTG
Organism: Homo sapiens; assembly: GCF_000001405.40. NCBI lineage: Eukaryota > Metazoa > Chordata > Mammalia > Primates > Hominidae > Homo > Homo sapiens. The sequence goes on from NC_000021.9 coordinate 19,025,359, forward strand.
CCACTGCTAGCTTTACAGTTACTTAACACTGTGAAGCTGAAGTTTCTTATATAGAAAAACTGAATGTTCTAAAAATTAATTTGGCTTATTTTAAATTCCAAGGTTTCTTGTGTACACATTGAAGGTACATTACTAATATTTTTAAATACGTTGGCTCAAACAACAAAAGAAGTTTGCAAAGAATTAATATGCAGTTTTACATCAGTGCCTTTGAAGACTGCAGGTAGAATAAAAGTTAAGTTAGTGCCAAAAGTCATTTGATTTTAAGTACAATTTATGTCATCGAGTAAAATTTGTCAAAGTATTAATATATGCTTCTGAAAGAAAATACCTGATATTATTCTGAATGCTATTCTAAATATAGCTAAGAAATTAGTTGTTGGAAAATAATATTTTTTTTATTATGGTAATACTAATAAAAGTTTTGATGGAAAACAACCTGTGGTAAAAAGAATATCCTTGTTGATACATTCAAGAAGACAGTAAGAAACACACATAACTCATGGTTGCATCTAATGAAACTGCGATAATCTACTAAATGAAATAGAGATTACGAACAACAAAAGTTTAAAAGACAATGTACTCTTTTCTATGTAGATAGTTTATATATTATGTATATAAAGTTTAAAAAATTAAATATATGCTTGCATAAGTTTAAAAAGACATATCTTTTAAAAATATATGAATATTTATATATGTTTACATATATTTTTAAATAAAGTACATATCTTGTAATTAAGCAGAGGATAAACATAAAAATAAATCCTTCATTATGGCACCTCTGATTTGGATGATAAATAATATGGGAATTCATTTTAGAGAGGCGAATATCGTTACCAAATATTAATTTCATTATGTTTTATTTATTTATTTGTCTGTGGTTTTTTTAGTGCTGATTGCCAGATTAGAAGCTGATTGGATTCAATGCTTTATCCCGGCGAGTTAAAATCCAAATATCTATACATCCCAGGTTTCAATCCTTCTGGTAATTTGTCTCTTCTAAACTCCTGCTATTTGAATTAAAATATCTTAACTGCTCTCCATAGTCTGATCTTTGACAGACTAACAAATGCCGTGCTCTTAAATTATTCCTGGCACACAGCTTCTGCGACCTCCCTCATGCTCAACCCAATCTTCACTCAGGTCACCCTTATAGAGTCCACCACAAAATTAGGATGGATGTCTACTTGAAAAAATTGAACATCACATAGAGTGGCAAGATGAAGAAAGATGCCAGGTAGCAAATGGCATGTGTTTAACACAGTCATGTGCAAATAGCAGGTGTTCGGCGAATGCTCACAGAATAAATGAAAGGCTGAATCTGAAGCACTAACTGGAAATTGAGAAATTATTATTCCAAATAATAGGGATGTCAGTGTGTTTAAAGACATACGTAATATCATTCAAAAGCAAATATATTCCACATAGACACATTCTTATTTTGATCTTCATAAAGTGCCCTACATCATTTTATGTGATTCTCTAATACATTTATTACCTTTCTGGTTATTTATGTGGCTCACTTTCTTGTTATTTTCCTGGCTAAAATACATTTAAAGCTTAAAATATAGCATTTCTAGTGATCATTGCATGATCACTTCTGTTTTTTACACTGCATTTTCAAGCAGCTCTTAGCATACACTATAAAAATACTCACATTTCAAGTATTTCTAATGGAGTTTATCTTAAGTATAGCAGTTCCCCTCTTGAGGATTATAACACTAAGTGATTTAATTAAACTGATCAAATTAAAGTGAATGGTGGCATAAGCCCTAGAGTGACATATATTTCAGTTGTGAAAACAGCCACTGGAGTGCTTTACTTACACTCTCCATTTGACATACTTTCAGATCTTACTTTCTAATAGAGTATTCAACTATACCAAATAAAAGGAATGCTGACAATTTGAACTATTTTTGTTAATTTAATATGTATTTCTTTATTGCTAAATGAATTTATTTATAATTATTGTTCTATTGCCCTAAGTTACAACATTTATACGTTGAATACCTAAATGCATACATGAGTTTAAAAAGTTGAGAAAAAATTTCCAAGTGCTGAAGATGATGTATTTTGTTTAGTTTCAAGTATATTGTGAAGGAACATATCTACTTAAGAGATATGTTAATGTCCATTGGATGCTTGGGAGAGAATGTCTAGATCTTGCTGTAAAATATATTAAGTGATGATAAAATAATTGGTTACCTTCCAAATCTTAAACATATCAAAGGCATTAGAGCTCGGACTTTATTCTCTTCCCAATTTTTTGAGATTGAAATTGGTGCAGATGCTGTTATCTTGCCTGTGTTTAATATTTAATTTAGTTTTTTTCCTTAAAGTTTGAATATGTAATATTTGAGAAAACACATGATTCATACAACTGTGAAATAATTCTATCTTTTATAGTAAGTATTTAAACAAGCTGCACTATTAACTTTTCCATAAATGTAAACCACGTTTTTTGCATTGGATCTTCATATTACAGTCTTCTACCTATATTGTGTGTACTGAGTATATAAATTATAAGCAGTATAAATATCATTTCTAATATCTATAACTTTCACGGAAATTGTACTAGGCTGCAGATAGGAAGACTGCTTTTATTTTCTGGCTTAGCTTCAAGAACTAAATGCCTGTATAACTAGAAAAAGTCGTTATGCTTTCTTTTCTCAATTTCTTCATATATTGAACTAGGAGAGTAAGGGCAGGAAGGATGCATTAAAAAAACGCAAACAGCGAGGACAATGACCACCAAGCACCCTAGAAAATGACAGAGGAGGAAATAAAATAACAAAAATTAAAGTAAATATCTGAATTATGACATAGTATTACAGTGAATGTTGATACTGATGAAGCTATTGTTATGAATTTTGCAGATTATTTACAAAACATTTGCATTCATTCTCTACTACTTTTTCATAGATGTCTATGACATAACCAAAGAAGAAATGTATTAACCTCATTTTAGAAAGGGGGATAATATCAGTTTGAAAAGTGAAACCACATATTAAGTTGTAAGCTAGAGATTGGATAACAGATTTTTATAGTACAAAGGCTGTTTGAATTGCTCATTCTCGTTATCTGATTAATCCGGTATAATTGAAGATCATCTGGTTTATTCACATAAGCAGAGGATAGTCTTTCTCTGTGTGCATGGCTGAAGAACTTCAACCTGCCTGTGATGTAAATGCCAGGTGAGTCTTGTAGATGCTGGGGTGATGAATGTGTGAGGTACCCTACCTACAGCAGAGGTAAGAAAAAACTTCTGAGACAACAAAGTAACTGTCATTCCAGCACCTGAAAGACAGGAGCAATGTTTGAAGTGATGGGCCACATATTAGGTTAGATAGGAAATAAATTGGTTTCTAAAAGTAGTAAATAGACCAAAAGTGAAGGAAGAGACAGAAGACTTGGAAATTCCAATGAAATTATAAAGTAGTTATAGTGAAAATAGCAGAAAGAAAAAATTGGAAAGATATGATTACTAGCAAATAATGGGATATTGATCTTTAGGCATGATCACTATATGGGCACACCCATCCACAGAACAAAGTGATTGCTTCACCCCATGATGTGAGAAAAATTGCAGTGGGTGCTTTATTTTTCTTTCTTTCTTTTTCTTTTTTCTTTTTCGTTTTTTTGATTGTGTGTGTGTGCGTGCATGTCTTAATAGCAGGTGGTGTATTTTTAAGTTATTTGTAAAAGCTATGTGAAAGCAGCATTTATGCGAAATTGGTAAATATACATAATGTGAGATAGGTTGGTAAGAAACTGAAATCTTTAAATTGCAGCACCCTCTTCCATCCAGCCAAGGTAGAAATTTCTACTTCCATGCACTCAATTACTATGTCTTCCAGATTTTGATTTGTAAACATTTCCAGAATCTGTTCACTCTTCTCAATTCCGGAGTAAACTACCACGATCTCTCACTGAGATAATCACCTTTCTACCTGGCTTAACTGCCTGTAATCTTGCCCTCTTCCATTTACATGTTCCATATGCAGGAAAGGTCTTCATCCAAAAATGAGAGAGTAAGTTTGATATATCACTATATTGTTCAAAAATTTTATTCACCCATTTTCTTTAATATAAAAGCATGCACTCTTCCACGTGGATTTACAAGGCCCTCCATATTAGCCTGTATCATCACCCTCTTCTAACTATTGCCTTCCTTACATTCTTTACTAGACTGTGAACCTTCCAGTTTCTTGAATATGCCATACTCTCACTTACCTCACAATATGCTCATATGCATGAACAATATGCTCCTGTGCATGGAACTTTTTTTAATGATATGCTCCCTGTAAACCTTAAAATACCTAAGCTTCCTCACAGAACTCTTCCCTGGATGCTGGACTAACTTAATTACAGTAATTTATTTTCCCACAAGGTGTTGTATATTTCCTTTTATAAACCCCATCAGAAATTTTTGACTTAACACTTCTATCAAATATATTGTTAATTTTTTGCATATTTAAACTATGTTGTCTTTTTTTGTTATCATTGTCAAGTTGTCATATTAGAATTTCAGTATCTTTATAAACTTGTTTTAAACTCCGGAAACAGCACAAAACTATATCCACTGGATATATTTCCCTAATCTCTTGAGACACTAGGAAACCACGGAGCTGAGATTCATGCTAATGTTAATGTGTCATCATGAGCAATGTTCTTTCCATAACAGTGTGTTGTTTCCCAACCCAAAGCATTTAAAGAAAGATAAAAAGAAAACAGATAAGCAGGAACACCTTCTCAACATAGAAATTATAGGGGACAATGAAGACTTGGTCTTGTATAACTACATGCCTTGCTTCCAAAGTTCTTATGATGAATGTAGCTGTCCACTCAATGACAAAATATTCAAACTTAAGTCTTTTCTTTCAGGTTTTGCTATCTTTTTTAGGCTCTTTTTTTTTTCCATGTCAGATGTTTTAGGATGTTTAAATAAAAGAGAAAGATATCTGAAAAGTCTTGAAGTACAATATAATTAATGAAGTCCTTAATGAGTTAAGTTTTTACAACTGTGGATTCCTGCGACACCCTATTGAAATACCCAATTAAAAGATAATTAGGATAAATTATGGTGAGAAAGGAGATAACCTTACATCTTCAAGTAAAGACCTTCTTGCTTCACATAAAACTTTCAGGGTGACTCTTACAGCTTCTTCCAAAGAACAGAAATTAAGTACAAGGATGAGATCCATTTTAATATTAACAAATTTAATTTAAAATACACCATTTTAAAACTAATGTGATTAGAAATATATTTTACAAGGTTATATGTTAATAAAATTTCTTGAAATGAAGTAGAAGTTATCTGTCACGTGTTTTCTCAGTATTCACACGAACAATTCATTACAATTTTATAGTAGTCATAGCTGATGCATTCACTCATTTATGTATTGGGTGTCAGCTATGAACCATGGCAAGACCAAGACCTCTGTGCACAATATAAATTTAAATTTGGTCTTTTTTAAAAATACATATGTATCAAAATTTTTCTCATTTCTTTTCTAACCATTTTTAACAAGACCACACTGTGGGAATAAATTATCTAAATATAACTAGCCATGAGAGACATCAGTTATTTGGAATTGTGTTAGATATAATTTTTTAAATTCTTAATTACATCAACCGCTAAGTAAAACTCCAATATGAATTTTAGTAGCTGAAATTATTAATAGCACACTTCTAAATCATTAAAAACAAGGAAAGAAATGTATCTTTGTATAATATATTCATGCCTACAAATTTATGATGTCTTATATTCATTCATAATAAATAATCAGGCAAATCAAATAAAATAAGTTTAGGCCTGAGTATATTCATATGTGCTTATGTATATATGTGTGTTTATATGTATATGTGTATATATGTGTGTTTTTGTAAATGTATGCATTTATATTCAGTATGTAATAATAAATCCAGATGATTTACATTCAAATCCTGGCTCATTTACTATCTTAGTGACTTTACACAAGTTGCTGACATGCTTTGTTCTCATTTCTCTTTAAAATAAAAATAATACTAATTCTTACCCGGGAGAGTTGTTGTAACAATTAAATGAATAGATATATTAAAGTAATTAGAATAATGTCTGGTACACAGCAAGCATTCTAAATATTGGCAATTATATTGTGTGTATTTTACTATGGCTGGACATGTGTTCACACCCAATGGTGACAGGGAGATGGAGAAGGAATGCTTTTTATAGATCTGAAATTCTCAAGTCTTTATGATATTGAGAAAAAATATCCCCAGGTATCATCCAAAGTTTTGTCTTAAGTTATTTAATAAACTGGCTTGTTTTAAGTAGAATTTGTGTCCAAAATCAATCATAATCAAAATTAGGAATTTTAGGAAATTTGATTGTTTTACAAAACAGATTTCATAGATGTTTATATATAAGATGGTGTGCCAGATCAACTGCTACTTGCTTTTTCTCCCCCCACTTTCATGTTCTTTTCTACTGACTGAGAGACTTTTTCTTGTAACTGAAATTTTAAAATCATCTTTAGATTATTATAATCCTCAATCAATTTGTCTCTGAAATTCTGTTGGAAAGTCTTATTTACTCTCTGGTAGTTGTACTCATCTTCTTCCATTGTTGTCACATTTTTAGCTAGGCATATGGCCATCGATAATAAATATTTTTTTTTCCCAACCTTCCTTGCATCCAGGCATATCCATATTACTAGCTCAGGCCAATAATATGTAAATGGTCATCTGGCATCTGGCCATCTGGCAGCACTTGAGAGATGCTCTAATGAGTGAGTTGAGACATATTCTTCACAGTCCTTTTCATCTCCTCATCTTTCTTGCTTCCAGAAGAACATATATGAGAGCTGTCAGCACAGACTATTGAGGCTGAGAGCCACAGAGTAATTAAGTGTGTGAAGTGTCTTACTGTAGGCAAAGTGCTAGATAAAATGAAAAAAAAAATAGCAGAGCATATTTTACCTAGTCTAGGAGCTGATTGATCTCTTAGCCAAGGAAATTATTTTAGCTAAGGAAAGAAAAATCAATATTAGCCTTGTGGTATTTACTCTGCCTGTTGTCTCTGCTGGAATGCTTTTCTTCCAAATATTCTCATGGCTAACTCCTTCACGTATTTTTAAATTATAACCTAAGACACTCTAGTACTCCTGTTTCCTTTAACTAGTCCTACTCTGCCCCTTTCTTATTGTACTTATTACCTTCTAAAACATTATTTAATTTATTTATGTGTCATGATTATTGTACCTATCCCATTGAGATCTAAGTTCCGTGAGGTAAGATTTTTCTTTCTTTTGTTCATTGATGTGTTTCACATGCCTAGCACAGGATATAAGACAGAAGCTTCAATTAATAGTTTTTAAAAGGGAGGGAAAGTAGTCAATCTCGATAGAGAAATATGTGTATAAAGACAACGAGTTAAAAATATTTTACAAGGACATATAATTAATCCTAGAATGGCTGCAACATACAAAGAAAATAGAAGAGCAATATGAGCTGAAACTTGAGATATTGGGAAGTTCAAATAATGGAGAAATTTCTAGGTCTTCACAAGATTCAGGGCTTTTAAGTAACATTAAAAGCCAATGGGGGAAGAATAATGTTTGGACTATTGGCGTGAAAACAACTGAATTGATAAATAGGATTTACTTAATAAGGAGAGAACTGTAGACAATGGATAAGTATGCATGGTGGTAAAGAAGAGTTCAATTCAACTGTGGACTGGCTCAGCTACAGTGTGAAACTGCAGGTGTCAAGGGAGTAGGGGTGCAAAAAGGCCAGAAGTAGAGGTAGTTATCAGAGAATAGAATGTATGAACTAATGATTTCGGTAACTTCAAATTTCAAGTGATGGCATTGTCCAGGGTTTGGCTCTGGAATGGGGAATGTGGCTGAAGTGAAGGGAAGGAATTTGTGGGAGGGAAGCGCCAGTGGGAAGTCAAAGAAGTGGGAGATGACTGTGTAAGCTGAATCTTGGGCATTTAAGTAACACACTATTTTTAAGGAAATGACTGGTACAGGCAATAAAGACCCAATACATTAAATAAATAGGGGGAAAAGTGGCCTTATTCAAAGTCTCTGAGTGGATATGAAAAACAAAATACATCAAGCCTGTAGTCCCAGCACTTTGGGAGACTGAGACGGGTAGATCACCTGAGGTCAGGAGTTCAAGACCAGCATGGGCAACATGGCAAAATTCTGTCTCTACTAAAAATACAAAATTAGCCAGGTGTGGTGGCCGGTGCCTGTAATCCAGCTGCTTGGGAGACTGAGGCAGGAGAATCGTTGAACCACAGAGGCAGAGGTTGCAGTGAGCCAAGATCACACTACTGCACTCCAGCCTAGAGGACAAGAGAGAAACTCCATCTGAAAAAAAAATAAAGATGTTTGAAAAGATCAGTTTTAGGGGAAAAACAAAACAAAAACAAAAAACAAAAAAAACGCACACAGAAAATAGAATGAAAACCTGAAAACAGTTTTATAATTTGAAGAAAATTACAATCCATCACATTTTATGAAACAAGATATCAATAGTAGGTTACTGGAACAATCCAGTGAGATGGAAAAGGAACTTGTGAATGCCACAGAAGTACATTTAGGAAAGAAAATGCCATACTGAACAAGAACAGGCAGAATCATCAGGAGAGAAAAGTAATCACCGACAAGAAGAAGATTGATAATTTTTACCACAGAATTTTAACATTGCCATTGTCTCCACTTTCCAGAGGAAGAAACCAAGGCCCAAACAAGAAAAGGAGTGAACAGCAAGTAAATCACAGAGCTCTCCTTCTTACCTGGCTAAGTATCCATTTTTAATTCAAGTAAAGTAGCCTTAAGCTTCCCTGTTAAATCACGCGGTTTGGTGTTCATGCTTCTCTTAATTAGTAACATTCTCTAGGGATTATGGTGAGAATGCAATAAACTAAAATATGCGAAGCACTTAGAAAGCGACTCACATAGCAGTCAGTGATAAATGATAGTGGATATTATCATTTTTGTTGCCATTAATTTACTACTATTGTTATTAGTGAGTCTCTGTTAAAAACTCTCTCTTAAAAACCCAGTTTATAATCAGTAAAATGAGAAAACAATGCATATTTTTGGTAAATGAGGGAATAAAGCCCACCTTGAAAAATCGTAGTAAAGATTAAGTGTGATAATGGATGAGAATGTTCTGAAAAGCACTTAACTTGGGAGGTTGAACTACTTGGTAAAATGTTTGAATCTCATGCAGTTGAATGTATGCTCTCCTTAGAATAATATTTCTGGATTCTTCACTATGTAGTCTACACCTCTCTATTCTGTTGTAAAATACAATTCCAAGGCTTGAATACAATATTTCAGAAGCTGCTGGCATGGACATTGCTTGCGCTTGATCTCATCTCTATTTCCTACTGCAGTTTCACACTACATTTAGCAGCCACAGCATTTTGGTTTCATATTGAAGTCATGCTCAATTAAAACTACCTGGTCTCTTTTTTTTTTTCTCATAAACGTTTTGTCTCTCTTTTCCTCTGCCTGATGTTTGCTAAGACTATTACAAAGGAAATCTTACAGAAGCTTGTACTGAAACATACTGGACAAATTATTTTCACTACATAAAGTAAATTGATGATATGTGAGGTGTGTACTTGTTTTTGACCAGAGTTAACACCCGGTTGAAATGTAGACTCTGCTTATCTTTGGTGATTCCTATTCTGTGTTCATTCCTAATACTCCATCGACAAAGCTAAGTCATTTCTCACTTGCAGCTGTTAAGGCCATGTGGCTACCTTTCTGATTCTTTTCCATGGACTCATCTTTACCTTCACTGGAAGAAACATCTCATACTAAATTGTATACTTAAAAATAACATTAGAAACTGTACATCTAAAAGCATCTTATGAATGGAAAGAATATGTTTTCCTTAAAATGACTTCATAGAAGGATTTAGGTTATTAGTAAATTAAGTCTTTTTATTATTAGAAAATGAAAATATATACTGTGGAAGCATTACGGTGAGTGCTGCAGTATCCATACTCAGACATCTAGGTTTTAATATAGGTTACACCGGTTACTAGCCTCTCTGCCTCAATTTCCTCATTTGCAATATAAGGATAAGAATAGCACCTCCCATTTAAGATTCTTTATTTATTTATTTTTTTTGAGATGGAGTCTTGCTCTGTCACCAAACCTGGCATGCAATGGGACAATCTTGGCTCACTGCAACCTCCACCTCCCGGGGTCAAGCGATTCTCCTGCCTCAGCCTCCCGAGTAGCTGAAACTACAGGCATATGCCACCATGCCTGGCTAACTTTTTGTATTTTTTTTAGTAGACATGGGGTTTTACCGTGTTGGCCAGGATGGTCTCAATCTCCTGACTTTGTGATCCACCCGCCTTGGCCTCCCAAAGTGCTGGGATTACAGGCATGAGCCACCACACTTGGCCTAAAATTCTTATGATAAATAAATGATACAAATATCCAAAAGTGTTTATGAGTGTGCTTAATAAACACTAAATAATGTTGGTTATCATTATAAAATTTATATAATTATTAGTGTCTGAAGTATTATGCATGCCATAGTTTTATGTGACTCAAATATTATTATTTTCTTCTTAATATCACTAATTTAATATTGAAGGAGAAGTTTTAGTAATATTTTTACTGGCAATTTTTAAAATAAGTAAGTTCTTTTGAATGCTCTGTAGAGTTATGGAAAGTAGCATTGCACACTCTAAGGAATATTTGTAATTTCTAGGTCAGAAAGAAATTAAGGGAGGGCTTAGTGCCCACAGTTGTCCTTACATAACTTCTCTGTCTTCTCAACAGCTTTGATCAGTCACGCATCAATTTGCCTTTGAAGGAAGAGGAAAGAGTTTGCATTTTACAATGAGAACATATCAGCACTTATATTTAATTTACAAAGTGAAGCTTTAAATATTTTTAAATGAAACTGAGAGTAATCTGATTGAAAAAGCATCTTCTGACATTTCACTTTCTGCAAATGCACATTCATCGTGGTGATGGATGGCTTGCTTGAAATGATAACTAATTTGGATTTCAGTTGGAAAGAATACTGCTAACTCCACTAAAAGTATCACTTATATGTTCTCTATTCCTCTTCTCTCATTTCTTTATACATTACAAAATACATAACATTTTCTGACCAGAAACTAGCATTGCTTAGACAAAAAAATTCAATTATAACATAAAGTGGTGGTGGTGTGGGGATGGTCGCTGAGGTTTTCTTTCTTTCTTTCTTTCTTTTTTTTTTTTATTGAGATGGAGTCTTGTTCTGTTGCCCAGGCTGGAGTGCAGTGGTGCGATCTCAGCTCACTGCAACATCAGCCTCCTGGTTTCAAGCAATTCTCCTGCCTCAGCCTCCCGAGTAGCTGGGATTACAGTCGCCTACCATGCCTGCCTACTTTTTTTGTATTTTTAGTAGACATGGGGTTTCATTAGTTGGCCAGGCTGGTCTCGAACTCCTGACCTCATAGTCCGCCTGCCTTGGCCTCCCAAAGTGTTGAGATTACAGGCGTGAGCCGCCACACCTGGTCCAGTTTTCTTGATTGTGGTATTTGAGTGTACACTAGAAGGGTAATAGGCAAATTTATATCCCAGTCATTTTGTGAGGGAATTTCAAAGCTTCCCTGTTATTTTCAGCTTGAAATTTTTCCTCACATCTAAAGTAAGAAGAACATAAAATATATTTTCCCTGGTGAAAACTTTCCCCATTCTGAGTTTCAGTGAACATTGATGTCCTCAGTAGAGGCTCAATAAATACAATTAGGATGAAAGAAATCTGAACATGATAGAACACCTGTAATGAGCCACGTGAATTTGTTCTCATACTAATAGATTTTTCTTTCCTAGTGACAATCTCAGAGGATATCCTTTTTTTGTTCTTTTTTTTTTTTTTTTTTTTTTGAGACGGAGTCTCACTCTGTCACCCACGCTGGAGTGCAGTGGCGCAATCTTGGCTCACTGCAAGCTCCGCTTCCCGGGTTCACGCCATTCTCCTGCCTCAGCCTCCCGAGTAGCTGGGACTATAGATGCCCGCCACCATGCCCTGCTGATTTTTTATATTTTTAGTAGAGACGGAGTTTCACCGTGTTAGCCAGGATGGTCTCGATCTCCTGACCTCGTGATCTGCCCGCCTCGGCCTCCCAAAGTGCTAGGATTACGGGCGTGAGCCACTGCGCCTGGCTCTTTTTTTGTTCTTATCTTTCCTTTTCTTTTTTAAACAGCAAGGCCTACTGCTTTTTCTCCTAGAGTTTTGACTTTATTTAGTTTTGATTTATTTTATTAGGGATATAAGTGTAAGTAATTCTACAGTCTCTAGAATGTATATGATACATAGTATTTTTATAGTTGATGTCTAGAGTCTACTTTCTTGCGGTGGTTTCAGCCCAGTGAATGTAGGTTACTGTCATTACAGACTCATGGCATTTATGCTAAGACACAGAAGGTGTAACATGTATACATTACTACATGGCAAGTATAATGAATGATATTGGTACCTGTCCCACTCCCCATCTCCCAGCTGCTGTAAGAGTTGACTGATAACAGCTCACAGATTCTCCCTTGTATGAAGGGTTGCCCTTGGCCAGATTGGAGATACTTGCCCAGAAAACTACAGCCTCCCGAAAACCCTCCTGTAGACCTGCTTTGCATTGGAATACGAGACTGTTCTCTTGCCTCCAGGTGGGACTGTCTTATCTCTCAGATGCTGGTGAGATCCCAAGACTACACCATTGTTTAGCATTCTTATATTCTTCATAGCTGTGTCCCTCACATCTCTTCTGCTGAGAGTACTCCATCAGTAAGACATTGAACAAAATTCCTTATCTCAGGTCAGCCTCTACAAAACCCAACCTGAGCTAGCAAGTGACACATCCTGAGTTCTGATCATGGAAATATATTCTACTTAGGTTCACCATCTTTCTAACTTTTTACATTTTATTTTTATTTACAATCACATATTCATGCAGAATGTTATACTAAATTCATACTCATATTCTCATTGAATGTTAAATTAAAATCACAATATTTTTAAAAGATAATTTTTAAACTTCTTTACACATACAATTTATTTTCTCTGTCTCTGGCCACCACTCTAACACTCTAAAACAAACAAAATATCATGGAATATTCTAAAAAATTAATTTCTGAAGCATTAATATAAATAACTTAATTAAAAAGAAAACATTTCTAAAACTTAAAATCTTTTTTTTTAATCATAGAAAGTGGGACTAAAATAATGAAGAACATAGATCTCTAGTACTTATCTATCATAAAGGCATAGGCTTACAACACATTCTCCATATGTGGCATTTCTCCATTCCAAGTTTTACACTAGAACTCTAAATCCTAGAATTCAACTTGCATACCAAGAACCACACTATTGAGATGAGTTCCAAAATGGGTTTTGAGTAGATTTGAATCGAAGATAATGGAGAAAGAGACAATCATTTTTACAGTGCAATATCAGCATTTTAAAAATTATTATTGTTTTTTAACTTTGATTTTAAGTTCAGGGGTGCATGTGCAGGTTTTTACATAGGTAAATTTGTTTCATGCAGGTTTGTTGTGCAGATTATTTCATCACCCAGGTATTAAGCCTCATCCCAATTAGTTATTTTTCCTGATCTTCTTCCTCCTTCCACCCTCCACCCTCCACCCTCCAAAAGACCCCAGTGTGTGTTATTCCCCTCTATATGTCCATGTGTTCTCATTTTGAAGCTCACTACTTATAAATGAGAACATGTAGTATTTGGTTTTCTGTTCCTGCATTAGTTTGCTAAGGATAAGGGCTTCCAGCTCCATCTATATTCCTGCAAATGGCATGATCTTATTCTTTTCTATCGCTGCATAGTATTCCATGGTTTTATGCCACATTTTCTTTATCCAGTCTATCATTGACGGGTATTTAGGTTGATTCAATGTCTTTGCTATTGTGAATTTATCTTAAGCATTAAGAAGGGACCTATCAGCTTCAGTATGACTTTGCATTTCTATGGTTACATATAGATCATGGCTGTCATATTGTACTACTTTAAGATATTTAATTTAGAAAGAATACAACATGCAGCTTAGTGCATCTCTTATAAGTAATAGTGATCTTAGCCTGAGCTTTTCAGGTTCTAGAGCTTTGCAGGAAAAGGAGACTGGAAGGTTTTTGCAATATCACCTATGCACCATGAATTTTTTAAAAAATTATACATTTTTAATACACAAATCATTTTTTTTTTGAGACGGAGTCACACTCTGTCACCCAGGCTGGAGTGCAGTGGCACAACCTTGGCTCACTGCAACTTCTGCCACTTGGGTTCAAGTGATTCTCTGGCTCAGTCTCTGGAGTAGCTGGGATTACAGGTGCCTGCCATCACACCAAGCTAATCTTTTTTTGGATTCTTAGTAGAGATGGGGTTTCACTATATTGGCCAGGGTCATCTTGAATTCCTGACCTTGTGATCCACCCACCTCGGCCTCCCAGAGTGCTGGGATTACAGGCATGAGCCACCACACTCAGGCACAAATCATTTTTTATATTTGAAAGAATATAGAATAGACAAATTGCAAACCCGAATTCTCAATCCAAATTTGTAAGATCTTGTACAAGTCAGCTTATATTTCTGATATTTAACTTTCTCGTTATAAAGTGAAGGACTTACTGTTAAATGTGCAGGAGAACACATGCATTTAAATTCATTTCCTCTCTTATCTCTACTAAAATGTCACTGAAAAAATTAACCCATACCCAAACTCCCTAACAAAAATGTAATTCCATGAAGACAAAGAGAATAGGAAAGGAGATGACCCTCTAGAAGGAATGTGATTTAAGTTTTGGTAGCCGGAACGCTGAGGCACAAGCAGTAAGGAAGTAGACACGAGAAAGCTGTAAATCAGGCTTGAGTGACAAAGGTGGTGAAGTCACCCCTGCAGCAAACTTGTACCTGGACATCCAGACGTTTCCATACATCATCTGAAATCTACATGGAGGTTCCCAAACCTCAATTCTTGACTTCTGTGCACCTGCAGGCTCAACACCACATGGAAGGTGCTAATGGTTGGGGCTTGCACCCTCTAAAACCACTGCAAGAGCTGTACCTTGGTTGCTTTTAGCCATGGCTAGAGTGGCTAGGTTGCAGGGCACCAAGTCCCTAGGCAGCACACAGCAGAGGGGCCTTGGGCCTAGCCCATGAAACCGGTTTTTCCTCCTAGGCCTCCAGGCCTGTGATGGGGGGTGGCTGCCATAGAGGTCTCTGACCGTGCCCTGGAGACATTATTCCCCATTGTCTTGGCAAATCACATTTGGCTCCTCGTTCTGTATGCAAATTTCTCCAGTAGTCTCAAATTTCTTCCAGAAAATGGGTTTTTCTTTTCTATTGCCTCGTCAGGCTGCAAATTTTTTCAACTTTTATATTCTGTTTCCCTTTTAAAACTGAATTCTTTTAACAGCATCCAAGTCACCTCTTGAATGCTTTGCTGCTTATAAATTTCTTCCACCGGATATCCTATGTCATCTCCCTTAAGTTCAAAACTCCACAAATCTCTAGGGCAGGAGCAAAATGCCACCAATCTCTTTGCTAAAACAGCAAGAGTCACCTTTGCTTCAGTTCCCAACAAGTTCCTCATCTCCATCTGAGACCACCTCTGCCTGGATTTCATTTTCTATGCCATTATCAGCGTTTTGGTCAAAGACATTCAACAAGCCTCTAGGAATTTCCAAACTTTCCTACATATCCCTGTCTTCTTCTCCACCCTCCAAACTGTTCCAATTTCTGTGTGTTACCCAGTTCCAAAATTGTTTCCACATTTTTGGGGTATTTTTGTAGCAGCACCCCACTGTACCAGTACCAATTTACTGTATTCATCTGTTTTCTTGCTGCTGATGAAGACATACCCGAGATTAGATAATTTATAAAGAAAAAGAGGTTTAATGGACTCAGTTCCATGTGGCTGGGGAGGCCTCACAATCACAGTGGAAGGCAAAAGGCATGTCTTACATGGTGGCAGACAAGAGAGAATGAGAGAACCAGGTGAAAAGGATTTCCCCTTATAAAACCATCATATCTCGTGAGACTTATTCACTACAACAGTGTAGGACAAACTGCCCCCATGATTCAATTATCTCCCACCGGCTCCCTCCCACAACACAAATCAAGATGAGATTTGGGTGAGACACAGCCAAACGATATCACTCTCTCATCAGAAAACTCTAGAGGTTAAATGTGGCATGAAACAAAGTAATGAGCCTCTTTCCTCCTTCCTCTCACTCCAAGAGTTGTAGTATCACCTGGCAGGTAGGTCAGGACATCCATTCTGGCTAGGGTCTACATTTGGTGACCACATCATCTTAAGGTCTGGAAGGCTGCTCCTAGTGGGGGACTCCATGTAAAGAAAAGTAGGATTTCTGGTTATTATCATTATAAACTAAAAACAATTAGGAAATTTCAGGCAAAGACTATAGAAATTACTACACTCATGTAATAGTCTTGTATAAATCCTACATTTAAGCAAAATTAAGAAAGACCTGTCTTTGAATGATATCAGAAGACTGTGATAATAATTAATTAAGTGTGTTATTTAATTAGTCTTTAAATATATTTTAACAATACATTTTAGATAAAAACAGAGACCATGACCTGCACCCATGTGTAGACTGGGCCCCAGTGGGATACTTTTTGATCCTCTTCCCAACCCCTAGACTTCCCCTGTACCTATGGTTCACTGGATGCCCCAAGGATACCTGATACTCATGTTTACAATGTTGTCCCTGGGCTACGTTTCCAGGCTAGATCCAGAAGGGTGGTTTGGAGAATAGTTCATTTTCCTGGGTAGTGTGGCCAGTGTGGCTGGCAAAGAATTTCTTCCTGGGATCACATGAGATTCATCACTGGGATGATACTGACACACTGATTTGGGGTGACTCTCACCTAAGTCAGAATCTGGAAATGGTCAGGATTCTGATCTACCAGTGGTTCAATTCTGAGCCTGGAACATGAGCCACATGTGTGAGCTGTGATTTAGCTCTGATCCATCAGTGTTCCAACCACATTGCTGTCTGTGGCCTATAGAATAAGAGGGGTGCAAGGGTAGCAGTAGGCATCATTTACCTTGTGCCTCTCCCCATCTGCTACTGAAACTCAGGGAGGTTACCTCAACCCTTACTGCAAATGCCTTTTCGGTGTCAGTCTTCCTGCCAGGGATGGCTGTGTTTGTTTCTTCTAAAGGCTCCAAGGAGAATCCAAATGTAAAATTTTGCTTTATGACTTAAGTGTTATTTAACACAATGAATAATGCATTTATAAAATATATCCACTAGAAACTTGGCTGTCTGGGAATGTGTATGAATAAAAATTAACCTAAGGATATAAACAAGTGACTGTGTTGTATTTACTTATTATAATAAAACTCTAGGAAAAATAACTATCTCATCCTCAGTTAAGTTCATCAAATACTGAGATTCCATTATGAGCAGGGAAATTTGTGGATATAAGGACTAAGCATATTAATAACAGGTTCTGTCCTCAGGAAACATCATCTTGGAGGAATACAGACCGTAAACATAATTTTATTGTAATGGCAACACTCTGTATATAATGGTATGAATGGATACACTGAGCCCAGAAAACAGCAGCCACATCAGATCTTTCTAGTGAATGTTTTCCTAATTGAGTCTTCGTAAGAGTTTGCTATGTGAAAAAGTGTGGAATAAATGTGGCAGTCAAAGGGAAGTACATAGGAATATTGTTTAGCTATTTCTATGTAACAGACCACCCAACTTAGTCCTTAAAACATCAGCTCTTTGTGGTTGCTCTCAATTATGTAGACCTCAATTCATTTTATTGACAATTTCCATTTGGAAATTTAGACTTGGCTTAGCTTTCTGATCCTTCTGTTCTTAACTGAACTACCACATGCATTTACAGAGTTCTGGGCAGCTCTGCCTCTGAGGAGTTGGCTAGCTTTTCACTGAGGGAAGGGGATGGTAAAGGAGACTCAGCCTCATGTTTGTCAACATTAGGGGACTGTCCCAAGTTTGTTCACATAAAGGCTTGGCAAGAATTTAAGAGGGATAATGGAATCAAAGCCTATTCAAGGCTAGGCTTGGTATAATGCCACTTTCACATGTTGACCAAAGCATCGGCTACAGGCAGTCATGAGGTCAGCCTAGATTCAGGGATGACAAAGAGATCTACCTCTTAATCAAAGGAACTGCAAAGTCTCATTAAAAAGTGGCATGCATTCAGGGAAAGGTGGGAACATGTGGCATGTATTTATTTATCCATTTGTTTATTTAATGCATTTAACCACAACACATAAAGTTTCTAAGCATAAGATAATTTTGTGTAAAATTAATTAACTTTATTAATACAATTGAACTTTTATTATAAACTAAACCTTTAAGTGGAATATAAAGTAGGAAATTAGAAAAGATGAAGCTGGAGAGGTAACAATCCTGAAAAAGAAGGGTTAACTTAACAAGATGTGACATTTTTTGTAGATTATAGTATTTCCCACCAAATTCAGACATGCAGAGATCTCCTGCAGAATAAGCTAGAGATACATACACATACACACACACACACACACACACACACACACACACACACAGAATTATTTGCTCGAAGACAACAGGGAAAAACGACTTCATACTTTACCCACTACTCTTAGAAATTTCCAAGATAAATCAATATAATACAATATACTAAAGGTGTCAAAAAGTCCTTCAAAAAAGAGAAATCTTTATTTTCATAACAAAACAGTTATGCTTATTAAAACAAAGACTTTTTCTTTTCCTTTTCACCAAATACTAATATTGAAAGGTGAATAATGCTTTTGAAGAGAAAGTAAAATATTTTAATCAGGTTGTTACAGGTAAGATTTTTACTTTAGAGAGATTACCCTGGCAGTGGGCTGGATGAAAGATTAAAAAATGATTAAAACCTGCAAGATGAGAAATAGATGACTATTGTGATTATCTAAAGAGAAAAAAACAAATTTCCAATCTCTGACATTGATTGCAAGAATAAAGAAAGGACAAACAGATTTTAATAAAACATAACTCAGTCATAGATTGGATGTGGGGCATGAGAAAGAGTAGAATTTTGAATGACAATCAAGTTTCTAAATTGAGAGATTAATGTTATCACTAAGACAAGGAACAGGAATACCTTTGATTTTCTTTTGTCCACTACACATGTGTTTTTCCCCACTCTCAGACTCATGATGAAATATGAAAGGAGATTTAGATTCTGCCCAACTAGAACTCATATTCAAACTAAAAGTAGAAACTGATCAAAGAGTTTGTTGTTTGGGAGCAAGATTAAGAAGGAGGTAGGTATGGTGAGAAAGGGAATTTCTTAAAGTCATCTTATAATATTTAGTTTCTTTCCTACACAAGTATTAACATGAATTTTTTTTTTTGAAACGGAGCCTCACTCCGTCGCCCAGGATGGAGTGCAGTGGCGCAATCTCAGCTCACTGCAACCTCTGCCTCCTGGGTACAAGCGATTCTCTTGCCTCAGCCTCCTGAGTATCTGGGACTACAGGTGTGTGCCACCACACCCGGCTAATTTTGTATTTTTAGTAAAGGCAGAGTTTCACTATGTTGACCAGGCTGTTCTCGAACTCCTGACCTCGTGATCCTCCTGCCTCGGCCTCCTGAAAATTTTCATATAAAATAAAAGAACAAAGGAAAAGTCTTTCTGTTTCATTCAACCATGACTTTATTTAACATCATTGTAATTAAATACATATTAAATTTTTAGACAATGAATAAGAAATACATTACCTAGAAGCAAGTTTGCTTGTGTCTGGAAATTATTTTAAAACATGTCCAGGTTTACGTAGGAATCTATAGCCAAAGCAACTTTTGTGGCACATACTTTAGGATAGATTTGAAGATGTGTGACCAAGTAGAGAATAAATACTATATGGGATAAAGTAGATGTGCTATTTTATGTCCTGGATCTGAGAAAACAAATTATGGAGGGGAAAGAAAAACACTTTCAAATTTATTGACGTAATACACATTTTCCAAGAGTTTGTTTCACTGATGTTCCACATTTCAAAGACTAAATGCAAAATGTTTTCTAATGTATAAAATTCATTTAACTGATATAAATTTTTTCATATTAATATCTGTGCAAAAATGCAGTATACATTATTTTATTTGTAGGGAGATCTTCTCTGTTCATTTTCAGGTAATAATGTCAATAATGCCCTAATACCAGGGTTTTGTATTATTTTATATATCAATATCGATATCAATACAAAGGATCTTGATATTATTGACTCACTGGTTTAATAGTTTCTAAAAATAGGTATTTCCAGAAATGCACCTTATTGCATACACTATACACATTTGTGTGCAGGTCCACATATAGGCATATGTTGATTAGATATAATAACCAGAAACTACTTGCTTGAAGGCAAAAATTTTTATGTCATCCCTTTCTTAAAACAGTTTTCTGATACAACTTTGGGCTTCACTGACAACCTAGAGTTATTCTTTTTTACACAACTGACTAACAAAATGGTTTCAAGTTTATTTAATATATAACTGTAAGTAATTCAGAGACTCCTGGGATAAAGCAAGTGGAATTCAGTGCAAAAGAATAATATGGTAGATTATTAGCTTGTAAGTAACAAAAATCAGGATATATGCCTCTGAGTTAAAAAAAATCAGTTTGATGTCTGATCACGAGGCAATGACATTGCTGGTTTCCACAGCAACCAAATCC
Organism: Homo sapiens; assembly: GCF_000001405.40. Lineage (NCBI taxonomy): Eukaryota > Metazoa > Chordata > Mammalia > Primates > Hominidae > Homo > Homo sapiens. The sequence continues at coordinate 19,046,087 of NC_000021.9, forward strand.
TGAGTATTCTTCATTCATCTCTTTTCTACCAGAATCCACCTCATTACGGTAAAAAGAAATTCAGTGTCACATCAATGAAAACTCTAATATTTATAGATCCAAATACATTTTTTCTGTCCAGGGTGACTAAGTAAAGATGCTAAAATCCAGCATTGGCTTGAACAAGAAAAGTTAATTTCAAAGTGAGAAGAACTGAAGCTTTCTTGAATTTTACTTATGTATGCAGCATTTATTATTTGAGCATTCGAGAGAGATGTTTTTTTCATCTACTTTGACAGGCTCAGCTCTTTGGAGAGTTTATTTTATCTCCCCTAGTCAGAAGTTGATTTCCGTGGCACTTCTGCCTCAAACTTAAAAGTCAAAATACAAAAGAACTAGCACACTTATTCTTGTCTAGCAAAGATAAGATTTATTCTGTGTGGTGTAAAAACACCTGACAAACTATCTACTTGATACTGAATTTGCAAAATACTTTCATACCACATTTTTGAATGGGAAAATATGATAACATAATTGACTATGAGTTGTGTTTCCTGTGATTATGTATAAAAATATATACATTTTAGTATAGCTATATTACACAATTTGACAGCACTGCCGTTTTGATTGATCCATTGATGGATTTTTTTATCGCAAGTTGCAAAGTAATTATTTTATTTTAGAAGCACAATTCAAATCTCTCTAGCTTTGTCATATACTAGTCACACAGTTCAAATATATGGTTTTGGTGCACTTATCTTGTACAGTGTATCACATTCTGTGCATATTCTATTTCACTGGTGTATTTCCATAGGACTCTCTACAGTTTTTTGCATAAACACTTAAATAATTCTTTTCTCTGGTTGTTGATCTAATATCTTTAATCCTCAGAATACTGCAGGTTTCATGCAGGAAACAAGTCTCCTGTTTTATGCTGGATCTCAGTACTCAACATAGAGGCTGGAACACAAGAGAGGTCAATACATTTTAATGAATGAAAGAATGAATAATGAGCCAAAAATTTACTGTTTCTATTACTTGTTAATTTTATAACCAAATTCCAATGGCTCTATTATCATTATTGCCTTTAGATTTACAGTGCATAAGCATTGCATTTTGTGTAAAGTCATAGGGAAATGGGTATACACAGCTAAATAAGAGTATCCATCATGTCCATGACTTGCTACTGTTTATAGATATAACACAATACATAATATATCACAGAACTGACGGGCCGGAAGAAAAAATGTAAACTTATCTTGAAATTAACATTTTTAGCAAAGAAAAGAGAGAACCAAGAAACCAAAGTAAGAGAATATAGAGAGCAAAAGTAACAGCATATTTTCTTCTAGTTTTCTCCCATGAAGGCTAGGAATTTTAAGTCGAGTTCATAATTGACTTTGCATCAAGCAATTAGTTGAATAGATATCATAGACAGGTGCTTTGTATGATGCTTAGAGATGATATTAGTCCATTTTCACACTACTATTAAGATGCTACCTGAGCCTGGGTAAGTTATAAAGAAAAGAAGTTTAATTGACTTACAGTTCCGCATGGCTGGGGAGGCCTCAGGTAATTTACAATCCTGGTGGAAGACAAAGGGGAAGCAGGTACCTTCTTCACAAGGTGACAGGAGAGAGAGAGCAAGAGAGAAAGAAAGTGCCACACTTTAAAACCATCAGCTCTCCTGAGAACTCACTCACTATTGCAAGAACAGCATGGGAGAAACTGCCTCCATGATTCAATCACCTCCCACCAGGTCCCTCCCTTGACACATGGAGATTACAATTTGAGGTGAGATTTGGGTGGAGACACAGAGCCCAATCATATCAGAGACTATTTATTTATTCAGTATAAAACATCAGCTATGTAGCAGCATTTTTCCAGTTACTTTGCTTACAGCAGTAAACAAACAAATTCTCCATTCTCAAGATTACTTTTTAGTGGGATTAAATACCATAAATCTTAAAACTTTTTAAAGGAAATATACAGAACAATTAGACTAGTAGAGAATAAAAGGAATGGGAGATATTTTATAAAGGGTCATCAAAAAAGCATCACTGATAAGATACAATTTGAGCAGAGATCTCAGGAGGTATAGCATTGAAATAGGCAGGCATCTAAGGAAAAAGCCCAGAGAGAAAAAATAACAAACAATGAGGTCAAAGTATGCTTAGCACGTTAAGGAAATAGTGACAGAGTCCAAGAGCCTGTATGACTTGTACAGAGTGAGGCAAGGGGAGAATATTAGGATATGAGATCACAGATATAATGGGGAATCTAATCATCAAGGCCTTGTAGGTCGTGGTTGGAAATTCAGGTTTTGACTCTGAGTGAGATGAAAGCTGTTGGCTGGTTTTGAACAGAGGAGTGATATGTTCTGATTGACAGTTTAATAGGATAATTTTAGTGCTCTCTGGGAAGTAGGTTTTATGAGGGCAAAGGTGGAAGGGAGACCATCCAACACGCTATTGTAATAATCCAGTTGAGAGATTATTGTGTTTGGGCTAGGGTGGTAGTAGACCAAAGGTGGAAATGCGTTAGACTCTGGACATATTTTAAAGATAAAATGAAGAGTATTTGCTCATAGATTGGATGGGAGATGTGAAGGAAAAAGTAGAGACAAGAATGAGTCATGGTCCTAGCTCTAGAAAATGAAAGATGAAGTTTCCATTAACTCATGAGGAAAAAGTAGTAAGTGTGAGGGCCATAGCACACATCTTAAATTCGTTTTTGTTACTGCTAAATTTGAGATGCTCATACATTTAAGTCAAAATGCCAAAGGAGTATTTTTCTATGTTTTATCAAATGATGAGAGGAACAAGGATAGAAGAGTAGAATTCAGAGTTTGAGTTTGGTTTTGGATATAGGATCCTGAATTCTGGGAAGTAAGGAAATGTTGATTTTAAAAAAGTTAAAGCCACAGTGGCAAATAAAAATGGAGCCACAGCTATGCCACACTTCTTCACTCAACATAAATTGATGAAGGGCAGTCATAGGATGAAGATGTGCTGTCACACAGTCATTTATCCAAGAACTGATTGTGAATTTACAAATCTATCATCCATCGTTTTTACTTTTCTTTCTTTTTTTATGGGATATGACTGTTAATAATTCATGCATTCAACATACATTCAGGTTCTAATTGCCTGATAGTTACTCAACAGTCTGAACCTCTTGAATGCAGGAGATTTAACAAGACAGATAGATATGGATTCTTACAAAACTTTTAACTTTCTATTGGAGACTATAAACAAATAGTCATTATAAATGGCTGTACATTTTATGATAGAAAAATAAAGTCTTAGGAAAGAATCCATAGCATCTATGTACTCCATCTAGGAAAAAAATCTTCCGAAACAAGTAGCTCTTAAATTAAACTTTATCCTCTTATTCCCTTATGATTTGAAAAAATTCTACTGTCTCTTTTATTACCCCTTCCAAGCTTATCAAAATTTGAGAATGTAAGAAATCTTATCTAAATTGAATTTAAAAGAAATTACAAATTCATCTTTATTACTTTTTTTAATTGCAAACAAAATGTCACTGTAGTGTTATCTTGTTCAGCGAGAATTTTTTTTACGTTGTTATGGACTGAATGTTTGTGATCCCTTCCCCAATTTCATATGTTGAAACCCTACCCTTCAATGTGATGGTAAAAGGAGGTGGGGCCTACAGGAAGTAATTAGGATCAGATGAGGTCATGAGCTCAGGATCCTCGTGAATGGGATTAGTATTCTTATAAGAGTGCTGAGAGAGCTGCTTTTCACCATGTTAGGATACAGTGAGAAGACCAAGTTCTGTAACCTGAAAGAAGGGTCTCTCCAAAACCTGAACGTGCTGGTACCCTGATCCTGGACTTCTAACCTACAGAACTGGAAAAAAAAATTCTATTGCTTAAAAGCCATGTAATCTATGGTATTTTTGTTTATAGAAATGTAAAACAAGACAGAAAACTGGCAATGAGAAGTGAGGGTGCTGCTGTAAAAAAATATCTAAAAATGTGGATGTGCTTTTGGACTAGGTATGGCTAGAGGCTGGAGATATTTTAAGGTGCATGCTAAAAGAAGGTCTACATTGCCATGAAGGAAGGAAGTTTCCTGAGTTGTAGAAAATTTATATCTCAAAGGGGCAAAGAAAGAATTTAAATTGAAAATTTCCTGAAGTAAAGCTCTCAGGAAAAGGTAGTCAGGAGCCTATAATCATGTTTTTGCTGGAACAAACACTAAATACTTTAGGCAGTTAGGCTTTTTTAGGCAGGCGCGTTAAGGAGTATACGGTCATTCTAAAGGAATGAGCTTGGGCCAATAGAAGTCACCCTAGAGTTTGGTCAAGTCTGTTAATGCAGGGTGTGGAGAATGAGTGTGGACAATCATTTATGCTGAGAATTTTGTGGTTCTCATGGATTGTTTTTGAGATAATTAACTTCATTACAATATTGAATTTTCTCATGCATGAACATGGAATACCTATTTATATAATTGTTCTTTAATTTGACTTAGTTATGGGGTTTTTTTTAGTTTTTAGCATACTGTTTGTGAAATTATCTTACTAAATGTAACTTTATACATTTTGTTTCATTGCTATTTTGTTTCAATTTCTATTTTTTTGTTTCTAATACATTAGCAATAAAGTTGATTATTTTATTCTAACCTAATATCCATTTACTGTGGAATCTTCGTAAACTTAATTTTTAGTTGTTACACCTTTTTAGTTAAATACCTTTGGATTTTCTATATGCATAACCAGGTTATCTCTGAATTATGATAGTTCTAATTTGTTTCTACTCTGTAAGCTTTTTATTTTCATTTCTTTCCTTATAGTACTGAATCAGACCCAATGCATAATATTGCCTAAAAGTGATAAGGATGGACAACCTTAACTTGTTCTCAAACTTACGGGAAAAGCATTCAGTCTTTTATGGTTAAAAATGATCTCAGCTCTGGAGCTTTTCATAATTTTTTCCCAGGTTGAGCATGTTTCCTTCTACTTTTAGTTTGCTAAGAACTGTTTTCATTAAAGAATCTATAAAATAATCTTACGGCTTTGCACATTAATTTGTTCATATGATTATTCAAAAAACTGAATATTTTAAAATGCTAAACCAACCTTGCCTTCCCGGAATAAACTGTACATTATCATGATGCATTATTCTTTTTAAATTATTGGAGTTGAATTACTGCTGTTTTTCGTTTTTTTTTGTTTGTTTGTTTGTTTTTTGAGATGGAGTCTTGCTCTGTCGCCCAGGCTGGAGTGCAATGGTGCGATCTCAGGCTGTTGTTTTAAATAAAGAATTAGTTCTCTCTGTGTAACTGTTTTTGAGTGTGACATTTGCTTTCTTGTGAACTTAGAAAGAAAATTACACCATTTGTTCTCCTGGGTTTCTGGCTTGCAGACAGCTAATTATGAGACTTCTCAGCCTCCATAATTGCATGAGCAAGATCTTTATAATTAGTCTATCTATTTATCATAATTGCATGAGCAAGATCTTTATAATTAGTCTTTCTATGTAATATATATATACTTAGACAAATATATATATATATTTGTTTACATTTGAGTTTAATGAGTTTAAGTCTAGACCCTATATTTTATGGGGTTCAGAAGCGGAAATCTGCCATCTTAAATTTTGTTTTTCCACAGTATTCCCTACGGTGCCCTTCACACTGATGTATGAACTCAAGACAGGCCCACTTCTCTGCAGAAGAATGTCCTAATATCAAGTAAATAAGTATTCTCTATTATATATATATATAAAATATAATATATAAATTTGATAAAATATATAATAATTAATTAATTATATAATAGAAGGCTGTGATTGGACCCCCAATGGTAATCCAACATCCACCAAAAATATTTATGTAATAGAAAAATTTTAAAGGTGACATTTGACGTTTCGATTATATATTTAAGAATACATTATGATGTTTTGATATACATACGTAGTTAACTGATTACAAAAGTCAAGTAAATTAACCTACTTATCAGCTCACATAGTTACCTTTCTCTTCTTTTGTGTGGTGAGAATATCTAAAATCCATTCTTTTAGCAAATTAACAGTACGCAATACAATATTATTAACTGTAGTCCTTGCACTGTACATTAGATCTCTATTGAGTGATGGATATCTTCATGGGGTGGTGATTTTATTTCTTTTGGTTGTATAACCAGAGTAACCAGAAGAAGGATTGCTGGATCATATAGTAGTTCTACTTTAAATTTATTTATAGAAACCTCCATATAATGGCAACATGAACCTACATTTCCAACAACAATGTACATGAGTTCTTTTTACTGCATACCCTCACTGACATTTGTTATTTCTTGCCTTTTTTTATAGTAGTAATTCTAAAAAGTGTGAGGTGATATCTCATTGTGGCTTTTGATTTGCATTTCCCTGTTGAATCCCTGATGTTGAACATCTTTTTGTGTATCTGTTTGCCATTTCTATGTCTTCAGAGAAATGTCCCTTCAGATTGTTAGCCTTTGGTTATTTGCTGTGGAGCTGTGTGAGTTACTTACACTTTTTGGACATTAATCCGTTATCTGATATATGGTTTACAGGTATCTTCTCTTACTCTGTGGGCTGCCTTTTCACTTTATTGATTATTTCCTTTGCTGTAAAAAGAAAACCGTTTAGTTTGATGTAGTCTAACTTGTTTACTCTTGCTTTGTTGCCTGTGCTTTTAGGGTCATTTGGGGATCAAAAATTGTTGCCAAGGCCAACACCAAGGAGCTTTTTTCCTATGTTTTCTTCTAGGAATTTTAAGGTTTCAAGTCTTAGGTTTATATCTTTAATCCATTTTGAGTTAATTTTTGTATATGGATAAGATAAGTATTCAGTTTCATTCTTTTCATATAGATATCCAGTTTTTCCAACACAATTTTTCAATAAGAGATGTTTTCATCCATTGTGTCTTCTTAGTGGCTTTATTGAAGATTAACTGACCATATACACTTGAGTTTGTTTCTGGGCTCCCTATTCTGTTTCATTGTTCTATGTATTTGTTTTTATGCCAGTGCCATACTGTTTTTATTACTATTGTTTTGTGGTATAATTTAAAATCATAATGTGTGATGCTTCCAACTGTTTCTTTATCAAGATAACTGACTTTTGTGCCTCTACAATATAGATAATCTAACTTAACTCTAACTTGCTATAAATGTACCAATCAGCCAATCTTCAAGGTCTTGATCAATAATGTGGTTTAAATTATTGCACCTCACTTTCTACAAAAACATAAATATGACATTACATTGATGACATTCTTCTCCAAGGAGGTTCACTTGCCACACTCATTCAGGACATACAAAATACTCAAAATGGATCTAACAAAAAAGACATTAACCGTTGTCCCATTATCAGTAAATACCTCTTTACCCTCTTAACACCACTTAACATTGTGAATGCTAACAAGGTCAACAGGTATTTCTTGACGACAGGACAATTGTTGATCTTTTTTTTCTCAATTGATTTTGTGCTTCTACAACAGAAGTTATATCAATTAACTCCTAACAAGTGCTAAGATGTACCAATTGGCAAACATTCAGTGGATACTGAGATTCAAATTACCAGAGCCAATAAATATTTATATACTCTCTTGGTGCATGTGTGACATCATCAGCCTTGACTTGTGAATTAATTTTGAGTAGCAGGAATTGATCCTGCCTCATGAATATAGCCACAAGGTACATTGTGAAGTGTCTGAATTGCTATATTCCTTTAAAGAGCATTGAAGTTTGTTTTTGTGTGCAATGAATTTATTTGCTTACCAGTGTAACCATTTGGAAGCTTTGTGCCATGCTTTGTTTTACTGTTTCAATAAAACTTTACTTTGTATAGTTTTGCACTTCTACCAAGCTGGTACCCTTCTAGTTTCTCTATTAAATGCCCTGGATAAACCATAAGGATGGAGCTCAAATATCTACATGCTCTCTGTAACCTTTGGGAATTACTCAACTCATAGTTTCCTTGTCATTTTTGCCTGACCTTATAGAATTTCACCATACACACAGAGAACTTAGTGTCCAACAAAGATACAAGAGGACCTCTATGAAGATATCCGAAACATTTTCTGGGTACATTTAATCTTTCCAGAACTTCTTCCTCCAAAGTTCATACACTACAGCCTTCCTAAACTTTTATTTCTGTCATCTCAACCAAATATATTAGTAGACTCTCTCTGAGATCACTGTTTTAGTCTAAGGCCATACCACCCAAATGTGCCTGATCTCATTTGAGAACATTGTTTTGTGCTCCAGGAGCCAAAAATATGTCTGCAGGCAGACATCTGAGAAAGCTGTAGTGCCTTCCAAACTCATTTCCTTCTCTTGAGGTTCACAGAAAGAACCTTGTTATCTACAGACTGAAACCTATTACTTTATATATTTTGTTTTGATGTTTTGTTTGTTTGCATTTGAGTTTAATGAGTTTAAGTCTAGACCCTATATTTTATGGTGCTCAGAAGCAGAAATCTACCATCTTAAATTTTGTTTTTCCACAGTATTCCCTACTGTGCCCTTCACACTGATGTATGAACTCAAGACAGGCCCACTTCTCTGCCGAAGAATGTCCTAATACCAAGTAAATAAGTATTCTCTGAACAGAGCTTGGAAAGGAGCTTGGGAAAGAGCTAAGTTGTATCAGAATCACTCAAATAGGAATTAAAAATATTTCTAACAATGTAAACAATATATGTAAGCCTAACAAATTCAATTAACAAGTATTGGATGTATCCTTGTGCCAAAAATACTATAAAGACAATGAGCAAAGTAATGGTGAAATACCGTCTGGTTTACACACACACACATACACACGAAAACATACACACACACGTATATAAACTGAATTTTACATATTACAAAAAAAATCCAGGATTATAAAAGTTTCAGCTACTGCTTTTAAATTGATTTTGTTTTGCATTTAAAAACAAGAACTAAAAAGGAATATAAAAATGGAGGGGAGGGGAGGCGGTGACATTCTAAGTGGAACGAAAATGTTGCCAGACCCTTTTCTCAGCAATTCTTTCATCTGGATCAGTAGATGCAATCTGAGTAGGAAAACAGCTTTCATTTGCCAGTTATTTTCATCACCTAGCTGTTGGTATAAATTATTTAACAATTCAGTTGTGTGCATGCTGAGCATGGTGTATAAACTAGTCTGCCTGATTCATATTTGTGAAGTGTATGCCATGCATTTGAGGTTGTTGCAAAATAATATTTCAAAAGTTCAATATGCACATTAAAATAAACTCAACTCATAGGAAAAGTGTGCAAATATTTGATATCATTAAAATCTCTGTAGTTACTGTTTTTAAGAATAAAATGTTACATATGATATGTATAATTTTAAATTACAGGCATGCTTTATTTTATTGCAGTTTACTTTATTGTATTTATCAGATACTGTGTTTTTTACAAATCCAACGTTTGTGACAACCCTGCATCAAACAAGTTGAAGAGCACCATTTTTCCAACGGCATGTGCTTATTTCATGTCTCTCTGCTACATTTTACTATGTATTGCAATATTTCAAACTTTTTCATTACTATTATGTCTTTTATGGTGATCTGTGATCAGTGATCTTAGCTCTTCCTAATGTAATTGTTTTGGGGAGCCATGAAATATGCTCATATAAGATGGCAAATTTAACTTATAAATGCTGTGTGTGTTTTGACTTCTCCAGTAATTGACTGTTTCCCTATCTCTTTCCCTCTCCTCAGAACTGCAAATTCCATGAGGCACAACAATATTAAAATTAGATCAGTTAATAACCCTACATTGGTCTCCAAGTGTTCAAGGGAAAGGAAGAGTCATACATCTCTCACTCTAAATCAAAAGCTAGAAATGACTGAAGCTTAGTGAGGAAGGCATGCCAAAAACTTAGGCCAAAAGCTATGCCTTTTGTGTCAAACAGCCAAGTTGTAAATACAAAGAAAAATTTCTTGAAAGAAAATAAATGTGCTAATGTAGTGAAGACAGAAATAGTAAAATAAAAAAATAGCTTTATTGTTGATATGGAAAATTAGTTTTAGGTGTCTGGATAGGAGATTAAACCAGCCACAACATTCCCATAAACTCAAACCTAATCTGGAGAAAGACCCTAACTCTCTTCAATTCTGTGTCTTCCAGAGAGGTGAGAAAGCTTCCGAAGAAAGGTTGGAAGCTAGCAGAGGCTGGTTCTTAAATTTTAAGAAAATAAATGATTTCTATAATATAAAGTATAAGATGAATTAGCAAATGCTGGTAGAGAAGCTCTACAGCAAGTTATCCAAGCAATCTAGCTAAGATATTTTATGACGGCAGCTACACTAAACAACAGATATTTAATGTGGACAAAACAGCCTTCTATGGGAAGAAGATGCCATCTAGGACTTTCTAGCTTATCTAAAAGATAAGTGGATGCCTGGATTTAATGCTTAAAAAAACAGACTGACTCTTTAGTTAGGGGCTAATTCAGCCAATGCTCATTTACCATTCTGAAAAATCCTAGGGCCCTTAGGAATTATGCTAAAATATACTCTCTCTGTGTTTATTAAATAGAACAAAGCCTGATGACAGTACGTTTGTTTACAACGTGATTTACTAATTATTTTAAGCCCATTGTTGAGGTCTACTGCTCAGAAAAAAATATTCCTTTCAAAATATTACTGTGCACTGACAATGTACCTGGTCACCCAGAAACTGTGATGGAGATGCACAAGGAGATTAATTTTGTTTTCATGCCTACTAATAAAACCTCCATTCTATAGCCCATGGATTAAGAAATAATGTCAGATTTCAAGTCTTTAAGTATAAAATTGTTTAAAACTTAATTTTTAAAAATTCTTTTAACTTTTATTTTAAGTTCAGGGTTAAGTACAGGTTTGTAACATAGCTAAACTTATGCCATAGGAACTTGTTGTACAGATTATTTCATCACCCAGGTATTAAGCCTACCCATTAGTTACTTTTCCTGATCCTCTTCCACCTCCCAGCTTCCACCCGCTGAAAGGCCCCAGTGTATGTTTTTCCCCTCCCTCTATGTGTCCATGTGTTCTCATTATTTAGCTCCCACTTATAAGTAAGAACATGCAGTATTTAGTTTTTCATTCCTTTGTTAGTTTGCTAAGGATAATGGTATCCAGCTCCATCCATGTCCCTGCAAAGGACATGATCTCATTCTTTTTCATGGCTATGTAGTATTCCATAGTGTATATGTCTTATTATTTAAAGAACACATTTTGTAACGCTGTAGCTGCCATAGACAGTAATTCTTTTAATGGATCTGAGAAAAGTAAATTTAAAGCCTTCTGGAAAAAATTCACCATTCTAGATGTTATTAATAACATTCATGATTCATGAAAGGAGGTCCAAATATCAACATTAATAGGAATTTGGAAGAAGTTGATTCCAAACCTCATGAATGACTTTGAAGGGTTCAAGACTTCAGAGGAGGAAGCAACTGCAGATGTGGTAAAAATAGCAAGAGAACTAGAATTAGACATAGAGCCTGGGCTGGCACAGTGGCTCACACCTATAATCCCAGCACTTTGGGAGACAGAGATGGGCTGATTTCTTGAGGTCAGGAGTTCAAGACTAGCCTGGGCAACATAGCAAGACAAAAAATATAAAAGCTATCTACACGTGGTGGCACACACCTGGAATTCCAGCTACTCAGGGGGGCTGAGGTGGGAGAATCACTTGAACCCGGGAGGCAGAGGTTGCAGTGACCAGAGATTGCACCTTTGCACTCCAGCCTGGGCGAATACGTTTGGCGTGGTGTTGAGGCATCTTAAGTAACAGTGAACATTGATCACGTCAATACATTTTTAAAATATTTCCACTAGTAGCCGTGTGAAAGATGAACTGAGAATGGAGAAGGAGATGTAACTGGGAGCTGAAAGCCCAGAATGGAAAGATCAATTGGAAGATCGATACAGTAAGTCCAGCAAGAAATCATATAATCTTAACCAAAGCAATGGCACTGGAGAAGGAAAACTAAAAAGATTTCAGAAATATTTAAAAGGAAGAATGCAAAAAAATGGTTACTACAATGAAATAAATATAAGAAATAAGCCAGGAAAAGTAAAAGCCACGTAGCCACATGACTTGTCATGTCATAAAATCAATTTACCAGATTTCAAAGTCGTGCCTAATATGAAGCACAATTTGAATGTGTCCTTTTCTTTCCCCTATTTTTTTATCCAGCTAAATCTCATTCACAGTTTGGGTCTTAGTGCAAACATTACATCTGTATGGAAATTTTGTTTAAATACAATGGCCTGTATTAGGTCCACATTTATTTGTTTCCATATTACCTTTCTCCAACTATAATCATAGTATCATGTATATTTTTCAATTTTGTTGTTCTTCACTGGAATGTAAGATCCATGAATAAAGGGTCTTTGTCTATATCAATTCACTTAGACCCCCTAGTTGCTAACATGGCAATTTAAGCAGTATAATCATGATAAATATTTATAAAAGAAATAACTAATAAACTAAGAAATTAGAAAAAACAATCCTGAATATTGTAGATGTATAAATACTATGAATTATGCTTTTAAATGTAAGAGGCAAAATCTACATTTCCTGTGACTTAAATCTGAATAATAAATTCCTGCAATTTATACCTTGGGGGCAATCCTAAAAGGACATTTTGGACTGCTATGGCCATGATATATGTGATTTCTTTAATCATGTCTCCCCTGTGAGTTATATTACTTGCTTTAAAGAGTGTGGGGGCAGCCATTTTGCTTCTCAGAGCAGTTCAAGTGTTAGTTTTGATATGTAGCTTAGTCCTTAGCTATCTTTAAGATCATTTTTCTTCACATATGCAGCTATAACCTTTGAGAATTTTGAGTGTTTCTAATCTAATATTCCTTGAATTAGAGAGCTGAGAGCTGAATGAGAAGTATTCAAGGAGAAAGATGCTTACCATAATATGATTCTTAGTTCAAAAATTCATTCATCCATAGCTTTAAAAAGACCCAATACACTGACCTTCAGGTCAGGGGAACAAGTCACATTTTATTGAGAAGGACGATTTGAGCCTATAAAAATGTCCTGTAGTTTATCATTTCTCTTTAAAGAAATAATAGCTTTAAAGTGTAGTAACTGTGGACCCAAAGGAAACATTTTTTTGGATCATTTTACCATAACATTTTTTAAAAGGCCCAGAGAGTAATGGAAAGTAGATAACCCCCCCTCCCCATATCTGTCTATTGAATAAATAGGCAAACCTAGCCTGCTTCTTTATGTAGCAAATCATTATAAGTCTGATCAGCTTTCACTGGCATAACTGCTAAGAAATATGGTCTATTTCTTTCTTTGTAGCTTTGAAGCCACAAAGGAATTTATTTCTTTATCAATTTTAACTATGTTAATAAGACAAAATAAGCAAAGTAACAACATTATAAATTTATTTTGAAAGTGTTAAGTAAGATATCCAGATATTTAGATATTTAAAAGCACCTGGATTAAAAACAAACAAAAAACATTATGTGTGTTATTTTCATGGGAATATACAGAATTAGCATTTGAAAGACATGGCCCTAATCCTGATTTTGTTTGTTCCTGCCTGTTAAATGGGTAAAATAAAATCAGTCCCACTTTTTTTCTGTGTATAATAAGAGAAGTATATTAGATGTGTCTACTCAATCAATTTCTTAGTCATAAGAAACAAAACCTATTCTAATTTGTTAACAAAAAAGGAAACATATAGAAGGATATTATGTAATATACCTTATCACCATGAAGTCATGAGAATTATAGAGCCTCCCTAGCTGGGAATAATACTCCATTGCCACTACAAGAACATCATTGCTACTGGGAACCAAATGGCACCATTTCTGTCTCTGCCACTGCTGTGTCTGAAAGAGGCACATCGGCTGGGCCGTGGCTCATTGCTGTAATACCAGCACTTTGGGAAGCTAAGGTGAGAGGATTGCTTGAGCCCAGGAGTTCAAGACGAGCCATGGTAACATAGCGAGATTCTGACTCTACAAAATAATAATTTTTTAAAACAGAAAAAGGAGAGTTTCTTCCCCCACTTTTACCAGAATGAGCTCCACTGTTGCTTCTGACTCAAAATCTCACTCACTGATGAGATTACAGAAGCCAGTTCACACACCTGTGAAATATGCAAAGTAATTTTCTGGCCTGTATTTTGGGAAGGCATGGACTCAGCTCGTTATTTCTACAAATATATAAAGGGTGTTAGAAAGTTTTGGTGGCTACAAAACACAAAGTCAAGCTTCACTGTATACCCTTAGTCCTAAAATTATGGATATCTATTAATATATAAGGGATGTAATTTACAGGTAATTAAAATTTTCACTTTGCATGGAGCTATTTTGACATCATAGAAACGCAATTTTGATCAACTACGCTAGCTAGGAATTCGACATATAAAGAGGTTTTTGTGCCACCCAATAGATTTTGCTACCTCAAGTTATGACAGTGCCAGTGCAATTAATTGAATGGATAAATGGTCAACCAGTTGTTCTGTCAAATGCTTCCTCCAGCCAATTTAAGTAAAAGACAAAGGCAGATAGTTATTTATTGAATGATAAAGACAGAAATTTTAATTATACTTAAAGCTAGGGGTAAAAAAATTTTGATAAATATCCAGAACCCCAGAGCTGCATAAAGAATCACAAGATAAAATTACTTTTTAGATTTTGATAGTTTCTAGTTTGTTTTTTAATTTTTACACATTTTTGCATGTTAGGTAATCTATAAACATTTTTATGTTTTTTAACTAGGATACTTTAATTAGTATAGTGAATAAAATGTAAAATTATGAGATTAATTTGAGTCTAGTTGGCAAAATTAGATTTTTTTTCCTATTCCATGGAAATATTTACAGTTGTTCTAAAACCACAAAGTAAATTGTATTTAGAATTTTCCTGTGCATATCAGCTGCATTTTTACTAGAGTTGTGTGTCACTCAGTTGGTATAAATTTGGGTCCCTGTGGGTGCCCAGCTGTTCTTCTCTTGTTGTATATCTTGCAGATTGTATCTGAGCATGGAACTTCTTTGAAGCTAACATTAATCTCATGCTAGGACCTGTTTAAAGGTGTGTGCACTTCTTTCCCTCCTCTCTACATCACACCACTCTTATGCCTATAGTTTTATTTTATATTAATTTCCAGAAATATTCCTGGAGCAAAAATAAAGCCCATAAGGCCTGTATATGTAGTCTTTTAGTCAATCTAAAAACGTATCATTTTAAAGAATATCTAGCTCATAATTTAATATTACAGATTGATTGAATCAGTTTGCAAATAAACTTTAAAATTATTTATATACACACACACATATATATATTTCAGATAAAAGAAATAACTACATCATTGGTTATATTCATAATTTTAAAAAAAATTTAATGGAGATGGGGGTCTTGCTATGTTGCCCAACCTGGTCTCAAACTTCTGGCCTCAAGCAATCCTCCCACCTCAGCCTCCCAAAGTGCTGGGATTCCAGACATAAGCCACCCACACCTGGCCTATATTCATAATTTGCCTTACTCCTTTTATGTATTTATATTGCAGGTAAATGAAATAATTGCATTATTGGTCATGTTCATACTTTATCTTATTGCTTTTATATATTTATATTTCAAATAAATTTAATAATTAAATCACTGGTCATATTCATACCTTGTCTTACTTCTCATTTCAGCGATTATGCTGAATTCAATTGTCATTAAACATGAATCTTGGGTCCCAATTCTGACAGCCCCAACAAGACCATAAGAAGGAGGAAGTGGCACTTAAGTAATGCTTAACCAAATAAGCAAACAAACAAACAGAAACAAATATCCAATACGTAACTTCTTTAGATATCCTTTCTTTATTTAACTGTTGCCTTCTTTATTTCTTTTTCTTTTCTTTTCTTTCTTTTTTTTTTTTTTTTTTGAGATAGAGTCTTGCTCTCTTGCCCAGGCTGGAGTGCAATGGGGCAATCTCAGCTCACTGCAACCAACCTCTGTCTTCCGGGTTCAAGCTATTCTGTCTCAGTCTCCCAAGCAGCTGGGATTACAGGCACATGCCACCATACCCAGCTAATTTTTGCATTTTTAGTAGAGATGGGGTTTCACTATGTTGACCAGGCTGGTCTCGAACTCCTGACCTCAGGTGATCCACCTGCCTCAGCCTCCTAAAATGCTGGGATAACAGGTGTGAGCCACTGTGCCCGGTTGCCTTCTTTATTTCTTTGTAGTAATCAGTGAAAAAATCTTTGATGTTTTATTTCAGGATGTGAGAGAGATTGTACCCTAGTAATGTAGTAAATTTTGAAGAGATAGGAGCCCTAAGAAAAGGTACAGAATGAGGTACGCCTGCAAAGGAGATGAAAACAGGTAGCATCCTTGGGTCTATAAAGGAAATGGAATGAAAAGAAGTATTACAAGATGCCATCCCGAGATAGGGAAATGAAACCAGACAATAATAAGCACACCAAGTTAGCCTTATAAGAGACCTAGTCCACTTCCAAATGTTTCCAAGCATGTACAATTATCATTGTTATGCAATCTCTTCAAAAAGTGCTTTTATACACAATAAAATGTGGCCAAATATGCCTGCAAAAATATACTGTTTTGTATAAGAAATATTTTGAACTAAAGACATTTGAAAAACAACAGATGCAAGAAGGGCATTCTAATTTCCCCGTTGCTTCTTGAAAACAGATGAAATTTCCCATGTGAAAGATGCCCTTCCTGTATTAGGAGAAAACATTCTTCAAGGGGAAGTCATGGTCAAGAGACTTCGGCACAATCAAACTTTGTTAAGATAATTCCTCTTTTCCTTTATCCTCCCCACATAATTTAGTTAATTTTCAACAGTTGCATCTCTTTATTCCATATAATATAAAATCTCTTGGGTTTTGCCACTTTTTTGGATCTTCATTCTCTTGTGAGTGGTTCTATGTCATGTAAACATATATTAAACGTGGATGTTTTTCTCCTCTTATCTCTCTTATATGTCAATTTAATTCTCAGGCCCGGCCAAGAACTTTAAGAGAGTAAGTATCAATGTGTTATAGGCTCAGTTTATGATTTTCCATTCCTTCCTTTAAACATGTTAAGTTTAGCCTACACCTGCCTCCTTACATATTTTAAGTTTGGCTTAAAGGTTTCTCTGTATTTAGTGAACTGTAACTTAACTGGATGTATAAACAGACTGTAACTTTCTCTTGGGCCAATCGCCATGTTTCAGCTGATCAGAGGCTCAAATTGTGTTCAAATAAGGCAAAGCTGAGCAGTAAGCAGTCTGGCTGTCTCTGTTTTGTGTATGTCAGTTTTCTTTTTCTATTCATAATTCTTCAACCATGTGGAAACCCTGGAGTCTCTTTGAACCTATTCTGGATAAGGACCTGCTCAATTCTCCAATCATTTTTTGCTCAGTTAAACTCTGTGAAACCTAATTCGTCTAAGGTTTTTCTTTTAAAAAACTTAAGATTTAGTTTTCCTGGTTTGAAATTGAGTGTTGAGAAAATATTTTTGCGTGTCTGCACAGTCATGGCTTTCTCAAAACATTTTCCTGAAAAAGTGGAATCTTGGTCTTATAGCCAGACTTGCAAGTTAATTTGCAGCTGTATTCATAGTGAAAGAACTCCTTGGAAATTTAGCTAACTCCAAAGATATTTGTTTATATTTCAAGGGCAAATGAGGCCCATTACTTTGGAGACAAATCTGGCTGCAGATACTGGACTTATCAGCCCTTTGGAAAATTTATTTTCTTACCAAAGGAGTGGAGTAAGGATCTATTCTCTGTACTTTTCCAAGAAGCACTCTCAGAAAATGAGGAGATAGAATAGTCTTTTTGTCTTCTAAAAGCAAAGAACAATTCATTTTTTATTATTTTTCTCTTGCATAAGAAGGATCTGACCATTTACATAAGAGATTTGTTCATTTGGCTTTCCTCATATCATACTAAACATAAAAATTAAGGCAGAAAGGACCAATAGTTATTAAAATGTAAATAATAATAATTAATCTGGTTCTAGCCCAGAACACTTTATGTTGACATTCACTATAACATTAATATTGATGAATATTAATAACACAATGTGTTGGGAAGAGGAGTGTCAGAAATTCTTGCCACATTCAAAAGTTTCAGCTGTAGGATAGTTCTTATTAATAGAGGATTTAATAAAAGTTGCAATGGAATAAATTGTTTTGATAGTAAAGCAAAGAAACAAAAAAAGATAAAGGTACAGGAAGCAAACTTTATCATATAAATTAATAATTTATTTCTTCATTGTATTAGAGGTTAATATCCAGGAATGGACAAGCTTTAGAAAGGTTGGGGGAGAAACTGGAGGGTGAACTCAGGTCAGATGGAGACACATCATGTGTGCACTAATAAAGGCTTCAAATTTTTAAGATAATAAGTGTTAATATATAATAGAGATAATAATAATAAATAGCAAATAATGTTAGTGACAGGAGGTAATCAAATGCCTAGGCAGATAGAGGTGGGTCCCTGGTGAAACACCACCTTCAAGCCAAAGACAGTTTAAAGCCTGAAAACCAAGCCACAAGTCTCGGATGAATCTCTAGACTACATTGGGAACCTCTCTTCCAGTTTGGTGAGCTTTCCTCAATTTGATCCCCATCCTTCACCTATTTTACATATACCTACCTGTCTCTAATTGGTTTTTAACACTATCATGTCCTCCTTTGAGTGGTGTCTTTCTTGCATACTCACAGAACAATCAGCACACACTCTCTCATTATGAGCCCATAAAAGCCCCAGACTCAGCCATACTTGGAGAGAGACTAGCTGCCTTTGATCAAGGGACCACCTGCTTCTCCACTGTGAGCTGTTCTGTCACTCAATAAAACTCTTCTCTGCCCTTCTCACCTTTCAATTGTCAGTGTAACCTCATTCTTTTTGGACACAGGACAAGAACTTGAGACCCATCGAGTGCAGGTACAAAAAAGGCTGTAACACTGTGGCTCTCTGTCCTCTGCCAGAACCCAGCAGCCACTCCACATGATGGGAAGCAGCAGTGGTTCCAGGCCAATCCTGGAGTCGTGGGCCAGAGTGGAGCAGTGGGACTGAAAGAGCAGTTAGCATGTTGTAACACCCACTTTGGGGCTTTGAGGTCACTGGCATCCCTGTTCGGGTGCTGCTGTGTTCCCCTTGTCTGGATGCCAGCATCCCCCATGGGAGTTGCTTGTGGCATGCCTGATCCAGCCACAAGTCCTGCACAGAGCCCACTCCTATGCCAGTGCTTGGAGTGGCCGACTGGACCCTGCACTCACATGCTCACACACCCACTACCACCACAGGCTGAGCGCACAGTTGTAGTGGCCACAGGATCCATGCTGGAGCGCAAGATGGGCACAGTCTGGGGGGCCGAGTCAGCAAGGCACCTCTTGTGGCAAGCCACGGCCTGAGTGAGTCCTGAGCGGACACGTTGCCAGCCACATTGGCCTCCAGCTGACAAAGCAGCACCAAAAAGAAATCCTGCACCAATAATAAAGATACTAAGGACTTTTTAAAAAAACTTTTGAGTTAATATTTATGATTCAAATATATAGAACTAATAATACAATAAATACTAACATATTTTTACACCAGTTTGCAAAAAGGTAGTAAAGTGAAAATTCTGCCATTTTTCAGAGAACAACAATGTTAAATATACAGATTTATCTCCTAATCCATCAACTTCCTTCCCCCATCTTGTCACAAAACTACTAGTCTAAGTCTGATGTTTACATTTCTTATGCGTTTCACTAACTGTACTAAATATATGGGTCAAAACCAATATAGAGTATAGGTTTTAAATGTAAAATTAATTGGTGATATTTTATGGAAAATTTCTTTTGTAATTTGCTTTTCTACTCAAATTAGACTTTTGGTTTGTTTTGTTTGTTCAAATATCGAAATGATCTAAGTTTCTATTTATTTATTCAATTTTTTTTTTGTTTTAGAAATGTGTCTCTGATGAATGTTGGACCAAAGGGAGTAAACAGAACCCAAGACATCTAACAAAATGTTCCCCAGAATTAAGATGAACACCAAAGAGAATAGATAATTTTATGGAAACTATGTTGGTGGGATCCACTTCCAGCTGTGTGGTAAATTTCAAATAGAAATCAATTTTTATTTCAACATAAAAATGGAAGTCAATATTGAATAATAACAATTACCTGAGTAGCTGGGGTTTTTGCTCTTTTTTATATTTATTTTTATTTTAAAAATGAGGATTGTTGTAAAACTAACATGTATTTATAAGAAGTAATACTGAGAGAATACCCTTTACCCAATGTGCCTCAATGGTAACATCCTGTAAAACTGTAGTACAGTATCGCATCCAGGATATTAGCATTTAATAGTCAAGGTGCATAACAATAGAGTTACAAGAAAATACATATAAAGCAAGTTATGCTTCCTTTAGATTTATTTTGCTCTTTTTCTTTTCTAGGCACTGTCATGAGACCTTATATTTTGAATTGGAGACTTGTGTTCTAATATATGCATAGGTTTTCTGCTCTTTGGTGCTTTAGCTTCATTCAACAAATGTTAATGTTTTATTTTCATTTATATTCACTTTAATGTAATTTTTAGAAATTTTATCTAATATTTTTTTTCTTTAACCCATGGATTATTTATTTCTAACACTGTCACAGAGATGAAGTCAGAGCGTCTACTTATAGCCTTGCAAGGGTAAAATTGTAGGTGCCCCACTTGATTTTTTTTTCAAGGATGGAAGTTGGGCCATAGATATTTTCTGTGTTGTTTACCTGAGTAAGGATGTTATTCTCTAAAAGTTGTCTCTCCTGCTATGCTACCTCTTTCTTGGCCCTTTTGCTTCAAAAAAAGGAGGCTTTCTTGGGGGATATTTCTCTATCTGTTCTCATTGATGTTTCCAGATTGCTGGTTTCCTCAATTTCAGGATTTTCATATATGATGAAAAAAAAAAAATCCAGTGGGCTCACCACTATGTCATTCCTTTGGATCCAAGTCTCTAGTGGGTCCAACTTCTCTCCACGTTTCAGAGTCTTAAGTGACTTTTAAATTATTATTTATTTATATATAAATTAATTCGTGTAATTAATAATTATAAATAATGATTTAAAAGACATTTAAGAAGACTCTGAATTTATTTATTATTGTTAAGTTCCGGTGTTTTTAGCTGTACTTAACAGAGGAAGTAAGAAAGATTACATCTACTTCATTGTCCCAGAGGATGAATAATAATGTTGCTCTTAGTATTGCTTTAAAATTTCAAAGAAACAACCATCTCTTTTTGTCTACTTTACCATACACACCTATTATTCTACTTTTTTCTCCCATCTTTACCCAAGGCTTAGAATTACATTGTACTTATGCTTTTCATAATTCAGTGAATGTAACTTGTAAATCATGCATAGTCATTATAATGCCTCCTTGCTGTTACATGTTATTTTTCCTTTTTCCAATATTGAACAATATTAGTGTAAATTAGAAATTAGTTTATTTCTTCCATAGTGAGATATTTCTATAATTTTTATTATCTTATTTTTATCATTTATTGAAATATTATTCATGTCTGTGTAGGAAATGGAAAAAAATTTCTCAAACTTCTAATGACCCATACTTTGACTACAAATATTATCTTTAAATATTGCTGTTAATGTTTTATACACACAAACTACACAAGAAAAATATGAAAGACATTTGATTTTGGAATCACTAGCAGGGTACCTGGCATATGGATGTTACAAAATATTTAAAATACATCATTACATAATCTCAACTGCAGAGGAAAAAAATGAGAAACTTCTACTTGCTTATTGAGAACTACTTCTAATGTTTATACAACTTCTTCTAAATTTACTACATTTGGTATTATTTTGAGGACCCAATGTAAGAAAACCATGTTAACCTATTTTAAACATAAAGTTACAAAATATCCTAATAGTAAGTTTTCTGCACTATACTTTTGAATATAACTCAATATACTATAAATATAAAATATTACTGGAAAAATTATCCTAAGATTAGATTGAACCTCTTGTGAACATATGTACATGTACTAATGGCAAGCATAGATTTCTGTTTATTTCCCTGTTTCAGTGGTAGATGGACAAATTTAAGTTGTAATACCTGTTTTTATCTTATTATTTCAAGTAATTTTTAGATGCAAAAATGTCCTATTTTTAATACTTGTGGCTGAAAATAGTATTCCATCAAAGACATAAATCACAGTTCTCTGTGTCTCAAACTTAACTAACGAGTTGTTATAGTAAATCAACCAAATATACTTTTTTTTCTATAAATATATGGAGTGGTCCTAGAAATAAAAGCATCATGGTGCTGGATAATACAGCTGGCCAAGTATATACATTTTAAGGTGTATGTAAGGTGGATTTCTATGAAAGATAGATCAATTGATAATAATAAGAAACAGATGTAAACATTCTTTTGAATAAATTTGCATTAAAAATTGTAAAGTTAATTAACAATTATGAAATTCTTTTTCAAAAATATGTATTTAATTCCTGTTTGTAGTGAAGATTGTAACTTCACTTCTAGAATTCCCAGATAATTGTTGGAAAGAACCACAGTAAACATAAGTCAAATTATGATAAAGTTATGAAGCAAAGATGCAGACAGCTTTGAAAATATGTACAAGGGGCATCTGCCATCCCTGAGTAGATGATTAAAAAGGGCTTTCTTAAGGCATCTAGAAACAGCATAACATAATCATTTGGTACTCTGTGGTTCCTTACCATGGCAGCAGGCTAGGTTTCTTCATGTTACGGCCTGCAGCAAGATGACCTGTATTTGAATTCTAGTTGTTTTTTTTTGTTTGTTTTTGTTTTGTTTTGTTTTGTTTTTTTCAGTTTAAGACCTTAGGGAAGGTATCAAATCCCTTCGTGCTTCAATATTTATAATCTCTGAAAATACAAGCAATAATACCTGGTTATTAGGATTGCATGGTGTAATATTTGTAAAACATTTAGAAATGTACCTCACACATAGAAAATGTCTTTTAAGTTCTGGATTAAAAAATAAAGATGATCAATGGCTTAAATCTAAGACCTGAAACTATAAAAATTCTAGAAGGTAACATTGGAAAAACCCTTCTAGACATTGGCTTAGGCACGGATTTCATGGCCAAGAACCCCCCCCCCAAAAATGCAATAAAAAAAGATAAATAGCTGGGACTTAATTAAACTAAAGAGCTTCTACACAGCAAAAGGAACAGTCAGCAGAGTAAAAGACAACCCACAGAGTGGGAGAAAATCTTCACAATCTATACATATGACAAAGGACTAATACCCAGAATCTACAATGAACTCAAACAAATTAGCAAAAAAAAAAAAAGAACCCAAAAATTCCACCAAAAAGTGGGCTGACATGAATAGACAATTCTCAAAAGAAGATGTACAAATGATCAACAAACATTTGAAATATTGCTCAGTATCGCTAATGATCAGAGAAATGCAAACCAAAACCACAATGCAATACCACTTTACTCCTGCAAGAAGGGCTATAATAAAAAAAAAAATCAAAAAATAATAATGTTGGCATGGATGTGATAAACAGGGAACAATTTTACACTGCTGGTGGGAATGTAAACCAGTGCAACCACTATGGGAAACTGTGAAATTCCTTAAAGAACTAAAAGTACTATCATTTGATCCAGCAATCCACTATTGGGTATCTACAAAGAGGAAAAGAAGGCATTATATGTAAAAGATACTTATTCACACATGTTTATAGCAGCACAATTCACAATTGCGAAAACATGGAACCAACTCAAATGCTCATCAATCAATGAGTGGATAAAGAAACTCTATGTAAAAATTGTAATAAATTGGGTTATTTATTACTTTCTAATATTATTGCTTTTTGTCTTACAGTCTTATATTTTTCTAAATGAATAATATTAAGAAGATAAACAATATCCAAATCATTTTCTTATTTGTACTTCAATATGTCATTATAACAAATGTAATAAAAACAAAATAGCATAAGTTTCTGTTGTAGTAATTTTCTTGCTGCTACAAAAAGGCACATGTTCCCATTCAAAGAATAAATACTAATAATAGTATTGGAAGACCTATATTTCATTTCTGGAAAATAACATTAAACATAGGTACTAAAGTACCTTTTAAAAAGGTCTCATTATTGCAAATTATATTACATATTTTAATATATTTTACTTCTAAGATCTGGAAGATGTAGAATGGTAAATAGTAGTTAACTATATCTATATAATATATCCATTTTTATAATACTTTTTACTATGTTATTTACTTCATCAGCTGGCTTTTGCTGTATAATCGACTACCCAAAATTTAGTGGCTTAAAAGACCAATCATTTTAGATAGATTCTGATACTTTGGGTTGACTGGACTATGGTCTGTGTTTACTTTCCACTGCATTCTTTCACGTGTGTGTCTGTGGTCAGCTAGCAGGTCAGTTTGTGGCTGCATGATCTGCATAACTGTCTTCATATGTCTTTAGTTGGTAGGTTGTTTGGTCTAGGGACCTCAGCTGGGGTGACTGATTTGCAATCTGTGGTTTCTAACCATGCAATAAGTTAGGCTTGGTTGTTTCACATCATGGCCAAAGTGTTCCAAGAGCAGCAAGAGAAGGTAGAATCCAAAGTACAAGTTATTTTCAAGTCTGTGCTTATGTGGCATGTGTTACTGTCCCATTGGCCAAAACAAGTCATGTGGCAATGCAGTAGAGCATTGTGGATGAAGACAATATCCAACAGCATAAATATAGGGAAGAAGACTATTGCACGCACTTTTTAAAACAATAATCCTTATGGTTATTAACCTTTGCTCTAAAATGTGCTGCATAATAAAATATATAATATCAATACATATCTGCCTGAGCCTTATCTATACCTTTAAATTAAGATCAGAGATGATGGTGTGGGAAATGTAGGATGAAAAAAGCCACATCAGGAATTATATAGTTGATATGGTCTGGATATTTGTCCCCAAGGATGAAGGTGGGGTCTGGTTGGAGGTGGTTTGGTAGTGAGGGCAGACCCTTCACAGCTTGATACTGACCTTGTAATAGTGAGTGAGTTCTCAAGAGATCTAGTCATTTAAAAGTTTGTGGCACCTCCCCCCACTGTCTTTCTCTTTTGCTACTTCTTTTGCCACGTTTAGTGCTTGTTCTTGCTTTGTCTTTCTCCATGATTGTAAGCTTCCCAAGGCCTCTCCAGAAACCTAGGAGATGCTAGCACCCACCATGCTTCCTATAAAGCTTGTATAACTGTGGGCCAATTAAACCTCTTTTATTTATATATTACCCAGTCCCAGGTAGTTCTTTATAGCAATGTAAGAATGGACTAACTGAAAAAATTGGCACAGAAGGCTGGGACTTTGCTATAAAAATACCTAAAAATATGGAAGCAACTTTGGTACTGGGTAACAGGCAGAGGTAGGAAGAGTTTGGAAAGCTCAGAAGAAGACAGGAAGATGAAAGGAATTTTGAAGCTTGAAACTAGTTGAATGCTTGTGACCAAATGCTGATAGTGATATGGACAGTGAAGTCCATGCTGCCGAAGCCTCAGATGGAAATGAGGAATTTACTGGGAGCTAGAGCAATGGTTACACGTCATGCCTTAGCAAAAAGCTTTCTGCATTCTGCTCATGCCCTAAGGATTTGGGAAGTTTGAACTTGAGAATGATAATTTAGGGTATCTGGCTGAAGATATTTCTTTTTTTTTTTTTATTATGCTTTAAGTTTTAGGGTACATGTGCACATTGTGCAGGTTAGTTACATATGTATAAATGTGCCATGCTGGTGCGCTGCACCCACTAACTCGTCATCTAGCATTAGGTATATCTCCCAATGCTATCCCTCCCCCCTCCCCCCACCCCACCACAGTCCCCAGAGTCTGATATTCCCCTTCCTGTGTCCATGTGATCTCATTGTTCAGTTCCCACCTATGAGTGAGAATATGTGGTGTTTGGTTTTTTGATCTTGCGATAGTTTACTGAGAATGATGATTTCCAATTTCATCCATGTCCCTACAAAGGACATGAACTCATCATTTTTTATGGCTGCATAGTATTCCATGGTGTATATGTGCCACATTTTCTTAATCCAGTCTATCATTGTTGGACATTTGGGTTGGTTCCAAGTCTTTGCTATTGTGAATAATGCTGCAATAAACATACGTGTGCATGTGTCTTTATAGCAGCATGATTTATAGTCATTTGGGTATATACCCAGTAATGGGATGGCTGGGTCAAATGGTAATTCTAGTTCTAGATCCCTGAGGAATCGCCACACTGACTTCCACAAGGGTTGAACTAGTTTACAGTCCCACCAACAGTGTAAAAGTGTTCCTATTTCTCCACATCCTCTCCAGCACCTGTTGTTTCCTGACTTTTTAATGATTGCCATTCTAACTGGTGTGAGATGTTATCTCATAGTGGTTTTGATTTGCATTTCTCTGATGGCCAGTGATGATGAGCATTTTTTCATGTGTTTTTTGGCTGCATAAATGTCTTCTTTTGAGAAGTGTCTGTTCATGTCCTTTGCCCACTTTTTGATGGGGTTGTTTGTTTTTTCTTGTAAATTTGTTTGAGTTCACTGTAGATTCTGGATATTAGCCCTTTGTCAGATGAGTAGGTTGCAAAAATTTTCTCCCATTTTGTAGGTTGCCTGTTCACTCTGATGGTAGTTTCTTTTGCTGTGCAGAAGCTCTTTAGTTTAATTAGATCCCATTTGTCAATTTTGTCTTTTGTTGCCATTGCTTTTGGTGTTTTGGACATGAAGTCCTTGCCCATGCCTATGTCCTGAATGGTAATGCCTAGGTTTTCTTCTAGGGTTTTTATGGTTTTAGGTCTAATGTTTAAGTCTTTAATCCATCTTGAATTGATTTTTGTATAAGGTGTAAGGAAGGGATCCAGTTTCAGCTTCCTACATATGGCTAGCCAGTTTTCCCAGCACCATTTATTAAATAGGGAATCCTTTCCCCATTGCTTGTTTTTCTCAGGTTTGTCAAAGATCAGATAGTTGTAGGTATGTGGCATTATTTCTGAGGGCTCTGTTCTGTTCCATTGATCTATATCTCTGTTTTGGTACCAGTACCATGCTATTTTGGTTACTGTAGCCTTGTAGTATAGTTTAAAGTCAGGTAGTGTGATTCCTCCAGCTTTGTTCTTTTGGCTTAGGATTGACTTGGCAATGCGGGCTCTTTTTTGGTTCCATATGAACTTTAAAGTAGTTTTTTCCAATTCTGTGAAGAAAGTCATTGGTAGCTTGATGGGGATGGCATTGAATCTGTAAATTACCTTGGGCAGTATGGCCATTTTCACGATATTGATTCTTCCTACCCATGAGCATGGAATGTTCTTCCATTTGTTTGTATCCTCTTTTATTTCATTGAGCAGTGGTTTGTAGTTCTCCTTGAAGAGGTGCTTCACATCCCTTGTAAGTTGGATTCCTAGGTATTTTATTCTCTTTGAAGCAATTGTGAATGGGAGTTCACTCATGATTTGGCTCTCTGTTTGTCTGTTGTTGGTGTATAAGAATGCCTGTGATTTTTGTACATTGATTTTGTATCCTGAGACTTTGCTGAAGTTGCTTATCAGCTTAAGGAGATTTTGGGCTGAGACAATGGGGTTTTCTAGATATACAATCATGTCATCTGCAAACAGGGACAATTTGACTTCCTCTTTTCTTAATTGAATACCCTTTATTTCCTTCTCCTGCCTAATTGCCCTGGCCAGAACTTCCAACATTATGTTGAATAGGAGCGGTGAGAGAGGGCATCCCTGTCTTGTGCCAGTTTTCAAAGGGAATGCTTCCAGTTTTTGCCCATTCAGTATGATATTGGCTGTGGGTTTGTCATAGATAGCTCTTATGATTTTGAAATATGTCCCATCAATACCTAATTTATTGAGAGTTTTTAGCATGAAGGTTGTTGAATTTTGTCAAAGGCCTTTTCTGCATCTATTGAGATAATCATGTGGTTTTTGTCTTTGGCTCTGTTTATATGCTGGATTACATTTATTGATTTGCATGTATTGAACCAGCCTTGCATCCCAGGGATGAAGCCCACTTGATCATGGTGGATAAGCTTTTTGATGTGCTGCTGGATTCGGTTTGCCAGTATTTTATTGAGGATTTTTGCATCAATGTTCATCAAGGATATTGGTCTAAAATTCTCTTTTTTGGTTGTGTCTCTGCTCAGCTTTGGTATCAGAATGATGCTGGCCTCATAAAATGAGTTAGGGAGGATTCCCTCTTTTTCTATTGATTGGAATAGTTTCAGAAGGAATGGTACCAGTTCCTCCTTGTACCTCTGGTAGAATTCAGCTGTGAATCCATCTGGTCCTGGACTCTTTTTGGTTGGTAAACTATTGATTATTGCCACAATTTCAGCTCCTGTTATTGGTCTATTCAGAGATTCAACTGCTTCCTGGTTTAGTCTTGGGAGATTGTATGTGTCGAGGAATTTATCCATTTCTTCTAGATTTTCTAGTTTATTTGCGTAGAGGTGTTTGTAGTATTCTCTGATGGTAGTTTGTATTTCTGTGGGATCGGTGGTGATATCCCCTTTATCATTTTTTATTGCGTCTATTTGATTCTTCTCTCTTTTTTTCTTTATTAGTCTTGCTAGGGGTCTATCAATTTTGTTGATCCTTTCAAAAAACCAGCTCCTGGATTCATTGATTTTTTGAAGGGTTTTCTGTGTCTCTATTTCCTTCAGTTCTGCTCTGATTTTAGTTATTTCTTGCCTTCTGCTAGCTTTTGAATGTGTTTGCTCTTGCTTTTCTAGTTCTTTTAATTGTGATGTTAGGGTGTCAATTTTGGATCTTTCCTGCTTTCTCTTGTGGGCATTTAGTGCTATAAATTTCCCTCTACACACTGCTTTGAATGCGTCCCAGAGATTCTCGTATGTTGTGTCTTTGTTCTCGTTGGTTTCAGAGAACATCTTTATTTCTGCCTTCATTTCGTTATGTACTCAGTAGTCATTCAGGAACATGTTGTTCAGTTTCCATGTAGTTGAGCGGCTTTGAGTGGGATTCTTAATCCTGAGTTCTAGTTGGATTGCACTGTGGTCTGAGAGACAGTTTGTTATAATTTCTGTTCTTTTACATTTGCTGAGGAGAGCTTTACTTCCAACTATGTGGTCAATTTTGGAATAGGTGTGGTGTGGTGCTGAAAAAAATGTATGTTCTGTTGATTTGGGGTGGAGAGTTCTGTAGATGTCTATTAGGTCCGCTTGGTGCAGAGCTGAGTTCAATTCCTGGGCATCCTTGTTGACTTTCTGTCTTGTTGATCTGTCTAATGTTGACAGTGGGTTGTTAAAGTCTCCCATTATTAATGTGTGGGAGTCTAAATCTCTTTGTAAGTCACTCAGGACTTGCTTTATGAATCTGGGTGCTCCCGTATTGGGTGCATATATATTTAGGATAGTTAGCTCTTCTTGTTGAATTGATCCCTTTACCATTATGTAATGGCCTTCTTTGTCTCTTTTGGTCTTTGTTGGTTTAAAGTCTGTTTTATCAGAGACTAGGATTGCAACCCCTGCCTTTTTTTGTTTTCCATTTGCTTGGTAGATCTTCCTCCATCCTTTTATTTTGAGCCTATGTGTGTCTCTGCACGTGAGATGGGTTTCCTGAATACAGCACACTGATGGATCTTGACTCTTTATCCAATTTGCCAGTCTGTGTCTTTTAATTGGAGAATTTAGTCCATTTATATTTAAAGTTAATATTGTTATGTGTGAATTTGATCCTGTCATTATGATGTTAGCTGGTGATTTTGCTCGTTAGTTGATGCAGTTTCTTCCTAGTCTCGATGGTCTTTACATTTTGGCATGATTTTGCAGCGGCTGGTACCGGTTGTTCCTTTCCATGTTTAGCACTTCCTTCAGGAGCTCTTTTAGGGCAGGCCTGGCTGAAGATATTTCTAAGTAGCAAAGCATTAAGAGGTAGTCTGGCTGCTTCTAGCAACCTAAGCTCACATGTGGGAGCAAGAAAATAACTCAAATTAGAAATTCATATTTAACAGTAAAGCAAAGCGTAAAAATTTGGAAAAATTTGCAGCCTTGCAAGTGGCAGAGAAAGAAAGAGCTTTTTTAGCAACAGGAATTCAAGCAGGGTATGAAGCAACCACTTGTTAAAGAAATTTGCATAACTAAAAGGGAGCCAAATGCTGACAGCCAAAACAAGGAAGAAAAGGCCTGGAAGGTATTTGAGAAACCTTCACAGCAACCCCTCCCATCACATTCTCTAAGGCCTAGGAGGGAAGAATAGTTTCCTGGGCCAGACCAAGGGCCCCTCTGGCCTGCACAATTTTGGGACACTGCTTCCCTCATCCCAGTTGCTTGGGTTCAGCCTTGTCTCAAAGGGCCCCAGATGCTGCTTGTGCTGCTGCTTTGGAGAGCACAAACTACCTTAAGCCCTGATGACTTACATTTGTTTTTAAGCCTGTTGGTACACACAGTGCAAGAATAAATGAGACCAAGCACCCTCTGCCTAGGTTTCAGGAGATACATGGAAAAGCCTTGGTGCCCAGGCAGGAACCTGCATCGGGGGAGAGCCCTCACAGAGAATCTTACTAGGGCAGTGTGAAGGGAATTTTTGGGGTTGGAGACACCACACAGAGTCTCCAATGGAACACTGTCTAGTGGAATTGTGATAAGGGAGCTGATATGATTTGGCTCTGTGACCCTACCCAAATCTCATCTTGAATTGTACTCCCATAATTTCCACATGTTGTGGGAGGGACCCCATGGGAGATAATTGAATCATGGGGGCAGTTTCCTCTATACTGTTATCATGGTAGTAAATAAGTCCCATGAGACCTGTCGGTTTTATCAGGGGTTTTCCGCTTTTGTGTCGTCTTCATTTCTCTCTTTGCCTGCTGCCATCCATGTAAGATGGGACGTGCTCCTCCCTTTCTTCCGCCAAAATTGTGAGGCTTCCCCAGCCACTTGAAACTGTATTAAACTTCTGACTTTTGTAAATTGCCCACTCTCGGGTATGTCTTTATCAGCAGTGTGAAAATGGACTAATACAGTAAATTGGTACCAGTAGAGTGTGGCGCTGCTGGGAAGATACCCAAAAATGTAGCAGCAACTTTGGAACTGGGTAACAAGTAGAGGTTGAAACAGTTTGGAGGGCTCAGAAGACAGGAAAATGTGGGAAAGTTTGGAACTTTCTAGAGACTTGTTGAATGGCTTTAGCCAAAATGCTGATCGCAATATGGATAATAAGGTCCAAGCTGAGATGGTCTCAGATGGAGATGAAGAACTTGTTGGAAACTGGAGCAAAGCTGACTCTTGTTATGTTTTAGCAAAGAGACTGGCAGCATTTTGCCCCTGCCCTAGAGATTTGTGCAACTTTGAACTTGAGATAGATAATTTAAGGTATCTGGTAGAAGAAATTTCTAAGCAGCAAAGCATTCAAGAGGTGACTTGAGTGCTATTAAAAGAACTAAGTTTTAAAAGGAAAACAGAGTATAGAAGTTTGAAAAATGTGCAACCTGACAATGTGATAGTAAAGAAAATCCAATTTTCTGAGGAGAAATTCAAGCAGACTGCACAAATTTGCCTAAGAAACAAGGAGCCAAATGTTAATCCCCAAGACAATGGGGAAAATGTCTCCAGGGCATGTCAGAGGTCTTCAGCTAGCCCCTCCCATCACAGGCTCAGAGGCCTAGGAGAAGAAGTGATTTTGTGGGCTGTGCCCAGGGTCTCTGTGCTAAGTGCAGCCTAAGTAATTGGTGCCCTGCATCCCAGTCACTCCAGCAGAGGATGAAAGGGGCCAATGTAGAGCTTGGGCCATGGCTTCAGAGGGAGGAAGCCCCACGTGTTGGCAGCTTCCATGTGGTGTTGAGCCTGTGAGTGCACAGAAGTAAAGGATTGAGGTTTGGGAACCTCAATCTAGATTTCAGAAGATGTATGGAAACACCTGGATGTCCAGACAGAAGTTTGCTGCAGGGTTGGAGCTTTCATGAAGAATCTCTGCTCAGGCAGTATGGAAGGGAAATGTGGGGTTGAAGCCCCTACACGGAGTCCCTACTGGGATGCTACCTAGTGGAGCTGTGAGAAGAGGGTCCTCCAGACCCGAGAATGGTAGATCCACCAACAGCTTGCGCTTTGCACCTGGAAAAGCCGCAGACACTCAACACCAGCCCATGAAAGCGGCCAGGAGGGAGGCTGTACCTTGCAAAACCACAGGGACAGAGCTTCCCAAGACCATGGGAACCCACCACTTGTATCAGCGTGACCCGAATGTGAGACATGGAGCCAAAGGAGATCATTTTGGAGTTTTAAGATGTGACATCCTTGCTGGATTTCCGACTTGCATGGGCCCCGTAGCCCCTTTGTTTCGGCCAGTTTCTCCCATTTGAAACATTGTATTTAACCAATGTCTGTACTTCCATTTTAACTAGGAGATAACTACCTTGCTTTTGATTGTACAGCCTCATAGGAGAAAAAGACTTGCCTTATCTCAGATGAGACTTTGGACTGTGGACTTTTGAGTTGATTCTGAAATGAGTTAAGAGTTTGGGGTACTGTTGGGAAGGCATGATTGGTTTTGAAATGTAAGGACATGAAATTTGGCAGGGGCCAGGGGTGGAATGATATGATTTGGCTCTGTGTCCCCAGCCATATCTCATATTGAATTGTACTCCCACAATCCCTCATGTTGTGGGAGGGACCTGGTGGGAGAAAATTGAATCATGGGGGCAGTTTCCTCCATATTGTTCTTATGGTAGTAAATAAGTCTCATGAAATCTGATGGTTTTATCAGGGATTTCTGCTTTTGTGTCTTCCTCATTTCTCTCTTTGCCTGCTGTCATCCATGTAAGACAGGACATGCTTCTCCTTGCCTCCTGCCATGATTGTGAGGCTTCACTTGCCATGTGGAACTGTAAGTCCAATTAAACCTCTTTCTTTTTTTTTTTTTTTTTTTTGTAAATTGCCCAGTGTCCAGTATGTCTTTATCAGCGATAACAGACTAATACAGGGACCCCCATAATTCAGACTCTAGAATAGGAGATCCACCAGCTGCCTGCACTCTGCACCTGGAAAAGCCACAGGCATTCAACTCCAACACACGAGAGCAGGCCTGGGGTTAAACCCTGCAAAGCCACAGGGGTGGAGCTGTTTAAGGCCTTGGGGGCCCACCCCTTGACCAGTGTGCCTGGGATGTGGGACATGGAGTCAAAGGATAAAGTTGCCATTGCAAAATTGTAACTGAGACAGTAAAAGAGATCTGACTTATCCAACTCCATCTTGTTTCTAACCTCCAAGCATTCCTCATTCATTCCTGGGCATAGGCTGAACTAACTTTGGAGGAACTTAGTTTATAGTTTAAAGCAAAGATAACAACTCTTTCCCAAAACAAACCTCTTTCTTGCCTGGGGACTAAACTACCTTTGTAAAACTAACAAATTAGCCACAAGATTAGAAATTATAGTATAGGAGTTATTCAGCTGGAGGTGACAAGATTCTGACAGTCCCTAAACTGCTCCCAAGATCATTGCTTGAGATATTTTGCAGACCCTGTACCTGATGGATCAACTTGCACCACCTAGATTACTAACTGGCTCAGCTAATCCTGTGGCCCCCAACGCAGGAACGGATTCAGCACAAGCGCACAACTTTCATTTCCTATGATTTCATCTCTGACCCAACCAATCAGCACTCCCAACTCACTGGCCTTCCTCCAGCCACCAAATTGTTGTTAAAAACTCTGAACGATGAATGCTCTGGAAGACTGATTTGAGTAATAACAAAGCTCTTGTCTCCTGCACAGCTGGCTCTGTGTGAATTACTCTTTCTCTATTGCAATTCCTCTGTCTTGATAAATCAGCTCTGTCTAGGCAGAGGGCAAGGTGAACCCACTGGGCAGTTACAAGGAGATTATTTTGAGGCTTTAAGATTTAATGGCTTCCCTGTTGAGCTTTGAACTTGTATGCAGCTTATAGCCCCATACTTTGACCAATTTCTCCCTTTTGGAAAGGGAATGTTTATTTAATGCCTATACGCCTGTTGTATCTTGGAAGTAGGTAAATTGTTTTTTACTTTACAGAGTGATAAGTATAAGGGACTTGTTTTGTCTCAGATAAATCTTTGGACTGTGGAATTTTGAGTTAATGCTGAAATGAGTAAAGACTTTGGGGACGGTTGGGAAGGCATGACTGTATTTTGCAATGTGAGAAAGACATCAGATTTGGGAGGGTCCAGGGGTGGAATTATGTAGTTCAGATATTGATGACCATCCAACGCTCATGTTGAATTGTAATCTGCTATGCTGGTGGTGGGGCCTGATGGGAGATGTTTGGGTTATGGAGGCTGTATTATTCTGTTCTCACATTGATATAAAGAAATAACGGAGACTGGGTAATTTATAAAGAGAAGAGATTTAATTGACTCATGGTTCTGAATGCTGTACAGAAAGCATAGTGACTTCCGCTGTTGGGGAGGCCTGGGGAAGCTTCTGATCATGGCAGAAGGCAAGGGGGAGCAAGGCATCTTTCATGTCAGGAAGAAGAACAAGAAAGAGAGAGAGAGGGAAGAGGTGCTACACACTTTTAAACAACCAGATGTCATGAGAACTCACTCATTCATTATCACAAGAACAGCACCAAGGGAATGGTGTCAAACCATTCATGAGAAATATGCCCCCATAATCCAATCGCTTCCCACCAGGCCACACCTCCAAAATCGGGGATTACAATTCGACATAAGATTTGGGTGGGAACACAAATCATATCAGGGTTGGATCCCTCAGGGCTTGGTGCTGACTTCAAAGACAGTAAATGACAAAGGATAAATGCTTGATGGAATGGATACCCCATTTTCCATGATGTGCTTATTTCACATTGCATGCTTGTCTCAAAACATTACATGTATTCCATAAATATATACAGCTACTATGTACTCACAAAAATTAAAAATCAGAAAAAGAAGAAAAGAAGAAAAAAAGATAGTGATTTCTCACAAGATCTGGCCTTTTAACAGTGTGTGGCTCCTCCTCCCCCACAACTTTCTCTCTCTTTCTCCTGCTTCTTCAATGTGACGTGCCTGCTCTTGCTTCACCTTCCACCATGACTGTAACCTTCCTGGGGCCTCCCAAGAAGCTGAGAAAATGCCAGTATCATTCTTTCTGCAAAGCCTACCAAACTGTGAGCCAATTAAATCTTTTTTCTTTATAAATTAACCAGTATCAGGTATTTATGCAATGCAAGAATAGCCTAATACAATAATTATTTTACAAAAGCTTGTTTGTTGTAGGATCTATCAAATAGGCTAATAAATCCTGTAGGTACTTCTGGCCTGGTTGTCATAAACGTTAGCAATGTCATTATCGGTATATTCTTTGTTATCGAATCAACAGATATATCTCAGAAGATATTAGAATAAAGGTAATAAACAGAAATAGGCTGAAGTGTTCCTCCCAGGAGAATATTACAATGTGTCAAAATAAACATAATGATATTCTGAAATAGGGGTCCCATTCTAGCTTCAGCTACAGATGCTAACCTTTCTAGGGACATGTTCTAAACATTCCTACTCCAAACAAAGCAGAGAGATGGGAAGAGAATTTTTTTTTAGATAGAAAAGATGTAGTATCATGTAGCCATTTGTGCTCACCAGCTCCAAATTAGACCTCTCTGACATTGGTAATGAGGGCTCACATAAAGAGATAGATATGAAGAACTGAGTGATTCATGCTACACTACTGACGGTAGTAAACCTTCTGGCAAAGAAGCAGTATCCAGAATTTGGGGAATATAAAATTTGGAAAAATAGAATCCATCAGTTCATCCTTTCAAGCCACACTGAATTCTTCTGTTTCTGAGTAACTGCCCTACTAAAGAAGATTTCAGAATTAAATATAACACTGCTGACATCCTAATTCTATTTATTTTATTTTATTTTATTTTTTGAGATGGAGTCTTGGTCTGTTGCCCAGGCTGGAGTACAGTGGCGTGGTCTCAGCTCACTGCAACCTCCACCTCCCAAGTTCAAGCGATTTTCCTGCCTCAGCCTCCTGAGTATCTGGGATTACAGGCGCCTGCCACCACCCCCGGTTAATTTTTTATATTTTTAGTAGAGACAGGATTTCACCATGTTGGCCAGGCTGGTCTCGAAATCCTGACCTTGTAATCCATTCGCCTCAGCCTCCCAAAGTGCTGGGATTACAGGCGTGAACCACCGAGCCCGGCCAACATCCCAATTTTATTCTGCCTCAACACAAAGTAATTTGCTCTCATGTGTTCTTTTCTGTACTGTTATTCTCTTGCCAATGTGTAGATTTTCACCACTGAAGTCACCTTTCTACTCTTCTACTCTTCCCTCCAACTAAAAAACTCCTCAATTAGCTCAGGCTCATCTCCTAAAATTTCTTCTCCTGTCTTAATTTAAATTTGATAATAATCTAGTAATAAAGTGTTTCCTGTTATATTTTTGCTAAAGACTGCTTTTCATTTTATTTTATAAGGAATTCAATATTGAAGGCATTTTGGGGTTTTCTTTGCTTTAAAATGTCCCCATTTCTTCAATAATTAAAATAACACTATACACAAACAGTATATCCTTTGAGATTCTTGTGTCCAGCTTCATCTTAATTTGCCCTCACCTCACTTTACCTATCTGCTCACCAAAGTGTCTCAATTATTTATTATTTTGCCTCTTAACTTATACACTCTGATGTTACTCTTGCCATTGTTATAGATACATTCACCATTCAACAGAGTCACTGTATTAGTTTTCTCGCTGTTGACAAAGACATACCCAAGACTAGGCGATTTACAAAAGAAAGAGGTTTAACCAGACTTACAGTTCCGCGTAGCTGGGAAAGCCTCACATAGCAGAAGGCAAGGAGGAACAAGTCACATCTTAACATGGATGGCAGCAGGCAAAGAGAGAGCTTGCGTAGGGGAATTCCTCTTTTTAACACCATCAGATCTCAGGAGACTTACTATCATGAGAACAGCATGGGAAAGATTTTGCCCTCATGATTTAGTTACCTCTGACTGGGTCCCTCCCACAACACATGAGAATTCAAGATGAAATTTGGGTGGGCCTTCAAAGACTATTTCCTCCATAGCTTCTCCTTAATAAATAAAATCTTATATTTTTAAAATACCAGACTAAAAACTTTGAAGTCGTCTTAGATTCTGCTGTTACTTTCATACTACACAGGCAGTTCCACAGCAAATGATGCTGGTTTTGCTTTCAATAATGTATCTACAATACAGCCAGTACTTATCTTGTATATACTAGTTGAAATCACCATGATCTTATGCTTAGATTATTGCATTAGGGCCCTTACTGGTTTTATTTTACTTCCACCCTACAGTTTAGTGTATCTCAAAAGAGGTATCCAAATACTTTCTTTAAAATAAATATTGCATTATGTCACTTCTCTGATCAAGACCTACCAAGGACTTCCTATTCATTGAAAGGAAAATCTAAATTTTGTAAAATACCTACTAGCTTTTACATAATTTATATAAATACATACACACTTTATGATCTGGCCTCAAGGCTGTCAGGTGCAGAACATAAATTGTGTAGTACACAATATAAAATGAACCAGCAGACCGAATCTTTATAACCATACACGGCAATCTTATATCTTGTTATGTCCTTTTCCCTATTTGTTTTTAAAGTTCAGCAATGCATGCCCTCTTGATTTTCCTCAAAATCATTGGAACCTCCTCCTCAAGTGATTTACATTTTGTTCCTTCTGCTAAAAAATGAATGCTCTTACTTAAGTTAACTATATGATTTGCCCCTTTGGTTTCTTCATATCTTTGCTCAAATGCTACCTTATTACACAAGCCTTTCTTGACCACTATGAATAAAATGACAACACTGCCTGGCTCACTCGACCCCCTGAATCAATTCTGGAATTGTTTGCATTGACATTCTCTTTTGTTCTGTAGTTTATGTCTAGAAAGCTGATCCCTGCAGGCTCTGTTTTCCAGATTCCTGGGCTAGCTGGGTTCAGTTGGGTTTGTTTCATGACAGGGACCAACAGGATTTTTGGAGACCAGAAAAATAAGAGAGGCCAAGTTAATCTTTTTCTCTCTTTATCATAGTGAGTCTTTCTAGCAGACATTGACTTCATTGACTTCTCTGTGTGGCTGTCTTAGTCCACCTTGTGCTGCTTTTAAGAAATACCTGATTGCAGAGAGCCGAGATGGCCCCACTGCACTCCAGCCTGGGTGAAAGAGCGAGACTTCATCTCCAAAAAAAAAAAAAGGACCTGAGGTGGCATAATTTATAGAGAAAAGAGGTTTATTTGGCTCGTGGTTCAGTATGCTCTACAGGAGACGTGACACTAGCTTCTGCTTCTGGGGAGGCCCACGGAAGCTTTCACTCATGGCAGAAAGCAAAGGGGAAGAGGAATCACACGGTGAGAGGAAGGAAGCAAAGATGGGGGTAAGAGGTGCCAGGCTGTTTTTAGCTGTCTCTAACAATCAGTTCTTGTGGGAACTAATAGAGCAAGAACTCACTCATTATCAGGCACAAAGCCATTCATAAGGGATTCACCTCTACAACCCAAACACCATTCACTAAGCTCCACCTCCAACATTAGGAATCAAATTTCAACATAAGATTCGGAAGAAACAAATATTCAAATGATGTTAGTGGTTTTTAGCCAGACCCAACGATGGATTTATCTTTCACTGGGTATAAAGTCTTAATAATGACCTTAAATAATAACCTGGAGCCCATGAATGTTAGCTTTTAAAGCAAAAGGGACTCTGCATGTATGATCAAGTTAAGAATCTTGAGTGGCAGAGAGCTTGGGTGACTTTTGCCCTAGTTATGTGGAAAACAGAACTTGTAAGCAATAAACTTGTATATTTAGTTTAGACGATTTATAAGTAAAATGTTGAAGTTGCAGCCTTGCTTCTTTTTGCTGCTTATAGTAAAATGTTAAAGGAAAAAGATAAATTGAAGAAAGAACAGTTAAACAAAAATAAACCAGAACTTGATGACCTGAGAAATTCTTTTATTTATTTCTTTACTTTTTGAAACAGAGTCTCACTCCATTGCCCAGGCTGGAGTTCAGTAGTGCTATCTCAGCTCACTGCAAACCTCCACCTCCTTCCTGCCTCAGCCTCCTGAATAGCTGGGATTAGAGGAACATGCCACCACGTCTAGCTGATTTTTCTGTGTTTTTAGTAGAGACAGGATTTCACCATGTTGGCCAGGCTGGTTTCAAAGTCTTAACCTCAGGCTACCTGCCATCTTGACCTCCTAAAGTGTTGGGATTACAGGCGTAAGCCACCATGCTTGGCCAAGAAATTCGAATACTATCCAACTTTCAAAAGACGCTAAAATTAGGAGATTCAATATCCAAAAAGCATGCTTGAAAGGAAAATTCAAGGATGTCACCAAACAACTTTTGAATAGTGCTTCACAGTATTAAAAGATCATAATCTACATTCACACAGAGGGCTCTTTAAAGACATTAAGAATATGATTCATGAGTTCTTTCAACTATCCTAGGAGAAACCAGAAATAAAGATGGTATTATCCAGGAAACATCTTGGGAGGACACTCCTGTTTAATGGAATAAATCCCCATGACTTACACAGGAGATCCACGATGTACTTGAGATGTTATGTTGGCAGAAACACTGCCAGTTAGCCCTGAAAAAAATAAAGAAAGGAAACAAAATAAAGAAAGACAGGCTGTCAGACTCCCAAATTTCCATAAGCAGGAAAGAGGGATAAAACGTCTCAGCAGTAAACATGTGCACCTTTCAAGGGAAAAGGAGGATAATTCATGAGCAGAGCCTCAAGATCAGAGGGTAGATCCTGGAACCAGAGAATGCAGGTGTGGGTCTAGAGAATGGAGCCAAAATCCACAGAGGTTTGCTACCAGGTCTTGAAACCTAATGGACTCTACTAAACAGTAGGATTTCAAAATTACTTAGGACTGGAGTCTCCTTTCTTCTTTTAGTTTTCTGTCATTTATAATGGGAATGTCTATAATTATTATCTGATGCCTGTTTCTCCATTGTATTTTAGGGATACATTATTTGCCTTCTCATTTCCCAAGTCCACAAATGGAAAAAGGATTTTGCTCTAGGATGGATGATTTAGATAATGAGAGTTAGGACTGTTGAGCTAATAACATTTACGTAAGATTTTGGACTTGAATGATAATGTAATAGGTTAAGATATTTGGTGATATTGGGATGGGGTGATTGCATTTTGAATGTGAAATAAACATTAGTCTTTGGACACTAGAGGGAAGACTATGGTAGAATGAAAAATGGCTACTCAAAATAACTCGGGTCTTAATTCCTGGAACCTGTAAATGTCAGCAATATGGCAGGACTTTGCACATGAAACTAAGGTGATAATCTTGAGACAGAGAGATCATTTTCAATTATTTGGATGGGCCCTAAATCACAAGTGTCCTTGTAGGAGAGAGGCTGAATGGATATTTTTCTACAGAAGAGGGAGGCGATATGATAACTGAAACAAGATGCTAGTTGAGGTTTTGAAGATGGAGAAAGGGATTGCCAGTCAAAGAATGTAGCTCTAGAAACTGGAAGAGGCAAGAATATGAATATTCTCTTAGAACCCCTGGAAGGATTATGGCACTGCCATAACCTTGATTTAGATCTAATGAAACTGATTTGAGACTTCTTACTCCAGAATTGTAAAATAATGAATGTTTGTTGTATTAAGCCAATAAGTTTTCCATAATTTGTTACAGCCAAACATGGGAACAAGTACATTGGGTAAACTTGGCTGTTCAGCTGTGGTAATTCCCCTTGCTCCTTTTGTCCCTATGGCCTTGCTGCTATAAAAACTCTTGGTGGCATCACAGTGTTCTATTTAGGCTCCCATCCCTTCCACCAGTTGTGTTATCAATTCGCTACATTAAATTCCCTCTTTTAAAAAAAATTAGACTTTTTTCTTCTAGTTTACATCCTGCATAATATACTTATTCCCTTACCTTATTATTTTCTATAGCAGTTATTTATTTGATATGTCACCAGGTTGAATGGGCTACCTAAATGAATATTGAAATGACTTGGAATGATCATTGGAGTAAGAGTAAGTCAGAAGATTCTAAACTGGTTACATCATTTGAGACCACCAACAAGGGTCCAGTATCAGATGTAAGTAGAAAGGAAATAGATTGTCTGAGAGCATGCATCATTTGTGAGATAATTTAAATACAGGTGGTAAAAGAATAAGGTCTTGATATGATAGTGGAGAAAAGGAGAGTACCTAACCTCAGTCGATGACTCCTTCTCCCTAGTACAAACGAATAGTTTAATGGGCACCTAGAAAATGGTGGAGGGGAACCAGGATAAAAATAGCATAGTCAAAATAAGTAGACTTCATTTAAGGCTGTTATTTGAAGTTCTCTGAAATAGTTGTGAGTGTTGGCTTGCAATACAAAGGGAGCTTAGCAAGCACTGTGGATAGCACTTGTAAATAGGAAAACAATGAAAACCTGAGTATGAAAAAGTTTTAGGATGTTTTTAAAAATATCTTTTTTAAAAACATAAATTCTGTGAATGTTGAAAGTTAGAAGCTAATATCTAAGGAGTATTTATTTTATTCCAAGCTAAATTATTGTTTCATTTATATCATCTCAATTACTTCATTATGCTTTAAGAAGTAAATAGTGCTGTTACTCCCATACTGCAGTGTGAAAATTGAGGTAAGAGAGTGAGTTAACTTGTCCAGAATGACAGATTGTAAGTGGAGTGGACTTATCAGTGGAGTCGACTTATCAGTGGAGTCAGATATTTTACATTTTCTTTTTTTCCTTAGAGACAACCTAGACAACCACACTGATGTATTGTCCCCTCACTTATCCCTTCTATCTATATCCATATAAGAGTTAATAACATCTGGAGGACCTTTGTAGGAATTTAATAAATGTTTGTTATTTATGAGTGTTTTAGTTCCTTTGATGAAGAGACCACATACATACATGAAAGTTATTAACAGCAAAATATTGATGTAAGCATTATCATACCATCAGAGCCACTCACAAGGAACATAATTAAGAGAATTATCTGATATTCATCCAGAGGTCTAGTGATTCCTTATGCTTATTTATTATGTTTATTTTGCCATGATGTGATTTAAAATGCAACCATAGTGCTGCTGTAATGTCTCTGTTCAGCCATGCTTCTAGAAACTCTCCTTACACTTCTCATCTATTTTATTTGCCAAGCAGTAAGCAGTTTATGTAATGCATGGAGGCACCTGACCTGCAAAACGATTAACATTTACTCTCTGGATGACCAATTCAGGTACAGTAATTAGAAAAGTAACAAGGTCAAAAGGAAATCCATTTATTGTTTCCGCATTTGAACTTTGTAAAATGCTTCAAATGATA
The DNA here is from genome assembly GCF_000001405.40 of Homo sapiens. NCBI lineage: Eukaryota > Metazoa > Chordata > Mammalia > Primates > Hominidae > Homo > Homo sapiens. The sequence continues at coordinate 19,088,397 of NC_000021.9, forward strand.
TATATTATTTGAAACATATACATAAACTAAATCACACTAAAGTGTATTTTTATAAGCAATATCTGCACATGAGCATGTATTAAATAAAATATTGAGTGTTCTTAATTCTGCAAAATGAGAGGCCATAGTTAGTGAATAACTTTTTATTACCCAATATCTTCCCAGTCAAGTAGCTCAATTTTAAACAAAAACTTCCATAATTTTAGATGCCTTCAGAAAACGATTGTATTTTATGTCACAGAACATACATAGAGACTAGTTAGAATACATGTGTAGAGTAAGTATTTATGAAACAACTAATCTCTTTCAATACTTTTTATAAAACTTAAGCTTCTCATGAATCCATTTTGTATCCCAAATAACTGAATAGGGCTAGCAAGAATCCTGAAATAAAGAGTGTTACAGCAAACAGCTATTGGGACCATTAACAGCAACAAAGTTAATGACATAATGCACTAAAGTTCTTAGGCTTAATTTAGTTTAAATTTCTAATACATTAATCTAAATATATAAGATGCTTCTTGACTTACGGTGGAATTACATTTGGATTAATTTATTATGAGTTGAAAATGTTGTAAGTTGAAAATGCACTTAATGTGCCTAACCCACTGAACACCAAAGTGTAGCCTAGCCTATCATAAATGTACTCAGAATGCTTACATTAGCCTACAGCTGGCAAAATCACCTGGTAACACAGTACACTGTAGAATATTATTGTGAGGCTGACTAGAGCTTTGGCTCACTACCACCGCTCAGCATTACTAGAATATCAGATCACTTTATGCTGAAGGCTTATCACTTTTACAACCATTAGGAAGTTGAAAAATTTTGAGTCAAACCATTGTAAGTTGAGGACAAAGTATAGGTGACAAAATATGATATTTTAAACAACTTCAATGTTAGAAACAATAACGATAATATCCTATATAGCTTCAATGTTAGAAGATTTTTTTTTGCCTCAATATAGGTGTCATGTGAAGATGTGTTTGGCTAAAACAACTTATTCAAATATGGAATACTTTTACAATAAACTTTAATACGTACATTAAAAAGAGTAAAAGTTAAATATGATGTGTAATAGTTAATTTTATATCAATTTGCTGGATTATTTTACCCAGTTATTTAATCAAACAATAATTTGTGAAAGTATTTTATAGATGTGATTAACGTATACAATCTGTTGACTTTAAGTAAATGAGATTACTCTTGATAATATGAGTAGGACTCATTCAATTATTTGAGGATCCTACAAGCAAAAATTGAGCTTTCCCTGAGAAGAAAAAATATACTGCTTTAAGACCGTATCATCAACTCCTGCCTGAGTTGACGAGCTGCTGGCTTGCCCTACAGATTTCCGACTTGTCAGCCCCAACGATTGTGTGAGCCAATTTCTTAAAATAAATTTCTTTATGTTGATCTATATCTATATTCAAATCTAAATCTGTACATCTATTTCTTGTTGTTTCTGTGGAGCCCCGTAACTGATATTGATTTTGGTACCAGGAAGTGAGATGCTGCTAAAACAAATACCTAATACTATGCAAATGGTCTTGGAATTCACTAACGGGTAAAGGCTGGAGGAGTTTTTAGATGTGTGATGTAAAAACCTGGGTTGCCTCAATGAGGCTGTTAGAAATTCGAATAAGGAGATCCTGGTAAGGACTTAAAAAAAGAAGTGAATAAAGTTGTAGAGAAAGCTTCTATCATCTTCAAGAATATATATATCATCACGGACAGAATATTGGTAGAAAAATAAATGTTAAAGGCGTTTCTGGTGAAGTCTCACATAGAAATGAAGATAATATTAATAAACACTTGAGGAAAGTGACCCTTGTTAATGAGTAGTGGAAAAATTGACTAGATCGTGTTCTAATATTGGATGTAAGAAATGAGTTTTTATGTTTGGCGGAGGTGATTTCCATGCAAATTATAGAAGGTGTGTCTTAGTTTCTCCTTGCTTCTTATATTAAAATGCAAGGTGAAAGAAATACACTAAGAAGAAAATGCTAAGCAAAAAGTAACCAGAACATGATCATTTGAAAAATTCTCAGCCTATATTGCAAATGGCGTTACAGTGTGCTCTTGAGGAAACACCTATGGATGGCTAGACAAACTTTTACTGGAGAGATTAGGTGTGTGACTTACGTGCAATGGTTTAGATATGGTATGTTTGCCCTCAGCAGAACTCATGTTGAAATTTGATTTTTAATATGGTGGTGTTGAGAGGTGAAGCCTATTGGGAGGCGTTTCGGTTATTGGGGCAGATTCCTAATGAATACCTTGCTTCTGTTTTTGCAGTAATTAGTTCTCACTCTCATGAGACTAGATTTATTCTCACAGGCATGGATTTGTTCCCACAAGAGTACATTATCATAAAGCCAGGGCGTCCTTTAGGCTTTCCTTTTTTAAGTGTTCACTTCCCCTTTGATCTTTGTCATGTGGTGACACAGTACAGAAACCCTTGGCAGAAGCCAGGTACATGCCCTTGAATAGCTCAGCCTGAAGAACTGTGAGCTAAATAAACCTCTTTTCTTTATAAATTACCCAGTGCCAGGTATTCTTTTATAGCAACGCAACATAAACTGGGACACACATGTATTCAATAAACAATCTCATCAGAAGCTAGGAGTATAGCTGAGGTCATCCAGGAAGGATCTATGGAGAATCTTTGTATCTAACAACATGGATCCCCTTGACATATAGAGATAACCCACAGGGTTTTAAGAATGTTATACCAATTAAAAAACTGCCAAATTGGACTAAAGAAGACAGATATGGGATAAAATGAAAGAAAGACTCTGAGACTCTGAGGGTTCTACTGGTAGAAAATGGACTGAGAGGGCTACTTGGTTTTGAACATATGTTCCCATTTTAGGGGATGTTGGGATGGGGTGAAGGTATTTTGCACATGGGACAGAGATGAATTTTGGAAAAAGCATAGTGTACTGGAATGCATAGTGTCCCCCAAACTTAATATGGCCCTCCAAAGTTTATGTCTACCCAAAGCCTCAGAATGTGACCTTGTTTAAAAATCAGGTCGCTATGGATATAATTGGTTAAGATGAGGCTATACTGGATTAGAGCAGGCCCTGAATCTACTCAGGCAATCTTATAAGGAGGGGGAGCTTAGGAAACCATGTGAATGTGGAGTCAGAGACTGGACTGATCTATAAGCCAAGGAATTCCAAAGATTGCTGAAAATCACTAGAAATTAGAAGAGAGGCATGGAACAGATTCTCCCTCAGAGTCTCCAGATGAAACTGCCACTACTGACACCTTGATTTCATAGTTTTGACTTCCTGAGTGAGAGAGAAAAATGTGTGTTGTTTTAAGTCACCCAGTTGGTGATATTTTATTATAGCAGCCTTAAGAAACTAATAGATCACGATAAAAATTATTTGAAATTAGAGTCCATAATCAATACATTCATCATCAGATGCTTTCTTAGGTAAAAGAAAAATGAAAATACATTTCTTGTATTTTCTAAATCTTGTGCCTGAGAAAGATCAAAAAGCATGAATAACAAAAATTAAGATTGTTAGTATTTTCACGTTCAATGAAAACAAATATATTAAAATAATAAAACAGTGGTAAATGATCATGTCAATTTATTACATTTTGATAAAAACACCTGTTTACTTTGAGTAGAAGTAAGTCAACATGATGTCTTTAAACATTTCCACCTAAACTGCTTTTTACCTATAATCAATCTTTTAAAATGTAAATATGTTTTGATTTTAGATCTTATCAGTTTGCTTGAGGCACAGATGTCAAAATGAGATATTTTTTAAATGAATGATCATGAGGAATTTTAGCTGTATTTTTCAAAAAGCATAATTTGAGTCTGGCAATAAACTTAACCTTAATTAGAATAGCTATTACACTAGTGATAGAAATAATTACTGATATCAGAATGTAATATATTCAGTAGGATGTAAGGTCCCCTTAGTATTTTGATAGCTAAAGAAGCATTGAGGCCATATTTTCTATTAAAATAAATGCAACTTATTAAATATATGATTCAAAACATTTTGCATTTGTCTCTCGGTATGAAAAAGAGGCACATTTCATTATCAAATGTTCTTTTTATCTTTTCCAATTACCCTGCAGCATTAAGAAAACACATTTTCCCACATTTAATTAAAGTTACGCATGATCAGCTTTAACTGGTAAGCACAAATAAACCTTTGTAACTTCTATGCTATTCAGTTCATCTACAAATATCCAGTCTCTAAAGTATCTTGTTGCTGATAATAGGCTGTTAAAATCAATTACTACAATCTATGAGGTGATCTAGACTAATTTTTTCTTATATATATGTACTAAATTCAACTTGCAATAATTCCACCCAACGTAACAATATTTTACATTTTTTATGCATCACTTTCTAAAACAGAAGAGGCATACTTTGACCTTAAAATTTAATTCTATGTTGTGGAATTTTTAAAATATAAATTTCAGAGTTTACTCTCATATTCACTGTTAAGAAAATACTAACTTATTAACCATTTACTATACCCCACACTCTGTTTTGTGCAGATAACTTAAGTAATGTAAATCCACAGTCAAAAAAATCAATATAAAAGATAGTCATGCCTGTTACGTTACAAATGAGATAAATATATGTATGACATAATGTTTTGAGAGCTGATAAGAGTTAGAAATGTATCAGGTGAGTTAGAAATGATTACATAAAAGAGAGATTGAATTAAAATATTTGAAGTCAAAAAGGATTCCAGACAATGACTACCACCTTAACATAAACAACAGATGAGGATAGCTTGGACCAGTGTAGGTGATGAAAACAGGTTTGATTCTGGATATATTCTGAAGTTTGAAGTAACAGGAAATGCTGGTAGAACACACGTGGATTTCTGTGAGAATGTTTTTTATTTTTTTGCTTTAAAATATTTTGACTTCTACTGAAAGTGGAAATGCTTTGGAAGAGATGGGAATGGGGAAATCTTTGTGTACATATTAAATTTTGAATACTTATTAGTCATCCAAGTTGAGACAAAGAATAGACAGTACATTTATGAGTCTGAATTCAAGAAAGACTTAAATATAGAAATCATCAGCTTTTTTTTTTTTTTTTTGAGAGAGAGTCTCCCTCTGTTGCCCAGGCTGGAGTGCAGTGGCACGATCTCGGCTCACTGCAACCTCTGCCTCGCAGGTTCAAGCTATTCTCCTGCCTCAGCCTTCTGAGTAGCTGGGATTACAGGCATACACCTCCAAGCCTGGCTAATTTTCATATTTTTACTAAAGATTGGGTTTTGCCATGTTGGCCAGGCTGGTCTCGAACTCCTGACCTCAGGTGATCTGCCTGCCTCGGCATCCCAAAATACTAGGATTACAGGTGTGAGTCACTGTGCCCAGGCCATCAGCTTTTAAGCAATATTTAAAGCCATGGAAATAAAGGAGATCACCAAAAAATGATTCTAAATCATGATTTCTCAATGTTGGCAATATTGCTATGGAAGGGTGGATAACTCTTTGTTTTAGAAGGCTGTCTTATGCAGCATTCCAGGCCTCTACCCACGATATGCCAGCAGTGGTAACCCAAAATGTCACCAGACATTGCCAAATGTCCCATGGGAGAACAGTCATCTCCAGTTGAGACCACTGACTGCTCTAGAATAGAAAAAAAGAAGCTCCAGGACTAACTTTTAGGATTCTCCAATGTTTAGAAGTTAAGGAGAACAGCCGGGCTTGGTGTCTCATGCCTGTAATCCCAGCAGTTTGGGAGGCTGAGGCAGGTGGTCACCTTAGGTCAGGAGTTCGAGACCAGCCTGTCCAAAATGGCAAAACCCCATCTCTACCAAAATACAAAAAATTAGCCAGGTATGCTAGCAGGTGCCTGTAGCCCCAGCTACTTGGGAGGCTGAGGCAGGAGAATCACTTGAACCCAGGAGGTGGAGGTTGCAGTGAGCTGAGAGATTGCGCCATTACACTCCAGCCTGGGTGACACAGTGAGACTCTGTCTAAAAAAAAAAAAAAAAAAAGAAAGAAAAAGAAAGAAAGAAAGAAAAAAGTAGTTAAGGAGAACTGAAGAAACCAGCACTACCTCTGCAGGGAGGTCAGAGAGGGAAACAAAGAATCAAACAAGAATAGGGCTCTGAAAGCAAAAAGAAGAATTTGTTACAAGAAAAAAGGAGAAATAATCCATGGCAAAAGCCATGGTTTGGTTAAATAATAGCTGAGATAGGACTTGACCATTGTTTTACTAACATCAAGATGGCAGGAAACCTTATCAAGAAACACTTTTGCTGGAGTAGTGTGGGGACCTGGATATTTACACTATACTAAATTATACCCCACAGATTACATGGAGATTGTAGAATAAACAGTTCAAATTGCAATGTGGATATCTGACCGTCCCTCTTGAACCAGCAGTCAGTCTTAGAATCTTTTAATGTGGAACAAGCAGATAGCATATTCCTCATGATTTGATGAAATGTAAAGTCACAGTGTCAGGTATAAAGTATTATGTAATATTCTATCTATAATGTTGAACTCAAATATGATCACGCCTCTACATGTAACCTACAGTTTACATATAATGGAATTAAAGGGATAAGCCAAATGACACTATAACCAATGAGAAAAATTTATAAAATGTGACATTCTACAACATCTGACATCAGCAATAATTTCATGACATAAGTATAAAAGATAGAAGAAGATGCAAGAATAAAACAGGCTTACAAAACATTAAAATGCAATTTGTAGACCTTGAGAAACTCTGACTTCTTAACAAATCAAATGTAATGAAGAATAGGATAACTGGACAGATTTGAGTATAGACTGACTATTAGATGACATAAAGAGTTAATGCTATTTTTGTTGTTATGTCTGACAAAAGAGTGTGATTGTATTATGGAATGAAGTATTTAGAATATAGAACTGCCTGACTCTACTTTTTCATGTTTGATTGCTCACATCTTACAAACCTCACTGCTCCCTTCTCTTCTTAGGCCTCGCTATTAAGCAGGTTGACAATATTCCTCTTTCGGCTGGTAGAAGATTCGAAACACTCAAGCCTCTTGAATATTCCTGGGAACCCTCACCTCACCCCCAATTCTTAAACACAATGACATCTCCAAACTAGTCTCTTTTCCTTACTCTCTCAAGCCATTTTTCAGACCAGCTTGGAAAGGGTGTCTTGTCCTCAAAATGCTTTATTCTGTTAGTAATAAATATTTTCATACCGTCGTGGGGTGTTTGGGGGTGTGTGTGTGTGTGGATGTGTCTGTACCATTATCATTATTGACATCTGGATCAAATTTTGGGTGGAAGTCTGTCCTTCTTCTCAGAGTGTCCAAAACAAGATGTAATGCTATAATGTTTGAAATTTATTGTAGTATATTTTAAAAGAATAAAAGAAGAGAAAGAGAAGAATAAAGGAAGGAAGGAAGAAAAGAAGGAAGGAAGGAAAAGAGGGAGGGAGGGAGGAGATGAAACAAAATAAAAGGTAATAAAAATAAAGGAATAAATTTTAAGTGAGGCAACTACTGTGCTCAAATTTCTTAATTCTCTTCTTTCTGACTTTTACCCCGAGGCTGCAGAGGAAGTTTGAGTATTATTAAAATGCTGGTGGAGAGGAGTATCAACTGCTCTTCTTCAGTTTCTTGACAGACTTTTTACTGTTACGGCATTTCCCACTTTTCCATTTCTGTTCTCACTACACGTACTGAGCAAGCTCAAGCATATACTGCCCTGTCCTTGTTACCTTTGCGTGTTGAACTTAGAACACTATATGTTCTAAAAAAATCACAGATGTATTCCAATGCCTAGGTCCTATAAGTATACCCCTAGGCTAACTACTTTCCTGAGTCATGACCATTCCTGCAGGGTATAATCAAGTTCTACCCTCTAACTTTAAATCCACATACTCTTTTTGTCTCTAACTCTGGTTCTTCAGGTGGCTGTGAAGCACTCTGAAAGACTTTCTTTTCCCGGATTTCCAATCAAGGGGGTAGATTTATCCTCCTTTACACTAGAATGTTCATGTTTGCCCAGGGGTCTGTGTGTCACTGCCACAGTAACAGAAGATTAAGAGTCATTCATCCCTTTCTCAGTTCTTTCCCCTCTTACTGGGCTTTTCCGCCGGCCCGAAAATATTTGTAAGTGCTTTCCCAGCCTTTTAGAATGCTGAGTCTTGTTTTGTGCTTTATGGTACCACTTTGCAATTTGAGTTTGCCAGGTGTTGGTTATTGCCTTTCCCAATTCTCGAGCCATTATAAAAATGTCTTTCCATTTGGTCCTAGGTTGCAATACAATAAGAATTACCACTGTTATGGTTTGGCTGTGTCCCCACCCAAATCTCACCTTGAATTGTAATAATCCCCATGTGTCAAGGGTGGGGCCAGGTGGAGATAATTGAATCATGGGGGTGGTTTCCCCCATACTGTTCTAGTGGTAGTGAATACATCTCATGAGATCTGATGGTCTTGCCTACCACCAAGTAAGACATGACTGTGCTTCTCCTTTGCCTTCCACCATAATTGCGAGGCCTCCCCAGCCATGCAAAACTCTGAGTCCACTGAATCTCTTTCCTTTATAAATTACCCAGCCTCAGGTATGTGTTTATTAGCAGCATGAGAACAGACTAATACAACCACAAATTAAAAATACATCTGAAGGCTGGCTGCATGGCTCACCCATGTAATCCCAACACTTTGGGAGGCCAAAACAGGTGGATCACATGAGGTCAGGAGTTTGACACCAGCCTGGCCAACATGGTGAAACCCGATCTCTACTGAAGATATTAAAATTAGCCAGGCCTGGTGGCACATGCCTGTAATCCCAGCTACTTGGGAGGCTGAGGCATGAGAATCGCTTGAACTGGGGAGACGGAGGCTGCAGTGAGCTGAGATTGTGCCACTGCACTCCAGCCTGGGTGACAGAGGGAGGCTCTGTCTCAAAAAGAAAAAGGAAACAGCATACATCTGATCTTATTTCAAACCTATTCTATCACATATACTTCTAGGCAATCACATTCTACAACTACAGTAAAATCCTAGATGTTCACCAAACTTGACGTTGTTCATGTAAATTAACCAGTAAATAAATGTAACTGTATGTCTAATAAGATAATATTTTATTTTTTTACTCATACATCTGTTAATTCATTGATATTATGTAAGAAAATAATTATATATCATTCACTATTTAGGTATTATTGAAAAGTTTTGAAGCTATAAAGTAAAATACAACACATCTTTCTTCCTTCAAAGAAATCACAATTGACAGTGACAATAGTTTAATACATATATAATTTTGAATAACTATGAAAATAGATATATCCATATGGCTTTGTGGGAATGCTGAATATTTGTAACTAACCCAGCTGAGAGGAGTTAAATGGATCTTGACCTTGCCTTGAAAGGACTTTGGCCAGTTCGTCTAAATCTGCTCCTGGCTCTCTGGATCGTGTATGATAGGAAAAATTCCACAGGAGAGGACCACAAGGGAATGTGTTCTCAGTTGAGGACCAAGTGCTAGTCAAAGGAAGCAGGTAACAGAAAATTGTGGTAAAAATGAGAAAGTGGTTAAGTTTATTTCCAGTGGTACAAGGGTTCCATAAAGCAGAGGAAAGGACTGAAGGGGAATCCATTTTAGGAGCTTCCAGGAAATGGAAGTTTTTGTGCTCTAAAAAGATAAGAAAATAAGAGGGCATAAAATTTAGACCAGATTGGGAAGAATGGCTTCCAAAGGAAGGAAAAGATGAGGGTAATGTTTAGAAATGACTGGATTCAAATATTTTGTTTCTGGCAGATGTTATTTTGGGGACAGAATGACTAAGGGTTGATCTCAAATAATACTTGGTCTATGAAACTGGTATAATGGATGACAGTAGCCATGTCCTTAAATAGAGATGCCCTATTCTCATGAAAGAAACTGAGGAACAAATTAGACAGAACTCTTTCTGTGCAAAGAATGTTTCATGGTGTTCAGAAGAATAGAGAGAGTGTGTCTTCAAGTGGCAGACCCTGTTAAAACCTGGGAGAACAGGTAAAATCCTGTCCTAGGGTATGGGTTAATGACTTGTTTTGATTAAGAACCATATTCTGAGAATTCTACTTATTTGAGAAGGTAAATATCATCTACCATAGATTATAATTTTAAAAATGAATACTAAGGCAATTTAAAACATAAGTATCTTACAAAAGGTAACAGTGTTCATAAATATAAAATTTCAATATTATATAAATTCAATTTCTATCAGTTTTAATATGATTTTTTTTACTATATATTCATCAGAGTTCTCTGGAGAACAGGACAAATGGAATTTTTTTTATTTACTTATTTACTTTAAGGAATTAGCTCACATGATTATGGAAGTTTGCAAGTCTAAAATTCTCAGGATGGGCTGGCAGGCTGGAAACCAGGAAGAAGCTGATACTGAAGTTCAGGTCCAAATGCATCTGCTGAAGAATTCCCTTTTGCTGGCAAGAGGTCATTCTTCTGTTCTATTCAAGTCTTCAACTGACTGGAGGAGGCCCATTCACATTATGGAGGGCCATCTGCTTTACTTAAAATCCATCAATTTAAATGTTAATCTCATCAAAAAATATCCTCATAGAAACATCCAGAGTAATGTTTGAACATATATCTAGGCACCAGCCAAGTGGATACATAAATTTAACCAGGCTACAGTGGAATTAGCCTACAATCATTGATCATTCTTTAATGTTATAGTTTACGTATATAAGATCTGAAAAATGCCATTTTTAAACATTTGTATAGCAATGTATAAGTTATCAATTGCTGTGACATAGATAATTCCAGTTTATCCTCAATACTACGGTCTGAAGGGAAAGATAACTAAAAATTTATAGGGTCCATTAGAAGAATTGCCAGTAGAAATATTACTTTTACAGGTTTGGGGATAATGAGCCCCACATGGTTTAAACAAATATGCAAGATAAAACAGCCAGTAAATTAGTGCAAATAAGACTTGAATGTCAGCCTTCTGACTACAAGCCTAAAACTTTTACCACCATAGCTGTGCTTTAGAGAGAAATGTGTCTATAGTTGGAATCAATTTGTAGGATCAGAGCACTGAGTCCCTTTAAATTTAGGCAGAGCATCATTCTTCATTAGAGAGCCAGCATGTGGTAGGAAACTGATTAACTTATAGCTCTTTTAAAGGCACCCACAGGTATTCATGTCAGCAATGTACTATTTACCAGTCACAAATCTAGAGGTGATCTTAATATGGAAATCCTTAATTTGAAAATAAGGACGATTTCATATTACATTCCAAAGACCGTAATTGTCTTTAAATTGCCCTTTTTTACTCTGAAGATTTGATCTCTGAGGCCTGAAATGAAACTTTAACATTTTCAATTAAATTCAAGCCTTCAAGGTTTGGTTGAAACTAAGAAAATGATTTGTGAACCTCCTTTTAAACTCCCTCTGAAATCAGCTTCAAGCTAGTAAAGTTCTAATTCTTCACATTTAGTCGAGTTATAAAAGAGAAGTTCCTCAATGCTAAACTTTAGTCATAAAGTGCAAGCTATGCCAAAAAAAAATAAAAAAATTTTTTCCAATTAGTCATTAGGCTTTTATTTCAATATCTAAAACTTTTTTAAAAAAAAAACAGAACACAGCTTATTGTTTGCATGCATTGTTTAGGAGGTGAAGGCAGTAAAACAAAGCAAAATTAAATAAACAAAATTATCTTGCCTTCTATTACTTGGCATCTGAGAGTTACATATCCGGCAATTATAATGCGCACTATATATTTTTAAGGTTCTCTCAAATTCTGCGAAATATTTTGGGATGTTTCATTTCAAACATCTCGGAAAGCTTCACTCCCTAACATCTTCAATTTACTCTTTCTAAAGTGATAACATGCTTTTGCTCCTTTGAGGAATAAACTGTTATTGTGATGTATTTTTTCAAGATGTTCAGAATGTGAGAATATCGTGTAATGACGTTCATAACTTCTGTTATCTGCCCTATTGGTAATAGGAAATCGGCCACGAAAAGTGATCATGGAATCCCCCATTATGTTGCCTTCAGTCTTCATGCTACAATATATTAATATCTTCCTCTCTTAGTTCCTCCCTCTTTGACTTTATCATTCATTAGAAATCCTACTCTCTTATTTTTATAAGACTTTTAGAGAACTGAAGAATACTTCTGAAAGTGTGATACAATTTTGAAGTTCATCAATTAATTTTTTTCATTTCTCATCTATTAGCTTATTTGTTTTTTTGTTTGTTGGTTGGTTTTGAGACAGAGTCTCTCACTCTGTCGTCCAGGCTGGTGTGCAGTGGCGTGATCTCGGCTCACTGCAAGCTCCGCCTCCTGGGTTTAAGCGATTCTCCTGCTTCAGCCTCCTGAGTAGCTGGGACTACAAGCGTGCACCACCACACCCAGCTAATCTTTGTATTTTTAGTAGAGACGGGGTTTCATCTTGTTGGTCAGGCTGGTCTCAAACTCCTGACCTCGTGATCTGCCTGCCTCGGCCTCCCAAAGTATTGGCTTATTTAATATCTCTACAATGATAGATTTTTGATCATTCTATAAGATTAAAGATTGTTGTGTTATAGCATTGGTAGAAATTTGTGAATTAAATGTAACAGACATTAAAGGAGAATTCAAAGAAGTTTATTTTATCACTATATCCAAATATACTGCTAGGATTTACACCTGGCCTTCCTTGTCAAGTGTTGGACTTTTTATAGGCTGTCTTGCATCTTGAATCTATGGATTCCGGAATAAGGATGAATATGAAAATATTATAGAACCCAGTGGGTTCATGTTTCAATGAAGCTGGACATGATTTATCCTCTTAAATACCTTCATAAAACCAAAAGTGAGTTAGTAAAAATTTAAGTAAAGATAAAGTGCCATTTGTTTTCTGGTGTGAGATATTAATAGAAAATAAGGCACAAAAATTGGTCCTAAATAGAAATAGCCAATAATTTTTATGTAAACTGAACAGCTGTGAAAACACCAAATATAAATTTCCAAGTTCATCTTAACATATAGACTGGAGTATTATGTATTAGGTATAGTTGCTATTTTGACACATTTTCTTCTATAATTCTAGAAATTTCTTATATTTACCTGCAATAAAAATTTCACAAATACCTAGATTTAATTTTGAAGAAATAAATAAATGAATGTGATTACAAGTCTTTAAACTCCAGTGGTAATTTGGGTATCAAAATTAAAGCCTTTATATTCATTTATTATAAAATTTAAAGAATAGTCATGTATAAAAGTGTTCAAAATATTCTAAAATAACAGGTACCACTAATTATTCTTTTCTATTTTAGCTATTATCACCCTATACCAGTTTGTAACATACTAGCAGAATTCACCTTAGAAAGTCAAATCATGAATATTGCTGGTTTTATGTAAAATATCAAGGAGAGATGACCTTGTACTTCTTCTTACTGGCTTATACAAAATCAACTTGATAATGGATGTATGCTGTTTCTAAATAAGGCGTTTAATATTCAAATATTTTCAGTGACTGGGATAAATCACCCATTTCATATCTTACCCTAGTACCAAATGCATGGCCATTCATTCCGTGTTAAATATAGATCTACTAGAGGACCCATAATTTAGCATTTTAGTTAAATAGTCTGGTCATGTTAGTATTTATTTAAAGAAAAATTCTATCCCATATTCTCTCTCATTCTGTATATCATGACTTTGAATTGGTGAGGGCTTTTGTGTACTTGGAGTTTAGGTCAAAGTAATAAATGGTAAGATTCAAAGTTGTGGAAACTCCATAATATTTTCAAAGTAAGAAAAACCTAGCCGTGTGACCTTCTAAACTTTAATATTTATACTGTCTCAAATAATTAAGTTGTGTATAAATTAGCATATATAAAAATGTCCTTATTTGTGCTAATTTATGGGCTCTTCAAAAATAACACAAACTCACCACAAGTCACACATAAGCTATTATAGCACTGTGAAGAATAAAGAAGGTCATCAGAATTTGTTTCTCAATAGAAGAGTTGATTGTAGTAAGACTTTGAAATGAAAATAGGCACTTAAAAATGGGGCATTTATATAAAATATAAAGACTTTGACAAATCAGAAAAGCTGAAAAATAAGAAGGAAGGAGTAAAAAAGGAAGACAATTAGAAAATAAGTATTAAAAAAGAAAAATGACAATGGATTATTATACTTGTTTTGGTTTAAAAATTCATAAAATTTCAGAGGAGAAATTATTTGGTACTAGAATTCTAGCAGTCACTGACCCATGCATTCTTACATGTGTCCTGTTTTCTTAGTTTTACTTATTCTTGTAGGTATCCTATTTTCACGGGAACATTTTTGTTTATCTCTATTATCTCAGTTTAATTGTGTCGCTCTCCCAATATTTCTCAAAATAACAAAAAACACAACAAATTATAAATTACATTCCCAAAACATGTGTTACTTAATAGCCAGGAACAGTGCTTCCAAGGTGTTTCTTCAATAAATACAAAAACATATTCTTTAAATGACTTCTGTTAAAAAAAAAAAACAAGAAAAATGATCATGTGATGTGAAGGCATTTGATATAGCTTGGATGAGTGTCCCTGCCCAAATCTCATATTGAAATGTAATCCCCAGTGTTGGAGGTGGGGCCTGGTGGGAAAGTTATGGCACCTACCCAGTGCTCTCCTGGTCCTGCTTTCATTATGTGACCTGCCTGTTCCCCTTCACCTTCCACCATGGTTGTCAGCTCCCTGAGGCCTCACCAGAAGCAGATTCCACTATGCTTTCTGTGCAGCCTGCAGAACTGTGAACCAATTAAATCTATTTTCTTGTAAATCACCCAGTCTCGGATATTTCTTTATAGCAATGTAAGAATAACCTAATACAGCATGTCAAAACTAAACATTCAAATTATGTTGGTTTGGTTTTACCCTCATTCAGATCTTTACGATCTCTTATCTGGATTATTGGAATCTATTTAATATTACCTGTAGGGAAAAGAGAGATTAGACTGTTACTGTGTCTACGTAGAAAAGGAAGACATAAGAAACTCCATTTTGACCTGTACCCTGACAATTGCTTTGCCCTGAGATGCTGTTAATCTGTAACTTTGCCCCAATCTTGAGCTCACAAAAACATGTGTTGTATGGAATCAAGGTTTAAGGGATCTAGGGCTGTGCAGGATGTACTTTGTCAATAAAATATTTACAGGGAGTATGCTTGGTAAAAGTCATCGCCATTCTCCATTCTCGATAAACCAGGGGCACAATGCACTGCGGAAAGCCGCAGGGACCTCTGGCCTAGAAAGCCAGGTATTGTCCAAGGTTTCTCCCCATGTGATAGCCTGCGATATGGCCTGGTGGGATGGGAAAGACCTGACCATCTCCCAGCCCGACATCTGTGAAGGGTCTGTGCTGAGGAGGATTAGTAAAAGAGAAAGGCCTCTTGCAGTTGAGATAAGAGGAAGGCCTCTGTCTCCTGCCTTTCCCTGGGAACGGAATGTCTCGGTATAAAACCCGATTGTACATTTGGTCAATCCTGAGATAGAAAAACCGCCCTGTGGCGGGAGGTGACATGTTGGCAGCAATGCTGCTCTGTTATTCTTTACTCCACTGAGATGTTTGGGTGGAGAGAAGCATAAATCTGGCCTGCGTACACATCCAGGCATAGTACCTTCCCTTGAACTTATTTTCTCACATGTTTCCTTGCTCACATGTTTTCTTTCTTCTCCCCACCATCACCCTGCTTTCCTGCTGCATTCCTCTTGCTGAGATAGTGAAAATAGTAATTAATAAATACTGAGGGAACTCAGAGACGAGTGCCAGTGTGGGTCCTCCGTATGCTGAGCGCCGTTCCCCTGAGCCCACTGTTCTTTCTCTATACTTTGTCTCTGTGTCTTATTTATTTTCTCAGTCTCTCATCCCACCTGATGAGAAATACCCATAGGTGTGGAGGGGCTGGCCCCCTTATTCTTTATTATACCTATTTATCTACAACATTCAATAATGCAAGCCTGATTGTGTCAATTCCTTCCTTTTTTTCCTAGAGCAATGATGCCTTCTTATTTGTATTTTTAATTGACCTAATAGTCTTATATATTTGTGGAGTACAATGTGATATTTTATATAAATATACATGTGGAATGATTAAATCAAGAAAATTACACATTTCTCACCTCTTATTATTTTTAAGGTAAGGAAATTGAATTTTGAAATATACATTATTATTAACTATAGTCACCCTGCTGTAGAATAGATCTCAAAAACCTTATTCTTCCTGTTTAACTGAAACTTTGCACTTTATGACTATCACCTCTTTCTCAAAATAGCGAAAAGCACAATAAGTTATAAGATCAGTCTCAACAAATGTGTCACTGAATAGTAAGGAAGAGTGTCTCCAATGTGTTTCTTCAATAAATACAAAAACAATTATGAAATACACTATTTTTTTTGAAATTTATCTCTCCATTCTATCCTGCATCCTCCATCCCACCATTCTCTAGTAGCCACCTTTCTGCTTTCTGCTTCTATGAGTTTGACTTATTTAGATTACACTTATAAGAAATGATATTATAGTAGTTATCTTTATGTGACTGGCTTATTTCACTTAGCATAATGTTCTTCAGGTTCATCCATGTTGACTCAGATGACAAATTTAGTTTTAAAGCATGAATAGTATTTCATTGCTATCATTTGAATGTGTTCCTCAAAATTCATGTATTGGAAACTTGATTGTCAATGCAGGGGCATTGGGAGATGGAACTTAATGGAAGAGGTTTGGGTCATGGGGCATCCTTCTCATTAATGGATTAATAATACCACTATCTCAGGATTGGATTCCTAAGAAAAGGGTGACTTCAGCCTTCTCTCTCTGTCTCACTCACCTTCTCTTGCTCTTCTGCTTTTCACCATAAGACAATCCAACAAGGCCCTTGTCGGATTCTGGTCCCTCAATCTTGAGTTTCCAGCACCAAGAACTGTGAGCCAATATACGTCTGTTCACTATAAATGACCTGGTCTCTGATGCTTTGTTACAGAAGCACAAAATAGGCTAAGTCATCGACTGTGCATATATGCCACATTTTCTTTTTCCATTCATCAATTGATAGATATTTAGCTCAATTCTATGTCTTGGCTATTGTGAATATTGCTGCAATGGAGATAGAAAGGCAGATATCTCTTTGACATACTAATTTCAATTCCTTTTGGAATACAGAAGTGGAACGTATTATAGTTCTATTTTTTGCTTTTTGAGGAACCTCAATATAGTTTGCTATAATGTCTATACTAATTGACATCCCGACCAATAGTTTATAAAAAATTCCTTTTCTTTGTATACTTTCCAAGACTTGTTATCTTTTGGCTTTTCAATAATAGTCATTTTAATAAGTGTGAGGTTAAAAAAGAGGAAGAGAGAAAAACATAGAAAATAAACAAATTTTAAATTGATATACAACATCTAAATCTAAAACTTTAAAGTGAAAATCATTAACAAATTACATCACCTATCCCAGGCACTCTACCATGACCTCTCCATCCTCGCCACCTTGTACTATCCTTGGTTCTCTGAATATATTGTATAATATCTCAATTTAACTTTTTAGACAGACAAATACTACAGACCAGAGTGTTCTTATCCCATGGAACTCTCACTGCCACACAAACACACCAGCTTCTTATTTATCTACCTGGTATAATATTTTCCATCTTCAAGGATTATCTCAAATTTGACCTCCCCAAATTACAAATGGAATTAATCATTGTTTCCTCTGTACATTAACATTCAAACAAGCATTCGCCAATTGTGATTCATTCCCAGACCAATAAGTAGTTTAAAAATTATTAACAAAATATATATAATTAATAATCCAATATAAAAATTCTGATAAGATATTCATAAACATAAATGAATGGAGAAAGAGAACAAAAATAGTTTTAAAATGGAAAATGAATATAAGTTTTTGGTGTTTATCTTTTAAAAACAACAATAAATTAAACAAGGTGGAAGCTAAATACAGCTGCACTATAGAAATTTATATATATTTAACTGGTGTGAGATGGTATCTCATTGTGGTTTTGATTTGCATTTCTCTGATGGCCAGTGATGAGGAGCATTTTTTCATGTGTCTGTTGGCTGCATAAATGTCTTCTTTTGAGAAGTGTCTGTTCATGTCCTTCGCCCACTTGTTGATGGGGTTGTTTGTTTTTTTCTTGTAAGTTTGTTTGAGTTCTTTGTAGATTCTGGATATTAGCCCTTTGTCAGATGAGTAGATTGCAAAAATTTTCTCCCATTCTGTAGGTTGCCTGTTCACTCTGATGGTAGTTTCTTTTGCTGTGCAGAAGCTCTTTAGTTTAGTTAGATCCCACTTGTCAATTTTGGCTTTTGTTGCCATTGCTTTTGGTGTTTTAGACATGAAGTCCTTGCCCATGCCTATGTCCTTAATGGTATTGCCTAGGTTTTCTTCTAGGGTTTTTATGGTTTTAGGTCTAACATTTAAGTCTTTAATCCATCTTGAATTAATTTTTGTATAAGGTGTAAGGAAGGGATCCAGTTTCAGCTTCCTACATACGGCTAGCCAGTTTTCCCAGAACCATTTATTAAATAGGGAATCACACCAGTTAGAACGATGATCATTAAAAAGTCAGGAAACAACAGGTGCTGGAGAGGATGTGGAGAAATAGGAACACTTTTACACTGTTGGTGGGACTGTAAACTAGTTCAATCATTGTGGAAGACAATGTAGGGATTCCTCAAGGATCTAGAACTAGAAATACCATTTGACCCAGCCATCCCATTACTGGGTATATACCCAAAGGATTATAAATCATGCTGCTATAAAGACACATGCACATGTATGTTTATTGCAGCACTATTCACAATAGCAAAGACTTGGAACCAACCCAAATGTCCATCAATGACAGACTGGATTAAGAAAATGTGGCACATATACACCATGGAATACTATGCAGCCATAAAAAATGATGAGTTCATGTCCTTTGTAAGGACATGGATGAAACTGGAAACCATCATTCTCAGCAAACTATCGCAATGACAAAAAACCAAACACTGCGTGTTCTCACTCATAGGTAGGAATTGAACAATGAGAACACTTGGATACAGGAAGGAGAACATCACACACCGGGGACTGTTGTGGGGTGGGGGGAGATATACCTAATGTAAATGACGAGTTAAAGGGGGTAGTACACCAACATGGCACATGTATACATATGTAACCAACCTGCACGTTGTGCACATGTACCCTAGAACTTAAAGTATAATAATAAAAAAAAGAAATTTATATGTATTTATATATATTTAAAAGGAAAAAATAGCTAAAAATACTCAGCAGATATAAAATAAAATTTTAAGTATAACCTCCATTAATCAAGGGAGCACTAGCTGACTAACAGATAAATTAGCATCTTAAGAAAATGAAAATATATTTTCTACTCATGAGCAGTCCAAAATAGCTCTTCCTGACATGAAAACACGTCTCCTCCAATTGGCGGTTTAAATACTCAAACACCTTTCATCTCGTAGCTCCACAAACTTCAATGAGTGGCTTTCAAGAAGAATAAACATGGGGAAATAATATGTGTGAATTTTTATATGAGTCATGTCTAAACATAGCATACATCCACTAGGTGTATTTATTTCATTGACTAGAACCAATCTAATTGCAGGCAAATTTGAGAACTATAGTCTAATGATAATATTAGAAGTGAAAGGAAATTCAGTTAAAAATTAGCTATATTTTGTCACATCATACAATTTTACAGCTTATAAAATTGAAATTATTATTTAAAATTAAAATATAAATTTAAAAGCAGAGACATTTTCATACATTTTTAGATAAATAAACTCATCTGTCATAAGACCTGTAAATTTGTGATTCCAAGTACAGGTTCTATGCTGCCAAACATTAACCCATCTCCTTTAATTTCATATTAACTTAGTGAGATGGGTTGAACTCTAACAGTAAAAAAGATAATTCTTCTACAAAAAGTAAACCATGTGTTTCAAGAATCACAGCAGTCATATGAAACCAAAGTGGTAGTCTATTTGACAGCATGGCACCATTAAAAACACACAGATTTTGTGGCTTGTTATAGTGGATGTTATAATGCACTGGTCATAAGCATATCCCTTCAAGACGAAAGAATTTATTTTTCTAGTTGTTGTCATGTACCTGGATGATAGCCTTCAACTGACAACTCTCTATGGAAAGTGCCTTGGCTATAGAGTGCTACCATGGGTATTGACAAGCCACCTACAAGGGGCAGCCTTCATTCAAAGATTGTGATACAGTGGTATAAAGGTTCTACTTCTTCCCTCATTTTGAAATAACTCTCAAGGGCCATTGTTGTTTGGCTGACACCTTATTTGAGGCTGTATTGCATCCTAAATTATCCTTTGACCTAATACTACATCTTTTTCTAATCGCACAAGAAAGCCTTCTCTGATTAAATTTCATATGCTAATCTTCTCTGGGTCCACATCCTAAGGAACTTTACCTTCAATTGTTGGTACAAGAAGTGGGAGAAAAAAAGTAGAATATTAATTGGAATTTTCTAGCTGGGTCATATATTGGTCAGATAACAATAGGAAGTCTATTACTAGTAGTAATTGGAGCACAGATACATTCTGACACATAGTAGTGCGGTTGTTTAAATTTTCACAGGCACAGGTCTTATATCCTATATATGAGTTAAAGTTAAATTATCAGGGCTTGGTGATATAGGTAAGGAGTAATATTTATAAGGATAATAGAATTATGTGCTTTTGCAGGGGGTAATTGATGTTTTGAGCAATGATAATGAAAGTCTGAGTGTGATTATCACCTAAAGTCTGGGTGAGAAATCTAGAAAGCCTCCCTCACAGCATATAAAGAGACTCATCTTATGCAGTCAGAAAGCAAATAAAGCTGAGGAGCAGGTCTGAGGTTTAATAAGAAAAGGAGAGCTTGGGAGAAGGTTGATCTTTCCATCTAAGGTGCGCTGATATCCTAAGATTAGGGCCTTAGTTAGTGTTACATGTGAAAATGTTGACTTTCTATATACTCCAGTACCTGCTGAAATGACCAACTTCTCTTTTAAAGGCTAGCACTCTCCTCTGCTCCATGAAAATGTGCATGATGAGATAATGCATACACCCCTTCAAGGATCTGTTACTACATAGTTTCCTGTACACCAGACCATAAACTGGATTAATTGACAACATAACTTTTCAAGGTAAATTTCACCAATTAAGAAAGACAAAGTATCATGAAGGAGCCGCAGGACCTAAACAACATGTACTGGTAGGAAATGGAAGAGTATCTATCTCTACTATCTATCTATCTATCTATCTATCTATCTATCTATCTATCTATCTATCATAAGATATTAACTTTCTAGATCAAAGGAGGTAGAATATATAGTTTAATAAGGGATAATTAATTAAAGTATATTTGAAGCATTTTCCTAGAATTAAACATATAACATTCTGATACCTTCCCCGGCCATGTTGCTTTCCTGTTGCTACCATAGATTTCAGAACCTTGGACAGAGTGAGGGTCTATTATGAGAATTGCCGAAATTGCCATCTCATATGATAAAAGAATAAATGAAAAGTTTCAGAATAATAGGCAAGCTAGAGAGAATATACAATGTAGGCCAGAAAACTCAACAAAGAACTCTTGTCTCTAGGAGGGCCTAAATTTACCAAAACAATAAAAACAATGTGCTTAAAAGAGTAAAATAAGCACCCATAAGAAGTTCAGTGTTGGATCTTCTCTGTAGATAAGAGCTAACTTTAGAAAACTCTATTATAGAATTGGACTCATTGATAGCAATGGAGACAATGACAGAATCCCAAAATTATAGAAGCCAGCTGGCAGTATATTACTGTCTGAAGCAAGACAGTAGAAATTGTAATATGAGTCAAGGTTGGAGGGATAGCCAGGGAGCCTAACTCACAGAGAGTTGTGGGGATGATTAGAGAGCACAGTATCCTTAAGGGAAAAATAGATGGGCAACCACTCTAATATTTATAATTTCTTTGTCAATTTTTAGACCTGGGCCAGTTTTCCAACCTGATTGTCACTGACAAAGGAAGAGGTTTTGTCTCTAAAAGGACAGTTCCTGCAATACTAGAGTAAATATATGATAATTCCCCAGTCCTTCCCCTAGGAAATCTAAAGCCATTTGTCAGGTAATTATACAGTGAGAAAAGAAACTCCTCCAAGTTTTGAGGACGATTGAACACAGGATCCAAGCTAACATTTATACTGTTCATGTGAAGCCTTAACATGGATCCCTTATTAGAATGAGTCATGTGAGAGCCAAATAATAAATAAGAGTCCTGGCCCAGGTCTGGCTAGTGGATCCACTTGTTTGATGGATTCACCTGGTGATCCTTTTTGGGGTTCCAACTGTCAATCAAAATGGGCATATAGTTTGCAGTTTGCAAAAATCTCTTTATTAGTTCCTTAGTCAATGAGGTTACATTATTACAGTGGGGAAAACCAAGTAGAATTCTTTGAAATTCCTCCACTTACCATCTGAGATAGGAAATAATATTTACCACAGTAAATATGAATCAGTCAGAGACACCTGCAAAAATAATAAGATATAAGAGTAGTGGTTACCCTCGTATCTCCATTTATTTTGTGAAATTTGCCACTACAGGCTCATTGAAGATGGATTGTCGAGAATGACGGTACACTCCCACAAACTCAGCCAAGTGAAAAACTCCCTTGCAGTGCAGGATGTGCTTTGTGTGCATGGTTTCAGATACATGATAAGTGGCCATTTATCCAACGAATATGTTCTTTACATTTATATTTAAAAGACAACTCAGAAATAGTTCACATTTATTGTTCCAGAGGGCAGGGGATAAGCCCTATGAAGCCTCAGACCTGCAGCCTCAATGACATTTTCGAGGCTGATGATCTGAAACTTTCTAGCACCTGTCCTCTTAAGCTCTAGTTTTGACTGGGAGGAAGGGAGATTTTGTGCCCGAGTGTGTATTTGACAATATCTAGGGGTATTTTTGGTTGTTACAAGTAGGGAGGCATACTATTAGAATTGACCAGGTAGAGTCCAGGAATCCTATAATGCATAGAGCAGACCCTCAAAAAAAAAAAAAAATACTTGACTGCCCAAAATGTTGATAGTTAAAGGTTGCAAAGCCCTGCTCTGAAGTAAGGGACTTTTTTTTTTTTTTTAGACAGTCTTGCCCTGTCACTCAGGCTGGAGTGCAATGGCACAATCTCAGCTCACTGCAACTTCCACATCCTGGGTTCAAGTGATTTTCCTGCCTCAGCCCCTGAGTAGCTGGGACTACATGTGCCCGCCACCATGCCCAGCTAATTTTTGTATTTTTAGTAGAGATGGGGTTTTACCATGTTGGTCAGGCTGGTCTCAAACTCCCTACTTCATGTGATCCACCTGCTTCGGCCTCCCAAAGTGCTGGGATCACAGGGATAAGCCAAAGTACCCAGCCTGTAAGGGACAATTTATTCTATTGCACACTTTGCAACATGAAGGGTTACTACTTTTGGAAGACTTCATGTTCTCTCAGAGCAATTCTAAACAGCTATGTCCATTTTAGAAATCTTCATGGGATTGGTCACAGCCTTTGTTAAGCCTGCATGACAGCCATGCTTCTCCCTCAACCCGCTTCCTTCACATCCCCAAAAGGACTTGATTTCAAGAACATACCCTAAAAAATTTTTGCTTGTTAACCTCCATCTCAGACTCTTCTTCCAAGGAGACCCAACCTGCAATAACAAATAAGAACTTTAATTTCTGATTTAGCTTCTTAGTAGCTGAATTACCCTGATTATTTCAACTAGCATTTCTGAGCATCAGGTTTGTCATTAATAAAATGAAAATAATAATAATCTTATTACAATATTATTTAATGAGATGATATGTTATGCAACAATGACTTAATAAGCCATAGTACTAGACTTCTATCATCTAACTGAAGTATTTTGGTTTAGAAAAGGAAAGGAATAAAACCTTTAATATTTAAAGGTAATAAAGAGTAGGTTTACTACAATAGCATATGTAGTAAATTCACATCGAAAGACATTGTAATTCTTAAGAATATTAACATTTTGCTTCCTTTAAATTAGGTAATAATTTTTTTTAATTCCTGTAAATTTATTTGGATTTCTCTGGCAATTCCTTGTTTTCCACTTTTTGTTCTAGAATGAAAGCTCCAATTTAGTTATTTAATCCAAAAATAATGCTGTTTTTTTTACCTACAAAATAATTATTTTTAAAGCAGTTATTTATACAAAATAATTTAAGTAATACAATCTAAAGTCTATGTCAACCCCTAACTTGCCAGACAATTTGTAAAGGATTCAAAATATACCTGAACATGAAACTGCATTGGCTTCAAGGCCTATCTAATTACAAATTACACATAGAATTTTAAAATATTCATATTTGTAAATACTGTAAATTTTCTAAACATTACTATGTCACTATTTTACATACAATCAAGAAAGCATATAATTAAATCTAATTAATATTAATGGTAGCAAAATGAGAAAAATAAACACAAATGAATCCCATTAAGAGCAACAGCCAAATTAAATTTAAAATTTTATTTAAATAACAACCAAAAATATTGCTTTACCAAAAAAATTAAAAATAATTTAATAATAAAGAGCATAAGTTTTAATTACTTCATGCCACATAATAAATGCAATTTTTAATATTTCAAATAAATATGCCAGTGTATTATAAGAAATTGATAATATAATAGCCTTAGTACAAATAAATAAAATTAAAAAAACTTTAACTTTGGCCAAACTTTTCACAAAAAGCATTTATTCTAGTAAAAAAAAGCGATTTGACAAATATTTAAAAGTATAATTAAAGTGTGAATTGTTAACAAACAGTAAAGGTGCCTCATAGGAATGTAAAAGTAATGTAGAATAGTAATAAGAATAACTAAATCAAAATGTTAGTGATAATTAGAAATTATTAAGTTAAAGTTCTAATCATAAAATATAATGATTTGAACCTATGTTTTAATTTTATTATTACTGATTTTTTCAACTTTTCATGTCAAATACACTAATTATATCAGCATGTATACTTTTTAAATAAAACTGAATAATGAAATTTAATGGGCAAGAAGAGGATGAGGGCAGAAATGCCAATGATATTGATCTGAATATGAGACAACTACAGTCACAATAATGTTGACTTTTACTCTTTGGTCTATACAGAGTCATAGACTCTAAAGTTGAGTTATGATGTTGGCTGAGAATTTCATTAAACGCAAGGAAAGAATGAATTGAACACTTATTGAGTACCAAATGTTACTTACCAGATACCTAACTTATTATTTTCTTATTTAATACCAATAGCCATTAGTAATAATCACAAAAGCATCATTTTCATTTCATACATGAAAAAATTGAGGTTGAGTGAGATTAAATAATATGCTCAGTGTCAACAGATAGACATTTTTGGAATTGAGAGTCAAACAGGCTTGTTGAATTGGACAGTCCCTGCTTTCTTTATTAACCAAGATTTTTCTATTTAAGTTCTTTCTAGTTTTTTTGTAAAGATAATAAATTATTTTCAAAAGCTACCTACAGCTGACACACTATTTATCAGGGAAAAAGGTGGCATGGTACAATACAGTATATCATCCATCCACTGCATAATGCAAAACAGGAGCCATATGGGGGGTAACCATATTAGTATTATTGTTCTCTCCTGACTTTGAACAGTAGCTGCAGCTTGAGCCTTAAATAACACAGAGCACAAGTGGTCCCAGGACATTGTACTTTGGTTATACATAGCTAAATTTTGCTGTCACTGTTTTGGTAAAGATCTAAAACCTCTTGTTCTCTTCAGCACACCCTCGGGATGAGACAAATTTTCTGATTAACTGGCATTTCTCCCTCTCCTGAGTTCTGATATTTAGACGTTAAATACTCTTCTTATACTTTGCCTTTTCTCCAGCCATCTATTTAGATGACATCTTTCATACTTAAGTTAAAGATCTTTGAGGATAGGTAGAGATTGAGCTTTTCACTCTTTTGTATCCCTCACAAAATCCAGGTGTGCCTTGAGCACAACGGGAACCTGACTCGTTGATAGCTAAATTCATTGAAACTCATGTTTTTGTTTGCTTTCAGCCACCAATCCTCACGATAATATATAATGTCATTTATTTTGTGCAGATGATACATTAGAAAATAACAATGCATAATAATGCAAGTTCCATTATTTAATGTTTTGTTGATACAGTCTTGATGATGTTAATAAAAATGTATTATCAGGAAGACAGCTTTTGCGTTCATGAAATACAACCCATTGTCATTTAGTTGTTGAATGTAATTTGAACTGTTTTCCACGAGCTCATAACCAGTATCAGCTTTTAACATTCAGCAGTAAAACAGAAGCAGCAATAAAAATAAAACTTAATATTTTATTCAAAATATTATCATCAAATTATGACTCTTGCATAAGACTGGAGAAGACTTGGTTTCTTTTAAAATTATTTTCTTCCATTTCCTCAAAAAATTGTTTCTCAATGGATTTATTAATTTTTAGACACATGTAATTAATGTCTCAGAAATTTTAATTTCTTATACAAGTTTTGCCTAAATTTTCATAGAATAAAGACATTTTTTCCTGTTTCGTAGTATTTACATTTAAATGAAAGAAATGTAAAAAACATATAATGGAATTAACACTGACTTTTGGAGTTAGAAGATCTGTTTTAGTGTAGTTTCTTCCATTACATAAAAATTAATCCTTAGCTAAATATTTTTTTTTTGTTTCCTTCAAAATTTAACACACCAGTTACCTGGGATTGTTTGTGGAAGTTAAGAAATGTAGATGAGGTGAAAGTGATTTGCATGTTGCAAAATTTACATATCAATTATTTAATTTTGGATATCAGGTGTTTGACTATTGAGACTTAGGAAACAGCATAATTTTAGTAATTTGTAAAATTTAATAGTGTTTAATCTTTCTTTTTTTTGGTAGAATTTTGTTGCAGTATTTTTTCCAATATTTTTAAGTATGGTAAAACAGACGCAACATATAATTTACCGTCTTATCATTTTTAAGCATACAGTTCAATGGTATTAAATACATTCATAATGTTGTGCAAATATCACTAAGATCCGTCTTCATAACATTTTTCATTTTTGGAAATCTGAAACTTTATACCCACTAAACAATGACTCTACATTTTCTCAGCCACTGCCAATGGCCATTCTACTTTGTGACTCTATGATTTGACTACTTTATGTATCTGATATAAGTGGACTCATGAAATACTGGCTTTTTGTGACTTACTTATTTTACTGAACATAATGCCCTCCAAGATTATGTATGTTGTAGCATATGTCAGAATGTCTTCTCTTTTTAAGGTTAAATAGTATTACCTGCATAGACTACATTTATTACATTTTGTTTATTCATTCATTCATTCATTCATTGATGTTTGAGTTGCTTCTACATTTTAGCTATTGTGAATAATGCTGCTATAAACTGTTCTTTAGGGTATGTAGTCAGAATTGGAACTGCTGAATTATATGACAATTCTATTTTTAATTTTTGAAGTAACATCTGTACCATTTTATATTCCCACCAACAGTGCACAAGAGTTCCAATGTTTTCACATCCTTGCCAGTGCTCATTTTCTGTTTTTCATTTGTTTATTTTTGAAAGTAGTCATCCTAATGGATAATAGATAGTATCTAATTGTAGATTTTATTTGCATTTTCCTAATGTTTAGTGATGTTGAATATTTTTTCATGTGCTTATTGACCACTTGTCCTTCTTCATCTTCTTTGGAGAAATGTTTATTCAAGTCCTTTGCCCATTTCTGAATTTTGTTGTTTGATTTATGTGATTGAGTTTTGAGAGTTCTCTACATATTCTATATATTAACCCATTATCAGATGTATGACATGTAAATATTTTCTCCCATCCTATGGGTTGCCATTTCACTCTACTGATAGTGTCTGTTAAAGCACACATTTATTAATTTTTATAATGTCCAACTGTCTATTTTTTATTTTGTTGCCTGCTCATTTGTAGTCATATTTTAAAAGTCAATGCCAAATTTAATGTTGTGAAGCTTTGCACTACATTTTCTCCTGAAAAGTTTTATAGTTTCAGTCTTACATTTTAGTCTTTGACCATTTGAATTCATTTTTATATATGGTGTTACAAAAGGGTTCAACTTATCATTTTGCATGTAAACGTCCAGGTTTTCCCTGCACCATTTGTTGAAAACATTATTGTTGCTTTCATTGAATAGTGTTGGTACTCCCATCAATAATTATTTGACTGTATATGTAAATGTTTATTTCTAGGATCTCTACCTGTTTCATTGGTCTATATGTCTGCCTTTATGCCAGTACCCTAACATTTTGATTACTGTAGCTTTGTAGTGAATTTTGAAATCAGGAAATATGAATCCTCCAGCTTTGTTCTTTTTCAATATTATTTTGACTGCTCAGTCTCTTGAGACTATTTATGCAAAATAGGTCATTGGTATTTTGATAGGGATTGCATTAAATCTGCAGATCACTTTGGGTACTATAAACAGCTTACTATTAAATCTTTCAATCGATAAATACAAAACATGTTTTTATTTATTTATGTCTTCTTCAATGTCTTTTGGCATTCTCTTCCAGTTTTTATTGTACAAAACTTTCACCCTCTTGGTTAATGCCTAAGTATTGTATTCTTTACATGCTAGTATACACTGAATTATTTTTATAATTTTCTTTTAAGAATGTGCATTATTTTTATGTAAAAATGAAACTTTTTGGTGGTAACTGTATCTTGCTACTTTGCTGAATTCATGTATTACTTCTAACAGTTTTTTCTGAACTCTTTAGAGTTTTCTAGAGATAAGATCATATCATCTGCAAACAGATAATTTTATTTCGTTATTTCCAACTGCATGCCTTCATTTATTTTTCTTGTGTGATTACTCTGACTAGAACTTCCTGTACTATGCTGAATAGAAGGGATAAAACTAGTCATGCTTGCCTTGTTCCTGATTTTAGAGGAAAAGCTTTCAGTCTTTCACCATTATGATGATCACTGTGGGTTTTTAAAAATATATGATTTTATTATGCTGAGGTAGTTTTCTTCTACTCATAGTTTGTTGTTTTTATCATAAAAACAACAATTATGTCAAATGCTTTTCCGCATCAGTTGAAATGACCATGTGTGTGTGTTTTTCATACTTGGAATGTGGTGTATTACATTAATTATATATGATGAGTCATTATTGCATTCCAGAAACAAATCTCAAATTGTATAGTACTTTGAATTTGAATTTTAGTACTTTCTTATATTGTATAGTACTTTGAATGAATGTGGTTCTGAGTTTGGTTGGCTAGCGTTTTTACATCAATGTTCACATGAAACATTTGTCTGTAGTTTTCTTATAATGTCTTTGTCGGGTTTCAATAGCAGGCTAATGTGATTTCTTCTTTTATTTATTGATTGTTTAAGAATGTGTAGTTTATTCATTATTTTATCTCTGACAATCTCTGCTTCTAAATTAGCATGTTTAGACTATCTGCATTTAAAATGATTATGGCTATAGTTAGATTAATATCTCTAAAGTTTGTTAATGCCCTTAACAAATTAACAGTAGTTATTTTAAGTGTCCTGCCTGATAATCCCAAAGTGTGTGTTTTATCTAAGTTTGGTTCTTAAGCTTGCTTTTTTAAAAAAAGAAATTAATATGTCTGCATTTGTCCATTCTCACATTCCTATAAGAACTGCCTGAGACTGGGTAATTTATAAAGCAAAGAGGTTTAATTGACTCACAGTTCCATATGACTATGGAGGCCTCAGGAAGCTTACAATCATGGCGGAAGGGAAGAAGAGGCATGCACCTTCCTCACAAGGTGGCAGGAGAGAGAACGACCAAAGAAGTAACTTATCAAACACTTATAAACCATCAGATCTTGTGAGAACTCACTCACTTATTATGAGAACAGTATAGAGAAACCTACCACATGATCCAATTACCTCTACCTGGTCTCTTCCTTGACAGGTAGTAATTATGGGAACTACAACTCAAGATGAGATTTGGGTGGGGACAGGAAGCCTAAACATATCAATACCTAATAATGTTTGGTTGAAAGCTGGACATGATGTATTGGGTAACAGTAACTGAGCTAAACAGGCTTTAATGGAAGGTTTTATGTTAGCCTGGCTTGGAGCTGGGCTGTATTTAATGTTGGCATTATATGTACACAGATTTCAAATTCCTCTGGTGACCTTATTTTTGTCTCCCCTGTTGATTTTGGGATCCCTTAAGTACTAGTCTCATAAAGTCTGTGTCTTGCAGCTATTTCAGCTATAATCCACTGTTTTTCTACTGAGTCTTTACTGGCCTGGGGGTAAATTGTGGGGTAGAGAAACCAGTGTGTAATCTTATTATTAAATCTCATTCTTTTAATGTATCTATTTTCCTGTGCTGTGACTTTCACAAGTGTTTCTTAGCTTTTCTTCTTCCTTTAGGTGAAACAGAAAATCTAGAGGATTTTAGACTGGAGAAATTACCTTTTCTTAAGGTGGAATAAGGCTCTAGTTAAACGGTTTCTCTTGGGAGTAAGCCTTTGTTATGGAGAAGACTTTGGGTGTATTTCAGAACTGTTTCTTTTCCCCTCTCTCTGCCAGAACCAATAGGAAATTATTCTCAGATATTTACTAGGGACTCTTGGAGAGATTGCCCATAAATATATATCCTACCCACCTGAAAACTGCAGCCCCTAGTTTATCATTCTTACACCAGTCCACACTTTGCATCTAGTAATTTGTTAATTTGTTCAACTTGTCAGAAGTGTTTGAACCAGAGGAACTCCATTTTATATAGGGGCTGGATAAAATGAGGCTCAGACCCACTTGGCTGCATTCCCAGAAGGTTAGGCATTCTAAGTCACAGGATGAGATAGGAGGTTGGCTCAAGATACAAGTCGTTAAAGAGGCCCACGAAACCCACCAAAACCAAGATGGCGATGAAAGTGACTTCTGGTTGTCCTCACTGCTCATTATATGCTAATTGTAAGTCATTAGCATGCTAAAAGACATTCCCGCCATCACCATGACAGTTTACAAATGCTATGGCAATGTCAGGAAGTTACTCTATGTGGTCTAAAAAGGGGATGAACCCTCAGTTCTGGGAATTGCCTTTCCCAGAAAACTCATGAATAATCCACCCCTTATTTAGCATATAATCAAGAAATAACTATAAGTATAATTAGTTGAGCAGCCCACACCACTGCTCTGCCTATGGAGTGGCCGTTCCTTTATTCCTTTACGATTTTAATAAACTTGCTTTAACTTTATGGACTCACCTCCAATTCGTTCTTGCACAAGGTCCAAGAACCCTCTCTTGGGGTCTTGAGTGGGACCCCTTTCTGGTGAAAAAGTTACCATTCATGTCTTCCTATCAGTGTAGAAAGACAGGGAGAGTCTCCAGGAACTATAAGAATGTAATCAACTTGAGCAATCAGCCTGTTTTATGGCTTTGCAGCCTGTTTTTGTAACCACTCAATGAGTTCTTGCCCACTGCTCAGATGGAGCCAATTTATGAAGACAGGGGAATTGCCATAGAGAAAGAGTTTAATTCACACAGAGCCAGCTAAATGGAAGACCAGAGTTTTATTACTCAATTTATCTCTCCCAAAATTTGGAGACTGCGTTTTTTAAGGCTAATTTGGTGAGCAGTGGGCCAGGGAGTTGGGAGTGCTGATTGGTCAGGTAGGTGACAAAATCAAGAGGGTCAAAGTGGGTACTTTTTCCTGTCTTCTGTTCCTGGGTGGATTCACAGAACTGGTTGAGCTAGATTACAGGTCTGGGTGGTGCCAGCTGGCGCTCTGAATGCAGGATCTAGAAAGTATCTTAAGCACCAATATTAGATTTTACAGTAGTGATATTATTCCTGGGAACAATTGGGGATGTTCTGAATCTAGTGGTCTCTTGCTGCGTGACCCCTAAACCATAATTTCTTATCTTGTGGCTAATGTGTTAGTCTTACAAAGGCAATCTGGTCACAGGCAAGAAGGGGGCTTGTTTGGGAAAGGGCTGTTACAGTCTGTTTCAAAGTCAAATTATAAATGAAGTTCTTCCCAAAGTTAGTTCAGCCTATGCCCAGGATAACAAGGCAGGTTGAGGGTTAGAGGTAAGATGGAGTCAGTTAGGTTAAATCTCTTTCACTGCCATAATTTTCTCACTGTAATAATTTTTTTAAACGGCGGTTTCATTTTTCCCCAAACTCTGTGTAGAATGTGTTCACCTAATTGCCTGGAGCAAGCTCCTAACAGATCCTAGCAAATTACAGATTAACCCAAGTAAACTTTTCCTATTATCATGCTAAAATCTCCACCCTGTGAAGAGCAACAGCTTCATTATCATAACATGCAACCTTTGTGTGAGCATAATGACTTACTGCATCTGCTCCCCCCCGGGACCTCTCCTCTACATGCAATGATGCACCCTCTCCCCTCTCACTGCCCCATGAAACCCTCTTTCAGGGAGACACTGCCTTGGAGAACACACCCCATGCACTCCTTACTTGTGGAAAGTAATAAAATTCCTATTGATCGAAACCTGCATTCTTGTGGAGAGTCATTTGTTACTCCAGGTAAATGAACTCCCTTTTTTTTGGTAACATTCATTTAAGATTCTATGAGATTCTTCTCCTTGTAAGCAGATCTCAGCTCTGATTCTCTGCATGGGCACTTTTTTAAGGATTTCCAGATTTCAAGGTAACAATTTGCCCAACAACCTCAGCTCTTCAAGAACCACCACTGATTTTCAGTTTGTACAATCATTTCTTGTTAGAAGAATATAAGTGATGACTATTAAGCTCTTTAAAATTGCAGCTGAGGCCGGGCGCGGTGCTCACGCCTGTAATCCCAGCACTTTGGGAGGCCGAGGCGGGCGGATCACGAGGTCAGGAGATCGAGACCATCCCGGCTAAAACGGTGAAACCCCGTCTCTACTAAAAATACAAAAAATTAGCCGGGCGTAGTGGCGGGCGCCTGTAGTCTCAGCTACTTGGGAGGCTGAGGCAGGAGAATGGCGTGAACCCGGGAGGCGGAGCTTGCAGTGAGCCGAGATCCCGCCACTGCACTCCAGCCTGGGCGACAGAGCGAGACTCCGTCTCAAAAAAAAAAAAAAAAAAATTGCAGCTGAAGTTGGAAATCCACTAATACGGATTGGTTAAGTGTTAGCGTTTATCTTTCATAAAATTTGCTTCTGCC
Organism: Homo sapiens; assembly: GCF_000001405.40. NCBI lineage: Eukaryota > Metazoa > Chordata > Mammalia > Primates > Hominidae > Homo > Homo sapiens. Next base: position 19,121,629 of record NC_000021.9, read on the forward strand.
TCTGTGAATTTAATTTTTTCTATGTGACATTTTATCTTTCTTCTATTAATTTTTCAGTTACTTGATAAAAAAAGCTCTTGTAATTTAATACCTTTTCACATCCACTTGTTGGCATTTGAAACATCCTTACATTAAATTCTCATGCTACTCGTCTTTTTCTTGCCCAGTGAGAGCCAGTTTAGCTTACACTTGTCAGGAAGCTTCCATTTCCACATTTAACCAATTTAACCATCTATGTTCTGCTTTTTTCTATCTGTTGAGCAGGTGCACTTCTGTGAGTTCCTTAACCCTACATTTCACAGTCTTGCTTAGTGGGGCTCAAGGGTCTCAGCTCCTGCCATGGTGCCTGGCACCTGGTAACACAGTTGATGTTCAGCTGTTACAACATGAATAATCATCATCCAGCAGTAATTATTCACAAAAGTTTATTAAAATAATATAACTTTATTATAATATGACTATTTTCCAAATTATTTTTGAGAATGAAGATGATAGGGAAAGGCACCTGTTAACCGAAAAATATAGGCCATTTAAAAGTCTCTTGTTTTTCTGGTGTCAACAAGTTCAATGTGCACACTGTGCTTTTGAACTATAAACCTGAGTAAAGTACAAGAAACATCTCATTCAATTCTCTCAATTTTGAGTTCACTCATTTTAGAGATAGAAAAGTGAGCCCCAAAGAAACAAAGCGAATAGCACAGACTGCACAATCCCATGATTTATAAACCAGTACTCTTTCATTCTATCACCTTGCCTTCTGACACCTCTGAATAATTTGCTAGTTCTAGACAGATAAATGGAGGCTATGGATTGCTACAATTTTAAGTCAAGGCAGACTGGACCAATAACGTTACCAACAATATCCCCCACAGAATTATTTATTACAACTATTCTCTGTTTTGTTCTGCATCAGCAGGTCCATCTGGCAGTAAAGGATTGACCAGGTGTTCTGGGAAAAGTTGGCACACGAATGCCTTGAACACTGTGATGTGAGCAGGAGGGGGAGATATTTTCAATGAGAGAAAATTAGATTATTCTTGATATGTATAAAGGTGCAAGACATTTTTAGGTGATAGCAATTATGAAACATCTTTTTGCTTTATTTGTAGAGGTTTTTTGACTTGGTTTATAAAATCAGAATGAAGTATAAATATTCAAGGGAACTAGAGTGTCATCCCTATTAGTGTAGAGAATAAACAAAAATCTAGGTAGACATCCTTGAAAATTTGCAGTAAAATAAAAAAGGCATATCTCATCAGAACCATTTGTTATTCTAAAGAAAATAATAATAACAAAACCTCTCTCTTGATTAGTCTTTATTAGTTGGTACCTGACTCAGGGCTTTCAATCAGATGCTCAGAATATAGTTTACAAGTGATCTTTCCCTTACTAAATTGAATTTTGTGGCCCGAATTAGTTAATCCTTTTCCCAAAGTGAGCAATTTCCTGTGTATTTTAGCTTATCAAAGTCAATGAATGTATTAAGAGGGCAGAATTCATTCTAATACTGCAGAACTTAGACTGAATAACAAATGTAGTACAAGTCCACTGAGGTTTCAAGCAGTCACTAAGAAGCTGTCACCAGGCAAAGAGAATGTTTCTTTGTGTAGTGAATCCGTACACATTAATGAGAAACCTCCATTGCTGGCACCCGCGGTCTGCAATGTCCTTGACTTTCATTATGTAAGAATTAATTCCATGGCAAAGGGCTTTTATCAAGCTTGAATGTGCATACAGGAGTCCCCCATTATTTGTGGAACATACGATTTTAGGCTCCCAGTGGATGCCTGAAACCACAGATGGTACCGAATCCTATATCCACTATGTTTTCTCCTATATATATAGACCTATGATAAAGTTTAATGTATGTTAGGCACAGTAAGATATTAAAACAATAATAATAAATTAGAACAATTATAACAACATACTGTAGTAAAGTTTTTTTTTTCTTTCCTTATTAAATCAAGAATTTTCATCCTTTCACTTAAAAGGAAGAAATTTACAGCTTCTCTTTGGCATATCCGAATTACCAGCATCATTGTTCTTGCTCTTTGGGGCCATTGTTAAGTAAAATAAGAGCTATTTGAACACAAGTGCTGTGATACCTCAACAATGTATCTGATAACTGAGACGACTACCAATTAACTAAGGGGCAGGTGGGCAGGCAGCTTAGAGAGCATGGAGCTGCTGGACAAAGGAATATGAATCTTATCATTTCTGGGTAGAACATAGTTGGATGGTGCAAGATAGTATCACACTGCACAAAACAACATGCAACTTAAAACTTATTGCTTATTTCTGGAATTTTCCATTTAATATTTTTGAACTGAGGTTAACCCAAACCATGTGTAACTGAAACTGTAGAAATTGAAATCATGGATAAGGAGGAACTAATACTGTATGATATACTGTAAAATATCCAACCACACAATGTTTCCATACCGCTTTAAGACAGAAAAAAAATAATTTTCTAAGATTTGGTTAATTTTTATTTAACATTTATATTTATGTATTTTAACCTTTTCATCATAATCGCCTACATTTTCTTTAACCTGTTTCATTTTGAACATTACTTAGTGATTTTAGAAAAAACAACTAAAATGTTAAATCAAAATTGACGAATCTACTATTTAGAAACAACATTGACATGTATACCTTTCTTTTATATATGAACATATGTGTTCCTTCACATCTTTTCTAAATATGAATTTTATTATAACTTTTGTAACCTTTCTCCAACAAATTATTTGCTGGTTTTTAACTTTATTAACGGATAAAGATCTTAAACAGTAATTATCTTAAAAAACAAGAAAATATAAATTCAATTTAAAAAGCATCCAAATTACACATATATATTTCCATATGAAATAATTGAATAATTCCTTGGAATGAAAGATGTCAAGCTCTTAGCATCCATATTTCTTCAGCATCTTCTCTCTTGACCTGCTAATTTTGTTGCCCAGACTATTTTAAATTTGATAGCAATCATAACACTATATTATCCAGTTATATTTCCACCAGGATTTATTCTTGTCTTTATATTTAAGTAAATTTAATAGTCATTACCAATAAATTACCAAGGCTTCTCCATCCTCAAGTTCTTTATATTATGTTTTAGATTGTTGAATTTAATTACCAAGAATTTTTCTTCAGAATTACTCATTTTATATTTTCTGACTCTTTTATATTACAGAATGTCAGCCAGTTGCTTTAATTCTTTTATGACTATTGAGATGGATGTCATATTCTTGGATCACACTTCCTTTTTTTCAAGACTTGGCAATCACTGCTTTACTTATTTTTGGCAAAGAATGTTTCTGTAGAGAAATCTAAAGGCTAGCCTGATTTTACCCTTATAGCTGATGTTTTCTTACTACTTATGATCTAAAAAATTATTTACTTTAAAGTTCACTGGTTTTGGTGTATATAATATGAATCTCAATTTTGGCTTATCTTTATCAACTTTCTTGGTATGTGATATATCCTGAATTCTTAAAAAATTGTTCTGTATATTTTTCCTGTGAATTTAGTTTCTATATAATTTAAAATATTTTTTTCCAAGGTATCTCGCTGAATATTATTTGTATTGTTTACTTCAGGGACATCAATTACCTTATGTTGCATCATTTTTGTTTTTTATATAAATAATATTCTGTATATTGATGTAATATTTTGACTTTCCGTCTACGTTCACTATGATTTCTGAAGCCTTTTCCTCATAACAGCAACTTGATTTTCCATTGCACTCATTCTGTTTCTTTCAGTTTGTATCTTTCTGTGTTTCAGTTTGTTGACTTCTGTTACTATCTTTACATTACACATCTTTTAGGTAGTTATTTTGTGCTGTGATTTTATGTAAGTAATTTTATCATTAATTTCTTTAATAACTCAGTGATTTTAAGGAAGTTGTCTGTTGTTTGCTGTTTAGTTTGTTTTTGCTTCTGCTATTTTATGTAACGCATTTACTCATATTTTGTGATATTCCTTGTTTTTATAATCATGGATAGTATGAACAGCATTCTGTAGGTCCTATGTGTTTAATCATAGAGCAATCAAATTGTCTTTGACAGACATCCTAATTTAACTTATACTTCCAGTAGCTTGAGGATGTGTGGTTAGAGAGGTTAAAAGGCTGGCAAGCATTACAGGGGGCTCTTTTCTGTACTCTAAGTTGCCACTGGATGTACCCTCTCCCTTCTGCCAGGTTTCTGTCACTCCCTCCATGAGGTATCCCTTGTACTCCCTTCTCAATCCAGTGACTGATTAAGTTAAATGACCAATGTGCAAATTGGAACTCCTTGAAAAAATAAATAAATCAAGATGTTTCAGAACTTGAAGTTAGAGTACAATGTATGATGGCCATAAGAAATTGAGAAATGCAAGTATATTAAAATTAAAGCCTTTTGTATATCCAAGACACTTTAATAAAAGTGAAAGCTGGCAGAAGTTACTTGTATTACAAATAATTAAGAGGATTCATATAGTTTTATAAAGACTTCAGAATTCAAAAATAAAAATGCTAAATATATGAATAGACTACTGGGGGGTGTAAATGAGCACATTCTTTACAGAATAGTCAATGCGTGTGGCTAACATACATATGAAGAGACGTCCAAAGTCATTGACATTGAAGGAAGCTGGAAGCAGGACTCTAATGCGATGTCATTTTATACCCATTCAATTGGCAAGTAAGAAGCCTGAAATGCAAAATGTCACAGCAGATAAAGATTGATTCATTCTCTCACGCACTTAGGGGAATAGAAAATAGGAACAAAAAATGAACAATCTCTTTGAGTATAAAATACAGCATTATTCTCTAGGGCTGGTAAATTCATATAATCTTTGAGACAGAGATGTAGTACAATGACTGTATTTTGACTGTAATAGGCACTCAGTTAGGGACTGTATATCCCAGCTCTCACTGTGGTAGGGAAAGCCATGTGACTTGTTTACTATTGGAATAAGAGCAACAGTGAATGTACTAGCTTGCCAGGGATGGCCACAAAATACCACAGACTGGATGTCTTAAACATGAGAAATGTATTTTCTTATAGTTTTGGACGCTAGAATTCCAAGATCAAGGCATCCCCAGTTCAGTTTCTCTTGAGGCCTGTCTCCTTGATTTACAGAAGCTATTTTGTCACTCTGTCTTGACACAGCCATTCTTCTCTATGTGTGCATGTCTGCTGTATCTTACACTTTATTATAAAGACTTCAGTCATATTGGATTAAGACCCCATCTTCATGACCTTGTTTTTATCTCCAAATATAGTTACTTTCTGAAATACTGAGATGTGGGACATCAATGTGTTAATTTTGTGGAAATATAATTCAGTTCATCCCAGTGCGGTACACCATTATTGAGCCAAGGTTTCTGGGAGATAGATGTGCTACCTTCATGTTCTCTTGAACTTCTGATAATCATATACACACACACACACGCACACACACACAATTATGTGGTACAAGAGGAAAGAAACCTTGATTTCTGAATTACTGAATGGAGATCAGGCACCTGCTTTGAACTGATACATAAGCAAGAAAGAGAGGTTTAATATATTTGAGTCATTTACATATTTTGGTCCATTTGTTAAGTTACCTTAATCTATAATGAACATAATTTAAGCCTCATGAATATCACTCATGCACAAAATCAACTTTTACACTTAGTAACAGCAGATATAAAGAAGAATGTTCAGGCCGGGTGAGGTGTCTCAAGCCTGTAATCCCAGCAGTTTGGGAGGCCGAGGCAGGCAGATCACGAGGTCAGGAGTTCGAGACCGGCCTGACCACATTGTGAAACCCTGCCTCTACTACAAAAATTAGTCAGGCATGATGGCATGCGCTTGTAATCCCAGCTACTCAGGAGGCTGAGGCAGGAGAATCACTTGAACCCAGGAGGCAGAGGTTGCACTGAGCCGAGATCATGCCACTGCCCTCCAGCCTGGGCGACAGAGTGAGACTCCATCTCAAAAAAAAAAAAAAAAAAGAAGACTGTTCAGAGCAATATTACTCATGAGGGGAAAAAAACTAGAAACAGCCTAAATTCTCATCAATTTGAGAATGAATAAATAAATTGTTGATCATTAAAATGATGAAATATTGCACAGTACTAAAAATACCAAATATACATACTTCAATCACGATAAATTGTAGAAATGTAAAATTGAGAGAAAAATTTCACAGAAGGCTGCATACAATTTTCTACTGTTTTTATAAACATAAAATAAATAAAACATATTTTAAGTACGCATATATATATTTATATGTCATAAAATGATAAAGAATCTTGAGGCCATGATAAAAACATCAGCTTGGCCACCTGCTCTTCAGAAGAGGGAGGAGGGTCGGCTCAGGAAATTGTATGGAGTGCTTATGTAGTATTGGTAATACTCTGTTTATTGTGTTTTGTAATGGGTTCTGTTTTATTCTTTCCAAGTTGCATATGTGAAATACATATATACAATATTTATTATAATATTATGTATTAAGCATTTTTATTTGAATAATTTTAAACATCTCCAAAATAATCATTTTGTCCCTTTTAAACATTGTAATAGTAAATTACAGTTGGCATGGCTATATTTGTTTAAGGTCTAATAAAATTTTTTTAAAAATCAAATTTGTCATTAACAGGTTACTCAGTAAGATATCATATAATTTTGAAAATAATTTGGCCGGCCATGGTGGCTCACGCCTGTAATACCAGCACTTTGGGAAGCCAAGGCGGCGGATGGATCCCGAGGTCGGGAGATTGAGACCATCCTGGCTAACGCAGGGAAACCCCGTCTCTACCAAAAATACAAAAAATTAGCCGGGCGTGGTGGTGGACGCCTGTAGTCCCAGCTACCCCGGACGCTGAGGCAGGAGAATGGCGTGAACCCAGGACGTGGAGCTTGCAGTGAGCCGAGATCGCGCCACTGCACTCTAGCCTGAGTGACAGAGTGAGGCTCAGTCTCAAAAAAAAAAAAAAAAAAAAATTAAATAAAATAATTTCGATGAATATAATTTTGATCAAAATTAAGTTGCCAAAAATAACATTCAACTTCATCTTTATAGATGAAAGACTTTGAATTTAGGGTGGGATTCAAAAGTGGTAAGTAGTAAAAATAATTTTAGGTGAAAATAATATAAGTTGATAATTAAAAATACCATATCGTTGCACAGAGACTAGTTGTCTTTGCCAAGAACATCAGTTAACTATCAGATAAAGCTAAAATTCTTGTCCTTGTGATTTAGTGATTTTACAGGCAATGCTTATTGATTGAATAATAGTTAGCAGGTTAAATGTTTATTATTTCTGACTTTCTAATAATTATAAAATCAGTTGTATATGGTGCATAATACTGGAAGGGAAAGCCATAAATACTAAATAATATACATATCTAACTGGCATTTCTATCTCTACTTGAGGTAAAAAGTATTAACGTGTTCAATAATATTTCTGTATTCCATTAAGAAATCATGATACATATGTACTTCTCCAAAGGATTAAAAATCAATTCCCGTGTAGAAAGGATCCTGTGATAATTGGGATTGAATTGCAAAGAATATCCTTATGATTTTATCTTGAAAGATTTTTCTACAAGAGTAGTGGTGTGCACTTTTATTAGTTTAATTACCTTGAAATCTTAAAGACAGAAGAATTTTTAAAGTTAGTCAAAATATGGGAGTTAAATATATTCATTATTTTTCAATTCTTCTTAAGGAGGTATGAAGGACAATTCAGAAATAAATATTTATAATGAGGATTGGCTTAAGAATGCTTGACCTCAGAAAAGCACTTCCATTATCCTTTAAGAAAAGTGTCTACATTTCAAGATTAGATACTCTGATTAATTTAACATTTAATTTACAATATTGGGGAGTATATTTCCTAAGGAATTGATGAAAGAAGTTTCATTATTTCTTACAATTTTTTTATATTTTTGCATGTTTCTTAGTGTTTGTAGTCTCTAAAATGTACTCTTCAACATTGATATTTCTTGAACATTCTACCCTATTTTTCATCTATTTTTAATTTTCTCTGTTTTTCATTAGATTCATTTTGCCTTACCCTCTTCATTTTATCTTCCTTCTCTAAAATGCTAAAATAAAGAAAGGGAGAAACAGCTTTGTTGGGGCCATCTCTGCTATTTTATTTTCGATGGCAGGCATTATATCTTAGTGGAAATTGTGCAGTCTTTGATAAAACATACATCCGCTTACGGAATTGGATATGTTTTATACAAATTTCAACTTCAACTTCTTCATCTGTAAAACAGGGTAAATAATATCGAATTTGAGTTATTAAGGCAATAGAAAGAATATATTTAAAGCTCCTAGAACATATTCAATATTCAGTTAGTGGTAGCTATTATTGATTATATTATTGGTCTTGGTATCACTAAGGAGTATAGGAGATAAAATATATTATTAAATGTAGAATTAGAAGTTAGAGGTAAAAAAATGAGTGATATTCAGCATTGAGAGATTTTTATAATTTGGTAGTGATAGTGATAGGAAGCAGAGAAATTCCTGGGCAGACAGGGACAGGTGCCTGGTGAAACTCAACCTTCAAGCCAAGGAGAGTCTAAAGTGTACACAAAACTACCAATCCTGGATAGAGTCCGTGGACCAGGGTGGGAACTTCCATTTCCATTTGGTGCAATCAGCCCCTCATTGGTTCTGGGCTAAGACTTCACTTCAGCTCTCTATTGATTCTTTACACTCTTGTACCTCTTTCTGAATGGTGCTTTTTCCAAGCCTACCCACAAACCAATCAGCATACATTTCCCCTTTCTAAGCCCATAAAAACCACCTCGCAGCCAACAACTGACTTTCAAGTTCCCTGTTGCTCCTGAGAGCTTTCTTTCTGTCACTCAATAAAATTCTCCTCTGCCTTACTCACTCTCCAGTGTCTGCACACCTCATTCCTCTTGGTCGTGAGACAAGAACTCAGAACTTGCTGAAATGCAGAAGTGAAAGAGCAGTATCACTCCATCCTGCTGAACTACGGGAGTGAAGAAGCCACAGTAGGACTTTACTAGAAGTGAGGATTGGAGAACAGAATCTTTCCAAAAGGTAAGATTACCAGTGTCTCATTCTTAGAGAAGTTTTTAAATGAAACTACCTGATCTTGAAGCAAGAACATAGACTGAGTTGAACAACAGGGAAGATCAGTTGTGAAATCTCATACACTGCTGGGGCACCCAGACTCAATGCTGGTGCGCAGTGTCTGGTGATCATGAAGCATATGTGTTGGGTTAGAAGAGAAACTAGCAGTTGGAGTCATTGACTATTAATGTAATTTCTGTTTTCAGAAAGTATTTCAGAACTGAGTCAGTTTCAGAAGCCCATCATTAATCCAATCCGGGAAGAAGAGAACAGAAACATTAAAAGGAAGACCGGTTCTAACTTAAATCCATGAAACCATAACTAATTTCTTATTTCAATTAAGATTTCTTAACAAAGGTTTTTGCATTTACATCTACCTGAATTTAATCTACATAAACTTCAAATTTCACCCTCCAACTGGTTGAAACATACATGTACTAAATTTAGTATTATCCTAAATAAGAACAAGTGTTTCTAAAGGCACAAGTTATTTATAGTGTATCCTTCTACCAACTACTCTGATAGAAAAGGAGATTGGAGGAGTTAATTATGTTTCATAAAAATAAAACATCCTAGTTCATAATATTTCACATGCATCTACAGGAGAGTGAGACCTGTCTTTGAGAATAGAAAAGATTATGATATTATTTCCATAATTATTTTCTAAATAAACTAAAGCTAAGATATACAAATTTAGAGAATACAAATTTTGACAGCACTTTCAAATTTTAGAGACATAAAATTATACAGATATGTTTTGAGACGTAATTAAACATACTGTTAAATACAAATTATGATCACCATGTAAACATAAAAAGCACTAACAGAAATAATGCAAAAAATATAAAAATCTAGATACTAACATAATTTAGTAACTGAATGACCTTGAAAAGTAGAATAGTCATTAATTTAGACTAACTTGAATGATAGCTTTTTCTCCAATTACAAAGCCAATACATACACATTGAATAGAAAGATAGTAACAAAATTCAAAAGATATGCTGTTTTTTTCCTACTAATAGTTTTATTCCTATATTTTTAAATTTTATTTGCAATTTACAGTTGTGGATATATAATTGTTGTATGTACTTATGGGGTACATGTGACATTTTGATACAAGCATACCATGTGTAATGACCAAATTATGGTAACTGGGATATCTATCACCTCAAGCAGTTATTATTTCTTTGTGTTAGAAACATTCCAACTCCATTATTTTAGTTATTTTGAAAGACACAATAAATTATTGTTAACTCTTAGTTTCCCTATTGTGCTACTGAACAGTGGGTCTTATCACTTTTAGCTGTATTTTTGTACCCATTAACGAACCCCTCTCTGCCTCCCCCCACAACAGTACCCGTCTAAGCCTCTGGTAACCATTATTCTACTCTTTGTCTCTAAAAGTACAATTTTTTTAAAGTGTATGTTACATGAAATAAGCCAGGCACAGATAGACAAATATTACATATTCTCTCTAATATACGGGAACCAAAAATTATTTGTTTTTTAAGTTAACAGTGAAATATTTCAGAATGCAAATAGGTTTTGAGGAAAGTATTACTATACCCCAAGTGCCTCTGTGAAGCTGAAGAAACAAATCTAACAAAAATGATTGAAGTCTTTTTTCTCCTCTCCCAAATCTCTCTCCTTCTCCCACATAGTTAAACACTAAACAGAATTTGGTTTTCATTGTTTATGTGCCTTTTCTATACTTTTGCTGTGTAGTATTATATGGTTATGCTAAAACTATTCTTTTGCAACCTATTTTTTATGCTTAACATTGTGTTTGAGATTTATCCAAGTCAACTTTTTTATTCTAGATTCTTTATTTCAACTGTTGTATCACATTTTATTTATATAAATATACTACAATTTATCTATGCAAATATTAATTTGAATCTCTTTTTATTTAAAATTTCAATTTAAAATGTTAATAGGAATTCTTCACAAATAGCACTGTAATGGTTATTTAACATTTAACAACGTGAACATAATATAAGATGCCTAATGAGTCTCCATTATTAGATATTTGGGTTAACGTACTCTCTCCACTTCTCCCAAGAATTTAGAATATTATATAGTGCATAATAGATGCTTAGTAAAAACATTTATTTTCAAAGAATAACTTTCTAGGTTTTCATTGTTATAATTAATAATTCAAATAAATTATACGTTACTTTTCATGTGATTATCTGACAATTTTTATGCTATATTAGAGAGAAGGTTGTTGTAGGAAAAAATATACAATTATGTAATTTTCTTTCCTGTTCTTACACTTTAGAGGTAGAATTTGGGAATTACATCAGCTCTGCTTAGCCCAAAACTTTGGAAAAGAGAAATTGGCTGCTGACTGTTGGCCTACCTCATCCTTTAACAAATGCTTGATAAACAACCTTTGCTCAAAGGTGTCACTCTGTCACTCTGAAGAGCACGTGTAAGATTAAATTTCCATTGGAAAAGATGAAAGCTCTTTGCCACATTTACAGTGGGCTCAGATCTTTCTATTTTAGCAGGAAAAAAAACAAGTGCCAAACTATGCTGACTTTTAAAAAATTAATCAAATGATGTTCAAATCTAATTTGTAAGAACACTTCCCTTCTCCCATGGGGCTTAATAAAAACACTTTTATTTTCTCCTAGGGTGGTGGGAGGGGTTGTTGTAAATAATTACTTTTATTTATCCTGAATTGATTCTTGTAAGGAATAAAAGTCACTTCCAAAGGAAAGAGTTAAGAGCCATTATTGCCCAGATGAGCCCAACATCTTACAATGTGGACAATTTTCAAGCACGAATTACCAATGTGAATTTGCCTGGAGCAACCTGCATCTCTCTCTCTGCGGTCCCCACCCCTCATATTTATTTCTTACAATAAGTGAGAGCTGGCTGAGTGTAGCAGATATCTAGGCAAAGTAAGATAACTCAAATGAATAAAATGTTTGTCTATTGTCAGTGTTCTGTTAACCATTTTAACTAACTTTCATCCTAGCCTTTATCTTATTTGACCTTAGGACACTGTGACCTCATTGGATTCCTTCTCTATTTTTTCATATATAAAAAGAATAAGTTGAATATTTTCTATACTTGATTATTACAATTCCATCTTTGTCAAGTAGACCTTGAAATGACCCCAGTAATTCCCAACTTCTGGTGTTCACTTCCTGCATTATCTTCTCCCTTTGAATGTTAATTGTTTCTCATCAATGAGATACGGTAAAGATGAAGAAATTTTGGAGATGTAATTAAGATCCCAATTAAGTTGCTTTTGAGTTAATCAAAAGGGAGATTAATCTAGGTGGGTCTGGTTTTACTGATAAAAGAACTCAAAGCGAAAATGGATCATCCCTGAAGTAAGAGTTTCTCTCCCTCTCTCTATCCCTTTCTCTCTCTCTCTATTGCTAGTTTTGAAGAAGCTTCCATGTTGTGAGAGAGCATATGGAGGGGGCCACGTGGCAAGGAACTGTAGTGGCCACTGAGTACTGAGAGTGCTGAGTGCTGAACATAGAACCTCAGGGCAACAGTTGCAAAGACATGAATTCCACCAACAACATGAAGGCCTTGGAAATGGATTATTCTCTAGTCCAGGCTCTGATCACCACAGCCCCAGCCAACACCTGAATTTGAGCCTTGTGAGACCCTGGAGTAGAGAACTTAGCTAGGATATGCCTGACTTCTGCCCTACAGAAACAAAGACATAATAAATGTGTGCTATTTTAAGCTTCAAGTTTGTGATGATTTACTACACAGTATAGAAAACTAATACAATATTACTTTTCTTTCTGCAACATATGTTTCCATTAGTCTAACTTCCATCTTGATTCAACAGATATTTTTTGAATTCTTATGCCAAGTGCTGTTAAGAATTTATCTCACAATCACATAGGTCAGTAAATAGCAGCGACCAGATGGGAGTTCAGGCCCTTTTAGTCATTGCTCAGTGATCATTCCCTTACAATAAACATCTGTGGATGCACTAATCCAAATATCAAGTGTGTGATTGCCACAAATATTTGAGTTATAAGATGTTAGAAATGTTTAATATATATATGCAAAATTTGGAACTGTATTGATACTTATGGAATGTTATGCTAGGAAAAGAGGTTAAGTGAGCCATTCTTTTTGTAAATAGTCATCAATATTTACAGAATACCTATGTTCAATTTTTGTTTTGCCTGAAGGTCAAAAAAGAAGTGAGGATCATATGGGAAATATACCTTCTTAAGAAAAAAGACTATGATCTCCATTCACAAAACTACTAATATATCTATGAGCTCTGCTTCATAATATTTCTGGATTTTATAATTAAACTTTCCTATGAATTTTCTAGGTTATTTTTGTGAATTTTCTGAGATATATTTCAAATTTTGACAGGGAAGCTTAAATAAGTTGGTTTTTCAGTCAAAATTATTATAATACAGCTAGAAAATAATTTGAACTATATTAATGGAGCTGCAATAAAATTAATTGAAAATTTTATGGACAATAAAAGCATAAGTGGAAATTTAAAACTAGATTTTGTTTTAATATAATAGCTTTTTAGAAATCTATAATGTTATAATAAAATATTGTAAAATGAATGATTTGGACACAATTTCCTACTTGATAGGATCCAAAACTTGTGTGGAGTTGAATAAAAAAGTACATTATAGATTTCCTTTGCTTTAATTTCATTGAGAACTACATTGTAGACTGCAATAAAACAGAGGTCAGATTCAGAGAAAATTGCATTTTACTAGTGGTAGCAGCAAAAATATGAACCAGAATTTACTACAGTTTTATGAGTTTTTATTAATATCAGTGATAGCACTGAGAAACAATGATACTAATTGAATTACTTATTTTTGCTATACTTGAAGTTTTATAATAAATGAGATTATTCCAGGAGTTTAAGTTTTTATTTATTTCGCTGAAGATACTAAAATCTGTTTCATTAATTAATAAATTAGCCTATATGTTCTGTTATTAATGATGTTGGTAGCTGAAATATTTTGTTTATTAATGGATATATCTTTTATAATGACTTCTGCAAAACAAAGCAAATGCATCGCTTATGTTCCATTTTCACCATGTAGATTGCATTGTAATTTAATATCAGCATTGCTATAAAAACTTAATTGGTCACAAGACCTGAGTAAACTGGAAAATAATGGCATTTTCACCAGGATGTTTTTGAGACTGTTCTAATATAGTGAAAGCAAGCAAAAATTGAAGTAAAACTGTCAATCAGTAGGTTTCTTTTTTTTTTTTTTTTTTTTTTTGAGAGGGAGTCTCGCTCTGTCGCCCAGGCTGGAGTGCAGTGGCGCAGTCTCGGCTCACTGCAAGCTCCGCCTCCCGGGTTCACGCCATTCTCCTGCCTCAGCCTCCCGAGTAGCTGGGATTACAGGCGCCCGCCACCACGCCCGGCTAATTTTTTGTATTTTTAGTAGAGACCGGGTTTCACATGTTAGCCAGGATGGTCTCGATCTCCTGACCTCGTGATCCGCCTGCCTTGGCCTCCCAAAGTGCTGGGATTACAGGCGTGAGCCACCGCGCCTGGCCAGTCAGTAGTTTTCTTTAAAATGCCTTTGCTGAATGACTTTATAAATGGAGTGAACTAGGTTTCAACAACTTTTGTTTCTCTAACAGCATGTAATGTTTTATCATTATCATGTTGTAGTTGATGTTTTTGGGATAAAAATTCCACATATTTTTAGAATTAAGTGTATGTATCTTAAATCTTGTAATTATTTTGAGAATAGGAGACAAAAAAATTGAAGAAATTCTATCACTAATAATAGTGAGCAAAACTGGTAAGCTTATACAAAGAAGATCATTTGTTATGCAATAGACAATTTTTTATTTTTTTTTAGTTGCTTGCTATTTTTTTCCCATCTGTAAGCCTTCTTGAGGTCAGAAGGATAGTTTATTGCTCTTTATCTTTTTGGCAATTAGGGAACTATCTGACTTGAATTTTGATTAGAATTGAACCAGGTTTTCTGTTTTTGTTTTATAGGAGACAAGTTCTTGCTCTATTGCCCAGGCTGGAGTACAGTGGTATGATCATAGTTCACTGTAACCCTAAACCCTAAAAATTTTTAAATTTTTAAAATGCATGGCTAAGTTTCTAATTTTTTGTACAGATGAGGTCCTGCTATTTGTCCCAGGCTTGCCTTTAACTCTTTGTCTCAAGTAATCCTCCCACCTAGGCCACCCAAAGTGCTGGGAATATAGGTCTGAGCCATTGCTCCCAGCCTAAACTGGGTTGTTAATAAAATTCCTGAAAAAAAATGAATCAAATTTTCATCAGGACAGTGAAATTAACATATTTATCATAATCTTTGCCAAATTAAAAATAATAGGACTTATATTGGGGGCCAAGGTCATCTACTTTATAGTGCTTGAGTATTTTTTGTGCTTATGGCCTCTCTATATATGGAGGAAGCATATTTTCTTAAATTTATTAAGTTCTTCTCTATGGTACATAACAATCTTCATTATTCTAAAGTTTTATTTTTCTGAATCCTAAAAGATTGAGTCTCCTAAACAAATCATTAACTATTTGCATATTTACCCAACCAAGGCGATCTGAGCTGCCAGCTCAGTAGTAACATATTCTCTAGGCTCCAGTGAGCGGGATCCAATGGTAATGGCAGAGTAATCTAAATTTCAGATTTGGCATACGAGATACATACATTAACCCTTCAAATAACTGCCAAAGTAATAGGCAAAACTATGACCTATGCCAGCCTCTACCACTTCTAAAATGGTATGACAAAACCATACCTACCCAAGTGTTTTATGAAAAATAAAATAAGACACTGGTCACAACATTATAAGAAATTTAAACTGCATTGTTTAACTTAATAATATTTTATTATGATGATGCAGATTAGCAATGAATGTAATACGCATATAAGCAATTAAGAATCAGTTATAGAGTTAACAATTATGTGATTATGATGTTAACCTATATCAATTAGCTAGTCCATTTAAAAACATATTTGCAGATTTTCATATATTTTACTTAACCTTAAAAGTCATGGTTAGAGATAATTTCCCCAAATTATTGAATTATCTAATCAATGTGATATTCTCCAATATTTGGTAGATAAAACACTACTGGTGGTCTTCAGGGTTTAGCTATCTTATTCTTGCCTAGAATTTTAAAGATATAATTAGTCATATAAATAAAATGTTTTGATTTTCTTTTGTATACATAAGCAGTGACTGTAGGATATCAAAAGCAGGTATGTAAAAGCAATTGTTAATATTTCCTAATATTATGGATATTGATTATAATGTCACCACTACAGGGTTTTACTTCATTGGAAATTAATAGATTGTGAAATATAAAGATTACTTATCATTCTGAATTCAGTGTGCATCAGAATGACTGTTTTAGTAAGACATTCTTTTAAAATAAATCAGGAGGTGAATCTTTTGGTGATGTTGAAGAAAAATTATTTAATTATACTTGTTAAAGCACAGAAAGGAAGACTTTATTCAGGACCATCATGATGTAGGCACCATTGCAATGGGATTTTGCGGTTGGGGAGAGACTGGGCTCAACTCTGAATACAGCATGAGAAAATGAGAATTTATAGCCAAGGAGCAGGGTGGGGATCAGTGGATAGAAAGTTACTAAGAGGAAACATCAGGGGTAAGATGGAATGTAACTAAACCGACCTAACAGTATTTTTGCTGAAGACAGGCCAGAACAATCAGATATCAGCTGGGGAATTGAAGAGAATGAGGAACCCAGTCAGATCATGAGGGTGATCAGATATTAAAGGTGAGGGCTGATGCTTGTTAAACTGACTTGTAATTTTGCTAAAACAAGATTTTACAAGAAAGTGCATAGATGGTGCTAAGAGATGGTTCTGCAGCATGACTAATGTTTGGTCACGCAGAGTCTTTGTAGTGGCAAATTCTCAGAGAAATATTTTTAGCGGTACTGTTATTTGAAAAGGGTGATGGCTAAAAGGCTTGTTGGATGAGGCAATTTTCAGTGGTCCTTGAGCATCCCAGCAGTAACTGTGCAGTAACTGTGTTACACTGCAAGGTTTGTCTGTCTCCTGAAACTGACCAGTCTCTGCATTTAGTCACATAGGTGATGAAGTATTCAAAGCGACCGAAGTATAAATACCTTATAATTGCTCCTCCCTTCGTACTGGCTTGCTTGTTGCTTGTGAAAATATTTGTTGCTTGCTATGATGCTTGGTCCTTGCGTAAAAAGTGCTAGGCCTTGGAACTGCATTTCTCACCTGCAGCACAGCCCACTGTATGCCTAATATCCATCTGGGCTGGTGGTATCTCCTTGGAGACATGGAGGTAAGGTCTTTGCTTATGCTCCTGATGTACACAGTTCTTTGAATAATAAACTATCTGGCCCTGGTCCATTGAGTTTCATTGTCCACTTTCCACGGAATAACCATGCTTTTATAGCAAGCCAACCTGCTTTCATGCCTAGTTACATGTTTTGTAGTTTTGTTGTGCTTTGGTATCTTCCAGAAGATTGGGGTCCTTCCTTGACAACTCTTCTGGATATTTTTTCTCTTCTGCGAACAATTCATTTTTTTACTATCTTTAAATCTTAATTACTATTTAGTAATTAAATGTAATTATCTTGCATCAGATATGTTCCATTTCAAAATTAATTTTAGAAAAAATATTTACCACAAACTGGTGAAAATTTGGCTTGTTATCCCTGTTAACATTGATTTTTACATTTAATTTAATTTACTTTTTAAATTTTTTTTCCTTTTTAACTTTTATTTTAGAATCATGGGATACATGTGCAGGTTTGTTAAAAAGGTTTATTGCATAATGCTGAGGTTTAGGGTGTGATTGAACCTGTCACCAAGTGTATTAGTCCATTTTCACACTGCTAAAAACAACTACCTGAGACTGGGTAATTTACAAAGAAAAGAGGTTTAATTGACTCACATTTCTGCATTGCTGGGAGGCCTCAGGAAACTCACAATCATGGTGGAAGGCGACGGGGAAGCACATCTTACATGGCAGTGGGAGAGAGAGAGAGTGAAGGGGGAAGTGCCACACTTTTAAACCATCAGATCTTGTGAGAACTCACTCACTATCATGAGAACAGCAGGGGGAAAATCTGCTCCCATGATTTCATCACCTCCCACGAGGTCCCTCCCCTGACATGTGGAGATTACAATTTAACATGAGATTTGAGTGGGGAAAGAGCCAAACCATATCATCCAGGTAGTGAGCATAGTACCTAATAGGTAGTTTTCCAGCCCTTGTATCCCTCCCTTCATCCCCAGTCTAATAGTCCCCTGTGTCTATTGTTCCTATGTTTATGTCCATGAGTATCCAATGTTTATCTCCCACTTATAAATGAGAACATGTGGTACATGGTTTTCTGTTTCTGCATTAGTTCGCTTACGATAATGGCCTCCAAATGCATCCATGTTGCTGCAAAAGACATAATTTTGTGTATTTGTATGGCCACATAGTATATGTACCATATTTTCTTTATCCAGTCCACCATTGCTGGGCACCTGAGTCGATTTCATCATTTTGCTATTTTACATAGTGCTGAGATGAACATACGGGTGCAAATGTCCTTTTGGTAGAATAATTTATCCTCCTATGGGTATATACTTAGTAATGGGATTGCTGGGTCAAATGGTCAACTACCATTTTTTAAGAAATCTCCAAACTGCTCTCCTCAATGGCTGGAATAATTCACATTTCCACCAATAGTGTATAAGTGTCCCATTTTCTCTGCAGCTTTGCCAATATCTGTTTTTTTTTTTTAATTATTTTTTACTTTTTAACAAACACTCTTCTGACTGGTGTGAGGTGGTATCCCATTGTGGTTTTGATTTGCATTTTTCTGATGATTAGTGATGATCAGCGCTTTTTTATGTTTGTTGGCCACTTATATGTCTTCTTTTGAGAATTGTCTTTTCATATTCTTTACCCACTTTTTAATAAGGTTATTTGGTTTTTATTCACTAATTTGTTTAAGTTCTTTATGGGTTCTGGATTTTAGACCTTTGTTGGATGCATAGCTGGTGAATATTTTCTCCAATTTGGTAGGTTGTCTGCATACTTCCTTGATAGTTTTTCTCGATGTGAAAAAGCTCTTTAGTTTAATTAGGTCCCATTTATAAATTTTCATTCTGTTGAAATTGCTTTTGAGAACTTAGCCATAAATTCTTTGTAAAGGCCAATATCAAGAAGACTGTTTCCTAGGTTTTCTTCTTTTACAGTTTGGGGTTTTAAGTCTCTAATCCATCTTGAGTTAATGTACATGGTGATAAGTAGAAGTCTAATTTCCTTCTTCCTCCTATGGCTAGTAAGTTATCCCAGTAACATTTATTTAGTAGGGAGGCTTTTCCTGTTTGCTTATTTTTGTCAAGGTTTTCAAAGATCAGATGGTCGTAGGTATGTGGCTTCATTTCTTGGTCCTCTATTCTGTTCCATTGGTCTATGTGCCTATTTTTATACTAGTACCATGCTGTATTTGTTGCTGTATCCTTGTAGTATAGTTTGAAGTCAGGTATTGTGATGCCTCCACAACATTGATTTTAATACTCAAGTAATGTTGTCAGACAAGCCACTGTCCTTTACGTTAGAGAAAAAAGAAATAATGATTCTCTAAACCATAGCATAAAATGTGGAAATTTGTGTTTTAGCCACTAACTAGGACTGGAATTCTGTAACACTCTGAAAATTTACATTTTTCTTCATCTTAGTTTTCTCAAGAGGTTGTTTACAGCCTTCAAGTTTTAAAATGACAAGTACCATGTGTCAGGTGCTGTGTTTATACATTGCACTGTGAGCATCAGAATGAGTAGGACTCATTGCAAAACTTAGTATTTTTAGAATCTATAGAATCTCTAAGAAATGTCAATTTAATAATTTTAAACTTTATAAATATCATCATTGTCTTATAATCTGTTGTGTGGTATTTATTTCTCCTACTGATATTAATCAAATGCTGATTATGTGCTGGGCATTGTGCAACGTGCTTAGGAGCCAGCTGTCACTGATATCAACACAGTGCTTCATCTCATGGAGCTTCCTGTTTTATGGAAAGGGACATTTTTAAGACAAACACACACCACTGTACTTCATGAAATGGAAGAACAGAGGGATTTAGAAACATAATGGGGACGCCAAATAATTGGATTTTCAATATATTAAAAGTGTTTATTATGTACCCATAGAATGTGTTCCTTTTGGGTTCATCTTCTGTCTAGAACAGATGTTTTTGCTATCATTTCACAAAATAATGATTTGCTACAATCAGTTGATATGCAGATGTTGCTCTTTTTAAAAGATTGCTATTTTGATTTTACTCTTTTCATTTTACATTTCCCTGATAGTATCTTCAAAAGGGTTAAAAAATTGGTATCACAAGGAGACAATTATCTATGGGTTTCTTACATTTTTGTATGTCTTGTAAGGAAAATAACTAACTGCTTTGTTCTGACCTATCTTTTCAAGGATGTCTGTATAGCAAACAGCCTTGGATGATCTAGTGTCCACCTCGACCCCACCCCACCTCACTTCAGAGCAAACCCTGGATTTTTAAAATGTTAAAGGATAAAGTACCTTTCTCTGGAGCAAGTGGCATGCATGCATTCATTGGTCTCTCTGGAGCAAGTTTGGCAGGATATGCATCCCAAAATACACCATTTTGGTATAGAGATTCTTTTGAGCTTTAGCACTTGAAAAACAGCAGATACAAGAAAGACATTGTAATTTCCTTCATCATAAAAACCTGAGATGAAAACTCCTCTTATAAATGATGTCCTCCCTAGGCCGGGCACAGTGGCTTACGCCTGTAATCCCAGCACTTTGGGAGGCCGAGGCGGGCGGATCACGAGGTCAGGAGATTGAGACCATCCTGGCTAACACAGTGAAACCCTGTCTCTACTAAAAATACAAAAAATTAGCCAGGCATGGTGGTGGGCGCCTGTAGTCCCAGCTACTTGGGAGGCTGAGGCAAGAAAATGGCGTGAACCTGGGAGGCGGAGCTTGCAGTGAGCCGAGATTGTGCCTCTGCACTCCAGCCTGGGTGACAAAGCAAGACTCCATCTCAAAAAAAAAAAAAAAAAAAAAAGATGTCCTCCCTATACCAGAAAGAAGCAATATTCTTCAAAGAGAAATCAGAGCTAAGAAAATTCTGTATAAACAGACTGTTAAAGTAATTATTATATTCCTTTAGCCTGTTGTGGAAAATTCAGTTACTTTTTCACAATTCTCCCTTTTGTTCAACCTAATATAAAAGCATTTAGGTTTTGCTAGTTCTTTGAGTCTTTATTTCATTATGATGGTTCCCATGTCATATAAACTTATATTCAATTTGTATGCTTTTCTTCTGTTAATCTATCTTATGTCAATTTAATTTTTAGGCTCAGTCAGGGTCCCAAGAAGTTAAAAGTAAAATTTGCCTCCCCTGTCTATGCATACTACCCTGCATTAAAAATGTGGATTTTGTAACTTCGTGTTTCTCTTCTATAATATAATCCACTTTGTGGGTAGGTGTCACTTGTCTTTTTGCCTCAGCTGGTGAAAATTGAAATGCAAATGCTAATATTCTGGTTATTGGTGTTGGAGTGAGTAATAAACTATTATTTGTTTCTAATAAAGATTGTACATATCTGAAACTATGGCAAGCTAACTTATTAATTTGCAAATAGGGTAAAAAATTTAGATACTTTACAGTTTTTAATATCATATCAGAGCCATTGGGGATTGCAAACACAGATGGGACATTTTTACATGTGATATTATCAATCATGTTGATCAAAGGAATAGAGAGGAATAACCAGGTTAAGCAATGCTGATCTAGAAGTTTTAAATATAAGTCACAATTATACTTCCATTTTCTCCAAAATGCTAAGAGATATATATGCTATATGCATTAGAATTTGAGACAAGATTCTAAAAGATTCTAAAACATTTTTTTCCAATTTTATTTGTCCTTACTCTTTGCCTTCACCATTGTGCTTTTTGTTTTGTTTTGTTTTGAGATGGAGTCTCACTTTGTCACCCATTGCCCAGGCTGGAGAGCAATGGCAAGATCATAACTCACTGCAGCCTTGAACTCTTGAGCTCAAGTGAGCCTCCTGCCTCAGCATCCTGAGTAGCTGGTAGTACAGGACAGATATGTGTCACCATGCAGAGCATCTCATGCTTCCTTTTCATTCACGGAGATAAGGACCCTCATACAATTGGACCTCGTTGGAGGAGTGTATGTGTGTGTCTGGCCGTGAGGGTAGATCCATATCCTTACACTTTTTTAACCAACTATTTTTGTTACAAATATAAATGGTTAAAAATACTTAGAGTTTTCATACTTCTCTGCCAAGCCATTGGGTCTCTTGTATCTGCATAAGGGCCCGCTGAGGATGGATCCCAGTAGAATAGATTACACAACTTTCATACAAACTTTAACCAGAGTAACTTTGCCTTTCTTCATGTTACGTGTTGTATTTTTAAAAACACAAGAAAAGAGCTCTTCAGATAATAGAAATTTACAAACCACTGTTCCTTCAAAATTCAAAAGCTCACTTTATTGAGTGAAGCCAATATGTTTATAAGGCTTTATCTGTTATTAATCTGATGACACTAGTAATCCCGTACATATGTATTCATTTCTTAAATTTAGAGACTATTCCAATAAAATTTTCACCAAGCAGATAACAGGATTACTTTTATTTAAAAACCTGTCATTCTAAATTACAGCAGTCTCCTTTAGAGGCAAATAAACTGCAGGAAGGATAAACTAATATCTCAGTGTCTTATTTCTGTTATTTTAAATATTAATATTTTAGAACTAACAGTGATACTCCATTGAATGAAAAGCATTTTGGTGGGGTACAAATGCTCAAAAAAAATTCAATGGGGTTAATCTTTGAAGCAGAGGAAAAATAAACTGCATGATTGTCTTACTCCTACTGATAAGGTTGATCCACTTTGAAAGCTTATCAGTACGTAGTATTGTCAAAGACATTCATAATTAAAGTCCAAATTGTGTGATTTATAATGTTCACAGCAGTTGCTTTTGATTTTCTTGCTATCTTTATTCCTGCTTCATTATGAATACATTTGTCTAATACATTTTAATTTCGTTTAGTAGCTCTTTCCTAAGAATATAAAAGTCCCATACCAACATTGACTTTTTTAAAAAAACTTTTAAGTTCAAGGATACATGTGCAGGTGTGTTACATAGGTAAACATTGACTTGTAAAGTTTCACACTTTCATTAGGTTTATGCTCATATTGGAATGTTTACCAGCTGTTCCTTTTGCCATCATAATTATTCAAACCTGATTTTCATGTGCATGACAAAAATAGGCAATTTCTATAATATTTTAATCAATTATAAATGAAA
The DNA here is from genome assembly GCF_000001405.40 of Homo sapiens. Lineage (NCBI taxonomy): Eukaryota > Metazoa > Chordata > Mammalia > Primates > Hominidae > Homo > Homo sapiens. Next base: position 19,145,081 of record NC_000021.9, read on the forward strand.
GAATAATTTCTCGTTATTCACTAGAACCATGGATTTTACCGTATGGTCATTATTTTTTCAATCATCAAGCTTTTTAAAAGTATAGTGAATACAAAATATTCCAGACTTTCTTAAAGCATGAAATTTGACCAAAACCATTAAGATTTATTATTAACTTTGGTAATAAATACAAATTAAATATATAGAAATGAAAACAAAAATACATTAAAATGACTTAACGGTCAAAAGTTCAACACGTCAAAAACTGTTCACATAAGAAACAAGTGAAATGGTAGATAAAATCAGCTATGGTTATCTGATACCTACTAATAAACACACATAACACCTGACATCCACAGAAGGCTCTTGAATGTTGAGATAGGGGTATTATATTTAAAAATTATGTTGATTTTTTTTAATGTTTTATCTTTTAGCCTAGGTTGTTCTGGAACACCTTGGCTACTTTTGATGTTTCTAGATACACATATTCCAATTTTCTCTTTTTAAAAATATGGAAATTCATACTGATTTATTTAGTACCATCCAACTAATTATGGATAGGGCAAAGACCAGAATCCAAGACTTTTACATTAATTTCAATATTTTGGGATGCTTTTCCAGCTGTATAGTAGTCATTTTTGCATGACAAGTTATTGTCATCAAACCAGCATTGGTTGTAAACAAACCCCTAACAGTTCATCGCAACATTTTATCAGTACTATCACTTCTAGGGAGGGTGTACATAGCAAGACCAGTGAATTTCATGATAGTTAAGTCCATTCCCTTGATGCTTCAGTTGTAAAATGGTTCGTTGTTAAGGGGCAGTGATGTGTGAATACCATGATGCTGAATGAGTATGAAACAAAACCAATTAAAGTCATGCTAAAAATAATTCTGGGCAACTTAAAAGCATCTATAATATAATGTTTGATAGATGTTTTTAGTGATTCACTGAATCACTATTTCAGTGAAGATGGATTATTGTCTGTATCCTTCTCCACAAGGTGATGAGAGAAATTCAATATAATTAAACGGCCATTGGGTGTCAGACTGGTCCTCTTGGGAAATGGCAGTTTTGAATATTAGTCACTCAGCTAGATATGCCTTACTTAAGGGAAGATCTTGTTGTTGACCTCATGTGTAACATTCATCCCTTCTGAATTTTCGCAGGTTTTATCTCCCACCATTTGACATATATATTTTACAAATACATCCAGAGGTTATTTGCTATGTCTTGCTCACCAGATGCAAGTTTTGTGATATTATTGACATAATAAGATAATATATTCTGAAGGATGGTGATACAGTTGAGGTGAGCAAGTGTACTATGTTATGACACAAAAAGTGACACAGTGCACTATTTTATGAAACAGAACAGAGACGACATATTCCTGAGGTAATACAATACAAAGAAGATGTGCTGCATTCCACACAGTATGAAAGCAAACTTTGTGGTGGTCCTTTCTAATACATAGATGCAAGCAATTGCCAATCAATAGTTTTTTTTTGTTGTTTGTTTGTTTGTTTGGATGGAGTCTCACCCTGTCACCCAGTCTGGAGTGCAGTGGCACGACCTCAGCACACTGCAACCTCCACCTGCCGGGTTCAAGCAATTCTACTGCCTCAGCCTCCTGAGTAGCTGCAACTACAGGCGCACACCACCATGCCTGGTGAATTTTTTGTATTTTTAGTAGAGATGGGGTTTCACCATGCTGGTCAGGCAGGTCTCGAACTCCTGACATCGTCATCCGCCTGCCTCGGCCTCCCAAAGTGCTGGGATTACGGGTGTGAGCCACCGCGTCCAGTCCAGAACAATATGTTTATACCAACTACGGAGCTTCATACAACCTGCTCCAATATATACACAACATTTGAAACAACAGCCGCAATTGGAGGCAATTGCTAATTAGGTTTACAATAGTTCCTTTCGGTCTATAGCATCAATATTTCTTCACAAGCCCAAGTGGCATGTTAAGTGAAAATAAAGTAGAACTCACTTTTCTTGTATCTTTGATGGTGGCATAATTCCTTGCGATTGTACTACAAATGACATATGACTTTTTTTTCTGCTATTCATGTAAAATGAGATCAAAGACCTCTACTTTTTTATTGTACCATAAGAGCCTTTTCACCAGGGGCCAAGGAAGCAGTGTGGGGATTCTGCTAGCTATGGAGTATGAATATTTCAACTATGCATTCAGATCTTGGGGAGGTAACTACGGAATGGTTTTGTAGATTTACTCTGCCCACTTACAGATGGATTCAGGCCAACATTACTTTTCTCAAATGACCTCCATAAGCCCCCACTCTGAGTCATGGACAGCAGTGGCCTTTTGAAGTATGAAAAATTTATGTCAGCTCAGAGCCAGTGTATTGAGTAATACTTAAAAGGTCTGGATATTCAAAGCAATTAACTTTGGAAAATGTTCACAGGTTTCTTTGGGGAAAGTTGGAAAGACTCGTTTCATTGCATATTTGTAGGTTTGTTTCTAGGGTCTACCTTCAGGGGGAACCCAGTTTCTACTTCATTCCAGGAGCTCTAGAATCTCTTTTGAATCACATCTGGGAAGTAGGTTAGAGGTCCTTGATTCTTTAACTTGGCCATTCCTTCAAGTATCTTCAGCCCACTTACATTTTGTCTTAGTCTGATTATGGATCTATAGCAAAATACCAGAGATAGGGTAATTTATAACGAACAGAAATTTATTTCTCATGGTTCTGGATGTTAGGGAATCCAAGTTCAGAGTGCCAGTGGGATTGATGTTGGGTGAGGGCTGCTCCCTGCTTCCAAGATGGACCTTATTGCTACATCCTCCAGCTGGGAGAAACATGGAAGAAGGGATGGAAAGGCAACCTTGAGCCCTTTTATAGGAGTGCTAATCCTATTCATGAGAATGGAGCCATTATGATTTAATCACACCCTCAAGGCACACCTCTTAATACCTTTATATTGGGTATTAAGTTTTAACATGAATTTTGAAGGAGATATTATTTTTCAAACTATAGAAAATTTGTTTTTAGTCTATGTTTTCCCTGTTTCACTTATTAATAAATAATTTACTTGATTCCTTCTGTTTCAGTCAGGGTTCACTCAGAGGAGCAGAACTAGCGGGACATTTATTATGGGAAATGGAAATTGACTAAGCAGTCTTTGCAAGGATATTTCTATATCTAATGCTGGAGGCCAAAGTCCACGGACAGACAGGCAGGGAGAAAAGATAACAAGAAGTCTGGAACCACAGGAGGACAGACTGAAAGTCATGTTTCTTCTTGTTACCACTGACATTAGTGATGAGGGCATCCTCGAAAACAGAGTCCTTTGCCATAGAGGTGGCCTAAGGTGACAAAGAGTCCTTTGTCATAGAAGTAGCATGTAATACATGTGGCCTAAGATTCAGAGAAAATAAATGAAGGTATAGCAAGAAGAGAATTGGAGAACTAGCTGCTGCTTTATGCTAATGAGGTGAGTTAACAGACTATCCATGCATATCCTACAAAACGGTTGCTTCCTGCCTTTCTGGCACCCTTATTAGAAGCATATAAAAAGGGAATTCTGGGAAATACTCTTCAGCTTAGCCAAGTGTGCACATAACAAAGCCATCACATCTGTTGTTCTCATTCCCAGGAACACCTCGAATACTCACTTCATCAAGTCTCTGCAGACCAAAACCCATCTCTGCTAACCATACCCATCTTAAAGATACAGGTAAGAGGTATTAGTTGTTGGCCTACGCCACTGCACAATCCCATTACCACTACTTAAATTAAGATGTAACACCTGTTATCGTGGACCTGACAAAGACAGCCATTATAGGGCTATCCTTTCCAAGAATGTTGGTACTGTTCTCATCGTTGTAACTTTTCAAGTCACTTATAAAAGGACTATCTTTTGGATTCTTCTCAATTCACTGGTGAAGGAAATATTCTCCAAGCTTTTCTTGGAAACATGATTAGCTTGCATAAGTGAATAATCCATGCTGAATTTACTGTAGTTACTTCCTCTTCCTAAGCACTTTCTTTTTTTCCCCTGCTTTACATGCCAATTAAGTTCTAGTATTTCCATTCTATTTAATGTAGGCCAACATAGCATCCAGATTTCAGTTATTCATCAGGTAAACTATTAGAGATACTCATTGTTGCTCAAGCTGTAACCCATATTAAAAATTAAATCCCATCTAATGTTATAATATTTTTTCCTCATAAAATAACACACTTAGAATCCTTCCCCGCATGCATTTCCAGGTTTCAGTTGATACGAATTGAGAAAAATCAGGCAGATCTTTTGGCTTTTATTCTATCCCCTTTCAGTTTGTGATTTATCCTTATTCTTTTGAGAATATGCTGGTTATTTAATTCTGGGTCAGGAAGACATGAGGGATGGTACCTGTGAGTCTTAAAAACAATCAGCCTCCCCTTGAAAGGCATCTGCCTCAAACAAGGGATCAATTCAACAAGAAGAGCTAACTATCCTAAATATACATGCACCCAATGCAGGAGCACCCAGATTCATAAAGCAAGTCCTTAGAGATCTACAAAGAGACTTAGACTCCCACAGAATAATAATGGGAGACGTTAACACCCCACTGTCAACATTAGACAGAACAAGAAGACAGAAAGTTAACAAGGATATCCAGGAACTGAATTCAGCTCTGCACCAAGTGGACCTAATAGACATCTACAGAACTCTCCACCCCAAATCAACAGAATATACATTCTTCTCAGCACCACACCGTACCTATTTCAAAATTGACCACATAGTTGGAAGTAAAGCTCTCCTCAGCAAATGTAAAAGAACAGAAATTATAACAAACTGTCTCTCAGACCACAGTGCAATCAAACTAGAACTCAGGATTAAGAAACTCACTCAAAACCTCACAAATACATGGAAACTGAACAACCTGCTCCTGAGTGACTCCTGCGTACATAATGAAATGAAGGCAGAAGTAAAGATGTTCTTTGAAACCAACGAGAACAAAGACACAGCATACCAGAATCTCTGGGACACATTCAAAGCAGTGTGTAGAGGGAAATTTGTAGCACTAAATGCCCACAAAAGAAAGCAGGAAATATCCAAAATTGGCACCCTAACATCACAATTAAAAGAACTAGAAAAGCAAGAGCAAACACATTCAAAAGTTAGCAGAAGGCAAGAAATAACTAAAATCAGAGCAGAACTGAAGGAAATAGAGACAAAAAAAAACCTTCAAAAAATTAACGAATCCAGGAGCTGATTTTTTGAAAGGATCAACAAAATTGATAGACCGCTAGCAAGACTAATAAAGAAGAAAAGAGAGAAGAATCTAATAGATGCAATAAAAAATGATAAAGGATATCACCACCGATCCCACAGAAATACAAACTACCATCAGAGAATACTATAAACACTTCTACGCAAATAAACTAGACAATCTAGAAGAAATGGATAAATTCCTCAACACATACACCCTCCCAAGACTAAACCAGGAAGAAGTTGAATCTCTGAATAGACCAATAACAGGATCTGAAATTGAGGCAATAATTAATAGCTTACCAACCAAAAAAAGTCCACGACCAGATGGATTCACAGCCGAATTCTACCAGAGGTACAAGGAGGAGCTGGTACTACTCCTTCTGAAACTATTCCAATCAATAGAAAAAGAGGGAATCCTCCCTAACTCATTTTATGAGGCCAGCATCATCCTGATACCAAAGCCTGGCAGAGACACAACAAAAAAAGAGAATTTTAGACCAATATCCCTCATGAACATTGATGCAAAAATCCTCAATAAAACACTGGCAAACCGAATCCAGCAGCACATCAAAAAGCTTATCCGCCCTGATCAAGTGGGCCTCATCCCTGGGATGCAAGGCTGGTTCAACATATGCAAATCAATAAATGTAATCCAGCATATAAACAGAACCAAAGACAAAAACCACATGATTATCTCAATAGATGCAGAAAAGGCCTTTGACAAAATTCAACAGCCCTTCATGCTAAAAACTCTCAATAAATTAGGTATTGATGGGACGTATCTCAAAATAATAAGAGCTATTTATGACAAACCAACAGCCAATATCATACTGAATGGGCAAAAACTGGAAGCATTCCCTTTGAAAACTGGCACAAGACAGGGATGCCCTCTCTCACCACTCCTATTCAACATAGTGTTGGAAGTTCTGGCCAGGGCAATCAGACAGGAGAAAGAAATAAAGGGTATTCAATTAGGAAAAGAGGAAGTCAAATTGTCTCTGTTTGCAGATGACATGATTGTATATTTAGAAAACCCCACTGTCTCAGCCCAAATCTCCTTAAGCTGATAAGCAACTTCAGCAAAGTCTCAGGATTCTAAATATGTGCAAAAATCACAAGCATTCTTATACACCAATAACAGACAAACGGAGAGCCAATCATGAGTGAACTCCCATTCACAATTGCTTCAAAGAGAATAAAATACTTAGGAATCCAACTTACAAGGGATGTGAAGGACCTCTTCAAGGAGAACTACAAACCACTGCTCAACGAAATAAAAGAGGATACAAACAAATGGAAGAACATTCCATGCTCATGGATAGGAAGAATCGATATCATGAAAATGGCCATATTGCCCAAGGTAATTTATAGATTCAATGCCATCTCCATCAAGCTACCAATGACTTTCTTCACAGAATTGGAAAAAACTACTTTAAAGTTCATATGGAACCAAAAAAAGAGCCCACATTGCCAAGTCAATCCTGAGCCAAAAGAACAAAGCTGGAGGCATCATGCTACCTGACTTCAAACTATACTACAAGGCTATAGTAACCAAAACAGCATGGTACTGGTACCAAAACAGAGATATGGACCAATGGAACAGAACAGAGCCTTCAGAAATAGTACCACACATTTACAACTATCTGATCTTTGACAAACCTGACCAAAACAAGAAATGGGGAAAGGATTCCCTATTTAATAAATGGTGCTGGGAAAACTGGGTAGCCATATGTAGAAAGCTGAAACTGGATCCCTTCCTTACACCTTATACAAAAATTAATTCAAGTTGGATTAAAGACTTAAATAGTAGACCTAAAACCATAAAAACCATAGAAGAAAACCTAGGCAATACCATTCAGGACATAGGCATGGGCAAGGACTTCATGTCTAAAACACCAAAAGCAATGACAACAAAACCCAAAATTGACAAATGGGATCTAATTAAACTTCTGCACAGCAAGAGAAACTACCATCAGAGTGAACAGGCAACCTACAGAATGGGAGAAAATTTTTGCAATCTACTTATCTGACAAAGGGCTAATATCCAGAATCTACAAAGAACTCAAACAAATTTACAAGAAAAAAACAAACAACCCCATCAACAGGTGGGCGAAGGATATGAACAGACACTTCTGAAAAGAGACATTTATGCAGCCAAAAGACACATGAAAAAATACTCATCATCACTGGCCATCAGAGAAATGCAAATCAAAACCACAATGAGATATCATCTCACACCAGTTAGAATGGCGATCATTAAAAAGTCAGGAAACAACAGATGCTGGAGAGGATGTGGAGGAATAGGAACACTTACACTGTTGGTGGGACTGTAAACTAGTTCAACCATTGTGGAAGACAGTGTGGCAATTCCTCAGGGATCTAGAACTAGAAATACCATTTGACCCAGCCATCCCATTACTGGGTATATACCCAAAGGAATATAAATCATGCTGCTATAAAGACACATGCACACGTATGTTTATTGCAGCACTACTCACAGTAGCAAAGACTTGGAACCAACCCAAATGTCCATCAATGATAGACTGGATTAAGAAAATGTGGCACATATACACCATGGAATACTATGCAGCCATAAAAAATGATGAGTTCATGTCCTTTGTAGGGACATGGATGAAGCTGGAAACCATCATTCTCAGCAAACTATCGCAAGGCCAAAAAACCAAACATCGCATGTTCTCACTCATAGGTGGGAATTGAACAATGAGAACACTTGGACAGAGGAAAGGGAACATCACACACTGGGGCCTGTTGTGGGGTGAGGGGAGAGGGGAGGGATAGCATTAGGAGATACACCTAATGTAGTTGACGAGTTAATGGGTGCAGCACACCAACATGGCACATGTATACATATGTAACAAACCTGCATGTTGTGCACATGTACCCTAGAACTTAAAGTATAATAAAAATATATATATATATACACATAAAAAGAAAGAAAAATATAGATCCATAAGTAGCAACATGGAAAGTTGTCCAAGATATATTGTTAGATGAAAAAGCTATTCACTGAAGGATATATAGAAAAAAAGTGATTCTACTTTTATAAAAAGAAAAACCGTACTATTTAAAAAAAAACATTTTAAAGCAAAGGAATGTTAATATTCTTAGTCAGGGGAAGAGATTTTTCTTCTTAAAAGCAAAGTAAAAGAAGATGGGGGGAGTGGGGAGTGTAAGTAATCATCTCTATAAGAATACGTATGAATTCTCTCATTCTATGTTCAGGGTTTTTCACGTTTTCCTAATATACATTCTCACGTAAGAACTCCAGAGAGTTTCCTCATTTCATTTGCTTGATACATCTTTACTTGGAAAGTAATAATTTGGTCTTTTTATATCAATCCCATGGCTACAGAAGATAAAATATTCTTTTAAGTCATCATGGGAGTTCATAGAATCATGTTTCCCCTATGTAAAAAATACCTCCTTCTATCTTTTCCTCCCATGGATGCCTTTGTTCTCTCATGCTCTTTCCACAACAATTTTCAAAAATTTTTAATGAATTTCAAAGTGGGATACACATTTAATACAATGTAGGAGAAAATTTGAAAGAAAAGTAATCAGACAAATGATAATATCAGAAAATACAATGAGACGGGGATGGAGGATACCATGTTTTACTTTTTTCATATAAGTTGAATAGCATATATATATACATATATATATATATATATATATATATTTGAGGTGTATTAACTATCATTGTAACATAATAATGATTGTAAAATGACCCCAAGATTTCCAACCTTTGTTCCACATGATTTATATAATTTCCTCATCTTAAGTGTACTCAGAACCTTTGAGTTTGATGCAATAATACTCTCATGATTATGCCATATTACGTGAAAAAGGAGATTTTGCAGATGTACTAAAGTCACTAATTAGTTGACCTTGAAAAATAAAATAGGAGATTATATATGTTGGCCTGACCTACGTGAGTCTTTTGTATATAGGTCTAGAAGTCAGAGTGAAGGAAATTCAGGTTAAAAGCGACAAAGATATTTTCTTTCTGGCCTTGAAGGAACAACTGCCATGTTGTGGAGAGAGCAGAAAACAGCAGGCAATCTCCCAGCCCTGAGAATGGCCTCCTCTTCCCAACAGCCAGCAGGAAGGCTGGAATCTCAGTCCTACGACCAAAAGAAACTCTATTCTAACAGGCCAAATCAGTCTGGAAGAAGATCTTAAGCTTCAGGTAAGGCACCTTGCTTTCAGACCATTAGCAAAAAATGTACCCACTTTGTGCAAACTACTTTCAAGAAAAGCTGGACTAATTTACATTCCCAACAACAGTGTATAAGCATTTTTTTTATCCACAATTTTGCCAGCATGTTTTATCTTTCCAATAATAGCCATTCTGACTGGTCAGTGATGTTGAGTATTTTCTCATATGTCTGTTGGTCATTTGTATATCTTTTTAAAAGGGTCTATTAAAGTCTTTTGACACTATTTAATGGAGTTGTTTTTCACTTGTCGAGTTGTTTTTCACTTGTCAAGTTGTTTAATTTTCTTATACATTCTGAATATTAGACCTTTGTCAGATGCATAGTTTGAAAATATTTTCCCCATTCTGTGGGTTGTCTGTTTACTCTGTTGATAGTTTATTTTCCTGTGTAGAAGCTCTTTAGTTTAATTAATTCTCATTTGTCAATTTTTGTTTTTCTACAATTGCTTTTATTTTTTTTTTATTTTTTATTTTTTTTTTTTGAGACAGAGTCTCGCTCTGTCGCCCAGGCTGGAGTGCAGTAGCACAATCTCGGCTCACTGGAAGCTCCACCTCCCAGGTTCATGCCATTCTCCTGCCTCAGCCTCCCCAGTAGCTGGGACTACAGGCGCCCGCCACCACGCCTGGCTAATTTTTTGTATTTTTAGTACAGACAGGGTTTCACCGTGTTAGCTGGGATGGTCTCCATCTCCTGACCTCCTGATCCACCCGCCTCGGCCTCCCAAAGTGCTGGGATTACAGGCTTGAGCCACTGAGCCCGGCCTCTGCAATTGCTTTTGAGGATTTAGTCATAAGTTATTTGCCAAGGTCAATGACCAGAAATATATTTCCTCAGTTTTCTTCTGGAATTTGTATAGTATGGGGTCTTAAATTTAAATATTTAATCCAGATTGAGTTAATTTTTGGATATGGTGAAAGGTAGGGTTCACTTTTATTCTGCCTATGGCTAGCCAGTTATCCTAGCACCACTAATTAAATAGGGAGTCTTCTTACCACTGTTTATTTTTATTGGCTTTGTCAAGGATCAGATGGTTGTATGTATGTTACTTTATTTCCAGGTTCTCTAACCTGTTCCATTGGTCTACATGTCTTTTTTGTACCAATACCATGCCATTTTGATTTCTGTGGCCTTACAGTATAGTTTGAAGGCAGGTAATATGATGTCTCCAGCTTTGGTCTTTTTTTTTTTTTTTTTTTTTTTTTGAGGCAGAGTCTCACTCTGTCTCCCAGGCTGGAGTGCAATGGCGCCAGCTTTTTTCTTTTAACTTATGACCGCTTTGATAATCTGGGCTCTTTTTTAGTTCCACGTGAATTTTAGAATTTTTTTTGAATTTTATGAAAGAGGATGTAGGTAGTTTGATAGACATAGGATTGAATTTGTAGACTGTTTTGGGCAGTATAGCCAGTTTAATAATATTAATTCTTTCCATCCATGAGTATAAGATGTTTTTCTGTTTGTGTTATCTCTTATTTCTTTCAGCAGTGTTTTGTTGTGCTCCTTGCAGAGATCTTCCACCTCCTTGGTTAGATGTATTCCTTAATATGTTATTTTATTGTATTGTAACTACTGTAAATAGGATTTAGTTCTTGATATGGCTCTCAGCTTAAATGTTATTAGTGTATAGCAATGTTAATCATTTTTTACATTGATTTTTATATCCTGAAACTTTACTTAAGTCATTTTTTCAAGTCTAGGAGGCTTTTGGTGAAGTCTTAAGGGTTTTCTAGGTATAGAACCATATCATCAGCAAAGGAAGAGAGTGGAACTTCTTTTCTGCCAGGTGCGGTGGCTCACACTTATAATCCCAACACTTTGGGAGGCTGAGGCGGGCAAATCACCTGAGGTCAGGAGTTCAAGACTAGCTTGGCCAACATGGTGAAACCCCGTCTCTACTAAAAATACAAAAATTAGCCGGGTGTGGTGGCGGGGAGACCTGTAATCCCAGCTACTTGGAAGGCTGAGGCAGGAGAATTGCTTGAACTGGGAGGCGGAGGTTGCAGTGAGTCTAGGTCGTGCCAATGCATGCCAGCCTGAGACACAGAGTGAGATCTCCTCTCAAAAAAAAAAAAAAAAAAAAAAAGGAGAGACAGAGAGAGAATGGGACTTCTTTTCCGATTTACATGTCTTTTATTTCTTTCTGTTGCCTGATTGTTCTGGGTAGGTCTTTCACTCCTATATTATATAGGAGTGATGAGAGTAGGCATCCTTATCTTTTTCCTGTTTTAAAGGGAATGCTTCCAGCTTTTGCCTGTTCAGTATGATGTTGGCTGTGGGTTTGTTATAGATGGTGCTAATTATTTTGAGGTATATTCCTTTGATGCATAGTTTGTTGAGGGTTTTTAACATGAAAGGATAATGGACTTTATGAAAACCTTTCTCTACATTTGCAGAAATAATCTTATGGTTTTGTTATAAATTCTGCTTATGCGAAGATCACATTCATTGATTTGCATATATTGAACCAAACTTGCATCCCAGGAATAAGCCCTACTTGATTGTGGTGTATTACCTTTTTGATGTGCTGCTGGATTCGGTTTGCTACAATTTTGTTGAGGATTTTCAAATCTATGTTCGGCAGGGACATTGGCCTGTAGTTTCATTTTTCTTGTGTCTTTGCCAGTTGTTGATATCAGGGTAATGCTGGTTTTGTTGAGTAAGTTAAGTAAGGGTTGATCTTCCTCAAATTCTTGGAGTACTTTTAGTATAATTAGTACCAGCTCTCCTCTGTGTGTCTGGTCTAATTCGGGTGTGAATCCACTCATACAGGATTTTTTTTTTTGGTTGGTAGTCTTTCTTGACTGACTCAATTGTGGAATTCTATTGTTCTGTTCAGGACTTCAATTTCTTCTTGATTCAATATTTGGAGATTGGTTTTTCTATAAATTTATTCATTTCCTCCATAGTTTCTAGTTTGTGTGTCTAGAGGTGTTCATAATAGTCTGAGAATCTTTTGTATTTCTGTGTGATCAGTTGTAATATCACCTTTGTCATTTCTGATTGTGCTTATTAGATTCTCTCTTTTGGTTAATCTAGCTAGCAGTTTATCATTGTTGTTTATCCTTTAAAAAATCAACTTTTAATTTGCTTATCCTTTGTAAGAGTTTTTGGGTCTCATTTTAGTTCAGTTTTGCTATCTTATTTATTTCTATTGTCCTGGTAGCTTTGGGGTTATTTTGGTTTTGTTTTTCTAGTTCCTTTAGGTGTGATGTTAGATTGCTAATTTGAGATCTTTCTAAATTTTTGACAAATGCATTTACAGCTATAAATTATCCTGTTAACATTTTGCTACATCCCAGAGATTTTGGTATATTTCTGTATCTGTTTTCATTTGTTTCCATTTTTTAAAAATTTCTACCCTGATTTTGTTATTTACCCAGAAGTCATTCAGGATTAGTTTGTTAAATTTCCAACTAATTGTGTGGTTTTAAGAGATCTTCTTAGAATTCATTTCTATTTTTATTCTACTGTCATTTGAGAGTATGGTTGCCATGATTTCAATTTTAAAATTTCATTAAGATTTTATGTCCAAGAATGTGGTCAATCTTATAATATGTACTCTATGCAGATTAGAAGAATGTGTATTCTTGGTTGTGTATATATGTGTATATATGGTTGATGGGTGGAATATTCTATAGATGTCTATTAGGTCGAATTGGTCAAATATTGAATTTAAGTTCAAAATTTATGTTGGTTTTCTCTCTTGGTGATTCCTCTAATGCTGTCAGTGGAGTATTGAAGTCCCTCACTATTCTTGTGTGGCTAAGTATTTTCATAGGTCCAGAAGTACTTGTTTTATAAATCCAGGGGCTCTAATGTTGGGTACATATATATTTAGGACCCCTAAGACTTCAATCTTTCTCCACCCCTTTACTTTGAGCCTATAAATGTTGTTACATATGGGATGGGTCTCTTGATGACAACAGACAGTTCGGTCCTTTATTAAATCCAGCTTGTCACTCTGTTCCTTTTAAGTGTGGCAATAAGTCTGTCTACCTCCAAAGTTAATATTGGATATGTGCAGCCAGGCACAGTGGCTCACGCCTGGAATCCCAGCACTTTGGTATGCTAAGGTGGGTGGATCACCTGAGGTCAGGAGTCGGAGACCAGCCTGGTCATCATGGCAAAACCCCATGTCTCTACTAACAATACAAAAAATTAGCCAGGTGTTGGGGCAGATGCCTGTAATCCCAGCAGCTTGGTAGACTGAGGCAGGAGAATCACTTGAACCTGTGGGATGGAGTTTGCAGTGAGCCAAGATCACGCCATTGCACTCCAGTCTGGGCAACAAGAGCAAAACTCCATCTCAGAAAAAAAAAAATTGATATGTGAGGTTTTGATCACCTTATGGGTTTCTTAGCACGTTGCTTTTCAGTTTCCATTGTGTAGTTGCTTTATAGAGTTTGTGGATTATGTACTTATATGTGGGGAGATTTTTTTGGTAGCGGGTATTGTTCTTTTGTTTCCACATTTATAACTCCCTTGAAGATGACTTATAAGGTTGGTTTAATGGTAAAAAAAAATCCTTTTGCAATTGTTTGTTGGAAAAGATTTTATTCCTTTTTTACTTGTGAAGCTTAGTTTGACAGCTTCATTCTTGGTTGGAATTTCTTATTCTTTTTCCTTTTTTTTTTTTTAAGAATGCTGAAACTAGGCCCCCATCTCTTCTGGTTTCTCCTAAGAAGTCTACTTTTAGCCTGATGGGGTTTCCTTGGTATATGACCTGACCTTATTCTCTAACTTTAAGATTTTTTCTTTAGCACTGACCTTGGAAAGTCTCAGTGACTATATGTCTCGGTGTTGTTTATTTTGTATATTATCTCACTGATGTTCTCTGCATTTGTTATATCTGAATCTCTATCTCTCTAGCAAGATTAGAGAAATTTTTTTATTTATCCCTCAAATAAAATGTGTTTTTCATGTTGTTTACTTTTCCTCCTTTCTCAGGAATGCCAGTAATATACAGTTTTTTTGTTTGTTTGTTTGCATGATCCCATATTTCTCAAACACCTTGTCCCTTTCTTTAATTATTTTTAAAATTTTTATCTAACCAAATTACTTCCAAAGACCAGTCTTCAAGCACTGAAATCATTTCTTCTGCTTAGTCTTGTATATTGATACAGCTTTCAATTGAATTTTGAAATATCTTAAGTGAGTTTTTCAATTCCAGAAGCTCTGATTGATTTATTTCCAGATATTTAGCTCTTCCTTAATTTCCTGGATTGCTTTAGCAGTTCCTTTCTGTTGATTTTTAACATTTTCCTGAATCTTATTGAGCTTCTTTGCTTTGAATTCTTTGTCTACCATGTCTGAATTTCTGTTTTGGTATAGGACCATTGTAGGAGAGCTAGTATGATCCCATGGTGGTGTCACAGCATTCAGATTTTACATGGTGCTGGTCTCTTCCCATCTGGAGATGCTGGCACTTCTAGGTTTTGTAATTGTTTTTATGGATATGTCATTTTTCTTCTTTTTTTCTTTCCCTATCTTATTATTATTTTTCTACCTCTACCTCTTTCCTAGAGGATATGACTGCACAGAATGTCGGATGGGATCTTTTGGCTTTGCTTCTATATCTCTATGCACTTATGTTGGCTGGTTTTATATTGGGCTGTATGGTTCAAACTACAGACTACCAGATTGAGCCGATGGGTAAGAGTCAACTGTGGCCAATGCAAATGGGTAAACATATAGTCATTGTTTACTGGGAGAAAGTCTCGTTGCTGCAGGCAATGAGCTAATCCATGGAATGCACAGTGGTCTGAGTTCCCTGCTTATCCCTGTAAGGTGGGGACCCATATGGGCAAGGCCAGACTGGCCATGCCCACCTACAGATGGGCCCCATCGGATCACAATCTCTGCACAGGAGGGATGGGCAACTTAGGCTGCTGGTTCAGGTGTACAAGTGTTCTGAATGCCTGGAGCTCTATCTGAGTGTTGAGTGGGGAGGACCTCACTGCACCACAATCTATGGAAAGGAGGATTAAGGTGGAAAGGAGGGGTAAGCCTGGGCATGGAGCAGAAAAGGCCCCACTGCATCTGGTTCTTAGAGAAGCAGGCTGTGACACACAGGAATGTCACACACAGGCTAGTTCCTCCCTGTGTGAGGGAGTGTTTTGACTGCCTGAAGATCTGCCTGGGCATGGAGCAGGGAGGGCCACGCCAGTCCCCCATCTATGTGCAGGAATGGTGGGGTGGCTCAGGCTGCTGATCCTGGAGAGCAAGTGCTCTGAATGCCTGAATATCTGCCTAGGTGCAGAAGAGAGAGGGTCCTGCTGCACCCTAGTTTATGCACCAGAAGAGTGGGACAGCTTAAGCTTTTAATTCATGTGAAAAGGCACTCTTAGTGTCTGGACATATGCCTGGGCATGGAGCAGAGAGGGCCCCACTGAACCAGGTTCTTCGAGAGGCAGGCTGAGACAGCCAGGAATGTCACACACAGACTAGTTCCAGGTTGCCCAGTTGGCCTTAGCTACAAATCTCAACACCCAGGAGAAACTATGGCAGCAATGGCTCTCCTGTTCCACATGTGATGAGAGAGAGCACCATTTCAGTGCGTACACCTGGAGCACTTTCCACACTTGTCACTTAATTCTGGTTGTGGAAGCTACTAGCCAGCTCTGTAGCAAGTGCTGTAATTCCTGGACTAATACTAAAACACTTGCACAGACACACTGCTGGGCTGCCAAAGAAAGACTGACTGTGTACAAGCCCACATCAAACCTGGCATCCTGCTGTCTGCACAGGACTGGGAAAATGCCTGCAGGTATTCACAGTGTCTTTCTCTTGAGTCTCCAAGCCTTTCCCCAAATTAGCTCCAAAACCGAGAAAAAGAAAAGTATAAACTGTACTCCCTTGGCCTGTGTTGCATGAATCCCTAGTGGAAAAGTGAGTCACAGAGAGAGATTAGTTTTTCTACTTTTTTTCATGTAGGCACTTAGAGCTATATATTGATGCTTTCTTCTTAGTGCTGCTTTTGCTGTATCCTGTTAATTTTAGTAAGTTGTGTATCCATTTTCATTTGTTTCAGGAAATTTTGTATGTCCTTCTTAATTTTTTCATCGACCATCATCCTTCTTCATTTTTTCACTGGTCTTCCAGGAGCATATTGTTTAATTTCCATGTTTTTGTATAGTTTCCAAAGTTCTTATTTATTTTTAGCTTTATTTTATTGTAGGTAGAGGAGATACCTGATGTGATTTCATTTTTTTTCTTTTTTTTTTTTTTTTTACTTTTTTAAGACTTATTTTTTGGGCTAATATATGGTATCTCCAGAAGAATAATGCATGTGCTGAGGAAAATAATGTAGGCATTGAATGAAATGCTCTGTAAATATCTATTAGGTCCATTTGCTCCATAATGCAGATTCAGTTGGATGTTTCTTTGTTGATTTTCTGTCTGGAAGACCTGTCCAATGTTGAAAGTGGGGCATCAAAGTCTCTAGCTAGTAGTGTAGCCTTGAATTTGTATGACATGACTGGCTGACTATATTAGTCTGCTCTTGCATTACTATAAAAATACCTGATACTGGGTTATTTATAAAGAAAAGATGTTTAATTGGCTCATGATTCCAAA
This sequence comes from Homo sapiens, assembly GCF_000001405.40. Taxonomy (NCBI): domain Eukaryota; kingdom Metazoa; phylum Chordata; class Mammalia; order Primates; family Hominidae; genus Homo; species Homo sapiens. The sequence goes on from NC_000021.9 coordinate 19,162,103, forward strand.
GGCTCTACAGGAAGCATGATGCTGGCATTTGGTCCATCTTTTGAAAGGCCTCAGAAAACTTTCAATCATGGCAAAATGTGAAGGGGAAGCAGGCATGTCACCCATGGCCAGAGCAGGAGGAAGAGAGATGGGGCATGTGCTACACACTTTTAAACAACCAGATCTTGTGAGACCTCACACACTATACAGTATCAACGTCGGGGGATGGTGGTAAATCATTCATGAAGAATCCACTCCCATGACTCAATCACTTCTCACCAGCCCCATCTCCAACATTGGTGATTGCATTAGTTCATTCTTACACGGCTATAAAGACATACCTGAGACTGGGTGATTTATAAAAAAAAAAGAGGTTTAATCAACTCTCTTTTCTGTGGATTGTACAGTCTTCTGCTTCTGGGGAGGCCTTAGGAAAGTTATAATCATGGTGGAAGGCAAAGAGGAAGCAGACACATCTTCACATGGCTAGCAAGAGACAGAGAAAGAGTGAAGGGGGAGGTGCTAGATACTTTCAAACAACCAGATCGCTGGATAATTCTAACATGAGACAGCACTAGGGGTGATAAGTTACTGCAGAACTGAATCTTTCCCTTTCAAGATAGCAAATTTCCTTCTTGGCCTAGGCTATGTCTAAAAATGTCATTTGGAAGGTAGGGACTAGAATGAGGACCTCAGGACTCTGCATGGTGCCCTGTCCTTCTGTGGCTGAGCTGGTGTTTGAGTTTCAAGACAAAGTCCTCTTTACTCTCTCTTCTCTCCTCAAGCAACAGGAAGGAGAATGTCCCAGAACTGTGAGCTCTGCTGCCAGGGGGTGGTGGAGGGGTGACACAAGCACTCCCTAAGCTGCCCTTACTTGTATCTCAGTAGGTCACAGGCACCCCAAGTCTACTGGCTCCAAGCCACCACAGCACCAGAACTTTTCCGATAATTGCACTCCTTGTGCCCTAGATCGCCTTTCATATTTGTTTATTTATTTATTTGCGATGAAGTTTCGCTCTGTCGCCAGGCTGGAGTGCAGTGGTCCGATCTCCGCTCACTGCAACCTCCGCTTCCCCAGTTCAAGTGATTCTCCTGCCTCAGCCTCCTGGGTAGCTGGGACTACAGGCATGCACCACCACGCCTGGCTAATTTTTGTATTTTTAGTAGAGATGGGGTTTCACCATGTCGGCCAGGATGTTCTAGATCTCTTGACCACGTGATCCGCCCACCTTGACCTCCCAAACTGCTGGGATTACAGGCGTGAGCCCCTGCGCCCGGCCGCCTTTTATATTTATTTAGGATCCAGTGTGCTTTAGCACATGGTGTTGGGGCTTGCCAGAACTGAGGTTTCAACCACTTAGATGGACAATTTGCCTCTGGCTAGTGCTGGTTTAAATGCTGCCTCTGTGGGCTCTGACTGAATTCGGTCCAGTGTTGCTTTCCAGTATGTCAGGCAGCTGTGAGTTTCAATGCAAAGTCCCACAATCACTGCACTCTTTCTCCCCTAGCTCACAGATTCTCTGCCTGTGTCGTATGGCTATTGCCAGGGGATGAACGAGGGTTGCTCTTCGCAATTCAAGACTGTCTTTCCTACCCTCTTCAGTGCCTCTTGATGTTAAAACCAGGTACTGTTATCGCTCATTTGATTTTTGGTTCTTATGAAGGTGGCGTTCTGTGTGAATAGTTGTTTAGTTTCGTGTTCCTGTAGGGGGAGGGATGGTCTTTAGAGGGAGTCTACTTAGCCATCTTGCTCTGCCTCCTCTCCAGAATCTCTTTCTTAATCAAATGCAGTAACTTCCTACATTCCTCTGCTGTATCCAGTCTTATCTCCCATGAATCTGTTTATACCGTAGCAGAGAAAGTGATCTACCTTTTAAAAAACCTGACCATGTTGCTGTCACCAAAACATTCTATTGTTTTTTAGCTCCTCCTCATGTACAAATTCTCAAACTTCTTAACAATTTTCTTTCATAACTTTGTACTTACTGATCTATGTCAACTTTTTTTTAATCCTAGCTTTGCACTTTATATTTAACCACGCAGAACTCTTGTGAGACTGAGCCCTTAGCCTATGAAATCTGTCGCTATCTCTGGATAGATACTTGTGTTGCTTCACCAATACTGTGATGTTTCTTGTCATAATTATTTACTCTGTTCTTTTCTTCCTGAAATGTCCTACAGTTTTCTTTAATCAACTTCTCTTTATCTTTTCTGTATCATATCTAGTACCACTTCACAATCCACATTTCTGGTTCTCTCTCTAATAACATCCCAAGAATTTCTCTAACACTGAACTTTGCTTCATAATAGTTATCTATGTGACTATAATTCTTGAAGAAAGAGACTGCCTCATCTCTGATTCTACATTGCTTTATGCAGTTTGTGTTAATGGTATAAAGATAACAAATATTTATTAACTAAATGAGTACAGTGTAAGCTGTTAAATTACTTGAGAAACAAAGTTGCTGATAATCTTTATGATCCTTATTTTCTTTTAATTATTTTTTCAAGTTTTGTCTCTTAATGCAGAGCTAATGAATACATGGAAATTCAACTCAAATCAAATTCAGATTTGAGATAATCAACAGTATGTTCTATTGCCAATTTTGCCCAAATGGTATATTATTCAGTTTCTCATAAATTGGCACCAAACTTACTTGTTACTTCACTTCCAAAAAATAATCTTAAACATCATATCAGGTAACTGTGGTTTGCTTATCCTTCATATTCAATAATTGGTCATGATTTCTTTTACCTCCTAAGAGATTAAACATCTAAATCTTCTCTGCAATGTTGTATATTTCTATAGTTCATTTCCAAATAATCAAATATCATCCTATTTCTTCAGTATCTGTCAAAATGTCATCTCTGCTTTTAGATTTACTAACTCAAATTCATCATCCACGTGATTTTTATTCTTATCTCTTTAAATGAAATTTAATGCTGTATGATTTTTCCTTTATTGAGCTTGGTGTCCAGAGATCTATAGGACTCTGGTGAGAGAGTGTTGGAAGTGAAGATTGAAGGTTGACTTTTTCAGAAGGGCCTCAATGAGTCTGGATTCAAAACAAGAAGTGAGCTACTTCTTCATTGATAGGATGGTTGGAAGTAAAACAATATCTGAGAGCAGAAAGCCCTCTTCTATTTTTCTAGCTCAGTAGCGGTGAGAGTCTTTCATCTGTAGCCTCCCAGGGAAGGAGTCCCATGTACCTCTAAGATCCTGAGGGTTCTGGCTATGAAACATATGTAAACATTAAAATCAAAGTCTAGATTCATTGACATAATGAAATTGCAGCTTTTCTGATAGGCCTCAGGAAGAAGAGAGAGAAAAATAAGATGGAAAATTTGAAGCACATGGCAAGGGAAAAAAGCTGCTGAAAGAGACAGATGGACACCTGATTTGTTTTAAGCATTTAGGAAGATGCACTCAGAAATTAGATTAGATGAGAGAAAATTAAGACCAACTTTAATGACTTAACAGGTTTAGGAAAATTTGGAGGAAAAGAATAGGAGCTTCAAAGGGGGCAAAGGGGACAGATGGAGGATCAGAAATAACAAAACAATTGATTGAAGAAAATTTGAACTAAATGAAGAACTGTGTTTTCATATTGAGAATACTCACTGGGTCAGTCCTAGGCTGCACTAATGAGAAAAAATTTCTAACTGGGCAAAGCCTGATAGAATTAATGATAAAGAAAAAAATTTTAACTGTATATGTAAGCATAAGTCATCAGTAAATAAATATATTTGCATTACCAGTGGTTATAAAATATCACTTACTCAAGATATTATTTGCATCTCAGATGCAGAAAGGTATTTGAAGATATGCAATAATTCAAAAGCGTATTACGTAAGTATCCCATCTATGTAATATCTATTATCTATCTATCTATCTATCTATCTATCTATCTATCTATCTATCTATCTATCTCTGCCCCCACTTCCTGGCACAGATGGCACAGAACTTCAAAAACTCTTGTAGTTTCCTCAGTGTTATGCGTTTTAATCTTTGGTTTTAATATTTGTTCTCTGTACCAGTTCCTGACACAGAGCTCCTACATCCCTTGGAATTTCCTGGGTGATAAGGGCATCTTTTGCTCAAATGAGATGACCCTTGGTGGGCTCCTGAATGGAGATTAGTCACCAAAAGACTAACCCATGATAATAAGCTCAGAGCTTTCAGCCACACTTCCCATTGTTTAGAGCAGGGAGAGGGACTAGAAATGGAGTTAACAATCAATCCTACCTTCATGACAAAGCCTCTACAGAAATCCCTGAACTTTGGGGGTTAGGAGAGCTTCAGGGTGAATGACCACATTCATGTGCCAGAAAAGTGGCATGCTCCAACTCCATAGAAACAGAAGCTCCTCCACTTGGAACCCTTTCAGACTTCACCCTATGTATTCCTTCATCTGGCGGTTCATCCATATCTTTTATTATCTCCTTTATTAATAAACCAGTAAACATAAAGAAGTGTTTTCCTGAGTTCTGGGAGATGCTCTAGCAAATTATCCCCCAAAAGGGATTATGGGAACCCTGATTTATAGCCAATTAGGTAGAAGCACAAGTCACAACCTATGACTTGTGATTAACATCTGTAGTAGGGGGCACTCCTGTGGGACTGAGCCCTTAGCCTATAAGATCTGTCACTATCTCTGGATCGATCGTGTCAGAATGGAATTTAATTAAAGGGCATCCAGCTGGTGCTGGGGAATTACTAGGTCAGTGTTGGGGGGCAACTCACCACATCTTGGTGACTAGAGGTGAATGAAATATTCTGTGTTGATTGTGTAAGAGTAGAGAAAATACTTTGGTTTTTCCTATCTCTATTATTACCTAAGCAAATAAAAAGGAATAGCACCAAACCAAAACTGAGACCTCAAAATGTGGCAATGAAGAGAAGATGGAATAATAGTATAAATATTTATATAAATAAATTGATAGATAGATGTAGCTATAGATGTAGACAAATAAATTTTGTGTCTGTATTATATACATATTGTAGAATAAATTATTAGTGGTTAAGTGCATACTTTCTGGTCTGATTTGAGTATTACATAAGATTCACAGAAAGCACACGTTGTCAGGATAATGCTAATAAAAACTACACTATTTCAGCCAAGATTCAAGGTAGGCAAAATTCAAGAAAATTTTGTATATTGATACCTGAATAACTTAAAGAAGGTAGATTGTTTGTAACTCAAAGGATAAATGATTGAGGGAATCGATACTCCATTCTCCATGATGTGTTTATTTCACATTGTGTCCCTGTATCAAAACATCTCATCTACCCTATAAATATCTACACCTACTATGTACCCACATTTTCAAAAGTATATTAAAGTTTTAGATGAAACAGCTGAATTTATAGTTTGATATGCTCCATTTATGGCAATTTTAACATTCTCTTCAATAAATGAATGTATTTCAGTTAAAGAAAGAATTAATTCTACATTAAAGCCGATAGGAAGTAGAGATTCAAGTAAAATATTTCAGATACTGAGTAAATAAAAAACAGATACATACTATAAAATATGTGAACCTAGAAAAGTCAGACGAGCAAAAAATTGAGAGTTATAGGAATACAATAGCTTATTTTAATAAATTATAACACACAATGATAAGATCACCCACTTTATAGTTACAAAGTCAGAAACTAGTACACCTGTATGGAAATGGAATATAGAAATGTTGATCTTAATAGGTGGCTTAAAAAATACATCAGCATAGGAATTATTATTCCTATTCTATTAGCGTAAGAATTAGTACTTGAGTTATCAAAAATATGTTGGAGGCACTTATTGGCATTGTTGAATCCAATATGATTCCGCCCTGGAATACTGGGTGGAAAATTTGTACATTTTTGAAAAAGATATGTAATTAAAGATTTGCAGCAGAAAATGTCATTAAAATTTTTAAGCTAAAAAATACAGGAAGGAAAAAATAAGGAAGGTAAAAAAAAGGAAGGAAAGAAAAAGAATAAGAAAGCAAGGACTCAATTGACCGATCAACAAGACTCTCTTGTTGGATTAAAGTCTTAACACCCTATAATGTAATATTCAAAAAACAAGTTTTTTTCAATTAAAAAGAAATAACAAGCATCTTCAAAACAATGACATGTGGAGTAGGAAAAAATAATAAAAAGCAACATTGAAGATTATAAATCAACAAAAAGGGTAAAGAGAAACATCATATATTAATAAAATGTAGCAGGCATAAAAATGTTGTGTTCCTAATTATATTTGTGTGAAATATAATAACAGATAAATACATTGAAAAAAGTAGAAATAGAGAAAGATTTCAATATGACTTAACACTTGTATCTTACAAGAAAATAATGGCAAATATTTATTGAGTAAAGCAATCAATACACATGATTTAATAAATAATAGTTTCATAGAACAATAAATCTATATGCACCAGTTGTAAGCATATATATGTTTTCATATGTCCATATAACATTTGTATTCTTCAGCTGTCATTCCTCCACTCAAAGCAACATTTTTAAAACAGATTGAAGATGGATTACTAGTTTATAAGATTACATTAGACAAAAAGTGTTTTATGTTTAAATTAGCTTCAAGAGTATTTGTACACATTTTATATCCTCTCCTGGAATTGCCCTATATATATGTGTGTGTAAATATATAAAATATGATTTTATACATTCAACATATATATTTAATGTATATTTTGTGCATATATATTGAATGTGTATATATATATAGTGTGTGTGTATATATATAAAAATTACTTTCTTTTCTATTTTCATAATGGTTAAGACATCTAGTTTCTTATCTCAGGCTACTTAGTCTCTCTCCTTATACTCATCCTCTTTCCCAGAATTTTTTAGCTCTTCTAACTACTACTCGTGAGTTTTGAGATCTAAAAGCTAGTGAGTATGGATCAATGAAAATCTGTTATCTATTCCAGAAAATCAGTTATAAATCATGCCAATAAAAACAGATTAACAATGCAAATTTTATCTACTGTACAGAAAACATTCCTGTAGCTTTACATTTAAATGTGTATATAGTAAATTTTACCATATTTCTAAGAAAATACACCGTTACAACCAACTGAGGTATCCAGCACCATATTCAACAGATATTTTTCTTTTCTTTTTTTTTTCTTTGAAACAGAGCCTCCCTCTGGTGCCCAGGCTGGAGTGCAATGGTGTGATCTTGGCTCACTACAACCTCCACCTCCTGGGTTCAAGCAATTCTCATGTCTCAGCCTCCCAAGTAGCTGAGATTACAGGCGTGAGCCACTGCATCCAGCCCTAACTTCTTTAATCTCAGGGCTGTAAAGAATGAAAATATCTGCCCATAGGTTGGAGGTTGCATTTTGGTTAGCTATACCTCTCAGGAGACCCACAGAATCACCACCTGCTTTAGTGAATACTTGATATTTATCCCCCACAATGACCATTATGACCTTTAGACTATGATACTGACCAACTCAATGATTCATGCCTTGCCCCCAAAATGTGAAGATCTACAATTTAAATAGTGATCTCTAGATTTTCTATTTAGGGCTTCTACCCACAATATTCGACCTCTGATAGGAAACTATTCACATCCTGAATACTGCCATTTGATGACACAAGAAATGGCTCAGTAAAAAAATCACACAGAGATGCAGAGACTTTTGAAAGGAAATCTTAGAATTCCCCAAAAATTTCCAACTCATGAAACAACAGATTTGCAATTATTTTTACCATTGCTTCTACCATATAATGGAAACTCTTTTGGGTATAAAGAACCAGCCCAAAATGCAGTCTTTTGAAATATGTTAAAATTTCCCAATCAACCAGAAGATTTTAGAATAGTGAATAATGCTATATTTTCAGTGCTTACTGAAACCGTACTTAAATTTGCATAAAATACATCTGAGTCAAACATTCACACAGACTATTTTTTATTCATTGACTATATATGAAATCCAATATCACTAGTATAACCATCTCAAAAAAGATACGTGTGGTATCTAAGTTTATCAAATACGACAGAATTTATTTAGTCTCTTCTCTTTCTGGAATGAAAAAAATTCATCTTATCATTTACAAGACTCAGCTTCTGAAGTGTTCGTATATAAGGTCCCATTTTCTATAATATCTTGATTTTCCTAAATAATACAAATTTCTATATAACGGTTACTGCCAATAGGCTGTTTCCTAAAATGTTATTTCTGTACATATTTGGGAGAAATGTCGAATATTAATAACACAATATATAATTAATTGTATTTATAAAGCAATAAACTCCTTTTGATGTTCCAATTCTTTACAATTTTAGCTTTCAAATCTTTCATCCTGACCCTAAGACAATCATTAGGTAACTAATGTCAAGCTGAATTTCATTCAGGTCTGTTTTCCATACTCAATGAAGAAATAAATGATGTTACAATAAGCTCAAATTCATTTATTCCTTCTATAATAATAACCTAGTGTGTATTCTACACTTTGTAAAACAAAATTATATAAAAATGAATGAATAGATAAATAGGTAAATACTATGAGCCCTGCCAGTGACAATTTTAAACAAGTTTAGAGGTAGTACATTTACATCACTAAAAAATATTTTAAGAACTTATCCAACATCTATTTAGACACCCAAAGTGAATATTTTATTAAGACTTTTTTCTCCTAAAAACAAAAGAGAGATTTCTTAGGATAGCCATCGCAGGTCATACATCTTAATTAGAAGTTCCTGGATGGGCTGTGACTGTGTGTATATGTTTGTGCACTAAGGCAGGTCATGAAGCCATGTGTGTATGCCAGTATCCCCTTCTCTGGGGTGAGAGTTCTAGTTTAATTGGGACAGGGCCTTTTTTATCACCTAATACCTTAGCACAACTATTTTCAGCACCCTCTTCACTTTCGTAAGAGTTGTGAGTTGGAAGATAAATTATAGAATCATCCTACAAGGAGAGAACAAAATAAAGGTTAAGAGCATTGATGAAGTGAGCAGGGTAGAATTTCTAGAGAAATCAGTGGTGCAACAACTGTCATATATTAAAGCCAAGGAGCCATCAGACGAAATACCGTTATATTCCACACTATTAAGAATGACAAAATGCTGTCAATTAATTTCTGATACATTATCCATTTTAATAAAGCAACCTGGTTTCAGAGACATTCAGTAGTGAAAAGAATGTGGGTCTTATAGTGAAATACAATGTATAAATTTAGCTTAGAATGAATTACAATTTAAGTAATTAGAGTGAATATATTCTTGAAATGATTGAAAATGTATATCTTAAGAGAAGCATATATCAAATTAACTCTTCAATAAGTATTAGTGTCCTCCTTTTACATCTGAAATATGAGATTACATATAAAAGTGGCCACAAACGTACAATTTGTAAATTTATAATAAAACCTATTTATTATGTTTAAATCTCAATGCATTGAGACATTACACAAATATTTGTGTTTTATGTTTTTTGTTCTACCTCTGAATCACTGTCTGTTTTCTGGACTCTATCAATTTAAAGTTAACAGTGGGATTTCTTTGGATAATTAAAGGGGAATATCTCTGTCACGCTAGCCCATACGTCTCACAGAGTGGTGCCCTCTGAATGCAACATTTCATTCTGTCTCTCCTTTACTCATCATGAGGTCAAAGGATTGTTCTTCAGTGCACTAAGTGCAGTCAAATAGCCTTACAAGTAAACATCCTTTACAAGTCGAGCCTCTAGACAGACCATAACTTTTCTACTTTGTTGAACTCACCTGACAGGGCAAGAAAAATTGCTCTGAAGAGCTGTAGCCAGGAGCACTTTACATTCACGGCCAGACTTCCACTTCACTTCCCAGAAGCAATCAGACTTCTTCAATCAGATACCTTCTCCTTCTAGGGTCTTTTTTATTCTGAACTGTAAGAACAGAGTGAAATAGATATTTTGTGAACAGACACGTGTTGATAAGAAATAGATTACTAATGACATTAAGAATTATTGCAAAGTAAATCACAGTAACTAAATGATACTTGAACTTATCTGAAAGATAATATAGGCTTAAATAAAATCAACTAAAAACAATGAGACTGCCTTTTTGTCTACATCAGTTTTTATATTCTAAAAGTATAAAATAATTTTTATTTTTAATTTGGGAAGTCACTCTTCTTTTAAAATTTATTCTAACTATAATTTTCCAATTATAAAAACATGATCCTCATACAATATAGAATAAATACATGTCAAAGATTTATTGAACTCCTTAACTAATGAGAGGACCAGTTAAATGGGAAGACTGATTCCAAGAACATTTGAGGAACAAGTGTTTTCATAGTCTATTAGGAAAGGCATTTATGTGGAATATTAGAATAAGATCACTAGATTAAATGTAACACAGGTTCATATTCCAAGTGGTAATAAAACCATAATCTTTGGGGATACCTTTCTTACTAGGCAGATATCTACAAGTAGACATGTAACTTCCCAGTGACTAGGCACCAATCAATTGGTATACAAAGTAAAAAAAAAATCAATTCTTCTAGAAAATTAAATAATCCTTGGGTTATTACTGTCATAGGGCCTGTTGATAGTGCAGTGGCACTGAAAGGACTTAAATATATCCTCTTGCATTATTTCCTATATTTTGATCATATTTTTTCTTACAGTTCCTACTACTTGTAGGTGATCACCTGAATGCCATTCAAAAATTATACTTTGCCTTAATGGCGGAGGTGTTAAGATGTTTGAAGATGGTTTGTAAAGGAAGAGCATTCCCTTAATGAAATTTTAATATGTTTGCCAAAATCTTAAAAAAATTATGGGTTGCATCTGCCAATTATTTTCAAATTTCTAGAACACCGAGTTTTATTTATTTCAGATGATACAATTTACATCTCAAAAGGAACAAAATACCTCTCAAGTAATTATAAGATTATTTTGTCTAATCTTGAAAATGTCTTAATACACTGGAAAAGGGGACTGAATACTTCACTGACTAGGACTGATTGGCCATCTTAGTGGATTATGAAATACATGAGAATTTATAATTTGAATTTCATGTTTTAAACTTCAACAGTGTACTAATCAATAAAACATATTCTAATGAGATGAAAAGTGTTTTTTATACATTATGTTTCTCTTGTAGTAGTTATATCTTTACAAAATTTACTTTTTTATAATATGTTATAATTATAATAATATATAATATATAACATCATGAAAATATATATGGGCAATAAAATCCTGGTAATTGCTTTCTTTGTATTCCTACAAAAATTGTATTCTAATTAATGGATTTTTTTCTAGTAAAGTATTATGACAACAACTTTGTATTAAATAATAATGCTGCCACATTTATTTACAAAGTAGAGAGGTACTAAGTTTAAAAAAGTATGTAAGCATAATATATTATTAACTTATTAAAATTATATCCCCACATAAAAATATTTTTTGATATAGTATGTTTTCCAGTATCATTTTTAAACATTATTATTAGCCATGATTACTTCCATGGAAGTTATTTTGTTTTGCAAATCCTATAATAGTGCACTAATTTATGTGTGTGTGCGTTTAGTATTTGATAATTCTAGAAGAAACAACTGAAAATAAGATTTAAAAATGTTATACTAATAAATAGAGTGATTCTATATAATCTCTTAATCTCTTTTTCACTTTTTTACTTTTTTTTTTTTTTTTTGAGACAGAGGCTTGTTCTGTTGCCCTGGCTGGAGTGCAGTGGTGCAATCTTGGCTCACTGTAACCTCCGTCTCCCGAGTTCAAGCGATTTTACTGTCTCAGCCTCCCGAGTAGCTGGGACTACAGGTGCGTGCCACCATGCCTGGCTAATTTTTGTAATTTTGGTAGAGACGGGGTTTCACCATGTTGGCCAGGCTGGTCTCAAACTCCTGACCTCAATTGATCTGCCCACCTCGGCCTCCTAAAGTGCTGGGATTACAGGTATGAGCCACCATGCCAGGCTCTTTACTTTTATTTATTTTTTTACTTTTTTTAATGTTTGCTTCCATATACTTTCACATAGAGAATAAAAGAAATAAGTAATTAACTTAAGGCATCTCACAAAAAGGGAAATGTTAAACTCAACATCTGATTTTGTTTTACTCAAGCTGGCAAGTAGGATCAAACAAATGCCACATTTAAGTCTTTAACATACATTGAACTATATTTTCTAATTTCACTGCTTTTGAGAATTAGTGATTTGCATTAACTAAAATTGCTAGGATACAGTTTAATAAACAATAGTAACAATTTACTTGAATGGGCAAAAGTCATTTCAGGTTAGAATATCAAAACAATATCATTTTGTTTTACGCAATTGTTGTTGCTTTGAAGGCCAACATAAGTTACATACATTTTGGAGTATGTAACAAGTTTCTAGAAAAAATAATCTATCTTTTCTTCCAAAGGCTATCCTTGATTTTCTTTAAATCAAATGAGGTTATAAAATATTTCTCTGTAACTTTATTTTTTATGTAAGAATTACACATTAAAATAATATTTCATGTTAAAATATCTCTTTGAGCTGTTTTTTCAACAATAATATCAATAAGTTAATAACCATAATAATACTAATGACAAGAGTACATATTCTATGACAGTGATGGAGCTACATGTGTTTTATAGATTGTTCCTTGGCTCACAATAATCTCTTAAGGCAGGTACCAGTGGCCACATTTTCAGAGAACAGAACAGAATATTGTAGGTGGGGAGAGTTAAATCATTTGCCAAAGTACCCAGTTGGGTAAGCAGTTTATCCAAAAACAAAACCTATGTTTGTCTAACTCTAAAACCTATGATTCTTTTACTCAATCGTAAATACAAATTATAAGTCTAGACTCCTAATGTACTTTTTTATGACTCTAGTATATGCTATATCCGGGTAACCTAACCTCTTTAATGGACAATTCAGTCTCGTATGAGTGATATTTCCATTTATAGTTGGACTAAAGGTGAACTATCTTATAATTTGCCCTTGGTAGGAACTTTCAAAAATATTGTTTAATCAAGTTTACATCACTGTCTGGGAAACTCTTTAACTCATTCATGACAAGCATAAGAATTTGGGAGTTGAGGCAGAGTTATCACAGTTTGTCATTTACGTGAGTTTTGAGTACTCTTTCATTGTTTTCCTCTAAAAGTAGCCTCAGATTGAAGTTTCCTGGTTTAATAAGAAAAATGATAAAAATAATAACAACTAACTTGACTTGTCTTAGTATCAGATCTTTCCAAATTATATTACATGTATGCAAATTAAGAGAGTATGATCCTAGGGCTGGGCACGGTGGCTCACGCCTGTAATCCCAGCACTTTGGGAGGCCAAGGCAGGTGGATCACAAGGTCAGGAGATCGAGACAATCCTGGCTAACATGGTGAAACCCCGTCTCTACCAAAAATACAAAAAATTAGCCGAGTGTGGTGGCGGGCGCCTGTAGTCCCGGTGTGAACCCGGGAGGTGGAGCTTGCAGTGAGCCGAGATTGTGCCACTGCACTCCAGCCTGGGCGACAGAGCAAGACTCCATCTCAAAATAAATAAATAAATAAATAAATAAATAAATAAATAAATAAATATAAAAAAAGAGCATATGATCCTTTCTTCTTTTCATTCTCAGGAAAATAGAACATAAACACAAGTGATTTTTAAATAAAATATTATGCAGGGCAGAGAGAGATTTTTCCACATTAAAAAAACAAAAACAAAAAAAACGCTCGCATGTAGGCCAAAATGCACTTGCAGGTTTATAAATTTCCAATATGCACAACTTCTTACAAGCCAAATGATAAATTGCCCCAAAGATAAGGGAATTATTTGAACCCTCCTTGTCAAAATATGGCTGAGTTAGTGTTTTGAATCATGATTTACACTGAAGATGTGAGGTGACCCTGCGGTATATATTTCATGCTCTAATTACTCCTGCCTCTGCCTTGTCAGTTAATATGATGTTGAACTTAAAAGGGCCTCTTCACAATAAACCTATAATGAAGCCTGGAATGATGGAAGTGAGATTTGTAATGTAACTTTGAAAAGTTTGACAGTAAAATGAATGTGATGTTCTCTCTAAAAAAGAGAAGTCAACTAAAAGTGAATTCAAAAAAAAAGTGGAGAAGAAAAATATGCAAAAGAAATGGATTTCAATTTAAGTTTATAGTGCCTTGTAGAATGACTGGTACAATCAGATTTTAATAAATGTTTGAGTAATGGACAAATAAAGTCAGCACAATAATTAATAGGACTGATCTTTTCTCTGAGGGAAATTTACACAACTTAGAGGGATAAGCATGCAAACTTACAATTGCCAAGCTCTGGATTTCTTCTCCAATAAGATTCCTACGCTACTCATCACTTTTTCAATACTTTTGAAGACATTCTTGACCAAAGGTACAGGATAAGCTTAGGAGGTTACAAAAGTTTCAAACACCAAAGCACATCTGCTTTATGATCATCCATAAAAATATAAGCTGACTCGTGACCTGCTACTTGTGACTTGCCTTCTCCAATTGAGTGTGTTAGTAGTGATGGATTCACTTCTAAGACTTTAGGAGGTTGTTTGCACATCTTTCCCTTGCTTCTCTATGAGCTGCTGAAACCACGTCTAGGTTAGCCTGTTGAAGAGAGGTGAGAGACCAATTATAGAGAAGCTGAGCCATCCAAAAGCAGCTGACAGCCAGTCTATCCACATTACGTGACACAGCAGGGCCATTTCCTTAACCCAGAGATTACTGCAAATATAACACTGTCAGCCAGGACCCAAAGAACCGTCCAACTGAACTGCAGATTTGTGAATTGTAATCAGTAGTATTGCTTCTCTTAGTTTGGGCTTCCAAGAAGCAAAGCCTAAGACTTGTTTTCCTGATCGAGTAAGTATTGAGGGAATTCTGTCACATAAAGAGAAGTAAAGGAAGCTGAATAGGGCTAAGCAGAGGTGTCCCTCAGCTGGGGACTACAGGCATTCTGATCCAAAGGGGAAGCTAAAACACAAATAGCACCACAAAGTGAATCCTGCAGTGAGGAAAGGGAGTGGCTATTTCCTGCCCTAGTGTAAGTCAGTTATTGGCAGACAGCTTTCCTCCAAGGGAAATGAGATTGGGAAAAGGGTATGGGGAGTAGTAGCCTTTAGGGCTGTTATAGAAGGCCCACCCACTTTTGGCTAATCACCATAGAAAAGGCAGCTGTGAATGATGAGCTAAAATGCACAGCAGCTGGAGATTGGGCAAATCTACCACCAAAGGAAATTATGTTGAGGCACCAGCAGCATTCACTACATTGTTTTAAGCAACTAAGTTAAGCAGGGATAACTAATATAATAACCACAATAGTTTCATCATTGTCTAGTCATTGCTGAAGTGAAAAATGTACATATTTAACCATTTTATGATCGCTTAATATAAGAGGAAGGAGTTTAGATTGTTTTTACTATAGATATCAGGAAACTAAGAGAAACCCATTTTGCAGAGGAATATGATAAGACCACATTATTTTCTGGAGGGACCCCTTTAGTGACTGACATTTAAATAGATCCATTGGACTGGAAAGATTTAAATAACAGAGAGATCAATGAGAAGGATATAGCAATAGTTGAATTAGTGATTCAGAGACCTTGAATTAGTCTGCATTAAGTAGATCTCTAAGAAAAAATAATAAAGACATGGTATCTTACTATTCTCAGATTGCTATAACAAAAAATCATGGCTGGTGGCTTAAACAAACTTATTTCTCATCGTTCTACGGGGTGGGAAGTCCAATATCAAGGTGCTGGCTGATTTGGCTCTTGGTGAGGGCTCTCTTCCTGGCTAGCAGATGGCCTCCTTCTCACTGTGCTTTCACGTGGTGGAGAGAGAGCAATATGTTGCTCTTCTTCTTACAAGGACCCTAATCCCATTATGAGAGTCCCACCCTCATTATCTCACGTATGCTAAATTCCCTCCTAAAATTATCTCCAAATATAGTCACATAGGGGGTTACAGCTTCAACATATGATTTTTTTAAGGAAAGCACAATTCAGTCCATAGACCATGGTAAACAATTTGATACAAAAGGCTTGGAAGCAGAAAGTAGTGAAAAGAAATCAGAGTTTACATTTTCTGATTCCTTCTAGATATCAATATATTAATAATTAGGACGACTGAAGAGAGAGTTAATTTGAGGGAGAAAATTATGAAGACAGATTTGGAACTGCTGAATTTGGATGCTTTAGAATATTCAGGCAGCACTAAATTACAGGCATTTGAAATACGGTTGTTAAGCTTGGATGATTTAGAAATAATTAATATCTTAGAGCTTTAAAATGGAAACTTTTCACTTTAGGGTGACCATTTGGAAGTGGCAGGTACCAAGGATAGAGTTCTGAAATCTTAGGATCATGCAGAACAGGAAAAGGCAATAAATAATACTCTTCATTAGTGAAAAGTATTTTATACGTGCTAAATTCTATGTAAATATTTCAAGCTGACTTTTTTTAATCCTCCCAAAAACCTATTAGGTAAGGTCTAATATTTCCAAATTAAATGTGAAAAAATGATTGTAATCGTTATTTATTAGTCCAAATTTTCAGAGTTATTAATTGAATAAGCCATGATTTGAACACAAGCCATTTCACCCCAAAGCCTACCTTATTAATCTAGAAAAAATCTTTAAGGTATTTTTCTTTTGTTAACAGATGTGTTATCTACAATGTTATTCTTTATATCTGTTCATTGTCTCACCAAATACATGAATTCATAAATATTCACCGTGATGTTTGATCTTTTTACAACCTGGCAAATGGGCAATTGAGTGTTTTCTTTGTAAATTATCTTTGCAATAAATAATTTATTAGGATGTTTTTACTTACTGTACTGGTAAGAATTACTAAATTGAAAATTAATAAAATATGTACAACTTAAACAGTACATAAGATATTGATTTTAAGGCATTAATTGATGGGTTTATATTAAATAGCTTATAGACTGATACAACCTCTTTAAGTACTCATACATTTAGCCTTAAGACTAATTAAATAAATTAGAATTTTTCAAGTTAAAGAATTTTTATTTCTTTCAGAGTAAATGGACTAACAAAAACTTCCATGGGGATCTTTTCTGAATTATCAAAAGAGAATAAGGCTCACTGGTAAAAGAAATATAAAAGTATATATTTCATATTTTAAACCAAAATATAAAAGTCTAATCCTCTACATTTATTTCTAAATATAAACTATTACATTTCAAGCTATTATCTTTATTACACATAATTTAATAGATGAGAATTACATAAATTCCTATTACTAATGAATATAATTATTATGCTTTTTTCATTGTATTTGACTATTTAGTTTGTTCATGTATATTTTATTTCACTAATATATTTTTTCATTTTTTTTGTTATCATCTACAGAGGGCAATATATAGCTTTGCTATTCAAAAAGTATATTAAATCTAGATGTAAGCTTCCATGCTTCCTATAAGCATGGCTTAACAAGTATCTCGTTAACTGTACAATATCAAAAAGTGTCAAAAGACAAGACCTTTTTGTTGGACTTTTGCTTATCTTTTCAGTTACAAATATTTCTGAATGTGCTTTTTCTCATTCTCATGTATATAAGACAACCTGAATTGCTTTAGCTACGCCATGTGTAGTTAAACATTTTTTTAAGAAAAATACAGATATCTCCTAAAAGAATAACAATGTATCGTGAGCTATAAAAATAATGTGGATGGTGTGTGTGAATAGTTTTTAAAGTAGTAATTCTGACTGTGGAAGTTACTTTACTTGTGCCAGAGAAGAAATAGTCAGTTCTGCATTTTAATTGACTATTGCTTGTATGAGGTAAAAAACAAAATAAGACAAACAAAAGTTTGCAACAGCCTTAACAGAGAAGACCATTTCCTACCTGAGGTAAGATATCAAGGAACTTCTTGACATGAAAGAATAATACTTAACTGAGTCTCAAGTTAAAAAGAAGCTGACAGGGATAATGCGATATTGAATTCTACTTATCTAAATTGATTCCCACATTCATCTTAAATAAAATGAAAGATAAATCCTCATTTGGAAGTAATGACATACTTGAAAAAAAGTAAATGCTTCAATTCAATATCTCCAGATATATATTTTACTTTCATTTCTGTAATATTTCACTCCATGAATTTCTGAAATGTTCTTCACTGGAGATTCTTTTAATCTCCAAAACTTCATATCCAATAAGATTCATTCTCCTGCTTCTCATTTCCTTCCAACTCATGGATTGACATCCTTGAGTAAAAACTTCCATTATTTAAGCTAATGTCATATGTCTATATCACCTTCCATTTAAAAAAATTGTTTAGGCACTTGTAATCCTAGCATTTTGGGAGGCCGAGGTGGGCGGATCACCACTAAAAATACAAAATTAGCCGGGTGTGGCGGTGCATGCCTGTAATTCCAGCTACTCGGGAGGCTGAGGCAGGAGAATTGCTTGAACCTGGGAGGTGGAGGTTGCAGTGAGCCGGGATCCTGCCATTGAACTCCAGCCTGGGCAACAAGAGAGAAACTCCATCACAAACAAACAAACAAAAAATTGTTTAACTCCTATTTACAGGTCACTTTTTTATCTTACCAAGAACTTTAGAACCTTCTCCATCCTAGCACCAACTATAATAATCAGAGATTTAAATGGCTGTTTTGTCTTTCCTTAATATCCCACAATACTTCAAATATTTTATTTGTTATATATGTATTAATATTTACTTTAAGTCTATTTATGTGTGAAATATGAAAAGAAAAGAGTTAAACAATATTTTGAACCTCTGTTTTAGGAAAATATGTGAAGAAATGAAAAAAATACTCAGTAGACATGAGTACAAATTAGAGGGCATGAATGAGGGCATGGCTAAGCTTAAGATCTCTGGGAAAAGACCTACAGATAAGACAGTTTGCACTATTTACTTTTAATGTGATTATTGTTGGGGAAAGCAGCCCCACACCACCTGGTGGGTACCTCGAGTTCGCTGGAGACAAAGGAATTAGAAAGAGACAGAATAAGTGTTTGAAAGGCGGGTCCAGGGGACCGGAGCATCGGAGCCTCGCTCATGGCCCAGAGCTCTTCAGCTCCACCTAATTTATTGGTTTACAAGCTCTTTGTTCTTAGGGAAGATGGGAGGGGTAGGAAAGGATGAGGAAAAGGATTAATCAAGGAAGGAGAACTCATGATTCATTCAATAAGATGTATAGCAGTGGTGGTTTCTGTGAATTTCCTTGAGCAAAGGCTTGTGTCTAAACTCTTGTTCCCACAATTATTGATATGATTACATTTAAGTTTATCATCAAAATTTATTTTATATTTGCCCCATCTGGTATTTTTTATTTGTTTTCTTTTCCATTTTTCTGCCTTCTCTTGTACTAATTATTTTATATAATTTTATCTCTTTTGCTGGCTTCTTAGCTGTTATGCTTATTTTGATGATTGTTTTAGTAGTTATAGGAAACATCTGTGATGTTTAATTCTGAATGTCAACTCGACTGGATTAAGAGATACCTAGATAGTGGTAATGCATTCTTTCTGTGTGTATCCGTGAATTGGTGGGCTGAGTGGAGAATATCTGCCTTCAATGTGGGCAGATGCCATACCGTTGGCTGGGGCTCAGAGAGAACAAAAAGGCAGAGGAAAAACAAATTTCCCCTCTCACTTCTGGAGATGGAACACTTTTCTTCTGCTTTTGGACATCAGAAATCCAAGTTCTCTGGCCTTTGGACTTTGGGACTTGTGCCAGCACCCTCCTGGGTTCCCTGGCCTTTGGCCTCAAACTGAAGGTTACACTATCAGCTTCCGTTGTTCTAAGGGCTTCAGACTTGGACAGCCACACTGCCAGCTTCCCTGATTCTTCAGCTTGTAGATGGTCTGTTATGGGACTTTTCTCAGTCTCCATAAATATGTGAGTCAATTCCCCAAGTGAATTGCCTTCTATCTATCTATCTATCTGTCTGTCTGTCTGTCTGTCTGTCTATCTATCTATATCTATCTATCTATCATCTATCTATCCATATCTATCTATCTATCTATCTATCTATCTATCTATCTATCTATCTATCGTCTATCTATCCAGTCTATCTACCTCCTATTAGTCTGTCTCTGGAGAACATTGACTAATACAACATCTTTAATATATCACAGTTTAATTTCAAGTTATATCATACCACTTCATACATTATATAAAACCTTACAGTGTTTCTCCCTTCTCAGTGTTTATGGCTAGTAATTTTTTACTGGGTGCCAGACACTAATTTTTATTTTGCTAAGTGGTGAATATTTTTTATATCCTTAAAAATATTTTTGAGTGTTGATCTGGGTAAAGTTAAGTTCAATATTGGAAAAATATTGATTCTTTTGAGGATAGTTATCTTCTAATTAGTCTACCTGTTGCCCCATAAATGGCATGATTTTCCACTCTGTGTGAGTCCTCGACACAGCTCTCTAATTCTTTCTGATAGTCATTTTTCTGGACTTGGGTAGATTACTCAGAAGTACTCCCTAATCACCACTCAGATGAAAACCTGTGAGGCCTCTCTGCAGATCTGTACAGCTGTCCTTGGAGTGAGCTGTCTCCTCTCCAGAACCCTGCTTTGTAAATTACAGCTTTCTTGTCCCTCCAAGATTCCCAGCTCCACTTCTTCAATTCAGGGAATCCACTAGGTTCCACATAAACTATCCTGCCTGGTGCTGTAGCCTAGAAACTCTCTCAGACATGAAGTTGGGCAAATTGCAAGTCTCACTTCATTTGTTTCCTTTCTCTTAGAGATCATTAAACTGTATTGCGTGATGTCCAACATCTTGAAACAATTATTTTGTATATCTTGTCTGATTTTATATTTGTTTAGGTGGAAGGATGAATCCAATTCCTGTTATATCATTTTGGCCAGTAAAGAAAACTAACACAAGAACAGAAAACCAAACATCGCATGTTCTCACTCATAAGTGGGAGTTGAACAATGAGAACACTTGGCCCCCGGGAGGGTGGACATCCCACACTGGGGCCTGTCGGGGGGTGGGGGGCTAGGGGAGGGATAGCATTAGGAGAAATACCTAATGTATATGACGGGTTGATGGGTGCAGCAAACCACCATGGCACGTGTATACCTATGTAACAAACCTGCACGTCCTGCACATGTACCCCAGAACTTAAAATATAATAAAAAAAGAAGGCACAACTTTTATTTTTTTTAGCATTTCTTTTGTAAGCATGTGTTTTATATACTTTATGCTATGCAGACATTAGTCAGTGTTTTTAGCAACTTCCAGAAAATACATGAGGAGAGTGTACTTTTGAAGCTAAAATACATGGCTTCAATTATGTTTTGAAATGAAAGACTTTTGTTGTAAAATTGTTGAATTCTTCATTAAATGACTCGGGTTTTAAGACAGCTGTAATAATAACTAACATTACATTACTAATGTGATTATGATCTTCCTGTGTATTACAAACTATATTTCATGCTGGGTGATGGGACTTAGGGCTTACTGTGAGATGATTCTAGCTTCATAGCCCAGATTGCTGGTTATTAGACTCCAGCTCATACGGCATCACTCTTTCTTATTCTTAGCAAGAACATGGACAAGTTTTCATTTTCAGTGTACCTTCCTCACCCTACAGAACGGTTGAGAGGTTATATCTTAGGCCTGTTAAAATCATGGTTGCTTTCAGCCGGGCCAGTGGCTTATGCCTGTAATCCCACCACCTTGGAAGGCTGAGGCGGGAGGATCATGAGGTCAGGAGATCGAGACCATCCTGGCTAACATGGTGAAACCCCATCTCTACTAAAAATGCAAAAAATTACCCGGGCGTGGTGGTGGGCGCCTGTAGTCCCAGCTACTCGGGAGGCTGAGGCAGGAGCATGGCGTGAATCTGTGAGGCAGAGCTTGCAGTGAGCCAAGATCGTGCCACTGCACTCCAGCCTGGGTGACAGAGTGAAACTCCCATCTCAAAAAAAAAAAAAAAAAAAGAAATCATGGTTGCTTTCAGAAAATGTCAACGTTAAAATTACATCTACATAAAAACTTGGTTACAGCAGGACATACCTCCTCCAAATAAAAGTATGTTGTGATACCTCTTTCTTTTTGTAGCCATATCTCTGCAGATATATTTCTGTATATTTTTATATTAAAAAAGTAACAGATCTTAAATATGTCTCCTTGTGTTTTCTGTACTTTACCATATTTTTATGACACTTAAACATTTTACACTTAAGAATAACACAGATATAAAATTTGTAAAGAAATTAAAATATATCATTTTTAGTATCAGTAGTGCAAATGCAAAAGTTAAAATGAAAAAGTGTCTTCCTGAATCTCCCTGAACTGTGAAAGAGATTTTCTAGAAAATAAATTTACTAGAGTGCTTGAAAAAAGCAAGTATGCAAACTACATGACTCAAATTTGGAAAAATTTGATATTAAGTGAATGCAAATTAGCCTTGATGGACAAAAAGCAATAAAAGATTATCCCGGATTGCTCTTCCCTTTACTAAAGCAGATGTTGACAGAAATATTGCAATCCCCACTATGTTGACAAGCTACAACCCACAAATGACATTGCTATTTTCAACAGAGAAAAAGTTCACAGCTTAAAGCTTTTCACCAATAATAATACTGTGCTCAATTTTAAAATAATATTTATATTTTATAGATAATGATTGAAAATTTTATGAATGAAATAATAATGAAACCTTCTACCAATACTCAGAAAGAAAACACAGGTATGGCTGTGTTAAGAAATTCAATGATAATATTAAAAACAG
Source organism: Homo sapiens (assembly GCF_000001405.40). NCBI lineage: Eukaryota > Metazoa > Chordata > Mammalia > Primates > Hominidae > Homo > Homo sapiens. Next base: position 19,184,804 of record NC_000021.9, read on the forward strand.
CTAGCTCTTAATCATATTTCAGGCCATGTTCAAATTTCTTATGCATATAAACTTTATGCACATAATGCATTTAAGATACAACATATCAACCATTCTCTAGGGTGAGGAAGGTTTGCTGAATATGAATACTTGTCCATGTGCTTCTTAGAAACGAACAACAACAAAAAAAACAATGAAGCTGCATGAGCTGGAGGTTAATATCCAGCAATTCAGAATATTAAGCTACAGCCATCTCACAGTAAGCCCTAAGTTCCATCACCCAGCATGAAATATAGTTTGTAATACACAGGAAGATTATAATCACATTGGTAATGTTAGTTATTATTACAGCTGTATTAAAACCTGAGTCATTCAATAAAAAACTCAACAATTTTACAACAAAGTTCCTTGTTTCAAAACATAATTGAAGCCATGTATCTTAGCTTCAAAGCACACTCTCCTCATGTATTTTCTGAAAGTTAAAAAAAAAAACAACCATTGACTAGGGTCTGCATAGTGTAAGTCTATAAAACACATGCTTAGAAAAGAAATATCTAAAAATATTATCAAATAACCCTATGGAACAGGCATCATTATTATTATTGGAGTCAGACTCAATCAGAAATTTGATTTCCAAGCATCTCATCAGATATTGGGCCTTTCTTTTTCATGGGAATCTATGTGAATGACCCCAGTGGTTCAGTCAGAAATTAATCTATTTGCATAGTTGATGGCTTTTAAGAGGAGTGATTTTTAATTTAACAGTGTGTAGTTTTCCATGTGACAGACCAAACATATAGATTACTTGCAAAAGGAGAAGAGTCATAGTTCTACCTTCTGAACAGAGTGACCTCATCTACTTCTGGTTCTGCAGAGCTGGAACTGAGGTTGAATGGTTCCAGCATCCTAATAGATATCTGGTTGTAGCTTCATCCAACCATCAGGGATCCAGGCCCAGGTATTTAGGGGAACCTCTGCTTCCTAATCATGTGCCCCTTTGAGTTGACAGCTTTGCTTCAGTACATGGAGTGGGGCATAAACTCCCCATACAACCCCAGTGGATAGCACCCAATTATTCATGTAAAGCAAAAATGCCACTGGGGCAAAGCAGGTGTGGTCTTCAATACACTAATTCCATTTTGGAAGCTTTCACATCTTGTTAATCATGGAATACTAGTAGACTTAGCACAAAATGGAAATTCAGGCTGAGAAGTCACATGGCCTTGCTGAGTCAGGCCTTCATTTTCAACAAGAGATTAGTGGCAAGCAAATAGCAGCTTCTAAAAGAAGGTGTACTTGGTAGCTGTGTTAGGGAAACCTCTAAGTCCAAAACTCCAAGGATCATCCTGGGGTGGAGGTTGCCTCCCTTTGCTAAAGGTTTAGTCAACAAAATTATCAGTCACCAAGACTTGTTCTGTCTCCATATACAAACTGATGAACAAAGTGCTAGGCCTTCGTTTTGATGGTAGGGGTCTGAAAAGACAGCAGTTTTCCCTAAACTGCTGGATGGATGACATGAATCTGCCCATGTAGTCCTCCAAAATTTATTTGGTCCATGAATTTTATTGGGTTTTCTGTCATCGCTGCTGATATAGGTATGTTAACATTACAGGCAGGACAGCTGATACTGCTGCTTCTAACTTACCAAATCCCATGGACGTCATCTATATAATAAAAGAATTAGTTATGAGATGGTGGAGGTCCTTATGCTAAATCCTCATGCTAAATCCCCACCAACTGGTGGTAAATGAGAAGGAAGTCTGTTGCATTATTCTCTCTCTCTTTCTCTCTCTCTCGCACTTCTTCCTCAATCAGGTTGACTCTATGATATTTATGGGATGAAGAAGTTCAAACATACAACCCATCAATTCCTGTTATGTATTCAAGTGTAAAAGCAACAAAAAAAGAGTCCATTGAATTGGCCCAAAGAGCCCCACATACAAGGTCATGTTTGCTTTGTTCCCTTCCATTGTGAACCTTGCTTGAACTTATGAGTAAAATTCAAGTGTCCTCTCGTTTTTCAAGTCTTGGGCATCTGTATCCACAGAGCCATAAAAATGTAATTACCTCTGTATTAGTCAGGGTTCTCCAGAGGGACAGAGCTAAGAGGATACACACACACACACACACACACACACACACACACACATATATGAGTTTATTAAGGAATATTAACACACATGATCATGAGGTGAGGTCTCACAATAGGCCATCTGCAAGCTGAAGAACAAGGAAGCCAGTCTGAGTCCTAAAGCTGAAGAACTTGGAGGCTGATGTTTGAGGGCAGGAAGCATCCAGCATTGGAGAAAGATGTGGATGTAGGCTGGAAAGCTAAGCCAGTCTAATCTTTCATGTTCCTCTGCCTGTTTTTTTCTGGCCATACTGGCAGCTGATTAGATAGATTGTGCATACCCAGATTGGGAGTGAGTCTGCCTTTCCCAGTCCACTGACTCAAATGTTAATCTTCTTTGGCAACACCCTCATAGACACACCCAGGAACAATACTTTGCATCCTTCAATCCAATCGAGTCAACCTTCAATGCATCACACCCTCCATTCCCCAAAGTTCCCCAGAATATTTAGTCTTTTTCTTCTTTTCTTTTTTGTGTATCTATAGTTGGAATTTTATCCACCTATAAAAGCCAATGAAGTACTAATACATGCTACAATTTAGACACAAAAATATGAACCTAGGTGAAAGAAACCAGACACAAAGGTCACAGATGGTGTGATCACATTTATATGAAACATTCAGAAGCTGGAAATGCAGAGACAGAAAGCAGGTTGATGGTTGTCAGGGGCTTGCATGAGGAAGGAGTGGAGAGTGATTGCTCCATGGAACTCAGTTCCTTGTTGGCATGATGAGAGTCCTTTGGACTAGATAGAGGTGGTTGTTGCAACACTGAAAATGTACTAAATGCCACCGAATTATATACTTTAAAAGAGGGATTTCCTAAGTCCCAGGCCATGGACCAGTACTAGTCTGTGGCCTGTTAGGAACTGGGTCGCTCAGTAGGAGGTGAGGAAGGGGCCAGCAAGCATTACCACCTGAGCTCTGCCTGCAGTCATATCAGTGGTGGCATTAGATTCTCATAGAAGTGGAAACCCTATTGTGAACTGCACATGACAGGGATCTAGGTTGCAAGCTCCTTATAAGAATGTAATGCCTGATGTTCTGTCACTGTCTCCCATCACTCCCAGATGGGACTGTCTAGTTGCAGGAAAACAAGCTCAGGGCTCCCACCGATTCTACATGATGGTGAGTTGTATAATTATTTCATTATATTTTACAATGTAACAATAATATGAAGTGTATAATAAATGTAGTGTGTGATTGAATCATCTATCCCCAAACCACCCCCAACCCTGTCCATGGGAAAACTGTCTTCCATGAAACTAGTCTCTAGTGCCAAAAAGGTTGGGGATTGCTGCTTTAAAATGCTCAACTTTATGTTATCAGGATTTTACCTTAATAAAAGAAATTTAAGGAACAGAGACATGGTTCTATGCAGATTTCTTTTACCTTAAGAAGTTGCACCACAATCCAGTGCTTCTGATGTGAGGTGGAATTTCTAGTAGGTGAGAGATGTCCTAAGTACCATAGTTTTCAGACATTAAACTACCCCTCTTACTTTTATCTTTTTAAAAAAGGTTCAACTTTTATTACAGAGTAAAGGTTACACATGTCTTTTTCTTAAAGCAGTTGAGTTGGGGGCAAACAGGGAACAAGACATCAGGGAGCATGGAGTGGGGAACACCTCCTCACCAATATGCCTGCCACGTTTGTTTTTCATGTGATGCAGAGAGATGAATCAAGTGTCTTTTATTTTCAGTTTAGCCCTCTACCAGCTTTTGACGCCTTTACCATCTATTATACCTCCTTCCTAGAAAAGTAAGTATAAGAAAAAGGCTCATTTATGTGACTTGGTACAATCATCCTACTCCTCAGCATTACTAAAACTCAAGGTAGTTGGGGTGGACCTTACCTACACCCCACTCCCTTTGGCCACAACTGGGGCTCCAGGGAGTATTCTTACGTCCCACAACTTGGCCCATATAGGGCCCTTGTTCTTTCCTTTTTCAGAAAACTCTGTCTCTGTCATAATTCCATCCTCCGATCGTCTCAAAAATTGCCAAGGTTTGTCAACGGTCTAAGATTTTACTCTACTGGCAAGCTAACACATTTGGTTGTCACAATTTCATGGAAACTGGCAGAAGGCATGAGACTCCTGGGTCAGAGACAAAGAACTTTATTAATTATGGCACAGCAGCAGTATGAGCTCCAGATTTGCTTCAGTCCCTTTGTCCCACAAATCCCACGAGGAAGGTGCAGAGGTGGGCCCAGGCGAATACTGAAATCTATGGGTTTGTGTCATAGCTAAGGAACTCTGATCTTAGAAAATCCCCAATTTTATAAAAAAGACTGCAAGCAAAACTACTAAATCTTTGCCCAGTAGCAGACTTATTTTTGATGTTCTACTCAGAAATAATTCTACCTTTTTTTTCTATCTTCTAAAGGATTTTTTCTTTAGAAACAAAGTTTTGTCTTCCTAGACTTTTTGTTATAAAAACATCCTTGAAAAAATAGTCTTGAACAAAATCAGTCATAAGATGTAGAGAAACACCATGAAGAATTGTCCTCCAGAAAAATATTTTTCATTCCCTTTTCCTAATAAATGCCTTCAAGAATGAGAAGGCAGTATAGTAAAAATAACACTATACAATTATTGATTGCAGGAAAAAAGAAAATATCTGTTAAGTCCATAAAAGATGGGTCTTTGCTAAGATCTGTATTTTGATGTTATGCATTTATTTATACTTTAGGCATTTGTGTTCCCTGTAGTTCTAATGTCATCTATATCTTACTCTGTACTGATAAAAATAATAAGGAAATTTAAAGACACAAAAATATTTATTGCATATCTGATAATGATAGTGTTGTAGGTAAATATAAAAATACCAGTGTGAAAATGAAATATAAATATCTGATTATTTTATGAACATTATAATATATTATATGGGGGATATGTGGGAGATAAAATATAGAAAGATTTAGCATGAAAAAAGAAAGAAAAAAATCCGATATTTACAATATCTATAAATCTCCAGAAGTTGGATGATTAGCAAAGATCAAAAAGTCTGAGAAGTATATATGGAGAAAATGTTTTTTCTTTTTTTGTATGTCCTTTTTTTTTTTTTTTTTTTTGAGATGGAGTCTTGCTCTGTCATCCAGGCTGGAGTGCAGTGGTGTGATCTTGGCTTACTGCAACCTTTGCCTCCCAGGTTCAAGCAATCATTGTGCCTCAGCCTCCCAAGTAGCAGGGATTACAGGCATGCACCACCACACCTGGCTAATTTTTTGTAGAAAATATATTTTTCAAACAAGTCATGCCTTCTCCTTGCTCACTGCATAAAATAAGTAATGCTAATTGTGGAAATTATAGTAAGAATGTGAACAGAATGCAGCCAGACAGAAAAAAGAAAGAAAGAAAGAAAGAAAGAGAGAAAGAAAAAAGAAAAGAAAAGACAGAAAGAAAGAAAAAGAAAGAAAGAAAAAGAAAGAAAGAAAACAATATTGAAGAATCACATGGGGCATTGAAAAATTAAATAAAACATTTAAAATATGAACTGGCCTCTTTCTCCTCACTGTAAGAACCTATGGCATTCACTGGTGTTTTTGCTTTCAAAGCTACAAGAGACTCAAGCACCAAGGAAAACTCTATCATCTTTGATGCTCAAGATGTGAATATAGAGGACTTTTAACTTTTGTCAGCTTTGGTGCCTGCTTTATAATAAAATCTCAAAGGCTGATGAAGGAAACAAAAGTATATTTGGACTTTGTGCTTGACAAACTCCTGACTGAGAAAATATATTTTGTACTCTGCCTAAGATTGCTTGATATACTTACATGCTGAAGTCAGCCCCTTCCCCAATTCATCCCCAGAATCAAGCAATACTGTCAGCAAATTTTACCTCAGTGCCAAAAACATATCATGTAATGGAGGATTTATCATCTCTTCTTTTTTCCATCAAATAATGATCTTGACTTTGTTTTTGTACCCTCTTGTCTTTCTATATTCTAATAGAATGTGAAAGATTAAAGTGCCAGAAACAAAGATACTAGTAACTTTTCTTTTCCTGGAGTGGAGAGTGGGGATTAGCATGCCTGTGGGTTTTACTCATCTCATGTAACTCTGAATATAACTGTTAGTCCTTGCCACTGATCTTTCTAAAACAATATAAAGCATTTCAAACATTGTTTAATTACAGTGAGAATTCTATGTCTCAGCAATAGATCTTGAAGATAATTAAGCTAATTCAAAATGTAACTTAAAATAAACTTTAACTATCTTGGAAATATTAAAGAAAATATAATCGTTCCTCCAGCTGCTCTAGGAAGGTAAAATAGTCAGTAGACAGTTAATATTTATTTAGAGTTTATTTTGTAACAGATAATGTTCTAATAGATACTGTTTGGCAATATAACAATGCACAAAGGCCAGGTTCTGCCTTAAGGAGTTAATGTTTGAATAAATTAAGATAATATTTATAATAATATGTGACACTAAGTAGGTGACGAACACCTGCTTTATAATTTTCCTGATATGTGGCAAATAAAGAAAATTTAGTAACTAAATGTTACATTGTAAAATTAAATAAAGTCTTATAATTATTGTACACAATCAATCTTAATTTTAAATAATGCAAATGAATTTTAGGACACTGATTTACTTATGTTCTAAGAACAACTGGAGGTTTAGAGAAAGCAATTACATGTTTGACAGTATTATATACTGCAAAATTCATTTTCACTAACGGTGGCAACAAGTTAATGTATAAAGGAACAATAAACCACACAATAGCAATTATTTTTCACATTAATCAAAACATAAATGTGTGCTAATTGTAATCAGAAATTTCAGCCTTGAGTCACTCTCCTTAAAACATCTTTATTGAGATATAATTTACATACCATAAGGCTTACTCATTTATAGCATATAATTCAATGATTATCAACCTATTTACAGAATTGTGCAACTCTCACCACAATCTAATTTTAGAATATTTTCATCACCCCAAAGAAAAACCCATACTCGTTAGCAGTGATAAAAGAAAAACTTCAGCCAAACTGAATTTAAAGGCGTTTAATTGAACAATGAACAACTCATGAATTGGGCAGCCTTCTGAGCCAGGACAGGCTCAGAGATTCCAGCGCAGCCACGTGGTGGAAGATTTATGGACAGAAAAAGGAAAGTAACCTACAGAAAACAGAAGTGAGGTACAGAAGCAGCTGAATTGGTTACAGCTTGGTGTTTGCCTTTTTGAACACAGTTTGAACAGTTGGGTACATTTGATTGGCCAAAACTTTGTGATTGGCACGAGTGTAGGCTATGGTCTGTTTCTACCTCCACTTGTTATAGTTCACAATGTACAGAAAAATCTTTAGGCTAAACTTAAAATACGTAAGCAGGAAGCTTTAGGTTAAACTTGATTTAAGAGCAGTCATCCCCATCCCCCCATTTCCCCTACTATGTAGGCAATCATTATGTCTCAATGGATTTACCTAATCAATATTTCACAGAAATTGAGTAAATACTATATATGGTCTTTTGTCACTGGTTTCTTTCACTTGTAAATAATTCTTAAAACATCTAGGAGGTGCAAAGGTAACTAAAAGTGATGCCATGATTTAAATTTGAAAAAAAAAAGGCCAATGAGTATTCAAAACTCATTCTGTAGTTACGAGTAAAGATATGAGAATATGTCTTCAAGGTGCTGAAATTCAGGAATTGTCTAAATTTCTATAGACACCAGGAATGTGTTTTGTGTATCATGTCAAAAACACTACCAAGATGAATTTTAGGTTTCTGCAATTCATATGCATGCAAGCAAAGTTCCTATGTAAGCAGAGTTGCTTGAGCTACTCAGTCCTCTCTCTCTCTTTCTCTCTCTCTTTCTCTCTCTGTTTTCTTGAGACAGAGTCTTGTTCTGTCGCCCAGGCTGGCATACAGTGGTGTGATCTCAGCTCACTACAACCTCCGCCTCCAAGGTTGAAGCGATTCTCATACCTCAGCCACCGGAGTAGTTGGGATTACAGGTGCGCACTGCCACGCCCAGCTAATTTTTGTATTTTTAGTAGAGATGGGGTTTCTACCCATTGGCCAGGCTGTTCTCCTGGCCTCCTGTGATCCGTTGGCTTCAGCCTACCAAAGTACTGAGATTACAGGGGTGAGCCACCGCGCACAGCCCTCAGTTCTTTAATGATAGCTTCTTCTTGAGGTCCCACTTTCCAAAAAACACAGTTGAGCACAACATCTATTACAATGCAGAAAACAAAATATAAATGCCATACAAATGTCTTAATTTTTCTAAAGTTCCTGTAGATTAACTTATTTAATTCCTCTTTACCATAAAAACTCAGCAAATCTAAGTTGAAGTAGCATAACATTATTAACTAATTTAATTTTTCAGTTAAAAATTGAGCATAGACTTAACTCTTCCAATCATACTTTTAATTCAGTATAAATTAAAAAAAGATTCAATGAGCTAAATTAATCACTAAAGGGATGGAAGAGACACAGGCTATTTATTCAACAGAAAATCAAATTATATACTATGTGCCAGGTGTTTGCTTGAAACTGAGATTATATTGGTGGACAAGATAAGAGTATTATTATCTTAGAAATTTATAATCAAGAAGAACATAAGACTGAACAAGGGCTAGCAGTAGTTTAAGTTGTTTATCATAATAAGATAAGTAAGAAGTCCTATGTGAGTAAGTAAGTTAGTTTGTTAGGAGTGTTGAAAAGTTTCCGAAATCTACATACAGAACTATGCAGAATTGATCCTTGAACAATATGGATTTGAACTGCAAGAGTCCGATTTTACACAGATTTTCTTCAGCTCTGCCACTTCTGAAACAGAAAAGCCCACCCTTCTTTTTCCTCCTCCTCAGCCTACTCAACATAAAGACAATGAGGAAGAAAAGCTTTATGATAATCCACTCCCACTGAATGAATAGGAAATATATTTTACCCTCCTTATGATTGTCTTGGTATCATTTTATTTTCTCTAGCTTACTTTATTGTAAGAATATAGTTTATGGGAAGTCTGTAAGAAGTTCGTGGAAAATGCATATTATGACAAAACTATGCATGGATTTCAAAACTGTATTTTATCAAAATAAACTCATATTAACTTGTTATAACATGTCTGAACAGGATCTAGTTTGAGACCACTAAAGATAAAACATCAATTGGAAAAAAGCCCCTATCAGAGCAACATGTATTCTGCTAAGTTAAAGCAAGAACAATTATCCAATTTATGGAGAAATTGGGGTGGAAAATTAGAGAAATCATTGATGCTTTTTGAAAAGTTTATAGGAATAATATGTCAAGAAATCAGCCATTTGCAAATGGATAACTCATTTTAAGAAGGGATGAGATGATGTTGGAAATGATGCTTATAGAAGCAGATTATCTGTATCAACTTACAATAAAAAAATTCTTGTTCATGCCCTCATTGAAAAGGATAAATAATTAACAGCACAAACAATAGCCAACACCATAGACATCTCAATTGGCTCAGTTGACACAATTCTAATGGAAAAATTAAAGCTAAGCAAAGTTTCCACTTGACTAGTGCCGAAACAGTTGCACCGACATCAGCTGCAGACAAGAATAGAGTTTTCAATGAAAATTTTAAACAAATGGGATCAAGATCTTGAAGCGTCTCTTCAAAGAATTATAACAGAAGATGAAATGAGGCTTTTCCAGTCTGATCCTGAAGACAAAGCACTATCAAAGTAATGGTGGAAGTGGTCTAATCAGAGTAAAAACAAGCTGGTCAAGAGCAAAGGTCAAGACAAGAGTTTTTGCGGATGCTCAAGGCATTTTGCTTATTGATTTCCTGGATGGCCAAAGAACAACAGTGTCTGATTATTTTGAGAGTATTTAGAGAAAGTTAACCAAAGCTAGAGCAGAAAAATGCCCAGGAAAACTTTACCAGAGAGCCCTTCTTCAATATGACAATCTCCTGCTCGTTCCTTTGATCAAACAAGGGCAATTTTGTGAGAGTTTCTATGGGAGGGAAAGCATTAGGCATTCACCTTTCTAAACTTCTTTTAGTTTCATAATCTTAAAAATTATTTAAAAGGCACCCATTTTTCTTCAGTTAATAACGTATAAAAGAACGCATTGACATGCTTATATTCCCAATACCCTCAGTTTTTTATGGATGGACTAAATGGCTGGTATCATCACTTACAAAAGTGTCTCAAACTTGATATGGCTTATGCTGAGAAATAAAGTTTATATTTTCTATTTTTATCTTTTAATTTCATTTTCCATAAACTTTTTGAAATCTCTTTATAATACGTATAACATATGAAATCTGTGTTAATTGTTCATGTTGTCAGTAAGGCTTCTGCTATTAGTAATTATGTTTTGGGGAAGTCAAAGTTGTATTCAGATTTTTGACTGTGAAGGGGGGGCAGGTTTAGTGCTGCATCCCCTGCATTGTTCAAGGGTCAACTGTATTGTAAAAGAGTTTCCCCTTTAAATTTTTTCCTGAAAAAAAAAAAATATATATATATATATATAAACAATGGTAGAGCATTTATTACCTTTCTACTGCCTAGAGTATCTCTGACATATGAGTAAATGGCTATATGAAAGCTATACATTCCTTATTTCATTTGATAGTCACCAAAATTGATTTTAGATGTGTTTGTTAATAAATAAAAGAAACATGAGTTCCTTTATTATCCTAAAGTTGAGATTGAACAAATGTGTTTTCCTCCATTCTCTCTTAAAATACGCATTTTAATGTTTTTATGTGATATGAAGACAAAGAGAATGGGAGAGAAGACCATAACTGAAAGAACAAACAAATTCATAAGTGTCTATTTAGCTATTTAGAAAATAGAAATAGGTCTGTTACCTGCTAATTCACATAGCAGAGCAGAGAAAAGCAGAAGTTAATTTCCTGAGTGAGAGACGCCAACAAGATGAAAGCAGGTTGTTACTTTGGAACTTAAAGACTCAAAGACTAGAGGAAGAATTCACCAGGGAATGCTGAAGACAAATAGAGCAGGATGGGGCCAAAAGCATTTAAGTAGAGGTGATTGGACGTGTGAGTAAACAAGAGTTAGGTTCTTCCCCCCAACACATTTAGTCTTGTTATTATACATTTCTTACACTGGAAGAGGGTTGCTGTAAAGGCTCATTTCTGAAAGAATGAATCACAGAAGCTCTGAAATTGGGGACACTTAGCCAACCAAGGGCAGAGTTTAGGCACTATTTTTGCTTATGAATGAAAGTCTATACATTGTGTAGTAAAATATATTTCAGCCCACTTAGCCTCCTAAAAGCTAGCATCCACGTTTCTAAACCCACAGGAAAGTTTAGAAGACTGATATTTATAGAAAATGATTGGTTCAAGAGAAAAGATCTACAAACACAGGCATCTACGGCTCTCCAACAAAAGACTTGATTTCCTATCCTATCAACACATAGTGAAGCTCACAAGTATTTAAAATATCTATCTTTCTGGTTTTCAGTGCTTTGTTTTTAAATATAAACAGAGAACTAAGAATCATCACACATATCAGGAAACCTCTACCATAAAATGCAGTTTCTAAAATAAATAAAACAAACAAAAATAAAGAGAATTGGAAAATGCTTGGAGTTCAAAAAAGCCTCCAAAATTGCACTCTGTTTATATAAAAGAATGCACTAGAATGCATTACATCAGTAAAACAAAAATGGAAGGCTATCAGTAAAAATAATCCTCAGAAATCATAGAACACTAGGAAAATTTTTAAATGATATATTTTATTTATGATTTAAATGCTTTAGGGATTTGAGCAGGCCCCATTAGAGTTCTGAACCAATTGAACAATTGATACGAAAGAGTAGCACAGCTATGAAAAACAAATTTACCTTTCTTACTGACAATGCTTATGTTGAAGAATGTGACATATACCGATGGGCATGTTGCCTTTGTAATGCCAAATGCTGAGACAGAATTACTCTACTCACCACTGTAGCACTGACAAAAAGTAGGTTTCTCTGCCCAATGAGGGCTAAGTCTTTTCAAAAAACATTTCTGGCATGAAGGAAAAAAAGCATAGCAAATTCCATGCTCTCTTAAAGAAACTCACTGAGAAGAGCAAAGTAAAGGAAAGAGGCTGATGAACTGGCCCAGTTTATTCTTCCAAATTACATGGATGTGACTTCTGCCGTCTTGGACAGGGGACATAGAGGAGCACAGAATGCCCAAGAATAAGATGTCAGTGTGTATCTTTACACAGAAGAACATCACCAAAAGGTCCTTTATGCATCCACCTGGGACCACAGGTGGACAGGGCGTATCATTTGGCAACAGACATTTAACGTTTGACAGGGAAGTACATCTATCGCATTACTGTTATGCCAAAAGTTTACTCCATGTTGCAGCTCTCACTGCAGATTATGTCCAGATACATTGACCAACATGTCCTTTATGAAGTCGTGCAAAACGAGCAAGTGACATCATAAAGATACTGCAATAATATACTGCTATCAACGTAGAGATTCCACAGATTTGAATATAAACCTCCTATCATTATAAATGTATATGGAAACATGAAGTTCGAAGATTAAATTCCCTGGCAAGTTAAGGTCCTAAGTTAGACACAACCCAAGGTATCAAAGATCAAAATCTAATTATTGTCTTGTGTTTTAAGAGACTGATGAAACTGAAGGCCTACATTAATCCTTCCCATCTCTTCTTCTGTGAATTCTCAGCTAGAATGTGATTGTTGGGTGCTGGTTCCTTCAGCAGCTGTGTCTTCCACAGTGTCATAGTGATTCTTTTAAGGCCTCAGGATTTAAACGGCCTCAACTTGCTCATTGTTTAGAACCCAAACAGCAAATTAGATTTAAAAAAAGTTAACATAGCATTAGCCCTACACACACCAGACTTAGAAAACAAGCCAGTATCAATGATTTAAGGTGGTTATTTCTTGGAAAAAAAAATGCTCCCCAAAGTCAATACTTCCTGTTGTAAAACACCAAAGCAGAAACTTGATTTTATCTGAACAAAGGCAGTTTAAGAGGAAAGTACTATTTTTTAGCTTGCCAAGAGGCCAGGCTATGCCAGATGATGAAAGTCCACTTAAAATAAAACTCAATTTCCATCAAGAAGTCAAATTTTTCACTAATACAATTACTGTTGGCGGTATGTGTGGGAGTATCTTTTCACACTGTCTCTTCTCTCAGAGTGACATTTGTGATATTGCTGCTTTCTGCAAAATTTCAAAATTCATAGTGTGGACAGCTCCGATAAGAGGTTTTATTGCAGGAACTTTTGTTTTTCTTCCAGCACCCTCAAAATCTTTTAATCCCTTTTCTATTTGAGCCCGTATTTATGGCTACCTCATTACTGTATTGACGGTGGGCTCTGTATAGTGACATAACTTCCCTTATCTGTTTTTATCTAGAGCATTCAGTTATAGGACACAGTGGCTGCTTTTTCTATAGAGTTGTTCAGGGTCTGTAAAAACTGCTTCCAAGGAAAGGTTTTTCTCTTCTCCTAACATTTGTTTCAGCTGGAGAATCAGCCCCAGAAAATTCTTGAAGCTGCCATTGATTCAAACCCTAACAGCCTAACAAGAACCAATTACGTTGCTCTGTGCCTCAAGATAGCATCTTTATTCAGCTTCTGGGTAAAATAAATATTCTGAGGAAAATATCTTGCTGCCGTTTTTTCTCCAGTAGTTGGATTGTTCTTCTAATGGTTTATTTTTCTCTTTCAGGAAAGTTCAGCTATATATTTATATTTCAAGTTAAACTGTTCCATCATTTGGTCAATTTTCTCTAATTTCTAAATTTTTAAGCATACACAGTTAAATTCTGTAAAACTGTTATTAAATCTGAATTTCTTTTTTTATTTTCTCATTTCCATTACGATTTCTTCTAACACTTTTCAATACTGATATTTGAGGCTGCCATAGAATTTACCAGGCAAACATACCTTCTCCGCTATCAATATCCTGAGTTGGATAATTGCATCCAATAAATATGCTCCAATCGATATCCAATATAGGACTGCAGTTGCTATATTTCTCCTTTTTTGATTCACCATTTTCATGCCTCCTATTTGCCTTAGGCTAAACATTTCACGGTTTAGAAATTTCAAGGAATTCTCAAGCTGACTCTAAATTCCAAACATTTCTCAAGCACATATCATCAAGGTACAGACTTTTACTGTGTGTACCCTTCCACAACATTTGCATCACTTTAAGACTTGCCATTAACTAAGTATTTCCCAATTCTTGCACATGTAGATGAGTTCAAAGTTTTTCAATAATTTATTTGTTGCAAGGGAAAATTAACCTGAGACCTAGCCTGATATAGTTGAAAATATTAAGGAGTTTAAATTCTTAGTAGAAAATTTTTGTGTTAAATTCAGAGAGAAACACTGAAAATAAAGGAAATGAGAAATATAGCAATCGTTAACTTAGGGAATTCCAGATTTATTCAAGAAAATACATATAGTCATACATTGTTCAGCTATGCAAAATTATGAATAAAAATTCAGTTTTAGGTTTTTTTTTCTCCACTTCAGCCTTATTTTCACTGATTAAACATTATAGGTCTGAGATCTATCTTGCCTCTAAAATTTTGAATTCAATGTTACACTTCTGATCCATAAGTTCTTTCACGGCTTCTCACTTCCTTTCTCCCACTTTACATAATTTCTGACTTCATTAAGACTCGAGTCCATTGACTTCTCTATTTTCTTTCAGTTAATTATTCCTTCATATCTTTTCATTATTTACCTCTCGTCATAATTGACCTAGGATGCATAAGTTCAACAATTATCTTTACTTTTTCATGAACACCAATTTTATCTATTGTCTTTCTTCCACCCTATATCAAAATAACTTCAACCACAAGATTCTACCTGCTCAGTATTCCTACTCTTACCCTGAGCTCCAGGACCCTGCTGGAAAATGAAAAGAAACAAAAACACATGAAACTGTGCACAAATATATTAATAAAAATCTAGGCCGGGCACGGTGGCTCACGCCTGTAATCCCAGCACTTTGGGAGGCCAAGGTGGGTGGATTGCCTGAGGTCAGGAGTTTGAGACCAGCCTGGCTAACATGGTGAAACCCCATCTCTACTGAAAATACAAAAAAATTAGCTGGGCGTTGTGGTGCATGCCTGTAGTCCTAGCTACTTGAGAGGCTGAGGCAGGAGAATTGCTTCAACCTGGGAGGCGGAGGTTGCAGTGAGCTGAGATCTCACCATTGCACTCCAGCCTGGGCGACAGAGGGAGCCTCCATCAAAAAAAAAAATGCACACACAAACACACACACACACACACACACACACACACACACACACATATATATGTACTATAATCATGTATGTCAAGGTTACCCAATATTCACATGAATTCCCAGTACTTTCCGTGTCCATTTCCTACTATAACTATTTCAGACCGTCTGCACTCTGTCATCCATCCACTGCCAACACAGTAAAAAACAATGAACTCAACCCCTTGTCACAATCCCTTTGCATCTACAGATTCAATGCATTCATTTCTTGATTTAACCATTTGTGTATTATCTCAGGGAAAGGCATAGTCCTTCTTTCAGATACCTATTGCCAAATTTGCCAATTCACCTGCCCTGGTCCCTACAATCTCTTCATTCCATTCTGCGACAATAAATACAATGAATAGTGTGTCTCAGCTTCATTTTTTAAAAAAAACAGGGTGGTGGTGGTAGTATTTATTCTCTTTGTTTTTAATGTAACTTATTGAATTGTAAGTTTTTTATTAAAATTTTTTATTAAGATGTCATTCACATACTATAAAAGCCATTATTTTAAAGTATGCAATTCAGTGGTTTCTAGTATATTCATCAACTTGTGTAATCATTATTGCTATCTAATTTAAGAACAAGGTTATCATCCCCCCAAAAAACTCAAACCCATTAGCAGTCACTTCCCATTTCTTCAATCCCTTCCACTGGCAACCACTGATTTACTTTTTGTCTTTATGAATTTGCCAGTTCTGATTATCTCATATAACCAAAATCAGACAATATATGGCCTCTTGTGTCTGACTTATTTTACTTTGTATGTTTTTAAGATTTGCCTATGTTGCAGCATACATCAGTTCTTTCTTCATTCTTTTTTACAGCCAAGTAATACTCTATTCTATGAATATGCCACATTTTATTTATCCATTAATCAGTTGGACATTTCAGTTGTTTCCACTTTTTGGTTATCATGGAATAATGCTACCGTGAACATTCATGTACAAGTTCTGTGAACCTATGTCTTCAATGTCTTAGGTATATACCTAGGAGTAGAATTGCTGGGTCAGATGGGGACTCTATATTTATCTTTTTAAGGAACTGCCAAACTGCTGTCTGCAGTGGCTGCACCATTTTACATTCCCACCAGCAACTTATGATGGTTCCAGTCTGCTCACATCTTCCCCAATACTTGTTTTTTTTAATTGTTAATTATAATTTTTAAATAATGTTAATTTTTAACAAGCAGCTTGCAAAATTGTTCACGATTAACAATCTTTCTAGAGGTGGGTATGAGTAAGCTCTAAAACATGCTACATACAGCTTACCAAAGAAAATCCCACCATCTTACTACATAACAAAGGACACTGTGATTGACTGGTGATGTCTGCCAAGCCCAAAGTTTGTAGGTTACTTTTCACCACCTTTTCCTCGAGTCTGGGTTAGGCTGTGCCAGAGGAGTTGGGATTTAGGGGAACCAAAAGGATTTGGGTTTAGCAGGTACTTCTTATTGAGCATCTCTCATAACTAGCCCAGCAGTCTCCATTCTGGGAAATGACCATCTCCTCTATTTATGATCTGGAGTCCTTCATATCTTGCCTTCTACATATTTCATTCCTGCCATCATTTCTCTCTCTTACAATAATGATTTTCCTTCTCCATCAGATCACTCTCTGAAGACCACAAATGTGCTCTATACATTTCCATCTTAAAACAACCTGCTCCCCTGTAGTTCCTCTACCCCATCCAGCCCCATCCTCCCTTGATGTTTTGTTCCTCTTCATTTCTCTGGTCCATTGCCTTGTCTATTTCTATGCCACTCTTGGCAAATGGAAGATCGCAAACAAAATTTAACAATTCGATCTCTCTGCTGATGCAACTCTACTGGAGCTGTTAATAGTATTTTATATGTAGTGACAATATATGCATAAATCCCAACACATTATTTTGAAATATAAATGTTAATACATAGAACTGATGATTCCTGTGGAATAATTATTTCTTAAAAATTAAGTCTTAAAAGGCAGAACAAGATGGCCAAATAGAAGCCTCCAGTGAGCATCCCCCTTGTAGGAACACCAAATTGAACAACTATCCACACAAAAAATCACTTTCATAGGAGCCAAAAATTAGGTGAATGACCATGGTACATGGTTTTAACATCATATTAAATAATGGAACAGAGAAGAAGGTAGGAAAGATAGTCTTGAATTGCCTATACTATACCTTCCTTATCCCCCAGCAATGGAGATGTTCCAGGGATAGAGGATCTCAGAACTGCTGGCATGTGGAGCTTCTCCTCTTTCCCACAGCTGATTCTGCAATCTGGACCTGAGTGATTCCCCAAGAGCCCCAGCTCCCTGGGTGCCTCGCCTGCCTGGAGGCATGTGCTTGCATACTACACCACCAGGCCAATTGCTCTGTACTCACCTTGCCTGCTGGCCTGCCAGCCTGAGCAGGTGTGTGCATACACTATGTATTAAGATATCTCATCTGCTCACACAATTCTCCATTTTTCCATCATACTTCATGTTATGAGCTGAATTGTCTTTGCTCCAAATTCATATGTTAAAGTTCTAATCTTCAATAGGCCAGAATGTGACTGTCTTTGGAAATTGGGCCTTTGAAAGGGGCATTCAGTTAAAATGAGGTCATATGGGAGGTTCCTATTCCAATCTGACTGGTTTTCTTATAAAAAGAGGGAATTGGGACACATAAAGATGAATAGATAAGGAAAATGTGGTGTCTATACACAATGAAATACTATTTAGCCATAAGAAAAAATAAAATTATGTTATTCGTGGCAACATGGATGATCTTGAAGGGCATTACGTTAAGTGAAACAAGCTAGGTATAGAAAAATAAATGCTGCATATTCTCATTCATATATGGAAGCTAAAAACGTTGCCTATAGAAGTAGAGAATACAATAATGCTCACTAGAGGTTGAAAAGAGTAAAGGGGAGAGACAGATAACCAAAGGTTAATGGATACAAAAGTACAGCGACATAGAAGGAACAAGTTCTAATGTTCCATAGAATGGCAGAGTGACTGTAGTTAACAATTTATTCTATATTTTCAAATAGCTGGAAGAAGAAACTCTGAATATTTCCAACACAAAGAAATGGTAAATGTTTGAGGTGATGGATATGCTAATTACTCTAATTTAATCTTACACACTGTATGCAATGCATCAAAATATCACACTGTACCCCATAAATATGTATAATAATTATGTGTTAATTAAAAATGTTGATAATGACCAAAAAAAGAAAGGATACCAGACATGTGTGTGCACAGAGGAGAGACCATTTGAGGACATAGCAAGGAAGAAATCGATTAGCCAAGAAGAGAGGCCTCAGGAGAAACCAAACCTACTGCCAGCTTAGACTTAGACTTACAGCCTCTAAAATTGAAAAAAAAAAAGTATGTAGTTTTTGCCACCCAATCTGGATTGTTTGGTTATGGCAGCACTAGCAAACTGCACTGAACTTTGTAATGCACTTTATTTAAAAACTACATGTTCAAAGATAAAGTTAAGAATTTCAAGAGAGTGGCAGCACAGCAATAAACCAAGAGATCATTAAACCAAACCTTTTGTGAGCAGGGCCCTGTAAGATTGCACAGGTTGCATGCTCACGAAGCTAACTCTGACTCCACCAAAGCTATTCTTAGCAGACAGAAATACAGGTTTTCCATCTCTAACCTCAATGAACATTTTTATTTCTTATCTTAAATGGTATTCTAAAGGTCCAGTCCTGGGCCGTACCTTTGATTTTGTATCTTCCTGCATCTTCTAAACTTGTCCTGTTGCAGCAATTTCCGTTTATCTGCTAATTAGATGAAAAGTATCTTTCTGCATATCCATGTGCACAATGGACATTTCAATGACATCTCAACATGCTTTAACCTAAAATCTTTAAAAAAGTGAATGTTAGCAGGGCATGGTCACTCATGCCCATAATCCTATAGCTTTGGGAGGCCAAGGTTCGAGGATTGCTTGAGGCCAGTAGTTTGAAATCAGCCTGGGAAACATAGCATGACCACATCTCTATGACATAATTTTAAAACAAATTAGCCAGGCAGGGTTGCACACACTGTATTCCCAGCTACACAGGAGGCTGAGGTGGCAGGATCACTCGAGCCCTGGAATTTAAGGATGTCAAGGTAGCAGTGAATTATGCATATGCCACTGTACTCCAGCCTGGGTCACAGAGCAAGACTCTGTCTCAAAAAAAAAAAAGTTATTATTCAAAATATAGTATTTTGCTTCTGTTTGCATGAAAATGACTGATTTCTAAATTTTATTCTTAACTACATATTATAGAAGTAGACTGATTTACATACTTTACATGCATTATTCCACTTAGTTTTCACAACAACACTAAAGTCCACAAGGCTTTAGTCTCTAAGTTGTAAGTTTTCTTTCTTGCAAATACTGAAATCTTATACAAAATGCCCGGCCGGGCACAGCGGCTCACGCCTGTAATCCCAGCACTTTGGGAGGCAGGGGCAAGCGGATCACCTGAGGTCAGGAGTTTGAGACCAGCCTGACCAACATGGCTGAAACCCCGTCTCTACTAAAAATACAAAAAAATTAGCCGGGCGGTGTGACGCCGGCCTGTAGTCCCAGCTACTCGGGAGGCTGAGACAGGAGAATTGCTTGAACCTAGGAGGCGGAGGTTGCCGTGAGCCGAGACTGTGCTACTGCACTCCAGCCTGGGTGACCGAGTGAGACTTCATCTCAAAAACAAACAAACAAACAAAAAGCCCAACTGTCCAAGCCAGAAAACTAAGCCAGCATCCTGGCCTCATTCTTCCACATTCAACCAGGCACCAAGTTCTATTTTCTACCTATTACATCCATCTTCAATCCAACCTTTTATCACTTCCACTTCTACTACTTACTGCTCTTCATCTTTTCTCATTTCAATTATTGCAAAAACCTAACTTGTCATCTTCAGTTTGAAAACTATTCCTAGGTTTACATTTATAAAATGCATATCAGATCTAAGTGAAACAAAAAGTTTCAGCATAGCATCCAAGGAATTTTATAATGCCTTCTGCTGACTTATCTAGCCTGATCTTTCACATCAGATTCTCAGGCTTCAACCTGACTTCATGCACCTGTCATGAACTTGGGCCGCTTTACCTCTGCATATGTTGTATCTTCCCTCATTTGGACCCCTGACTTCTACATCTTGCAGGTGACTGGTTAGTTTATATGTCACCTCCTCCAGGCAATATTTCTTAATTATTCTCCCTCCCAAGCCAGAATTTCTGTCTGTTCTTTATTATCTATAACATGTAGAGAGTAGCAAGATGTTAACAGAAATTGTCTTTTAATCGTTTGCTTGTCTCTGACACCTTTAGGGAAATAACTTCTGTTTATTTATATGCATGACTCTAGATAGAATATATCTAAATGTTGAAGTCATCAGATTTGAAAACAGAATGTGTGTGTTCAAATCTTAACTATGACACTTAATACCTGTGTATTAAAACAGGTCACATAATTTTAATGTCTTTTTACCTGAGTAACATGGGGAGAGACACTTCACAGGAATATTGTGAATAGTAAATTACTTAGTACCTACAAAACACTTTAGAATAGTATCTTGAACAATCTACGCTCCCTGTGATTTTTGATAAAGGAAAAACTTCCGCCGAATTAAATTTAAAGGAGTTTGAGCAATGTACGATTCGCGAATCGGTCAGCCCACAGAATCACAGCAGATTCACGGAGACTCCAGCACAGCCACGTGGTGGAAGAAGATTTATAGACAAAATAAGGGAAATGAGGTACAGAAATTGGCATTGAGGTACAGAAACAGCTGGAGTGGCTATAGGTTGGCCTTTACCTTATTTGAACACAGACTGAACACTGAGGAGTCTATGAGTGGTTGAAATATGGCTGCTGGGATTGGCCAAAACTGTTATTGTTACAGATCCATACTCCTAAGTTAGGTTTTCAATTTTATCTGACTATTAAGCTAGGTTACAGTTCATCCACAAGGACTCAAATATCAAAGTATGGAGTCCTTCTTGGGCCATATTTAGATTGCTTTAACAAATTTTATACAGACATACCTTGGATATATTACTGGTTCGGATCACTCTTAATAAAGTGAATATTGTAAAAAGTGAATCACAATTTTTTTGGTTTTCCAGTGCATATAAAAGTTATGTTTACACTATACAGCAGTCTATTAAGTATGTAATAGCATTATGTTTAAAGGAACGATACACATGCCTTAATTTAGAAAGACCTTATTGCTGAAACTTACTAAAATCTGAGGCTTGATTGAGTCATAATCTTCTAGCTGGTGGAAGATCTGTGTCAATGCAGATGGCTGCTGACTGACCATGCGGTGGTTGCTGAAGATGGGAATGACTGTGGCAATTTATTAAAATAGGACAGCAATAAAGTTAGCTTCATTGATTCACTCTTCATTTTACAAAAGGTTTCTCTGTAGCATGCAGTGCTGTTTGATAGCATTTTACTCACAGTAGACCTTTTTCCAAATTGAAATCGGTCATCTAAATCGCTGTTGCTGTTTTATCAACTAAATATGTATAATACTTGAAATCTTTTGTTGTCATTTCAAAAATGTTCATAGTGTATTCACCAGGAGTGGATTCCATCTCAAGAAACCACTTTCTTTCCTCATTCATAAGAAGTAACTCTTCATCTGTTCAAGTTTTGTCATGAGATTCCAGCAATTTAGTCACTTCTTGAGGCTTCACTTTGAATCCTATTTTTCTTGCTATTTCCACCACATCTGTGGTTTTTTTCTCCCCTGAAGTCTTGAACTCCTCAAATTCAACCATGAAGTTTGGAATCAGCTTCTTCCAAATTCCCATTAATATTGATATTTTGACCTCTTCCCATGAACTGTGAATGTCTTTAATAGCATCTAGAAAGATAAATTATTTTCCAGAAGGTTTTCAATTTGCCCAGGTGTACTGGAAGAATCACTATCTACGGCAGCTATAGCATTACAAAATATATTTTTTAAAAAATATGATTTGAAAATTGAGATGACTTCTTCATTCATGGGCTACAGAATGGAGGTTGTATTACCAGGCATAAAAACATTAATCTCCTTGTGCATCTCCATCAGAGCTCCTGAGTCCCCAGATTCATTGCCAATGAGCAGTAATATTTTGAAAACAATCTTTTTTCCAAAGCAGCATTTCTCAACAGTGAGCTTAAAATATTCAGTTAAACATGCTGTAAGCAGACATGCTGTCATTCAGGATTTGTTGTTCAATTCTTAGAATACAGCAGAGTAGATTTAGCATAATTTTTAATGGCCCAAGGATGTTTAGAGTGGTAAATGAGTGTTGGCTTCACCTAAAACTCATCAGCTGCATTAGCCCCTAACAAGAGAATCAGTTTGTCCTTTCAAGCTTTGAAGCCAGGCATTGACTTCTCCTCTATAGCTGTGAAAGTCTAAGTCAGTATTTTCTTCCAGTAGGAAGGTGTTTTGTCTACATTGAAAGTCTGTGGTTTAGTGTAGCCACCTTTATCAATGATCTTAACTAGATCTTCTGGATAACTTGCTGCAGCTTCTACATCAGCACTTCCTACATTACCTTATACTTTTATGTTATGGAGATGGCTTCTTTTCTTAAACCACCTGAATCAAACTCTACTAGCTTCAACCTTTTTTTTTCTGCATCTTCCTTATCTCTCTCAGCCCTTACAGAATTGAAGAGAGTTAGGGTCTCAAGTAAATGTTGTGGCTGGTTTGATCTTTTATCCATTCAAACTTGCTCTATATCAGCAATAAGACTGTTTTAGTTTCTTATCGCTTGTGTGATCACTGGAGTAGCAATTTAATTTCTTTCAAGAACTTTTCCATAACATTCACAACTTGGCTGTCTGGTGTAAGAGGATCTTGAATTTGACATGATTTTCTCAATATGCTCAGTCATTTTAAAACATTGATACAAACTTCCTTTTACTTGAATGTATAGAGATTATTGCTGGATTCTTAATTGGCCTAATTTCAATATTTTTGTGTCATAGTGAATAGCAAGGCCCAAGTAAAGAGAGAAAGACAGGAGAACAGCAAGTCAGTGGAGCAATTAGAATACACACAGTATTTATCAATCAAGTTGGCCATCTTATATCGGAACAGTTCATGGTATCCCCAAACAATTATAATAGTAACATCAAAGACGACTGATCATAGATTACTATAAAAAACAAAATAATTATGAAGAAGTTTGAAATATTGTGAGAACTATGAAAATGTGACACGGAGACATAAAGTGAACACATGCTGTTAGAGAAATGATGCCAGTAAACTTGGGTCAACACACGGCTGGCATAAACCTTCAATTTGTAAAATACGCAATATCTGTGAAGGACAATAAAGCAAACTACAGTAAAACAAGGTGTGTGTGTTTGTGTGTGTGTGTGTATACATAATATAGATAGTGTACAATAGAAACTAGATACTTTATAAGCTCTTGTTAATTAAATGAATATTCCAACACTCTCAAAGAAAATGACTAGTTTTTATCATAATATTACCTTTAAGTATAAGAACATAAAGTAAGTTGGCATAGTCATACTGCTGGCAAAATACTATATAGCTAAACAGAGATTGCAGGATAATTAAGATTATTCACTTAACTTCGGGGAGTAGAAAGCAAAATGTGTAAATATCCATGCTCAATTACAGGAAAATACAATTAGCAAGCAAAAGATAGTGTCTACTCCCTAGGGAGATGTCTGTAGAATAAAATATTTTGTAGTAAATTCTTGATTAGCATATATGTTTCTCTCCTAGATTAATTGTTTTCTTATTATGTTTTTACAAAATGGGAAGTCACATATTACAAGTCTATAAACAAATATATATTGAGAGAGAGAAAGATTTATTATGGGAATTACTTCATAAAATTATGGAGGCTGAGAAGTCTCATCATCTGACCTCTCTTCGAGTCCAAAGGACTGAGAACTAGAAGAACTACTGCTGTAAGTTCCAAAGTCCCAAGGCCCCTGAACTAAGATCTCCAATGTATGAGAGCAGGAAAAGATGGATATCCCAATTTAAGGAGAGAGAAAGAGAAAATTTGCCCTTCTTGTTCTATTTAGATCCTCAAGGAATTGGAATGCCCAACCACATTGGTGAGTGTGGGTCTTCTTTACTTATTCTACTGATTCAAATGTTAACAGATTCTGGAAACGTTCTCACAGATACACACAGAAATAATGTTTTGCCAGCTCTCTGGGCAGCTCTTAGCCCAGTCAAGTTTACATATAAGAATAATCAACCCAGCTTTTTATAATCATCTTAGTATTTAATCAAGGAAATGATATCAGCTATCTACTACCACAAAAATAATTTTAAAAATTGGCTTATAAAAGATGACTTAGTGGCCCTCAGCTGGGACAGCTTGTCACTATCCAACCAGCCTTTAAATCCTTCCAAGAAGCAATCCTGGCTTGTTCTCCTGAAAACTGGGTAGTTTTTCAAGAGATTGAGCAGAAGCATACAAGGCCTCCTGACACCTAGGTGTGAGATGGGCACACAACCACTCCTGTCAAATTCTATTGGCCAAAGCAAGTGACAAAGCCAATGCAGATTTAAGAGGTGGTGGAAAAAAACCCTAAAAATAGAAGTTGTTGAAAAGTCATATTTCAAAAGTCATTGGTATAAAGTAGTGAAAAATTTGACATTTTTGCAATCAAGCTTATCAAACAATATTATCCCAAAATATAACAATACACTCAGTTTGCACACTTGTTTACCTTTTGCAAAACAGGTAAGACAGTAGGACAAAGCAGGTGCTTTATGTTGTTTCAATCATTCAGGATTTGGACAGTTTGGATATTTTCTGTATCACTATAATTGATAAATACTCAGATGATTCTATAGTTAAGTTAGAATGGAAATTTTGGGTATAGTAACAAATACTACTTTAATTTAAACTTACATGTAAACAGTTTCCCTAAAGCAGTTAGAAGTGTGACCATAAAAGTGAAATGGTTTAAATACATGCATTTACATCTGTCCTAGAGTGATTAATGTAACTTTATTATAAAACTACTAATTTTGTGATTACATACACCCTTCCAAAGATACATTATACATTCCTATGTACACTCAAATATTATTTTTAAACTTCCATTCCAATCATTAAGTAGAAATGCATTTAAGAATCATGATTTTTTTAGAGTAAGTCTATAGGTGGTACTTTTATATTATAGATAACATTTCCTATACCCTTTCCACATAAACACAAGAACATTATGCTATAGATTGAAAATTCCTGTAAACACTAAGCAGAGCTTTTGTACATAAACTTGTAAAAACTCTACATAAATGTATTCAGAAATACATGCTATTAAAATATTTTATTGTATATTACTGTTTGGAAGTTTTCAGCTTAAATATTTTTATTTGATGATCAATAAGATCTAGTATTAAATGGTCTTATTTATTAACCATTAAGTTAAATACATGGAGAAATCCACTATGTCTTTTCCTCCAGCCTGTAAGTAACACAGGGTTGCATTTCTAATATTAACTAAGTTACATGTATTTTCCATTGAGAAGAGTGCTATCGAACTCATCCATGTTAAATCACTCTTATGTGGAAAAGGCTAACATATAAATAAAAAAACTAGAAAATTTAAAAAAGGATAAAGAAAGAAGAAAAATGAACAGAATTTAACAGCAGTGCAACAGTAGTCTCTTCCTACCTTTCCTGGGCATCTTCCAATTTTATGGTGGTCTGATAAGCTTTCCAAAACACTTTGCTCATTTCCAGCACTGGACATTTACACTCAAGACTGCAGACTCGAGGAGTCACACACTCAGCATCTTTTAGCTGTATGTTGTCAAGTTCAGACTACTCAAAGTGGCATGTCTTTAAATTAGAATGTGTCAAGTGGGTCTAGTAACTGCACCGAAATATTTTAATAGTCATATTAATCATTAATAAGTCAGGAAACATGTTTTTCTAATTTTCAGATCCCAATACACATGACTGATATGGTTTGCATCTGTGTCCCTCCCTAAACCAAATGTCCAGTTGTAATCCCCAGTGTTGGAAGCGGGGCCTGAGGAGAGGTGATTAGATTATGGGGGTGGGTTTCTTGTGAATGGTTTACTATCATCCTCTTGATGCTGTTCTCATGACAGTGAGTTCTCAAGAGATCTGGTTGTTTAAAAGTGTGTAGCAGCTCCCCTATCTTTCTCTTGCTCCTGCTCTAGCCATGTGAGATGCCTTGCTCTGTCTTTGCTTTCCACTATGATTGGTAGCTTCCTTTGGCCTCCCCCAGAAGCAGAAGACATTATGCTTCCTGTACAGCCTGCAGAAGCATGAGCCAACTAAACTTCTTTTTTTAATATCAATTACCCTGCCTCAGGTGTTTCTTGATAGCAGTGCAAGAACGGACTAATACATCTGTCTTATGATAGACACAAAGTAGGTGCCCGGTAAGCATTTGTTAAATAAATGAATAGGTACATGAGAAGTGGACCCCCTGTAAATTCAAATGAATGTGGTTTTCTATATGAAACTCCACTCACCTTGACAAACACATATAAAAAAGAATGTTGAAAAGAATAGTGCTATATCCTCTCTGAGATTTTCTTTTTACACATCTGCTACTCAGATAGAAATAATTTTCTCATTATAAGAAAGTGCTCTCGATGTACTCATTTCATATCATCCCACTAGTCATATTTTCCTGCCCTTAATTGTTTACGAGTCTGTCTTTAACTTTGTGGTCATAGTTCCTTGATGACCGGGATCTTTTTGATTTCTGAAGTGTCTACTACACTGCTGGGTAAGGAGTAGATATTTAATAAAACTGTATGGATGGGAAATTGAAACACTCAAATTGCTGTTGCCTAAGCTTTTTTTCATGTATTCAACCCTAGGAGAAATCACTGTTTACAAAATTCTTTGATCCCTAGTTGTTGAATTAGTAGGTGCCAAAAGTCCTATTTTATAATCCTCTTGAGCTATTTTGGTAAAAAAACATATCAAGTATGTGTGTCATACATCTTAACCCAGTCATCAGTTACACAGAGGCCTGATCTTTGTCTCTGTGACAAAGATAACCCAGTCATCAGTTACACAGAGGCCTGATCTTTTTAGGGTTTTTTTCCACCACCTCTTAAATCTGCATTGGTTTTGTCACTTGCTTTGGCCAATAGAATTTGACAGGAGTGGTTGTGTGCCCATCTCACACCTAGGTGTCAGGAGGCCTTGTACACTTCTGCTCAATCTCTTGAAAAACTACCCAGTTTTCAGGAGAACAAGCCAGGATTGCTTCTTGGAAGCAATCCTTAGTTTGCCTCAAAACTAAGACATAGACAAGCCCATTTGATTATTTTACTTCTCATTACCTTTACAAATGAGCAGAGGATACATACCTGATGTGCATGGATCTTGTGTATCCTTGAATCTTGCAAAATTTTATAGCTCCAGTGGCCACTCTGAATGAAAAAGCATTTTGGAAACCTGGCACCATAAAACATTCATCTGCCAGGATATGATGATATCTTGTCAGGTCATTAAAAATCACTTTCTATTTGACATTTTCCCATTTAAATTCCTCATTTTGAGTGCCATCATCTTCTTTCCTTTTCCACAAAAATGCGCACGTTTTCAATGCTTGCACGATCTTTTTACTTCCTCTACCTTGAGCTTTAGTCTTCTAGGTTAACAATCTAAGTGTGTGATGTTTGTAAGTGTCTGTCTTCATTTCTTGAGGATGCAGTTCCCAAGAGTCTGCACTCTAATTGTGCTTTGTTGCAAAAGGGGTTTGATGTTTGCTGAGTGAATAAGAGGTTGAAACGTGTCTTGACTCATAGATCTTCATCCCAGGTACCCAATTCTATTTCAAATAAAATGGAAGCCTGCTCTGGAGGTCCTGAGATTAGAGCATAACAGATCCACACCGGGACTGCTGCATACTAGATCAGTTAGTATACTTCTTTATGTATCATTTCTATCATTTAGATTGTTTAGATAAGAATACTTCCTTGTAGATTATTTCCATCCTTTAGATTGTTTAGATAAGAATCATTTTGTGTCAAGCACCTTTATATTAATATACTTATTGAAATAATTAATTCATAGGGAATAATTAAAGTAATCGTAAATGAAAGAAAATACTCATTGCAAAGTGCTCACATTTTCACGAAGAGATGCTAAGAATTGAATTAGGCCTTAATAACTACATAAAGAAAGAACGAATACAACAAAGATATACACACACACAAATAAGTATAAAAACTTTCCTAATAAAAGAGGCAGAGTACTTAACGTTATAAGTGAAATATTTAAAGACATTTTGTGCACGTTGAAAACAAAAAGATAGTTTACCCAGGATTATGGAACATTTTTCTATTGAACTTATAAAGTTTTCCTCCTGGCTACTGTTAATATTAAATTTGATAAAAATCTTGAAGAGTTCTTTGGAGACTCATTTGATAGAAAGGAGAAAATGCATAGTTTCCAAATGTTCATACCACGTTTCTCTATGAATGATGAAATATAATTTCAAGCCTCTTTCCTAAGAACAGTGTTTTCAGCAAATGTATTATTTGAAGTACCATGAGTCAGTGTGAAGTTGCTTGAAAAGTAGTTGTTATCTAATAACCTCCTGTCAAAAACTCAGATAGAAATTTGCTTGTAGAGAAATAAAAAATATGGCAATTTTGATGATCTATTTTTTAACCTTAGAAGTTACTCTCTGCCTGTCTAATAAAACATTCTGCAACTAAGACTATTTGGTATCAGAAAGTTAATTACTTTAAGAGCACATACAAATTGAGGAAAAAGAAAAAAGTTTTGGTGTCATTCAATTCTGATTCTAATTATTAAAGAAGGTTCTAATGGAGACATTAAAAATCAGGAGCATACAAATCTACTTTTTAAGAAACAAAAGGACGGCCGGGCGCGGTGGCTCACGCCTGTAATCCCAGCACTTTGGGAAGCTAAGGCGGGCGGATCACGAGGTCAGGAGATCGAGACCATTCTGGCTGACACGGTGAAACCCCGTCTCTACTAAAAATACAAAAAATTAGCCGGGCGTGGTGGCGGGCGCCTGTAGTCCCAGCTACTCGGGAAGCTGAGGCAGGAGAATGTCGTGAACCCGGGAGGCGGAGCTTGCAGTGAGCCGAGATTGTGCCACTGCACTCCAGCCTGGGCGACAGAGCGAGACTCCGTCTCAAAAAAAAAAAAAAAAAAAAAGAAAGAAAGAAACAAAAGGACAAGGCAGTGTCTCATGTATGCAATCCCAGCAGTTTGTGGGGCTGAGGCAGAAGGATCACTTGAGGCCAGGAGTTCGAGACCAGCCTGGACAACCTAGTGAAACTCCAACTCTACTAAAAACGCAAAAATTAGCCTGGCATGATGGCACACACCTATAGTCCTAGCTACGTGGGAGTCTGAGGCATGAGAATCGCTTGAACCTGGGAGGTGAAGCCTGCAGTGAGCCAAGATCACACCACTTCTCTCCAATCTGAGTGACAGAGCAAGATTCTGTCTTGAAAAAAGAAAAAGAAACACAATTTTTTTCACAAGCGCCACTAAAAAAAGTGATCAAGAAGTACCAGTTACTTTAAAAAAATTGTTGAAGGTAGAAGGTTCAGAAGAGTATTGAGATTCATAGAAACAAAACAAGGAGTTAGTGACACTGAAAGCATAAACAAATATAAAAAAAATCCTGAGCCAGAGACAAAGTGGGCTTCCTAAGATTTTAAATGTTTAATATCTTCACTTATACATTTAAAATCTAAAATAATAAAATGTATTCACATGAGAATATATTACTTTAATAGTGTTTTATTTTCAAATATAATTTCACAGTCAGAATAATAGATGATAAAAATTATTTTGAGCACTTATTGTCAATGTATATAATGACATCAAGATTGACTAGATCCCCCTTAATCCCATTTCTTTTACTTGGTCTAACAGGAAGATTTCACAGGAAATGTAAGAGGACTACATATCCCAATCTCTTTTGCAATGTAGTTGGATACTGATTAGTTCCAGCACTTTGGATAAGGGTAAAGTTTCCTATACTAATTCCAGTTAAATCTGTCCCTGATCTCCAAAATCTCCTAAAAATCATGAGCTCTCTCCTTCTCTCCAGTCCTCCTGGGCTTTAAGGAGGGCCAGATTATTGCACACAACTTACCACTTTGAGAGAGTTAGTACTTTGAGGGAAACTCTTCAGGAGAGACATCTAATGTAACCTGTTGACTAAGAAACAAATAGGCAAGGTGTTTATGCCAATATCTTAGGTGATTTGTTTCAGCAGCAGACAAGTGTTATCCTAATAGACAAGTGTTATCTTCACTATTTAGCAATCATGTTTACGTGACATGTCTCCTGCCATAAGATGAAATTACGAAAAACCTAGTATTGCCTCTAGATATTTTCTATCAGACAGTAACCATGAGGCCATTTCACATTTCTTTTTTTCGATGTTTTTAATTTCTCCAGAGAGTATGTATTAGGAATGATTGATTCTGCAGTCACAGGTAATCAGCTTTTAGTCATAATTTCATTGTCAAAGGTGAAAAGAGGGGGATTTTCTTCTCTGCTTCCCTCCTTTTAGCTAAGTGATTAAAAACTATCAGTGTCAAAATCTATTGGAAGTAACGGAGTCATCAGAATAATACTCTCAGTACATTCATTTCAGTGTCATATTTCTATCACTTTAAA